>NC_000011.10:83824698-85209199 GCF_000001405.40 Homo sapiens | reverse complement strand
GTTGGAGGCTCTCAGATTGAACTAGTGTGATCTTTATTTTTATTGATGAGAAACAGGGACTGTAGAAGATGAATAGTTAGGGAGCAAGGTCATAGAGCTAGTTAGTGGCAGATTTAGGACTAGAATCCTTGGGTTCTAAAGTCCAGATCAATGCTTTTTGCTGAACCACAGCCACCTCTCAATTATCAGTGCATGAACCCAGTGTACTTGCAAAGGACTTACATATTGCGGGAGGGTAGATAGGGGAGTACGGTTGAACTTGTTTTCTTACATAAGCCTTTTTCATTGAGGACAAGAACAAATGAAGGACTCCTTCTCACCTCTCCCCGGAGAGCCCTTCTATCCCTCCCTTGTTTGCAATTGCCCATTTAGATTATAAACTCATTGAGGAGGGAGTGTGCTGATTTTGTGGTTCACCTCTTACTAAGGACTCCCTGGTTCTCTGGTAGCTGATCTTATTTGACTGATAATTGCAAATCATCATATAATGTTAATAATATTAGTCCCTTAACTGAAATTCATTTAACCTGGCTCAGCAGACATTTTGTGCATGTTATAGCTCCCTGTTGGGACCACTGGGGCTGATCCAGGGAAAATGTGATCAGAATGGGCTTAAATGGAAAGAACACATAATAAGACTGGCTTGACACTGAGGTTTTGAGTTGCAAAACTGTGTTCTAAAATGCTTAGTTACAATAGAAGGTCTTTGTCATGATTCTAAGAGTATCATATTGAAATTGAAATTGTTTTTTTTTTCTGCATGCCTTAGCTATCTTAACAAAGGTATCTTAGTATACGCTAGCATATCAAATATAAAATGTGGAAGAGAGAGTGAAATTTGAAATTTATCTTAGCCATATGTGTGCTCATGAGGACATGCTATCCTTTGTCACAGTCATCATTCATTCAGTCATTTTGTCATTAATTTTGAAACTGTATGATACATGGAAAATATTCTGGGCTTTGGAGTCAGAGTCTAGCTTCCATTCCTGCTTTGTTGATTACCACCTGTGTGATCTTCAGTAGGTTACTTAACTACTTTGAATATGTTTTTCAAGAATGAAATGAACATCTATTTCATATGGTTCTAACAAGAATAAAACTGGGTAAGTTCTATAAAATATCTAATATAATGTCTGTCCACAGTAAGTACCCCATTGCTGGTAGCTATGTACTATTACTAGAGGCATAAACACAGTATGCCACTTCTGGAAACTCAGAAGAGGTGGAGAATGCCTGGAAGGGCTTCTTGGAGGAGGTTACTTTTGAAATGGGTTTTGAAGGATAAAAAGCAGTTTACCAGATGTAGAGGGCATGAAAGGGCAATCAAGCAGAAGGAATAGTTATGTTAGAGTCTAGGGGTAAAAAGGAGGCTGGAGAGATAGATGAGTGGGTGAAACAGTCTGCACACAATGTGATATAATTTGAGTAGTGATAAGAAAGTTCCATTCCCACCCCATATATAAATATCTCCTTCATCTAAGTGCCAAAATATGAATTTTTGGATATATAAGCTTTCATTCTTTTCATATTTCTTTCAAAATGTAAATATTCTCTCAGAATATAAAATTGACTCATTTAAATAAAATTTGACACATGTAATGGGTCTATGTGCCAAGCATTGTGTTAAGCACTGAGAATTGCATTAAAAAAGGACTTGAACTTACCCACTGGTAACCTCACAAAATAATGGGAAGGTCAGTCCAGAAGTTGGTAGCTCAAATGCTACTGATGAAGAATAAAAAATATAGAAGGAGTAGTTTTTGCATTACAGCTTGAAAGATAAATTGGATTTATAATTGTTTTAAATAATCATTAGTACTTTAGAGAGAATTTGTTGTAGATGATATGTGTAGGTTGGCAAATACCTGGAAGGTAGGCTGGGGGAGTAGGGCTTTTGCTTCACAATTGTGCCTTTGGCTAGCCCTCCTCTTAGAAAAAGAATGCAATTGTTTACACAGTCTAAGAAGACATCTGAGAAGGTAAACTCTGTTTTCCCTCCTCATTAGTACAATATATGTAGGGTTGATGTTTGACAGAAAAATATGAATTATGGATGAGCAATAGGGATGAGATGCCATGATAAAAATTTAATTACTATATACTATATTGCTGATGAGACAGCAAATTGAATATCACTGACAAGTTGTCTCAACAGTGAAATGTGTTTGATGAAATGTCCAGTCGATGATGAGATAATGAATTATACCATTAGAACTATGGTAAGTGTAGCTATGAAAAACAACTGCCCAGAGGAAATTGAAGTTACATAAATGAATCTTTGAAGATTTTTTTTGTGACAAAAAATACATGTGATGACATTGGACTTGAAATTAAAAAAAAAGATATGCGCTTTTTTTCATTTTTAGAAGGAATTTTGCTCTTGTCACCCAGGCTGGAGTGCAGTGGCATGATCTCGTCTCACTGCAAGCTCTGCCTCCCGGGTTCAAGCAATTCCCCTTCCTCAGCCTCCCAAGTAGATGGGATTACAGGTGCCTACCACCACGCCCAGAAGATTAGCACTTTCTAACCAGTAAGAAGGAATAGAGTAGAATCGACTTCATTACAAATTCAGGAGATTTCCCATTTTATTTTGTTTTACTGAAGTGTAGAAATATCTGTTCACATTTATTGGGATAAAATAAAGCAAACCTTTATTACTTATATACCATGTATTTGGTGCTTTCATATTCATTATATCAAAGAAATATCAATAACTCAATTTTTTGCCAAAAAGGAGTTTGAGACTTCAAGTGGATAAATGACTTCCTCAACGTCACATGCTTTGAAGGGGCAGAGCTAGAATTCCAACCCAGGTCTATCTGGCTTCAAATTCTTAGGTCTTTCTACTATGTATTAGTCTGTTCTTGCATTTCTATAAAGAAATACCTGAGACTGAGTAATTTATAAAGAAAATAGGTTTAATGGACTCATGGTTCCACATGCTGTACAGGAAGCATGATGCTGGCACCTGGTTCTGGGAAAGCCTCAGGGAGCTTCCAATCATGGCAGAAGGCGAAGGGGGAGCCAGCACTTCACATAGCCACAGCAGGAGGAAGATAGAGATCAGGGAGGTGCCACACACTTTTAAAAAACCAGATCTCATGAGAACTCATTATCTTGAGGATAGTACAGTAGGGGAAATCTGCCCCCCATGATCAAATCACCTCCCACCCGTCCCCACCTCCAACACTGGGGATTACAATTCCACATGAGATTTGAGGGTGGGGGTGACATAGATCCAAACCATATAATGCTATATAAAACATTGTGTCTATTGATTATGTAAAGGAATGCAAGTATTCTGTGTTACATTTGAAAAAATGTAGAACAAAAAGATTGGATCTTGAGTAAGTCTTAGAAATCTTTTTGATACAAGGAGAAGATATAGTTGAATAGATAACCACATCACACTCTGATCTCTTTCTTTGCTAATACTTACTGTCTGGGTCAGTCTTTCCTAATTGGGCTGCTCATTTGAATCCCATAGGGAACTTTTATGTTTTAGATTTTTCAAAATTGATACATAATAGTTGTACATATTTTGGGGATACATGCGCTATTTTGATACATGTATACAATGTGTAATGATCAAATCCAGGTAACAGGGCTATCCATCACCCCAAACATTTATCTGTTTTTTGTGTTGGCAACATTCCAATTCTTTTACAGCTATTCTGACATACATACACAATGAATGAGTGTTAACCATAGTTATTCCACTATACTATTGAACACTGTAACTTTTTTCTTCTATTGAACTGTGTTTTTGTACCTATTTACCAGCTTCTCTTCAACCTCCTTTCCCTTATAGCCTTCTCAGTCTCTGGTAACCCCATTATATTTTCTACCTCCATGAGATCCACTTTTTTTTAGCTCCCAAATATGGTTGAGAACATATGTTATTTGTCTTTTTGTACCTGGTTTATTTCACTTAGCACACTGACCTCCATTTCTATCCATGTTGCTGCAAATGACAGAATTTTATTTCTTTTTATGGCTGAATAATATTCCATTGTTATATATATATATATCTATATATATATATATATACACACACATATATATGAATTATATATATTTCTTTATCCATTAATTCACTGATGGACATTTAGTTTGTTAGTTTTATAGTTTTATGTTTTACATTTAAGACTTTACTCCATTTTGAGTTGACTTTTGGTGTAAAGTGAGAGGTAGGGATCTATTTTTATTTTTCTGCGTGTGGATATCCACTTTTCTCAGCACCATTTCTTGAATAGTCTGTCCCTTCTCCAATGCATTTTCTTGACACCTTTGTTGAAAATGAGTTGACTGTAAATGTGTGGATTTATTTCTGGATTCTCTATTCTGTTTCATTGGCCTGTGTGTCTGTTTTTATGCCAGTACCATGATGTTTTGGTTACTGTAGCTTTGTAGTACAGTTTGAAGTCAGGCAATGTGATGCTTCCAGCTTTACTTTTTGCCCAGGATTGCTTTGGCTTTTCAAGATCTTTGTGTCCATACAAATTTTAGGAGTTTTTTTTTTCTGTTTATGTGAAGAATGTCATTGATGTTTTAAAAAGGATTGCATTGAATTCGTAGATTGCTTTGGGGAGTATGGATATTTTAATAGTAATTCTTCCAATTCATTAGCATGGGATATCTTTCTATTTGTTTGTGTGTTCTCTTCAATTTATTTTCATCAGAGTTTTATAATTGTCATTGAAGAGATCTTTCACTTCTTTGGTTAAATTTATTTCTAGGTATTTTAATTATTTGGTAACTATTGTTAATGGGATTGCCTTCTTGGTTTCTTTTTCAGATTGATTGCAGTTAACATATAGAAATGCTACTGATTTTTGTATGTTGATGCTATATCCTGCAACTTTACCAAATTTATTAGTTCTAACAGTTTTCTGCTAAAGTGTTTAGGTTTTTCTAACAAGAAGATCATGTCTTCTGCAAACAAGGATAAAATTTGACCTCTTCCTTTCCATTTTGGATGCTCTTTATTTCTTTTCCTTGTCTAATTGCTCTGGTTAGGACGTCTACTACTATATTGAATGAAAGTGGTGAAAGTGAGCATCTTCATCTTGTTCGGTATCTTATGGAAATGCTTTCAATTTTTCCCCATTCAGTATGTTGTTAGCTGTCGGTTTGTCATATACGGACTTTATCATTTTAAAAGTATGCTCCTTCTATACCCAGTTGGTTAAAAGTTCTTATCATAAAGAGATGTTGAATTTTACCAAATGTTTTTCCAGCATCAATTGAAATGATAGTATTGTTTTTGTCCTTGATTCTGTTAATGTGATGTATTATGTTGATTGATTTTTGTAGGTTGAACCATCTGTGCATCCCTGGACTAAATCCCACTTGATTATGGTAAATGATGTTTTTAATGTGTGGTATCCAGTTTGCTAGTATTTTATTGAGAATTTTTGCATCTATGTTTATCAGGCATATTAGCCTGTAGCTTTCTTAGGTGCTGTGTCCTTGTCTAGTTCTGTTACTAGGGTAATGCTGGCCTCATACAATGAGTTTGGAAGTATTTTCTTTTCAATGTTTTTGAATAGTTTGAGTAGAAGTGGTGTTAGTTCTTCTTTAAATGTTTGGTAGAGGTCAGCAGTGAAGCCATCAGGTCCTAGGCATTTTTTTGATAGGAGACTTTTTATTACTTCTTTGATCTCATTATACTTATTTGTTCATGTTTTCTATTTCTTCCTGATTCACTTGTGGTAAGTTGTATATGTCCAGAAATTTATTCACTAATTTCTTCTAGGTTTCCTAATGTGTTGGCATATAGTTGTCTCTAATGATCCTTTGTATTTCTGTGGTATCAGTTGTAATGTCTCCTTTTTCATCTCTAATTTTGTTTATATGGCTCTTCTCTCATTTTGTTTATATGGCTCTTCTCTTTTTTTGTCTTAATCTAGCTACAGGTTTGTTAATTTTGTTTGTCTTTAAAAAACCAGATTTTCATCTCATTGATCTTTTGTATTTTTTTAGTATCAATTTCATTTATATATGGTCTGATGTTTATTTTTGTGTTGTATTAGTTTGGTGCAAAAGTAATGCTTTTTTTGCCATTAAAAGTAATGGAAAATGAAAGTAGAAAACACCACACCAAAACCTATGGGATATTTATTTAGAACTGATATTTATTATTAAATAATAAATTTATTATTAATATTAAGTTTATTTAATAATATAAGTTGGGTTTGTTCTTATTTTCTAGCTCTGTGAGGTGCATTGATAGGTTATTTGAAGTTTTTAGATTTTTTATGTAGATATTTATTGTTATATATTTCCCTTAGAGTACTGCTTTCACTATATCCCATAGCTTTTGGTATGAAAGTGCTCCCAGTTTCATTTGTTTTGAGAATTTTTAAAATTTTCATTTTGATTTTTTCATTGACTCATTGGTTGTTCATGAGCATGTTGTTTAATTTCCATGTATCTGTAAAGTTTCTAAATTTCTTCTTTTTGCTGATTTTCACTTTTGTTACATCGTGGTCAGAAAAGAGACTTAATATTATTTTGACCTTTTAAAATTTGTTGAGACTTGTTTCGTGGCTTAACATATGATCTATTGTGGAGAATGTTCCATGTGCTGGAGGAAAGAATATTTATTCTGTAGCAGTTGAATGAAATGTTCTATAAATGCCTGTTAGGTCTATGTGGTCTAGAGGGCATTTTAAATTTGATGTTTCCTTGTTGATTTTTCTATCTGGATGATCTGTCCATTGCTGAAAATAGGGTGCTAAAGTCCCTAATGCTATTATATCGCAGTTTATTTTTCCCTTAGATCTATTAGTATTTACTTTATATATTTGGATGCTCCAGTGCTTTATATACTTGGCTATTTTATATATTTGAATCTGCCTTGTATGTTATTTGATTTTATTGTCTCACAGCTTTGAGAATCCTCTTTGTCTTTAACCTTTGCAATTTGATTAGAATATGTCTTAAGTTATTCTTATTTGGGTTGAATATGCTTGTTCACCTTTCACCTTTCTGTACCTGAATATTTATATTTTTTTCCAGGTTTGCAAAGTTTTGGGTTTTTTTTTTTAATAAGCTTTTTATCACATTGCTTTTCTCCATTCCCTCTTTAATGCCAATAACACAAATATTTGCTTTAACATTGTTCCATAGAGTCCATAAGCTTTCTTTATTTCATTTTTTTCATTTTTCCTCTGTGTTTTAAATAGTTTGTCTTTAAGCTCATTTATTCTTCTGTTTTATTTCTGTTGTTGATTCTATTACATTTTTCATTTCATTCATTGTATTTTTAAGCTCTAGAATTTTTTTTATTATTTTGATTTATCTGTTACATTTCTCTGACAAATTTCAGAATTCATCCTCTGTATTCTTTGAAGTTCATTGAGCTTCCTTGAAGTAGTTGTTTTGAATTCTTTGTCTGAGAGATCACACATCTCCATCACTTTAGGGTTGGTCTCTAGTGCCTTACTTTGTCCATTTGGTGAGGTAATATTTCCCTGAATGTTCTTGATGCTTGTGGATGTAACAATTTCTGCAAATTGAGGAAATAGGTATTTATTTTACTTTGCAGTCTTTTTTGTGCCTGTACTTCTTTAGAGGACCTTCCAGAGACTCTAAGAAGACTGACTATTGTGTCCCATGAGACTGTGACCACTACAGCTACCCCAGTACTAAAGGGCACCCAAGCCATGTGTCTTGCGTGGGCTTTGAGATTCACAGCTTTCTGGGCCAGACAGACCTGGGGAACACCTAAGTCAGATACCAGGGCTGTGTGGGAAAGCTGGCCAGGGACCTAGGTATAGAAGACTGTCTTGGTGGTCTACATGTAGGCTCCAGCACAGGCAGCATGGGTCTTCAACTGTAGCAAGAGTGGCTGAAGTTGAGACTCAGCCCTCTCCAGAGATGCTGTAGAAAGGAGATTGGTGAGACTGTTTCATTGGCTCAGAGGTGTGTGGGTCTTTCAGCAGATCTCTGCACAGATAGCGTAGCTACCCTACTGTAGTGGGTGGGGCCTGATCTGAGACTGGCTCTCTTTGGATCTGCTATGGGACAAAGGCTGGAGGGGCTGGTCTTGTTGGCTAAGAGGGGAGCATGTCTCCCTGCAAGTCCCTGCACAGATTAGATAGTTCCTCAACTGCAGTGGGAGGGGCTGGAGCTGAGACTGGGCTACACTGGGATCTGCTATGGGCTGGAGGCTGGAGAGCTTATTCTCATTAGCCATGAGGAGCATGAGTCTCCCAGCAGGTTAGTTTCCCAACTGCAGCAGAAGGAGCTGGAGCTGATGGGGCCCCTTGTGATCTGCTGCAGGATGGAGGCTGGAAAGCTCAGATTCATTAGCTCAGACAGGTCTGTGATTCCTAGCAAGTATATGCACAAACAGGATAGTTTCCCAACTGCAGCAGACTGGGGCTGGAGCTGAGAGGGAGGTCCCTTGGGATCTGCTGTGGGAAGGAAGCTGGAGAACCCTTCTCATTGGCTCTAATGAGCATGTGTATCTCCAGGAGGTCTCTGCAAAGATAGTTTCCTGACTGCAGCAGGAGGGGCCTAAGCTGAGACTGGACCACCTCCATATCTGCTGTGGGACAGAGGCTGCAGAACCCAGCCTTATTGGCTCAGAGAAATATTCATCTCCCAGCAAGTCCCTGCATAGATGGGGTAGTTCTCCAACTGCAATGCAAGGGGCTGATGCTGAGACTGGGCCGCCTTGGGAACCGCTGTAGGATGGAGGTTAGTGATAGTCTCATGCAGGCTCAGATGCCTGGGCTGTGAGATATGAACAAATCTCTTTCTGGATTCTTCCGTGAACAGCACTGAGCTGGGACTTCAACTGAGAAGGCTGGAGCTGAGCCACTGGATAACTCTTAGATTCACTGTCAAGACTGATTTAAACAGGCAGACAAGCCTCTTTGCTAAGATGATTCCATCTCAACCCCGTGTCAGATGGTTTTGGTAGCAGGCTAAAAGACAAAGAGGGCTATAGCTAAGCTCTTTGGCAAGTGGGCTGTTTCTAGGCTTGAACCCTGGAGCACAATTGTTGAATCAGATACCTGGGTGCTGGTGTGCACTCTCGAAATGACCCCCCTAGGTGTTGGGCTCCATGGGGGGGTTTACAACCTCCTATCTGAATTCACAAGACTTCTGCAGAGAGACTTTTGGATGTGGGTGAGTACAGAATTCTTGTTGTTGTTGTGGGGGAAATGAGCATGTTTGTTCTTATTCTGCCATCTTGTTGATGTCACTGTCTCCAGGGAAAACTTAAAAAAAAAAAAAAAGTAATTCCTGGGTCTCACTACAAAAATATTCTGCGTTCTTGGTGTGGGGGTAGAACCCAAAGTTCTATATTTTGTTTTCTATATGATTCTGAAGTGTATCCAGGTTTGGGATCTAGAGTCTAGACTATGTGAACAGTGGCTTAATCTATTTGTGGCTCACTGTGTGTATTTATACAACTGTCTAAAGTCATGGTTAGAACTCTATATATTGTTTATTATTTTGTGGAAAGTATAATTTTAGTAAAAGGGCAAGTTTTAAACTCTCATCAATGGTACTTTCCAAAGAGAGGTCAACTAGCCATCTTCATAAGAATCACCTTGAGTGGTTGGTAAAATATAGATCTATTATAATAGAGGAAGAATTTCAGAATTAATATTTAGAATATCAAGCCAAGCAATAGCTGAGTTATAATTTATATCCAATAACACGCATAGACCTTAAGTGCTTGGTTCAATGAACTTTGATTCTCGCATATAATTATGTAAACTTCACCATAAACTTCTATCACCCTGGGAAGTTCTCTGATGCATCTTTAGAATCACTTCACACATTATTCCTTAGACTTTTTTAAATTTTTGTCCCTGGGGATTAGCTGTGTCTCTTCTAGAACTTCTTGTAAATAGAAACATAAAATATGTGTGCATTGGTGTCAGTCTTATCTTGCTCAATATAATGATTTTGAGGTTCATCCATGTTTTTGTATGCATTAGTGGTTACATTCCTTTTTATTGCTGAGTAGTATTACATTATATAAATATATCACAACTTGATCTATTGAAGAGTTATTCACTGATTTTGGCTATTATGAATAAAGTTGCTCTGAACATTTTTGTACAAATCTTTTTGTGGATGTAGGCTTTAACTTCATTTGGGTAAATGTCTAGGAGTGGAATTTGGGGGTCCTAAAATAGGCATATATTTAACTTTATAGTACTGCCAACTAGTTCTCCAAAGTATGTGTGGGGAAGGTTGACATTAGACCTGAAACTTGAAGATAACTGGGTGAATTAGGATAACAGAGGAACTTTTGGCAGAGAGATTATCAGGTACAAAAGCACGGAGCCCCAGTGAATCTAGCATGAAAAGTTCCACTGGATCCATCAACTGATGAGAATTTAAGTGTGGCAAGTGACTTGAGGTAAGAGAAAGATGGGGTGGTTGTAAGAGAAGAATAGTTATAAATGAGGCAAAAAGCTGGTTGAACTCAAATTAGAAATGCCAAAATAATGAGTTTTGATTTTATCATAAAAGTAGCAAAGGGTTAGTAGATAATTTTTAATTATGGTAGTAAAATGATACCTTTTTGTTGTAGATATAGAAACCAATATTGTAATAACTGTTACTAAATATAAACATTTTTCACATAAAATATCTGTAAACTTGCCTTCAATTTTACTTCTCAAAATTCTATAATTCTATAATGTGTACATTTATAGAATATTTCATATATATAAATTGATTTAGTTCTAGAAACAATTTATAAGTAATGTCTGGGTTGTTAGTATGCCACTTGTGGAAATTTAATAGCTAACTTGAGATCCTTCAATGATGTGCCAAATGTATACTTTTTGTGGGGAGAATTTTCATAATTTTCAGTGTGTTCTTAAAGGGGTCTGGCTGTGGCACTTCTTCAAATGTTTAAGAAAATCTGCTCTCCACAAAAATGGAGGGCCAGAGGTCTGAAATAATTTTTCAGTTTTACTAGTTAGTAGTAGAATTGGAACTACAACGAAATCTCTTAATTCCGAATCTAGTGCTTTTTCCATTATCCCACTTATACCAGAAGTCTTTCCTGTGACCACTAATCTCAGTACCTTTGAGCCACTTTTTTTTTTCTTTATAAAAGACTGTCTTAGGTGTTGGCTAGACCTGCGTCTAATAAGTTTGGTCCCGACAGGAAGAATGCATGTCGTTCGTCTGTTATTTATCATAATTATAATTTCATTAACTTGTTACATGGCATTAGAATATTTACTGTTTTCACAAATACCTCATTTAATCCTTGTAACAACTTTGTAGTATAACTAAGATTTTAGCTGAGGAAACATTAGAGAAGCTAAATGATGACCCAATACCATGCGAATAATAAATGGCAGGACTTTACTAGAATTCAGGGTTTCTGAAATTTCTGAAATTGTCCAGGGATGTATCCTTTATACAATGGTATGAGGCCTCCTCGGTCATGGAGATTTTGTTCTAGTTGGTTCAGTGCTTAGGTCCTCTCTTTGTTTATAAAATAAAGGACTTGTGGTATGGTATTTTATCTCTAAAGATCCCTTTACTCCTCATATCTGTGACTATGTCTTTCAGAAATTTATGTCTAGAAATCTAGACTTAACATAAGTAAACTCAATAAGTTTAAAAAGCTTAATTTAAGGAAAATATAAATTAAGGTGATTGCTTTCCTTTACAGATAATTGTATAGCTTTTCTAAAATAATCATCATGGGTTTCCTTTGAATGTCAAGATTTCTTAATACACTTTAAAATGGTTCTTGGTGTGAGTCTAGAAGCCCATGGTCAAGTGACAGAATGTCTGTGAGTCCTTTAACATTTTATGCAAAGTTTTCTGTATCTATAAATATGTGCATTGTTCTTTAAAAGTGTTTCATTAGACTCATTAGTTTTCATTAGATTTCCAAAGATATCTAGGATCAAGAAAAAAACAGAACTCTGGTTCTAAAACGTGAGTTGACTTTTCACAATGTAACACAGACATATCATTTTAGTAATATGTCAACTATAAAGGGCAAAGTTCAATATTACATCGTAGAAAGGTCTGCCAAATTATATAGCTCTCTGATTGTATAGAGGCCTAGCAATCTTGTGCCTATACTCCTTTGCCTAAACCACATTTCACAAGCCATTTTAAAACTGCCCTCAGTTTTCTTTTATCTTTATAATGTAGAAAGGAGAAAAATTTAGACTTTGTATAAATGTAGCTATTCTGTTGTGTCATATGAGAGGAATATAAGGTGCCAAAATTAAACAGATATGGTTGATTCTTTTTATGTGAATCTCACAAAAGGGTGTTTACACTTAATTTCTATTCTCTTAAATATTCCATTCAGAGAACTGCATGTGCGTGAAGACTTAACACTTTCCTTTATATTTGGCTGGGGGAAATTACAAGAAAAAGCTACTTTCCACATGTAGTTAAAAGTACACCAATTTCATGATAATTATCCATACTAAGTGGATATATGTTCTTAAAGCACTTCAGTGTATTGTCCTGATAAAATGTCCTGAATTCTAATAAGTAAATGCTTAAGTCAGTCTTTGCTCTGGAGAAACAACCCTGGTCCCAGCAGTGTGCTAAGGCCAACTTGTAATAAGCTTGCAAAATTGATTTTAAAATTTTCAAATAATTTTAAACTTCCCACTTTTTTGACATCATGTTGATAACTTGAAATTGGTTATAGTGGGACTATTTACACTATGGAAATCAGCAGCCTCCACTAATTAGGCCCCTCAACCACTAGGAACCAGCTGTGAAACACTGACCAGGACACCACTGCCTGGCTCACCTATTTTCTCAGTTAGGATTGCATACTTTGCATGTTATTTATCATTAGTAATCTCTATAGAGAATTTAAATAAAGGAAAATTGAACAGTTTGTTCTTAAAATTTTACTTTTGTAAACGTACTTAAACTATTCACATCCAATTGGAAATTGAGTCTCCAAAGTATGTGTGCGTGGTAGTTTTCATTTGGTGTTAAAGAAATTTTGAAGATAATGAAAATGCCACTGGAGTGGAAGTCAAGGAACTTGGATTTGTCACTGATTTTACAACCTTGAGCAACAACTTTATGGTCAAAAGTGCTTTGTTTCCCTAAGTATAAAAGGAGGCAACGCTGGGTGGAATTTGCTAGTGTTTGTGGAGCTACTTAGTGTGAAAATTCTCATTCCAAAAGAAAAATAAATATTTAAAGAAAGTTCTACCACAAAAAGTTAATATTTTATCTAAAATAATGAATGATACTTTATAGTGAGTATACATCTTTTTGCCATAAAACCAAAGTATATGAAATTTTACTTTTCAAAATTGTTTCTATTTTAAAAATATTTAGTTAAGTCCCTATTTCCAGTGATAGCAGATTATTTAAAACACTGTCGGCCGGGCGCGGTGGCTCAGGCTTGTAATCCCAGCACTTTGGGAGGCCGAGGCGGGCGGATCACGAGGTCAGAAGATCGAGACCATCCTGGCTAACACGGTGAAACCCCGTCTCTACTAAAAATACAAAAAAAAATTAGCTGGGCGTGATGGTGGGCGCCTGTAGTCCCAGCTACTCGGGAGGCTGAGGCAGGAGAATGACGTGAACCCTGGAGGCGGAGCTTGCAGTGAGCCGAGATTGCGCCACTGCACTCCCGCCTGGGCCACAGAGCGAGACTCCGTCTCAAAAAAAAAAAAAAAAAACACTGTCACTTTCAGAGAAAATAATTCACTTTATGATTTAAGTTTGCCCAATTCTAGGTTTCTACTTGGTGACTTCAGGGTCCCTCCTTTTCACTTATTTTCTTCTCCTCAGACCTTTGATCTAAATTCCACAGGGGTAGGGCCTTGTTACTCTGGCTTCAGTGGGGAGGTTAATGTGTCCATGATTTATTGCATCCATGCATGCTGCCTTCTGTTGAAAAATATAGTCACCATTAACATCTTTGGTCACTGGAACTGACTCTTACTGCAGTGCACTAAAATGTCCTCTTCCCCTTTGCCTCCGCTAACTAGATTCGTACTGATTACAATAGCCTCTCAATTCATCCTAATTATGATGTTCCTCCAGGGGCCATCTCCCACCCTCAGCCACTATCGTACCTTTTTCTCAGGAACATAGGGAATTTTTAGATGCTGTCCCTTGTTCTTCCTGGGCTTCAGAGCTTGAGAATAGCAGGTAGGGAATATCTCTGGCCTTCTCTTTTTAGATTTAGCTTCTGTTATGTCTACTATTGCAGAGCCAGGCTGACATAGAACAGTTCTCTACCAGACTTTTTGTACTTTCCAACTTTATGATGGAAGTGAGACCTAGCTGCATCCCAATGCTTACACAGAACATGGCACATAGTAAGTGCTCAATAATTATTTGTTGGTTAAATGAATATATGAATGAATAAATGAAGGAAATAAACTGAATTAATAAATGAAAATTCATCTGCTTTGTGCTACTCCCCCATCCCAATCGGTATGAGTTTGTCTCATTATTCTCCCTACTAGGGGCTTAGCCAGGAGGATGGACAGGATTATAAGCCCCTATGAGGGATGTACCAGCATTTAACTTCATGCCACAATCCTCCCATACTCTTTCTATTCTGCTTGAATTTTTCTTTGGCGGGGGTGGGGGTGAGGGGAGTGCGGAAAATGTTTTCCTCTTGTTTGCTTTATATGAAATTCTACTCTCTGAGACTTCTGGGCCCTTTGTATCTTTATATTCATATTGCAGCATTTAAACTGAAAAACAGCTTTTAGGACATCAGTAAGATGGGTAAATACTGTTCTTTGAAGCCTGTCTCCCCCTACAAAGAGGGACCAAAACAATGAATATATAACTATATTTTGACTGCAGTGGCTGAAGTGTGCTGGAAAGTACCAAGGGAGCAGCAAAATCCTTGTACAGCTTTTCCATACTCTTTCCCCCACTAAGATTGGCTTGGAGTTGGAAAGGACTTCTTACGAGAAAAAAGTAAGCTGTACATCTCTCACGGTCCCCACTGCTACCACAGACACTAGCAGTTCTCCAACATGAGAGTCTTGCAGTCTTCACAGACTCCAAATGCAGTTGGGAGGAAAGTAGCCAGGAGTTTGCATGACTGCATTGCCTTATAGTAGGAGCCCATGTTAAACACTCCTCTCATCCCCATGACCTAAGCTGTTACAGAATGGTGCCATCTTGAAACTAAATCCACTGCTAAAGTGCATTCTGCCCTGGGGGCCAGTAGTCACTAATTTTTTCCATCCCTGAGGCCCCATTGTTATTCCATCACATTCACATGGGTGCCTGCAGCACTATAACCCTGGCTACCCAGAGCCTAAGACAGACAAAATGACCAAGACACTGCATTTGAACCACATAGCACAACCGTATTGTGCTTCAAAGGTTACTGTTAAGAAAGTAAAAATGACAACCCAAAGAGTGGTAGAAAATATACAAAACATATATATTGAAAGGGTCAAGTATTCAGCATATATAAGAACTCTTACAAGTCAACAATAAAAATACAATCCAATTTTAAAAAAATGGGCAAAGAATTTGAATACGTAATTCTTCAAATAAGATGAACAAATGGCTAAAACACACAAAAAGATGATCGATAACATTAATCATTAGGGAAATGCAAGTCAAAATAGAATGAGACACCAAGTCACACCCACCAGAAGGAAGAAGTTTGATTAGGATATGGAGAAATTGGAATTCTCATATAGAAATTGGAAATTTACAATAGTGCAGCCACTTTGGAAAATAGTCTGGCTATTCCCTTAAAATGTTAAACACAGTTGTCAGCAATTCCACTTCTAGGTATATATTCAAGACAACTGAAAATATATGTTTCTATGAAAACTTATATATGAATGTTCATAGCAGCATTATTCATAATAGCCAAAAATAGAGATAACCCTCGTGCTCATTAACTGATGAATGGATAAACAATATATAGAATCTGTATAAGGGAGTATTAATCAGCCATAAAAAGCGTGTGCTGCTGATACATGCTAAAACATGGATGAAGCTTGAAAACATTATCCTAAGTGGAAAAAGCCAGTGCATATAGTATATGATTCAATTTATAAAATTCCAGAATAGGCAAATTCATAGAGATAGAAAGTAGATTATTGCTGCCAGGGCCTGGAGGAAGGGGGAATAGACAGTAACTGCTAATGAATATGGGGTTTCTTTTTGAGGTGATGAAAATGTTCTGGAATTATATAAGGATAATGGTAATATACTGAAAGCCACGAAGTTGTACACTTCAGAAAGGCATATTTCTGTTCATATTTTGAACAGAAAGTTATATTTCAGTTCAAAGCCTAAAGAGAACAAAATAGCCCTGTCCTAATCTAAATCCTGTGCTTTCCATGCTGCCACAGGAACATGGGTGGATTGAAGTGAAGAATGGAGTGCATGCTATTACCGTGCCGGTTTAAGCATCTGAATATAAAAAGATAGGCACTTGATTCAGGGAGATGACAGAAGGAATAAGAGGAATGATACGGGACAATGAATCTGAGAGAAATTTCAAAGGCAAAAGTAATAGGATTTGGTGATTTATTATAATCTAAGGAAATATTAAAAGGAAAAATTGGGTCCTCTTATTCCAGATAAAATAAGATGAAGAATTTAAGGTAGCTATCATGTTTCCTAGCACTTTTAATAAGTGCCTATTAATTCCCCTCCAGTTTGTACTCCAATGCCTGTTGCACTTGTTTCTACCTTAGGGTTCTCAAATCTGTCATAGTGTTCCTGGCCAATCAGGCACTCCCCCTATGGTTTCTCCCCCAGGTTCCCTTTGTTCTAGGTAGTTGACCTCCCCTCCCAATTCCTTATAGATAACTATCTCTATGTCACAGTCCCATCAGAATTCCTTGGATGAATTAATTTAATTTAGCTGAAGTTAATAATACAAGATTGTAATGATAATGATAACACCAGCTGTTTTTATGGAGTAGTTAGTATGTACTGAACTCAATACATGCTTTATCACTTTTATTCTCATTTTATAGATGAGGAAACCAATGCACAAAGAAGTTAAGTAAGAAATGTGCTCAAGGTCATGGTACTAGTAAGTGGAAAGAATGGGATATAACCCTAAGTCTTTTTGTCTCCAAAGCCTGTACGCGAATTCCACCATGATAAGCGTGTAAATTTGTAGTCAGATCAAATTGCATTTTGATTCCAGTTCAACTCCTTTCTATTTATGTAAATTTTGCTAAGTCACTTCATTTCTCTTATTTGTAAAATAGCAATAATACATTTTTCATAGGGTATTTTAAGGTAACCGCATTACTTGGGGGAAATTATTTCACACTTCTGAGCCTCAAAAAGCCCAGGATAATATGAAAATAATAATAGCCATCTCTCAAACTTATTGTAAGGGTCAATTGAGATAATGTATGTAAAGCTCTTAGTAGACTTATAAGAAGTATTCAATATTCATCTGTTGCTGGAATGTCTGCCTGCCCATCAATGGTAGTATATTTCTGCCATATCTGTGGATGGAGGAAAAAACTCCCAGAAAACCAATCTATATATATCTTCCTGGGTCATACATGAGATACACATGTTTGAAGGAGAAAAGCAAGAAAGCCTCTTTGAAGCAATTTGCTGTCATACTCCAAAGGTTCCCTGTAATATTCTTGAGAAAGCCATTGCCATACCCTGAAAATTAGTGATGGGATATGGATTTTCTTAGCATGAATTCTTCTGAGAGCGTGTCAGTAAATTTTTTCAAGCTAGCCAGGACTGTTTTCTTCCTTGCATTCCATAGATCTTGAGTTGTGTGGCCAGTGGAACCTGGTGGAGGATGAAGTGGGGGAACAACGTGTGTGTGTGTGTTGGTGGGGGTGTGGTGTGTGGTGGGAGTGAAATCGATTACATAGTTTTGCTTAAAAAAAGTGGTAGAGAGTTTAACTTCTGTTATTTCCTTCCACTACTGGGTCCAAAAAGTCTTAGCAAAGAGTACGGAAAGTTACGATACACCATACGCCATTTTGTTGTTGTTCTTCATTGGGAATATATCCAAACGTGTGTGTGTGTGTGTGTGTGTGTGTGTGTGTGTGTGTGTGTGCGCGCGTGCGCGCGCGCGCATGCATATAGACAAATGATTTCATCACCCAGATTGATTCCATGTCTTTGCTATTGTGAATAGTGCAGCAATGAACATATGAGTGCAGGTGTCTTTTTGGTAGAATGATTTATATTCCTCTGGGTATGTACCCAGTAATGACAGTAACGAGATTGCTGGGTTGAATGGCAGTTTTGTTTTAAGTTCTTTGAGAAATATCCAGAGTACTTTCCACAGTGGCTGAACTAGTTTACATTCCCACCAGAAGTGTATAATTGTCCCTTTTCTTCACAACATCACCAACATCTGTCATTTTCTGAATTTTTAATAATCATTCTGACCAGTGTAAGATGGTATTTCATTGTGGTTTTGATTTGAATTTCTGTAATGATTAGTGATATCAAACATTTTTCTTTTAGGTTTTCTAATTTATGTGCATAGGGGTGTTCATAACAGAGCTTTTGTATTTCTGTGGGGTTGATGTTAATATCACCTTTGTCGTTTCTGATTGTGTTTATTTGGATCTTCTCTTTTTCTTTATTAATCTAGCTAGCAATCTATCAATCTTGTTTATTTTTTCAGAAAACCAACTTTTGGTTTCATTGATTTTTTTCAAATGAATTTTACATCTCAATTTCATTCAGTGTAGCTTATCTTGGTTATTTGCTTTTCTTTTGCTAGCTTTGGAGCTGATTTGCTCTTGTTTTTTTTTCGCTCCTTTAGGGGTGATGTCAGGTTGTTGATTTTAGATCTTCCTAACTTTTCATTGTAGGTGTTCACTGCTGTAAACTTTCCTCTTAACACATCTGTAGTTGTCTTCCAGAGATTCTGGTATGTGATATATCATTTTGACTCAGGAGCTACTTAGTTTAGTCCGAGCTATTCTGACCCTGAGAATGTTTAAACAATGTGTATGATTGTGAATACTTTTAAGAAAACTATACCAGTAATTTGGTTCAAGGAAGTGTTTTGGGAGGTAAATTCTATTAAATCAACTCAATTCTTTTTGTGAAATTTTCTATACTGATTACACATATTTGAGTACCTGAACTATTTATTCATGATCCTTTGCTAGGATGAACAAACTTTCATTTCTGAAGGGTCTAAAGCATTAGAAGTCCTGCCTGAATTAGATTCAGTTTCACAGTAACTTTTATTTATTTACAGCTTTACTGAAGTATAATTTATACATTATAAGATACATCCTCCAGTCAAGGTGGCTCACATCTGTAGTCCTAGCTACTCAGGAAGCTGAGGTGCAAGGATCTCTTGAGCTCAGGAATTTAAGACTACAGTGAGCTATGATCACACTGCTGTACTCCAGTCTGGGTGAGAATGAGACCCTGTCTCTAAGAAAAAAAAAATACATTCATTGTGAGTGTAGTGTTCAACTATGTGGGTTTTCTTGGTTTTATTTTATTTTATTCCAATTATTATAAAGTAAAGATGCCTTTTGGTACATGGGTCTTTGAATTTTAACATATGTAATCATCATTGTAATCAAGATATAAGACAATTTTAATTCCTCAAACCCTCTTTCCTTTTGCTAACTCTCTATAATCACCTTCTCCAACCACATCTAGTCTATGACAACCACTGATCTCTTCCTCATTGCTATAGTTTTGTGTTTTTGAAAAATATGTAAATGGAAGCATACACTATATAATCTTTTGAGACTAGCTTCTTTCACTCAGCATAATGCCATTGAGATACATTCAAGTTGTCGTGTGTATCAATAGTGTGTTGTTTTATATTGCCAAATAGCATTCCATTGAATAGATACAGCATGGTTTGTATAACTATTTGGCCACTGATGGACAAATGTTCTTTCCAGTTTTTAGGTCTCTAGGAATGAATTTTTTTTATTTTTGTTCATCTGGGAATGACTTTATTTTGTTTTCCTTTTTGAAGAATAATTTTCCCGAGGAGGTTTTGGTTGACAGGTTTTGTTTTTGTTTTTAACTTTAAGCACTTTGATATATAATTCCACTGTCTTTTAGCCACCATTCTTTCTTATGGGAAGTCAGCCATTAATCATATTGCTGTTTCTCTGTACTTAATGAGTCATATTTTTTATCTTGCTGCCTTAAAAATTTTCTCTTTTTCTTTCAACAGTTTTTCTGTGATGTATTTAGATGGATATTGCTTTGCATTTTTTCTATTCTGGTTTTGTTCAGTTTCATGGATCTATAGATTAGCAGTTTTTATCAAATTTTAAAAGCTTGGGGCTTATTTTTACTGTCTGTTTCCCAGTGTTTTCACCTTTTGGGACTCCCGTTACTTGTGTTGGTGTGTTTGATGTTGTCCTAGAGGTCTCCAAGGCTCTGTTAATTTTTCTTCATTTTCTCTTTGTTCTTCAGGTTAGATCATTTCTAATCTTCAAGTTTACTGATAATTTCTTCTGACATTTCAGAACTGTTGTTGAGTCTCTCTAGTGAGTTTTAAATTTCAGTTATTAAATGTTATACTTCAGAATTTCCACTTAAATTTTTAAAACAATTGCTTCATTTTTATTGAGATTTTCTGTTAGTTGAGTCATTATAGTCATACTTTAATTTTTTAAAAATGGGCTTTAATTCTTATAATATATTTGTAATATTTGCTTTAAAGTCATTGTTAGGTCTATTGTGTATTCATTAAGAGAGTTTCTGTTGACTGCTTTTCTCTTGAGCATGGATCACGCTTTCATGTTTCTTTGCTTGTCTGTTTTTAAAAAAACTAGACATTTTAGATACCAGATTATAGCAAATCTAGATTCTGCCTCCCACTCTGATGGTTGTTATTGCTTGTGTTTTGTTTGTTTGCAACTTTCCTGCATTCAATCTATGTAATCTCTTTCCCTGCAGGATTTTAATATTTACTTTTGTTTGAAATCCTGGCTTTCTATGGGTCACCCCTATGTCAGCATAGCTTAGTGGTCAGCCAATATTTGGTTAGAGTTTGTGCCTAAATATCTTGAATCAGCAAGGCTTCCACCCTCTACTGATGGATCTGTGTTTGGTTTGGGGATTCCATTCATAGTTCAAGTAGTTTACAAGCCATTGCCAACTTTTACTCTCTTTAGGTCCTCTATTCCCATGTCTCCTCTGCGCTTGTGGATTATATTCAGCCAGGGACACATAGAGAGACTAAGGCCTTCTCTAATCTCTCCTGAACAGTTTTAAGACTTTCCCATCAGCAGGGTGGTGTGAATAGCTTATCAAGGCCCTTTATGGCCGTCTCATTTCGTGGATCTTCCTGTTGAACTACCAATTAGTCTGCTGATGTTTTGCATGCCCCAACCAGCACTACAACCTAAGGTCACTGGAGCCACTGTTTATTCCTTTTGCTTGCCACTGAGACTGTTACTGTTACTGCCAATGCCACTGAGTGTGGATTTTTTTCTCATGTTCCACTCCAAATCAAGCGAGTTCCCTTAGGCTGCAAAGATACTGGTTCTTACTACTTTTCCCATCCTAATAGAACTAGCAAACTGAGCTGGATGGAGTGGAGATGGGAGCATGCCCAGTCAACGCTGACACTAATTTCCACTCTCTTACCTGTAGTTGAGTAGTTTTTCATGAATAAACATTTCTCAATTTGTTGTACACTTTTGGTCATTTCCCAGAGTCCTGAAATTGTTATTTTTAGCAATTTTGTCTAGTTTTTATACTTCCTTTTTTTTCTAATTCGATATATTTTTAATCATGTCTATTATAGTTAGCACTCAAATTAATAACATTAAAAGCAGAATTGGCAGTTCCCTTGTAAGATAAGTCAGTGGGTCCCATCCTAATAGGCAATGAACCGTTAGGTCATGACAGCCATATTTTTATTTGTTCTTTTCTCCCCCTTTGGCTTTTCATATAGGTATTCTGAAGAATTTTTTAAAGTTTTCTAGAGTAATCACCATATTCTCATTCCCTGATGTTTTTCTTCGGTTTATTTTTAGTCAAGGATAATTTTATTATGTAAAGTCTTAGCAATTGCCGGTTTTATTCTATAGATTTCCCCCCTGGGCCAGTGTTTTAGTAATATTCAGTATTGCCACTGAGATGTGATTTCGAGGTTGGTTTTTTGACTGCAAAGATATTACAATGTTCAGTATATCTGTTATCATGTAAATGGATTTTTAAAATGTTGATTATTTCTACCAGTAATATTCAGTGTGGTGTCAGCACATCCAGGGCTTTAATATAAAAATATTCTTTAAGGGGGATACTCTGAGATATACTTTATTTATTCATTATCGATATGGGCTGATTTTGATTTAATTTAAAATGTATATTCTTAACTTACTGTTAATAGGCATTGATTAAAATGATCTAAAGGAGTTTTTAAAATGAAATATATGATGAATTATAACTTGAAACCCGAGCCTGAGAATGGAAAACACATGTTCTAAAAATGGGAGGCTTTTTGAGCTGACTAATGATACACCGCTATGGATTTCAGCATACACAAGTGTCTGGGCAGGCAATTCTCCATGATAGGTCAGGATGTGACAGTAATCCTGGAATTATCACAACATGAATACACTACTACGTATCTATGTTCTGTCTTAAAATAGCCACTTTTAGCTTCCTCATAAACAAACTGTTAAAAGTTCCATAAAGGTAAATTGGGTCATTCTATAAATACAAATCTAAAATTCTCCATTTCTATGTATTTGCCCATTTATTTATTCATTCCACAAAACTTGTATTGAACATTCTTTACATATCTACTTATCAGGCATGAGTTAAAGCTGCTCTGTCCAATATGGTAGCCACTAAAGCTGCATGTGTAAATTGAGATGTTGGATACATATAAAATATGCAACAGATTTCAAAGACTTAGTACTAAAAAAGAAATGTAAAATACTTCATTAATAATTATATATTGATTACATGTAGAAATGGTAATAGTTTGCATATATTGAGTTAAATGAAATATATTATTTAAATTAATTTTGTTTCTTTTTACTTTTTTAATACAGCTACTAGAAAATACAAAATTTTACTATGGCTCACAATTGTGGTTCATATTATGTCTCTATTTAACAGTGCAGGAGATACCAGAGATAAGACATGTGTTCAGAAAATCTACAGTGTAGGCACATGGAAATTCTCAAAAAGTTCATAGTTTAATGTCAAAACAAACTAAAGAAAAAATTTTAGTGACTAACTAAATGATAAAGAAATGAGCTTTGGTATTTTGTTGACATGGATTAAAATCTCTTGGCTGTAACTTAGTATGTGACCTAAATCAAGTGACAAACTCTAGGCCTCAGTTTTCCCTTACCTATGAAATAGAGAAGTGGCGGTAATTATATCTACCTTACATGGCTTTTGTGAAGATTAAATGAAATGATATTTGGGAAGTAGTTAGCAGTCACTAACATACAGATAATGCTTAATATGTAATATATGTGATAATGATTATGTTAATTATGTTGATTTCGATGAGGATGATGGCACTTAGCTGTAAGTATGCAGAGGGTGTTATGAGGACAAAGGTGAGGGACACTTAGCTCAAATGGGTAGACAGTGGAAAGTTATGATTAAGAATCAGCCAAGCAGATAGAAGGGTGGAAAAAAGAGTATTAGTGGCACTGGGAAAAGGTTTTACAAAAATGCATGGAGTCATGAGAGAATCTCACCTTTCCTGCTCTCACAATGAGATACTCTACATGAGCATGGGCAAAGTTCTGTAGAAACTGCAGATGCCATTAGAACATTTAGTCCAAAACAACCAGTTATGCTACTAAAAGAAAAGTGTGCGTGCATAAATTAGTGGAAGACTTCCTAAATATCCAAATTTATTATATAATTCTTTAACCCATATCCTGTCTAATGGGAAGACTTCCAAAATCAGGTAAAGATAACATAATGAATTTGATTGATCAAGTAAGCAAGAGCTTCTTTATAAAGAAAAAGCAGATAGAATAGACATTTTGTTAAGAGAAGAGTAAAAGGGTAAAACATGATTGAGGATGCTATTTTGAAATTGGCTTTTGCACCATTTTCTGCAAACCAAACTGCATCTTGGTGTATCTGTTGCCAAAAAGTAAGCTGAACTGAAAATACAAATGCTCACAATATAAAATCATCCATTGGAAATAAAAGAAAAAGCAGACAAAATAATGAAAACACTTCAATGCTTATAGGTAAGTGCTATTTGGGGGATGTTTTAATAAGCAAATGTTTATTTTAGTTGCTTAGAATATTCTCTTGGATTCTAGATACATAAATTTCAACCCACGTTCCCCAGTTGCCATAACAACTTGATACATTTGTTCTCTTGTGTCATTTTTTATCATATCAGTTTTTTTTTAAATTGGTTGCTATGATAACACAGTATAGTTGTTAAATTTATTCACATTTTGCTCTACTGGAAACTGGTAACTTGCTTTTATTTTTTTTTCCAAAGAAGTTCATATTACAGAAGTGTAACATGAAAAATAGTGGTCTAACTTCTAATACTGTTCAAGTTTATATTAAAATTTTAACTATGTGTATTAATTTATGCCCTAATAGTATTACCTCTGTGACATGGAAGATGGCTAATGATTACCTAATTCCACTCTGAGGGAAGAAACTAACCTTTACTGTACCAAATGAGGGAAATGGGCAGTTCTAATAACAGTTATATCTCCAAGCATGGCTTCAACTAGTCTCACTTGGAGGAAACTGCTTGGTGGTATCAGGAAATAGTCACACCAAAAGCTGCCATTACTGGTTTGCTTATTAACTACCTTGTTTCTCTACAAAATGGGAGCTTATTTATTGCAACGAATGAAACCTTGGCATAATAGAAATTCCTAATCTATGCACACCTGTTCCTAAAAAAAAAAAAAGGAAAATCTCTTTTATAAAAAAAAATCCCCTTGTTTAGAATTACATATTGGAGGATATAAGGCTATGCATAAGTTTGTTTTAATTTATGCAGCTAACTCCTACTGTTTTCTCTATTTTGATTACTTTTAATAGTACTTTCATATTGACTAATTACATCTCTTAAAATTGATCATGCTCTGGTCCCTTCCAGCTCTAAACATAATTATAATCTGAACAAGCTATGTTGAGAGGAATGCCAAGGGTTAAGGGACAAAAGGCAAGGGACTAGGGTCAAAGAAACTTGGTTAAACCCTAATAATTACTGTATAACCCTTGGAAATTATTTATCTGCTGATTCTTAGTTCTCATATATGTAAAACAGAAAGGAAAATAATTAGCCTATAGATTTTTTGGTAGGAATTTAATGAGATAACATATTCAAATAGAGTGCCCAGCACATAATAGATGCTTAAACATCTTAATTGCCTCCTCCTTTTTTATTTTTTCCTTCCATTGAGGGTCAGTGAGAAAGAGTGAGAAGCAAGAAACGGATGGAGTTCCAGCTAAGATAATGAACCTAGAAATAGGGCAGCCTGTTTTCTCAACTAGTGATCTAATATTCAGAGGTAATAGGAGCATGGCTAATTTGGACTTAATTTGGACTGGAGTTGCTGTCCCTGATATCTCAGCCTGCCCATGCAGTAAATGGGGTACAACAGGACCAAGCCATAATATTCTGTGTGTCTTTTATTCCTGTTAGTGTTTATGTTAAAATGGTGGACCTGGACCCAACCACAGCCAAGATTTGATGTAGTAAGATAAATCCCCCTGGCAATGGTTTTGTTGTCATTTCTGAAATCAAATTTTGGCTGTTTTGGGACCTTGGTCACTTAAGTTTTCTTAGCCTCAGTTTGCCATTCATGTGTAGCAAAGTAATAAAAACATATGAGCATCTATAGATGATAACTACTTTGGGGTTTGTTAATTAGCATTAGAGGTAATATATTTTCAACAAATATTTGTTATGAATACTAGATTGTTGTGCTGATGGTGTTGTTAATTAACAATGGTAATGATTAGTCAGAATTTTAGAGCCTTAGCTAAAGTTGCCTGGGAATCAGGGCAGACTACTGTTCCAGCAGAAAAACAAAGAGGGATTTAGGTGCCCAAAGCTGATTCCATTCATACTGGATCACGTACTTCAGACAGTAAGGTAAATGCTATCCTCAACCACAGGTAAATATAAGAATGCTAATATTCTGCTAAGCTTGGTCAGGACTGGCTCCAGAAATTGAGAATGTTTTGCCTCCAGAATGAAGAAACAAGTGTCTTAGGAAGGCTGGAACTGACAAAGTTACTGTGATCTTGTTCTTTCTCTGTGCCTAAAGCACTCTTGAGTAATAAGCCGGAGCATTCTGGGAGATGCATCGACTCTGTCAGGCCACTAGGGTGTCATTTAGAATTTCTCTGCTGGAACAATGGAGTCATATAAATCTCAACCCACATTATCTAGTTGCCATGGTAACTTGTTGCACTTGGTTTCAAGTGTCTTTTGTGCCTCCCCTTTTTTTTCTTTTTGTTTTTAATCACCAGGATTTTTACTTTGCTAGTAATTTCCTAAATGTTGTTTTGTGGCTTCCTACCCTTCTATCTCCCAGCTAAATTTCTGAATATGTTGCTGGGGAGTGATTTCCACTTTAGAATAATAGCTGAATGTGTGTGTTCACACAGGCGTGCCCATAAGTCTACCCCACCCCATTTCTCTTTCTCTTTCTTTTCTCCCACACTTGCTCACACACACAGACAAATAATTATGTTAGAAAACTGATACATTTCTAAAGCCTTTCATTGCTTTTTAAAAAGCAGTTTGTGTTTCTTAAATAAAAATTATAATGTAAGTGGTTCAATTCTAGAACAACTAACTGATTTAGTATTTCCTTGCCAATTAAAATGTGTCAGGCTGAATAAAGAATATAATTCTTATTTCATTCTTTTTCTCCACTTGATCACTTTAACATGTTTAGATTGTGAAGAGAAGTGTGTTTCAGTGTAAAGAACACAAGGACAACTTGGTCTTACATTCAGACTCCATCATGTCTTAGCTATGCAACCTCAGGCAAGTTACTTAACTACTCTAAGCCTCATGTTAAAATGGGTTGACAGTTCCCTCGTAAGATATTTGTGAAGAATGAATTGGGATAACATAGGCAGAGTACTTGGAATAAATAGGTCCTACACTAGGTCCTAGGACATTAGAGACAAAACATTAATTCCATCACATCTAACCCCAACTACCAAAATGTATTCAAAAAATAAAAACTATTTATTTCTCACTCATTAGATGAATGTGTACTTTCTTCATCACCATACAAATTTCCACATCACAAAGATGAGGCAAATTTGAAAAATACAAAAGCAGAATGCTATGCAGTCTCCTTGCCTGGATGTTCACAATATAAATAATTGACAGTGAAGAGAGCATTTCCTGGAAGCCTGTAAGGGACGATGATCTCCTGCTACATTCAGTTAGGATCTTTTATCTAGGATGAAGCCTGGTTGAAAATATCGAGCTAATAGAGAAGATATTTAGAAATTATTTTATCTACTGGAAAACAATATTCATCACCACAACAAAATTCTCCTTTCATGTAGAAAGTGGCTGTGCTACAAGTACACTCTTAATACAAATGTGTTTAATCAGAAGCAAAATGAATACAGGAAAACAGCACTAGGCATGCAGGCAAGGGTTACTGCCTATTTGTGAGTGCAACTATTGGTAGTGTTGACAGGGAAAAAATAACAAGGGAACGGAAACAAAATTAAATTTTAAAAGGAGAACTGCAATTATATGACATGACACCTGCTTTCTAAAAGTATTGGGCTTTTCAGAGAGTAAGTCATAGAAAATTAAAAAGGAAAGAGATCACAGGGAAAATTCTTAAAAAAAACTCCATCTCCAATTCATAGTAACTTAAAAATATCTATTTTCTAATTTAATTGTACATTGTAAAATAACTAAAAGGGTGTAAGTGGATTGTTTGTAACACAAAGGATAAATGCTTGAGGTGATGGATTGATTCTCCCTCTATGTATATACACACATATATATACACATATATACACATATATATACACATATACATATACGTATACATATACATATACATATATATGGAGAGAAGGAGATATTCAAGCAACAGGAAGAGGAAGCCTGAAAGAAGAGAGAAATTATTTCTTCTTTAGTGCTAGTAAAATGGAAGTGCTAGGTGAATAAAAATTATTGAATAATATTCAATACTTTCATATTCTTGAAGAATATTAAATAATAAACAATTGATAAATTTGTTGATTAAATAAGATTTCTATGAATAATTAAAAAATTGTCTATTTGATTATAATTCAGAAACAGAATGGATTTTGGAATCCTGTCAAACCAAATTAGAATACTGGCTCTACCTTTTGGTAGCTGTGTAATTTTGGGCAAGTAATTCATGTCAGAAACCTCAGTTTCTTTATCCAAGACAGAAAAACTGAGTTCCAGTCTGGGTTCATCTATGAAAGTCTATGTAAACTTGGACAAGTCTCTGCTTTTGTGGATCTTTTCCCCTGATGTATAAGTGAGAGATTTAGTCTGTAGGTGGCAATCTCCATAAGTACATTTGCAGCTCTGACATTCCTGGGCTCTATGTTCTATTTAATGCTGATATTTAACTGCATTTCTACAGCTGAAGCTTTTATTTTCAGGTTTCTTTTGAAGCCACAATTGAGGTTGGATTCCAAAATCACATCCTGAAACTAACACAAAAGGGCAGCTTGTTAGGATTTTCTCGTTGCTGAATCTTTTTATTAAGTATGCAGTTTATTTGTCCCTAGGATCTGAGCTTGTGATAGTAAGATAACACAACATCGTTGGTTCTGTAGCTTCCACTCAACTTTAGTTAATGAAAGGACTTTGTGGTTTGCCCTCTCTCCCTTGATCATTAATGTGCCAGGCACTGTACAAGGCTCATTAAAAAAAGTTTAACAAAATGACATACAGTTATGCACTGTAGAAAATACAGAAATATATAAAGAACAGAATAAATGTCACCTATTATCACAAGATTCAGAAGTAATTACAACTGTTCTCTGGTGGATTTCTCAGTATGTATATGTGCTTATGTGTGTGTGTGTTTAATCAAACTTTGGATGGTATTAGTATATATTCTTTTATAACATACTTTTTCACTTAAAATAATCCTGCTGGCATTTTGACATCCATAAAGCTTCTTCTAGAGTATAATATTTAATAATACATAACTTTTGATCATATGACTATATTGAGTCTTAGCAGAATAGAATGGTCACAAAGGTTAAACTCTGGAATAAGCCTACCTGGTGTAAATCACAGCCACCTACTAGCTGTGTGTCCTTGGACAATTTGCTAAAATTCTTTAAATCTCAATATGCTTATCCATAATAATGGTGCACTAATAGTATAAACTTCATAGGCTATTGTGATGACTCAGTGAGTTAATCTTTGTAAAGCACTTGCAGAATAGGAAGTATTAACTACCGTTATTAACATTTATGTTGTTCAGTTTGCTACCTATCTTAAATAGATAGGTTTAGTTCATTTGTATTATTGTGGGTCCTAATGTCTTTAGACTTATTCCGCCATTTAAGGACATTGTTCATTGACCATCCTTTTCCTTTCTCCTTCACCCACCCATTTGTACCTCCTGTTGTACTGAAAATTTTTCTATGTTTTCTTCTTATTTTTTCCTCTGCTGGTTGGAAACATCTGATTGTCTTCTGTTCTTTAATTGGTTATCTTTTTGGCATACATAATAATCTATATATTATTCTAAGAAATCTAAAGTTATATTTATCTTTCTCAAATATGACAAGGACCTTGATGGATTTTAATAACTCATTGAATACTCCAGTCTCTCATATCCATACAATACTTCATATTTGACTTATGATATATTTTATTTATTTATTTGCTCACTATTTATCTTTGTACTTAGATATTCCTCTGAGTTTATTTTTCTTTTTGCTGAAGTACGTCCTTTAGTAATTATTGTTGTGAGGATATTTATTGTTAAATTATCTTAATATTTGTATGCTTGCACTCTCCCTTTTGCATGATAATTTAGCTGGCTATAAGCTTATAGGACAGCAATTATTTTCTCATGGCACTGTGAGCATATGTTCTATTACTTTTGGTTTCTCTGCTTAATTAAGCTGTTTTTCTGTAGATTGTTTCCTATTGTAGATCCTAAGATTTCCTTTTTATTCCTGCTGATTTTCAGTTTTACTCTTGTGTGTCTGAGTGCATATTTAATTTTATGTATGTACACTGCCTCTTAGAAAGCTTTTTCTATCGGTGGACTCATCTCTTTTTGAAATCCTGGAAAATTCTCAGCTGTATTTATTCAAATATTGCTTTTTCAGCGTTCTCTTCATCCTCCTTTCATGATACTCTGAGAAGATGTATATTGGACCCTCTCAATCTATTCTTCATGCTTTTGTACAGCTCTTTATCTATTTTAGATCTCAGCATTTTAGTGTTGTGTTCTGAGGGGATTTCTTGTGCTATCTTCCAATTTTTCTGCATATGTTTAGTCTATGGTTTATAATATCTATTAATTTTTGTTGCAATGACTATTTTTTATTCCATTTTTAATGGCTCTTTGTTATATCTGTCTTGTTCTACCTCTTGTTCCCTCTCTTCCTGTTTTCCAACATAATTTGTTTGGCTTTTAAAAAATTGACTTTGTATTTTCTTCTATCTCTGAGCATTCTGTTTATTGAAGATCTTTTTCATTCCTTTTATTATATTCATATTGGACATATTTACATTCTGATTACTAATTTTGCTATAGTTTTAGTATAATACTTTCTTCAAACAGTTTGGATTTTTGGATCTGTAGCTTTCTTTTAAAAACTATTTATTTATAAATAATCTAAAACAAAGAAAAGTTACAAAAATAGTAAAAAATAACCTGTATAACTTTTACTCAGATTCTCCAAAATTAACATTTACTATATTTGTGTTATTCTCTTTAGGCATAAACACATGCATACTTTTTTGGGGGTGTGGTTAAAGAGCAATTTGCCTTTTTTCCCTGAATACTTCACTGTGTATTTTCTAAAACCAAGTATATTCTTTTGTATAACCAAGGTACAATGATCAAAATTAGGAATTTAGCATTGGTCTAAATATTGTCTATTCTTATAGATCTTATTAAAATTGTATTAAATGTTCCACTAAATGTCTTTATTATAAAAAAAATTTGCTGGTCCAGGCTCTGATCTAGTGTTATACATTGCATTTAGTTTTCATGTCTTTTTAGTCATCTTCAATGAAGAATATTTCTCAGTCTACCTTTGTCTTTCAAGACCTTGAATTTATTTTTTTCCCCAAATATAAGACATTTATTTTGTAAAATAGCCTTTAATTTTTTTTCTGCTATTTCCTTATGATTAAATTCAAGTTATATATTTTTGGCAGAAGTACTACAAAAGGGATATATCCTTCTCATTACATGATTTGAGAAGGTATTTAAAATATATATTTGTTAAATTACTGATTATGCATTGTTCACTTGGTTAAGGTAGCTTCCAGATTATCTACTGTAAAGTTACTATTTTCTTTTAGTAGTTAATAAGAATCTCATAAGAGACACTATTTCTTTTCTTCAACATTTAAGTTCTGGGGTATATATGTAGGATGTGTAGGTTTGTTCCATAGGTAAAAGTGTGCCATGGTGGTTTGCTGCACAGGTCAACCCATCACCTAGGTATCAAGCCCAGCATCCATTAGCTTTTCTTCCTGATGCTCTCCCTCACTCTGCCACCCACTGTAAGGCCCCAGTGTGTGTTGTTCCCCTGCATGTGTCCATGTGTTCTCATCATTCAGCTCCCACTTATAAGTGAGAACATGTGGTATTTGGTTTTCTGTTCCTGTGTTAGTTTGCTGAGGATAACAGATTCCAACTCTACCCATGTCCCTGCAAAGGACATGATCTTGTTTCTTTTTATGGCTGCATAGTATTCCCTGGTATGTATGTATGTGTGTGTGTGTGTGTGTGTGTATATGTATATATATATATATATAAATACATATACATACACACCACATTTTCTTTATTCAGTCTATCATGGAGCAGTATTTCGGCTGTTTCCATGTCTTTGCTATTGTGAATAGTGCTGCAGTGAACATACATGTGCATGTTATCTCTATAATAGAATGATTTATATTCCTTTGGGTATATACTCAGTAATGGGATTGCTGGGTCAAATGGCATTTATGCTTCTAGATCTTTGAGGAATTGCTGCACTGTCTTCCACAATGGTTGAACAATTTTATACTCCCACCCACAGTGTAAAGTATCCCTTTTTCTCCACAACCAAGCCAGCATCTGTTGTTTCTTGACTTTAATAATCGCCATTCTGACTGGCATGAAATGGTATATCATTGTGGTTTTGATTCTCATTTCTTTAATGATCAGTGATGTTGGGCTTTTTTTCATATATTTGTTGGCTGCATGAATGCCTTCTTTTGAGAAGTGTCTGCTCATGTCCTTTGCCTACTTTTTAATTGAGTTGTTTTTTCTTGTAAATTTGTTTAAATTCCATGTAAACTCTAGATATTAGACCTTCGTCAGATGGATAGTTTGCAAAAATTTTCTCCCATTTGTAGGTTGTCTGTTCACTCTGATGATAGTTTCTTTTGTTGCACAGAGGCTGTTTAGTTAAATTAGATCCCATTTGTCAATTTTTGCTTTTGTTGCAATTGCTTTTGGCATTTTTATTATGAAATCTTTGCCAGTGCCTATGTCCTAAATGGTACTATCTAGATTTTCTTCTAGGGTTTTCATAGTTTTGAGTTTTATATTTAGATCATTAATCCATCTTGAGTTAAATTTGTATATTGTGTAAGGAAATGGTCCAGTTTCAATTTTTCACATTTGGCTAGCCAGTTCTCCTAGCACCATTTGTTAAATAGGGAAACCTTTCCCCATTGCTTGTTTTTATCAGGTTTGTCGAAGGTCAGATGGTTGCAGATGTGCCGTCTTATTTCTGAGTTCTCTATTCTGTTCCATTGCTCTAGGTGTCTTCTTTTTTACAGGTACCATGCTGTTTTGGTTGTTGTAGCCCTGTAGTATAGTTTGAAGTCAGGTAGTCTGATGTCTCCAGCTTTGTTCTTTTTGCGTAGGATTGTGTTGGTTATCCAGGCTCCTTTTTGGTTCCACATGAATTTTAAAACAGTTACTTCTAATTCTGTGAAGAATGTCAATAGTAGTTTAATGGGAATAGCATTGAATCTATAAGTTACTTTGGGCAGTATGGCCATTTTCACGATATTGATTCTTCCTCTCCATGAGCATGGAATGTTTTTTCATTTGTTTTTGTCCTCTCTGATTTCCTTGAGCAGTGATTTACAGTTCTCCTTGAAGAAGCTCTTCACTTCATTTGTTAGCTATATTCCTAAGTATTTTATTCCCTTTGTGACAATTGTGAATGGGAATTCATTCATGATTTGGCTCTCTGCTTGCCTATTGTTAGTGTATAGGAATGCTAGTGATTTTTGCGTATTGATTTTGTATGCTGGGACTTTGCTGAAGTTGCTTATCAGCTTAAGATACTTTTGGGTGGTGACGGCAGAGTTTTCTAGATATAGAATTATGTCATCTGCAAAGAAAGATAATTTGACTTTCTCTCTTCCTATTTGATTATTCTTTATTTCCTTCTGTTGCCTGTTTGCCCTGGCCAGAACTTCTAATATTACATTGAATAGGAGTGGTGAGAGAGGGCATCCTTGTCTTGTGCCAGTTTTCAAGGGTTCTGCTTCCAGCTTTTGCCCATTCAGTGTGATATTGGCTGGGGGTTTGTCATGTATTGCTCTTATGTTGAGGTATGTTCCTTTAATATCTAGTTTATACAGAGTTTTTAACATAAAAGGATGTTGAATGTTATTGAAGACTTTTTTGGTGTCTATTGAGAAAATCACGTGGTTTCTTTAGTTCTGTTTATGTGATGAATCACATTTATTGATTTGCATATGTTGAACCAACCTTGCATCCTAGGGATGAAGCCAACTGTCGGGTCATGGTAGATAAGCTTTTTGATGTGTTGCTGTATTCAGTTTGCCAGTATTTTATTGAGGATTTTTGCATCGATGTTCATCAGGAATATTGGCCTGAAGTTTTCTTTTTTTGTTGTATCTCCATCAGGTTTTGGCATTAGGATGATGCTAGCCTCATAAAATGTGTTAGGGAGGAGTCTTTCCTTTCATTTGTTTGGAATAGTTTCATTAGAAATGGTACCAGATTTTCTTTGTACCTCTGGTAGAATTCAGCTGTAAATTTATCTGGTCCTGGGCTTTTTTTGGTTGCTAGGCTATTTATTCCTTCCTCAATTTCAGAACTTGTTATTGGTCTATTCAGGGCTTTAATTTTTGCCCTGGTTCTGTCTTGGGAGAATGTATGTGTCCAGGAATTTATCAATTTCTTCTAGATTTTCTAGTTGATGTGCATAGAGGTGTTTATTATAGTTTTCTCTTGGTTGTTTGTATTTCTATGGGGTCAGCGGTGATATCCCCCTTATCATTTCTGAGTGTGTCTATTTTACTGCCCTCTCTTATCTTCTTTATTAGTATAGCTAGTGTCTATCTATTTTATTAATAGTTTCAAAAAATCAGCTCCTGGATTTATTGACTTTTTTGAAGGGTTTTTCATGTCTCTGTCTCCTTAGTTCCACTCTGATCTTGGTTATTTCTTGTCTTCTGCTAACTTTGGGGTTCATTTTCTCTTGGTTCTCTAGATCTTCTAGTTGTGATGTTAGGTTGTTAATTTGAGATCTTTCTAGCTTTTTAATGTGGCATTTAGTGCTGTAAATTTCCCTTTTAACACTGCTTTAGTTGTTTCCCAGAGATTCTGATACTTTATTGTTTTCATTTGTTTCAAAGAACTTCTTGATTTCTACCTTAATTTCATTTTTGACCAAAGTGTCATTCAGGAGCAGGTTGTTCAATTTCCATGTAGTCGTGTGGTTTTAAATAAGTTTCTTAATCTTGAGCTCTAATTTGAGTGTGCTTTGGTATGAAAGGCTGTTTGTTATTATTTCGCCTCTTAGGCATTTACTGAAGGGTGTTTTACTTCCATTTATGTGATCAATTTTGGAGTAACTGCCGTGTGGTTATGAGAAGAATATATATTCTGTTGTTTTTGGTTGGAGAGTTCTGTAGATACCTATCAGGTCCACTTGATCCAGAGCTGAGTTCAGGTCCTGAATATTTTTGTTAATTTTCTGTCTTGGTGATCTGTCTAACATTGACAGTAGGGTGTTTAAGTCTCCCACTATTATTCTTTGAGAGTCTAAGTCTCTTTTAGTTCTCTAGGAACTTTCTTCATGAATTTGGGTGCTCCTATATTTGGTCCATGTATATTCAGGATACTTAGCTGTTTTTGTTGAATTGAACCCTTTACCCTTGTGTAACGCCCTTCTTTATCTTTTTTGATCTTTGTTGGTTTAAAGTCTGTTTTATCATAAACTAGGATTGCAACCCCCTTTTTTCTGTTTTCCATTTGCTTGGTAAATTTTCCTCCATCCCTTTATTTTGAGCCTATGTGTGTCTTTACACATGAGATGGGTCTCTTAAAGACAGCACGCCAATGGGTCTTGACTCTATCCAGCTTGCCATTCTGTCTTCTAATTGGAACATTTAGCCCATTTATTTTTAAGGTTACTATTGTTATGTGTGAATTTGATCCTGTTATCATGATGCTAGCTGGTTACTTAGCAGACTTGTTTATGTGGTTACTTCATAGTGGCACTGGTCTGTGTACTTCAGTGTGTTTTTGTAGTTGTTGCTGGTAATGGGTTTTTCCTTTCCATATTTAGTGCTTCCTTCAGGAACTCTTGCAAGGCAGGCCTGATGGTGATAAATTACATCAGCATTTGCTTGTCTGAGAAGAATCTTATTTCTCCTTCACTTATGGAGTTTAGTTTGGCCAGACATGAAATTCTGGGTTGGAAATACTTTTCTTTAAGAATGTTGAATATTGGCCCCAATCTCTTCTGGTTTGTAGGGTTTTTGCTTAGAGGTTTGCTGTTAGTCTGCTGAGCTTCTCTTTGTTAGTCACCTGGCCTTTCTCTCTGGCTGCTCTTAACCATTTTTTTCTTTCATTTCAACCTAGGAGAATCTGACGATTATGCATCTTGGGGATTATCTTCTTGTTGGGTATCTTACTGGGGTTCCCTGGATTTTTTGAATTTGAATGTTGGCCCGATTTGCTAGGTTAGGGAAGTTCTCCTGGATGATATTCTGAAGTATGTTTTCCAACTTAGTTCCATTCTCCTTGTCTCTTTCAGGTACCCCAATCATTCATAGGTTTGGTCACTTTACGTAATCCTATATTTCTCAGAGGTTTGGTTTGTTCATTTTCATTCTTTACTCTCTATTTTTTTTGCCTGTCTTATTTCAGAAAGATTGTCTTCAAGCTCTGAGATTCTTTCCTCTGCTTGGTCTATGCTGCTATTGATACTTGTGGTCGCATTGTAACATTCTTGTGTTGTTTTTCAGCTTCATCAGATCTATTATGTTCCCACTAAACTAGCTGTTCTGGTTATCAGGTCTTGTATTGTTTCATCATGATTCTTACCTTCTTTGCATTGGGTTAGAATATGCTCCTTTAGCTCAGCAAAGTTTGTTATTCATTATTAACCACTCTCTGAAGCCTACTTCTGTCAATTCAGCCATCTCAACCTCAGCCCAGTTCTGTGCCCTTGCAGGAGAGGTATTGCAGTCATTTGGAGGAGAAAAGGCACTCTGGCTTTTTGAGTTTTCAGCATTTTTGCATTGATTCTGTTCCATCTTTGTGGGCTTCTCTACCTTCAATCTTTGAGGTTGCTGACCTTTGAATGGGGTTTTTGTGGGGTCTTTCTTGTTGATGTTGTTGTTGTAGCTTTCTGTTTGTTTTTCTTTTAACATTCAGGCCACTCTTCTGTAGAGCTGCTGCAGTTTCCTGGGGGTCCACTCTAGACCCTGGTCACCTTGTTCCCTTCAGCACCTGGAGATATCATCAGTGAAGGCTGTGAAACAGCAAAGAGGGTAGCCTTCTCCTTCCTCTGGGAGCTAATGGATTTCAGGGGGTCACCAACCTGATGCTGGCCAGAACGCTCCTGTAGGAGGCGTCTGGAGACCCTTATTGGGAGGACTCACCCAGTCCGGAGGAAGGGATTCAGGAACCCACTTAAACAAGCAGTATGGCTGCCCCTTAGCAAAGCAGGTGTGCTGCACTGGGCGGAACCCCCCCTCGTCCAGAATGCCCGGACTCTTCAGTGCCAGCAGGCTGGAACATCTAAGCCAGCTGAACCACAGGGACAGTGGCCACTTCCCCCTGGGGCTTCATCCTAGGGAGAGATCAGAGTTCTGTCTGAAAAACTTGGCTGAAGTTGCTGTAATTCCCACAGGGAGGCCCCACCCAGTGAGGAGGGAGGGATCAGTTAAAGCAGCAGTCTGGCCATGATCTGGCATGGCAGCTATGCTGTATTGTGGGGAACTCCTTCCAGTCCAGACAGCCTGGACTCCCTGGAGCTGGCAGGGTAGAATGGCCCACTCTTAACTTCAGAGATGGTGGCTGCCCTTCCCCCCAGGAACTTGGTCTGTTTCAGGCAGTCTCCAGCCTGCTGCCACTGGCTGGCTGGAATTCCAAGCCAGTGGGTCTTAACCTGTAAGGTGCTGTAGGAGTAGGGCCCACAGAATGAAGCCACTTAACTCCTGGATTCAGCCCCCTTCCTAGCGTAATGCGTGGATGGATCTCCCACCTCACTGGAATTCCCAGGGCCAGATTATACAAAACCCTTGGGCCTCTGTGCATGCCCCAGTGGCCATTATGTGGAGTTTCCACACAGCTCTCTGCTTCGGATCCAAGGCCCTGGTCGCATTGGCTCACGAGGGGATCTCCTGATCTACAGTTTGCAAAGATCCATGGGGAAACCATGGTTTCCCAGATGAGGGTGCATAATCACTCACCACCTCCCTTGGCTGGAGGTGGGGGTTCCCCTGGCTCTGTGCTGCTCCGTGGGCCATTGCTTCACCCTGCTTTTCCTCACTCTCCATGGGTCCAGCTGTCTACCTAGTCAGTCCTAATGCAATAACCTGGATACCTCAGTTGAAGGTACAGAATTCGCTTCCTGTTTTCACTCCTCCCTGTGACAGCTGCAGACTGCAGCTGCTTCTAATTGGCTATCTTATCTGGCACCCCTTGAGATATTTTGCATTTAGGTAAATATTTTGTGTATCACCTTCTTTTCCAAACAATTATTACTATGGTGTCTTCCGGTTGGTAGTTTTCTGATTGCCTCATTTCTTCTACGTGTATTTGTTGACATTTTCCTGTAAGGAAGAGCTTTCCCTTCTCCCCTGTTTTTTTTTTTTATTTGTTATGCCTTATTTGTGGAGTCCTAATTAGAGAAGGGGAGTTGGGCTGGTGGGACCAAGGGAAAGCAAAAAGAGAAAGCCCTCTTCAGCACACAGCACAAACATCATCCTATAAAATCCCCAGCAAGTCTCTCTCTCCTGTCAGTCACCTCCTCTCCTGCTGACCTACCTGTTGTTTTCTTGCAATGCATTTTCCTACTTTCTCAAACCTGCCTTTCTTTACGTACAGCTGTCTTGGTAAATTCTTTTTACCACCTGTGCAATACCAGCCTCAGATAGTTGCCAACCTGGGACATTATTTAACCTTCCTAACTTGAATTTTGTAGTGTTGGGCTCAGAACATGATACCTCAAATTATGGTACTTTGTCATGCTGAGTACTTTGAACTGAAGGAGATTGTAAGGGGCTCAGAGTTTCTTTGACTTTCTTCTATTCACCTTTCCCCACTATTTTTCCTGCCCAAGCTGAGTCATAGAAAGCAGAATTACTCTCCCCTTGGGTGAGTCATAGAAACTAGAATTCCTCTTCCCCAAAGCAAGCATGAAACCTGGAAAGGTCACTCTCTGGCCTCCCTTTTACCCTAAAGGTTCTTACGAGGCAAGTATCCTGCTGTATATGTGGGGGGAAAGAATGTCATACAGAGACACAGGAAAAAATCTGAACAAACAGGCCTTACTGAAGTTCCTTCTCCTCTCCCCTGTCCCTCCAGTCTATTACCATTAGATCATACCCCTTTTTGTCCAGTCATGTTTCTTCACAACTCTGCACTGCTTTTATCAGATTTATTTTTTAAAATACAGTTTTCCTTGGGTCTTTGGATCTTCATTTCCTTATGATGGCTCGCTGCCATGTAATATATAAACTTTTATTGAATTAAAATTATGTGCTTTTCTCCTATTTTTAGGCTTAGCCAGGAATCCTAGGTGGCTTGGGGAAACTTTTCCCCCCATAGGACAAATAAGATACATGTATGTGTTTTTATTTTCCCTTCTTTCTTATGTTGGGGCTTAGAAAATGATACCCAAAAGTATAGCTCTTTGACATGCTTAGCACTTGAATTAAAGGAAATTAGAAGGCCTCAGAATCAAGGACTTTTTGACCTTCTGTGTCTCTTCCCAAGCACAGGGTCGAACTCTCTGAAGGTTCTTTATCTGAAGCTACTCCAGAAGGAACATAATTGCTTTGGATACCTTCCCTGAAATTTTATTATTTAGAGAGGAGTAAACTCATATTTCAGGAAGAAAGACTGAGGAATATTACATATCTAGACAGAATGTCACAAACTATTGTCTGTTCTTAAGGTCCCATTCAGTTTCCAAACACAGCAATTCACAAATGATGATCTGTTCTTTGGGCCCAATCAACTCTCCTAAAAATCATTTACTACCCCTAAAAATTGCCTACATTCCCTCATCTCCTTGTCCTCTATGAAGAGGGTGCTATTTAAGCATTAGCCATCTCATCCTTTTTTGTGTTTCAATTTTGTATGGCTCATACATAGTTTGTATGTGCACACTTGCATGTTAATACATTTACGTACCGTTTTTCATGTTATCAGTTTATTTTAGCAAACTGGAACCTTCAGAGAGGGAGCGGAAAATTTCCTTTGCCCCTACACTTACACGGAAGATAGCATATTATAGACACAGTTGAACTTCTCTTAGCCACAGGTTCTGCATCCACATATACAATCAACCTGAAATCGAAAATATTAAAAGACAATAAAAATAACAGTATGGCAATGAAAATAATACAAATAAAAATACAGTACAACAACTATTTTTATAGCGTTCCCATTGTATTTGGTATTATAAGTAATCTAGAGATGTTTAAAAGTATCTGGGAGGATATGTGTAGGTTATATGCAAATACTACTTCACTTTATATGAGGGACTTGAGCATACACAAATTTTGGTATCTGTGAAGGTTTCTGGAACCAACTCCACATGGGTACTGAGGGGATGACCGTGTTCTTTAGCACTTTGCTTGTTTTACTTTAACAGTGTATCCTGAAAAAAATTCTGTTAGTTTATAGAAACCTTTTTTATTATTTGCATACCTGCATAGTAGTCAGCCAGACTTTTTAAAGGTTTGCAATGACGAAGACATTGACATAATGAAGTACCTGGTACTAGATAAGACCAGCTACCATAAACAACTATATAGCTGGAAATGCATGTGAAAGGTACATGATATTTTTTGTCCTATTTCTGCAAAATTTTTATAAGCTTTAAGTTATTTTGAATACATTTAAAAATCAAAGAAAAATGTAAAATAATAAATAAGTCTGTGAGAGCTTTACTTTTAAAATGTTTTCCCATTTGACCCCTCTACTCTTCCCTATCATTTCTCACCTCAACCCTTCTTTGATTCCCTATTTTTTGGGATAATCTGAATTCTTTGGCATAATGTCTAAGATTCTCCTAAATTGGCTTCTGCTTACCTTTTCTATTTCATTTCTAACAACTATTTGATGGCAAAAATGTAGTTGTCCAACTATATCATTCTGTTATAATACTTCAAAATTAAATTGAAATTATCTGCTTATATACTTGTTTCACTTATTTCACTCTACATTTCTTAAAGGACTGGCATATTGAGCATTTAATAAATGTTTATTGAACTGAACCTCTGTTGAAGTTTCAGAGCATGTTGTCTGCACTTCATTTTTGACAATCAAATCTTTCCACATGGTTTTATAGTGACTTTTGTATATATTTGTTTCCTTTCTTACACTAAATTCTTTTTGGACACTGTCTTCTTTGTGTTTTCCCCAAAACATCTTCTTTAGTGCTTTGCATGTAATACAATTTAATACATGTATATTGAATCAACAAATAAGGTGGACACTTTTCTTGATAACTGATACTCTCTTCTCTTGAACTCCTAGGTTGTGCCTAGTTTTATTTGTCTGTGCCCAGTTTTTTCAAGGAATCCTGAGGCCTTTAGGCTAAGAGAGTGAAGTTTATTATTATTTCAGCAGAGGAGAACTACTTAGTTTAAACTTACCCATTGTTTGTAATCCTGAAGTAGTCTATAAAATGGTAGCATGCTGTTTTCTGTAAAATAAAAGTGTAGGGGAAAAAAGTAATATCTTTTCCTTATCCATTGCTAGGTCCATGGCTAAGACCCCTATAATAAAAGACAGATTAACAAGAGAAAAGCATATGCATTAATTTAACATAAGTTTTACATGACAGAGAAGTGAAGACCTAAAGAAAAAGGGAAACCTGTGTATTTTTATGCTGAATTTGATGAAGAGTGGGCAGCCATGCAGAAGTATGACTGGCAAAAGAGATATGATCTAATGGTAATAAACTAGGCAGACTTAAGGCCTGTTTGTTCAGGTTCTTCTTGTCTTCTTTGTGTCTTTGAGCACAAGGATGTTCTTTCCCTCTGGGTATTAGGAGGGTTCCTCTGGAATGAAGGTTTTATCACTTGCTTCAGGGTGACGGGAAAGTGAGAGTGAACTTCCTGATTCTGCTGTTTTCTCAAATGCTACATTGCCCTATTTTGGGGTAGCATGTTCTGAACCCCACCTAAAGACTCCTCCTCACCTCATACCTCTGTAGTTTGTAACATTTCTTTTGTATGAAGAGAATAGTATAGAGTTAAGTAAACTAGGCATTCTATAAATATGAGACCCAGGAAATATTAATAGAATTGGATTACTCCAGAGTACAACTGGGATCTGACTCAGGCTGATCTGTACACTTGACATTCTTAGAGGATGGGAAGGGGCAGTGCTTCCCAGTGACCTGGCATCGTAGAACTCTGTTTAACTTTTTTAACATATATTTTTAGAGTTTATATGGCTTTTGGTTCCTGCAAGGACACAGATTTTGTACATGATGCTCATTAGTACTGACATTCATTTCCAAAGAAAAGAATTCTAGGTTTGAGCAAAATAATATAAATAAATAAAAAAGTAATCTACCAAACAGTTAAACCACTGAGTACTTATTTACTCTACAAAAGAGATCTAGATTTTTCTAAGTTTATTATAATATTCTTTTATATAGGAAACTTTTCGGATATGTATATAAAAGATGAATACATTTAAAGTAAAGTTGGCAAATATTTGTCCATACATATTGTGTAATGTAGAAAATACTTGTATAAACACTGCATAATTAAACAACTTAATATCTATGGGCATTCACTTTGTTAAAGTACTATGAAGGATGTCAAGATGGTAATAAACTTACTGTGTTGAAGAAGCTTTAAATCTGCTTGAATGGAGAAGATAAATATATAAGCAATGACAAGTTTATTTTTCCTTTTTTTTTATATTCTAGGTTGTTCCTAAAGAGATCAGGTGGACTAATCATTATTAAAGGTGTAGAGGAGAAGAATATTTCCTGAAGGCATTATAGATTGAGAGAGCCCATCCAGCTGGATAAAGAAAGAGGATCAGCACAGGCTGTGTGGAGGAGGGAGTCATAAATAGTTCTTAAGAAATTTGGGTAGTGGAATTACCAAAAGCCAGGTAGCCAAATTGGGTTCTGAAAAAAAAATGATTGCATTTAGATAGAACAGATTTGAGGTACCAGTGTGATTTTTTAGAGGAAATACAAGCATGCAATTGAAAATGTAGGACCAGAAATTGGGAAGAATGTCTTCCTAAAGCCTAGATGAAGAATCATTGAGTAGTGAGTAGTGAGAGAAGCGATAAAAGGAATTTCAGAGTAACAGCTGATTCAGGAGTTAAAAGGAAGAAGAGGAAATGACAGAGAAGGAGAGTTCAAGAGATTGGGTGGCAAATAGGAGAGAGAGATGTTTCTGAATATAGGTATAACTTTCAAGAAGGAGGAAGAGGTCAATCGTGTGAAATGTCAGAGAAAGTGGAAGATAATGAGGAGTATAGAAAGTCAGAAAAAGATTCTAACAAATCTCTGGGTGGCGCTGATGCTGCTGGTCTGGGGACCACAATTTGAAAGGATGAGTGGGCAGTAAAGATGTGGTTCAGGAGTTTAGTGTAGTAGTTAGCTGCACAGGCTTTTCATTTGGACAGAACTAGGAAGACAGTGAGGACTAGGAGGTTCTTGGTGAGTTTTAAGAGTTCAGTATTCAGGGAAGAGAAGGCAGCATTTGAGGATTAATACAGAGGTTGCAAACTGGCTGCCCTTATGGAAACTGCAGTGCAGGTTTATATTTTGTTTGGCCTATTGCATGTTAGCTTAGATGATATTTTAAAAATATATAGTTGCTGTCAAAGAACAAAATTTCCTGAAAACCAGTTTGATCATTAAATTAAATTTGTTGAAATCAGGAAGCATTCCATCTATGAAGTAGAAAGGTGTTCTGATGAGCTGAGCAGAGCCTATTGACCTTACAGGCAGAAAGGAGCTGAAAGAAGCAGAACTAAGGAATAAAAAGCAGACTGGTCATTTCAAAGTACTTTCCTTATAGAGTTAAAACAGAGGAGACATTCTTATCAGGTCAGTTTACTTAGATGGGGCCATGGGGCCTCTTCTAATGGGTTGCTGTGAATCTCTTGTTCTTTAGAAAACTGTCCCATTTTAAAGGTCAGTTTGATTATGTGATACCTAGCATGAATGACTCCATTCTGATTTCGTCTGGTCTTTTGGGGCCTAGTGAAGGAACTCAGTCCAAAACAATGGCCTCCCATAACCTCTTTTTTTATGTTGTCAACATTTAGAAGTCAAGCTATTTCACATAAAAATTCAGACTTCTAAGTTCTCTTGATAGTTTTAAACATCTGGCAACAAATGTTTGGAAGTGACTAGAGACTGCACTTGTTAGACAGGCATTAATTTTCCATTGTGCCGAGAATCATCTATCTCTTCGTAAATGTGTCTTATACCTTGCTAACTTGGAATAGTTTAACATTTGTTAACTAGATCAGAGGTTTTCAAACTAGCATGTGTCAGAATCACCTGGAGAGCTCATCGAAGCACAGACTTTAGAGCCCCACCCCTACTGGTTTGATTCAGTAGGTTGAAGAGTTGATCTTGCTAAGACATTGTGGGTGGTGCTGATGCTGCTGGTCTGGGAACCACAATTTGAAAGGATGTGTGGGCAGTAAGAAAGTGGCTCAGGAGTTTAGTATATTAGTTAGTTATGTAGGCTTTTCATTCAGGCAGAAATAGGTTCTGTTTTCTTACCCAGAAAATAAAGATCATAAGCCTACTTCATAAGATGCTTTTTAATCTAATGAGTTAATGCACATAAAATATATATCAGTATCCTTGAAGAGAGGCCTAGCTTATTGTAACTTTTCATTAAATGATTCGGTTTTATTGTTGCTATTACTACTTCTATTATGTCTTTCAACAGAATTGACTCTGGGGAGGAGAAAGTCAGAAATAGATTAAAGTTTTGAAGTGATCAGGGTCTTTTTTTAAATGAAGGAAGAATAGAAGCATAGAAGAAATTTACTATTTCTATGAGAGCATAATTGACAGCAAGTTATCAGGGGATGAAGTAACGGTGGAAACATAAACAAATAGAGAATCAGTCATGATATTGAGACTGAGTGCTTTGTATGTATGTATATATGGGACAACATCTGGTATGAGGTAGGAAGGTTGTAAATCTCACTGGGGCCCAGGGTATGCCACCCAAAAATATGACTATAGGAGACCAGAGTACCAGCCCCAAATATTCCTCTGTGGCATACTGATTTTTTTAAAGCTGGTTATTTTGTGAAACTACAGACACTGAAGTAGCATTGAAAAACTCCCCTTTTATGTAGGAAATTTATATTTATATAGGAGATTTTCATTAGTAAAGATATTTGTGTCAGAAAGAGAGTTAGTCTATGACAACTTTTATCAGATGAGAGACTTTGATCTGCATAACAAGGCAACCTTTATTCACTATACATTTCTTCCCCTCACCTTTCTATAATTTGGCTTCACCAGCCCCAGAAACCCCAAGCCCTTATTTCTTTCTGTAGCTCAGAATGCTAAATAAGCTTCAATCTGGGGAATAAGGGAATTCTGTCCCTTATTTGAGTTTCATATTTTTGTGAGACTCCCATGCATACATGGGTACACATGTTATTAGAATAATGTCTCTCCAGTTAAGCTGCCTTATGTCAATTTAATTTGTAGCTCAGCCAAAGAATGTAGGAGGGTAGAGGAAAGCTATTTTTTTCTCCCCTACAATCCAAGGCATCCAACTCAGCTATAGGGTGGTTAGTAAGGTGGAAGAAGACCCTATTCAATGGGTGGCACTATCTCCATATTTTCAATGATGATAGTCATAGAATTTAAATATTGCCTCCATTCCACATAGGTAGTAGGTGGAAGTGAAAGGATTTTAATCCATTTCTTTCTTACTCTAAAATCTATGCCTTTTCCTTCAGAGCATGCTGCCTTTCAAGCCCACACTATTTTCTATTAGATTGAATACTCCTACTTGCCTAGATAACCTCCTTTGTCTTCAGTATTATTTCAATGTTACATCTTTCAGGAAGCCTTCATGATTCCACAGTCTAATATAGATGCTCCTCCTATACTTTCTATTATCATGATCTATATATGTAATATAAATTACGTATTTTTATATTTCTCTGGCCAATTAGAGTTCTTCAGAGGACAGGCAGTCCATATTAATGTCATTTTGTCTCCAGAGATCAAAAGATAGTTGCTTAATGAATGAAAAAAATAAAAGATTAAATCAGATAGTGTATTAGGGTTCTCTAGAGGGACAGAACTAATAGTGTGTGTGTGTGTGTGTGTCTGTGTGTGTGTGTGTGTAATATATATAAAGGGGAGTTTATTAAGTATTAACTCACACAATCACAAGGTCCCACAATAGGTTGTCTACAGGAAAGCCAGTCAGAGTCCCAAAACTGAAGAACTTCTAGTCTGATGTCTGAGGGTAGGAAGCTTCCAGCATGGGAGAAGGATGTAGGCTGGGAAACTAGGCCAGTCTAGTCTTTTCACGTTGTTTTGCCTGCTTTATATTCTAGCTGTGCTGGCAGTTATTAGATGGTGCCTATCCAGATTAAGGGTGGGTCTGCCTTTCCCAGCCCACTGACTCAAATGTTCATCTCCTTTGGCAACAACCTCACAGACACACCCAGGATCAATACTTTGAATTCTTCAATCCAATTAAGTTGACACTCAGTATTAACCATCACAAGTCCACCCCTTGTCAACTTGAACCCACGTACATCTCCTGAGATCATACATAATCTTCAAATAAAGACAATAATAAGGCCATAATTACATCTAACATAATACAACTATTGTTTGTACAACTGGAAATGCACCAATCCCCAACCCAAATACTACTACATAAAGTTAACAATACTTTAATGCTGATATGAAGTCAATAAATTTTATGTCACATAATAAAGGAAAAAGGAAATAAAATGAAGATATTTTCTTAATACAAGCGTATATATGCTTACACATGTTTTTAACAAAAGTAGGAGGGAATACTCATGACAATTACAGTCCTCATTCTTGCAGCTGGTATTGATGACTACCTTCTTCTACTAACCATTCTGTATTCCCTTTGCCTTCAGCAAGCACCTCAGCAGGTTGTGTGTTTTTGTTTTGCTTTTTTGTTTTGTTTTGTTTTTGTTTTTCCTGGTGGAGTCACCCAAACCTTCATTCCTGAAGGGTCTGAGCCATTTGTAGTCCTTCCTGGATTGGGCTGTTGTCATTTCCCATTGACCTTAATCACAGGGCATGGTAATACTAAGAGAGGCCCTAATGGATCTCCTGTATTCCACGCACACACTTCCTTACTTCCCGTTGTGGAGTAGTACACTGATTTCATCTTGATAGTCCGGGTCAGTCACACCAGCCAACACTATAACTCCCTTCTTAGCCTGTTGACTTAAAAGTGGGAGGAGCCCAAAGTGTCCAGGTGGCAATTCCAGGTTAATGGAATCATTGTGTCTCCTGGTGGCAGAGTTTGTCACTCTTCAACTAAGACCTCTAGGCCAGCAGAACGTAATGTTGCAGGAACAGGGGCAAAAATTTTGCTAGTGGATCACGAGGGGTCATGGTGAATGGTGCCACTTCCACTTCCACCCCTTGATTCCTGGACCTGTGAATCCTGGCTATGGGAGAAATAGTAGCATACATTGGATGCTGATTCAGAGCATACAAAGCCTTCTTGAGAACTTTGGCCAAGCCCTGCAAAGTATTGTCACCTTGTTGGTGTTGTAATTGTGACTTCAAAAGGATATTCCACCGTTCTGTCAATCCAGCTGTTTCAGGATGATGGGGAACATGGTAAGACCAGTGAGCATGAGCATGAGCCCACAATCACAGTTCTTTAGCTGTAAAGTGAGTGCCTTGGTCAGAGGCAATGCTATATGGAATACCATGACTGTGGTTAAGGCATTCCGTGAGTCCACAGGGTAGTCTTGGCAGAAGAATTACGTGCAGGATAGGCAAACCCATATCCGGAGTAACTGTCTATTCCAGTGAGGATAAACCTCTGCCTTTTCCATGATGGAAGAGGTCCAATATAATCAACCTGACACCAGGTAGCTGGCTGATCATCCTGAGGAATGGTGCCATATCGAGGGCTCGGTGTTGGTCTCTGCTGCTGGCAAATTGGACACTCAGCAGTGGCCATAACCAGGCAGCTCAGCCTTGGTGAGTGGAACTGCATGTTGCTGAGCCCATGTATAACCTCCAACCCTACCACCATGGCCACTTTGTTCATGGGCCCACTGGCCAATGACAGGTGGCTGTGAAAAGAGGCTGAGTGATGTCCACAGAACAGGTCATCCTATCCACTTAATTATTAAAATCCTCCTTTGCTGAGGTCACTCATTGGAGAGCAATCCCATGCGATACAAATATCTTCACGGTTTTTGACCACTCAGATATCCATCCACATACCCCTTCCCCAGATTTCTTTGTCACCAATTTTCCAGTCATGCTTCTTCCAAGTCCCTGACCATCTAGCCAAACCATTGGCTACAGCCCATGAATCAGCATATAATCACACATCTGGTCATTTCTCCTTCCATGCAAAGTGTGGAACGAGGTACACTGCTTGAACTTCTGTGCACTGGGAAGATTTCCCTTCACTCTGACCTTCAGCGATGTCCTAGAAAGGGGTTGTAGTGCTGCAGCTGTAGTATGCAGGGGTATGGTGCCTGCATAATTGTGCAGAACCATCTGTGAACCAGGCCCTAGTCTTTTCCTCTGTCAACTGATCATAGGGAACTCCCCATGAGGCCATTGGTGCAGGCTGGGGGAGAGAAGGCAGGGTGGCAGGAGTGGACACCATGGGCATTTGAGCCACTTCCTCATGTAACTTACTTGTGCCGTCAAGACATCCTTGAGCTCAATCATGTATATACCACTTCCATTTGCTGATGGAATGCTGCTGTGCATGACCCACTCTGTGACTAGATGGGTCAGAAAGCATTTAGTTCATGATAGGCAGTTCAGGTCTCATGGCAACTTGATGACCTATAGTCAAACGTTCAGTTTCCACTAAAGCCCAATAACAGGCCAAGAGCTGTTTCTCAAAAGGAGAGTACTTATCTGCAGAAGATGGCAGAACCTTGCTCCAAAATCCTAGAAGCCTCTGCTGTGATTCACCTATGGGGGCCTGCCGAAGGCTCCAAACAGCATCCCTATCTGCCCCTGACATCTCAAGCACCATTGGATCTGCTGGGTCATATGGCGCAAATGGCAGAGCAGCTTGTACAGCAGCCTGGACCTGTTGCAGAGCCTTCTCCTGTTCTGGAACACACTCAAAACCGGCAGTCACTCAATAAATGGGCGGGAGTAACGCACCTAAATGAGGAATGTGTTGCTTCCAAAATCCAAGTACACCCACTAGGCATTGTGCCTCCTTCTTGGTTGTAGGAGGGGCCAAATTCAGCAACTTATTTTTTACCTTAGAAGGAATATCTTGACAGGCCCCACACCACTGGACACCTAAGAATTTTACTGAGGTAGAAGTTCTTTGAATTTTAGTTGGATTTATTTCCCATCCTCTGGCATGCAAATGTCTCACCAATAAGTCCAGTGTGTTTGCTACTTCTTGCTCACTGGATCCAATCAGCATAATGTCATCAATGTAATGGGCCATTGTGGTATCTTGTGGAAGCAAAAAGCTATCAAGTTCTCTCCAAATAAGATTATGACACAGAGCTGGAGAGTTGATATACCCCTGAGGTAGGACAGTAAAGGTCTATTGTTGACCTTGCTGGCTGAAGGCAAATTGTTTCTGATGGGTCTTATGAACAGGAATGGAGAAAAAGTCATTTGCCAAGCCAATGGCTGCATAGCAGGTACCAGGAGTTAATTTGCTCAAGCAATGATACCATATCTGGTACAGCAGCTGCAATTGGAGTCACCACTTGGTTAAGCTTATGATAATCCACTGTCCTTCTCCAAGATCCAACTGTCTTCTGCACAGGCCAAATAGGAGAGTTGAATGGGGATGTAGTGGGAATTGCCACCCCTGCATCTTTCAAGTCCTTGGTGTTGGCACTAATCTCCACAATCCCTCCAGGGATGCAATATTGTTTTTGATTTACTGTTTTTCTAGGTAGAGGGAGATCTAATGGTTTCCATTTGGCATTCCCACCATAATAGCCCTCACTCTACCAGTCATGGAGCCAATGTGGAGGTTCTGCCAGCTTGCAAGTATGTCTATGCCAATTATGCATTCTGGCACTGCAGAAATGACCACAGGATGAGTCCGGATACACTGTAAGTCAGATCCAAGCTAAAGCTCCATGAATTACCTGATCTCTATAAGCCCCTACTTTAACTGGAGGACCACAATGACCTTTTGGGTCCCCTGAAATCGATGTCAGTTCAGAGCCAGTGTCCAGTAATCCCTGAACTGTCTGAACATTTTCCTTTCCCCAGTGCACAGATACCCTGGTAAAAGACTGGAGGTCTCCTTGGGGAAGGAGAGAGAAAAATTAACAGTATAAATTGTTGGTAGTGTAGTAGGGTCCTTCCTCAAGGGGACCTGGTCTCCCCTTCATTCAAGGGGTTCTGGGTCTGTAAACTGACTCAAGTGTGGAAATTGATTGAGGGGCCATGATTCTGTTTTTATAATTCAAATTAGTCTTTTGTCCATTTGACCTAGAAGTTTTCTGCTTGTATACATTAAGTATGAATGCAGTAGGCTTCCTATCAATTTCACTTCTAGAAACACTATGATTAATTAGCCAGTGCCAGAGCTCTACACGAGTCAGACTATTCTGATTGCCATTTTGCCTCTGCTGTCCATTATGGTAGCTATGCTTACCTTGCCTTTGGAGGTTGAGTGCTACCGCTTGGCCCCTGCCACCTCGGGATCCCATTATTCACACTGTATTTAAATTTTTTTTAGTTGAGTGACTGCAGTTCCCACTCTTAGATCTGACATACAGAGTAGAACAATTACAGGGCCCTTCAAAGATGCAGGTGCTGCCCTCACAAATCTATTTTGTAAGGCATTGGTCAAGAATGTATCGTCTGGACCTCCCAGCTGGGATGAGTAGATCTAAAGTGACTAATCCACTCCACCATCCCAATCTCCCTAAGCCTTTGGATCCCTTCCTCTACATTAAACCAAAGGAGATCAGGCATTTCCAGCTCACTCACAGTGGGTTATCTTTTAATCCATATTTCAGCTAAACAAACAAATTATTACAACCTTTTTTTTCACTCGAGCTGCAACATTAAATGCAGAGTCCCTACTTAGTGGGGCCGGATCAATAAATTCAGCCTGATCCAGTTCTATGTTCCTTCCACCATTATCGCACACCCTTAATATCCATTCCCATGCCTGTTCTTCAGATTTCTGTTTATATAAATTAGAAAATTCAAGTAGTTCTTTTTGAGTATAGTGTACCTCCTTATAGGTCACACTCTGAACTTCACCTCTAGGGCCCACTGAGAGGTCAGCCTAGTTATAAGTCTAGAAGCAAACAGGGCTGTTGGGGGTGGCTCCTGAGGAGAATCAACATTATCTTGCCTGGCAACTGCCTCAGGGGAGGGTGTCACTGTTTTCTCAGGCAGTGCGGGGTTTATCTCCTCAGACAACGGTGGAAAGGCTAATGGGTCGGGGAGGGGATGTTGCCACTACTGGGAATGGGGGAGCTGTTTCTTCTGGCAAAAAAAGCTTCGTCAGAGTTTACAAACTCAGTGTTCCCAGCTTCATGAGAGACCTCCCAAACATTGCCATTCCAAGTTGCAGGGTCCCATTCTTTTCCAATCAGTGCCCTCACTTTAAGGGCTTGTGTCTGTTTTCCCACAATTTCATATCTTTCTCTACAGGAGATAAGACTTTCACTCAGGGTAATCTTAGCAGATTTGAGGCTCCGTATCTGCTTCTGAAGCTGGTATTTAGAATCCCTGATTTCATCATTTCCTTTCATCACTTTGTCCACTGAACTCAGGAGCAACCAACCAGCTTCATTATATTCCTTGATTCTCCACATATAGTCAAATGTATTATGTATAGAGTCGCTAAACTCCTTGCCTCTCACGAATGGTGAATCAGGAATGTCAAATGCATTCATCTTGCATAACTCTCTAAACAGTTCATGCCAAGGACTATCAGTGTTCTCCATACTACTAGAAGTAGAGCCTTTAGCATTTTTGGGTCGAATCATGTTAAGCAGCCAACTCCAGAAACCCCCAAACCAATGAAAGGACTTCATCCTTAATATTCTGTCCCTCTAGAATCACATATATATATATGTGCTTATTAAGTATTAACTGATATGATCACAAGGTCCCACAATGGCCATCTGCAAGCTGAGGAGCAAGGAAAGCCAGTCTGAGTCCCAAAACTGAAGAACTTGGAGTCCAATGTTCAAGGGCAGGAAGCATCCAGCATGGGAGAAGGATGTAGGCTGGGAGGCTAGGCCAGTCTAATCTTTTCGTGTTTTTCTGCCTGCTTTATATCCTAGCTGCACTGGCAGCTGATTAGATGGTGCCCACCCAGATTAAGGATAAGTCTGCCTTTCCCATCCCACTCACTCAAATGTTAATCTTTTTGGCAACAACCTCACAGACATATTCAGGAACAATACTTTACATCCTTCAGTCCAATCAAGTTGACACTCAGTATTAACCATCACAAAGAGATGCATAGATAGATGAACAAATGTACAAACAATGAATAAGGGCTCTGATCTGGCTAAGAGAAATGCCGAGCTCAATCACCTTAGGACAACCAGGTAGCCTTTGCCTGGGAAGCAGTCTTTTACTTTGCGCTTAGTCTATGATGGTGGATGTGCCGCCGTGTTCAGTATGATGATGGATCCAATTAGCAATGGTGACAGTGCAGGCTCAATCAGCATCTTGATTCCAGTGGGTCTCATCAGAGGACAGGTCCTTACTATGTACATCTACATGAGAGATACAGTCAGATTGACTGCCCTGATTTATTTGGATAGTTCATGGGACCAAAGAGGAGTGGCCCAAAGAGGGGAGCACAAAATAAAGAGCTCTATGTTTCTGATACAGAGGCTACCTGGGTATCCCAAAGTGGTTGAGCCTGAAACTGCTCTTCATGAGATGACACATCTTCTCAGTTTGTTCATCTATCTATGTATCAACTTTTCATCTAATTTAATCTTTATTTTTCATTCATCAAACAAATATGTATTTATTCTAGAGACTGAAAAACAGTAAGATATCCTGCTTGTCTTACAAGATACTCTAATGGGACAGATAAACATACATAAACACATACATGTAGACACACACACACATATATATACATATACATTTATGTAATTTATAATACAATATGCTAATTACAATGATAGATGTAAACTACGGGAGCAGAGAAGAGGAGAGTCTACAATAGACTAGTATCAGAGAAATCCTTCTGCCCACAGTGGTTGCAAATTTCTCTCCTGTCACAATCAGTGCAGGTACATGTCTCTATAGCTATTGCCTGAAAAGGAGTGGAAATTTCTGTTCACCCACTCCTTTTAGAGTGAATCTTAGAAACTGAGGCCGACTGCTAGGTTGGTGAGGAAGTTCTCCCAGCCAGAGGAGAGTTGGCAAAAACCATTTGGGAGCTGTCCTAGCCTGCAACCACTTTAGAAATTTCTCCTCATTAACGTGCATTAAAGTGAGGGGATTTTTTTTTTTTTTTTTTGATACAGAGTCTTGCTCAGTCACCCAGGCTGGAGCACAGTGGCTCACTGCAACCTGCACCTCCCTGGTTCAAGTGACTCTCCTGCCTCAGCCTCTCAAGTAGCTGGGATTACAGGCGCATGCCACCACACCTGGCTAATTTTTATATTTTTAGTAGAGATAGGGTTTCACCACGTTGGCCAGGCTGGTCTCAAACTCCTGACCTCAGGTGATCCATCCTCCTTGGCCTTCTAAAGTACTGAGATTACAGGTGTGAGACATTGTGCCTGGCCTAAAGTGAGGAATCCTTATTATGCAGTTGAACATTCAGTGTGGTCAGCATGTTTACTACCCAGTTCCTAAAGATGTTCCACGAATCCCTTTCATCAGCCTAGAAGTCTCTGATCCTTCCTCTTCCAGAACACTATGAATCTGTCAGAATTCCATCCTTGTCACTCTCAAGAACTGTGAGGAGTCTAAGATTGTATCCTACTTGCAAACTAAGAATTTAGTCTGCCACAATTTCATCGATGCTGCCAAAAGAATCGTAGGGCAGAGACTAATTACTTGCAACAACAGCAGTAGACTATCAACATCTTCTTGTACCAATTTCTCAAGCCCCAATTTTTACAGTGCAAGGCAAAGATGGTCACATGATACAGTCATATTCAATGGGTCATATTGTAGGTTGTGTTCCCTCAGTTTAGGTAACATCTGTTTTATAATGGTCAGTAAGCAAACCTACCCTTTGCTTTGAAAGTAGACATTATTTTTATCATCTAAAGCTGTAGTTATAAAAAGACAGCCCAAAGCAAAGGCAGTCAATGCCACTGCTAGTTCTGAGAGCTCCAATAGCTTCCATAGAGATTTCTCCAAGCATGAGAACTTATATAAAGTGAAATCAGCCCTCTATCTTCATCTTCCCATTAACCATGCTCAGCTTTAACCAGATCATCCATTTACTTTTGAATAGCCCATGTTCAACACTCCCTGCTGGAAACCTTTGAAATTTAAAATTGGCCTTTGAATAACTGTCCCATTTTATGTTTTCTCTTTGGGAGCAATATAAAAATGGGTTAGATAGTACATTCATATGCTAAAATTGAAATAAGCAACATCTAATATTTATTCAGGCCTTAGATATTTTAATGTGTATATTCAAAGTTTGAAAACAATATACATTGCAGAAAATAAAAAAGGAGTATTGATTTTTTAAACTTTTATTTTAGCTTACAGATTGCAGTGGATCAAAGGAAAATGCTTCATGTATTGAGCAAAATAAAGAAAATCAGAGTTTTGAAAATGAAACTGATGAGACGACAACTGTAAGTGTTATACTGTTTTCTTTTCTTACTAGGCTTCATGGGTAAGACTTGTCTTGTTCTTTGTGGATAGTGCTAGTAGTGTTAAAGAAAGAAAAGAAAATGTGTAACCTAATTTCTAGCTTTGGCCTGGTCAGCATATTGGGTTCTCAGGCTTCTGAGCTGACACTGAATGTGTATCACGTTGAGTAGTTGTGTGTGTTTTATTTTGGGTTCTGTGTTTTAGTACGTAGTCTTCAAGTGCTGGTTATCACACAGTCATTTTGTAAGCTATTTCACTTTTCCTCTCTTGAAAAATACTTTCATTTAACCTAGAAGATGTTAACTATTTGAGACAGTAATAAAATACTAAATGTGCTTCCAGGAAAGGAAGTTATCTAATTTGGCAATGAGACTGTTTTTTTTTTTTTTTTTTTTTTTTTTCTCCAAAAGAAGAGAGGGAGGGTGGGCATCCATGATGGGCTCATGAATACTTAGAAAACACATTTTTGTACTTCCTGGCTGTTCGCAAGGATATTTGTATTTTTGCTTCCTGAAAATGAAGTCATTAGTCCTAAGTGGGATACAAATATGCCAACCTTCCAGGCAGCTAAATTAAATAAATGCTGAAAAATATATTAGAGAAACTTGTTTTCATAATTGGAGAGCATATTGCTAGCTTATGCTGCTTAAATGCTAAAAGCTTCCATTTCCTCATCTTTTAGGGTACTTTTGAAATTTTAATGTGATCCTCAATATGAACATGCTTAGTACTGCTTGGCAAATAGTAGATATTCATGCTATTGAAATAAATTGCAAGTTTTGCATTTATTTTATTGAGTTGATATTTTTATTAACATTTGGAAAATAAAAAGATATTAATGAAAACTTTAGACCTTTAATGAGGAATAAATACTTCATATTTAATATGGTTTCTTTCTTTATTTTATTCCTATTATTTCCTTTGAACAATTTAAAATAATTGGGAGTATTTTTTAGGGATATCTTCTGTGTTTAAATAAACCTAATATGCAAAGCATAAAGCTTGGAGATTTGATATTCCAGAGTCCTAGTGAGAAACAATGAAAATTGTAATCAGCTTATAGAGAAATGATGAATCTTAAAGAAATAATTGACAGGACTTGGTGACTAAGTAAATTGAGAGTTAGGTGGTATCAGCACAAAAATGGGGTTATTTAGAGGAAAGCTGACTAATGGATAGATAGAGTTGACTAATTCAATTATGGGAACAACTAAGAAAATACCTTTAGAGGAGATGGGGCATATTTGTTGAGAACCAAGTGTAATATCAAAAGTAGGACAGTGTGATAGAATGGAATGAACAAAAGATCCAAAGTCAGAGACCAGGATTTGTATCTTGGCTCTATCACAAATTAGTCATGTGACCTCAGGCACATTAAATGACTTTTTATTGTGCCTGAAATGAGATAAAATGAGATTATACCTATTGTTACTATACTATAGTAATATAAAGAGGATGAAATGGGATAGTTATATATGAAAGGATTGATAGGTAAATGCTCTAGATGTTGCATGCAATTGGAGAAATGAGTAGAGCACTAAATGCCTTCAGGAATATTTTGTTTTAGATACTGTTTTAGTTGTTTGATACTTTGGCTAGACTCTGTTTTCTGCTGAAAAAGACAATCTTATGAATTAAAACTGGTTGATTAAGAGACTAAGTAAATACCATGCAAGTACCACAATGGGTGGGGCAGAAAGTTAGGTTTCTTTCAGTAAGAACAGAGAGGTAACAAGGTAGAAACACATTTGACTGTAGGACACATATCAGACTGAGAAGGAAGAATCGTGTAAGAGTAAGTCATAACTGGAAACAGATGTTAGATTATTGTCTTTATACACTTACTATTTGAATGTTCTTGGGCAAGTCACTTAGACTAGCTGTATGCCTCAGTTTCCTAATCTAAACCCTAATCTAAAGTGAGAGACTGATTAGATATTAATAATTTGTGGAGCTGGGTGCGGTAGCCCATGCACTTTGGGAGGCCAAGGTGGTGATCCCAGCACTTTGGGAGGCCAAGGTGTAATCCCAGCACTTTGGGAGGCCAAGGTGGGTGGATCACTTGAGGCCACGAGTTTGAGACCAGCCTGGCCAACATGGTGAAACCCCATCTCTACTAAATACAAAAATTAGCCAAGTGTGGTGGTGTGTGCCTGTAATCCCAGCTACTTGGGAGGCTGAGGCAGGAGAATCACTTGAACCTGGGAGGTGGAGGTTGTAGTGAGCTGAGATAGCGCCACTGCACTCCAGCATGGGTGACAGGGAAAGACTCCATCTCAAAAAAAAAAAAAATTAATAAATAAATAACTTATGAGTTCTTTCTATTATAATACATTTAGTATATTTTGATAGAATGATCATGTACTTTAGAGAATTTCAGCATTGCTCTTAATTATTTTTAGGCTATAGTGTATATTTATACTCTGTTAAATAGCTGCACCTTCTAATTAACAAGAATTTTGTAGCTCAGCTCTATTTTTCTGGTAACTGTTCTTTCTGATATTTAGAAGGGAGCTTCTTTTTCTGAATGCCACTCAGCTGTGGGAAAGAATGTTTTTATGTTTGTTTGTTTTATGGAATGAGAGCAGAATGAGAATCCCTTTGTCTCTATATGTTTACATTAAATGCTTCCCATGATCCTTATTTTAAAAGCGTTAGTTCCGAGACACTAAATAGCCTAATCAATTTTGGAGAATAAGAACAAACTTAGAAACCTCAGACATCCTGATTTCAAAGCTTACTACAAAGCAACAGTAATCAAGATGGTGTGGTACTGGCATAAAGACAGATATATTCATCAGTGAAAGAGAATGTAGATCCCAGAAATAGACCCTTGCATGTATGGCAAATTATTTTAAATAAGGGAGCTAGGACTACCACTGGGGAAAGGATAGTTTATTTAACAAATGGTGGTGGGAAAACTGGATATCTACATGCAAAAGATAAAGTTGGGCCCTTACTTTATACCATATACAAAAATTAACTCGAGATGGATTAAAGATATAAGTAAGACTTTAAACTCTATAATGCCTACAGAAAATGTAATATTTAAACTATAAAACTAATAGAAAAATGTCAGGACACATTGGATTTGGCAACAATTTCTTGAATATGACACCAGAAGCACAGGAAACTGAAAGCAAAAAAAAAAAAACAAATTGTACTGCATCAAACTTAAAGACTTCTGTACATCAAAGAAAACAATGACCAGAGTGAAAAGACAACCAATGGAACTGGAGGAAGTATTTGCAAATCATATATATGTGAAAGCTTTATATCCAGAATATATGAAGAACTTCTACAACTCAACAACAAATAACAAGTAACACAACTAAAAATGGACAAAAGACTTGAATAGAAAATTCTCCAAAGAAAATATACAAATGGCCAATACATCTATGAAAAATGTTCAACCCACTAATCATGAGGGAAATGCCAATCAAAACCACAATTAAAAATCATTTCACACCCATTAGGATGCCTGCTGTCAAAATAACAGAAAATAATGTGTTGATAAAGATGTGGAGAAATTGAAATGCTTGTATGCTATTGGTGGGAATGGTGCCACCATTATGGAAAACAGTATAAAGATTCTTGAAAACTTTAAAAATAGAAATACCGTACGATCCAGCAATTCCACCTCTGGGTAAATATCCAAAAGAATTCAAAGCAGGATCTTGAAGAAATATTTACACAGCCATGGTCATCACAGCCTTATTTGCAATACTCAAGTGGTGGAAGCAACCCAAATGTCCGTTAACAGAAGAATGGATAAAGAAAATGTTACACACACACACACACACACACACACACACACACACACACACACACACACACTATGTAGCCTTAGGAACAAAAGGAAATCCTATCATATGCTAACATGAATGGACCTTGAGGGCATTATGCTAAGCAAAATAAGCCAGTCACAAAAGGACAAACACTGTATGATTCCACTCCTATGAAGTATCTAAAGTAGGCAGACTGATAAAAACAAAGTAGAGAGGTAGTTGCCTAGGGCTGGAGAGATGAGGGAGGGGGAATTAATGTTTATTGGTTATATAGTTTCAGTTTTTCAAGATGAAAAACTCATCTAGGTATGTGTTTCACAGCAATGTAATATACTTAACACTATTGAACTCTACACTTAAGAGTGGTCAGTATTATAAATTTAAGGTTATGTGGTTCTTCTTATGATACAATAATAATTTAAAAACGGAGGCCGGGCACGGTGGCTCACGCCTGTAATCCCAGTACTTTGGGAGGCTGAGACGGGCGGATCACGAGGTCAGGAGATCGAGACCTTCCTGGCTAACACGGTGAAACCCTGTCTCTACTAAAAATACAAAAAAATTAGCCGAGCATAGTGGCAGGTGCCTGTAGTCCCAGCTACTGGGGAGGCCGAGGCAGGAGAATGGCGTGAACTCGGGAGGCGGAACCTGCAGTGAGCTGAGATTAAGCCACTGCCCTCCAGCCTGGGCGACTGAGTGAGACTCTGTCTCAAAAAAAAAAAAAAAAAAAAAAAAAAATTAAAAACTGATGTTTTTGAGTTAATCTTCCCAGAGGGCCAAGTTTGAAAATATTACAGAATCAGCATTAAAGGTAATTTTAAAGGCAATATAGAGTAGTGGCTCTCCTTAGTTTTTAATTGTTTATTGTCACTCTGCTAAAAGGGATTCTGTCATCTGCTGGAAAGCCTCAAGTTGTAGGATATATACCACCTCCCAACGTAGCTCATTCCATCTGGTCAAGTTTGAATTTTGTTAAGTCTCATATATTTATAAAGCTTTATTTAACTAATCAGTCCAATATTAATATATTTTTTTGTTGTCTCTAAAGCAACACAAACACTACAGAAATGATATTATATTAATTGAATACATCTGTATTTAGGATTCTGTTTTTTTATACTTGCTTGAAAACAATGAAGTATATTCTGTTCAGATTTAGAGCACTTAGGACCAAACATTGAAGTTTATGCTATTTACTACCTGGATCAATGAGTTCAGTGATTTTCAAAGTGCAGAAGATTATTAGAACAAAGATGGGATGGGAAGTGGCATCAGATAATCAAGATTTATCCTGTTTCATCCACTTGGTCAATAGAATATTCACCATACTGAAATAAGAGACAACTCAAACAAGTATACATTCCATCCTCATGGATAGGAAGAATCAATAGCATGAAAATGGCCATACTGCTCAAAGTATTTTATAGATTCAATGCTATTCCCGTCAAAATACTATTGACATTCTTCACAGAATTAGAAAAAAACTACTTTAAATTTCATATGGAACCAAAAAAAGCCCATATAGCCAAGACAATCCTGAGCAAAAAGAACAAAGCTGGAGGCATCATGCTACCTGACTTCAAACTATACTACAAGCCTACAGTAGCCAAAACAGCATGGTACTGGTACCAAAACAGACATATAGACCAAGGGAACAGGACAGAGACCTCAGAAACAACACCACATATCTACAACCATCTGATCTTTAACAAACCAGACAAAAGCAAGCAATGGGGAAAGGATTCCGTATTTAATAAATGATGCTGGGAAAACTGGCTAGCTATAGGCAGAAAACTGAAACTTGACCCCTTCCTTATACTTTATACAAAAATTAACTCAAGATGGGTTAAATACTTAAATGTAAACCCAAAACCATAAAAACCTTGGATAAAAACCTAGGCAATACCATTCAAGACAGAGGCATGGGCAAAGACTTCATGATGAACATGCCAAAAGCAATAGCAACAAAAGCCAAAATTGACAAATGGAATCTAATTAAACTACAGAGCTTCTGCACAGCAAAGGAAACTATCATCAAAGCAAACAGGCAACCTACAGAATGGGGGCAAATTTTTGCAATCTACCCATCTGACAAAGGTCTAATATCCAGAATCTACAAGGAACTTAAAGAAATTTACAAGAAAAAAGCAACCCCATTAAAAAGTGGGCAAAGGACATGAACAGACACTTCCCAAAATACGACATTTATGCAGCCAACAAACATATGAATTAAAGCTCAACATCACTGATCATTAGAGAAATGAAAATCAAAACCACAATGAGGTACCATCTCATGCCAGTCAGAATGGTGATTATTAAAAAGCAACAAACAATAGATGCTGGTGAGGCTGTGGAGAAACAGGAATGCTTTCACACTCTTGGTGGGAATGTAAATTAGTTCAACTGTTGTGGAAGACAGTGTGCCAATTCCTCAAAGATCTACAACCAGAAATACCATTTGACCCAGCAGTCCCATTACTAGGTATATACCCAAAGGAATATAAATCATTCCGTTATAAAGATACATGCACATGTATGTTTATTGCAGCACTATTCACAATAGCAAAGACATAGAACCAACCCAAATGCCCATCAATTACAGACTGGATAACGAAAATGTGGTATATACACACCATGGAATAATATGCAACCATAGAAAGGAATGAGATAATGTCTTTTGCAGGGACATGGATGAAGCTAGAAACCATCATCCTCAGCAAACTAACACAAGAACAGAAAACCAAACAACACAAGTTCTCATTCATCAGCTGGAGTTGTACAATGAGAACACATGGACACAGTGTGGGGAATAACACACACCAGGGCCAGTCAGGGGGTGGGGGGCAAGGGGAGGGAGAACATTAGGACAAATAGCTAATGCATGTGGGATTTAAGACCTAGATGATTGGTTGATAGGTGCAGCAACCCATGGCACACGTATACCTATGTAACAAATCTGCACATTCTGCGTCTGTATCCTGGAACATAAAGTAAAATAAAATAAAATAAAAGAATATTGACCATACTGGTTCATCAAGTCAGTAGTTAAATAACTTTGGGTAAGTCAGTTTTTCTTAGTCTGAGTTTCTTTACCTGTAAAATTATACTTAATTCATTGGTTATGAATACTTAATGATATTATGCATATGAAAATTTATACTTGGTAAATGAAAAGTTAATGGTTATTTGCAAGTCATATATTAGATAAGGGGTTAATATCCAAAATTTATAAAGAACTTATACAACTCAGTAGTGGAACAAATAACTAATTAAAACATGGGCAAAAGACTTGGGTGGATATTTCTTCAAAGAAGACAGAAATGTCCAACAGGTATATAAAAAGAGGCTAAACATTATCAATCATCAGGGAAATGCAAATCAAAACTACAATGAGAAACCACTTCACGCTCATTAGGATGGCTTTATCAAAAAGTCAATAGATAGGAGGGAGGCAGAGGAAGATGGCTGAATAGAACGTTCCAGTGATTATCCCCCCTGCAGGAACACCAAATTGAATAACTATCTGTGCAAGAAAGCACCTTCATAAGAACCAAAGGTTAGGTGAGTGATCACAGTAGCTGGCTTAAATACTATATCAAGGAAAGAGACACTAAAGAAGGTAGGAAAGACAGTTTCGCATTGCCTATACCACCCTTCCCCAACCGATGGCATGTATTCAGAAAATCTGTGTGTTCGCAGGAGAGAGAGTGAAGTGATTGTGAGACATTGCATTGGAACTCAATTCTGCCCTCTCACAGCAGAATACAACATAGGGCAAAATTCCACCGGTGTCCACAGATGAAGCATTTAGACTAGCTCCATTCAAAGGGGAATTCTCCACCCCAGTGGTAGGAACCTGAGTTTGGGGTAGCTCCACCATTGGCTGACTAAAGTAGCCTAATGTCCTAGATAAATTTGAATGTCAGTCAGGTAACAAGGTTTGCAGTCCTTGGATAAGTCCTGGCACTGCTCTGGGCTTGGGGCCAGTGGACTTGGGGTACATGAAACCCAGTGAGACACTAGTTGTCACACCCAAGGAAGTGTTTGTGTTACCCCTCCCTAATTCCAGGCATTCAGCTTGGGAAAGACTCCTTAGACTTTGGGAAAGCAGAAGAAAAAGTACAAAGGACTTCATCTTGCAACCTGGGTACCAGCTCAGCCACGGTAAAATAAAGCACCACGCTGGATCCTGAAACCCTTAATTCCAGGTCCTAGCTCCTGGATGGCATCTCTAGACCTACCCTTGGCTAGAAGGGAACCTGCTCCCCTGACAGGAGGGACCCCTTCATGGCTAAATATGCCACCTGATGACTAAAGAGCCCTTGGGCATTGAAGAAACATCACTAGCAGCCAGGAAAGAGTAGCCATGGACCTTGGATAAGACCCAAATACTGTGATGCCTTCAGGTATTATCCAGCACAGTCCTGGCTGTGATAGCTTTGGGAGTGCTTGTGCCATCCCTCCCCCAACTCCAGGAAGCTCAGGAGAGAGAGAGAGAGAGAGAGAGAGAGAGAGAGAGAGGGAGAAACAGACATACAGACAGACTTCTGTTTGGGGAAAGTGAGAAGTGAGGGAAGAGAATCAGAGACTGCTGCCCAGTAATCCAGGGAATTCCCCAGATCTTACCCAAGCCTACCAAGGTGGTACCTCTAGGAGTCTGCAAGAATTACAGCATTACTAGTTCTGCGGTATCTCCCAGTGTTGATATGGCTTCAGTGACCAGAGACTTCGATCACCACACCCAATTCCATTTGAATACCTGGAAACCCTTCTCAAGAAGGATAGGTACAAACAAGCTGAGACTGCAAGCTTAAAATAAATACCTAACTTCTAAATACCCAGATATTAACAAACATCCACAAGCATCAAGAACATCCAGGAAAACATGATCTACTAAACAAACTAAATAAGTCACCAGTGACAAATTCTAGAGTGGTGGAAATAGATGAACTTTCAGAAACAGAATTAAAAATAGTTGTTTGAGAAAGTTCAGTGAGCATCAAGATAACACAGAGAAGGGATTCAAAATCTTATCCCAGAAATTTAACAAGCAGATTGAAATAATTTTTTAAATAATCAAGCAGAAGTTCTGCAGCTGAAAAATTTCTATTGTCAAAATGAAAAATGCTTTCGAATCTCTGAAGAGTAGAATTGATCAAGCAGAAGGAAAAGTTGGTGAGATTGAAGACAGGCTGTATAAAAAACAGCCATGGGGGAAAGAAGAAAAAAATAATAAAGAGAATGAAGCAAACCTATGAGATCTAGAAAACAGTCTCAAAAGGGAAAATGTAAAATGTATTGACCTTAAGGAGGAAATAAAGAAAGAGATCAGGTAAGAAAGTTTATTTAAAGAAATAATAACAGAGACATTTCCAAACCTAGAAAAAATATTATCGGGTAGACGAAGGTCATAGAAAATTAAGCAGATTTAATCCACATAAGACTACTTCAACACATTTAATAATCAAATTCCCAAAGGCTAAGGATAAAGAAAGGATCCTAAATGAAGCAAGAGAAAAGAAACAAGCAACATTGCAAGGGAGCATACATCTGGCAACAACCTTTTCAGTGGAAATCTGACAGTCCAAGATAGAGGTGCATGACATATTTAAAGTGCTGAAGGAAAAAAAAAATGAAACAACTTTTATCCTAGAATAGCATATCCAGGGAAAATAGCCTTCAAACATGAAGGAAAAATAAAACTTTACAAGTCAAATAACAGCTGAGGGATTTCATCAACAGTGGACTTGTCCTAAGAGCAATGCTAAAGAGAGTTCTTTAATCTAAAAGAAAAGGACATTAACAAACAATAAGAAATCTGAAGGTACAAAACTCACTGGTAACAGCAAATACACAGCCAAATACAGAATACTGCAACACTGTAATTGTGGTGTGTAAACCACTCATATCTTGAATAGGAATAGTAAAAGAACTAATCAAAAATAATAACTACAACATATTTCTAAGAAATAGATAGTATAAAAATATATAGAAACAACTAAAAGTCAAAGAACATGGAGGATAAAGTGTAGAGTTTTTTTTTAAGTTTTCTCTTTGCTTGTGCATTGTTTCTGAAATCAGTTAGGTTGTCATTAGTTTAAAATTATTTTTTACAAGATATTATTTGCAAGCTTCATGGTAACCTCGGATCAAAAAACCCACAACAGATACACAGAAAAGTAAAAGCAAGAAATTAGAACATACTACCAGAGAAAATCACTTTTACACAAAGGAAGACAGGAAGGAAGGAGGGAAGAGAAGACCACAAAGTAACCAGAAAACAAATAACAAAATGGGAGGAGTAAGTTCTTACCTATCAATAATAACGTTTACTATAAATGGACTAAACTTTCCAATGAAAAACATAAAGTGGCTAAACTGATAAAAAAAAAAAAAAAAGACCCAATTATATGCTGCCTACAAAACTCACTTCACCTATAGAGTGAAATTAAAGGGATGGAAAAAGATATTCTGTACAAATGTAAACTAAGAAAGAGCAGGAATTAGCTATACCTATATCAGATAGAATAAATTCTAAGATAGGAACTAAAGGAAGAGACAAAGAAGGACATTATATAATGATAAAGGAGTCCATTTGGCAAGAGGATATAACAATTATAAATGTATATGCACCCAACACTAGAGCACCCATATATATAAAACAAATATTATTAAGGCTAAAGAGAAAGAAAGACCACAATACAATACTAGCTGGAGAGCTCAACAACCCATTTTTAGCATTGAACAGATCATCCAGACAGAAAATCAACAAAGAAACATCAGACTTAATCTACACTGTCAACCAAATGGGCCTAATAGATATTATAGAACATTTTATCCAAAAGCTGCAGAATGCACATTCTTTCTTTCAGCACATGGGTCATTCTCAATGATAGACCATATGTTAAAGTACAAAATGAGTCTTAAAACATTCAAAACATTGAAATTATATTAAATATCTTTTCTGACCACTATGGAATAGAACTAAAAATCAATAAGAAGAGGAACTTTGGAAACTATACAAACACATGGAAATTAAACAATATGCTCCTGAGTGACAAGCAGGTCAATGAAGAAATCAGGAAGGAAATTTTAAGATTTTATGAAACAAATGAAAATGGAAACACAACATACATAAACTTATGGGATATAGCAAAAGCAATTGTAAGATGGAAGTATACCAATAAGCACCTGCATTAAAAAGTAGAGAAATTTCAAATAAATAACCTAATGATACATTGTAAGGAACTAGAAAAGCAAAAGCAAAACAAGCAAAAATTAGTAAATCAACAAACTTTTAGCCAGACTGAGAACAAAAGAGAGAAGACACCGCAATATAAAATCAGATGAAAAACGTGACATTACAACTGATATCACAGAAATTCAAAGGATCATTAGAGATACTATCAACAACTATATGCCAAAGAATTGGAAAATCTAGAATAAATAAATTTCTAGACACATACAACCTACCAAGATTCAACCATGAAAAAAATCTGAAACCAAAATAGACCAATAACAAGTAATGAGACAGAAGTCATAATTAAGTCTCCCATCACAGAAAAATTCAAGACCTAATGACTTTACTGATGAATTCTACCAAATATTTAAAGAACTAATACCAATCCTACTCAAACTACTTGAAAAAATCTAGGAGGAAGGAGCACTTCCAAACTCATTTCATGAGGCTAGTATTACCACGATGCCAAAACCGGAGAAAGACACATCAAAAAAGAAAACTATAGGCAAATATCTCTGATGAACATAGATGCAAAAATCCTCAACAAAATACTCACAAACCAAATTCAATAACAAATTAAAAGGATTATTCATCAAGACCAAGTGAGATTCGTCCAGGGATGCACAGATGTCTCAACATACAGAAATCAATCAATGTAATATATCATATTGACCGAATGAAGGATAAAACCATATTTCATTTGATGCTGAAAAGCATTCAATAAAATTCAACATCTCTTCGTGACAAAAATGCTAAAAAATGTGGCATAGAGGGAACATACCTCAACACAATTAAAAGCTATGTATGCTAGACTCCTACACAGTACCAGACTGAAGGGGAAAAATTAAAAGCCTTTTCTCTAAGATATATAACAAGACAAGGATGCCCATTTTTACCACTGCTATTCAATATAGCACTGGAAGTCCTAGCTAGAGTAATTAAATGAGAGAAATAATAAAGGGCATCCAAATTGGAATGAAAGAAGTCAAATTATTCTTGTTCATAGCTGATATGATCTTCTATTTAGAAAAACCTAAAAATTCCACCAAAAAACTATACTAATAGAACTGAAGAATAAATTCAATACAATTGCAGGATACAAAATCAACATACAAAAAGTATTAGCATTTCTAAATGTCAACAATGAACAACCTGAAAAAGAAACCAAGAAAAAAACTCCCATTTACAATAACTACAAATAAAATAATATGCCTAGGAATAAATTTTAATCACAGAAGTAAATGATCTCTTCAATGAAAACGATAAAACATTAGTAAAAGAAATTGAAGAGGGCACAAAAAATGGAAAGATATTTTGTGTTAATAGATTGGAGAAATCAATATTGTTAAAGTGTTCATACTGCTGAAAGCAATCTACACGTTCAGTGAAATCCCTATCAAAATACCAATGACATTCTTCACAGAAATAACAAAGTAATCCTAAAATTTGTATGGAACCAGTATAGACCCAGGATAGCCAAAGCCATCATGGGCAACAAAAAGAACAAAGCTGGAGGAATTGCATTACCTGACTTTAAATTATACTACAGAGCTATAGTATCCAAACCAGTATGGTATTGGAATAAAAACAGACACATAGATCAATGGAACAGAATAGAGAATGCAAAAATAAATCCATACATCTACCATGAACTCAATTTTGACAAAGGTGTGAAGAACATATTTTGGGAAAAGGACAGTCTCTTTAATAAATTGTGCCAGGAAAACTGGATATCCATGTGCAGAAAAATGAAACTACAACCCTATATCTCACCATATACAAAAATAAAATAAAAATGGATTAAAGATTTAAATATAAGACCTGAAACTATGAAACTACTGAAAGAAAACTCTGAAGAAACTCTCTAGGACATTGGTCTGGGCAAAAATTTCTTGAGTAATACCTCAGAAGTGCAGGCAACCAAAGCATAAATAGAAAAATGACATTACATCAAGCTAAAAAGTTCTCCATAGCAAAGGAAATAATCAACAAATGAGACAAATTATACAATGGGAGGAAATATTTTCATGTGATAATAGATTAATAACCCTAATATATAGGGAGCTCAAACAACTCAATGGGAAAAAAAACAAATAATCTGATTTTAAAATGGACAAAAGATCTGAACAGAGATTTCTCAAAAGAAGATGTGTAAATAGCCAATAGATATATGAAAAATACTCAACATTATTAATCATCAAGAAATGCAAATCAAAACAACAGTGGGGTATCATCTCACCCCAGTTAAAATGGCTTTTATCCAAAAGGCAGGAAATAATGAGTTCTGGTGAGGATGTGGAGAAAGGGTAACCCTCATACACTGTTTATGGGAGTATAAATTAGTACATCCACTATGGAGAGGAGTATGGAGATTCCTCAAAAATTAAAAATAGAAATTACCATATGATTGAGCAATCCCATTGCTAGGTATTTATCCAGAAGAAAAGAAATCAGCATATTGAAGAGATACCTACACTCCTGTATTTATTATTTATTCACTTAGCCAAGATTTGGAATCAAAGTGTCCATCAACTGATGAATGGGTAAAGAAAATGTGGTACACATTGGAATATTATTTAGCCACAAAAAAGAATGAACTCCTATCATTTGCAACAACATGGATGGAACTTGAGGTCATTATGTTAAGTGAAAGAAACCTGGCACAGAAAGACAAATTTCACATGTTCTGTGTCATATGTGGCTAAACATTAAAACAGTTGAACTCATGGAGAGAAAAGAGTATAATGATGGCTACCTAAGGCTGGGAAGAGTAGTGGTGATGGAGGGGAAAAGTGGGGATGGTTAATTTATATAAAAGTATAGTTAGATGGAATGAATAAGATCTAGTATTTGATAACACAACAGGGTGACTATAGTCAACAATAATTATTGTATATATCAAAAAACTAAGACTGGAATTGGAATGTGTCTAATACAAAAAAAAAAATAAGTTCCTGAGGTGATGGATATCCCAGTTACCCTGATGTGATCATTAAACATTTTATGCTTGTACCAGAACATCACATGTACCCTATAAATATATATAACTATCATGTACTCATAATTTTTTAAAAAGATAGGTTACAAATGCATATTTTCTACAAAAATTATTCTGTGCATACCTTTCTTTGTTTTGGGAGTGTCATATAAATTGTTTACTATTTCTAAATAAAAGTCAAAAGATGACAAATGTTGGTGATGATGTGGAGAAATGGGAACTCTGTACACTGTTGGTGGGAATGGAGATTGGTACAGCCATTATGGAAAACAGTATGGAGGTCCCTAAAGAAACTGAAGATACAACACTGTATGACCCAGCAATTCCTCTTCTGGGCATATACACAAAGGAAATGAAAGCACAATCTTGTAAAAATATTTGCACTCGTATGACCTTTGCGGTATTATTCACAATAGCCAAGATGGGGAAATAAGTGTTTGTCAGTGGGTGAATGGATAAAGAAACTGTGGTACACACATAATATGGAATAATATTCAGCTTTAAAAAAGAATGAGATCTTTCCACTTGCCATGACATGGAGGAGCCTGGGAGGACATTATGCTAAGTGAAATAAGCCAGACACAGAAAGGAAAATATTGCATAATCTCACATATATGTGGAATCTATCTATCTGTGTGTGTATACATATACACATACTTACCATATACAAAATAAAATTTAAAAAATACACACACAGAATAAAACAGTGGTTACTGAGTTGGGAGGAATGAAGAGATGTAGGCTGGAGGATACAAACTAGCAGATATGTACTATGAAGAAGCCTAAAGAGCTAATGTACACCATGAGGACTGTAGGTAATAACATTGTATTATATATGGGATTCATGCTAAATGAGTAGATTTTAGCTGTTCTTGACACAAAAACAAAAAATGGGTAACTATATGAGAAGTGATAAATATGTTAATTTGCTTCACTATAATAACCTTTTTACTATGTATATATATCTTACATGATGTTGTATACCTTAATTATTCCCAATACAATTTATTTCAAAATAAATTAATTTTGAATCCAAAAAACTATTGTTTATGTGTATGTTTGTAAATACTATTGTTAGTGTAAATCAGATCCTTAGAAACCAAACTATGTTAAAGATCTTGCATTGCAAATTTCATGTTGGACTGCTGATTCTAGCCATATACTTTTTAAAGAGTTTCCATGTGATGCATCTCATTCATTCATTCACTCATTCAAAAATCTCTGTTTAGCATCTGTTATGTTCTAAACACTGGTGAGATTGCCATGGACAAAACATAAGGTTCCTGCTCTCACTGGTAAACTTCAGATAGGGGAGATAGTAAGAGATGAATAGAGAAGATAATTTTGGATTGTGATAATCATATGGAGGAAATAAACTGGGATGATGTAATGGAGAAGGGATGGAAGAGATTCTAATTAGGGGAAATCAGTTTGGGAAGGTCTTGCTGAGGTGGTAACATCTGAGCAGAGCCTTGAATGATGAGAAGGAGCCAGCCATGTGCAAATCCAGGGAAAAACAGTTTCTGGCAGAAGAAACAACAAATTCAAGGCCCGGAGGAAGAATTAGAGTGAAACACTATATTGAGGAACAGGTAACAGGCCAGTGTGCTTTGGGTATGTATTAGTTCGTTTTCAGGCTGCTTATAAAGACATACCCGAGACTGGAAAGAACAAGAGGTTTAATTGGACTTATAGTTCCACTTGGCTGAGGAGGCCTTAGAATCATGGCAGGAGGTGAAAGACACATCTTACATGGTGACAGTATGAGAAAATGAGGAAGAAGCAAAAGCATAAATCCCTGATAAACCCATCAGATCTTGTGAGACTGATTCCATAACACAAGTATAGCATGGGAAAGACCGGCATCCATGATTCAATTACTTCCCGTGGGTCCCTCCCACGACGTGGGAATTCTGGGAGATAGAATTCAAGTTGAGATTTGGGTGGGGACACAACCAAACCATATCAGGGTATAAGAAGGTGGAGTATGGGAATGGCATTTAGCAATACTGCTGAGGTTATTTATATTGACTTGAAAGCAAAATTTTATTTTTGACCATTATAGCTTTTTAGATTTGTGGCTTGCACACAACTATTTGGATTTCTGGAATCCACTCAACCCACAGCATTGTATAATAGGAAAAATTGAGCCTCATAAGAAATGTAGTTAATGTTCAACAAAGTTTATGTAAACTTTGATTTGTTAGGGACACAATTTTTATTGAATGTTTACATTATAACCTACCATTTATATAAAATTTCAAAGGTTGTTTAGATTTTGATGATGATAATAACTGGGAGAGCTACATGGCTATCATTTAACTATGTTCCAACTCACATGAGAAAAACTGACATAAAATTTAGGTCCATACAATTGAATATCATGATTAAAAGATGGGTTAAAACTAAAAATTAATTCATTTCATTAGCAATTATTGGTTCACTCAAAATTTTGCTTGTTTAGTTTTTATATTTTTTTGTAAGGATACACATTTAACTTGAACAGAATACATAGACTCCTGCTTTTCATGAATTATTTTCGGGATCCATTACTGTCCTGATTTTTTTAATGATAGAAACTCTGAAAAATTCAGTCTTTTTTCAGTTGATCCTAATTTCTTACTTACCTCTGGAGAGTTTGGAAATGAGGGCAGGCATTTTGCCATGACCTGCCTGCAGTCTATTTATTTTACTAAGCTAACAAGCTTTGCAGATGTCATTTGTGTGCCTGCTGTTCTGGGTATATGGGGAACAGATAGACAGGGATAGGAGGCCAGGTGGGTGGATTTCTTGTTATTTCCTTTGGACCTAATCTTTCTAATGTGGAGTCCATTCCTTCTGGGGTTATTCCCAAGGCCCTTATAAGCTATGGAAGGTGTCAGATAGGAACCCAGAGATGAACCTATCTTTTTAGGAGGATCACAGGTTGTTTATAGTTCATCTGCATGGAGTCCAGGCTACCTTTGGCTAAGGAGAAGGCCTTTTGTATCTGTTTGTGCCATACTCTCAGTTTGGACCCAGAGGGACAGAAACGATTTCAGGATTTGCAGTGTGATGAGACGGAAATAACATAGACCACTCTCTGTGTTGGGGTCACCTAGGTTTTGTGTCACGGCAGGTCATAGAACCTCAAGCAACTTCAGTTTCCTTAACTATAAAATAGGGATTATAATTATTTCCTAAAGGGTATTATGACCATGAGATAATAGTTACAAAGTATTTACCCCAGTACTTCAGATAATAGCCACTTGATAAATTACTATTATTATTAACATGCTTATATTTATTACTGTTTTTCTAACACAATAGCAAGCACCTAGTTTCAGTAGCATCCTGTACTTGTAACACTTCAGCTAGAAATTGCCCTTCTCCATTATAGATAAGACTGTTCTAAACCATACCTTCTTACATCAGACTGGATTTTCCAATGAAAATATTTTTATTTGCAAATACCTTCAGCTACATGCACCAATATATTTATTTTTAAATTTTTATGTATGCACATATGTATATATGTATATAATTAATATAAATATATGGTTCTCATATGAATAAGGGATCATAAGTTTAAATAGATTTTTTAAAAACTATCAAAAAATAGCATAACTAGAGCTGTGATTATTCTTTCATTCCACTAATATTGATTTTGTGCCTCTTAAGTGCCAGTACCATATTAGGTGCCAGATATATACATTAAATCTGCCCTCAAGGGGCTTAGATTCTAGAATAGACACTGACTGGACTTCACTTCTAAACATATTTTTCCCTGTTGGAAACAAACAAAATAAAAGTAATAATGGATTTAAGTGGTTAAGGTACAGGTTTAGTGCAAGTAATTTACAAGAGTAATTTTATGATATCAAACTTTCAATGATAGGTTTTACTAAGAATCAATATATTTCTAGTTTTAGATCATTAACCTCAAGGAATATCAAGTAAAGCAGCTTGCAGGCTGAGGCTTTTTATCTTGCCAAAGACTTCTTGTGAAAATCACAGGCCCAACTGAGCACTGTGTCTGTTAAAAAAAAAAATGCTTCATGTCAATACCTTGTTAATTATAAAAACAACATAATGTTTCCCTTGAGGCAAAGGAGTGAATTATCCTCTATCATCTTTATATCTGAGGAAAATCAATCAAAGATAAGGTATACACAAAGTGGAAAACCCAAATGGGTCTACACTTCAAAATGTTATGTACTTATATCTAAACCTACATACATTATCCAGTTAATCACTTGAGGCGAATACAAACAAATGAATATATAACATACATATTGTACATGCATTTACAGTATACTTGTACTCAAAGTTATATGAGCAATGCTCTTCTTTCTCAAATAAAGATTGCATATTCAGTTTGTAAAATGCTTGCTGTAAAATGCTTGCTCTGAAGCACTTTTATTGGATGTATTTATTAAACTGATTGTATAAAGGTATAACATATTGCTGATTCATTCCTTTTTCAAATACAATAGAGTGCACGCAATTCTCTTTTCTCCTAACTTCTAGTTAACTCCTATGGTTCTTCCTCATCTTAGCTCAAGGCCCCTCTCCAGAAAGCTTTCCCTCACTGCTCCATTCTGGGTTAAATGCCTCTATTTTGTAGACGTAAAACACTCCCAAATGCTTTCTGTACGGTATTATAGTTTTTTATTCTCTTGTGGGCAGGGATTTTGCTAGCTTTTCCTCACTTTGTGTTTCCACATAAGTAGATTCTCAAGTATATTTGTTGAATGAATGAGACACTAGTCTAGGCAATGGAAATAAAGAGTTAAAACTATCTTTAAGGAGTGCATTTTAGAGGGTGATATAGACATTAATCAAATAATCACATAATGAGTGCTCAACAAACATGTGTCAGGTGAATGACTTAGGGACTGCCTAAGGTATTCTAGAACCTATGCTAGACAAGCTGTGTTTTATTTCTGCAAGTCTCTATAGTTTACAAAGTGCTTTCCTCTGTGATCCACCAACGTTAGAAGACTAATCAGGCTCCCTTTGCTAATTTTTCTCTAAGTGTCTGCCTCTCTGCAAAGATGGAATGAAGTTCCGAAGGTATCATCTTCCAGGATACCTTGTGAAAATACTCATCTTACTCTGCTATCCAATTTATTTACTTCCTCTGTCTAACCCCTGATTGTCTCCATTCTGACTGTCTCTATGACTAACAAAGACCTGGACTTGGAATTAAGGGACGTGGTCTTTAATGTTGCTATTGAAAGTTACTAGGCTTTTAGGAAGTCATTTAAACTTCCCAAGCCTGTGAGACTGTTACAAGTTCTTTGTCAACTTTAAGGTGCTATAGGGACACAAAGACTAATTATTTTGAACATGAATATGGCAGTAAGTCTCAATTACCTATTAGATGTTAGTTGTGCCAGGGAAACACGCTGGTACATAAAGATATAAGGTTTTACGCACCCTTAGATAAGCTTAGGAAGTATTGAGTTAAAATAATTATTGTGATGATGTAACAAATGAGGGTGAATAGACAAACTGGTGTTTCTTTGACCTTTTCAAATTACTGAACCATAAGACAGAGTTACCTAATGGAATGGACCAGAGCATGGATTTTATTGGTGGTGTTTAACTTGAAACTTACTTGAAATTTCTTACATCAGTAGGATAGCAGTTCAGAAGAAATTATATTTTTTAACTATAAATATTTTTTGAGCCACTTTTGAAGGTTTTTATATCAAATTGAACTTTAGGAGCTTGTCTTTTCTTCTTTTTTTCCTCAGAACACGTATTTGATTTGCTATGAACTTAAAATCTTTATGAACAGTGCTCTCATTTGGGTAAAATAATGACATGTCAGTTTCTGAGACATTCATTTATTTAGCAATCAGGAGGTTATTGGGATATTGAGGTTAGAACCTCAATAATTCATGAAAAGTAGAAGTCTTACATATTATTTATATTATTTTTTTCCAAATTGTTTATCATAGAAAGTATACTTTTTTTTTTTTTTTTTTTTTTTTTGAGACGGAGTCTCGCTCTGTTGCCCAGGCTGGAGTGCAGTGGCGGGATCTCGGCTCACTGCAAGCTCCGCCTCCCGGGTTCACGCCATTCTCCTGCCTCAGCCTCCCAAGTAGCTGGGACTACAGGCGCCCGCCACTACGCCCGGCTAATTTTTTGTATTTTTAGTAGAGACGGGGTTTCACCGTTTTAGCCGGGATGGTCTCGATCTCCTGACCTCGTGATCCGCCCGCCTCGGCCTCCCAAGAAAGTATACTTTTTATGAAAAAAAAAAAAGAGGGTGGTGGTTAGTAGTGGGGTGGGAAATGGTCCTGCCAGTATCCTGAGGAGATAAAGTGTATGGGTCCCTAGACATTTATTTTTGATATTTCAATGGTCCAGTTGACTATGTATTTTCTTCCTAGTGAAAGCGAATCATTGATTTTCGATTTTTATTGGTCAGGCAGTGCTTTCCATTCTGTCATTCACTCTCTCTCACTCTCCCTCACTCTCCCTCACTCTCCCTCATTCTCCCTTCCCACCCCCTCTCTCCTTTCTGAGCTCCTGTGTCTGTTTTTCTGTTTCAGTCTGTGACTGCCTGTGTGTCTAAGATGATGGGAAAAAAAAGTATATTATTATCCAGAGTGATGCTTGTCAAGCACCTCAAAGGCCGTCTATGTAGTAGCAGCTTTACTAGAAGAAAGGGAGGGATTTGGGGGAGGGGAGAGTGCTAATCATTTGGCTGTTAAAATGCTGCAGAAGGCAACACAAAGCTCTGCCCACTTAATAAGTGCCTGCAGACAGCAAGTGAGGAGGGAAAAGTTTGGGAAAGAACTCATTTTTTCACTCAGAATGTGGAAGTTTTGTAAACACTTTAGAACCTCCTCCCACCCCAATTTCATAATATTCATTTATATGTTCAGGTTGTTTGTGTATTTGCATATGTCATGGACCACACACATAGGTAAACACAAAAAAGGAGAAATGTAACCCTTTTCTATAAGTTAAACCTCCAAATCCGCAGTTTCCTTATGTCACTGGCTTGATTTTCCTTATCCAGCTGTTAGTCATTTGTAAGAAGCTGCCCTTGTAATTGCAAGTGAGTTGAGATGTGATGTATGCAGTACCACATGCACCTTAGCTTTTCAGTCATATCTTTCGAGTCATTTAGACTCCCGGCAATCATGCTCATAATAAATAGCATTTTATTATCCAAAGCCGCTATTCTGGCACTGGAACGACAGCCATTTGGTAGATGGGACGGGTAGTTTTTTGTGTTACTCAGTGTTAGTAAGAAAGGAAGGCAACAAAGGGGGGACTTTGGCAAAGAAAATATTATGAGTATACTGAAGCAGCACATCAGAATTCAGAAACAAGAGCAAGAGCTGAAATGTGATTCCCTGGTGCTTGGTGTTACACTCATCGCAACGATAGAACTGTGCGGGGCACTCACAGGAGCCTTGTTCCAATCAAGGAATCCGCTAAAAGACCATGCAGCCACGGAGCCCAGGAAGCCACCGGGAAGTTTTGCCGGAGCTGATTTCTAGGGGATTTTCTGGTGCCTAGCAGAATCCTGCTTGCCTTGAGCTGTATGGAGGAGGGCTCGAGTTTCCCATGAGGGGCCCCCTTGGAAAAGCCGTCTGTACAGAATCCAAGCTCTGCTTCTTTCTGTGTGCAATTTCCAAAAGGCTTTTCTCACCTTTGCTGATTTGCTGGTGTGATTTCCATGTACTGAGTCCTGTGTAGGGATCCAGGATGGATTGCCTGTGCATTGTCACCACAAAGGTAGGATAGGAAACAGGGCTGTTATTGTGTGCAGCATTTTTCTATTATTATTCTGGTCCCGTAATTAAACAGTTCTAGTAGGTGCTGCCAGTTCATGAGAGAAAATGATTAGTATAATTTACTTTGCTGGGCATTTTGTTCCCTGAGGGTCTGGGGGGTCCTGTCTTTATGTGATTTTAACTTCTTAAAGTGATATTGCATGTTTGTGCAAATGGAAGGAGAATTTGCCTGTTTTTTTGTTTTTTGTTTTTTTTTTATGGCAGGATTTGCTTTTGCATCTATTTATAGCTCATAATAGAAATATCTATAGTAGTAGTGTAGCACATACACATCAGTTTAACTTAACATATCAGGGCAGTCTTTCTGAGTGTGATAATTAGCTTTTCATTTAAAAACCATGTCTTCTGTGTTTGAAGAAGCCAATCAGCTTTACTGTGACTTGACATATTGCTTCTGATTGGAGAATTCTGATATTCTGCATTTTAGTGATTTATTTTAAAGGAAAAAAATCTCAAGGCCCTGAGTTAAAACAAACACAATATTTAATATTTAGCTAATTCTATTTTAATTATACACAAATATTTGCATTATTGGAAGTATAAATAAAAGTGGGAATGAAATAAAATCAATAGGCAATCGTTTTATGGATTTGTTTTACAGAAAATAGCAAAACATTTCAAAAGCATTTTATTTTATTCTGTCATCAGTTCTAAATAATGTATTTAAATTTTATAATCACTGATTATTTGAATAGATATTCCTAATATTTTTGGGAAAAACTAATTATAGACATTTATTCATTAGTTCCCTTTTCATTTTGCATGTAAGCATACCATGAGTTAATTTGAACCATATCTTTTTGTATCTCACGTTGATTAGATGACTATTAAACATAACAAAATTAATAGCTTAGTACATGAGAGTTAACTAAGTGTAGATGTCCCATTGTGATCTCCTTTTACCACTGAAGAAAAGATTATTTAATTTCAAAGCCACAAACCAAGTTCCCCATAGTATGACCTTAAATATATTACTTTTACAAATGAAGCCCCAGAAAATCATAATGGATATCTTCCCATATGGCCTAATATCACATGGCAGCTTCAGTTGATGTTAGTGGATTTAAAGCCTAAAACTTCTAGTTGAGTTAGTTGACTAGGCCTCTAAATTAGATGAATACCTTATTTTACTTTTAAAAATTGCCAAACATCTCATGCAGTATTCCAGTTAAATCAGTAAATCAACTAAAATAAATTTTAAAAAATCTTAAGTAGGAAATTGTATGTCCTTATGTAATCTACTAAAGGAAATATCCTCTTAAATATGTTACTCTTCCTGAGGTGTTACCCTTGTGTTACTTTTCTTGAGACAATACTACCAAATCTGATCTACTTGTGTTTTATGATTATTTATTCCCAAATTATAATAATTTTAGATACTGTGAAACATAATTAATATTGTAAAAATAAGTTATCAAAAGTTATTAATGAGAACCCAAACTAGAAGTCTACTATATTATACAAATTAAATCAATACCGAAATCCAAGTGCCTTCAATTTGGAAAACATTATCTAATAAAAAATGTCATATGCCTTATATTTACTTATAAAAATATTATTGACTACAGGTACATAGGTGATACATATTATTATTTTGCTTTAAATTCTTAATAAGAGATAAATGTCATTACTCCAGTATTGTGATTTATCATATAAATTATACGAATCAACAAAACACAGACCCACATGAAATTTCATTTTCTTAGTTATATCCACGAACATTTCTAGAGTGATGTATATAACATCTTTAAAGAACAAACATACAGCAAAGTTACATTGTAATATTTAAATGGTAAATAATGCATGATTGCTTCAAAAGCTGGACATAGGTGAAGAGACCTCTTAGAGGACTTTAGACTGCAAATCTTATCTATTTAGTCTACCACTGTTGATACTTTACTGTTTTTCCCCAAGTGGCCATGCACTTGGGATGCCCTTGCTCTACTTTCTTGGGACTGTTTGACAAGAAACTTGCCCACAATTTGGAAATTTTAATTATATCTTAGTTTAATACTCATCTCCTTATCCCCCAGCAATAAGTTCACTTTCCAATAGCTCTGGCTAAGGTGCTGTCTTCAATTATTGCTTTACAGAAGCTTTATGTGAGACTGGAACTGTTAATTATGATACGTCCTAAGCTCCATTTCATTCACAGCACATTTCGATACCACAGCTGACCGCTACCTTTGTCAAGTTTTTAGTGGCAGGAAAACAGAAATATTTCCATTGGTAATAGCATTTTTGTTCCTCCTTCCCTTTCCTTGGCATGAAAGTCCCTCACTGTCCCCTTGGCTCCTCCTAGACCTCTGTGAGCTCTGAGTTCTGCCATTTTCCCCTACTGGACATACTATAGAGATAAATTCCTCCTTTTGTCTTTGTTCCACATTCCTAAAGATTGTAAGAAGATTAATGAGCAGAGGGATGCTGATAAATCTAGAAAATATAATTGTATAATGGTAATATAAAAGGATCTATTAGACATACTGGAGAATAATTTTTTAGAATTGTACTTTAAGTTCTGGGATACATGTGCAGAATGTGTAGGTTTGTTACACAGGTATACATGTGCCATGGTGGTTTGCTACACCCATCAACCCATCATCTACATAAGGTATTTCTCTTAATGCTATTTCTCCTCTTGCCCCCCACCCCTCAAAAGGCCCCGGTGTGTGATGCTCCCCTCCCTGTGCCCATATGTTCTCATTGTTCAACTCCCACTTACGAATGATAACATGTGGTGTTTGGTTTTCTATTCCTGTGTTAGTTTGCTGAGAATGATGATTTTCAGCTTCATCCATGTCCCTGCAAAGGACATTAATTCATTCTTTTTTATGGCTGCATAGTATTCTATGGTGCATATATGCCACATTTTCTTTATCCATTTGATCATTGATGGTCATTTGGGTTGGTTCCAAGTCTTTGCGATTGTGAATAGTGCTGCAATAAACATACGTGTGCATGTGTCTTTATAGTAGAATGATTTATAATCTTTTGGGTATATACACAGTAATGGGATTGCTGGGTCAAATGGTATTTCTAGTTTTAGATCCTTGAACAATTGCCACACTGTCTTCCACAATGGTTGAATTTACACTTCCACCAACAGTGTAAAAGCGTTCCTATTTCTCCACATTCTGTTGTTTCCTGACTTTTCAATGATTGCTTTTCATTAGAGAAATGCAAATCAAAACCACAATGAGATACCATCTCATGCCAGTTAGAATGGTGATGGAGAATCATTTTTATTTTGTTTCTACATATAAAGGGAAGGAAATGATTGTGGATTTTGTGTAAATGCTCTGATAAAATAATCCCACCTTAGATCTTACCCCATTTAACTCAGATTGTTTAAAGTCTTAAGAGCTCCAGTCTAGTTAGATTGATTTGCAGAATGTATCAGATTTGGAGTAAGATCTTGTAGACTAGGAAATCATCAGAGTATTCATAAATACAGAGTTTCTGTCACATGGATCCCAAGTCTTGTCAAATGCTCAGGCAACCCACTTTCAGAAGATTGAGTCATCTCTTTTTCTCAAATGTTTCTGTCCAGTTTCAAGTTTAACTCTTTTGTCACAGATATCACTTCTGAGAAAGAGAAAGAACATGTTTTAGTGTGAATAGCAGGATACTGGAGCGAGACTTGGATTTAAATTGTTGTTCTGACATGTATTAGTTTTAAGATGTGGATAAGTTGTTTAACTTCCTCAAACACTGATTTCTTCATCTTCGAAAAGGATATATTACCTATGTCTAAGTGATGTTGTGGTGGAGTATGTAAAGTACTTAGCACAATTCCTGGTATATGGAAAAATGTGTATATAGTATAATTTATTCAGCAACTCACAATTTATAACTTTAATGAATACCCCTCAGTATGATCATTGAGGTAAATGAAGTCATCTCAATAACACTGGCTAAACACAATCCAATAACTAATGCAACACATTTTATATAATGGAATTCCCTACGTATGTTTTGAGTAGTTGAAAGATAAATAATCCCAATAAGTTTCACAACTAAAATATAAGGAAAATAATGTTAGGCAGAGCCATGAGTTTACATGATTGGGCAATAGGACAATAGTTCTGGATCGCAGGCAGAATATTCTGCCTAATTTAATGAAATGCAAGGAGTCAATAGAATTTTTCTTTTACTGCTTAGGAATTCTCAAGTATCATATGTAATAACATAAAGGATTTGATATAAGAACAGAAAAAAGTGTGGAACTGCGAAAAGTAAATCTCTACTTTCTGACCATGGGCACCCAAAGGCATTTGGCCACCATTGTCTTTTTCTTTAAAATGAGTATATTTTATTGCATCTCTGAGGTATTTCCTTTTCTATTTTGAATCTAACATTATTCTATATTTTCTCTGAAGATAAAATTGTTTAGGTTAAGTATCTTAAATAGTAGTAGTGGGTGAATCACACATTGGCATAATTTCAGATATCCATTAACCATACTTATACATTTGAAAAAGTTTAAAAAAAATCTACAAATAAAACTGCAATATGTTAAGTTACTGCTATAATTTGTTAATAAAGGCATGATGGTACTATTCATTTTTATTATGTATAACAGGTTAATGTACATAATAAAATTCACATAGCAGAGTGAAAAGTGGACCAGGCAGCACAAAAGAAGCTTTTCTTGATGTAGTTAATACTACATCTGTTTTGTAAATATGATTTCACTCTTTGCCTCTGTCAACCCACTATCTTTAATAAGAATTAAAAATCACTCAGAATTACTGAAAGGAAATAAAAGTTATTGCCAGGCATTAAAAATATTTTTATCACAGCTGGTGAATATAATATTTTTTATTATGACTTTAATTTTTAAAAGGTGGCATCTTGTCCTTTTGTAAGTGGATTCTTAACAGAAATATTTGCAAATAAGGTATTTGGAAAAGCTAAAATGATTTTTATTTTCCACCAGAGCTTCATGTAGAGAAAATGAAACAAATCACCAAGGCAACAAATGGTTTCCTGAGTGGTCTTGTGTTCATAGACAAAGCTATTTATTCATGCTGGTGTACAGTTGCTCCCATGGTAGAAGCATCACATTTATTCATTCATTTTATTAATCTAACAAGTATATATTGAATGCTTACTATGCACTTGACATGTTGAAAGGTGTGGGGATACAACAGGCAATCTGTTCTCATGGAACCTTTCGTCTAATGGGGAAAACAACCAATTACAGAAATAGCAGTGATGTCTGATAAGAAAATGAATATAGAGTGCTATGGAAATGAGGATAGGGATACAGGGATACCTAAAGAACCTGATTAGCTTTGTTGCAGGGTAGGCAGGGATAAATATCGGGAGGCTTTCCTGAGGAAGTGAAAATTAAGCTGATTTGCAGAATGAAAGCCACAATGGGGTTGGGAGAATGTTTTAGGCAAAGCTCTGGCAGGTGTGTGGGGAGAGAGAGAGAGATAGAAAGAGAGAGTGGGTGGGGGGCGGGGGGAGAGAGAGAGAATGAATTGCACATTTCAAGAATGGAAGGACAATATGGCTGGGATGTAAGGTGTCCAATATGAGTAACAAGATATAGAGGATGCAGAGATAGATCAGCACCCTGTCACAAATATCATGAAGTTGAGATATTTGTTATCTTAAAGGAAATAGGATATTCCATCCATCATTAAAACTGGTTCCAAATCCCAGCTTGCCCAGACTTCTTTCCCATTTCATCCCCCTGATTTGAGCTCTCTCCTATTTTCTGCCACAACCTGTGTTGCCCATTCTTATACCTGTTCAGTAAAATAATGGTTTCCCCTTTTACTAGCTGGATGACCTTCTCAGCACTGCAGTTTTCTCATCCATGAAAGGGTACCTATCTCACAGCGTTGTTTTAAGAATTCGGTGAGATAAGAACTATAAAATGCTTAGGATATTACCTTGTAGGGAGTAGGCACTCTGTTCTTTGTTAGGGTCTATAGCTTCTTTATCTTTGTATCTTTTTTTGTGGTGCACTTCTTGTATTTATCCTGCCAATGACACTGGTTCTAATTCTTGTCATTCCAACCAAATGTCTGCAAGGTGGCATGTCTACGTGGGGGAGATTGGAACAGGGGGCTTGATGTATCAGAAAAAAAATGTATTGAGTGGCAAAGAGGAGCATAAATACAGCTAATAGTAGGGAAAATTTAACATAACCTGACCTTTTTGTGTAGAAAGAGAAGAGATTCTATGACTGTCTTAATAACCTGGGATTAACCATTTAATAGTGTCAGACATATGAAATACTAATGCCATTAATATAATAGCTTAACTTTCTTTTATTAAGTATTCCATCCAGCTGCAAGAGGATCATTCTAATACACAAACCCAACAACATCACTCTCAGCAACCTATTGAAAGATGAGTAGTTACACAAATTCTTACCAAAGTATACGATTCTCTTTTGACTTAGAACCTAAATTTCTCTCATGTCTTATCTTCTTTCATTATACCTTGTATTTTACACTCCAAGAATGTTGAAAATACATGGACGAGACCATCTTTTAAATCTGTGTTACCTTCCCTATCTTTCATTAAACTAAAGGACACATTGGCCTTGCTGGCTTCCCGCCGTTCTTTGAAGGTGTCAACCATGTTTTGGTTTCGGCGACTTCCATTTGTTATTTTTTTTTCTAGATGACCATCCACCCATCTAAATTCTACTTATATTCCAGATGTCACCTTACATGTCACTACCTTTCCTAAAATTTTATGTATTCTTGGAGTACACTCTGATTTTTATGCCACATTTCCACACATAGCAACTCATAGTGCATACTGATTTGTGTGATTATTTTGTCTTTCTTTTGACTAGACAGAAACTCCATAAGGAAAGGAACTGTGTTCCTTTTTCTTGTGTGTGTGTGTGTGTGTGTGTGTGTGTGTGTGTGTGTATAATGTCTGGGACATTGAAGGTACTTGAATTTAATAAAAACACGTTTAGTCTTTAGACCAACCTGGTGATCCTTCATATCTTAAAGATGAGGTGCATTCACAGAAATAATAAGTTTTATAGTGGGGATTCCAACTCAAGTCTTTATGACTCTAATATCCATGTTCCCATTCACTATTATTCTCTCCTGATTGAATCACAACAAAGTTATTATTTAGTTAAAATATACTCTTGATAATATACTTTGCATTTCATTCCTTCTCAACCTAAATATCTAATTAAATAAAAGCAATGCACTTATATAGGGCTTAATTTAAAATTACAATTAGTTGTAGATTTGTAGTTTTTCAGACATATATCCATAGTCTGTAAAACTAAACTTTTAGAAATAAAATAAAACTTTATTATATGAATCATACCAATCATCTGTTAACACATCTGTAGTAAATGGTTTTCCCTCCAAACATGATTACAGGATGTTACTTCATAACATTAGCCCTTTTTGATTCTGTGAGTAAAAACAACACAATGCTATGAAGAGCTATGAGACTGAGAGTATTGTCCTTTATAAGACCTTTACATAAATCTTATATTCTCAGACAAATGTGGGTCTGCAGAGGAAACAACTGCAAATGAAATTTTACAACTTAGATAACATTTACACATTTACTGCGCTCAGGCTGGGCACGGTGGCTCACGCCTGTAATCCCAGCACTTTGGGAGGCCGAGACGGGCAGATCATGAGGTCAGGAGATCGAGACCATCCTGGCTAACACGGTGAAACCCCGTATCTACTAAAAATACAAAAAATTAGCCTGGCATGGTGGCGGATGCCTGTAGTCCCAGCTACTTGGGAGGCTGAGGCAGGAGAATGGCGTGAACCTGGGAGGCGGAGCTTGCAGTGAGCCAAGATTGCGCCACTGCACTCCAGCCTGGGCGACACAGCGAGACTCCGTCTCAAAAAAAAAAAAAATTTTACTGTGCTCAAAACTTTAAAAAATATTATAAATCTTTCATGATGTACAAAAAAGAATTCATCACTGCCCTTTAGTATTTATCCATTATTTAATTTGAATGTTTGGAATATAAGATTTTCTTAAAGCAGATTACCCATGATTATAGCTACCTGAGGGACCTGTCTTGTTGCATGTATGTATGTTTCACCAAAGGCAATCTGAGAATATGTGTTGGATCAAGATTCAGAAAATATAGACTTGAGGTTTCCATTTATTATACTAGTAATCTTAGTAAACTCACTTTATCCTCTCTGACCCTTATTTTTCTCAAGTCTGAAATGGGGTAATAATACTGGCTTATCAGTAGTTCCTGAACAGGATTATTGTACAGAATCAAATTAGTTTATATATTTGAAAAGTACGAAGTACTCTATACATGGAAAGGATGAGAGAAATTATTGAAAATAAGATATCCTAGCATAAATTGGCATCTTTCATTACCATTAGCATCACCGTATGGTAGAGAAAAATGAGAGCTGTGTCTGTATATGTGTTAGAAGTAATCTTAAGTGACACAGGTCACATAAATACTTAAGCAAACTTAAGTTAAAAGAAGATCTAAGAGGATCACCTTTGTGAAGGTCTTGGCAAAGAACATCCCAGACAAGGGGAGTAGCTAGTGCCAACATACACATAAGGTTTAGTGTAGCAACTATGTATACACATAGCCAATAAATAGCAGCTGATGGTGTTTCTGTTCCCTCTCCTCTTTCTCTCTCATTTCCTCATTTCTGGGAGTCTGACACTGAAGGATAAATTTCACTAATTCAATTAGCTAGTTACCACTCTGGTGGCAAATTTCTATTTGTGTAGTCATGGTGATGGGGATTTCCTCTGGCTTCAGTGAATAATACTTTGCAGGTTTATAGCCTCTTACTGGTGAGAGAAAGATACCAAATGTTTTAGCTTCTTCTTCCATTTGTGCGTTCAAAGATAGTACCAGATTCAAAAGCCTATGAAAATAACCTTTGCCCCTCATATCTCTGTTTTAATATGCTTACCCACACATATCACTTTCTTTGTATCTAAGTAATTCAGTTCTCGAGCTAACCTTTTGGAGATGACAGGTTTTATGAGAAACGGGTTTGAGAGTAAATGAATGAGTTCTTGGAATTTGGAATTCTATTTACCTATTAAGTAAATTTAAGCCGAAAGTTCCCGGAAAATGTTTACTCTCTGGAGTCTTCCAAGCATAAACAGTTCTCCTACTCTGCTCTGTGCTCAATTTCTTTGTATGCCACTATCCCAGTTGTCATGGTTAGAAAAGTAGGAGTTAACCTTGATTTTTATTTATTCCTAAATCTCCCACAGCCCCAATCCTTATTTATTCTATTCCTTATAATCTGTCCTTTATTTACAATTTCTACTACCAGTGGTCTTTTTCAGAGACTCACTAATTCTTACCTGGATTTCTACAATAGAATCCCTATTTGTCTTCCTACCTTTCCTATCTTTCCACTCCTATACATTTTCCACACCATTAACTTGAACCTTCCCTTAAAAAATATACATACAGGCCGGGCATGGTGGCTCACGCCTGTAATCCCAGCACTTTGGGAGGCCGAGGCGGGCGGATCACGAGGTCAGGAAATCGAGACCATCCTTGCTAACACGGTGAAACCCCGTTTTCACTAAAAATACAAAAAATTAGCCGAGTGTGGTGGCAGGTGCCTGTAGTTCCAGCTACTTGGGAGGCTGAGGCAGGAGAATGGCATGAACCCGGGAGGTGGAGCTTGCAGTGAGCCGAGATCGCACCATGGCACTCCAGCTTGGGCGACAGAGCGAGACTCTGTCTCAAAAAAAAAAAAAAAAAAAAAAAAAATATATATATATATATATATAATATATATACAGACACACATACATGCATGTGTGTGTATAAATATGTGTGTGTATATGTGTATAAATATACATATATATGTGTGTATATGTGTGTGCATTTATGTGTGTGTGTGTATATATATATATAATTTGCATGTATATCACAACTCTGCAACTCTCGTTATAATCCTTCAGGGATTCCCTGTCCCCTACTGCTCCCTTATTCAAAATTTTGTTTGTTCACCAAATGCAATATCATCTGCTAGAAAACTGCTGGAAATGCAGGATCTTAGTCCCCGTGTGAAACTACTGAATCAGAATCTGCGTTTTCATAAGATCGATAATTGATTTGTATCCTTAGTTGATTTTGCACATTAAGGTTTGAGAAGCACTGCCCTTCAAGATAAAGTCTGCATTGTTTCCCCTGCAGCACATGGCCCTCGATGTTGTATCCCTTGCCTAACTGCCTATCTCAGATCCCACTACCTTTCATGCCTTAGTCAACTATAATCAATAACATTTGGTTTCCCCAAATAATTTGAATTTCATCCTCTTGTTTCTTCGTTGTGCCTGTTTTTTCTTATGCCTGGAATACCTCTCAACTTCCTAGCTTGATACTTCCCTAATACATTTCTTAACCTTTAAGATTCAGCTAAATGCGGATTTCTCTTTAAGTACTTTCCTTGGTATTGTCCTACTAGACTGAGCCCATCAGCCTCCATGTTCTCCGCACATTGTCTGCATCTTTGTTATAGTCTTTATCTGGTTGTGTAGTTAGCTTTTCCATGTGCCTATTTCTTGCTAGAATGTGAATTCCTTGAGGACAGGGGAAGTTCTTAGTTGTATTTATAGCTGATCACTTACCATGGTACTGGCAGATGTACTACAAGTGTTGATTGATTCTTTCATTTAACAGACATTTGATAGCTATTTCACTGTTCAATAAGTGAATGAGTGGGTGAAATTCTTCCTTCCTCTAATTTACACACACACATACATACATACTACACACACACACAACACTCTTATGTAGATATCCATGTACTTCTGTGTGTGTATATATAGACTCATGTGCACATATACACAAATGTTTTAGCATATATACATACATGTACACACATATGTACATGTGTATATATAATGTGCATTTCACAATAAATAGTTGTGAAAGAAATCTTTGTACTCTGATGGAGAAACTATTCAGTTAAGAGACAGCCAATTGGTAAACTTATCTGTGAATATTTGGTGAGCCTGAAATGATACTTGGAAGTGTCATTTTTGTATAAAAGAAATGGACTAATAGAGGTAAAATTCCTTATATACACCTGGAAAATGGCAATTGAATCACATCTATGATAAACCAAATTATCATGATCATAATTGAAATTTCTAAAATTTAAGTACAAAATACTTAGAAGACAATTGCACCTTTTTATTAAACAAAAACTAAAGCAGTCAGATCTGCTTTTCAGTTTGATAAAAGAATGCCAACTCATGTTCATTTAATTTCTTAGTGATTTAATATAGCATGGTATTTTTTGGGGAAAATTATTTGACTTTATAATATATATATAACATATTTATCATAAATATACTATAAAAGAATAACAATATTAATGTAGTATATTTTACTATGAAAACATTAAAGTGAGTTAGAAAGGTGTGCAATAGAAAATTAAAAAATGATGTTATTCTCCTAAATTATCAGGTTATAAAATAATTGGAGAAATAATATAATTTTTTTAAGTGGAATACATTATGTTTTACTCAACTTTCAGGATACAAACTTGTCTAGGAAGAGGTTCACAGCAGTTCGGCTACTTTTTTATACTGGTTTACATTTCAGAGAACAAAGTGTATCAGTATCATTAAATGGCTTTATCCCAAGTAACCTACAAAAGGAACTTAAAAAACTATAATAGTAATTATTACTTGGAATTTGTCCAACTAGCCACAGATGACACCAGCACTATGCATACAGGAGCTGAATGGATGTTACGTTATTCTGTGGTTAAGATCTGAGTTAAAAGCTTTACAGACTTTCAAATGTTCCCTTAAAATTGTTCTGAAACCCCTAGACAGAAATGACTTAGAATAATCTATTATACCACTTTACCAAGCAGCAATGTAGTTAGCAGTAGAGTCTCCTCGAAGACCATTTAATTATGTTTCAAAAAAGAATATCCAAAAGTCAAATTTCAAGACATAAATCATACCATTTATTATCTATGCCAGCAAGAATTTTGATTTTTGTATGAAAACACATTTCATAAAGTATTAATTTTTTTAGCTTACCTCTCGCATACTTCATGCTTTTACAATGAGAAATATAACCTTTGATGCTGTCTTTAAGATACCCTAAAATAAAATAAATTATTTGTTTTTAAATAGAGTTCTAAATAGGACATTACAAGGATAATTTCTTGATATTCTTAATGATAAAAATTTAAAAAATTTATTTGCTAAAGAAACCATAAATGAAAGTATACATTTTAAGCAAAATAAACTCTTCCTCCCTTTCTTTGTTTTGAATCTCTTAGGATTTCTAGATATGGTGTTTTCTTGCAAGTCTCTTAAAATAAAACTGTCCTGAATTAATACACCCATAATTTACTTAGAAATCTAAAGTTCTGTTTAAACTGAGAACATATCTAATTGCTAGTCCGTTCTGGCTATTGCTTGATGTTGGCCATGGCACTTGATCTACAAAAGCCTGCACATTTTCTTGTTGATTAACATTTGTCCCAAAATACATATTCATAGGTGTCAGGAAGACAGGGCATATATGCAAGTAATATCCATTGACCCTTTTCTTTGTGTTAGGTTTTGCCAAGATTTTAGGTAACTGAGAAAATCCTCCGATAAGAGAAAGCTCTGTACAATTAACTTGGTGGCATTCCATGTGTACTTTTCAGAAAACACTATCCAATGTATATGCATTTTTTGAAATTCAAGAAGATCATAAGCAAATTTGTATGAATTGCATATTTAATAGGTTGTAATTATGTCTTATCAAAAGCTCAACTTTTAAAATTCTTTATTCTTTGGAAATATGGTAATTGTTACCTTTCCCATGTAGTTAATTATAAATTTCAGGAAGAATTAAGTGTGCTAAATCTCTTTACTTTGTTTTTTCTTTGTCTCTATGGTAGCAGAGAGAATAGAAGTGAATTACTTTCATCTTGTTTCTGAATGGCATTTCTTTCTTCAAAGGTTTGACTTTATTTTGGGGTCCTGAAATTTCATATATTTTTACTAAGTGAATTTATAAATATGTTTGGAAGAAAAAAGTAGCTTGTTTTAGAAGTTACAGTCTTTTATGTTTCCATGAGACTTTGTAGTTTATAATAGATAAGATCTGCCAATGAAAAAATATTTATTTTCTATAGTAGTAATAATATCCAAATTTTCCTTTTTGCAAGGAGAAAAGTACAATTACAGCCCATTCCGTTTTTCTCATCTGATTACTAGGATGCAATGACAGAATGCAAATATTAATTACATTAAAAATATTTCACAAAACTATGCTTTTAAATCTTGTATTTAGTAGCTTAAATTACTCTATTGCATTCAACTATGCATAGTAATAACTCAAACTTTGGAGACTGACAGAGCTTCAGAGAATATTGGGACATGCCTCCATAAAATACTAAAATACCATATTATATTTTTTAGAAATATTTATAACCAATGATTTCAAGTAAATAATCCCAGACTGCAGAATCGGTTTTGGCTCCCAAATTTAGTTATCTTAAATTGCTGCAGTATTTCAGACATTCTTTCCATCTTCTATATACTGACAAAAAAGTTACAAACAAAACTTAAGTTTAAAGTTCTTGACATTTGCTAAGCGCTTTCATGTACTTTTTCTCATTTAATTTTCATAGTAACCTTGTGAGATAAATATTACTATTTTATACTCAGATACAAGAATATAGACTCAGAGGAGCTAAGTGAAACAGGAGAAAGATCCCCAATTAATAAGATAGATATTAACATGTAAATTATATAGTATTTATCTTATTACTATTAGAGTATATATCAGGCCCCTAGACATATATGTTATATATATTATAATGTATATAGTTTTATAATCCTTACAATAATTCCTTAAGCTAGGTTTTATTTTTTCCACTTTATGGATGAGAAAACTGAAACTCACAGAGATTAAGAAATTTATCCAAAGCCACAGATGTAAAAAGTGAAAACTCTGGCATTGTAACCCGGGTCCAGTCAGTTCCTCATGGTATTAAACTCTCTCCTCTACTATCTAGGGTTAATGTGATGATACAATGAGCTGACAATGCATGTCAAGTGCCTGGGATCTAATGGTGCTCAATGTATTATTTCATCATACATCTAGGAAATGCTTCCTAAGTCAAAGCCCGCTGTCCTCTCCCCATTGATACCCTGAAATATCAAGTCACAACAATGGTTTCCATTTATAATCCTTTAATGTGGCCAGCTTGAAAACTCAGAGCCTATTCCACTCATTACTGTTAATCTGGGTAGCTAGGTGCTTAGAATATTTTAATGTAGAGTGTTTAATCCTCTTATGCACTAGTTAGCCACAGACTGCACCTCTGTTAACCTGGGCAAATGTCTGCCTGAAGTCACAAAGGATTTTGAAAAGTGTTGAGGATGACTCAGCACCATCATCACTGCCCACTGAAAAACGCTTGTTCTCAGCATCCTTTGGAGAATAGGTCAGCAGCATTTTCTTCATTTACAAAAGAGGCAAATTCATGACTCCCCAGCATGGCTTCAGTTTTAGTAAGGATTTCCTCAGAAACAAATTAGGCCAACTTATTTTAAACATCTTTTGAAGCCTGAGAAAATAAAAAGAAGCAAATGGAAGGATAAGCCCAGGAAGGGATGAAGTCATATGTTGAGGAATATGCCCAAAGTTGAATGAAAAAAGTTAACACTAACCATGAGTATGTTTGGCATCTGTAATTGACACATTGAACAAGGAATACTCATGGGATGTAATAATAGAAGTCATTTTATTTTGGATTCCCCATTGTTTGTTTAAAATGGCTTAATGTCAGTGGTCCTTACCCTGCCCTCTAAATGAAAACGGGTATTCTCATAACTTTCCATTTACAGGAAATGAAAAGTCCTACAATCACTTAATATCACAAATACAGTCCCAATGTATTAATTAAAATTGCTCAGTCCCAAATATTAGTCAAAATTCTGAACACATTCCAGATGAAAGATTCTCTTTTTTCCACTGTGGGGTCTTCAGACAGGACATCTGCTTTGGGGGAAGGGGATGTCATAGACTTCTCTTTTCATTTTTTTTTTTACTAGTTTTTTTTTTTATTCCTATTTACGATTACTTTTTTTTTTTTTTCTATTTACCTATTTACTAGTTGGTTATTGATCCTTCCAAGTTTGGAGCATAAGAGGGAAATAAGAAAAGGAGACAAGGAAAGTTCTTATTAAACTGGAATTGTGTTTTTTGCCTTCCGAACCTGACATATAATAACAGTAAGAATAACCAAAAAGGAAGAAAATTACTGACAAATAGTGCTGATTATGTATAGAAATAGTTTTAAGTGCTTTACTTATAACTTTTAAAATCTTCATAACTAATGCAAAGAGAGGTAAAGCAACTTGCCTAGGGTTACATAGCTAGCAAACAGTGGATCTGGGATTTTAACGCAGCCAGAAAATGTCTGGCTTGAGTTTTTCCCTCATGGACACTTTCCTCAGTCTTTGGAAGTTTCCCCTTCTGGGCCTAAATCTCCTATGATGTGGATGAGGCATTTCCTTAGCGTCACATTTTACAGCAGCCCACCCTATATGGAGGGTTGTCTTGACAGGTGTTACAATGGCTCCAGAATGAATCTTTTGCCTTGACGAACTCTGAGAGTGCAGGCTAACCCATATGAAGCCACTTCTCACTTAAGAACCAATTTGCCACGTTATCTCACTGGTTAAGCTTCTTAGGTGAGAGTCAAATCCCAGTATACTGACCTCCTAAACCCAAGGAAGTTATGTTAAGCTCTAGGTGCAGTCCCATTGAAGTTTCTTTTGCTAATTGTAGGTGATATGTAAGACTTCTCAACCCCTCTTCAAAGATATTCTCCCCCTTTCTAAATCTTTAGTCATCTAACTTTTGTATACCAGCATTATATTACATTATAGATAGGATTCAGGATCCTCAAGTTGGTTCTTGGTAATTTATTTGAATATTGCACACGTGGTCTAGCCTCCTTTGGAATCTCATTTTTATATCTTGGTGTCTTAGGACTTCCAATGTAACATTTTGTGCACATATTTCCACCTATAATGTATTTTACATTAGCACATGGCAAGATTTGATCTTCTCTTTTTTTAAACATCTCACTCTGAAATTACATGTCTTTATGGGAAATTAGAAAACTAATTCAATGAAAACCTTTATTTTGCCAGAATAATTTTTTAATACACACCTGTATACACACACATAAATCATATTTGTAAGTATATATGTATCTATAGACACATTATGTGGATGATGCATAATGAACACATGATGTGTATGTAGATACATACATACAAATATAGATATATATTATATCTCTATATTTAGAAATATATGAAATTGATGATTTGGAGGCACTTTCTGAGTCGTTTTTCCTCAAACTTTTTGAAAAAATTTTTAACTCTTGATGTGCTAGAGAGTATATTGGACTAGAAGTCAGAAAGTGTTCTAGTAATTTTAATAACAAGAATTAGCTCATAAAATTAATTTTCAAATAATTAATGCTTTATAATTATCCATTACATTTCTAAAGTACTTTACAACTCACAGTCCATTTGCATACACATTATTGCATGTCATTTTAGTTCTGCATGCAAAAAGCCACTTAGTTCTGCTCCTTGGGCATCACGTTTTGACCTCTTTTTCTTCATCTGTCAAATACCTTAGAGTCTCACGGATGAGTAAGACAGCTGAAATGCTTGTTCAAAGATTAAACTCAGGAGGGCCTCTTGTGTGTTTTACAGGATCAGATCTGGGTCCTTCCATGTCCACTTCCTGGTAGGATTCATTTATCCCACACCCTGCTGTCCATTTAGTCTTGTGAAGAAGAGATAAAGGGAAAGGCTGAACTCAGCTCTCTGTATAGCATAAAATCATTCTTTCTCCTCAGTCCTGGGATTCTGAGGTCCAGAATTGAGGAGTTTCTTGACAAGGCCAATAATGTCTTTACTTTGCACTATCAGATGGTCTTTTGAGTTACCTTTAGCCTGTAACGCCCTCTTCTTACACCTTCGCCTCCTTAAAACTGTGTTGGAAACCTGAAGTGTCTCTTCAAAAAGACATTTCTGAATTACCCAGCCAGAGTTAAATACTTCCACCTTTTGCCTCAATTCCTCTGTATAATTTTCCCTTACGCTTGTTCATTTCTTACTCCTGCCCCAAGAATGAGTGCAGTGAATATTTTTGATCTGTCATGAAATGGTTTATTTATCCCATATCAGTAATATTGCTTTATAACTGCAGCTTTATTAGTTTATCTTTCTCCTTAGAATAAGTACTTTTTTAGGCAGATACTGACTCTTGATATATCCTTATTCCTAATGCAATAGCTGGCACTTAGTAATTGCTCAATAAATGCTTGTTGACCAACTACATGAATGGATGAATGGTCCTGTTATTTAACCCTGTTTTAAACTCAGCACATTGTATTGTATCTCCTAAAAGGTTGGGGGCTTTAGGAGAATAAGGATTATTTAAATTTTTTAGTTCTAAATTTAAAATCTATATGTATACCTAACGTACCATTCATGGAGTGTATTTTGGTAACTGAGGGATGGGTAAATGAATGAGCAAATATGTGTACAGTTCTATCATGCAATACTTCTCAATACCGCACCCCCACCCCGAAAAAAAACTCCTTTGTTTATGAGGATCATTTTACTGTGAACAGTAGAACAACAGAACCTTTCAGCTCTTACTCTGCTTTCAAAAGAACATGCTATTTTAATGAAACATTTAGGTCAAAATTTTATTTGTATGAATCATCTCTCACTCTGCCACACACAACTTTTTCTGGGGATGAAAGGGCTCAATGTATATATAAGCATTTCTAAACTCCAAAGCACTCTAACTGTGTATAAGCCCCTGATACACAAAAAAAAATATTCCCATGTTTTTGGAGGGATGGGGTTGTTTGAGAAGAACATCTTTAGGGTTCTCTAGGTCACTTTTCGAGTTCTTTGTAGTTACATATTTATACAATCAATCTCAGGTGTAATTGGTCAGCATATTTAGCTAATGTTCTCAGAATATTCTGGAATGAAATATGTCAAGATTCTAAAGTGAGAAACAGATAACCAAGGAAGATGAGAGGTTTGGAGACATCAACCTGTCTGTTTTTAAAAGACTAAGACCCATTGATAGTTTTGTCTCTTAAGAGGACATGTTTTTAACGGTCAGCATTGCAAATCCCCGAATCCTGGTCTAGTCACATATCACTAATCTACAGGTATAAACATCCTGGATAGATGAATGAGACAGAAGGAAGGTGGGAAAGCTTTACCTTTTGTCACCAACTTCTATCTTAAATCTTTGCTTAGAGAGCTAGGTTCTCCCTTGAGGGAATTCTAATGTTCTCCCTTGATTTTTGGCTTAAGAATTAACTAAGAGTTAGACATGATAGTGTCCTTTCCCCTAGTGTTTATTCTGGTTCTAGCTGGGCTTCTAAGGAGCTGACCTCCTACTCTTTTGAGTAGGAGGTAGGCCCAAACTCTGTTATGCCACAGTGTACACATTAAATGTTAAAAACAAAAGATACTGAAGAAGGAGAATGAAGACTTCGAGGAAAAAGAATTTTAAATCCCTTTCCTTCTCCACCTGCTGTGGTAGGTTCCCTGATCCATGTTAGATCTTGCCTTCTTTAGAAGTAGAGCGAAGTGGTAGACAAAACATGAGGTTAGGATTTTCAGTAACCACACTTAAGTGGAAGGCTCTTTTGAGACCATCTAGTCTAGTGGTTGTGGATCTTTGCTAGCACTGAAACTCACAGGGAAATAACCATTTCCTGTTCATATTCCCAAGACCCTAAAAGATGTCTCATCAGTATATCAGAATGATAAATGATCTCAACTGCAGGGTATACCACTTTGGTAGATAAAACCAAATATTAAATTCTTGGTAGAACTATAAAGTTTGGGAAAGATCTTTGGGTAGATTTGGCTCTTCCTCTCTCCACATTGAATGATGGATCCAAGAAACTTTCTCATTTTACAGATGAGAAAAGTGTGGTCTAAAGTGTTAAAGTGAGTTTTCCAAAGTTCCACAGGTAGATCAATGGGAACACTAAACTAAAATCCAAGGTTCTAACTTCTGTTTCAATGTTTTTTGCTTATCATACAATAGGATTAAAGAATAATTTATGTTCACATGACATGTGTCATCACTAGTCTTTTTTATTTGTCTGGCCTTGTAAAATCATTGTTAATTTTCTTAGTTAAAACACGTACGAGAAGATCTTAGTGTCAGAAATCAGGTAATAATAGAAGGCAAAACAGAAACACACATTTCCATCTTTCTTTATCCCATGCTGAGCACCGCAGAAGTTGAAACACACCTTATTTATGCACCCGTCATATTTTGTGAATATGTTGTGTGTTCTCATTAGTAGCTTCCTTGCAAATTGTGATAATGATCTGAGGAGAATCTATATCTATTATCTGTGAATTAGGCAAAATACTAACACTGTTTCACAGTTGTGACTGTCAAGAGCATTTCATGGCAGCAAGCACATGGCCAAAATTAGCTTAAAATTGTGGTTATCTGACCAGTGTACCTTCTGTACTCTGCTGCTGCTGCTGCATATCATATTTTGCTTTAAAGAAATTGATCATGGAGATTGATGATATAAGTTTATTTTTATGATGACTTTATCCATAGTCACTCATACAGCATTTTAGGGCTTAGTGATGCCTTAAAAATAGATCAACCAAATAAAGTTGCTCTAAAAAGCTTACAAATCACAGGCAAAAATTTTAGTGTGATAGGAGTACTGAATTCAGTATTTTATTCAGTTAAATCAGAAATGTTAGGATCATTCATTAGATAAAATCAGATTGGATGATGACATGGCTTACCTCCCATTAAAGAGACAGTCTAAAATAACAGAGGCAACTTCTCATAAAAGAAAGAGCATACATGGGCACCAGAGTCAGCCAGAGTCTTGCTGCAATCTCAGAGATGCTGCTGTCTAGTAGGTTGAGTTTTAGCCAAGTTGCTTAACCTCTCTAAGTCTCTGTTTTCTCCACTAGAAAGTGAGCATAATACTCCTACTTATGTTTATTGTGGGGACTAGTAATAATATAATGTGTCCAGAATAGTGCCTTGCATATTTAGTTGTTCAGTAAATCACAGCTGTGGTTTTTATGGCGATTATTAATATTATAAGTATGCCTATATTATCACTGAGAATACAATGAAAAAAATAAAAGATAAAGTATGGCTTATTAAAATCTTTCCCCCCCTTTTGGACTAATCAGTTTTCATTATCAAAGGGGTGTAGCAGTATTGTTGGTGAAAGTAAAGCACTGTATTATTTTTAAAAGCCAATTAGAAGTAAATTTACAGGAATTACAACAAAAGTATAGGTTAACTAGAGATAAATTTCTTTTGTATAAAGAAGTGCCTGGAAAATGGTTTAGAATGTCAAATTTCTGACTCCTTGAGAAAATTGTTTTATTTCTCTGCACTTCAGTTTTTCATGTGATAAGAAGGCCTCTGAGATCTATCCCTTTCAACCCAACATTCTGGAGTTCTATGAAACACTCTAGAGAGAATCACCATCACTAGCTTATAGTCTGGAAACAGAGACAAATAAACAGCCATTCTATACCTTGACTCATGTGATCTTACAGGAGTACAGCATGTTTCAGGGTTGATTAGGAGCCTGGAAGAGAACAGTCAGCCTATGGGTTGTAAGAGTTCTCAGGTGGTTGGTATTGAAGCCTGGAAGGCCAGATGCTGAGACAGCCTGGTGCCAGAAACCTAGTCCTTAGAGTAACAAAAAAGGAAAAGGATAATTTCTTATGCTTTGATAAGAGTAGAAATTATGTACCTAGTTTTCTGCAGCATTGCACCAACAAAGCATTCTCTCTCTATGATTATAAATAAGGTAATAAACATATTGATAATAAACATGTCAGCTAGCATATATACATACTGGCCCATAATAAATAGAATATAATATAATTTTTACTTATTTGCAGCAAAACCAAGGCAGATGCCCAGCCCAGAATTGTTCAGTGGAAGCCCCTGCTTGGATGCCTGTCCACCACTGTACTGTAAGTTTGATTATTCCAAGATTAGCAGATTGAAGGATAAATGTTTTTATATTTTGGAATAATCTTAGTGGAATGAGCCAGAATGCTCTCTGAAATTCTGGAGTAAAGCAAATATTTTGCAAGGAGAAAGAATAATCTTTCAGAAAGCTTTGCATTATAAAAAATATCAGTGATTAGGGATTCCATGCATTTTGTTGGAGTCAGGATAACTTGGAAAGGATTGCTTTAAATGGGTTATTGATGAGTTAGAGTTGGAAGGTCATTAAAACGAATATATTTGCACATATGTTTTTCAGAATAGCTGCATATTCAGCAATACTTGATTTTAGATGCCTTGAAGAAAGATGCTCTCTCTTTTGTCACTGTGTCAACTGCTTAATAGTCATGAGCACACCAACTTGCAATTTTCAAGTCTTCCTGGTGTAATAATAGTCTCTGCATTTGCATAGTATCTTCTACCAGAGAATTTTCCAGTGCCTTAGAAACAAACAGGTACTATGTCATTATCCTTGTGCTACAGATGGGAGATTTCAATGCAAAGGGAGTAAGAATAGTGCATCAATTGTAGCACTGGGAACAGATCCCAGACATCCTACTTCTCCTTTCATGTACTCATGCTACTACTTCTGTACTCTGAAGTGTGTGAAGAAAGTGGCTGAATGTATGATACTCTGTAATACATGGATTGCCTAATAGAAATGACAGTGGTGTCTCTTGGAATTACGTGTACTGTAAATGAGTTTAGCTGTCATGAAATAATTTGTGTATGATGGAGACAAAAAATTAGAAAGTTACCTTTTGGAAATTCTCCTCATTTGACTCCCCTTGTAGGCAATGGAAAAGTAATATGTGGAGCTTCCTAAATATCTTTATCTATTGTTGAGGTACCATGTGCTGAAAGATACGACTGGACTGACATAACATGTCTTACAACTATGTTAGCAGTAAGCCTGGGGGAGCCTGATTTTCACTCAGATTGTGTAAGAGATTAAGCTTTTTTCCTCAGTTTTTGTTTATCTGTGGCAGGGGGGAGAAAGTGGGATCACCTTTAGTGAAGGAGAGATGGTGATGCTAAATTTTGGAGGTATTCCTGCAGTGCAGAGGGAGCCCAGATGTGCTGGAGACTCAGAGAATAAAAATGTTAATTTTTGAGCAGATGATCAGAGGAGAGTGCATGCTTAGGGACTACTTATGATAGAGAAAGGATGTGGTTTTTCTGTTTTTGGTTTTGGTTTTTATTTTTGAGACAGAGTTTTACTCTGTTGCCCAGGCTGGAGTGTAGTGGCATGATCTTGGCTCACTGCAGCCTCCACCTCCTGGATTCAAGTGATTCTTGTGCCTCAGCCTCCCCAAGTAGCTGGGATTACAGGTGCATGCCACTAAGCCCAGCTAATTTTTTTTTTCGTATTTTTGGTAAATAACGAGGTTTTGCCCTGTTGAACAGGCTGATCTTGAACTGAGAAAGGATGTGTTTTAATAATTCTATTATTTGTTCATAAATAGAACACTTCTTTTATTGTATCCCTGATGGTATCATTTCATAACTACTGATTCCTACATCTGTTTCTCCATGGAGACAATGTGCTCCTTGGGGTCCTAGTATATCCACAGCTAGTAAAATCCCTGGTACATGGCAGAAATTCTGGGAGTTAAGTTTCAATATGTGAATCTCCTATATGTTGATTTTTCTCTTTAGTAAGTTTTAATAAATTATTTCACAGCTCTCAGATTTCTTGGTAAAGAGGATTAATAATGGTATTTTACCCTCTTAGGCTGGTAGTTTCTATTTCTCCTCTTCATCATTCTTTAACACTTTTCTCCTAAGAGAATACCATAGAACGTGTGTTTTCAGAAATTTTGTTTTCAAGCTACAAAGTTTAGTAATTCCATTCAGTTGTGTCTAGTACTATGCCAATTGCTGGAAATATAAACATGAATAAGGCAGTAATCCTATGTAAATCAAACACAATCATGTATAATACCAATAAGAATTTCTGATCCTCTAATACACTGGTAATTTCAGCCCAAAATATTAATATAAGAACTTTCACATTTTATTACTTTGTGCAGTCTTGTTGCAAGGAAATTGCATAATTAGGATTCTGTCTTTTGAATTATTATAAATCGTTCATCTTTCATTATTCCCTTGGAGTTGAACCCCTTGGGATCTGGGAATCCCAGATTAGGTCCTAGTTGTATTGTAGAACCTTAGGAACAAATAAACAACTACATTTAAGACTCTTCCTGAAGATCACAAGTCAGAGCGCCAGCATTAAAGTCTTATTCTCAGTGCTGTGGTCAGGTGAGAGAATCAGAAAGTAGATGTTTCTTTTTCATTTCTGCCATAGAACTGGGGGCTACTGGTTTCATAAATTTACTTTGCTATTTACATAAAAGTAATTATATCTCCCAGTGAAACACATATTTTCTGAAGGAGTTGTGCAGCAGATACCGATCTGCTTTCTCTGCAGAGAACCCCCAGTCCACAGAGGTGGGCTCCCGATGGTCATGTTTAGATTATGTGAGCCTGCCCTTGGCCAGGACTGACTGATCCAGGAGGAAGACATTTGATTCCAGCAGGGCCAGTTGAATTTTTTTTTCCTGGGAATTTGAAATTTGTACTGGAGATATACCAAACTGGTAGTCATCAATTTTGAATCATATGAATGAGAACAGTTTGGAAAAAGTTATGTGAGGCTCAGTTGCTTAGACCTCTAAAGCTGCTTTGTATCTGCCCTTCTTAGGTATTATGTACTCAAAACTCTCTTGGAGTCTGTGAAATGGCCTCAATAACTTACAATCAATGTTACTTCTTTCTCAATTATTTAGATTTTGTTTTATTTATTTTTGATAGGGTTTGTTCTTTGATTTACTTGCAACCAAAAGGAAAAAGAAAATAGTTTAATACTACTAGTCAGCAATGTTTACTGAGTCTCCCCTAGAGCTAGTGTAATAAGTAGTAGTCTCAGAAAAAAGCACTAACACTGGGATTTTGATAATTTATAATCTATTTCAAATATCTGACTGCAGACAACACTTGGGTATATTTAAAAAATGATGAAATAATAATTTGATAATACCTTAATTCATCTTATAGAATAAAAAAAATGGGCGGTTAACTCTACAATTAACATACATATATTTATATAACCAAAAACTATGATATGTATGAAATTCTGGTATTAATATTCATTTTATAATCTCTCAGGAAATAGTGAAAATCTTCACCTTGTGCTTAAGAGAGTGTCTTGGCTGTCATAAATTCTCCAAGGACTGAAGAAAGTTATAAATAAATTAATTCATACTTACAGGCCTAATAAATTGATAGTCTCTATTATCCTTGTATATTTTTCAAATTCAGTTTATTCTCTCCTACATTCCTTTCTCCACTGTCCTATTCTTGCTCTTTGTTGTTCTACTCTGGAATGATTGTATCCTCATAATTAGGCTTTATTACATTTTGCAAAAAAGCCTTGGTTTTCATGTCTGCATTTGCCCCAAGTTCATTTTAAGTGCAGAACTTTTATCATTTGATTTCTGGCTCCTCCAGATTGCTTTGCAAATGTCTGTCACCAGTTACATATTGCCTTGAAAATGGCTTCTATTAACTATTTGTTCTCTTTCTTCCTGGATGTGTGTGTGTGTGTGTGTGTTTATTTGTTTGTTTTTTGGCCCTCGGCACCTATGTAGTAATGGGGCTGAGAGGCTTTTTTTTTTTTTTTTTTTTTTTTTTAAGACTTGTCCTTTCAGTAGTAACTATAATGTACAGATTGGGGTTTGAGCAGAAAAGAAATTATACTCCCCGTTAATTATTTAGAAACATGGACATAATTAAACTTTCTGAATACATGAAATATCTTCCCTAGTGAAAAGTGTGGCAGTTTGTTTCTCTCCTATCGTGCGGCTATATTAATCACTAGAATGATAGCCTTCCTTACCCTTACATTTTAAATTTAAATTGATTATATGCCTCATTGGTTTGTATGACCATGAATATGAACACAGTAGCTACCTGAGCTTCTGCCATCTGCAAACAATTGAGAAAATGTCCACAGTTTCTAGGACTCAGCTGAAGAATGATAGCTCTCTGAATCTGGGTGAACTAGGCTAAGAATTAGCATTTGGCGCTTGGAATTAAAGAACTTTGGATATGACCAACTGTAAGAAGCTTGAGTGGCTGCTGCATTTTAGAGCATATTTGTGAACCACTCAGTATGGCTATGGCCCATGCATGGATTTAATCATTTTGAGGAATATCCCCAAACCCAGTTCTGAATATCCTCAATTCTTAATTATTAGGTATACTCAGAAATGGCTATAATGTGTGGTTTTATCAATTAGACATGCAAAGTATAAATACACATGATTTGGCTACAAAAATTCTTTTGTTTTGTTGCATATTTGCACACCCCTTAGTTACTGGAAATTAATGCTGGGAAAGGAGTTTCTTAAAGCTAAGTTGACTGCTATTATGGAACTTATCATAGACATTGCTATATCTATAGGTTTCTATCACTATATAATACTATAAGCAGATAAGTGAAAAATTCTCAAATAGCATAAACATTTATAAATTAGAGCACTGAATTCTGAATATGTCAACTCTCATTTACTTATTCAAGAAGTAGTTACTGAACACGTATTTTAACTGACCCTTGGATTTCTCAATGTATAGCAGAAAACAATGTGTATAAATAAATCATAATTATACTTGGCAACACATTATTTAATAATGGTCTATAGAAAGCACTATACATTTTCCAAATGGGAAGTTGCCTTAAGTTGGATTTTGGAAGACAAAAGATGCAATATTTGGTCATAGTTAAGGGTACACCCTTTAGAATTGAATGAAATTTGTGTTAAAGTATTAACTCTTCCACTAGTAAGTGGAAAGAGTAAAGTATTACTCTTCTACTAGTAAGCTGTATGACCTTGGACAATTTACCTAATCTGAGTTTATGTACACAACAGGATATTTTGAGATTTACATGAAATAATGCATAATAAGTGTTAACATAGCACCTGGCACATAATTAAGTGCTTAGTAAGTGCTAGAAGGAAAGAAAGAAAAGGATAGGTCATTCCAGAAGGGAGTGCATGGGACAGGATAAATTGGTGAGAAAAAGCGTAAAAAACAGACAATAACCCAATAGTAAATCAGGGGTACTCATTTAGACCTGTGTAGGAGAACCTTTTCTGGAAAAAGGTTCTAGGAGTTAATATACAACTCTTTAAGACTTTGAAAGCAGAATCTTGCAGTTCTTGAAAAAGAAACTTTTTGTTCTATGACTGGCAGGAACCGATGACATAGGAGTGTCATATTAATGAGCGCTATTGATATTCTCAGCCATTTTCATTTCTGTTTGTATACAGCCATTTTTAAGGAGTGGGGCCAGGTTTTCCTTTTCATTTAAAAACACTTTAACATCTTCCTACTATGTCTCTCTAGAATATGAAAGTAATTTCTCTCTTTTATGGGAATCAGTAAAAACAGACACTTCTCACAGAAACCAGAGGAGATGTTCTTTTGAAGTGTTAATTGTTCCAGCATGCTCTCCCAGACTGCCTCACATTACCCACATTCAGGATCATTCAGTCTAATTGAAACCAGTTAATACAGTGTGCATAAGCTATTCTGCAATAGTCCTAAAGGTTTTTTTTTTTTTCTTTTTTTGGTAGTTCCTCCCAACCCTTTTTTTCCCAGAATGCATTGTGTGACCTAATTTGGTATACACCCTACATAAATACACAGACCATGGCACTCAGAAGCATCTAACCCAGTTATAAAATAGTGTTGTGTCTGCTCTCTGGGTGTTTCCAGAGCTTCTATGAAGGCAGCACCCTCTGGACTAATTCTGCTGCTGGGAAATTAGACCCAGAATGGCTTTGAAGAGTTGTCTTTCGAAAGACTACATACAATTTTTATTTTTTAGGGCAAGGTTTTCATGCTATCAGCAGTCCTCTTATAAATCGAAGCCAGGATATTATCAGATAATCATAGCTTTAGGAAAATTGCAGAAAATTGCAGCGTACAGGACCTTAAATTGGTGGGCAGTGGGATTAGAGTACATTTGGCCATACGGGTGGTAGCCACAGGACTGGAAAAGAATCCAGAGGGGAAATTATCTCAGAAAAGGCATGATTTACTTTAAGAAATGTGAGTTCTGTAGAGTGCCTCTAATTTCATTTTTGCTGTAGTCATGGGCTCTTAATCAATGAAAGTATAGAGAAGATGAGATTGATAGAATAGATATGTTGCTCTTTTCCCTAAGCTCTGGCCCTTACAGTATTTTAGACTTACACCAGTTTCCTATCTAGTTTTAAAGACTCTGCTGGGAATGGTAATACTCATATAAAATAATTTTGTTACACTGATCTTTGAAATATGCCCAGAAAGGGAACCCACAGTATTTATGGAGGGGGACATTGGTTCATGGGAAAGATGAAAGGGCATTCCCAGTGTGCACACATAAAACCTACACAGGAAATAAAACAGAAAACACATAGACATGTATTCAGCATGCCCTGAGCAAAGAAATGGAGGATGCAAGCCCTAAGGTTGCTGGCAAGATCTGAGAAACTAAGTGGAGGAATAGTGGATAGGCACACGGTAAAATTGATGTCATCAAAGTTTATGCTCAGTGTCCCCAGCTTCCTCTTTCTGTAATTTTTAATATTTTCCTTAGAATTTCCTCTTTATTCAACTTGACTGATTTGTGGACCTCAATATTCACCCACCTCTTTCTCCTTTCTCTCTCTGTTTTTTTTTTTTTTTTTTTTTTTTTTTTGCCATTCAGCCAAAGATCTAATAGAACACAGAATGAATATAAAACTTTATGACATTCTTCCTATGAGTGTTTGGGATTTTTTGTTTGTGCTCTTATTGTTGTTTTCCATCAGTTTTTTTGTTTTTCAATCCTTTAACAGTATCTCTGGAATATAATTCACATACCATACAATTCACCCATTTAAAGTATACAATTCAATGAATGTTAGTTCTTTCACAGAGTTGTACAACTATCACTCCAATCAATTTTGGGACATTTCTGGGACATTTTTATGACCCTAAAAGAAACTCTACATCCATTAGCAGTAATTTCCCATTCTCCTCCCAGCTCTTACAAACCACTAATCTACTTTCTGTTTCTATGGATTTGCCCTTTCTAGATATTTCCTATAAGCGGAAGTATGTAATATGCAGCCTTTGTGACCGGCTTTTTTCACTTAGCCTGATGTTTCCAAGGTTCGTCCATGTTGTACCATCCATTATTTCTTCATTATTTTGCTGAATAATATTTCATTGTATGAGTATACCATATTTTGTTTATCCATTCATCAGTTGATAGACATTTGGATTGTTTCCACTTTTTGATGTTATGAATAATGCTACTATGAATATTTTTGTGCAAGTTTTTGTGTGGACATGTATTTTCAATTCTCTTGGGTATATGCCTAGGAATGAAATTTCTGGGTCATATGCTAACTCTATGTTTAACTTTTTGAGTCCCTGTCAAACTGTTTCCCATAACATTTGCACCATTTTACATTCCTTCTAGCAATATATGAAAGTTTTAATTTTTCTACAGTTTCACAAACACTCGTTATTACCTATCTTTTGTATTATAACAATCCTAATAGGTGTGAGGTAGTATCTCATTTTGGTTTTGATTTTGAATTATCTATTGATTAGTGATGTGACCGTGTTTTCATGTACTTATTACCGTTTATCTTCTTGTTAAAATGTCTATTAAGATCCTATACCGATTTTTAATGCTTTTGTCTTTTTATTATTGAGTTGTAAGAGTTCTTTACATGTTCTGGATATTAGTCCCTTATCAGATATGTGATCTGCAGATATTTTCTCCTGTTCTGTGGGTTATCTTTTTACTTTTTGGTAATGGCATTTGAAGCATAAAATGTTTACATTTTGATAAAGTCTAATTTATCTTTTTTTGGTCACCTGTATTTTTGATGTTATATCTAAAAAGGCTTGGCATAACCCAAGGTCACAAAGATTTCCTTCTACATTTTCTTTTAAAAGTTTTATAGTTTTAGCTCTTGCATTTAGGTCTATCATCAGTTTTGAGTTAGTCTTTCTATATAGTATATATGGATATCCAAGTGTCGCAGCATCATTTGTTGAAAAATCTATTCTTTCCTCCATCGAGTTGTCCCTTCCCTTCTGTTGAAAATCAACTGACTGTAAGTATAAGTGTCCATTTATGGACTTTCAACTCTGTTTCAATAATCTTTATGTGTATCCTTTTGCCAGTGCCACACTGTCTTGATTATGGTAGCTTTGTAGTAAGTTGGAAATTTGGTAGTGTGAGACGCCAACTCTGTTCTTTTCCAAGATTGTTTTGGCTATTCTGGGTCCATTGCATTTTTGCATGCATTTTAGGATTAGCTTATGAATTTCTACAGAAGCCTGCTGGGATTTTCATAGAGATTTCATTGACTCTGTACATCAATTTGAGGAATATTGCTGTTTATCAGTATTATATCTTCTGATCCATGAATGTCCTTCCATTTATTAGAGTCTTCTTTAAATTTTTCTACAATGTTTTATAGTTTTTGGAATACAAGTTTTGCCCTTCTTTTGCTAAATTTATTCCAAAATATTTTATTCTTTTCAATGCTATTGTAAACAAAGTTGTTTTCTTAATTCCACTTTTACATTGGTCATTCTAGTGTATAGAAGTAAAATCAGCATTTGTTAATCTTGTATCAGCAACCTTACCAAACTTACTAGTTCTAATAGCTTTTTAGAAAATTTTATAGGATTTTCTAGATACTGTACGAGACTATGTGATGTGCAAATAGAGAAAGTTTTACTTCTTCCTTTTTAATCTGGATGCCTTTTATTTAATTTTCTTGCCCAATTGATGTGGCTAGAATCTTCAGTACAATGTTAAATAGAATTAGTACCAGCAGACCTCCTTGACTTTAGATGGAAAGTATTCAGTCTTTCATCACTGAACATGATGTTAACTGTGCAATTTTTGTAGATGTCCTTTATCAAGCTGAGGAAGTTCCCTTAATTACTAATGTTGGTTGTTTTTATTATGAAAGGGGAATTTTTGTTTGTTTCTTTTGATGTTTGTTTTTAATACTTAAAACTTTCATTTGCTAAAATAATGTATTGGCTTTCTATTGAGAATATTAAGAAGCCCTTTTCTAGGATTCCTGAGAGCATAATCTACCTACTCATAATCCATGCCTGACTTTCTCTGGGCTATTTTTCTATGACATAGCACCATTAAAGATTCTGAGTTGCTTATTTCTTGCAAGTGTTTAAAATACTTTCACAGACTTTATATTTACTCTGGGTTGAATAGGGAACATATTCTTACCTTGTTTGACAGATGAGGAAACTGAAACTCAGAGAAGTAAAATAACTTATTTTGGCAACATATCATCAGCACGTAGGGGAGCCAGAATGACTCCTTTGGATTCCCAATTTGGCTCTGTTTCTGATATTGTTTACTATCTCTATAGGCAAATTGATGCTCCTGAGTTAGCTGTAAAAATGATGAATTTAGAAGAGGCTTTTTTTTAATTAGCTATGCTTTGTATCGTGGAAGATGCCACATGGATTCTATGCATTGCAGTTTGACAGTATTGGAGTGTTGAACCACCATCTTGGCAGCCACAAAAGCACATTTGAAGGTCTTTCTTCACAGTACTGTTGGAACTGCTAATCTCATCTTATTTATTTGGAGAAGACCATGTATATAGCCACTGTATAAAGAGGGTTACAAGACTGACTATTTAGAAATTCAGCATGACCTACCATTCAGAACTGAAGGAATTTTAATAATGGGCTTTCTTTAAGGGGTTGCTAAGCTCTATCTTTCTGCTTCTTGGTTTCATCCTTTGTTGCAGTAATTGAATACGAAATGTTCTCCCAGAGATGGTTTCGTGACAGAGCTGTGTGCTACAGCATTATTTTTTCACAGGTTTGTACAAAGCTACTAATAGAATATGGTGATTCAATAATTTGTAAGCTATTAGGAGTACAAAATACCATAATGGGATGGAATCATAGTTTTTCCAATTCAGTACTTCTGTTTCTGTGTCAAAAAAAGTACCTGGAAGAATAGAGTACTTATTCTCTCTAACATCAACTTACAGGAGTTTGGGCTGTACTCAATATTTTACTTATTTAATACCCACAAACCTTAATTATATAGCATAAACTGAGAAATACTAAAAATGGCATTGAAGTGTACTAAATCAGTATTTCAGTGCTCACAACTAATTTACTGATAACTTATTCTATGATTTTACTGTATTGTCTTCTTAATATTTCTTAGGCATACATGTTTGAACATGAGAGACCCATAATGCCTTGTAGAGACTTTTCAGATATATCTCGTATAATCATGGCATTTTATTACCTAACCAATTAGAAAATCCAGGTAATGAGAGCAGGTGTATGGAAATTCAAGAGAGGACATTGCTGAAGCCTGCTATATTGGCAGTCAAGAGAAATGGCATCTGACAGCTTGGAAAGAAAGAAGTGTTAAAAGCAATAACAAGCTCTTACGCTTTATGATATAATTTGGTTCTGGGGCACTGGAATATTACAACCTTATATCTTGACTGACATTCATAAATGTTGGTCATGAGTCAACACATAAAAAACTAAAATTATTTCTAAAGCTGTTTTGGAGAAGACATCAGAATTACCTTTGTGTCTTTTAACTGTAGCTACCAAAAACATTTGCAAATTTAAAAATCATTCAAAATACAAAACTATATAATGCTCCAATAACCTTAATTCTCAGGATGATTCACGTTTATGAGCCTCTCTTTCTTTGACAGTTCTTAGATGACCAGGTAGCTGGCATGTTTCAGTTTATATAAACTCTCAGAGTAGCAGATTTTTCTCTTCTCTAACCTAAGTAACTGAGGCATTGGCTTGAGTTTGTGGTAGAGATGGTGGGGTGGTGTTGAAGGAAGGAGAGACTGATGGCAAAGCAGAGATCCCTGGTAATATGTGCAAGGAGATTTGCCTTGGGTGGTGTACTGTTACTGGTTATTAACAGTGCATTGGCATGCACTAGCATTACTTGGGCTTTTCAGTGTAGATAAATCTTTGTTCTTTTGATCTTTTCGGCCATCACTTAAGGGCGTATTGCATTGAAGTAAGGACATGAGTTTTGGAGTCAAGCAGACCTTGTTAAAATCGTCTTTTTCTCACCAGCCATATGACCTTTCAATATCTCTTTGCCTTACTTTCCTCATTTATGAAATAAAAATAATTACCTACATTGAAAGATTATTTTCAGAATTAGAGACAACATATAAATATGCCTAAATCAGTTCCTGTTGCATAGTAGGTGCTCAATTCATGTTAATTTTATTGTTATTATTATATTATTATTATCAGCACTAGAGAACTCTGAAGGTGGTTGCATTTAAAATCTATGTTGCCTCTCAAAGGCACTTGAGCAATGAACTCTCTCACAGCTTGACTTACTTCCACTTACCTCAGATAGTGTAAGATATAACTGAAATGTATGAAGTTTAGATGTTTATATGAGTTAATTTACTTAATAAGAGCATAGAATTTAATTTTTTTCTGATGGTGATTTCTTTTACAATTTCTATATCTTTGAAAGGTATTTCCTAACTCAGAACCATTGGTACGTTTGGTTTTGGCTACTTGAGTTCCTGAAAAGTATTTTTGGAAAATATGTTCTAGCCTTTGGTGATGAAGGAGCCTTTAGAAGCGCAAGTGATTGGTTTGGTTATGGAGTGCCAGGTCCAGTGCAATTATAATGATTTTTTTCTAGATACAAAGTAGGTGAATGTCTTGTGAACTCTCCTGGGCATCTCTCCCTATCTATCATGTTCTCTTTTATCTGGTATTGTTAGACCACTGCGGAACAAACACGGACATCATCAAGTGCTCTTAATTTGGGTATTGGTGGCTATTTATAGACCAGCTACAGATATGGGGACATTAATGACAGCTCTTCCAAGCGAATAATCCCACTTGAAAACTTCATACTGCTTATGTCTCTTTAAGAAAGCTTTTCCTACAACATTCAGGAGATGGGTACTTCACACAATTTAATGTTAAAATAGAAGGCCATACAACATATGAACAGGAGTATACTCTTAGTAATAATTATTACAGACTTTTTAAAATGTTTATTCTTTATGTTTTTTGTACTTATAAATTATCTATATCAAAGCTAGAAATTCAAGGAAATAACAAAGAGATGTTGTTAATGTGCCTGAAGTATATAAAAGAGACATGGAGGCTTTCTTGTCAATGACTTGCTTGCATCTGCTTACTGTTCTGACTTTTTGTTCTGCTTTTCTGATTGTGCTCATACTATGCTCAGACTCACCTCATTAGATCTAGCCTCAGGTAGTCCACGCAGCGAAAGCTGTTCCACAAGGCCATGTCTGTAGCTACAGCCAGCTTCCTACTACCAATACAAAGCAGGACTCAGTGCCAAACTTCATGAAGCAGCCTCCAGCTACGCAGGAGCTCTGCAGATTTGTACAAAATGTTTGGACAAACTTTGGCCCGAAGAAAACTTTTAACAGCACTTGACACAAGAATGGAACATTAGTTGCTGTAGCTCCTCAAGGAGGTCCTGTTTGGCAGCAGGCAGCATAGTCCTTTGCCTGCCTTATAAAATTATAAGCCTAGATTAATGTACTGACTCCCTTGCTTCAGCAACAAGAAGCATCTAATCAAAACCCCAAACCTGAGCATGACTGGAGCAGGTGGAGAAGGGATAGCAGTGAGGGAAAATATGTACAAACATTTGAATATTTCATTGGCTGGTCCATATATTTTCATCCAACTCAGAACAAACACCTAATTAAAATAATTAATGGCATTCACGTCTGGATTGGCTAAACCTATCAACCTATGGTAAAAAAAAATAAACATGATAATTGATCTTGAAGGCTATTTCAATTTACATTTTGTAGAAGCAAAATTTTTGCATAATGTAATCACATTTAAATATATCCTCTCTTTAAAGATGCTAATACTTTGTTGAAAGAGTCAGTTTGTTTCTGCAATGGATTTGGTCATATACCATTTTTCTTTAAGTTGTATTGGCATTTACATTAAAAAGTTGTACTCTGTTTATAACTTTGATGCAAAAATGCATTCTGGGCTAAAACTTAATATCTAAAATCTTTGTCCAAAAGCAGTTTTCTAGAGTACACACGGAATGGCCGTTTTATGACTCTCTGAAAGCTTGAGGTCTATAGGAAGATCTATACAAAACCAAAAAAAGAATCTCATCTAATCCAGTCCCTGTGCATTTGGACAGTGCGCAGAATCTGGAAAGAAACTGGGCTGTGGAAGGGAATACAATCCTCTCTGTCACCAAACTGTAGAATCAAGGTACTTAGGTTTTATTCTTCGTTGCACTATATGAAGTACACTGGAAAGAGCATGGACTTTGAAGTCACTCAGTACCGGGTTAAAATCCTATCTCCACTGCTTACTTAATTTAGGAAATGTCTTAGCCTCTTTGAGTCATCTCTGTGATTGAATGAGATGATAAAAGTAAAACTCCAGCACATACTCTCTTCAGTCCTTATCTTATGATTTATAGTGTTGTTTGAAGCTATTCATTGATTTCCTATCCATTGATTAGAGTACTTATTCTGAGAGCTTATTTTTAAAGAATGGCTTTCCTTTCATGTATGTTGCCCAAACATAACATATTAAGTCAAACAAATGATGCAACTAATTCTACTCTACCCCTAAAGAGGGCAAAATATTGCATGCAGAGTAAGGACAACTCACATAATTTTAGAGCAAAGAGAAAATCACCACTTTCCTCCTCCAAAATCCCAGGTCTAGGGACTTTCTTGGCCTTCTGGAGCCTCATACTATGTATACAGAATAAACTAAAAGTGTCTTCAGTCATCATGACCAGACATCTGGTAAGCCTGTGGCTGAGGAGAGCCCTTGGCAACAGAAATACAGCTTTTTGTAGGATACAGGAAAATCTTCTCTTTACAATTGTCTGAAGAAAAAACAATGGAAAAGAGGAAAATCTTAAATTTCTTGTCCTCAGAACTGTTCTGTTGCCCATAGCTAGTTTTTCATTGCAACCTTTGTTAAACAGCCTGAGTCTTCTATAGCTCATCACCATTATTCATTTTGCTCATTCAAATCTGTGTATACATCTATCTTCCCTCCTTTATTAATTCAATATATATTTACAGGGTGCCTGCTATGTCCCAGGCATGGTACTGAGAGGTGAAGCCAACTGAGCTTCTGAGTCGGGTGGGGACTTGGAGAACTTTTGTTAGGCCTGCTAGTCTGAGGAGAGATCCTAAAATTCCAGATAGTCCCCTGCCTGACGGGGCTTTGGGCAAAAATTATGTCTTTCTGATTGGTGAGCCCGGGTGCCTAAAGAAGGGAATAGAGTCTTGAGGTTTATACTAGAAATCATTCTTATAGGAGAAACTAAAAAAGCACCAGAGACAGGAAGTGGTTTTTAGAAGTGGAACTACCCTGGGAGATGAGAGAAGAGAGGCAAGAGGAAGTTTGTCTGACAGGCGTTAGGACCCAGGAGGCAAGGCTCAGAATAGATAGGATAGATGGGTGAGTCTTGTTTGGGCCACATGACTTTTAGAGTTCTGCTCATGGCCGCAGGGTCAATCAACTTGTTGTTGGGACCCCGGAGTTGAATGGCTTTCTTCTTTGTCGACCCTTGGCTCAGCCCAGAAGTACAGGAAAAGCGGAAGATAGTTCCAGGCAAACCAAATCAGGGGTTGTTAGAGAGCCCTTTCCCAGATAGCCTGACACCCGTGTCTTTAGTCCAGTGGCCACGCTAATCTCTTTTAACTGGTCGACAGGTGTCTGGTATTTAACCCCCAAATTCTAAGGAAAAATAGGACAGAATGGCAAGCGAAAAGGGTCTGATGGTACTCATCGCTTGGTGATAGGGGATAGTCCCTTCGTGGTCGCCAAAATGTGTCCCTTCATGGTCGCCAAAATGTGTCCCATCTGGGTTGCCAAAATGTGACTAGAGTTTATTCCTTCTGGTGGGTTCTTGGTCTCGCTGACTTCAAAAATGAAGCCACAGACCTTTGCGGTGAGTGTTACAGCTCTTAAAGATGGTGTGTCCAGAGTTTGTTCCTTCAGAGGTGCCTGGAGTTTCTTCCTTCTGGTGGGTTTGTGGTCTCGGTGACTTCAGGAATGAAGCCGCGGCCCTTTGCAGTGAGTGTTACAGCTCTTAAAGGTGGCGCGTCTGGAGTTGTTTGTTCCTCCCGGTGGGTTCGTGGTCTTGCTAACTTCAGGAATGAAGCCACAGACCCTTGCAGTGAGTGTTACAGCTCATAAAGGTAGTGTGGACCCAAAGAGTGAGCAGCAGCAAGATTTATTGTGAAGAGCGAAAGAACAAAGCTTCCACAGCCTGGAAGGGGACCCGAGCAGGTTGCCACTGCTGGCGCGGGTGGCCAGCTTTTATTCCCTTATTTGGCCCCGCCCACATCCTGCTGATTGGTCCACTTTACAGAGCACTGATTCGTCCATTTTACAGAGTGCTGATTGTCCCATTTTACAGAGTGCTGACTTATTCCATTTTACAGAGTGCTGATTGGTACGTTTACAATCATTTAGCTAGACACAGAGTGCTGATTGGTGCTATTTTACAGAGTGCTGATTGGTGCATTTACAATCCTTTAGCTAGACACGAAGGTTCTCCAAGTCCCCACCTGACCCAGAAGCTCAGCTGGCTTCACCTGTCAGCATGAATGAGGGTGCTGGTGAAGAAGAAGAGAAATGAATTAATTTGATATATTTGGGAGTGAACATGCCAAGGCATGGAGATGAATTTTATATGAGTGCTGTAAGAGGAAGGGCAGTATTAGAGATTACTCCTAGCTCCCTGGTGTGCATGAAACTGTGTGCAGAAGTGTCATTTACTGAATTTGGGAACTCTGGAAAAGGTTCATTTTAGGTATGGTAGTGGGAGGATAATGAAATCTATTTTGAAAAAGTTAAGTTTGAAGAGTCTTTAAGATGAAAGTAGAGATGTCAATTGGCCTGTGAAGAGGGATAGGAGCTGGTACCAGCTAATAAATGCTAGGTCAAGGAAAGTATTTTTTTTTCAGAGTGAAAAATGAGCATATTTAAGAGCCCATAGGACTGAAAAAACAACTGAATTAAGGACTGAGAAGTGTTCAGTAGATTATTTAACAAGAAAGTCATTGTTACAGTAGTTTCAATAAAGTGGTAGGGATTGAAGAGCAAATAAGAGAATGTTTACAATACAAAAATGACTCATTTTATTGCACCTTCACTTTACTGAATTTCACAGATACTGTGTTTTCTACAAATCAAAGATTTGTGACAATCTTGTGTTTAGCAAGTCTATTGGCAACATTTTTCCAACAGCATATGCTCACTTCATGTCTCTCTGTCACATATTGGTAATTCTTGCAGTATTTCACACTTTATTATTATTATTATATCTGTTACGGTGATACATGATCAGTATCTTCAATGTTACTATTATGGTTGGTTTGGGGTGTCATAAAATGTGCCCATATAGGATCAAGAACTTCACTGATAAAAGTGTGTGTTCTGTCTCCTCCACCAAGTGGCCATTCCCCTGTCTCTGTATCTCCCCTTGAGCTTCTCTGTTTTTTGAGACACAACAATATTGAAATTAGGTCAGGTAATAACCTTACAATGGCCTCTAAGTGTTCAAGTGAAAAGAAGAGTCACACTTCTCTCACTTTCAATCAAAAGCTAGAAATGATTAAACTTAGTGAGGAAGGCATGTTGAAAGCCAAGATAGGCTGAAAACTAGGCCTCTTGCACCAAACAGCCAAGTTGTGAATGCAAAGGAAAAGTTCTTGAAGGAAATTAATAGTGCTACTCCAGTAAGCACATGAATGATAAGAAAGTGGAACAACCTTATTGCTGATATGGAGAAAGTTTTAATTGTCTAGATAGATCAAAACAGCCACAACATTCCCTTAAACCAAAGCCTAATCCAGAGCAAGGCCCTAAGTTTCTTTAATTCTCTGAAGACCAAGAGGAAAAGTTGCAAGCTAGCAGATGTTGCTTCATGAGGTTTAAGGAAAGAAGCCATCCATATTATATAAAACTGCAAGGTGAAGAAGCAAGAGTGGATACAGAAGCTATAGCAAGTTATCCAGAAGATCTAGCTAAGATCATTGATGAAGGTGGCTACACTAAACAACAGACTTTCAATGTAGGAAAAAAAGTCTTCTAATGAAAGAAGGTGCTACCTAGAACTTTCATAGATAAAGAGGAAAAGTCACTTCAAAGGACAGGCTGACTCTCTTGTTAGGAACTTATGGACCTGGTCACTTTAAGTGGAAGCCACTGCCTAATTACCATACTGAAAATTAAGCCACTGCTTAATTACCATATTGAAAATTGTGGGCCCTTAAGAATTATGCTAAATCTACTCTGCCTATTTTCTAGAATTGGAAGAACAAAGCCTGGATGACAGCATGGTTTACTGTAGTGCCAATCATAATCCTGAAAGTCCCAGTTCTGAAAGCCATAATTCCAATGTTGAAATCTCAGAAGATCCAAATCCAAAAAGATTAAAATCCTAAAGTTGAAATCTTGAAAGCTTAATTCTGGGAAAGGGATTAATGAATTTTCAGTTGTATGCAGGATAGCTGCATCATATTAGTTGCATCATGGTGGCAGAACTATTATTATACCTTGTTATTGTCTTTATTTGGAAATTAAGTATGGTTTGAGATGCAATGGATCCCAAGTTGATAAGGGGTGGAATTAGTGTTAGGCTTCAATTGGCTGGATTAATGGACACCTCAAAACCTGGGTGATAATAGTTTGGCTGTGTCCCCACCCAAATCTCATCTTGAATTGTAGCTACCATAATTCCCACAAGTCATGTGAGGGACCCAGTCGGGGGTAACTGAACATGGGGGCAGGTTTTTCTTGTGCTGTTCTTGTGATAGTGAATAAACCTCATGACATCTGATGGTTTTATAATCGAGAGTTCCCCCGCACACGTTCTTTCACCTGTCACCAGGTAAGACACGCCTTTGCTCTTCCTCACCTTCCACCATGATTGTGAGGCCTCCCCAGCCATGTGGAGCTATGAGTACATTAAACTTCTTTCCTTTATAAATTACCCAGTCTCATGTATGTCTTTATTAGAAGTGTGAAAACAGACTAATACACTGGTAAAGCACTATTTGGGCTGTGTCTGTGAGGATATTTCCAGAGGAGATTAGTGTGTGAGTCTGAGTGTACTGGGTGGGGAATATCTGCTCTTGATGTTTCAAGTGTTTTTGAAGATTATAGAAGTGAAAATGCACACAAAAAATACAAAAAAAAAACAAAAACTCCCTTGCCAAATGATTGAATTGTGTATGACTTCTGCCCCTTGACACATAATGCCAGTGCTTGCCTTCAAAATTGTTTTTTGTCAGAGAATAAATATATTTCAACAAGCCCGGCAACCTTCTGAATCAATAACACTTGCTGATATAGAAGTTCTTCTAGTGTAACAAAACACGTTGCAGTTGACCCTTGAACAATGAGGGGGCGAGGGGTGACAACTCACCCCACAGTCGAAAATCAATGTCTAAAAGGAGTGTAATTGGATTGTTTGTTACACAAAGGATAAGTGCTTGAGGTGATGGATATTCCTATTTTCCATGATATGATTATTTCACATTGCATGCCTATATCAAAACATCACATGTAGCTGGGCGTAGTGGTGCACGCCTGTAATCCCAGCACTTTGGGAGGCCAAGACAGGTGGATCATGAGGTCAGGAGATCAAGACCATCCTGGCCAACATGGTAAAACCTCATCTCTACTAAAAATACAAAAATTAGCCAGTCGTGGCAGCGCATGCCTGTAGTCCCAGCTACTTGGGAGGCTGAGGCAGGAGAATTGCTTGAACCCAGGAGGCAGAGGCTGTAGTGAGCCGAGATCGTGTCACTGCACTCCAGCCTGGGCAACAGAGTGAAACTCTGTCTGAAAAAAAAAAAAAAAAAGTCACGTGTACTCAATAAATATATACGCTTGCTATGTACTTGCAAAAATTACCTAGGCAACTGTCTTTAGTATCCCTAAGTGTTCATGTTTGCCAAAATATATATGTATTATTGCCTATTTCATTGTGTAATGTTTCCTATGAAGTGTTCTGTCATGTTTTTGTATGTTTCTCAAATCCACTTTTAAAAATGTAAATAAGTGTCTTTTAAATAAATTTTAAAATTATTTTTTCAGAATTATATTTTTGAGATTTTAATTTGTTAGGATTGTGGTTATCAGGATATTAGACTTTCAGGATGTTTATCTTTTGGGATTATAACATTCAGGACTAAGGCATCTGAGATTGTGTCTTTTGGGATTATGACCAAAACCTGGTTTTCTGAATATTTTAAGCCCACTTTTGTAATCTGCTCAGAAAAAAAGATCTCTTTCAAAATATTACTGCTTATTGATAAAGCACCTAATCACTCAAAAATTCTGATGGAAGAATACAAGGAGATTAATGTGTTTTCATGCCTACTAACGCAATATCTGTTCTGCAGCCCATGGATCAAGGAGTAATTTTAATTTTCAAGTCTTATTATTTAAAAAATGCATTCCATAAGCCTATTGCTGCCATAGATTGTAATTCCTTTGAGGGATCTTTGCAAAGTAAATTGAAAACATTCTAGTAAAGATTCACCATTCTAGATGCCATTGAGAACATTCATGATTCACTGGAGGAGGTCAAAATATCAACATTAACAGAAGTTTGGAAGAAATTGATTCCAACCTTCATTAATGACTTTGAGAGGATCAATACTTTAGTGGAGGAAGTAACTGCAGACATGGAAATAGCAAGAGAACTAGACTAAGAAGTGGTGCCTAAAGATGTGATTGAATTGCTGCAATCTCATGATAAAACCTGAGTAGATGAAGAGTTGCTTGTTACGGATGAGCAAAGAAAGTGTTTTTTTGAGACAAAATTTACTTCTAAAGAAGACGATGTGAACATTGTAGACACGACAACAAAGTCTTTAGAATATTCCATAAACTTAGTTGATAGAATAATGGCAGAATTCAAGAGGATTGACTCCAATTCCCAAAGAAGTTTTACTATGGGTAGAATGCTATCAAACAGCGTCATGTGCTACAAAGAAATTTTTCATGAAAGGAAATTCCAATAAATGTGGCAAACATCATTGTTGTCTTATTTTTAAAAATTGCCACAGCCACCCCAGTCTTCATCATCTACCATCCTGATCAATCAGCAGCCATCAGCATTGAAGTGAGACCTTCTACTAGCAAAAAGGTCGTGACTCACTGAAGGGTCAGATCATCCTTAGCACTTTTCTAGCAATAAAATATTTTTTAATTCAAATGTATACCTTAAGTAAAGGCTTTTTGAGATATAATGCTATTGCACACTTAATAGACTGCAGTGTAGTATAAATGTAACTTTTATATGCACTGGTGGCATAGTTTGAATGTTTATCTCCCGCAAACCTCATGTTGAAATTTGATCCCCAGTGTTGGAGGTGGAACCAAATGGGAGGTGTTTGGGTTGTAGGGGCAAATCTATCATGAGTGGCTTGGCATAGTCCTCTCTGTAATGAGTGAGTTCTTGCTCTATTAGTTCCCATGAGAGCTGATTGTTAAAGAGAACATGGCACCACCCTGTCTCTCTTTGTTTCCTCTTTCACCATATGATCTCTGTGCATGCTGGCTCCCCTTTGTCTTCTGCCATAAATGGAAGCAGCCTGAGGCTTTCAACAGATGCCCAGTTTTCTGACCAGCAAAATTGTGAGCAAAATAAGCCTTTTTTTCTTTATAAATTACTCAGTGTCAGGTATCTTTGTAACAACACAAATGGGCTAAGACAACTGGGAAACAAAAAAATTCATATGACTCACTTTTTGGTGATAATTGCTTTATTGTGATGATCTAGAACTGAACCTGAAGTATCTCTGAGGTATGCCTATATATGTGTAGACTAATACAAGCTTACCCTTCATTGAAAAATGCTAATGAGATATTGTTGAGGAGAAGTTAAGAGAGAAGACCTAACAAATAAGAAATGTTTCCCCAGAAGATGGGAATGGATGAGATCCAAAAAGTATTTGTCATGGTTAGTGTCATGTATCTAAGTACAGATGTGTGAAAATATGAGTGCATGTGTATGTTTATGGTGGGAAATTGAGAGACGTCCAGTGGGATGTCTTCTATTTACTCTTTGAAATAGGAAGTAAGGGAGGTCAATTGCTGACCATTGGATGTGGAGAGATGGGGATCAAATGTTGGAAATATCATTATAGAGAATAGCAGGAAAAGATGACAGAGAAAAGAGGTGAGACTGCCTAGAGTTCCTTCAGAGAGTAAATGAAAGTTTTACCCATTAGGGAAACTGCATTCTAACCAAGCCCACTCTACAGTGTTTTTGTTTGTTTGTTTTTTGTTTTGAATCCCCTCAGCTTTTATATAGAGGCAGTCTCCATCACATCATCCCCACTGGTTTATCTCATGGTAGCATTATTCTCTGACTCTTATATACATGTGTGCCTAATCTCTGCAACAGAAGAGGACAACTCAGGGACAAAGAACATAGCTCCATAATGCATAATAGAATATTATGCCCAAAATAGGGGTTACTAAGTGTTTATGAAACTTGTCAGAAATAAAATCAGATCAAATTTAAACATTATAGAAGTTCCCTTTTCTTTGCAGTCTTGCAAACATCTGTCACTTGTTGACTTTTTAATAATAGCCATCCTGACTGGTGTGAGTTGATATCTCATTGTGGGTTTGATTTGCATTTCTCTGTTGATTAGTGATGTTGAACACTTTTTCATATTTTTGTTGGCCGCTTGTGTATCTTCTTTTGAGAAGCAGCTGTTCATGTCCTTGCCCATTTTCACTGTTGATGTGAATGTAATTAGTTCAGCCACTGTGGAAAGCAGTTTGGAGATTTCTCAAATAACTAAAATTGGAACTACCATTTAACCCAGCAATCCCTTTATTGAGTATATAGTCTAAGGAAAACAAATTGCTCTACCAAAAAGACACATGCATTTGTATGTTCATTACAGTACTATTCATAATAGCAAAGGCACGGAATCCACCTAGGTGTCCATCAACAGTGGACTGAATAAAGAAAATGAGGTACATATAGCATGGAATACTATGCAGCCATAAAAAAGAACTAAATCATTTCCTTTACAGAAACATATGTATCTGAAGACTATTATCATAAGCAAATTAATGCAGGAACAGAAAACCAAATACCCCATGTTCCCACTTATAAGTGGGAGCTAAACATTGGATGCACATTGACATAAAACTGGGGACAATAAATACTAGGGTCTACTAGAATTGGGGAGAGAAGGAGGAGAATAGGCTTGGAAAACTACCTATTGAGTACTGCAGTCACTACCTGGATGACGGGATGAATCACACCTCAAACATCAGCATCATGCAATATATGCATGTAACATACCTGCACATGTACGTCCAGAAAATAAAAGTTGAAATTGAAAAAAAAAATTAGAAGTTTACTGAGTATACAAAAGAATAGTTCTCAAACTGGGAGACTTTGGACCCTCAAGTGGTAAGGAGCTCTGCTCGCAACACTCACAGCATAGTTTATAAAGCATAAAAGAGGAGATATTTTTAGGTTTTCTTGTGATTGTCTACTATATTACCCCTTATTTTATGGTAAGCAGAGCTATTTAAGCTGATTTTGTATAACTGATTGGTTTAATGTTACTGAACCATGCTGACAAGGACATAAAGCTTGCTTTTTGTTTTGTTTATTATTAGAGGTAGTGTTTAGAGGAAATTAGGATGACTTAAGTTTTGACTGTGTGGTTCTAGTGCTTAAAATAGGGGTATTCTAAACTTGGGCTTCTATTTTGATTTTTCTTTAACAAGCTTAAAGGGGTATATTAAGCATGTATCAAATATTAGACATTCCATACTGGGAACGCAGGGGAAATACAAAATTTCTTGTTTAATATAATAAAATACAGAAGTAGCTATCCTCACCTTATTCAAATAAAATAATGCTTTCTTTTTATTCATGAAGACTTGATCAGATGTCATCTCTTTGAAGTCTCTCCTGACCTCTAGTTTCTCTGTTGAGTCCTACCAGATTATTGTAACATGAATCACATGGAAGAAAATTTGAATGTTTATATGATTCTCTTCCCCAGTCTGAATCCTAGTGCAAAGCCGCTGAATCTTACTTAGCTTCCATTTCTCAGAGGCTAGAGTAGGATTTAGCATTTATAAGATGCTCAGTAGAGGCTCTTAAAATAAAAATGCATGAAATTTGAAAGGCTCACACAACAGAAATATATATTGATTCTGTCGATTACCTTCATTTCTTGGGAAAGACCTTTCCCATTGCTCAGGTCGCTTTGTTTCACCATTTACCTAGTTGCTATAGCCAGAACCTGAGTATTTCTTTTAATGACTTTTTTTCCCTTACCTTCTTCATTCAACCCATCATCATTTTTGGCATATCTCAAATTCATTTGTCTCCATATTTACTAATACTACCAGAGTCCAAGTTACCACTATCTATTACCTGGACTACAAACAATAGCATTTTAACTTGATCACTTTATTTTACAACAATACACTATTCACACATCAACCTACTAGCTTAACTTGAAAAATATAAATCTAATAATCTTGCCCTTTTTCCTTTCTTAAAACATTTTAATGTCTTTTTATTGTACTAAGAATGCATTTTAAATTCCTTAACACAGTGTCCTCAAATCCCTCCATGATCTGTTTTTTTTTTTTTTTTTTTTTTTTTGAGACGGAGTCTCGCTCTGTCGCCCAGGCCGGACTGCGGACTGCAGTGGCGCAATCTCGGCTCACTGCAAGCTCCGCTTCCCGGGTTCACGCCATTCTCCTGCCTCAGCCTCCCGAGTAGCTGGGACTACAGGCGCCCGCCACCGCGCCCGGCTAATTTTTTGTATTTTTAGTAGAGACGGGGTTTCACCTTGTTAGCCAGGATGGTCTCGATCTCCTGACCTCATGATCCACCCGCCTCGGCCTCCCAAAGTGCTGGGATTACAGGCGTGAGCCACCGCGCCCGGCCCATGATCTGGTTTTTGCATGTCTCCTCTAGTTCATGGCATGACAGTCTTTCCCTTTGGTTTAGCCACATGGTTTTCTTTCAGTTTTGGAAGACTCAAGGGCTTCTTGCCTAAGGGCTTTGGCCATCACTGTCTCATTTGCCTGGAGCATTCTTCATACACTGAAAGACTGGCACCTTTTAGTCTTTACATTTTAACTTAAGTGTTAATCATTTTAGAGATGGCTTCTCTATCCATGGGATTCCTCCTAGGGGCTCTCTCTCTCTCACTGTTTCACTCTCTCATACTCCTAATTACTTATTATTTCCCTAAACCCTTATCACAATTTGTAATTGTACCTTTATTTGCTTAGCTTTTAAATTACATTACAGGTTGTAAGCTCTGTAATGGCCAGGAATTTGTCTATTCTGTTCACTATATACCTAGTACCTAGCATAATGCCTGAGGCATAGAGTTCATTAAATATTTGTTTAATGATGAATTCATCCAAAAATGAATCACAATGAGCAAATGAATGAACAGAGCAATAGGAATGAGACAGCTTGACCTTAAAAGGCTATTGAGAAAATAACATATGGAAATGAACACAAAGATATTTAAAAAACAAAAGACATATACATGTACTAAGCTTTCGTATTATGTTAAACTTACTGTATTCTGAACTGTTTCATTGCTTCATATTTCAATTTGCTTTTGTGCTATAAGAAAATTTATGGCATTTCACAATTTAGATTTACTTGCCACTCTTGCTATGATTGATATGCCGTAGTCAATTAATTGAAACAAACTGCTTCATAAAAGAAGAGTCAAATCCCGTGACCTTTAGATGATTTGTGCATTTATGTATGTATGCACATAGTAATGCATACTAGGAAGATGCATAGGGCTTATAGATATGTGTGATTTGCCTCTCCTTCCTGATTTTGGAGTGTTGCTTTAGCTTAACTGAATTGTTTATCTTCAGACAGAGTTGAATTTTGGGAGCTACTAGGTCTTCATGCCAAGCAATATTTGGTAACATTATTGTGTCTTCTGGCTGCTCTGTCTTCATTTAATTGTTTATTTTTTTCTTCCTCTAGGTTTTATTTTACTTTCAGATTTCATATTACAGATTAGCTAGTGTAGTGCTCATACCAAGTGTCTGAAGATAACTATGTTTTTTCACTTTCTATAACTATTGTTTTTCATCCCATGTTCCATAAACTTTGGATTCTTCAGAAGAGTTTATTTGATGAGTAAGATTCTATGCATAGTGTCAGACATGGAGGGAAACCCTAAAAGAAATTGGATAAGTAACTTTGACTCAATTATACTAAAAATAAGATCAAATTGATTATGATGGATGGCTTCCAGACCCTTGGCACTACTGATTTACACTGTAGCCTAAATGAGATCTCAAGTATGGAAAAAACATTAGAATTATGGAAAGCCAGGCAGGTAGAAATTATAAAAATATGAGTGATTTAAAAAATAGCTGATTAAGTGTATATCTTCTATTTGTCTAGGGCACTTAAGGTCAACTGCAAAAGTTTTTTGGGGGATAAAGACATTATGAACTAGAGAATACTCATGATATATTTGTTTTAATTACAACCTAACCACTTAGGATAGACATAGAGCTTGTTTTAATTACAACCTAACCACATAGAATTGACAATAATGCTGCTAAAACTATTCACTCATCCAATAAATATTTATTATCTGTTATATAAAAAGCACTTTTCTAGGAAGGCAATGTAGTGAGTGTTTAAGGACACTGACTTTGGAGTCACAGTTCAAATACCTGTTAGCTGTGTGACCTTGGGCAAGTTGCTAAATCTTTAACCTTGCAAAAAGAGTTAAGATGGAAGTAAAATGTTATCTCCATATTAATGTAATTAAATTGTGTAAAACTCTCAACATAGGTCCTGGTACAGGATAAGTATTTGATAAATGATAGTCTTAGTCTAGTTCTTTTCTCATTCCTACTTTTAAAATAAACATTATTTTAATAAGTAGGTTATATTTGGTAAAAATATAATATTTATAAATATTATGGATGTTCACTGTGTTACAAATAAATTCATGATCTAATTGGGAAGGTAAAATACAAACACACAAAGATAATGAACAATTATAGGCAACAAATGTTAAGTTACAAAGGAAGGGAATTGAACAGTTTTTCTGCAGATATTTAGAGGAGTAAAGAGCAGTTTCTAGCATCATGAGATGTCCTTGAGATAGTATCTAGGAGTTTCTATATATCTAAGACTAATTTTAGAAGCCCATAACTAAAAAGGCTTGTATAGGATGATGGACTGCTTTGTTGAGTTGGGATAACAGTATGGATTGATGGCAGTCCAAGTAAGGTACAGTGCAGTACCAGAGTAAGACTGCAAATGCTACCTCATATTTCTCAGTAATACAGTGGACAAAATTGTAATTTTTATTCTGTTTCTATTGCAGTGTCTTAAGAAATTGTGTATAAGCATGATTGTGAAAAAATAACCAACAGAATCAGAATCAAAATTTCCTTTGGAGGTAGATATACAAAGTGTGAGTGGTAGGTAGACCTTCAAACTCTGGACCAAACTAACAGTTTATGGAGAACATGTTATTTCAGCAACTCAAGCTATATTTGCATAGCTTTGAGAGGCTATCTTCGACATTCAAAATTTATACCATTTTGAGAAACTCGTGCTTTCTCTAATGAAAATGTGTTTTGCTCAATTTGAGATATTTTTGAGTACAACTATGTGCTAAGCATTGTGCCAGTCACCGGAAACACCAGGTGAATCAGTCTCTATTCTGAATGATCTCATATATTTGTGATCACAGGTGGAATGGTAGGTTATGTCTATCTATTGTTGAAGGATAATGGGAGGAGATATGGATTTACCATGACAAAAATGGCAACCGATATAGAGCTGCTCACTAGTTATGAGTCCTTGGATTAGCCAGTAACATCTTTGTCTGTCAAAACCATGCTGACTGGTTACACTTTTAGTTGATACTACTCATATCAGGGGGACTCTGAGGGTCACCCTTAATGCTACTTTATATTTCTAGCTTATGTATTCTCAACTCAGATAAATGGACTATAACATATCTTCACTTTCCTCAAAACTACACTCTTGCTCTCAACAGAAATTCATGCTTTCTATTTTACTAAGAATGTAAAAGAAACCAGAAAAGAACATTTACCAGCCCCTACTTCCATATTTTCTTAGATGCCTGCATCTGTACCACATATTCTGACTTTCCTTCTAGTACCCTACTTGAGCTCACTTCCCATACCTCGTGTGCTAGGTTTCATCTCCTCTTTCCTACATAAGAACATTGCTCCAGAAATTCTCTACTTTCTCTTCTCTTTCATCCATAATCAATTTTTCTTCTTCTATGGATAATATCCTTTAAGTGTTTCTTGGAATATCTTTTATTTTAAAAATCACTTTATCCCACATACTCTTTCAGCTGTTGCTCTATTTATCTGCTCCTTTTTAGAGCAAAATCCATAAGTACCTGTACTCCAATTCTGTGTCTATAATTCTTGTCTTCCCATTTTATTTTGTCAACCAAAAATAAAACTCCAAGCCCCCTCCCAACCAACTGAATGGACCCTTTTTCTTGATCACAGGCATTCCAAAGTTAATCTGAAACATGAGTTTAGGCCATGTTGAGAATGGGTGGTCAACATGCCCCATTATACCTTCCTCCCCTTAGAATTTAGGCACAACTGACCAGCATTAACATTAAAACAGAGACCTTAAAACAATCTATTCTCTCTGAGGCCTGTTACCTGAAGGCTTCATCTGCATAATGAAAACCTTGTTTTCCACAACCCATCATCTTAACCCACATACTCTCTTCTGTTGATTCCAGGTCTTTAGATAAACTCTTAAAACCAATTGCTAACCAGAAAATCTTTGAATCTACCTATGACCTAGAAGCCCCCCTGCCGAACTTTGAGTTGTCCTACCTTCCATACCAAGTCACTGTGCATCCTACATGTATTGATTAATGTCTCATGTTCCCCTAAAACATATAAAACCAAGCTGGAGCCTGACCACCTTGGGCACATGTTCTCAGGACCTCCTGAAGCCATGTCATGGGAATATCCTTAACCTTGGCACAATAAACTTTTAAATCGATTGAAACCAGTCTCAGATACTTTTGGTTTACAAATTGGTGACCAATGGAAGGGACACTGCATGGAGGAGGCCCTGACCTTTGACAAATCTCCTATTGGTGCTTGGTACCAGCTTGGGCTGTCTTTATTGCTCAAACCAATAGGACAGGTTCTGATACCCAGGAGGCTCCCCCATTCAGAGAAACCCTGGTCTTCCAAAATTTGGTTGAGATCTAAGGTTTCTTTTGCTGTATAACTGCTTTTCTGCAGTTTTACTCCCTCCCAACAAGGAAGACAAATTTTCCTGCTTCCATGATTATGGAGGGCAGGCAACTCATTTCTGGAGTTTTAGCTCACTTCCAACAGGGAGGGTGAGTTTGAGTTTCTTCCTGCTACTGAGATGGTAGACAGTAGTCTTGGTCTTGAGTCTGGGCCCCATTCCTTGGTAAGTGGCTAAATTGAGGTTTTATCTTGAAAATTTTCCTTAATGGCTAAAAATTAAGATAAACAACCAACTTGTCTTAATTTCTCTTTACCATTAGAGAATGGCTCAGTAATTGTATTGTTTTGTTGTTGTTTGTTTGTTTTGAACTTTCTTTCATTGGATTTGACCAATTATACTTGTTCAAATCAGAATAAGAATTCTAAATTGTGGGGAACAAGGCCTCTTAGTTGGCTAAAATTTTCCTCAGGTGAAAAAAAAAAAAAAAAAAAAGAAAGAAAAGAAAAAACCATGTGCTTGGTTTCTCTGTTTGGTTCCTTTCTCAAAAAAATTGTTTTTTTAATTTACTTTTCTTCCACTTTTTTCCTCCTTCCCTTTTTGCTGTCTTTGTTACCAAGTGAAAAAACAATCAAGAGAAGGCTTCTAATGACTCTGACCCCTTAAAGAACTCATATAAAGGTGCAACTTACCTCTTTTTAGGGTCTTCTGCTTTTTTGGTGGAGTTTAAACAGTCATGGGGAGATTCTTCTCACGTCTAAAGCTCTGCTTTCTTGTATTGCCTTACCCAACCTTGTTGGCTTTGGGAGGCACCAGAGATCACCTTTTACTATGAGAAAATTTGAGAAGGCCTGGAATGGCAACTCTCCCCTTCTATTTTTGTTGGCACCTGTAACATTTTTTTCTTTCCCTCCTCCAGTTCTAAGTCTGTTGTTATTGCCTGAAGCTGAAATGCTTTAGTTTGAAGGTTTTTTAAAAAAAGCAGTATTTTCCTCCAGTATAACTTAATTCTGTATTCTTGTTTTTTCTTAATGTGTTTAGGGAGCAGGAGCCCTCTAAAGGTATCAACTCATAAAAGACAAATTGATCAAAAAGAAGGCATAGATTTTTTTTGGCATGTATATCTGGGAGTTATCAGAATAAAGACCTAAGATACAGGAGAAATTGCCCATTTTTTTTAAATGGTTAAGTTCAACAAACTATGGATAGCCATTAAAAATATGATGAAACACAAGTGTATAAATCATTGCCAGTAGCCTGTGTGGGGAAACTCAGCAAGGCCTGTTTGTCTAGATTCTTCTTAACCTCCCCAAGTATGCATTTCCTTCCTCCTGGATACAGGGGTCTCATAATTTACAAACAACAAGTAAGGTCAGATGATTTCTTTATAGACAGCTGTATACAGAAGGATGGAGGAAAAATTAAGATTTCACAGCAGGCCCTAGCTGCTTGGATAGCACATCTAAGAATAATGGAATATTGGAGGGCAATTCTGGTGCCAGCAGCCACAGTAATTCCAACTCCAATAGCTTACATTAAAGTTGCTGCAGTTAAAAAGCTCATAATTGGACCTTGGGCAGTCTACTGCAAGACCAGCCACCACCTGTCTCCACCCTTGCCTCAATGTCCTTAGCTGGGTGTCCTGCAGGACATTAAGCGTCTACTTTGAGAAAAATTAGAGTAATATTTTTAGGTTTTATGACTGGCTTTGAGGAAAAGGAGTTCTGGTTTCTAGGACCCACCTTGAGAAGCAAGATTCTAGTTTTTATGGCCAGCCTTGAGAAACTGCAAGATAGAAGGGCAAAAGAAGGCCAAAGTAAAACTTTTACTTCTGAGGCTTTCACTTTGCGGTATTGTTTTTGAGGCCCAACATATATCCTAAGTGTTCAATATAATCAGGCAACTTCCCATGCTGTTGCTAAGACTCACGTATTCTCTGCTCAAGGCTGCTATAATATAGAGTTTACTCATGATGCCGGACACACTATTCCCATGTCTGATTAACTCAATTGCTCTTTTCAGCAGGTTTGACTTTCAGGTTATATAAATGGGCTCCGCATAAGGAAAAGAAGTCACTGCAGAGGGTCTTTATTTTTTCCTTTTTGGTAATTAGACAAAGAAACAAAGCTTTAATGTTTTATCAAAATAATTCCTGTTTGTTTTTATTAGGTTTTTAATTATAAAAAAATCAACTAAACTTTAAAAGGGTTAAGAATTTATACCCACATAACTTCTTTATCAAATTATTATTATATAATGTAGTTTTAATAAAATGTTTTGAGCCTTTTTAACATCTTTGAAAAACATCCTCAATTCAAATCCTAAATTAACTCTCTGACTTAGACTTATTGCTGGAGGCTTGTCAAATAGAAAAATTAATCACCCCAAGGTTACAGAATTCTTCTATGGTTTCCAACTAAGATACAGTAAACACCACCTCCAGCTTGATGATTGGACAACAATTGAGAGACTCCACTCTGCCCCATTAAAAAGGGTCTATATAAAATATTGTTAACTATCCCTTTGTGGTATTAAGTTACAGTGTTTTGACTCTGCATACACCTACCTCATCTAGAAAGGAGCACTGACTTCTACTGAATCTTGAACATCACCAATATCTGGCATGAAATTCAAGTTAACCGAAGCCTCATCTTCAGACCTGGGAGAAGATGACAGCTAAAATAAACTGCTCTCATATGACACTGAGCCAAGCCTCTATATAAAGATGTGAATGCTAATTCAATAATTTTTCCTCTGTCTAAATTAATATAATTTGTTCTATGAGTTAATATTAGATCATTTAAATGTTTAGCTACCCATGAGTTTTCTTTACCTGTCATTATCAAAACTAGACAAAGCTTATGTCCTTTTTTTAAAAAACATTGCTAATTCTATATAGCTTACAAAATCAGTGAAAACAAACAAACAAACAAGAAAAGATTACCTTCTTTCCTTTCTAGCTGATATCCTCCCAATTTAAAACCTTTTAAAATCTTACTGGACCTGGTTTATTTTCATTGCTAATGCCCCACCCCACTACTAAAAATATAAAAGCACCTATCCCTCTTGGTTCAGGTACTATCACAGAACAGGTGGGCATGTGAGATTGTAAGGGCCAATTTTGAGGGATACAATTAGTTGAAATTCTTCAAATCAAGGATAGACACATAGATGCCTAAATAGCTGGCAAAATAAGGGACTTTGCCTCCTGGGTTTTTACATGGCCCCTTTCCATCCGTCTCAATCATAAGGAATTTCTAACTGAAAGAAAATTACTGAGAGGATATCAAGATACCTAGTGGGCCAGGTGTGGTGGCTCATGTCTGTAATCCCAGCACTTTGGGAAGCTGAGACAGGTGGATCACAAGCTCAGGAGATTGAGACTATCCTGGCTAACATGGTGAAACCCCATCTCTACTACAAGTACAAAAAATTAGCCAGGCGTGGTGGCACATGCCTGTAAACCTAAGCTGGCTAATTTGTTGGCTTTTCTATCTTAAGGTTTGATGAATGCCTGTCCACCTCCATTCACATCTGGCTTTGAACACTTAAATTAGCTATAGGTCTTTTGGCTCAAAGTCACTTGGCCATAGCGGTCCCACCAAGGGACAGGATAGACCCAGAGCAGGCAGCTGTGCCGCCTTGGAAATGCTATGGGACAGAATAAAAGTTTGGCCATTGATGTTGCCTCTGGCAAATCTTGGCCAGAGGGGGATAAGGTAAACCAAAAAAAAAAAAAAAAAAAATTCTAAGCCTCCCCCAACCAACTGAATTGATCCCTTCTCTTGGCCAAGGGCATTCCAAAGTTAACCTTAAACATGAGTTCAGGCCATGATGGGAATGGGTTGTCCACATGCCCCATTATATCCTCCTCCTCTTGGAATTCAGGCACCAAGTGACCAGCATCAACATTAAAACAGAGACCTTAAGACAATCTACTCTCTCTGAAGCTTGCTACCTGGTGGCTTCATCTGCATAATGAAAACCTTGTTCTCCACAATCCCTTATCTTATCCTAGACACTCCCTTCTACTGATGCCAGATCTTTAGATAAACTCTTTCAAACAATTGCCAATCAGAAAATCTTTGAATCCACCTAGGACTTGAAAGCCACCCTGCAACAATCTCCCCACTTCCAGTTGTCTTGCCTTTCCAGACTGAACAAGTGTACCACTTATATGTATTGATTGATGTCTCAGACCCCCCCCCTAAAACACATAAAAGAAAGCTTTTGCTGTACTACCTTGGGTGCATGTTCTGAGGACTTCCTGAGGCCATGTCACAGGCATGTCCTTAACCTTGGGAAAATAAACTTCTAAATTGATTAAGACCTGTCTTAGATACTTTTGGTTTACAAAACTTGAACGCATTTTATTTAGGATCTTGTTTCTACTACTATGACAAATCACTCTTGGCTAGGTTAACAATAATTTTTATGTTGACAAATCCAGTGGATGAATTCTCAGTTCTCATCTTAACCTATGAAGGTTTAATATTCCTACCTCTTTGAAAAATTTCTTTATTTGGTTTCAAGACCATTCCTCTCTCTCCTGTTTCTTCTTCTCCTACCAAAATGTCTTCCCTGCTTTTTAGCTCTTGACCCTAATAATCTGCTGTAAAAATACAGGAAAGGTTATTTCAGTCCTCTGTGAATCCTCACCTGAGTTTCCATCTCACTAAAATGAAATGCTGAAGTCTTTATTGTTGCCTACACATCTCAAGATGTACCCCTTCTATATGTCTTACTACTTTCCCTTTTCCTTCACTTCACTCCAGTCATGCAGTCCTCCTTGAGCATTTCAGACTTGCTCCTACCTCAAAGCCTTTACACTTGCTTTTTCTTCTGCCTGGAATGTTCTTTCAGATTTTCACATAACTAGTTCGCTCACTTCCTTCAGGTCAGATTAAACATTGTTAGTAGAGCCTTCCTCAATAACCTTATATATTACCCTTCCTCTAGTCCACACACACTGCCTGTCATTTTCAGCTTGCTTTATTTTTCTCCATTGCACTTATCACTACTTGACATACTAGATATTAACTTACCTGTTTATTTCCCCCAATAGAGTAGGCTTTATGAGGACAGTGATTTGATATATTGTTTTGCACGGTTTTTTACTATGGCCATAGAACAATACCTGACTCACAGTGGGTGTTCCATGAATGTTTGTTGAATAAATGGAAATGTAAAAAAGGTAATAATACCTGAATTAAAGTTGAAATGGAAATAAAATAATATTCCATATATTAGCCCAGGACTATAACATGTTAGTTAGCATTTACAGCTTCTTGGATTCTACATGATTGTTGAATGATGCAAAATAATTCTTATAGACAGCACAACCCTGTTTTGTTGAAGTCAGAGATGGCATGTCTTGGTCATATATAATGGAGACTATCCCTCTAAATATAAATGGAAACTGTAAGCCAAGAACTGGTCTACATATGTAACGCAGGAAAAAAGAACTTGACTTTTCTTTTTTCTTCTCTTTTTCTTTGAACATATTCCCCACACAGAGATAAAAATAGTGTCAGCTTTGAACTTGAAAAATGACATTATATGTGCAGTAGCACATTTTTCATTTTTATAACTTTTGACAATTATGATGTTAAATGTATTTTTAACCTATAGATTTGCATTAATATTGAGTGAGGTTCAACTTTCCATTCACTGGCATTTAAATTTTGTGCTTTTAACTTTATATCTGTTTTTTTCAAGTTCCAGCAAATAAGTTGGAAGAAAAGACACAACATAAAAAAATTTAAGAAGCAGGCACTTGGAAATTTTATTGCCAAACAACTCCACTAGCATAGGCTTTTTGAAGCAGTCTTGGTCTAAATTTGTTCCTATCACTCCTTTTAGTTCCTATGTGGGCCTCTTAATAGGAAATCATATACCAGATGAACATTAACCTCCTATGAGGAGTCTTCCTTATCACCTTAACTCACATGCTCCTTAACGCAGGTGTTCTTTTTTTCCAAACTCTAACCCTAACCACAACACCTTTTTTCATATCATTTTTATGGTGATCATTGTTATTATATTTTTGTACAGACATGATTTTTCATATGTGGTTTTACTCATGCAGTCAAAAATCTTTGAACTGCTGAGCCTGTGCCAAGCATTGTCCTAGTCTGTGGTTACACAGATATTTGAGACATGGTTTTGGCAACTCTTTCCCTTCATTACATTGTGATTTCTTTGAGGTTCAATAACTGAGGTGCTTATCTTTATGTGCCTGGTAATTAGCACAACACTAAATAAATATATGTAGAATGAATTAATGGGTGTCTTCATTACAGTGGGAGTTTCTGAGGACAAGGTCATGTCTGTGTCTTCAGTGCTAAATGCAGTACCAGGCACATAATGAAAGCTCAGCAGATATTAAATGGAAGGTAAATAATGCCAGTCAAGGGGTCATCTTTCACTCTGGTTTGTGGGACAAGCCAACGTTAAAGTACCAGAGAGGAGAATCTGTGAGCTTCTGTGGTTTGAATGAGGCCTTTACTGCTTCTCTGTAGTCCCTTTTATGTACATGTGCCTGCCTAGCAATTAGCAGAGGAATGCTCTAGATAGATTAGCTGAGTGTGCCAGAGTATGACTAGTCTCCCAGAGGGTGCTGAGCGTCAGTGAGGAGGACCACATTTGGAAGCTGATGCTTCAAGGCAGTTACTTCTCTGGCAGACCTTGATTATGTCTGTGACACATGGCATCACTCTTAAAATTTGAGACAGGTTTGGTGCCTGAAGGACTTGTCAAACCATTTCCGGGTTGTTGCCTCCAGGTGGATGAATAAAGTTTAGAAAGTTAATTGGCTGTTTCCTGAATGAAACTTGAAAATTGAACTCATCAGGAAGTGTTTGCCAGCATGTACCCATTTTTTAGGTATCAGTAATTCTTAATTTAAATGGTTTTGATCTCATGTGGTACATTTAATCAACAGTTTTCAGACTAACCCAAATACATGTTGCTTCTTACCAGAGTGAGGAAAAATACTGTGATTCCTTCATATGTGGAATGGAATTTCAAAACTCTTGCAAGACTGATAAGCTTTTTGACATCCAGGACATACCTTATTCATCTGTGTATCTCTAGCTGTAATAGCATACTTTCTGACACATGGTAAAAATTCATTATTACTTTGATGAAAGATTGACCAACAAGCTTAATGTGTGAGTAAATAAATTCATTTACCAGATGACTTGAGATCATCAAAGTAGGGGAGCTCTAAATATAATTGCTAAGTAAAATGGCAAGGCGTGTTGCTGTTCCTGTTCCTGTATCCCCCTTGTATAATTTTTATTTCACAAATAACACATGACTACATTCTACTTACAATAATTAAATTCATTGTAGACAAGTTGCCCTTGATTAAAACACCTAATCAGTTTTATTCCCAGAGGTTACCACTGTGATCAGTTGGCATGTGTTCTTCCAGACCTTGGTTTTTGCACATTACAATTATATTATATATTTTCTGAGAGTGTAAGAGTGTATGCACATACCTATATACATAAAATTATATATTTTTGGGAGTATATGCACATATATGCATATATATACACTCTCAGAAAATATATAGTATAATTGTGCAGTTGTGTGCATATGTGAGTATATGTGTATGTGAGAAAGAGATAGAGTAACTTATTTAAATAGTGGTATACTCTGTAATTTGGGGTTTTTTGAAATTTGCTTATTTCAGTCAGTAAAATGTTTTCAAGATCTATTTGGCCATATTTGGATTTACCACATTATATGTGACTGAATACATGCTTATTAAGTGGTTTGGCTATACCACATTTCTACCTATTTCCTATTTAAATATTTAGATTGCTTCTAAGTTTTCACAGATTTTAGGAATGATGCAATGAACATCCTTAGACACACATCCTTCAGTATGTAGGTAAGTCTTCTTATACCTAGAATTATAATTATTAGGTCACTGAGTATACATACTTAAAATTTTAAGAGATATTGCCAAAGATAACCTGCAAAGTGGCTGTACAAATTTACATTTTCACTAACAGTGTAAAACAATATCAGTTTCCTCATATATGCACCACGATTTTATGCTATACAAGTTTTTAATTTGTACCGGTCTTTTTAGATAAAATAACATCCCATTTTAGTTTTATTTTGAATGTCCTGTGTTACTCCTCATGTGTAAGGCTGAACATCCTCATGCATTTATTGCCTGTTGCTATTTTCTCTTCCTTAGATTGCCTGCCTCCCCTTTTAGTTCTAATTTAGTAAACAATGGAAAGGAGAGCATGGTAATCTCAAGTAGGCTAAATTAGGCTTAATGTAACTTCAGTGAGGGCCTATTGCCATAGAGCATCTCTCTCTAGATTTACTTGTTCATTTGTTCCTCCATTTATTAATCAAATTCAAATTTAGCACATACTGTTTTTCATGCATGTACTAGGGCTGGGGATAGAGTAGGTAACAGTCATGGTTCCTCCGCACAAAAGCATGAAGTTAGAGGGAAACATATGCCAGTGCCTCAAGTCTCCTCCTATATTCTTGAAGACATTTCCCAGAGCAGCATTGCTACCTTTTACAAACCTATTGATGTTTTTGATTCTCTTTTCCTTAAGAGAATATTTGATGTCCAGTATTCTTCTACTGTTAACAGAAATGATCTTCTGTTGTTTATGGCCCAAGTTTTTACAGATAAATGTATATAAGGATGAATCCTTTTTTAGAAGGTATGTTCCCAGCTATTGCGAATCTACAGAATAAAAGGAAAAGTAGATAATTATCTCATCCTTCTAGCCTGTGTCTTGATGGGATTAATTTCCTCCCTGCTCATTATATATAAGGCAGGTCATTACTTCCTGATTGTAAGCACCTGCTGATTCACTGGCAAAAAAGTGGTAGAAATGAGAAGCTGTATAAAGGCTTAGAAGTGGTGAAAGTGTGTCTGAGAAGTTTTAGAGAAAAGATTCAATCCCAAGGGGACTCAAGATTCTACCTTAAAAAAATTATTTTAGGTTCAGCAGTACATGTTCAGGCTTTTTATCTAGGTAAATTGCATGTTGCAGGGGTTTGGTGTACAGATTGTTTCATCACCTTGGTAATGAGCATAGCACCTGATAGGTAGTTTTTTGATCCTCACCTTCCTCCTACTCTCCACACTCAAGTAGGCTCCAGTGTCTGTTGTTCTTTGCATTGTGTCCATATATACTCAATGTTTAGCTCCCACTTGTGAGAACCTGAAGTATTTTGTTTTCTGTTCCTGTGTTGGTTCACTTGGATAATGGCCTTCAGATACATTCAGGTTGCTGCAAAGGACATTATCTTGTTCTTTTTTATGGCTGCATAGTACTCCATGGTGTATATATACCACAGATTCTTTATCCAGTCTACCATTGATGGGTATTTAGGTTGTATGTCTTTGCTATTGTGACTAATGCTGCAGTAAACATATTCATGCATGTATCTTCGTGGTATAATTATTTATATTCCTTTGGATATATGCCCAATAGTGGGATTGCTGGGTTGAATGGTAATTCAATATCCTACTTCTTGAAACCTTAGAAAGAATATTCTTTGACAGAAAGACTTAATCTAATATTTAGTTTTAATCCCACTGATGTGCTACCTTGTATATCACAATGTAGTAAGAAGGTACAACTTCAACTAGATTTACAGGTGGTACTAGTGAAAGGCTGAAAGCAAATGGATATGAGTGGGCAAGAAGACACCAAGAACACAATACTTACTACCACCATTTATTACTAGGAACTCTGGTAAGAGTTTTGCCTGAATTTACTTACGCAATCCTGATAATAATCTTTTAAGATGGATATTTGTATTTCAATTTTATTGATAAGAAAGGTTAAGAACTTGTTAAAAGGTTATTCAGCCACTACCATGGCACAAGCCTTCTTTCTCTGTGCCATTTCCAGTGAAGCTGAAAATCCACCATTTGTTTTCACCATCACAGAGGAGACAAAGGACACCCTGGAGTGACCTGGAAGGGAATTCCTTGTGCTTTCTAAGGCTCTGACCTCAAACAGGGTGAGAAAGAAGAGGTTTAGGGGTCTGTCTGTATGAATATATCAGTTTTTAATCTGTGCTATGTTAATATGGCAAAGGGAAAATATGTATTTTTAAAATTTTGAAATATGTTTAATATGATAAAATGTGTTTTGGCCATCTTTGTTCTTCATATTTTAGTTAATGGAATACAAATACTAGTATCTAATAAATACCTTGTCATTCCACATAAAAGCTCTTATTTTTGACATTAAAAACTGAATGGCCTCATTTTGAATGCATTAGGTTGTTGTTTTGTAGCCTGATGGGATGTGAGACCTTTTTGACCCATCATCCAAAATATCTGTTGATGCTATCAAATGATGAAATGTCATTTATCTGAATGACTGATCAATTTTCATAGCCAGATTTGTAGATGGCATTTACCGATATGTTGCTAAAGACAACTGTTGGCAGCCCATGCAGCCTACTCTTTGCAACCAAGTGTATTTATTATGGGCTTTGGAATCCCATAGACTTGGGTTTGTATTCTTTCTCTTCCATTAGTGCTGTAACCTAGGACAAATTACTTAACCTCTCCAAGTCCTAATTACCTCATTGCAAAATGTGATGAAAGTAATCTGTTTTATAGACTGCCATGATAATTAAATGACGAAATGTATTTAAAGCCCTTGGCAAGGAGGGTGTGTTAAATATATGTTAGCCATTATCATCAATACTTAAGAAATTAACCAAAAGATAGTGTTTCTCAAAATATAGTTGCTGAATGCCTGCATTTGGATCACCTAGAATGTTTGTTTAAAGTTTTATATCCCTGGGTTCTAATCCAGACCTCTTGATTCAGAATCTCTTTGAGGGGAGAGTGAGCGTAGTAAAATTTTCACAGTAGGACTCAAAGAATTTATACATGCTTAAGTGTGAGAACCATGGACACAGGAAGAATTGAAGTGGTGGTGATGCTGTATACCCTGGTTCAGCCACATTTACGAGTGACTGCTATATGCCAAGGACTGCCTTAGGCACAAGGGAAGTAAATAAGATGGCCTATTGTAAAAATTAGAATGTAAGAGAACAATAAGCTCTTGTTTCTGTAGCAGGTACAATTGTAACAATGAGGACAATGAACTGAAGAGGGAATACACATCATTTTGTATTCATGTTTTATTGCAATCTACAAATGCTCACATTTTTACCTTTGAGTGACATAGGGATGCTAAGATTAAATGCGTTCTCATTTCATTTGTGTTGCGGCATGGACTGAATTGTATGAAGAAGTTAATTTTCACCTGTTTGGTAGATTGCATAAAAACTGGGTAGGATGATTTTTGCTTCTTTTTAGAAAAGCATTTTTAGAGAAATGTTTTCCATTTCTGAACACAAGAGAGAGATGTAAGGATACTTAAAGAACTCTTTGGCTTCAAGGCTTGGTCCAGTTTATTCTAATCATATGAATCGCCAGAATTTAAATTGCTCTTGAAATTAGACCTTAAGGCATGCTTCTTCCCTAGAGTGCCTGATTTTTTTCAAGATACAAGGATCAGTTTATGTTTGAATTTTTTTCATTTAGTGGAAACATATAAATTCTTTTGGAGTTGGCTGTCATAAAGTTTATAACAATGATTTGGCATGTCCACAGATGTCATCAATGAAGCACTTGCATATTTCCAGAGAAAGTAAGGTTTATATTCCATATGAACAAGATGCATCCAGTTCTTGAGATGCCTATCATATTGTCGCTTTCAAATAATAATCAACATTCACTTATGTTATTATCTATAAAGTAGTTTTTCTACACATCACATTTGGTCATTATAATAGCCTTTCTTACTATTAATAATTCACAGCCAAATCTGCTTTACTTTTAGGTCATTTTGTCTGGGTTGGCTTGGAGTCAACTTATGCAACCAGGGTAATCTCCACCCCAGTGACTGCGTCATCCTAATGGGAAGTTCTTTTACATATCTACCTTGAGCTTCCATGGACGTAACGCTAAGGTTTAATTTCAAAGTCTGGAAAGAGTATTATAAAAAATGAAGATAGCAAACTCCTGTCCACAGTAGTTAAATGACTAATGTGCTAGACAGTGTTCTGATAGCTTTATATAGATGAATTCATTTAATCCTCCCAACAACTCTATGTGTTAAACGCTATTGTCCATTTTACAAATGATGAAACAGAGGCGTAGAGAGATCAGGTAGTTTTCCCAAGGTCACACAGATTAAAAATCAGTTGTGCTTGGATTTGAGCTCAGACAGACTGACTCCAGTGTCCAAGCTCTTCACTGCTATTTTGTACTCCTCTCCAACCTGGTTTTGAGTAGGAAAACAACTTCACAAGGACCTACGTACCAACATGAAGGTAAAAGTTGTAACATTATAGACATTTCACAAAGCAAAATTTGAAAATGCTATGAGATTTTAGAACAAAGAAGATGGCTTGGGCTAGAGTAGTCAGAACAGGCTCTGTGAAAAAGGTGGGAGAGGATTCATTCTTCAGAGGGTGGATGGTAAGTGATTATATATAGCACAGTAGAGTGTAGTGAGGAAGCACAGTCTTTGTAGTAAAATAGACCTGGGTTCAATTTCCAGTACCTAGATACAGGCTATGGGACTTACTTTTTGGTTTAGTGCTTATACTTCTTAAAGTTTTAAAACATTTTTATAGATTTAGGGGATACAAGTGCAGTTTTGTTACATGAATATATTGTGCATTGGTTAAGTCTAGGCTTTTAAGTACCTGTCACCTGAATGTACCGAGTAGGTTTTTCATATTTTCTTTCTTTCTCCACACGGTTTCTTTCTCCAATTATCTACTGATAAACACTTAGGTTGATTCCATATCTGTGGTATTGTGAATAGTGCTGCAGTCAATATAAGAGTGTAGGTCTTTTTATTTATTTATTTATTTATTTATTTATTTATTTTTTATTATACTTTAAGTTCTAGGGTACATGTGCACAACATGCAGGTTTGTTACATATGTATACATGTGCCATGTTGGTGTGCTGCACCCATTAACTCGTCATTTACATTAGGTATATCTCCTAATGCTATCCCTCCCCTCTCCACCCACCCCACGACAGGCCCCGGTGTGTGATGTTCCCCTTCCTGTGTCCATGTGTTCTCATTGTTCAATTCCCACCTATGAGTGAGAACATGCGGTGTTTGGTTTTTTGTCCTTGCGATAGTTTGCTGAGAATGATGGTTTCCAGCTTCATCCATGTCCCTACAAAGGACATGAACTCATCATTTTTTATGGCTGCATAGTATTCCATGGTGTATATGTGCCACATTTTCTTAATCCAGTCTATCATTGATGGACACTTGGGTTGGTTCCAAGTCTTTGCTATTGTGAATAGTGCCACAATAAACATACGTGTGCACGTGTCTTTATAGCAGCATGATTTATAATCCTTTGGGTGTGTACCCAGTAATGGGATGGCTGGGTCAAATGGTATTTCTAGTTCTAGATCCCTGAGGAATCGCCACACTGACTTCCACAATGGTTAAACTAGTTTACAGTCCCACCAACAGTGTAAAAGTGTTCCTATTTCTCCACATCCTCTCTAGCATCTGTTATTTCCTGAATTTTTAATGATTGCCATTCTAACGGTTGTGAGATGGTATCTCATTGTGGTTTTGATTTGCATTTCTCTGATGGCCAGTGATGATGAGCATTTTTTCATGTGTCTTTTGGCTGCATAAATGTCTTCCTTTGAGAAGTGTCTGTTCATATCCTTCGCCCACTTTTTGATGGGGTTGTTTGTTTTTTTCTTGTAAGTTTGTTTGAGTTCTTGGTAGATTCTGGATATTAGCCCTTTGTCAGATGCGTAGCTTGCAAAAATTTTCTCCCATTCTGTAGGTTGCCTGTTCACTCTGATGGTAGTTTCTTTTGCTGTGCAGAAGCTCTTTAGTTTAATCAGATCCCATTTGTCAATTTTGGCTTCTGTTGCCATTGCTTTTGGTGTTTTAGACATGAAGTCCTTGCCCATGCCTATGTCCTGAATGGTATTGCCTAGGTTTTCTTCTAGGATTTTTATGGTTTTAGGTCTAACATTTAAGTCTTTAATCCATCTTGAATTAATTTTTGTATAAAGTGTAAGGAGGGGATCCAGTTTCAGCTTTCTCCATATGGCTAGCCAGTTTTCCAAGCACCATTTATTAAATAGGGAATCCTTTCCCCATTTCTTGTTTTTGTCAGGTTTGTCAGAGATCAGATGGTTGTAGATATGCAGCATTATTTCTGAGGGCTCTGTTCTGTTCCATTGCTCTGTATCTCTGTTTTGGTACCAGTACCATGCTGTTTTGGTTACTGTAGCCTTGTAGTATAGTTTGAAGTCAGGTAGAGTGATGCCTCCAGCTTTGTTCTTTTGGCTTAGGATTTTCTTGGCAATGCGGTCTCTTTTTTGGTTCCATATGAACTTTAAAGTAGTTTTTTCCAATTCTGTGAAGAAAGTCATTGGTAGCTTGATGGGGATGGCATTGAATCTGTAAATTTCCTTGGGCTGTATGGCCATTTTCACAGTACTGATTCTTCCTACCCATGAGCATGGAATGTTCTTCCATTTCTTTGTATCCTCTTTTATTTCCTTGAGCAGTGGTTTGTAGTTCTCCTTGAAGAGGTCCTTCACGTCCCTTGTAAGTTGGATTCCTAGGTATTTTATTCTCTTTGAAGCAGTTGTGAATGGGAGTTCACTCATGATTTGGCTCTCTGTTTGTCTGCTATTGGTGTATAAGAATGCTTGTGATTTTTGCACATTGATTTTGTATCCTGAGACTTTGCTGAAGTTGCCTATCAGCTTAAGGAGATTTTGGGCTGAGACTATGGGGTTTCCTACATATATAATCATGTCATCTGCAAACAGGGACACTTTGACTTCATCTTTTCCTAATTGAATACCCTTTATTTCCTTCTCCTGCCTGATTGCCCTGGCCAGAACTTCCAACACAATGTTGAATAGGAGTGGTGAGAGAGGGCATCCCTGTCTTGTGCCAGTTTTCAAAGGGAATGCTTCCAGGTTTTGCCATTCAGTATGATATTGGCTGTGGGTTTGTCATAAATAGCTCTTATTATTTTGAGATACATCTCATCAATACCTAATTGATTGAGAGTTTTTAGAATGAAGGGCTGTTGAATTTTGTCAAAGGCCTTTTCTGCATCTATTGAGATAATCATGAGGTTTTTGTCTTTGGTTCTGTTTATATGCTGGGTTACGTTTATTGATTTGCATATGTTGAAACAGCCTTGCGTCCCAGGGACGAAGCCCACTTGATCATGGTGGATAAGCTTTTTGATGTGCTGCTATATTCGGTTTGCCAGTATTTTATTGGAGATTTTTGCATCGATGTTCATCAGGGATATTGGTCCAAAATTCTCTTTTTTTGTTGTGTCTCTCCCAGGCTTTGGTATCAGGATGATGCTGGCCTCATAAAATGAGTTAGGGAGGATTCCCTCTTTTTCTATTGATTGGAATAATTTCAGTAGGAAAACTCCTCCTCCTCCTTGTACCAGCTCCTCCTTGTACCTCTGGTAGAATTCGGCTGTGAATCCATCTGGTCCTGGACTTTTTTTGATTGGTCGGCTATTAATTATTGCCTCAATTTCAGAGCCTCTTATTGGTCTATTCAGGGATTCAACTTCTTCCTGGTTTAGTCTTGGGAGGGTGAAACCAATGAGAACAAAGACACAACATACCAGAATCTCTGGGACACATTTAAAGCAGTGTGTAGAGGGAAATTTATAGCACTAAATACCCACAAGAGAAAGCAGGAAAGATCTAAAATTGACGCCCTAACATCACAATTAAAAGAACTAGAGAAGCAAGTGCAAACACATTCAAAAGCTTGCAGAAGGCAAGAAATAACTAAGATGAGAGCAGAACTGAAGGAGATAGAGACACAAAAAACCCTTCAAAAAATCAATGAATCCAGGAGCTGGTTTTTTGGAAAGATCAACAAAATTGATAGACTGCTAGCAAGACTAATAAAGAAGAAAGGAGAGAAGAATCAAATAGACGCAATAAAAAATGATAAAGGGAATATCACCACTGATCCCACAGAAATACAAACTACCATCAGAGAATACTATAAACACCTCAAATAAATTAGAAAATCTAGAAGAAATGGATGAATTCCTGGAGTGCAGGTCTTTTTAATGTAGTGATTTCTTTCCCTTTGGATATATACTCAGTAATGGGATTGTCTTCTAGATATAGGCACATATCATCAGTGAACAGAAAAATTTGACTTCCCGTTTTCTAATTTGGATCCCTTTTATTTCTTCTTCTTGCCTGATGGCTCTAACTAGGACTTCTAATACTGTGTTAAATAGAAGTGGTAAAAGTGAGCATCCTTGTTTTGTTCCAGTTCTTAGGGAGAATGCTTTCAACTTTTCCCCATGTTGTCTGTAGGTTTGTTGTATATGGCTTTTATTGTCTTGAAGCTCGTTTTTTGATGCTAAGTTTGTTGATGATTTTTATTATGATAGGATATTGAATTCTATTGAATGCTTTTTCGGTGTCTGTTGATATAATCATATAGTTTTTTTTATTAACTTTGTTTATGTGGTGAATCACATTTATTGATTTCTGTATGTTGAACTACCCTTACATCCCTGGATAAAACCCAATTGGTCATGGTGTATTATCTTTTTAATTTGCTGTTGGATTCAATTTGCTAGTATTTTGTTGAGAATTTTTGCCTCTATCTTCAGGTATATTGGCCTATAATTTTTTGTTGTTGTTGTGTTCTTGCCTGTCTTTGTCATCAGAGTGATACTGGCTTTGTAGAATGAGTCAGGGAGGATTCTCTCCCCCTTGATTTTTGGAACAATTTCAATAGCGTTTGTACCACTGTCTTTTGTACATCTGGTAAAATTCAGCTATGAATCCCTCTGTCACTGGTCTTTTTTGGGAGGGGAGTTTTTTATTGCTAATTTAATTTCACTACTGGCTCTTGATCTCCTTAGGATTTATATTTCTTCCTGGTCATTCTTGGGAGGTTGTTTGTTTCCAGGAATTTGTTCATCTTTTCTGGCTTTACTAGTATTTGTTCATAGAGATGCTCATAGTAGTCTCTGATAATCTTTTCTATTTCTGAGTTATTAGTTGTGATGTCACCTTTATCATTTCTGATTTTGCTTATTTGAAAATTCTGTGTTTCCTTCTCAGTTAATCTGGCTATTTTGTTTATCTTTTCAAAGAACCCACTTTTCATTTTGTGAAAAGTTGTATTGCATTTATTATCTCACTTTTGTTTAGTTCTGCTCTGATCTTTATTCTTTCTTAAGCTAGCTTTGGGTTTGGTTTATTCCTTTTTTTAGTTCTTTGAGGTGTGATGTTAAATCGTTAATTTGAGATCTTTCTATTTTTTTTACATAGGCATTTAACACCATAAACTTTTCTCTTAGCACTGCTTTTTCTGTACCCCAGAGATTTGGGTATATTTTATCTCTATTTTTATTTCTTTAATATATATTTTTTAAATTTCCACCTTAATTTCATTGTTCACCCAAAGATTATTCAGGAGCAGATTGTTTAATTTCCATGTATTTTTATACTTTTGAGAGTTCCTCTTGGTATTAATTTCTAGCTTTATTCCACTGTGGTCCAATAAAATGCCTGATATGTTATTTTATCCCAGAACTTAAAGTATAATAAAAAAAATTTTTAATAAAATTAAAATTTAAAAAAAGCTGGATATGTAGATTGTGAAACCTGGTTTTAAATCCGGAATTTGCCTTTATTTAATTGTGCAACTTGGGGAAATCATTATACCTAACTGGATCTTAGTATCCTCCTCTGTGAAATGATGAAGACTCTTACCATGCCTGTGGGTTTCTAGTGGAGGAGAAATGAGAGATTCCCAAACCTGGAGCCATCAAGGGGTTTTAAAAAAAAGGAGTAACATAGTCAAATTTGCATTTTACATAGACTAGGTAGACAATGTGGAAGATGCATTTATGGGGGATTAAGATAGCTCCACAGAGAGCCCTTTTAGAAGCAATATTTCTAATAATAAATAGTGGACTATTCTAGGGTAGTGTTCAAAAGATACACAGTAGAGGACATACTAATACTAAAGAAATGTTTAGAACAGTGTTTCTTCACCATTTTTTATTATCTACTCCTCCCACCCCTCTCCACTGCCCAGAGACCAGGAGACTTTTTAGAAACTTTTGTACTAATTGACTCCACCCCTCTTGAAATTTTTATACCACAGATATACTACTTATCTCTTTATGTAAAGTACCTATATCGGTACTTTATACATAAAAATATTTTTCACCTTTGTGCTTGTCAAACGTGGGGTGGGGAAGGAGAGAAAGAGAGAGAGAGAGAAAGAGAGAGAGGCTGGAAGGGTGGAAACTAAGGCAGAATTTGTATGTTATAATCTTGAGATAGAATTCTCTCTTCTTTGGGGATCCTCAGTCTTTGCTCTTAAGGCCTTTAATTAATTGGATAAGACCCATCCATATTATGAAGGGTAATCTGTTTTAATTAGAGTTAACTGATTCTGAATGCTAATCATATGTAAAAAATACCTTCAAAGCAACATCTCAAATAGTGTTTGACCAAACAGCTTGGTACCACAGCTTAGCCAAGTTGAGATAAAACTAACTATCGCACCCCTTTCCTACATAATCAATTTTCACTCCCTAGGGGATGGTATAATCCCTTTTGAAAATGTATAATTAGGAGATAAAATAGGTTATACTGTATATTAGATTGATTTGTTTATATGTAAGTGGCGAGGTATAGAAAAGTGTCAGAGTTGATTTCCAGATTTTTAGCTTGAACAATTACTGCTGCCACGTACTGAGAGGAAAAGGAGAACAAGGAGTAGGTCTGATGTGCAATATGATGATTTTATATATAGGCAAATGTGCATTTTATAGTGACCTTTCAGTGTATTCATTCATAAGCCTCTCTAGCTTCTTGTACCTAGAATTGAATAGAATTTATTAGAACATTTTTGAAAAGATAAAATGTTTTTATAATATAAGCTCAGTGATAGCATGGTTTCTTCACTTTTAACATTCAGGCTGGACAGATCCTCTGAAAATATTTGGTATTATTTCTTGGTTATGATGTATTCCTGCTTCTTGGATATATGCAAACAAACATATTAATTATATGACAGACATTCAGTTTTGTCCTCGTATTTGTTTTTTAACAAACATACCCATGGATTTAATAACTGCTTGCCTTGTATTTGTGTTATTTTTTATTTTCCCTTTTTTCTCAACTAAATTATGGGATCCTGAAGGAAAGGAATAGTGGCAACTGAGTCAACAAGTATTTAGTCTAATATCGCCTTATTTGTCACCACAGAACCCAGATGAGTGCCTTGCATATAATAGATGGTTAATAAATGTCAAATTTTTGTTGAAGTGAAGTTTCTGGTACCATTTGATATAAATTATCCCACAAGTACTACAAATCATTGCTTCTTATCAAATGACTTTTTATAGATTTATAAAGCAGCAGGGGTTATTTCCATTTTACAGCCTAGATTTTATATTTTATTCAAGAAAGAATGGGAAAAAAAACTCATTTAGCTGCACGCAAGTTAGAGGGAAATACAGCACATTTCTACTTAAGTCTATGCTTTATAACTTAAAACTTTTGTTTTGTAGAAAGAAATCTCCTAAGCCAATAACCATATAAGTCTTTAAAAGTCTTTTAGTCATAAGGTGTACCGTTTTTCACTGTGATTGCCTTGTTACGTACAGACTCTATATAAAATTTCTAGGAGCCCCATAAAGTAATGTCAGTTCTGTGTAGAAGATTTACTGCTCCATTACTTGATATTGGGAAAATAGAAAAAAGTACATCTTTTGTAATAATAGCAAGAACCATATGCAGTGGACTATGAGAGAATTTGGGATTAATCATTGTTGCAGGCCAGGCTCCCCAGAAAACAGACTCAAAACTCTGAGATTTGTATGCAAGAACTTATTAGAGAACACTCAACAGAGGCCTCAGCTGATCCTATGGGGATCATTGGATGCAGTTTGCCCTAGTGAAGAAATGAAGTAATTTTGGTCAAGGCAACTTCCAAGAGATGGTAAGCCTTAGCGGCTAACACTCCTAACAGCTGCGAGAATGAGCGCTTTGACCCTGAAGCGGGGAATCTGTGCAGTAAACTCAGTACCCACTACAAAATCTTTAATATAAGATTTTGTTAAGTTATCACCGTCTTAGTACTTTAGCACTACATTTAGAATTTTGACAATATGCACATACTATATGTACATGCATTTCAGGATGTTATACCAGTCATCCCCACCTCTGCTGGCAGAGGCATTTTAACAATTGTAAAAATGTTGTATACTGCTTAGTGTGCTTATTTCTCTGTTATGTTGATTATTCATTTCAAAAACCACAACCTAGTTGTGATGAGTACTAACTCTCTTTTAGTCTTCTGGTTTCAGAGGCTTCAAAAGCAGATACATGCAAAATGCCCATTTTAGTTTCAGATCTGCCTCTTCAGTTAGTTTACTAACTGAAGTTTAGTGACATATAACTTTTAAAGCACTCATTTCTATTATCTTACTAGATCTCTGTGAGGTAAGTTAATAACATGAATTTGCAAATAAAACAAACATTATTTAAAAGTCTTTCTTTGCCCTAACAAGCTGTATGACCTATGGTAAAAACTTATCTTTCCTGTCAGTTTTTTTTTTTCATTTGTCTGTGATACTACCTATCTTATAAAGATAAAATATTTAACACAATGTTTGCATTTAATGACTTTTCAATAAATGTTACCTGTAATATTTATTATCTTCTTAACAACCCTCTCTCTTGGGCAAAGTAGGAACCATGAGCCCAGATTTGCAGATAAGTGTTTAAAGTCTATCTATTACAAATAAAATATTTTTATATGAAATTTTTACCTGGAATGCAATGATCAAACACAAATTAAATCTAAGCTTTCCCCTACATTTTTTCAACTATTGCATTGATATAATTTTTTACCCATAAATGTCAAACTGTACTTTTCTTCATAGCATAAAAGAGCCTCCTTTTTTTCTGAATTGCTCAGAGAGCATTATAAGTATATAGAATATAAGCTCTGTTCAATTTCAGATAACCAAAATGAAAGAGGCCTAGCTTTAGATTTTATCAGTATAATAATGAGAAACCCTTGCCTATTTACTATAACTTCCAAAGTGACCCCTCTTTTTATAAATTATGTTCATCTTCAATCTTCTGGTTGTGTTAACCTCAAATTTTTCAACTGAGCCATGCGAGTGTAAAATGGGCTGGGGGAAATTTCTAGAGTCACATGGTATGTTAGGAGTAAAGTGACTGAAGAATTGGAGTGCTTGCCTGAATTGTGCAAGATAGAATGATCTTCAGTAACACTCAGAGAGCAAGACTGTTGGCAAAGTTAATGGGGTCAATCCTTAGTTATTTTGTATATTTTGGTTATTTTGATAGACTTTCTAACATTTCTATTCACTAAAATAAAAATGAGAAAAATACAGTACACATATATGGGATAACTTAGTGATGGAATTTGTCGTTCACAATTTCTTAGGATTTGGCCAATAGTGTTCATTTTAGAGAAGTTTAAAATTATGTATGTGTTTCTGGGAAGGACAAAAATAAAATATTTACATCTTAACCATCAGCTTTAGTATAATACTAAATTTCCTCAGTTTTTACAGCATTATTTTTTTGAGCCTTGACTGACACATCCCTTCAAACTATATGATACTTGCCTCCTGAGGGATATGCCTTCAGAAGCAGCACATTTGTTGCAGCGACTGAGAAATTCAAGTTGCAAATTTTGTTTCTGTAACTCATCTAGGCCAAATAATATCTAAGCAAAAAACAGCAGAATAGTTCAAATCGTGTATGTATTCTTGAAATAATTTGTAGAAAAAAAGATGCCAGTGCAGAAAGAGTGAAGTCAGAATAACTCAGATAGAAATTTCAATTAAAAAAATAAAGCACAGGCTACAAAAACAAAAATTGACAAGTGGGACTATATCAAACTATAAAGCTTCTGCACAGCAAAGGAAACAACAGAGTGAAAAGGCAACCTATGGAATGGGAGAAAATATCTACAAATCACATCACTTGTAAAGAGTTAATATTCGGAATATATAAGGAACTTCTATAACTCAAAAGCAAAAAAATTAAAAAATGGACAAAGGATTTGAGTAGACATTTCTCCATAGAAGGCATACAAATGGCCAACAGGTATATGAAAAGATGCTCAACATCACTAACCATCAGCGAAATGCAAGTCAAAACCACAAGGAGATATCACTTCACACTTGTTAAGATGACCATTAAAAAACAAAACAAAAAAGCAAAACCAAAAACAAAACAAACAAAAAAAAACAACAAAAAAAGAAAAACCCAGAAGATAACAAGTGTTGAGAAGGATGTGGAGAAATTAGAACCCTTATACACTGTTTCTGGGAATGTAAGATAGTGAACCTGCCACGGAAAACAGTTTTGAGTTCATAAAAAAATAAAAAATTTAATTTTCATATGACCCACCAATCTCACGTCTGTGTATTTATCCAAAAGAATTTGAAATGTGGATCTTAAAGAGATATTTGCATTTCTGCATTCAATGCAGCATTATTCACAATATCTATGAGGTAGAAACAACCTAAATGTCCATTGGGGGTGTTGGGATAAAGAAAATGTTATATATATGTACGCGTGTATATATAAATACATGTATACACACACACACATATACATATGCGTGTATATATATATACACATATATATACACACACACACATATGCATATGCGTGTATATATATACACATATATATACACACACATATATAATGTTATGTATATATAACATCTTGTGATGTATTATGAGATTCATTTATAACATTATATATACATATATGTATATAATATGCTTATGTTATATATTATATACATATACTTAGCCTTTAAAAAATGAAAATCTTGTCATATGCTACAATATGTACAACAAAGATAAACCTTTAGGACATTATACTAAGTGAAATAAGCCAGTGATGGGACAAATACTGCATAATTCCAGTTATGTGAAGTGTCTAAAGTCGCCAAACTCACTGAAACAGAAAGTAAAATGGTGGTTGCCAGGGGCTGGAGAGAGAGGGAAATGGTGAGTTTTTCTTTAATGGATGTAAAGTTTGTCATGCAAGGTGAAAAAGTTCTACAGATCTACTGTACAGCATTGTGCTTATAGTTAATAATGTAGTACTGTACACTTAAAAATTTAAGAGGGTAGATTTTATGTTATTTTTATTTTACTACAATTAAAAAACACTATGCTCTAGTATATTTACGTATTTATACAAGTGTATCTTTTAAAATTGAAATAAAATATCAATGCAGAAAAGCTCACAGGGTGCATAGCTTGATGAATTTTCACAAAGTGAACACAACTTCCCAGGTAGAGAAATCGATATCCCTAGTGGACTTTGTCAATCACTAACAGTTACACTGCAAAAATAACCACTCCTCTGACTTTTATCATGACAAATTAGTTACACCTGTGAAACTTATATGCCTAGAATCGTAGACTATTTTTCCCCTTGCTTATTTCACTCAAAATTATATTTGTAAGATTCATTTATGTTGTTGCAGTTTGTCTTTTGGAAACTGTTATTGCACTTTATCCCTTTTCATTCCCATATGGTGATCCATTGTACGAATACACCTCACTATTTGTTCACTCTGATGTTGATGGATATTAGTTTGCTTTCCAGTTTCAGGCTATTATGACTAAATCTGGTAAGAACATTTTTGTAAACTTTGGGTGTGATATGCCTTCATTTATTCAACTGGTAGTACAATTGCTAGATCTTAGAATAAGCATATGTTTAACTGTAGTAGAAAATTTTATAGAGTTTTCCAAAGTGATTATACAAATCTATACTCCCACCAGCAATGTATGTTACTTCCAGCTGCTCTACATTTTTTTTTTCAGTAGCTACTTTGTTAGGTCCATAGAAATATTGTAATTTCAATTTTGTATTTCTCTCATTAAGAAGCTTGAGGATCTTTCTATATATTTATCGGTCTGGGTTTTCTTTTATCTTATTTATTTTACTGATTTATATGTATTCTGAATATGAGTCCTATTTTGGATGTATGTATTCCAAACATTTTATTTCACTCTTTTTCTTGCATTTTCCTTTTTCTAACGGCGACTTTTGAACTAAAGTTATTACTTTTAATTTTGTCCAATTTATCATTCTTTTTCTTTATGAAATGATAAAGTGCCTTTTGTGTCCTTTTTAGGAAATCTATGCAGACTCCAAGTTTGTTAAAATATTTTTTATGTTCTCTCTTAGAATTTTTCACATTTAGATCTAAATTGACTTGGAATTGATTTTGTGTATAGTATGAGGTAAGGGGTCACAATTCATTTTCCCTCATATGGATATATAATTAATTATTTGTTGATAAGAACACCTTTTCCCCCATTTAATTATAGTATACCTTTGATGTATATTAAGTAACCTTATATCAGTGGGCCTATTTTTAAACCCTATTCAAATACCTGGTCTATTTGTCCTTATGCAAACTGAGCACTATCTTAATTACTGTACATAAGGTTTTAATATCTGGTAGTGTAAGTCCTACAATTTGATATTTCTACACAATTTTCATAGCAATTCTTGTATATTTGCATTTCCATATACATTTCGGAATCAACTTGTCAATTTCCACAGATGTCCTTTATGCGATTTTGGTTGTGAATTCATTGAATCTGTGGGCCAACTTGAGAAGGATTTATGTTCTTAAAACTTTGAGCTTATAATTTAATGGCATGATATATATGTGTACATATATTTATTTGTCTTCTTTAATTTCTTTCAATACTTTATAATTCACTGTGTAGAATTCTTGAACATCTCATTACATTTACTCGTTCAGAGGTGCTATATGTTGATAAAAACTGTATCATTTTTAAATTTTATTTTTCAATTGTTGGTGATATATTTAAAGAAATGCAATTGATTTTTATATATTGACATTGTATGTAGACAACTTGCTAAATTCACTTACATTTCTAATGCTTCGTCTATAGATTCTTTTGGATTTACTATGTAAATAATTTGAATTAATTGAGAATATTGATAGTTTTATTTGGTCTCTTCTAATTTTTTTCTTTTCTTATTTTCCTGGCTAAAATCTCCAGTATTGTATTGAATAGACATGATGATAGCTGGCATTCTAATATTAAACAAGAATATTCTAATATTTCACATTAATATAATGTTTCAAAAGTGTTTTTCAGTTTAAAGTCATTCCCTTTTGTTCTTAGTTTGCTATGATTTTTAAAAATAAGTGTTGAACTTTATAAAGTATATTTTCTGTATCTATTAAAATTACCATATTTTTTTTCCTTTTTGTCTCTTAATGTGGTGAATTGTGTTGGCTGATTTTTGAAAGTTTAAATTATGTGGTGTTATTCTTTTCATATGTAGCTGTTTTACTTTTTTTTGCTTTCATGCTAATGAGAAAGATTGGCCTGTAATTTTCCTTTCCTATACTGTTTTTGTGTTTTTTAAAATCAAAAATACGCTGGCCTTAAAAGAAATTGGGAAATGATTTATCTTTTGCTGTTCTCTGGAAGAGTTTGTTTTAGATTAACATTATTATTTTAATATTTGGAATAATTCACCTCTGAAGTCTTTGGGCTTGATATTTCCTTCTGTAAAGGTTTTAAATTAGTAATTCAATTTATTTATCAGAGATTAGAAAATTTACTCTTGTATTGGTTTTGGTAAGTTATTTTGCAGCTAGGCTTTCTCCATTTCAACTAAATTTTTAGCTTTAATTGGCATAAAGTTGTTTATATTGTCTTTGGTAAGATCTGAAGTGATGTTTTATTTTTTACTCCTAATATTAGTAACTTGTCCCATTTCTCTTCTTGATCATTTATAATAGATGGTTATCATTTTAAAGCCTTTTCTAATAGCTAAGCAATTCCAATTTTACATTTATATATTATTTGTTACTGATTTTCATCTTAATTATCTTCTTCCTTCAACTATATCCGGGCTTTATTTTATTTACTTTTACTGCTTCCTGAGATGGAAACTTTGATTTCTAGATATTCTCCTTTTAAAAATATATGTATTACAAGCTATATAATAGCTACAAATTTCTTCTAAGGACTGCATAGCCAATATTCACTTAGACTTACCCATATATTGACCCTATTTTTGGCCCTCCAATCCTTTCTGTATGTTTCTGCTTCCTTCCAGTATCATTTTCCTTCTACCTGAAGTACTCTCTTTAGTATTTTTTAAAATATAGATCTGCTGGTGTATTCATTGTTTTTTGTTTGATGAAAGTGTTTTTATTTTGCCTACGTTTTTGAATTGTATTTTCAGTGAATATAAAATTCAAGTTAGGCAGTCAGTACATTAAAAATGCCTATGGCTTTCATTATTGCTGCCAGTGTTATCTTTGCTTCTTTATAATTAATGTCTGCTTTTAAGAGTCAGTCTCTGTCATTGGTTTTCAGCAATTTGATTATTGTATGTTTTGGTGTGTTTTCTTTGTACTTTCCCTACTTGGGATTTGCAGCACTTCTTGAATCTGTAGCTTTTTTTCTTGTCAGTTTTGAAAATGTACTGATCATTATACATCATATAATGCTTCTGCTACATTCTCTCTCTTTCAATACTCAGAGTCCATTGACACACACTTCGTTATTTGTATAATGATGTATATGTCTTTTATGGCATTGTAAAATAATTTTTAATCTTTTAGTGCTTGGATCTATTAATTAACATTTCTTCTGGTTTACTGCCACTCTCTTCTGCTGAAACATATTCATTTTTAAATTCCCCTATTGAATTCTGAATTTCACTTATTGAATTTTTTAGTTTTTGAATTTTCATTGATTCTTTTTCAAAGATATAGTTTTCTGGAGAAATTTGCTACTTTCTACATCTTAAAATTTAAGAATAAACTTTTTAGTGAAGGATAACATCTATACAGAAAAGTACCCATATCTTAGGGATGCCATTTATTTTCTGAACCATGTCGATTATGGTTATTTCAAAGATCTTTTCTAATAACTCTAATATCTGTATCAATGGCAACTCTGTTCTGTTTTTTCTTTTATTATTTCTTGGATAGCTGATTTTTATTGAATGACAGTTATTATATATGAAAAATTGTAGATAATCTGAATGTTATCTCTCTTTGGAGAGGTTTTACTTAAAAAAAGAGGAAAAGAAATTAAGTGCAGCTAGAGTACAGGGATATCACTTTAATGTAACTATGGGCTGGGCTGGATCAAGCACAATGTTTCAGTTTTTATGAGCAAGTTCTATTTTTAGTTTGTTCCCCTATATCTATCCCCAACCTTAACCCTAACCCTATCTCTGCCTTAACCCTTAGATGTTTACCAAGTTAATTCCTTATTGGTGGGCCCTGAACCCATTTTTTTACTCTCCAGCATCGTGTGATTGTTGAAAGTTCTTAGCTTCTCAGAGACTTCCTTCTTCCCAACTTCATAGTCTCCTTCCCCACTTTGCTAATGAATTGACTATTGCTTTGAGAAAAATAAACAGCACATAGTGTTGGATTCATTTCTTTGTACTTTTTGTCACTGCAAAATCTTGAATTATCAAGTCATAGAGTCCTTTTCAACCCTGAACCCTAATTTTTGTTTCCCCAGTCCATTGAGACTGCCAAAAGCTCTGTCAGCTCTCTGTTCAGCTTCACAGTCTCTTGCTTAGCACTAGCTTCTAACAGGAAAATGAGCTGAGGGGAAAAGATGTGTTGAGTACCTTTCCTCATGAATTTTCTTCTCTCAGGGATCTTGGACCCATAAGTCCTGGCTGACTTCGTGACTTGTTTATGACTTCAAATATTTTTTATAATCCATCCTTTTGAGTTGTTCTTAGCAAGAGAATGTTATAAATTAGTTTATCATAGTCAAAGTGGAAATTTTCTCTCCCTCAATTTCTCTCTCTCTCTTTGTCTGGTTTGTTCTTCTCTCATTAATTTTAAAAATCTGTATTCCAAAAGAAAAGTTATAATGCAGAAATTTTTTATATGATTGTGTCCATTTGAGCATCTTTATTTGACAAATTTGTCTGAAGTCACTCATTCATCTAATTAATGACAGAAATAGTGTTAGAATCCAGTCCATTGTTCTTTATTCTAAATATTGTGCTGCCAAATTTAGATTGTTTTTATTTTTAATCTTTTATTTTAGATTCAGGGTTACACATGCAGGTTTGTTACATGGGTATATTGCATGATGCTGCGTTCGTACTGGGTATGAATGATTCCATCACCCCAGTACTGAGGTTAGTACTAAACAGTTAGTTTTTCAACCCTTATCTCCCCTGCTCCCTGTCTAGTAGTCCTCAGTGTCTATTATTGGCATTTTTAAGTCTACAAGTGCCCAGTCTTTAGCTCCCACTTATAAATGAGAATATGCAGTATTTGTTTTTCTGTTCCTGTGTTAATTTACTTAGGATAATGGTCTCTAGCTGCATCCGTGTTGCTGCAAAGGACATGATTTTGTTTTTTTCTGTGGATGTGTAGTATTCCATGGTGTGCATGTAGCACATTGTCTTTATCCAACCCACTGTTGGTGAGCACTAGGTTGATTTCACACCTGCTGTTACAAATAGTGCTGCTGTGAATGTACAAGTGCATATTTTGGTAGAACAATTTGTTTTCTTTTGGGTATACACCAAGTAATGGGACTGCTGGGTTAAATGGTAGTTGTGTTTAAAGTTTTTTGAGAAATTTCCACACTGCTTTCCACAGTGGCTGAATTCATTTACATTCTCACGAGCAGTGTATAAGCATTTCCTTTATGCTGCAACCTTGTCAGTGTCTGTTGTTTTTTGACTTTTTAATAATAGCCATTCTGACTGGTATGAGATAGTATTTCATTGTGATTTTGATTTGCATTTCTTTTTTTCTTTTCTTTCTTTTTTTTTTTTTTAGGTGGAATCTCGTTCTGTCGCCAGGCTGGAGTGCAGTGGTATGATCTCGGCTCACTGCAATCTCTGCCACCTGGGTTTAAGCGATTCTCGTGCCTCAGCCTCCCCAGTATCTGGGGTTACAGGCATGCACCAGCACACCCAGCTAAATTTTGTATTTTTATTAGAGATGTGGTTTCACCATGTTGGTTAGGCTGGTCTCGATCTCCTGACGTTGTGATCCACCCGCCTCAGCCTCCCAAAGCTCTGGGATTACAGGCCTGAGCCACCGTGCCTGGCCTGATTGGCATTTCTCTGATGATTACTGATGTAGAGAATTTTTTCATATGTTCGTTACTAGGAAGATAAATGAATCACTATTTCATTAGTTAATTGACCCATATTTTTGTACTTTTCTCTAAGTTCTACACTTTAGGCCATGAGGACTTTTGTACTCACCATGAATTTTTTTTTTTTTTTTTTTTTTTTGAGACAGAGTCTTGCTCTGTCGCCCAGGCTGGAGTGCAGTGGCACCATCTCGGTTCAAGCTCTGCCTCCTGGGTTCACGCCATTCTCCTATCTCAGCCTCCCGAGTAGCTGGGACTACAGGCGCCCACCACCACGCCAGGCTAATTTTTTTTTTTTTTTTTTTTGTATTTTTAGTAGAGATGGGGTTTCACCGTGTTAGGCAGGATGGTCTCGATCTCCTGACCTTGTGATCCACCCACCTAGGCCTCCCAAAGTGCTGGGATTACAGGCGTGAGCCACCACGCCCGGCCTGTACTCACTATATTTTTTCCTGTCTGCCAGGTTTTAAGAGATTAGTAAGGATAAAGTTTATACTATATGCTAACCTGTATCTTCACCTCACTGGATCAGTCATCTTATGTGGTAGACAGGGAAGGTATAATTATGCCTAGTTGACAGATGACACAAATTAGTCTCAGAGAGGTAACATGGTTTCCCAAGTTGGCAGACCCCACACTACATTCTGAATCTTTTTCTTTAGTGTTTTTTTCCTCCTAAAGCAGATGGCACCTCATCAACCTTTATGGAAATCATGGAATGGCAGGGCTGGAAGGTAATTCAATGATAATTTAGTTCAATTTTTGTCAATTTACAGAGAGAAAACTGAGGCCATAGAGGTGAAGTGCCTTCCTTATAGTCGATTAGCTAGGATGTCACTGCATTGGAACCAGAGTTCAGGCCCCAGATTCATTCCTTTACTTGTGATAGAATAAAAGCCAAACTAGAGCAGATATGACAATGTAGAAAAAAATTTAAAAAGCGTAATGTAGTGGAAACAATAGGGCAAGTAGCGTATAGAGTAGTAAATAAATTGATTTAAGAAAGGCTTTAGCTAGGAACAGTGAAATGATTCTGAGCTCCAAAGATGACTAAACACAGAACTATACAATGAGGAGGGTCTGAAGAATTTCCATTTTCCTGCCAGTTCACAGGCAACAAAAGCAAGTGCATTTCTAAGGATGCTTCCAATGTTGTGATTCTTAGACCTTCCCAAATTGATAAAATAACGGGAAGGCTTGCATATTTTTCTCTTCTTTTTAAAATTGTGCATAGCAACACAAGGTAAAGATACAAAGATGTTTCCTTTGGCAACCAATTTGCATACCAGTAAATACATGTTAATGACTCTAGTGCTTATATCAGTCATTACATTGCCAAATCCTTTTAACAACAGTGAAGTAATTATAAGTAGATCAAAACATTCACTGCTATATCTTATAAATTCATTACCAAGTTTCTGTTTTGCTTATGTTGTTAAAATAGAACAAATGTGGCTCACAGTTTTCAAGGTATATAATGCAAAATGTTTGGCCCTTTATGAAAACCTCTATTCTCTCCTGAAATTCTTTTGTCAGTTAATATTTAAATTTTATGAGTTTTAAGTTTTAAACAAAGGGACTACTTTGATTTCAAAGACAACCACTTCGTGAGTAGTAAGAATTCAGTTTGATATTACAGAATGGAATTTTCTTATTTAGAAATAGACTATGAACTCCCAACGATGATGTTTGTTCATTTATCCAAACTTTCCCATGCTCGTCTGATTTTTGTCACCTAGGAACCTTCATTATACCTCCTTGCCCTTTATAATGACATTTTCAACATTAGAGAACATTCTCTTCACTTTTCTTGCATATTGATTTTCATTCTTGGAGCAAATATGCTCAGTCTTTTCTTCTTGATCCAAAAGAGAAATTTTCTAGCCATTCTTTTAAAAATTTATCTTGCTGAGAAGTGTCTTTCTAGCTATTTTATCATTATTTAGAATTTTAAATACATTACCTACTAATCACTTTGATTGATAAGACCTACAGCACAAAAGCTACTACATTTTCAAACGACACTCAAAAAGCATGACTTATCAGATGGCTTGAGGGTCTATTATCACTTACTAGGTGCGTGTTTTGTGCCAAGTCTATCCTGGGTGCTTTTGCATGCAATTTAATTTATACTTTACTTTTACCACACCCTCTGAGGAAGATATAATTAGATAATTAACTCTATTTTAAAGACTAGAAAAAATGAGACTTTGAGTGACTAGCCAAGGTTATACAGCTGCTAAATTTTGGGATTAAGGTCTAATTTCTTAGTCATAGTTTTTCACAACTCCGCACTATAAATGTATTCAAACATTTTCCACGCCTCCTTCTAATATTCATCACATATGTAATATTTTTTTCAATATCTGTTTTCTCTGCTAGCACAAGAGCAGAAACTGTGTCTGTTTTGTTTATTAATATATTCCCAGCCCTTAGCATAGTGCTTGGCACGTAGTTAAACCTGAATACAACTTGTAGAATGAGTGAATTGATAAATTAATGAAAGAACTTACATTTTAAATTTATATTTCATTTCTTGGGGAGGGAATTTATATAGTATATATCTCTGCAAATTTGAATAATTTGATAAGTAATCAAGCAAATTTTGGGGGAATGCCAATGGTCTATCTTCTTACAGAGTTAGAATAAACATGCCTGCTTTTACTGCAAGTATATATTTCTTCCAGTAGAGTTAAGTCAATACTGCTGGACTGAAACTGGTAAGAATGTGATGATTATACATCATTGTGTCCTAACATCTAGTTAAAGTTCTGAGGCACTATTGACAGGCTAGAAACAACCCTCTTCATTTACCTGAAGAATGTGAAAATAATAGGAACTTAATGCATTTTACCCTGTTTAAGAAGCATGACAATGCTTCAGACTTGATGACTTTGAAATCTGTTGTTCTTCATGGTGCACTGGCGCTTGGCTGTCTCGCTTAATCATTGTGGCATTAATGATGCCACTAGTGGCTTGAGGCTTTAACTGGGTACTCAGACCCAGCTAGACGAAAAAGGGAAATCTATTAAGCCTTACAATAATGCTAATGCAGAGCAAACAGAGACTGAGTGCCCAGCAAATCACAAATTTGTTGAGATTAAAAAAGCATGAGTAGGTTTTATACATTGAGACATGATTGAAAGAATCTGACTTTGAAATCCACATAGAAATTGAGTGGTAATCAAGTTTGACATAAAATATATTAAGTGCATAACAAATCACATCGTTTTATATAAATCTTCTGTTCATTAAATATCTTTGATTTTTTCTTGTCTTAAACCAGCCTTCTCTGAGAGGAGGGCTCAGAAAAGACATCTCTAACATGTACTCGTCCAACATTGAACAAAACTCTGGCCACTTTCTTGAGGGAAGTTTTGAAACCTATCATGAGAGGAGTGGAATGAGAAGGCATTGGAAATGCCATTGTCTTCCTGTTTGTTCCTTTCTTCCTGCATTTACGGTAGTGAAACTTCAAGCTGGAGGTGATATTTTCTTGGGATCTTGGTGATGCTTTCTTTGGAAAGCCTAGGTAAGGCCTAAAGAAACGAAAGACAAAGTCTTGTTCTTTAGGCCAAGTACTGTTTTCTGCTTTTAGAAAGGATTCTTTTTTATATTTTCTTCTATGTGGTCTAGCCGAGGTAATTAGAGTAAGAGGGCAAGCAAAGACATAGGACAGCAGCCTATTAGGAATTTTTTAGTGTACATTTTTAATTCCTTCTTTGTTCCCACTAAAGACTTCATGAACCTTTTTACCCTCAGTTCAGAAGATGTATGTGTGCAGTGTGTGTGTGTGTGTGTGTGTGTGTGTGTGTGTGTGATGACACAGTGGGTCAGTTCTCTTCCTGGGAAGGTTGGAGTTCCTTCAGAATGTAAGCATTGTGGGTTCTGACAATTGGAAAGACTGGACATCTAGCCAAGGTGAAGAGGGTCTCCTAACAATTTCTGATAGCTAGAGATTCCCATCATAGATGTATAGGTTCAAATTAGGTAAATTATTGGAAAGGGAATGAGAAATCTGGCAATATATTAGATATTAGCGAATTAATGACTTTTTGTTTTGATGTAACTAGCTTTCTTCTAACTATATTTTCCCCATCATTTTACCCCCTAAGTTTTGGTTATAAACCTTACATCTCTTTATATGCTGGAAAGCTTTCCTAGAACTCTTTAAACTCTGGGTGTTTGGTAGATTCTTACATTACTGATGGTAATAGTTCTTGTAAAGAATATTCACTTACGTCCCGGTTTATATTTCCTAACATTCTGTGCCATGAGAAAGTATCAGCAGCATTTCTGCTACCAATTATGTACTACAACTAAAAATAATTTTGAGCAATTTCAGCTATTATCACATGTTTATTGAGAACCTAGTGCAGATAATTACTGGCATCTAGTGTGTAGAGGCCAGAGATTCTGCTAAACATCCTACAGTGTACAGCCCCTCCAACAAAAAATAAAATGTCAATAATGTTCAGATTGAGGAATTTTTATCTAATGATATAGCAAATACTTGTGGCCAGTCTTCCATATTGCAGACATAGTGCTAGGTGCTAGAGATAGGATGACCAACACAGCAGATAGATCTTTACCCTCACGGAAATAGTCTATTTAGGAAGATACAAATTTTTTAAATACTCCTAAAATCTACTAATTCCTTTTGCCAAGGGGGCTTATGAGCTGAGTTCTGATATACGATATAATTGGTACCACGAGACTGGAAATAATTTAACTCACTATAGGATGGATTTTGCAAGTCCTGAATCCCTAAGTCTATGAACTTTGACATACGTGCTGAGTTTTTATGTGCAGCAGATTGAAAGGGTAAAACTCATGGTTTTCTTCTTTAGGAATCTCACAATATACTCATAGAGAATGACGAATGTATACAAAGTACTTGAAGAACAAAGCAACCATATGTATTCATATCATGGAGGTATAGGGTTATTGAATTTTAATGCTAATCAAAGTAGCTTAACCCCTTTATTTAACTTTGCTGGCTAAAGGGAAGAACTTTAGGCAATATAAAAATAACAAAGAGCGTAAGAACACATTATTCATTTCTCCATGTTCTCAGATTGTTGTTCATGTTAATGCATTTATGCATAGTTTTAATTTAAGTATGCAAGTAATTTTTTAATCTTGATTTTCTCCCATAAAAATCTGCTTTCTATTCTGTTGAAGTATTCACATTTATTATTTTAATGACTTCACAAAATCCCATTGTTTTGATGGACCCTAATTTACATTGTCCCGACTCTATTTTTACAGATGACAAAACTGAAGCCACAGATATTGAATCGCTCAACTAAATAATAGGATAATGTTTTAAAAATTGATAGTGTCCAATTGATAGTGTCCAGTGGTTTTAAAATGGATACATAATCAATATAAAGAAGTCTAAAGGTTATTTCTCACATTTCTCTGGACTCCACAGGTGGAAAAGACAATGTATGATTGCAGATTCCCAAGGGGTCCTGTTAAGGTCTCTCTCTGGTCAGCCTTATCTTAATCATGGCTGTAGAGTACCACGATAGTAAGTGATCTTTTATTCCCCATCCTGTCTTTAATTTGATAGACTTCCTGAGGACTTCTTGTGTTGCATATGGAATATATCCATTTCTAAGCGATTTAAGCCTGTGGTTTGACATGTTATAACAAAAACTAATATTGCATAGAAGGACAATTAACAGGAGAAAGATGGTTAGTTTTCTTGTTAACATTCATTAATCTTGAAATCTAGTCATTTTTAGTCTGACAGTTTGACAGTAGGTGCTTTTATATTTAAAAATCATGAAATAATTGCTTTGTGTCATGTATTGAAGGTCAAAAAAAGGTATTGCTCTATAAAACAAGATACTATCAAAGCTGAGAAAATTATCTTTAGTAAAATAAATTAGTAGACTATTAGGAAGGCAACTTTTGCACATTTTACTTACTATGAATGAAAGCTAGAAAAGGGATCTCTCAGGCAACAGGAGTAGAATTCTCGTGGAGATAACAGGTAAAACTCTCACTTAGTGAGAATTGTATTTTTACCTACTAATGATCAGAATGTCTTTTAGTTAGAGAAGAAATGTCTATTTGACATTTACTGGTGATTTTTTGCAAAACTGTATTTAGGATATGTCCTTAAGAAATGTGAGCACTACCATGAGACATTCATTTTTTATTTAGTTTTTTTCCTACTTGAATTTTAAAAATGATACTTTTTATTTATTTTAAAATAATTTCTGTATAATTTTATATTTTCATTTACCAAGTACTTTGACAGAGATTTGTCCCAGTTATTTTAATAGCCCAGAGGTATGAGTGACTTTGTTCCCATCTTGCAGATGAGAAAACAGATACTCAGGGAGATTATGTAATACATTATATTCTAGATAACACAGCTAAGAAATGGCCCACATGTTCATTGAGGCTAAACCTTCTCACTCCAAAAGCTATGAAGTCTGAATTAGAATGCCTCAACCTGAAAAGGTCAAATTGATCATTGTTTAGTACAATGACTCTACATATGAACTCTTGGATTTCAATTTTTAAAGGAGTCTTAAAATTGAAATGTTCTTGTCTTATTTGCTAGCATTTCATTGTATTTAGATTTCAAAATGTTTGCCATGAGAAGTATTATGGTAATGATTTGCCCACTCTACTAATGAAATGCCCAAGGTACTTAATGAGGAAATTAAGATATGCACTAAAATCGAGGGACAACAATCTAGGAACAGCAAGCACTTGGTAAATATAGTCTTAGTGTCACTAGGCTGTTTATAAGAAGAATAATTTCCCTGATCATAAAATAAGGAAATTTCAGATTTGGAGGGAAATTGTGTAGAAGAAGAAAGAAGAAAATAGAACTCACCTACATTTGTGCCACTAAGAGATAACTATCTCTATATTTTAGCATCTTATTTCCCACTGTGTTCTATGGAAAAGTAGCCAAGGAAATATTAAAATAAAGCTTTTTAGAAATTGTCAACAAACAAACAAATAAAAAGAACATATCTCTTTACTGCAGAGCATCTCAGTGCATCTAATATGCCAAGACGCATTGTGACTCTTCAAGAAAAGGAGATGACGTGCAAGTTTGGGTATTACATATACAGGATGGAGCAGAAGAAAGAGTTAGGATTCAAAGGGGTTTGAAATGCAAGTTGGCAATAGTTAGGCTGCATGAAATTTAAGGAAGTAATTTATGTTAATCCGATGATCAGAAAGACAGACACCTATCAATTGTGAAAAATAAGGGTCATTTTTGGCCTTCTGTGAAATTAGTGTTGAAGGTAACAGGCTTTGCTAAAATAATTGCCTAGTTTAAGCTTCACTCTGAAATATTATCCCCATTTTACAGATTATGAAACTGATGTTTGGAGTCAAAGTGCCCTCCTGGTGGATTACATTAGGAATAGTCTACTAGATAAATGAAGCAGAAAGATAAAAACATAAAATTCAGTAATCAGGGTATGATATATTTTCATAATGAATTGGTTTTGCTTCACTGGTCAAGGTAATTTAATTATTTGCCTCATCTGAAAAGTTTCTAGCCTATCCTCATAATTCCATTTCTATGCTCAAATTTATCTAACTGTATTTCTTCCTGTATCAGAATACAAACTAAGATTGCTGAGATTTAGTAAGTAAGGAGTACTGTGTGGTAGCTGTTGATATACTGCTGAGGGATCTCCACCCAAAGCTCCTGCCCTGTGGTAGATAACACAGCTCTCAGATAGAAACTAAATTATTTTCTTTATCATAGAGGGAATTAGGTTGCGCTTTTGCAAATTCTGTTCGGGATCCTTTGAACTGAAGCAATCAAGTTTCCAAGAAATAGAAAGGGGGTTTATGGGAGCTAATAATATGGAGGAAGCAGGGTTGCTGTCAGAGTTTTGAGGTTGCAGTTTGGTGCTTCCTACTAAACCTGAGACTCAAAGAAGCAAAATTGTAGGCCTAGTTTTAGATGAAGCTTTTCACTGGCATCATTTGATTCGTTTAGAGACGTATTTTTCAGTGACATATTGGATCCTTCCTCTGCCAACTAGTGATAATGATGTTTAAAATCCTGTAGAGAATAACAGACATCGCTAGAGAAGTTATTCTTCTCTTCCAAAATGCCTTGCCTTCTAGAATAGTTGAAAAGAGTCATCATATTTCCTCTTCCCTTCTGTAAAACTCAGACTATTCAAATTACAGCACCTAAGCTCATGCACTTGAACTTTACAAGTAGGCATATGTTTTTTACTTTTATTTTATGTTGAAAACTTGGTCTTTTAAAATATTTTGTTTTACTTTTGAAATCCAGTTTAATTATTTTCAAGCAGGTGCAATAATAAAAGATTAACCTAATATTAGTAAGGACATTTTTTTTGTTTATTTTGTCTTTTGTTGTTGTTTAGCCCTCCTACAACCTCTCTCTTTTAATGAAGATATTGTATTACAGTAATGAAAATTTAGGAAAACAGAAAGGAAGAATCACTTATAGTTTAACTACCACAAAAGCAAGCTATTTTCACTTTTGCATATTCCCATCTGTTGGTTTCTTAGGGAAGCCATTCCTCTTCTCTGCCTAGGCTTTGAATAACTTGAGAATAAAACAACTGAGTGGCAGATGGAGCCAAAATATTACCTATATTACTCATTAAGCCTAGGTTGGAACATATAGCTTATTATGAAAGCCAAATCGGTCTGCTAACTAAACCTTGGACATAGGCAGACTACCTCTCCACCCTCCCCTTTTCTCAATTGCAACCAGTAATGAACTAGGCCTGCTCTCAACAGTGAGGAAGATCAGACCCTTGGAGAGCACTGGAGACCAGCTGCTCCATTTGGCTTACTTGTTCCCAAGAGGAAGAAGGGTGCAGGTGGGCGACACATGCCTGGTTTATATTTTGCCAAAAATGACAGTCAAATAATTCATCCTACTTTCCTATTTCCAGCTCTCATGAAAAGCAAAATGAATTAACGGGCAGAGAAAGGCCAGAAGTTATATCAGTATCCTGCCATAGGAGGAAAAATTTTTCAGGTGGAGATAACTTATTTCCCATTTACTTAAGCTTCATCTATTTTTAAAGAGAAAATGAAACTCCTATAAACATTTTCATGAAAATAGTAGTCTCTGACTTTTAAATTATTTTTGAAGAGATTCTGAGAAATGAGAATTTGGAATATGAGTGTTTGTTGGCTCCCTGGAAAATGTTAAGAAATTGCTTTTCTGATGGGTTACACAGATTACGTTGTGTCAAATCCCTGGTTCATATAGGCAAGTTTAAGCAGTGATTTAAAACTGCCCCTGACCTGGGCTCCAGTGGTAGTTATATTAGATCATGATTGTATCCAAAGTAACTACTCATTAACAGTTAACTAATGACTATTTTGTAATAACACTCTGGAGGTTGCGTGAGAAGGTTAAGGCAAAAAACCCTGACCCCTGAAAGTTTTCAGTTAATCAGAGGAATGAATATAATGCATGGAAAACTAGAGAGCCAATTATAATTATGAAATTGGGCCATATATACCATCTAGTCTCAAGACAGTTAACATTTATAAACACACAACACACTCAAAAGAGTGTACGTAATAAGGGTAACTTGAATCCTCTTAATTTATAGGAAAGGTAAATCATTTATCCTCTAGGCAGTGATAGTATAGTGGAGGAGACAAAAAGTTAATAGGCAATTATGATATAATATGATAAGAAATAAGCACAGGCTTATAGTAGCACAACAGGAGCAGCATCTAACACATTCTTGGAGCACAAAAGGAAACTCTGTAGTAGAGGTTATAGCTAATGGAAACTTGAAATAAAATAAAGAAGTTACTAAGTGAAACAAGATGAATGGGGCAAAGTAACAGCATGTGCATGGAGGTCCAGAAGAGAAAGATCAGGGGCCATTCAGAAACTTGTAAATAGTTTAGGGTAGTTCCTAGTAGAATGCCTGGAATATGGCCAGTGTTTATTAAAGTTATTCTGTATATATAAATGTCTTATTGAACTTTGAATTTGAGATTACAACCTTACATACCAATAAGTATATATAAAATTGGTTTATGACAGTGTGGAACTGGTGGCAGGGCAATAGGGTTATGAGGATTAGGGAGAGAAAAGATTGAGCACATATTTGGGTAAGCTGAATATTCATTTTCATTGTGTATTGAATCACTACTTTATATGTAATTTTCTATTAAAAATAGAGCTAATAGAAAGTTAGATTTTAAAAGTTATTTTAAAGTATTTCATTAAAAACAATTTTTCTGTCATTTCTTCTGTTTGTTTTTGTTGTTGGCAAGGAATTCTAAGGAAGTCTGTAAATTTGCTTTTTAAGCTAAAATTCTCTAAATTGGAAATTAGAGATCCATGTATTTAAATAATGCATTTTGCATGCATACAGTGCCTTTTACTTTTAAAGTATATTTTTGTTGATCTTCTGTTGTTATGTATTTATAATGATGCTGGCTTCCTTGTTAATTTTATTTAATGTAATGATAGGTTAAGTCTATGTGATAATAATGGTTTGGTGAAGCTTTCTCATCTATTTTATTATTTATTTAAACAATATGTATTTATAAAATACCTACTCTGTGTGCAGCATTATGTTAGGTACTATGGAGAATAAAAATAAGCTCAGTATAAAATTTGATACATTAAGATTCTGGTACAAATTAGAAATCTTTGACCTAGTAATTTCAGCTTGGGAACTCTCTCTTCAGTAAATAATTTTAAGTACAAAGGGCTGGGGAATAAAGTTATTTATAACAGAACTTTGTGTAAGGTCCTATAATTGTGATAACCTAAATGTTCAATAAGACAGGAATTATTACATGAACTAGAAAATCTATTAGTGTAGGGATGGCAGTCATTATGTTGTTGCAAAGACTATAATAAGATAGCAAAGGCTGACGATGTAATGTCAGGTTTTAAAAATAAAATATAAAATTATATGCCTGAAATGGTTCAAATTATTCTATAGAGAAGTTCAAAATATGAAAACCAGAAAAAATGTACTATCAACAGTAGATACAAAAATATAATTTTGCAGTGAGACTCTGATTGGTTATTTTCCTCCTTTATTTTCTAAAATATCTTCCATAAATACCTTACCACATTTTTATTTGAAGCATATGAATTTTAATTGACTTTGAGCTTATCTTTAAATTGTTTGGCAATCTAATTGGAGTGGTAAAACCTTTATATACAGAAAGGTATTTAAATATATCATACATGACAGATTTCTTATGAGAGTGTGGGCAATCCACTAACTTTATTTACTCCCCAACTTATTTATTAAGAAAATAACAATAGCTACTACTTGTAAGTACCTTTTTGTGTCAAGCATTCTTCTTAGAGATTCACATGCCTTATTTAATCCTTTGTCAACTTCCACTCTGTTAGACTAGGTCATTTGTCAGAGAGCAAAGTCCTTTTCTTCCATTTACTAGCCATGTGATCTTAAGCAGATTAATTAACCCATTTTAAATCTTAGTTTTCACTAAAATGGAAAATTGGATGTTGCAAGAATTAAGATAATCTATGTAAAAACACTTAGTGTAGTGCCTAGTACCAAGTAAATTCTGAATAAATATTAGCAACTTTTAAAACAACAACTAAGTTTGAAGTTCCCAGGGCTTCATCCTGTTTTCTCATTTCAAGCTGTGCCTTTGGATACCTTATTTATTTTTATAGTTTTCAGTGCTATGAATATGCCAACAATTCTCAAACGTATACATCTAGCTGACATATAGATCTCTTTTGCGCTTCAAACCTATTCATGTATTGTCTTACTTGACATCACCTCTTGGTTGTCTCAAAGCTAATGTGTCTCCAATTGCATTCCTTTTTTAACCCAACTTATTTTTTTTCCAATTTTGATAGATTTAGGGGTAAAAGTGATTTTGGTTACATGGATGAATTGTAGAGTGGTGAAGTGTGGGCTTTTAGTATACCTGTCACTGGAATAGTGTACGTTGTACCCAATAGGTAATTTTTCATTTCTCCCCTCCCATCTGCCTCACTTCTGACTCTCCGATGTTCATTATACCACTCTGTGTGCCCCTGCTTTGCTTCTGCTCATAGAGAGCTGCTCATCTTTGATTTTTGTCCATGTTAGTGAATGGTACCTCCATTTACTCAGATGCTTATGTCAAAAACAGAGAGTTCTTCCTTTCTCTTCCCTATCGCTAACTCCTTGTACTCAGTTTATCTCTAAATGTCATTGGTTTTGCATCCAAATGTACAGCTGAATATCCATTGATTTTACCCCAGCTTAATCACCACTACTGTACTGCAAAATCAGCATCATCTCTTATTGAAACCATGTATTTCCAAATCTGACTTCATTTCCTGTATTATCCCTCTCTAAAACATTTTCTATGTGGAAGCCCATAGTGAGCTTTTAAAATACAAAGCCTTTTTTATGCCACTCCCCTGCTCAAATCTCTCTGATGCCCTGTTTAATCCTCACAACAACTCTATGAAATTGACATGCCTTTTCCTTTGTATTTTTAGATGAGTAAAATAAGGTTAAGAGTCAAAGTACCATGCTTGATATATTGCTTTAGTGACAGTGAATCAGATAGGCTGATGAAGCAGAAACTTGGAATATAAAATCCAGCAATAAAGAGGCACTTATTTTCATAAGTATCTTCTCACCAGTGTCAATAAAATCTAATCAGTTGCCACATCCCAAAGGAGTCTGTCTCTTTTTATATCTTATAGTATCACTGCTACTGCACTGCTATTATACCCATGAAGGCTATTTAAACCCTCCAAGTTCTTCGTAAAGATATATTTCGTTTTGGCAAGGTAATATTAATTAGAAGCAATTAAGAAATACTGGTGAAAGAAAAATGAAATTAGGGATCCAGAATTTCTTGCATAATTGGACCCCTGTTCCCCCTGCCTATTCCCTAAAGACCCCAAACTGTATGTCATGAAGTTGAGAGGCAATATAATGTAATAGTTAAGAACACAAACCAGCTCCACCTATTACTAACTGGAAAGTGGTGTGTAATTTTTTAAAAAATCGTTTTTCTCTTAGTTTCCTCATCTATAAAATAGGAATAATACTAGTTCCTACTTTATGGTACTAACTAGGTTTTAGTTGCTGTATTTAGAACTTTATACATTCCTCTTGGTGAATTTCTATGCTAAAAGGAATGATCCAATCAAGAATGAAAAATGAGGATTAAACAAATCAACATAGGTAAATACAACTTCTGGCAGTAGTACTTCTATACTTTCTGAGAGAGAAAGGCCATATGTTTGCTGTTTGCTTCTAAACATTTATCAGTTACAAGATTGATGGTGTCTGTAACAGAGTGAGGTTATAAAAGTTCACAAGGCAGAGCAGTAATTGTGGGATGTGTTGAATAAACCTTATAGCTGGAAGTATCTGTTAGTTGCTACTCATATTATAAAATTTTCCTCCACAGAAAACCTCACTCTCTGGTCACTGGCTGAAATGGTATTTTGGCAAGATCATTCATTTTGTTGCAGAATTATCATCATGCCATGAGTAGATATTCTAGTTTTATCTTTACATAGTCAAATGTGACTTGTATTTCAGTTTTGTGGTAAGCATAACATAACATTACACGGTACAGTGGGTAACTAAAGAAGTATTTGTGTTGCTTTTGAGTCATGTGCATTTGTTTGGATTACTTCGTTGTGTTTTGAATTGATTGAGCATGCTACAAGAAGTGGTTAAAAATTATATTAACATTGACTTTTCCAGGAGAATTCAGCAATTCTTTTCATCCTTGGTAGGTTTAAAGGGGAAAATGCAACCCAGGGTTTGAGAATTAATCTACAATAGGGTTATAATTTATGATCTTTTGTGGAACTGTCTCGGAAAGTGCACATTGAATAAGTTACAGAGCATTTTTGAATTTGGGATCTATAGCACGATTTTGCTATGGAATCCGGATTCACCTGCTTCTCCCCTTTGTTAGGCTCTCCCCCAGATGGTGTTCTCTCCATCTTCCAAAGGAGAGAATTCACAAAGGTATAGTTCTTATGTTGTGAATTACTAAGGACTGCCAATGTGAATTAGACAGTATCTATGGAAATTCATTCATTCAACCAAAATTTAAAGAGTCTTACCAAGTTGCAGACACTGTGCTAGATATTAAAGATACAAAGTCAAATAAGAAGTGATATATACCATCAAGGGGCTTATAGTGTATCAATAAAATGAGAGAGTAAGGTGATGAGGAGGCCCACAAATTTGTACTTTTTTTTTATCCATTTTTGAACTTTCTCTTAGGTAACCTGTTTCTCGTGCTAATTCAAACATTGTCCCCAACATCATGGTTAACATTAATATAGTACTGTTTTGCAGAAACCATGCTTAGGACTTTATTATGTATATGACTTATTTAACATATATAACTATGAGATAGGTGTTATTAATATCCTCCTTGTACAGATGAGGAAACCATGGCTCAGAAATGCCAAGTAACCTACTTAAGCTTATACAACTAGGGAATGGTAGGAAAAGAAATGAAAGCCTGAGACCTTGTTCATAATAACTATGCTATATTGCCTCACATTTGGATATCACTAGTGAAGAAGTATTTCAGCATTTGGCGTGTACTGATCAACTACCTAGACTGGATATAAGATATCGTGGGTGAATTTTGAGAGACGGCAAACTTTGGGGAATTATGACATTTGGGTAGAACTTGTTTAGAGACTGAATGTCTCTAAAGTTGGAGGGGGAGTAGGACCAATTACAGGAAGAAAAATTCCTCTTACTAAGGTCCTTTGTGTGAATAAACCAAAAGCTGACTGGAGGCAAAGCAGCAATTCCAAAAATTTAGGATAAACAATGTCTGACTACTTACTAGAATCTAAAATGACTATGTAATTTAAAATCTCTTTAGAAGTGATTTTAAAAGAATGACAAAGCAGACAAAAGGGGAAAACGTTATGTAAATATATACCTATTCTTATTTTTTACAGTAATTTTATGGAAGTAACAAATATTGTCAAATTTCATATAATCTCCAGGAGTTCCAGGTATACTGAGAAAAAAAGGTATTTTAAAAATTGTATCATTGGAAAGCTCTGATGTTTGAACTTACAGAACACACTGGACCATAATTTTGTCTTCTAACCATATGTGGTGTCTAATTTAATTGTACATTGTCCAGGCAGATGCTACAGCCTTCATTCAACCTGGAACTTATTGGACATCAGTGGCCACTTTATAGAAATTCTTCACATGGTTGTTTTCTTTAAATTTTTACTTCATGAAGACATCCCTCTTGATGTATTAGAAAACTATTTTAAGTTGATTAAAGGAACACTTGAAAGTAACACTGTCCTCAAGCAATAATTTGTTGAATTTTTTTAGTTGGAGGCGGGATATAATGCAAGAATGATCCATAAGTGGAAGCACGATATGGAGAAAGACATGTGAATCCTAATTGTCACTTCTGTGTAAATATCTCAGTAACCTCAGTAGCCCCATCTTTAAACGGAGTATTTCTCACAAGGTTGTTGTGAGGCTTGAAAGAAATGATCTGTGTGGGTGCAGGTACTTAGTTCAGAGATGAATTGTCAGCAATTACTATTATGCTATTTAAGTAAAACTTTTTTTCTGTCAAAACGTTGTTGTATTCCTTCTGTGAAAAAAAATGGGATTAAGTGACTTCACAAAAATTATCTCAAGGAACTTCAGAAAAAGACAAGATCCATTATATCTGTAGCTTTCTGAGTGATCAATATGTATCACTTCTGATTTTTGTGAGAAAGAGAGATCTTTATTCTCCTCTAATGTGAACTGAATCATGAGGTCTAGAATCATCATACCCCATGAACCATTCATGTCCTTGAGTTGACTTCCTTGTCATTCATATGCAGGCTCTACACAAAATATTTACATGCATTGGTTTTATCTTTCACAGGCAAGTAAGGGGACCCAGATTCCTATTTGGAGGGGTTTAAATCAGAGCTCAGAGGTTTTGTTTCATGTATGTTTGCTGTCTGAGAACCTGGGTTGACTCATTAACCAGATTATTTCCAATATGCCACATACTCAGACATGACCCATATTATTGTTTGATATTTTAAGATCTATTATGTATTCATACAGAGATGTACAATCTGTAATAAAAAATAAGGTAAATGTGTCTTATTTTAGAAACTGTCTCTTCCCACCCCTACATTTAGGTTAATTTTAAGATTCTCATATTCTTTGAACTGAATTAAAGTTACTTTTCTAAACTGCTTTTCTGCTTTTGTAAGGAATAGATGAACTTCAAGTAAGTGCAAAAAAACCCACCACATTTTAACTTTAACTATAAAGAGAGGGTTTACGTTTTAAGATAACACTCAGGTTAATTTTTTCTAGATGCAGTGTTCAGATAATATTTGTAATAATAATGCCTAATACTAACAATTCTTTGCTGTCATTATACTCTCCTGAGGATATGCTCATATTTATATATCTTTTCTGAAATACTGCTATGGCATTCAACAATGTCTACTCCATTAAATTTAAGTCAGTTTTCATACCATTATTTAATACCTAGAACCCTTTAAGTTAGGCATTATAATCCTCAACTTATAAAGGAAGAAACTTAGTCTCAGAGAAATTTGAAGTTTTGCTGGTAGCCAAATAAGTGATGGAGCCAGGATTCAAATCCAAGTCTGCCTAACTACAAAGCCTATACATTTTCCACCACATCAAGATTCTGGAGACTGTGACGATATGATGTTTTGGGACATATAATTGCTTATCTAGTGAACTCAGGGTGGCAAAGACCAGGAGTTGAAAACATGTGGATGCATAGTAAAACTATTGCTCAGGTGAGTTGATGGATTGTACCACAAATCTTTTCTCCTAGCTGTAAAGTGATGCCAACAGCCTTCAGAGGAGCTGGCAGGCTGCACCACGTGCCTTCAGCCATTAATATATTAAGAAATTATTGAGTGTTTATCACATTCCACAGACTAATCTAAGTCCTGGGGGTACTTCTGAGAACAAACAGAGAAAAATCCTTGTGGAGTTTACATTATTGCAGTCTTTCTCTCAAGCTATGTCAGTACTTGTAACTGATCAGCACTCCCTCCTCCCCAGAAAATGAAGTGCCTTGATACATCCTTTTAATAGATTGCTGATCCCTGTTGTAGATAGTCAGAACAGAAAATCAAGCCAAAATAGAACTGCTGTTTTATATAAGCCATGTAAAGATCAAAGAATGCTACTTCAACAAATTTTTAAGAAAGAAAGATATTGTGCTGTACACAGAGTAGGCATAACATACTCTTTGAATAAATGAATGAATGAATAATAAATGCATGGTAATATTTATAGAACTAAAGTTGTTACTGGTTATTATAGGCATTTGTTTTTCTCTGTTTATGCTATATGATTGGACTCTATAGAAACATTTTATTTCTACATGTAGTCTTACTTGATGAAATAATATAATTTTAAAATTATCAATAGTTTCTATTTGATTCACTGTGCTACATAGTATGTTAAGTACTTCTCTTTATTGAGACCACGTGTTAGGCATAATCCAATGTTGAAGATGTGGCAGTGAACAGACAGATGAAATCCCGCCTACATTCTAGTGGGGGTGGGAGATGGGGAGAAGGAAAAACAAAAAACAAATAAAGAAAATATGTAGTGTGACTGCTAAAGAGAAAAATAAAGAGGGAGAGATCTGAAGTGCTTGGAAAGGTAATTTTAAGTGGTATAATCAATCAAAAGCCTCTCATAAGGTAACATTTCAACAAAAACCTGAAGAAGGTAAGAGAGTATTCTTGTGGATATCAGGGAAAAGAAAATTCCAGGCAGAGGGATAACATTTTGAGATAGGCACTATGCTTTTCTTCCATTTTATGCATAAGGAAGCTAAGACTAAGTAATTTGCTTCAGGTATACAAATAGAAAATGACAGAAATAGTATTTAAACCCATGCTCTATGCACCTAACTTTTTATTTTGAAACCTTTTTTATTCTCAACAAAAGCAAGAAAAAGCTGAAGTAGAGTGAGAAGCCTGCTTTAAGATAGTTAACTGCACACATATTTAGAAATAAACATATTCAGAAGCCAAATATGCATGACGGATGGGTGGGGGTTATCATAACTCAAGATAAGCATGTTTCTTTTTAGCTTAATCAAAGCTAACAAAGGCAGTAGCCTCATCGGGCCCAGCCAAAGTTTCTATGATGGTGATCATTTTGGGATTTGCAGGTCTTCACTAATTTTCTAGAGATAATCTATGTAAATTACTAAAGATAGTATTTGGGTGGGCTGGTTAGTTTGTATCTGATACGATTTGGCTCTGTATCCCATCAAAATCTCATTGTGAACCGTAATACCCACGTGTCAAAAGAGGGACTTGGTGGAAGGTGACTGGATCATGGGGGTGGTTTCATGATAGCAAGGGAGTTGTCATGAGATCTGATGGTTTTAAAAGTGGGAGTTTTTCCTTCTCTCTCACCTCTCGCCTGCCGCCATGTAAGACGTGCCTTGCTTTCCCTTCACCTTCTGCCATGATTGTAAGTTTCCTGAAGCCTCTTCAGCCATGTGGAACTGTGAATCAATTAAACCTCTTTTGTTTCTAAATTACCTAGTCTCAGGTATTCTTTATAACAGTGTGAAACACATAAATACAGTGCCATTTTTCAAGAAATAGTGCTATTTCAAGGGGTGAGTGTTAAGTTTCCCATTTCCATCTTCTATCTGCTGTTTCAATCTGAACACATTTGTAAGAGTTCAACCTGATAGAAATAACATCACTCAGGCTGGCCAAGTATTCTAGACAGATTAGGTCAAAAGATTGTCTGACTGCTGGCCATTGGCTGAAACACCAGATAAAGCCACAGGGACAAGATTACAGGAAGAAATAGAAATTCCAATATTACAAACTGACCTCTGTATTTTGTGAGGGACATAAAAAGAAAATATCATATCAAAAGAGTGCCTTCTGTTATTATTTATCTAGTGGCTGGTGCATTGAGGTTGAGATTTTGGCGTATGGCCCAGAATTTTACCTTAATTCAAATGCAGATGCTTCAATAGATGTAGAATCCCAATGATAATAAGCAGGAAACTCAGGAAAATGAATGGATAATCAGAAAAAGAATCATCAAGGATACCAAAATTGGTATTTCTGATATAGCTGGGAAATGGGAGTACATTACTCCTCCATGCACTGTAAGGGCAAAAGGTTACCACAGGATCGCCCTGAAACTAGAGTCTCAGCAAAGGGGAAGCATAGGGTACAGAATGTGAGGATGCTCAGAAAAGATATTAATGTCTTTTTATTCATTGTTTCCCTGCTTGCTCAAGCCTAGACTCTGAAGTTTTCCTGAAAAACTACTCTCAGTTCTTATGCTGGAGAAAAAAGGAATTCTGTCCAGCCTCGACTTCTTTCTCCTTGGCATACTTTGACTCTTATTTCTCCTGTTACTTCACGTTGGCTTACCATTCTCATTGACTCTATTTTTATTTGGTAGTCAGGCTCTATGCTGACATAGGATCTGAAAACTGTAGAAGATTTTGCTTTGGATATCATTTCCAGCTCTACGCCTACAACCAAGAACATCTAGGCCAGATGCTGTGGCTCAAGCTTGTAATCCCAGCACTTTGGAGGCCGAGGCAGGCGGATCACGAGGTCAGGAGAGAGACCATCCCGGCTAACATGGTGAAACTCCGTCTCTACTAAAAATACAAAAAAATTAGCCGGGCATGGTGGCAGGCGCCTGTGGTCCCAGCTACTCGGGAGGCTGAGGCAGGAGAATGGCGTGAACCTGGGAGGTGGAGCTTGCAGTGAGCCGAAATTGCGCCACTGCACTCTAGCCTGGGTAACAGAGTAAGACTCCATCTCAAAAAAAAAAAAAAAAATCTAATATATCTCAGGACAATACTAGCTGGACCCCATGGTTCTTGCATTTTCCTGGAGAAAGAACAGTGAACCCCCAAAGTCCTTCACATCAATTAGGCTAATACCTGTAAAGACCAAATCTCTCATGAAATTAGTATTCCAATTGTACGCCACTGCAAAAAGTTTTATTTTTTTTAACAAAAATTCTTTCACATATCTAACGATAAAGAAGAAAAAAATAGATCATAATATTCCAGTGGAATTAATACATCATCTGAATATCAGATAATCATGGAGGATTGCTTTAAACTTACATTCTTATTTGCCATGTATTCATCCTTCAAGCAAAATATTTCAAATAGTTTTCCCCTCTATTTGTGTATTAGATATTTAAGAACTGGAACTCAGAGTGATTAAATGACATTGCCAAGGTCAAACAATTATGAATCTGAGTAGAGCTCACTGGAGGACTTTTCTACTCTACTGTGCTGTGAATCCCTCAAAGGGTGACTTTCCATTTGCCACTGGGTTTGAGGACAGCACAAAAATACAAGCAATACTATTGCCAGTTGGCGATGAGATAAATCTCAAAATGCCTTGCTTGAACCATATAAAATCTTTTTGAAATTAAGTTCAAATTTTTATGAAGTTGCTTTCTATTTTTTTATCCTTACCAGATGCTTGTATGAATTTTTTTTTTTTTTTTTTTTTTGCTAGGATATATTGTTTGAAATGCAGTAAGGAGCACATGCTAGCCTTTATTTCTGGGGCACAAGTCCCTGACTAGGAATAATTTCCAGGGGATATTCTCTATAGTTTGAGCACAGTCTTCAAATAACATCTTTTAATGGAATGCTTGCCTTCCTCATTTGAAAAGATTAATATTTAAATAAGCTGGATTTTTATAGTAATAAAATTACTAGCTTCAACTCTTTATTTTATAATCTTATTCACAGTTCAGAACCACAGACAAAAAACAGTTATTTTTTTATCTGTTGGGAACTTTTTGCACCAAAGCACATATAAATAATATTTCATTCATTTTGTTGGCTTTGCATTTTGCAAGACTGAGTATGATTTGCTTTTCACTTGGCATGCAATGTATAAAGTTTAGGACGTTTTCTTGTCTCACTTATTGGCATGTTTGGTAGGACATGTGGTAACAGATGCTTTTAATGCATTAGAAATAGCCTGTAAGGAGTTTGAACAAGAGTAGGCTTTTGAGGCATCTCTACCATTGCTCTCTGAATCCAAGTCATTTCTTGGTACAGTTCATTAACAGAGGCTTCCTTCCTCTGACTTTCACTTAGTAAGTTGCACATTGTGTAGTCTTCATCCAGTTTTTCTTTTTTTTCTTTGTTTTCTCTAAACACACTTTTAAACCTATCCAATTAGGTGGTAAAAACTAGAAGTGATAGGCTATAATTTACTTCTTATCACTGAATGGATAACCAATAATAATGATTCTGACGAAATGAGTATTAGAATTTCATGCCTTTGTAAAAATATATTTGTACTTTAGAGCAGACCACCTTTCACTTATCAAATTACAAAGAGGAAAAAATAGATCCTGCTACACTGATTAATATATTACCTGACCATCCAATAGAGACTCATTAAAGATTGCTTTAAAATTACATTGTTATTTGCCATATATTCATTCTCAAACAGGATATTTCAAATGAATTTTCATTTTTTAGAACTTATAATTTGGAGGATAGGACACTCATTTGTAAAAACTGTTTATAATGCTTCTCTCTGGATAGGCAAGGGTAAATATTCAACTTCATAAAACATGGAAGGCAATCAATGTTTGAAAGAAAACAACTGATGGATTGAAAACTTTAAAATGAAATTGAAAGATTCTTCTGTACAATCACCTGGATTATTGTTGGGACAATAATGAATAAATATGGTATGAAAAGCTCTACTTCAACATTGATAAACTTGAGGGAAGTTACAGAAATTGCATTTTATTTTTTGAAATATGTATGGTGGTCAGGCATGGTGGTTCATGCCTATAATCCCAGCACTTTGGGAGACTGGGGTGGGCAGATCACTTTAGGTTAGGTGTTCAAGACCAGCCGTGGCCAACATAGTGAAACACCACCTCTACTGAAAATACAAAAAAAAAAAAAAAAAAAAAAAAAAGCCAGTTGTCAGGGTACACACTTGTAGCCCCAGCCTCTCAGGAAGCTAAGGCAGGAGAATTGCTTGAACCCAGGAGGCTGAGGCTTCAGTGAGCCAAGATACTGCTACTGCACTCCACTCAGGTGACAAAGCAAGTCTCCATCTCAAAATAAATAAATAAATATTTATGACTACAAGGTTTGCTTCAAGTAGCTCTCGGAAGTTAACACAGAGACTCCAATTCTACATTATTTTAGTGAAACAAACATTGGATTGTAAAGGGAGTGAAATAATAGTAAACAGTTGATAGAGGAGTGTGGTCTTATTTAATTTTTGAAGACCACTGATTTAAATATGATTATTAAAAAAAGGAAAGATGGTCTACAGTTAATTGAGATATGTGGTGGGATTCCTACACTATTATGAAGAAGGAAAGTAATATTTAAGAAGAATATAACAAAAGCAAAGAAGTAGAAAAAAGAAAGGACCAAACCAAACATATAAAAGTAAGTATAGTATGAGAAAAATAAAACCATCATATATGTTGTCAAAATTAATATGAGTGGGATGACTATTATAAAAAGATAGGCTCTCAAATTAGTCTAAAAATAAATATCAGCTGTACACTGCTTAGAAATAAATATACCTAAAACCAATGACAGATTATTTTTAAACAAAAGTGTAGGTGAATAACATATCAGGAAATAGCAAACTAATTGAAAGAAGAGAATGGACTATTACTATCTGGTTAATTTGATTTCAAGGTCAAAGGAAAAACTCACAGAAGCAAAACAAAACAAAATAATGAAGAGCCCCAAAGAAACAAAAAGCCTTAGCCATTGAAAATGAAATGACACTTCTTTTTAAAATAGAACCTATATATAAAAAAAAGCTGAAATCATAGATTACTCTGAAATCAATATAAAATAGAACATTTCATCTAGAAACTTATGCGATATACTCATGTAACAAACCTGCACATGTACTTCCTGAATCTAAAATAAAATAAAATTTAAAAGATTTTAAAAAAGAAACTTATGGGTACAGCTAAAAGTTCATTCAGAGGAAATTGCAGATGTAATGCTTTTATTATCAAAAATAAAAATCGAAAATAAAATTGTCTTAAACTGAAGAAAATAAAAAAGGAACAATAAAATGAATCAAAAGACACTAGAGGGAAATTAAGTATCAATATGAGGTGGGATTAATGTAAGAGAAAATAAAGTCACCAAGTACATTTTAAAGTATAAATAATACCAAAAATTTCATGATTACATATGGATTATAAAGATAAAACATTTGACGAAAGTTGGCAGCGATTTCCAATTTTTTTAATTTATTGTAAAATAGGAGTAAAGGGAACTTTCTTCCTATGATAAAGGCTATTTACTTGAATGCAACAGTAAACAATAACAGTACAACTTTTAAAGCATGAATAACAAAATCAGAAAACATAATTTGATCACTGCTTGTACTCTTACTGTTTTGAAGATTCTAATAATGCAAGACATAATAGCATAAGCAGTATAACTTTTTAATAAAACAGTAGAAAATTTAGCATTATATGTAGGTGACACTATAGAAAAAGCAATTCCAAGAAGAGCAAAGTAATACTCTAAGAAATTAGTGAGTCAGCTGGATAAAAGAGTCAATAGTCAGTGGAAATTCAATATACTCCATTTACTGACTTAGCGAACCTATGTGAAGCAACAACCAAAACCCACAAAACAAAACCTTTTAACCTCTCTGAGTCACCCATGAGTGCATCTTTAAAAAGGATCAACTGAAAAGATAAATATTGACAAAAGTAAAACTTTAGCTGAATTAAATTTAAAGGAGTTTAATTGAGCAATGAAGTATTTGCGAAGTGGGCAGCCTTCCCCGCTAGGGTAGACTCCAGTGCAGTCAATTGGTGGAAGAAGATTTATGGACAGAAGAAGGAAAGTGACATATATAAAACAGAAGTGAGGTACAGAAACAACTGGATTGGTTACAGCTCGCTCTTTGCCTTATTTGAGGTCAGGAATTCAAGACCAGCCTGGTTAACATGGTGAAACCACATCTCTACTAAAAATACACACATACACACACACACACAAGCCAGTCATAGGGGCACAGGCCTGTAAGCCCACCTACATGGGAGGCTGAGGCAGGAGAATCACTTGAAGGAGTAAAGGAGACTTTCAGTTCAGAGTTGGCTACATTTAATTGGCCAAAACTCAGTGATTGGCAGAAGTGTAGGCTATGGTCTGTTTACAGCTCCACTTGTTATAGTTCATAATGTACAGAAAAATCTTTGGGCTGAATTTAAGATAGGTAAGGAGGCAGCTTTAGGCTAAACTTGGTTTAACAGTCTATGTCACCTGCACTGTTCCCCACACATTGGAGGGGCCTAATACTGATAGCTTTACTCTCTTTTCTGATATTTGCTAGCACTGAGAATTCTCAATTATATATTTAGGCAACTTTATTTTGTTTAAAAATTTCCCTAATGATTTTAATAGACAACTGTTATCTTAGCACCCAGATAACACCTTAGGGGTTGGAACACTCTTCTCCATGTTGTACCTCCTAATCATCAGTGAAGACATGTGGACACATGGAGAGTCCTGTATTGTCACCTACATCAGTGAATGGGCACTGGTTCATTCAGCTTTCAAATTACCTGTCACTTTAACAGACATTACAAGAGTTCTGGCTTTAGCCATGGCAGTTTACGTTGTTTCATCTATGTGGAGTTATTCCAAAATTGTTTGGTCTTTTCAAAAAAAAAAAAGAGTGGTAACTTGATGAATTCCAGTTATTCTAAGGTTCTTTGCCTAGTAAATGTTTATTTCTCTAATAAATCAGAACTTATTGCAACTAACTGCTTTGTGCTTTCATATACCATCCCCACCCCAAGAATTTTGAAAGCTTTTAGCAAATACTAATGTATTTGCTTCCCCTTCATAAGTTAAAAGGATAAATATTGATACTTTCATATTACATTATGAGGGCAGCTGCAGCCTGTGTGGAGCGGCCACTGAGAAGACGCCAACTGCAGCGGGGTAGGCACAGCTGGGGCTGCGCGCTCCACAGAGCCAGTTGGAGCCAGGAACAGGCAGGAGCCCAGCCCTTTTCAGAGTTGGAGGGGTGGGGGCCTCCCCCTCCTGGGTGCAACTGTGCAGCCACCCAGCAGTGACCTGGATTTCCCTGTGCTTTCAGGGGCTGGGAAGTGTCCCTCTCCAGCCCTGGCCCCCACAGGCTCAGAAGTGCCTGCCCCCACTGTCTGGCCTCTCCCTGTTCCCGGTGTCCACTCTGATTTTAGAGCAAAGTTGAGGCTGAGCCTAGGCACTGTCGCGACCCAGCTGCATGCACTTACGGCAGGGCTGACAGGCCAGCCCTCTGCCCCCTCAGCCCCCCCTCTGGACTTTGGGTGCCCGTGAGCATGGGAGGGAGGCTGAGGGGGCACTGAGGCAGCTCGATGTGGGCCTGCAGGCTCTGTGGACGACATGATCAATGGTGGCAGGAAGCAGACAGGCTCCTGGGCAGAAAGGGGTAGGTTCCCGGTGAAGCCTCACCTTCAAGCCAAGAACGGCCTGAAGCATGGGGGCCAGGCTGTCAACTGTGCATAGAGTCCGTGGCTTACAGTGAGAACTTATGGTGCTTTTTCCCGACCTACTCTTGGCTGCCCATGGACCAATCCGCACACACTTCCTCCCATCTGAAGCCCATGAAAACCCCAGACTCAGCCAGACTCACAGAGACCTTGGAGATGAGCTGTGGGAAAGAACTACCCAATTCGGTTGCTGTTGTCTTGTCAGGACAACCTGCCTGCAGAAAGGAGCCACCCACTGCAGATCCCTCTTCATTGACAGCTGGATACTTCTCAGGACAACCTGCCTGCAGAAAGGAGCTACCCACTTCGGCTCTTCTGCCTCTTGATGAAGCTGTTCTGTCTCCTCTCCGCCTTGGTCACCCTCAAATTATCCATGTACCTCATTCTACCTGGATGTGGACAAGAACTTAGGACCTGCCAAATGGTGGGACTGAAAGAGCTGCAACACAAACAGGGCTGAAACACCCCCCTCCCCCGCTTACCACATTATGGGTGATGAGAAGGAGAGAAGAGCTGCAGCCCTTCAGGGATCCCAGACCTAGGGGCTCCCCAAGCCAGGGCTGTGACACCCTCTTTGGGGCTCTTTGGTTCCTGGTGTCTCCAAGCTTCCCAGTGCCACTGTGTTCCCCTTATCCAGATGCAGGTGCCTATAGCTGAAGCCATGTGTGGTACATTTGGTCCAGCCACAGCCTTGCATGAAGCTGGCACTTGTGCTGGTGCCTGGAGCTGTCTGCCTTGCCACAGCAGCTAGCATGCGTGGCTGTGCACAGTGGCTGGACCCCATGCTCATTCGCTCATACACTCTTTGCCACTCCGTGCCTGGCTCCCCCTTGGCAGGTGTGAGATCGAGGCCAGTAGTGTGAGCCAAGCGCAGCCTGCCAGGCCAAGTGGGTGGAACGAGCCCTGTGGGCGCGAGCAATACTCAGGCAGAAGGCGCTGCCTGCCACAGAGGTTTCTGGCTGGCAAATCGACATCCCAAGGGTCCCGTGACAATTATAGCCCCTGCTTCTGGATAGAGTAAAGAAAAGGGAAACAAAAAAAATCGAATAACCCAACCTCCAGACATTGCTGGTGTTAACTTATTGCCAAATTCTTTCTGATGTATGTGTATATCATATGTGTATTTAACAGTTTTATATCTTAGTTCTTTGCTAAATGCACTTTCAGCAAAAAAAAAAAAAAAAAAAAAAAAAAAAAGAGACCACACTGTATATGCTGCTTTACAACTTTTCACTTCTTTTAAATATATAATGAGCTTCTGTCTAACTCAGTAGTTCTGCTTTCTTTTAGCGACTGACACCTATTATTTTATAATGTGGACAAACTGTAATTTGCTCAACCATTTATCTATTAATAAGTATTTGTATTATTTATAATCCTTTGTTATTAGAAACGGTATTGTATTGGTCATCCTTAGACTTACAGCTCTGTACTCATAGGCAAATATTTCAGTAAAACAAATTTGTAAGAGTGAAATTGTAAGATGAAAGAATACGCTTATTTTATTTATTTATTTATTTATTTTTATTTTTTTGAGACAGAGTCTTGCTCTCTCACCCAGGCTGGAGTGCAGTGGCATGATCTCAACTCACTGTAAGCTCTGCCTCCCCAGTTCACGCCATTCTTCTGCCTCAGCCTCCTGAGTAGCTGGGACTACAGGCGCCCGCCACCACGCCCGGCTAATTTGTTGTGTTTTTAGTAGAGATGGGGTTTCACCGTGTTAGCCAGGATGGTCTCGATCTCCTGACCTTGTGATCCTCCTGCCTCGGCCTCCTAAAGTGCTGGGATTATAGGTGTGAGCTACCGCGCCCGGCCGAAAGAATATGCTTATTTTAAATATTAAAATATTTCATAGATTGCCCTTCAATAAAGCTTTAACAATATATATTCCCAACAAAATTCTGTGAAAGTTGTTATTTCTACACATTTCTCAGAACACTAGATAGTATTAACATGCTTTTAGTATTGCTGTTGTATGAAAAAGTCTTCATATTTTAATTTACGTATCTTCCTTATAACTGAGGTTGGGATTTGCAATTCCGTTACTACCAAATTTCTTTTCATGTTCTTTGCTTTTTTAAATTACCATTTTCTAATATGTTCTTTACTTTTTAGTTTGCAGAACTCTTCATATTTAAGAACCTTTTGGCTACTATAACTTTGATAAATATTTTCTTCCAGTTTATTGTTTGTATTTTGGCTTGTTTTTTGCTGCCTTTTGTTTGAAAATTTTAACTTTCTTATGTTCAAATATGTAAATTTTATTTCTTTTTGGCTTCTGATATTTAAATTATGTTTCAGAAGATCTTCTGCACCATCAAGTTTATAAAAATAACTTCAAAATTTTTTTGAAAATCTTTATTGTCTTATGTACATTTAGACCACTAAGCTACTTGAAATTTATTTTGAATATAATGTCAAGAGGGTCTCTAACTTTATGTACTAACAAATAGATAATCATGTGTATCTAAAACATTTATTGATTATCTTTTGCACTCTAAAGTAGAATGTTATGTTTATCATATACTGAGTTCTAATACATATTCAAATCTATTTTTAATCTTTGTTCCACTGATATACTCTTTTACCATACTAGTTTAATTAAGATAGTGTTTAAGTAAGATTTAATATTTGAATAGACAAAACCTTCTTATTAGCCAACTTTTACAGAATATCTCTGCAATTACCAGACTGTTATTCTTCTAGTGAATTTTAGAATGATTTTCTCCAACATTTTTTGCAATTCTAATTAAAATTTCATTAACTGTATATATTAAATTGGGATGATAGGCATTTTAATTATATTAAGTAATCCTATACAAGAACATGATATATGCTGACATCTTTTGTGTCTTTCAATAAAGTTGTATCATTTGTTTAGAAGAACTAAATTTCCCAAATTGTATCAAAGTGGTTTGGTCTAAATTACAACCATTAGCATCTATTAATATATGAAGCTGCACTTGGCTATAGTGTCTAACATTTCATCGAGGAAAGTCAGACTCCAACAACACTTCTTTATGGTAACAGTTCTGGTCAGAGCCTGAGGCCAGATGTCAACAGTATTGCGCATTCTGAATTGAAGCATCAATATGAGGAAATTTGTTTATTGTCCTCTGTGTTAAATAAATTTGCTAGCATTCCCTATGTACTCAAATATACATAAATGCAGTGCTATCATGGTATGATGAGTGTATGTATCTGTGTTCTTGCGAGATACAATGGAAAATTTATCTACAATTATAGAATACGTTTAATTTAAAAATGCTTCTCCATGGTCATTCATTCACAACTAAGCATGCACCTAATCCTCCTGAGACAGAATTACATGTAATATTGCACAGACGTAAATATGGTGGTGATTTTTAAAATAATAAATTAATAGAGCTGAATGAGGATTATTTTGCCAATCAATGGAATATTCTACTTTCTAACTTTCCTTATTTATCTACTTACTGATGTTTGATTTATTTTGACAGAACGCACTTCCACCTTGGAAGGAATAACTTTAGTCCCTCTGCAGACATTTTGAGAAACCTGAATTTATGTTAACTGAGAGACCTGAAAATATGTTAGGAAAGCCTAAAACAAAACTTGGAAAAAAAGTGTTTGCAGAAAGGACAGAATTCCAAGGGGAGTACGTTCATGAAACTTAAGCCAGTATGGAGAGGGTTATGGTAGGAACAGAGACAACAGAGTGCTTACAAATGGCTTAGATGATTTTCTCTGCTAACAACTGGCACTATTTTTTCTGCACATTTAAAGTACGATGGTGGCTATATAGACAACATGCAATGAAGAGTCGAGACAATTATTCGTTTCTTTTGGGCTTCAGGAATGTGCTGCAGAGGCAAAAAGTTGCTTTGGGGGCCTGCATTTATGCAAATTTCTAGTCTTTGCTGACTGAATTCTGAGGAAAAAAGTCACACAGTTTTCTACTTGGTCTGTGTTTTAATTGTTACTCTAGCAGTAATTAGATACAAAAACACAGTTTTGGTGCCGTTTACCTTGAGGTTGTTTAACAAAGGTTGTCATGTTTAAATATTTTAAATAAGTAAAATGTGCGTCAGATACATTTCCCATCCTGTAACTAGCTCCTGGTTCTTGGGTTGCTTGGCCTAGTTTCTAATGCTGAGGAAGAGCTTCATTACTGTAATCCTGCATCTCATTTTACAAATGCCTTAACTTTTCAATAACTGTCTCATATATTATATTTGATCTTCCCATCAACCCCCTGAAATTAATGGGGACAGTTTAATTATAATCCACTTTTAGATGAAGAAACGAAGACATGGTAAGATCCAGAATCTTAGAACAGTGTATATATACATATTTTGTCACCTCACGATTTGACAAATTCTCGGATTATCTTAATTTAATGAAAACAGTGGGGTGGCCAAAAGGGTATGAGTGGCGAAGCTACAAAAATGTACCTTAATTTTGGCTTTATTTGTTTACCAATCTAAACTCCATAAACTTCAATTTTATGTTTGTAAAATGGGCATAATAATTCTTAACATGCAAGAATTTAATGAGGATATGAAATAATATAAATGAAGCACTTAGCAATCTATATTTTGATGCTCAATAAGTTACTAGTATTTTTAAATATATCTCTATCCTATGATATCTTATATAGAATATTCTCTGATATCCTATTTAGAATAGTTATCGAGATATAGTACATAGATATATAGGTACAATATACTTCTATTACACAGTTTTATAATTGATTTTTTCTTTTCTGCTGAAGTCTTCTGTGTGTTTCTTGAGAGTAGAAAACTATTTTGTTTGTGTATTTATTTAATCTCTATTATCTTGTGCTCTAAATATTTATATTAATTCAAAATGGGTCAAAATCTTAATACAAGGAGATAAGTAGACAAAGTTATTAATTTTTTGGCATTTTGCAATTGTGCACCAAAATGACTTGTTTTTCTTTCCCTGGATAGATTCTGTTACACAAATTTTAAGTTGGTAATAACTGTTATTTAGGTCTAAAATAAGAAAATGTTAGGGGTTGCAAATCGAATTTTACATTTTACTTTCCCATTTCACTTTACTCTGACAATAATAATCCACATTGAAACTGTAAGAAAAAGCCTAAGGACATACATAAATCTGAGAGCTCCAGTGTTACTGTTTTTTATTTTTTATTTTTACCTCATTCTAAGATTTTTAGGGACTAATACAAATAAAGCACCCTTCTTGTTTTTAGAATCTTATAGGCTTATATTAAGCCTTCAGGTTTACTGATAAGTGAGAGAAAAAAACTCCTAACTTTTCATTTTTTTAGTATCGATGTTGTTTAGCTCTGCTTCTTGGTTTTCTTTAAATTTGATGCCTATGTATTTGTTTAATGACAGTTATATAACTCTAAGAGCACTACATTCATTAAGTGCAATCAATCCTTGCAGGTCTTCTAAGTTGGGTAAGATTTTTTTCCCTTGGAGGATATGTCATTAAGGTTTTATATTCTCAGATGCAGTGAATGTTGCTAATACTTGCATTTGGGGAAAAAATAAGTAATAAGGTAAATGGTATGCATTGCACCTGGTTCTTATGGATGGATTAAAGTATTGATTGGAAAAATAACTTTTAAGTTTCAACTTGTTCGGGTACATATCAAGTTTTCCTCAAAGGTAGTGAATATTAATAATGAGGAGGAAGAAAAGAGAATTACAACAAAGATGACAATGACATAAGCAATACTTCTGAAAACACTATTATTAAAGATATTTTAAATTCTTTTTTTACAGACAAAACGTGGCTCAAAGCAGTTGAGTAACTTATCTATAACTAGTACACAGTATAGCTTGCATCCAAACCGTGTTCTTTGCTTTTGTGACATAGTATCCTCCTTATGTTTTATAGTTCCTAGTTTATGTTTATAGGTAATCCAGAGTAACATATATATAATTCCCTTACCATTTTAAAATACTTTCTTTGTATTTGTGGTTATATTATTTTCCTTAGTCGCAAAGTATATATTATTTTTGTCTTCATTAGATCTGTGAGAAGTTTATCGATTTCATTTTCTATTTTAAGAACCAAGTGTTCTATTTCTTACCAGTTTTTTGTGCTCTAAGTAATTTTCTAATTTTCTTTTTAGTGTTTCATTCTTTCTGTTTTATTTTTATTCTGATTGCATTTTTTCTAATATCTTGATATATAGACTCACCTTATTTTCATTCTTTTAGAAATAACCATAGTGCCTTAAGTCTATTAATTAGTCTCTAAATATGTTTGAAAGTGTCCCATAAATATAATATATTACATTCCTATTTTATGACTAAGTGTTTAATTTTATTTCCTTTTTATGCAATTTTTTGAAAGGCTAGGATGTATTTAGTTTTATTCCAAAACATTAGTTTAAAGCTAGTTTTAGTTTCTAGCTTTAAATTACTGTGTTCAGAGAATTTTGCCTTTATGAGTTTTGCATTTTAATATATACTAATTTTTTGTGACATAATAAATGATAAAATTTTGTATAGTTCCATGACGTGTGAAAAGAAGGCAAATTTTCTTTTTGTGAAGAGAAAAAGACTGAGCAGTTGTGGCTGCATTACCCACCTCGAGCAGCAGTCAGGTTCTCCACGTAGAACCCAGGAGTAGGAGACTCAGAATCGAATCTCTTCTCCCTCCTCACTCCTATGGGATTTTTTTTGATCTTCAGCCACATTTTCAGCTGTGTGAGAAACCTTATCATCAAACACAATGGCTAGCAACGTTACCAACAAGACAGATCCTCGCTCCATGAACTCCCGTGTGTTCACTGGGAATCTCAACACTCTTGTGGTCAAGAAATCTGATGTGGAGGCAATCTTTTCGAAGTATGGCAAAATTGTGGACTCCTCTGTTCATAACGGCTTTGCCTTCTTTCAGTATGTTAATGAGAGAAATGCCCGGGCTGCTGTAGCAGGAGAGGATGGCAGAATGATTGCTGACCAGGTTTTAGATATTAACCTGGCTCCAGTGCCAAAAGTGAACCGAGGAAAAGCAGGTGTGAAACGATCTGCAGCACAGATGTATGGCTCTTCTTTCGACTTAGACTATGACTTTCAGTGGGATTATTATGATAGGATGTACAGTCACCCAGCACGTGTACCTCCTCCTCCTCCTCCTATTGCTCGGGCTGTAGTGCCCTCGAAACGTCAGTGTGTATCAGGAAACAACTCACGAAGGGAAAAAGCTGGCTTCAATTCTAAGAATGGGCAGCGGGGATCTTCTAAGTCTGGAAAGTTGAAAGCAGATGACTCTTCAGGCAATTAAGAAGGAGTTGACCAAGATAAAACAAAAAGTGGATTCTCTCCTGGGAAACCTGGAAGAAATTGAAAAGGAACAGAACAAACAAGCAGTAGATATGAATAATAAGTCAGAAGAGGAGCAGAGCAGCAGCTCCGTGAAGAAAGATGAGACTAATGTGAAGTTGGAGTCTGAGGGCGGTGCAGATGACCCTGCTGAGGAGGGGGATGCACATGACTCTGCTGAGGAGGGGGACCTACTGGATGATGACAATGAAGATTGGGGGATGGCCAGCTGGAGCTGATCAAGGATGATGAAAAAGAGGCTGAGGAAGGAGAGGATGACTTTGAAGCACATAGCAGGGTTTAGAAATCTTATCCCATTATCCAGTTTCAGCTTTCCACATATGGCTAGCCAGTTTTCCCAGCACCATTTATTAAATAGGGAATCCTTTCCCCATTTCTTGTTTGTATCAGGTTTGTCAAAGATCAGTATAAAAATTCAAGATGGATTAAAGACTTAAATGTTAGACCTAAAACCATAAAAATCCTGGAAGAAAATCTAGGCAGTACCATTCAGGACATAGGCATGGGCAAGGACTTCATGACTAAAACACCAAAAGCAATGGGAACAAAAGCCAAAATAGACAAATGGGATCTAACTAAACTAAAGAGCTGTAGAGCAAAAGAAACCACCATTAGAGTGAACAGGCGACCTACAGAATGGGAGAAAATTTTTGCAGTCTACCCATCTGACAAAGGGCTAATATCGAGAATCTACAAAGAACTTAAACAAATTTACAAGAAAAAATCAACCCCATCAAAAAGTGGGCAAAGGACATGAACAGACACTTCTCAAAAGAAGACATTTATGCAGCCAACAACACATGAAAAAATGCTCATCATTACTGGCCATCAGAGAAATGCAAATCCAAATCACAATGAGATCCCATCTCACACCAGTTAGAATGGCAATCATTAAAAAGTCAGGAAACAACAGGTGCTGGAGAGGATGTGGAGAAATAGGAACACTTTTACACTGTTGGTGGGGCTGTAAACTAGTTCAAACATTGTGGAAGACAGCGTGGCGATTCCCCAAGGATCTAGAAGTAGAAATACCATTTGACCCAGCCATCCCATTACTGGGTATATAGCCAAAGGATTATAAATCATGCTGCTATAAAGACACATGCACACGTATGTTTACTGCGGCACTATTCACGATAGCAAAGAACTGGAACCAACCCAAATGTCCATCAATGAGAGACTGGATTAAGACAATGTGGCACATATACACCATGGAGTACTATGCAGCTATAAAAAAGATGAGTTCATGTCCTTTGTAGGGACATGGATGAAGCTGGAAACCATCATTCTCTGCAAACTGTCACAAAGACAGAAAACCAAACACCGCATGTTCTCACTCATAGGTGGGAATTGAACAATGACAACACTTGGACACAGGGTGGGGAACATCACACACTGGGCCTGTTGTGGGGTGGGTGGAGAGGGGAGGTATAGCATTAGGAGAAATACCTAATGTAAATGACGAGTTAGTGGGTGCAGCACACCAACATGGCACATATATACATATGTAACAAACCTGCACATTGTGCACAAGTACCCCAGAACTTAAAGTATAATGAAAAATAAATAAATAATAAAATAATAATAAAAAAGAAATCTTATCCCATTATTTCTTTACCTAGGCACTTGTCTAAGTTGAAATTTTTCACCAGATCCTCTCCCCTAGTATCTTCAGCACATGCTCAGTGTTCCCCTATCCTTGTCCTTCCCATGTTCATTAATTCATATTGGTCTGCGCCTAGTCCCATTTTCACTTCCTTTGACACTCCTAGTAGTTTTGTTAAGTCTTACCCTGTAATTTTTGCTTTTAATTTTGATACCTCTTTATGACTTAACAATAAAAAGGATGTATGGTTTTCATCAACTGTCTCCAAAGTAATCTCTTGTTATGCAGGGAGTACATTTCTTTTCATTCATACATAAGTTCAGTAGTTTCTTCCCTAACTGCAAAGGCAATCTCATTTAGTTGAGTGGCTCCTTAAAGCAGCTTTGAGTTACAAGTATGTGTGTTACACCCCTACATTAGTATGCTGTGTGGGGCAGTTCAACACAAATGTTACAATGTATTTCTGTGAATGAGAGTTGGCATGTCAAATGCATCCTCTAGAAAAAGTGTTATAGTCTTAAGATTTGTTTTCTAAAGTTGATACTGTGGGTTATTTTTTGAACAGCCTGATGTTTCAGACCTTTTTTCCTCAAAATAAACAAGTCCTTATTAAGCCAGGAATTTGGACAAAAAAAAAAAAAAAGAAGGCATGTTTTCTATGGAATAAAATTTTTCATTCACGTTTATTACATCTACCTTATTAATTGTATGATTACAATCTTTACATATTAATCGTACTTACTTGGGCCATCAGAGCATGAATATTCATGTTAAAGTCCCTCCCAAAGTTAAGATTTTGTGGGATGAGAGAGTGTGAGGTAGAGGTATGAGAAAGGGATATCTCTGTTCTAATCTGAAAGAACTTTCCCATGTGAGATCCGTGGCTGCTATGCTGCTTTACTTAGAGGCAAAGATCACACGAATCTTTGATAGGGATACAGAGTAGAAGTTGACATATGTATCTTTCCATTAGCTTTCTAACTGATTTTATTTAGTTTTAAAATTCAAAACATATGTCAGACAGAGACAGTTAATTTATCCCTACCACAACAGAACTAAAAAGGTTTTTTCCCCCTTCCAGGTACATATAAAGTGTTGACTGCGATTATCAGTGATTTTGCATATTTGTGTCTCCTTGTTAGTTTCATGGTTCTTTTAATTGATAAGTGAGGAAGAATCCTAAATAGCTGTCTTCCTACCCTAAAAGAAAGCTGATTATGTTCTTTCAATTTTGTTATACTTTTGCTCATTAATGTGGTAGTTTATATTCAAGAATATGGGAGTTCCATATTAAATAAGTGAACATGTGTTGTTGGTTTCTACATTTAATTTCTATTTGCTTATCCTGTGCCAAGCATCATTATAAGAAGTTAAAATTGTGATTAATCATCTGCATCTCTAAAAGGGTATCTCACATATTTTCCAGACACACTTATATCATTAGTCCATAGGGATATCAGTTTTCCAAGAGAAATGAAGGCCCCGTGTTCCTTATGTGGTTTTTTCTTCACTTTAAGAGATAACTGAGAAAGCCTTGCACTCCAACGTGTCTTGGACATCTTTTGGTCAGTTTTCGCTAGTGAACAGATGACGGTGATGACCCTAGGAGAGAGAGAAGGAAGGGTAATTGGGGCAAATGTGTTCTTCAAGGGCAAGTGTTTGTTTGCATCCTATATGGTGAGGGTGGAGGTTGTGTATTGACTGATATCTCCAGTAGCTTTTCTTCTCCCATTTACCACAATATTGTGGTGACTTGATTACTTTTCTCATACTGGAATAGTAAAATTAATCCCTTATCTCTGAAGCAACAACTTGTAATAATTAAGAGTAATTCCGGTTAGTGATAGCATAAAGGCGGAAGCCTCTAGAAATGATCCTGTTGTGTGCTCTTTGCTAAGAATATTGGATTACAGTTTTAAGGGGAGTGTGCCTAAAGATGAGTCAATTAGTTTAGGATTAGGCATTTAAAATTTAACTTTGACAGAGAGAAGGTCATCATTAATTTTAATAGGAGCAAATTTCAACAAAGTAGTAGGGGCAAAAATCAGGTTACAGGAAGAAAGGAATAAAAAAAAAAGTGGAGAAAGAGAATATGACATACTCCCTGGACAAGTTTTATGAGGAGGGCAAGACAGAAATTGGTATACAACTGGAGAGAGTTTGAGCAAAACAAAACAAAAAACCAAAACACCTAAACTAACATTTTTAGACTAGAACATAGTTGACCATATTTACAGGCTGAAGGAAAAGATTTAGGAAAGAGGAAGATGTCAATGATATAAATCAGAGATCAGGACACTTTTCCAGTAAAGGGCTAGAGAGTAAATATTTTAGGCTTTGAGGACCATAAGATATCTGTAGCAACTACCCAACTCTGCCCTTGTAGCATTGAAGCAGCTGCAGAAAATATATAAACAAATGGGCATGGCTGTTTTCGATAAGAATTTATTTATAACAACATGTAGCAAGCCAGATTTGACCAACAGGTTTGCCAACCTCTGCTATAGATGGGAGAGCAGAACAGAAGAGAGTAGGAAAAGGCCTAGGGTGAGGATGGCTGTGGCTGTGGGTTAGCTTTCTGGGTCTGGCTGTGGTGTACCTGTGCAGGGAGAACACACCTAATAACCTCAATTTTATTAGGAGACTGAGGGCTATCTAACCTGTCAAAATGAGGAGCTAAAGGCAACTAAGGACTTGGAGGCAGATGGGGATGATTGAGAAGTTTTTTGAGGGAAATGAGAGGGGAAGTTGATTAAAGGACAGTGCGTAGCTGAGTGTGGAAACTGACTACATAGAAATTGCTCTTAGTGTGTGTGTGAGTTCCTTTCCCACAGAGCTTCATTTCCTAGGTGTGAGTTGAGAGAGACCAGATGCAGTATTTATCTGGGATTTGGATTTTGCTGAAGAGTTGCACCTGAAGAATCACAGTAAAAGAAATCAAAGGTATTGGTGAGAAAATAGTTCAAATGAACAGTCATTAGTTTCAAGCTGGCTAAAGAACAAGATGATAAAGGACCAGTAAACTGAGGAAAAAATGAAAAGATTAAAGTGATGGATATCACTGTGAGGTTAAAGGATAGGAGTTGAAAAAGGAGTGAATAACCATTAAGATAGGAGATTGAGGTCAAAAAGTATAGTAATTTAGTAAATATTCAGCATGCATTTTTGATAGATTGCTATCCTGAGTAAAGCTTACTACCTGAGGCTGATAATAACATAGGTGCAAAAGAGAAACATACACAATTTATTTTCTCAACTGTTAGAGTTTTGATTATTAAAACATCAATGACAATATTATTATATGAAATTACCCTTACTTAATTTCAGTAGGAGCAACATGGGGATTTGACAATGACGTTTTTACCTATAGTTTTTTTTTAATTTCTATTTTAACGTTTTTAAACTTTTGAAAATTACTTCATTTGTAATAAAACTAGTTTTCAAATATTGACTTTTTTGTAGTAGACATTATGTTGTTTTTGTGCTGCTCCCAATTCATAAATCTAGTTCATTTCATAGAATCAGAGATAACATTGATTTCCATTCTGTAATTTCTATGAGATAAGTTACCATAAAGTATTATAAGAGTTTGAATTTAAGATTATTAAGAGATGAAATCATGGCACGAAGTTCCATATAACACTTGATTCGAATTGTGGAAACAATTCTTGACACAGAAGATAAATAGCTACGGTTTACTGAGTATATACTTTCTAAGTAACAGGCACGGTATGATGAGCTTTATAGATTTATTTGGGAAAGTTCATAGAGGCTGGAGTTTTAAGTGTTTGCCAATATCTGTAAATTGTGTTCTTTTCATCTTTTTCAAGCTTTTGCTCTTTTTGCCCTGTGAATTTAAGGCATCATCTTATACATATTTTAAGGTGAAGTAATTAATGCACTCAGTTATGAAGGACTGGTAGTTTATTTAAGATTACTTTTTTAAAAACAGAAACTTGTCACAGCTAGGAAAGCTAGTTGGCTTTTTTTTCTGTTTTGCCAAGTTTTTTTTTTTTTTTTTAAATAACACTGGCTAATCTCCTACTGAAAGAAATGTATTTTCATTAGGTTGTCTCTTATAATTAAAGAATAAAATGTTGGACTAGAACATAAACTAATGTGTTAAATTTTAGACTGCAAATAGACAGTGTGTTTAGAAGTATAAACTTAACCTAAAACATAGCAAATGAATGTATGTGCAGCATATGATTAAGAATTTTCCAAAGACCAAATAAAACATGTTACAAAGGGAGATACTCAGTTTGAAAAGCCACATCAATTGCACACAATTTTGGCATCTACTTCTTCTGTAAATTGGCAAGCATTCATTTCAGTGCTCTTGGTGACTTAGCTGCCTTCAATGAACACAAGAGACACCATTATTCTGAGTCAAGAGGGGAGGCTTAAAATACAAGTACAGGTATAAATAGTTCTATAGGTAGTATGGAAGTTGAAAGCTGTCTGATAACTTCAAGAGGCATAATCTGCTAAGAGACACAGAAGAGTGGCGATAGGAGACTCGGGATAACTCGGCAGTAGTGAGGCCCTCACAGAGCTTGGAGATCATAAATCTGGTGCAATTACCAATTCCTAAAGTAATTTGATTTTCTCCAGAGGCATAAGGTGCCCAAGACAGGTACCCTGGACAGGTAGAAAGGACCATTTGTAGAACCAATACAGGTTTGGGGTGTACCAAAGGAGGTATGTGGAGCTGATGTGTGTTAGGTCCGGGTGGGGCTTTGAAGTATGAATCATTTTACTTACCAGTTCTCTTCTTCTGGAGGGTTAAAACCAAAGAAAAGAAGTAAATCAATACTGTACTTTTACTTGCTGGGTAGAAATAGCTACCTTACCATGGGCAGAGCCAGAAATATGGAGGAGAAAGGGATGCATGTAACCCTCCCTCTATAGTAAAGAGCTGAGGAGAGGGCTTGAAGTGAGATATTAAGGGGTGAAGCTATAAAGATGCTTTTTCTTTCCATCTGTTTAGTGCACTGGTATAGTTTCTGATGAAAGCAAGTCATCCTTAAGTAATACCTACTCTTTCCTAAATTAAAAACTGCATATATAAGGAAGAATTACAAGGAACTAAAACATATTGAGCACCAAATATGTACTATGTCCTGTGATAAGAACTTTGCATATCTTGTTGCACTTATTCTTTACAGCAACCCACTGGGTAAATGTATTATTTCACTGCTTTTACACAAGTAGAAATTAAGGCTCAGAAAAGTTAAGCAGTTTGCCCAAGGCTATGCAGCTGGATTTGAGTGAAGCCATAGTATAAACCAAGCCTAACTCTTAAGCTTATAATTTACAGTACCAGTCTATTTTTATTGTTGATATCCTTGTTTGTTTTACTGTAAGAATCTAGATTTCTTGATATTGGAGTCCTCTCTTTTGAGGAGAATCCAGATTTTGATATACAAATTAATTTAGTAATAAAGTGCTAACATGACATACAAATAAAGAAACTTACTATGTATTCTTACCAAAAAAAGTCTTTTAAAGAAAAATCACTCATTCTAATATTTTAAGCTTTTGATAGCATAATAGCATGCACCTTAAAAAAATAACCATTTTGCTATAAACCCTAACTGCTGCTCACATGAACGTCATCTGCCAGTATTTCACATTAGGATAGATTTTTTTCACTAGATTTCTAAAAGAATTTTACATGCAACTTGACAAAATAGTTATAAAGAATATACTTAGTAACTTAACTTATTTTCAAAAATTTTATCTTCTCTTATGGGCATTTCTTTCCTTCTATATTTGAAGATTTTGATTTCATGAGCTAGATATTTACTTGTGCCTGTTATTTATTATTTAGAACAATTGCACTCATACTTTTCAAATCATCAGAGAACAGGAGCTGATAATTTGTTTTCTCCTGTTTTTATCATATGCTCTGATTTAGGACATTAGTAACAATGAGGACACTTAGGGTTTTGAATGTACTTTTTAGCCAAGAATCACAAAATCGTTATTTATCTTTCTAGCTGGGGCATCTTTGCTCTATCTTTGTGTGGTTTCTCCATGCAATTCTTCCACCATGGCTACTTCAGAGCAACCAGAAGTCTTAATGTTATCTGAGGATCCAAAGATACATGGTTCAGGAAAGAGGGAGTCAGACAGAAGCTACATCTCCTTTTGAGACTATCTTGAAAGAAATATAACATAACTTCTGCCATACTCTATTAATTGAGGCAAGCAGTCACAAAGGCTACTATACTACAAGTGCTATAAAAGGTTCAAGGGAAGGATTCATAGACTCTGCATCTCAATAGGGATGATAAACGTTAGCAAGAGCATGTGGAACAAAAAGTATTGCAACCATTTCTGGAAAATTCAATTTGATATTAAATACTATCTCTGAAGGCAGGTACATGACATTAAATTTTTCCACACTGAAAATGAGAAGATATTTAATATTGATAAAAGACCTTCTATGAACTTGCCACTTTATATGCATTACCTTATTTATTGCTTACAACAACTCTCTTAATTTTACAAATGATGACACAGGCTCTAAGGGGTGATAAAATTTGTCTAAAAGTCACCTAACATCTAAGTGTCAGTGCTGGAATTCAAATCAAGTTTTTTATACTCCAAAATCCATTCATTTTCTTAAAATCACTTTAGCAAAAATGGTCGGGAAAAAATACTCATTTGATATTTTAGTAAATGGAGTCCTATATTAATCAGAATATCCTTCTTTCTATGGTATTTTAATATTTTATATCCATAACAGTAACCCCAAAAGCAATGATTTATCTATTTGTTTAATCAGCAAATAATTTTTTTCATTATTTGTATTACCACTGTAATGGTAAGTACAATTCATTGCTTAGCATAATAATTATATTTGTAATTATAATGCCTATCACATTGTATTTTTTTTTTCTTGAGACAGAGTTTTGCTCTTATTGCCTAGGCTGTAGTGCAATGGCGCGATCTCAGCTCACTGCAACCTCTACCTCCCAGGTTCAAGCGATTCTCCTGCCTCAGCCTCCCAAGTAGCTGGGACTACAGGCATGTACCACCACACCCAGCGAATTTTGTATTTTTAGTAGAAATGGGGTTTCACCGTGTTAGCCAGGATGGTCTCGATCTCCTGACCTCGTGATCCACCCGCCTTAGCTTCCCAAAGTGCTGGGATTACAGGCGTGAGCCACTGCGCCCGGCCATATCTCTTACTCTGATCCATAAAACTTTTGATCAAGTCACACACAGAAAAGATATTAATGTATATCATACTTTTCTCTTTTATCTAGGTCATTTCACATAGATTATGTTGGTCAGGCTGGTCTCGAACTCCCAACCTCAGGTGATCCGCCTGCCTCGCCCTCTCAAAGTGCTGGGATTACAGGCATGAGCCACTGCACCTGGCCCACATTGTATTTTAATGATCTGTTTATATACCTAACTTGTTGACCAGTCTATGGTTTCCTTGAAATCAGGGAAAATGAGTAATTCATATGTGCCTCTAGAACCTAGAATAGTAAAAAGCATACTCAATAGTAAATGTTTGCTGAAGGAATAAATTATACTATTGGTAATACATGATATATTCTTTTGTTTGCCAGCTTATTTGATTACCCAGAAAACTCCACTCCCTGTCCATAGTAGGATAAAACTGTATAGATGGAGGAGTCTTATAAGAGACTGGAATTCTCTTACCTATCTTTGCATAATATAAAATAAACTTGAACTGCATTAAGTGAAATCTGTTTGAAAACCATGAAGTGAAAAATTTCTTATAGAGGAAATCATTAAGAATAATTTAACTCAACTGCGTTATTTAACATATGGAGAAACTGAGGCCTGGAGAGAGTATATAAATAGTGTAATTTAAGGTCATACAGTCAGTCGAAGTCAAAGAAAGTATTTTTATCTATATTTACTTACTCTTTTGCTCTTTTCAATGCACTCTTGACTAAGTGTTAAATAGGTTTCTAGAAGCAGTCAAATATTTTTGTCAGTTTTGGAAGATTGTTTCTTATTTGCAGTATATTTCTATGTAGTGCCAATGACTTAGATAGATTACATCATCCCACGCCAAATATTTGATGATGTTATCAACTAGCTTTCCATGGAGAAAATGAGGAAAATGGGTCTCATTTTTACTGTATGTTTTTCTCAGAGGCAGGTCTGTTATTATGGAAAAAGCACTAAATAGTCACAATTCTGGCATTTACTGTCTTTCTATCCTCTAGCAAAGCATTTTGTTTCCAAGTCTATTCATTGCAGAATGAAGTAGTTTTTGTGGTTCTCAACTCAAGGGTGTTAAAATGCTCAAGGCTTGTTTGTAAGTGTTGGTGGGAATTTTTTGTTTGTCACATGACTGAGGCATATTGGCAATTAGTGAAAAAGTTCCAGGAAAAATAAACAGTCTTCAAATGGGTGGGACAGATTTATATAATGAATCTCTTTCTTGTCTGAAATGCCAGCAGTGCCCCTGCTGAGGGTAAGTAAAATCTTTTTATAATTCTAAAACTAAGTTTTCTAATTCTAAAATTTCTTTATAAGACAAACTGCTTGAGAAAATGTCTCTTATTCTCAATATGCCACTTGTCAATAAAAGGTGAGTGGATGGTTTTTGTTTTGCGGTGGAAACCAAAAGCAATTAGCATCTTTTTTTTCTTTCAATGCAACTTTAAATTATTTTGTAAGAGTTTGGACTTTAAGGAAGCCCATAAGTGAAATACCAAGCAAAACAGATCTCTAGGTCAAGTTCTAGGATGAATTCTGGAGCATCCACTTGAGTCAATGTTAGATCTTCAGAGAATTCATCATACATGTAACCTAAATCACTGTCCCTTTGGACAATGCAGGTGGAAGAGAAACAGAAATAATACTAGAAGAAAAGGTACAGTTTAGAGCTATCTTTACCCGCCCACTAGAACGTTTTATAGAGAGGACAATCCAAGGACATGTGTATCTTCTAATCATATATAAATTGGGTTGGGACTAGTGCTTAATAGAATTGGGTCTGAACTCTGAGAACATCTTTCAGGAGACTGAACAAACTGTGCTATTTATGGTCTTTAGGTGGTAAGGATGCTGACACATTCTTTTATTACTAGAACTTAAAATGTGTCATCAGAGTGTCTTTATCTTATTGGATGCAGACTGGAAAGAATGTTTTTACGGTTTCCTTTAAAGAGGGAAAGACATTATCTTGTGTCAAGCAAAGGCATACGATGATTTTACTAGTTGCTATTATAGTATAGAAAGCAGAGTATAAATTTCACTTTACTGATAATCACATTTCTAAGTATTCAGATATATTTCAGATTGCATTGATCTTTGTACTATATGTTTTGGCTCCGTTCCTCCAAAGGTTGAATTTTTTTGACTATAGGTACCCCAGCTTGTACTTATTGCCTACACACCTGAAAACAATGGCTAGGTTCATAGTGTGATTACTTTAAGTTGAATTTATTTTAAAAATTGCTGGGATTCTTGGGCAACCTACATGTGTACAAAGGATGTCTTCAGGAACCATGGCAAAGCATAGATGCATTTACATATGCTGGTTTAGGGACTTTTTATGTGGCCCTAAGGAAGACAGAATCTGGTAAGCAATATGTATTAATATGTCAGTTTCTCTTTTAAACTATGTAAACTCTAATTGCTGCATTTATAGAAATCGATAGCAATAGCCACCATCTTTGGAGTTCTGACCGTTTAAAAATGGGTTTTGCGTTTAAAATAAGCTTCTTGGCGTTTGTATAACTGGAATTGATATACATCCAATAAGTATTAGTAATATACAATAAAATGTTTCAATAATTAATAGTTCTGTGTTGTTAAGAACAGAAAAAAAGTTTCTACATTAAATGAATTTGAGGAGTATCTTTTGATATTTACAATTCATATCTTTCCAGTTTATATAGCGTCTGGCTTTTTCTCTTATTTGTCTGATTTTGCACTTGGCCTACAATACCTAAAGATGTACTGTCAGATAATTATTCTAAAACTGTTGCTGATAAACTTATTTATGGCTTGTTTCTGTACAAAGGTTCTAGAAACCATTGGAAGCAATTTGTTTTAGCAGCTCAATCAAATGATTCCATTTATTTTATTTCTTATAGCTCTTGATTTGATATTTCACTGGAACTTTTATTTGGTATCACTGAATTTTATTTTCATTTTAACATTTCCTTGAGACAAATAGAGGCTTTATTCCTTTGGGCTGGTTATAATAGGTCTCTGGAGATTAATAGGTCTTATACAAGCATTCTTAAGGCAAAAGGTTGGTTTCAATCATTCCTTTCTTACTATGGCTTGCAAAACCCAACACAATCTTGACCTTACCTTTTCCTCTAGTTTCATCTCCTGTAACTCTCTTATTAATTTCTATATTTCAGTTCTACAGGCCTATTTCCCGCCTTAGGACTTTTGTATTTGTCATCTTTTCTTTCTGGAATGCTCTACCCCTATATTTTCATGGAACTAACCTCATCCTTGTGATTCAAACTCAAATCTCTGCTCCACAGAGAAGTATTTTCTACCACTGAACTTGAAATATCTGTCCCATGTTACTCTCTATAATTATTTTCTTTTTATATTTCATTATAGCATCAATCAGTATATGAAATGTTCTTGTTTATTTGTTTATCTGCTGGGTTTTTTTTGTTAGTCTCCATTCCACTGGAATATAAGTTTAATGACAGCAGAATTGCTCATCACAGTGTCTACAAGACTTTGAAAAGTGCTGGCATATAGTAAGACTTAATAAATATTTATGCATTGAATGAATTAGTTAGGTTATATATAGTTAAACTAATAGTGTCCATAGTTTCATTCATTTAAGATAAATGGACTACTTAAAATTTTTGTGCACTTTTTAATTGAGTTAAAATATACATATAAAATTTACTGTCTTTACCATTTTAAAATGTACAGTTCAGTGATAATAAACACATTTATATTCTTTTTCCCCCTTCACTTCTCCCTAAAAGAAATATACTATTAATCTTACAAGGAACCCTGTAAAATTTCTTATTCAAACTTTGATTTTACAAATACAGAAACTACGATTCAGAGAAATATAGTTACTTGATTTCACAAAGCTAGACAGTAAGAATCAAGGATGGAATTAGATTTTCTGAATCCAGAATTTTGAGTTTTATTATATCATATTTTTATTACAGCATGCTTCTAGTGGTGGAAGCAATCCATGGAGTAGTTTACACAGATGCATAAATGCTTATCTTTAACCCTAAAATTTAAAACTTTCATAAAATGAAAAGTTTTATATACTCTTGATATCAAAACTCATTTCATGGCAGAAACCTAACATAAAATAATGTAATGCTATTTATATAATAGTTTTCGTGTTCTCTGCTTAGTGTGACTATTCATATATTTTATGGTAGAAATACTAAAACATTTGATTATGGAGTTCTGCCCCAGATCCTGCTGGGGACTGTTCTGTAATACTTGGTACACACAATGTGTAACCTTTGTAAAATCCAAATATTTCTGAATTTTGAAACACAACTGACCCTAAGGATTTCAGGTAAGGTAGGGTAGACATAATTTCAATCACATGTCCTTTCATTGAGGAATTAGGAGATTAAGATCAGTGAAGTCACAAAAGAGGGTGGTCTAACAATCTTATATTGCAGATGAGAAAACTAGGAGATTGTATTACATAAAATCAAGTAGAAAACCAGAGAGTTTTCTCCTCTCTTACTCTTTCTTTTCTTCTTTTTCTTTTTCTTTTCTTTTCTTTTTTTTTTTTTTTTTTTTTTTTTTGAGACGGAGTCTTGCTCTGTCACCCAGGCTGGAGTGCAGTGGCCAATCACGGCTCACTGCAATCTCTGCCTCCCAGATTCACGCCATTCTCCTGCCTCAGCTTCCCGAGTAGCTGGGACTACAGGCACCTGCCACCATGCCCGGCTAATTTTTTTTGTGTTTTTTTTTAGTAGAGATGGGGTTTCACCGTGTTAGCCAGGATGGTCTCGATCTCCTGACCTCGTGATCCACCCGCCTTAGCTTCCCAAAGTGCTGGGATTACAGGCGTGAGCCACTGCGCCCGGCCATATCTCTTACTCTGATCCATAAAACTTTTGATCAAGTCACACACAGAAAAGATATTAATGTATATCATACTTTTCTCTTTTATCTAGGTCATTTCACATAGATTATCTTGGTAATCTTCACAATTGCCTGACAAAGGTACCAATATTATCTTCATATGGGTAAGGTTCTTTGAGAGTTATGTACTTAGCTCAAAGTCACTCAAGTATAAATAGCACATGAGGAATTTGTACTTAGGAAAATCTGGCCCTAAAAACTATATTTGCAACCATGACTTCTAATTCACGGAGTTTCATAAGAATAAAATCATCATATGATTGCCTAAAATGATTTATGAACTATAAATTCTTTAATTATTGAAAATAAATCAAGTTCTCAAAAAGTAGAAAGAAACTTAAAATATTATGGAGATGGGCTTTTTAATTAAAATTCTAGGGTTTAAAGATTATTTGCTAAGATTCTATACTTATTGTATGAAAATAGAAATATATTTAGAGGGAAATTTGTAGCACTACATGCCCACAGAGGAAAGCAGGAAAGATCTAAAGTCGACACCCTAACATCACAATTAAAAAGAACTACAGAAGCAAGGGTAAACAAACTCAAAAGCTAGCAGAAGACAAGAAATGACTAAGATCAGAGCAGAACTGAAGGAGATAGAGACAAGAAAAACCCTTCAAAAAAATCAGTGAAGCCAGGAACTGTTTTTTTTGAAAAAGATCAACATAATAGATAGACCGCTAGCCAGACTAATAAAGAAGAAAAGAGAGAAGAAATAAATGACACAATAAAAAATGACAATGGGGACATCACCACTGATCTCACAGAAATGCAAACTACCATCAGAGAATACTAGAAACACCTCTACACAAATAAACTAGAAAATGTAGAAGAAATGGACAAATTGCTGGACACATATACCTTCCCAAAATTAACCAGGAAGAAGTTGTGTCCCTGAATAGGCCAATAACAAGTTCTGAAATTCAGGCAGTAATTAATAGCCTGCCAACCAAAAAAAGCCCAGGACCAGATGGATTCACAGCTGAATTCTACCAGAGGTACAAAGAGGAGCTGGTAATATTCCTTCTGAAACTATTCCAAACAATAGAAAAAGAAGGACTTCTCTCTAACTAATTTTATGAGGACAGCATCATCCTGATAGCAAAACCTGGCAGAGACACAACAACAAAAAACGAAAATTTCAGGCCAATATCCCTGATGAACTTCAATGCAAAAATCCTCAATAAACTATGGGCAAACTGAATCCAGCAGCACATAAAAAAGCTTATCCACCAAGATCAAGTTGGCTTCATCCCTGGGATGCAAGGCTGGTTCAACATAAGCAAATCAATAAATGTAGTCCATCACATAAACAGAACCAATGACAAAAACCACATGATTATCTCAATAGATGCAGAAAAGGCCTTCGATAAAATTCAACAGTCCTTCATGCTAAAAACTCTCAATGAACTAGGTATTGATGGATTGTATCTCAAAATAATAGCTATGTATGACAGACCCATAGCCAATATCATACTGAATGGGCAAAAACTGGAAGCATTCCTTTGAAATCCGGCACAAGACAAGGAATGCCCACTCTCACCACTCCTATTCAACATAGTATTGGAAGTTCTGGCCAGGGCAATCAGGCAAGAGACAGAAATAAAAGGTATTCAAATAGGAAGAGAGGAAGTAAATTGTCTCTGTTTGCAGATGACATGATTATATATTTAGAAAACCCCGTCACCTCAGTCTAAAATCTCTTTAAGCCAATAAGCAACTTCTGCAAAGTCTAAGGATAGAAAATCAATGAGCAAAAATCACAAGCATTCCTATACACCAATAATAGACAAACAGAGAGCCAAATCATGAGTGAACTCCCATTCAGAATTGCTACAAAGAGAATTAAATACCTAGGAATCCAACTTACAAGGGATGTGAAGGAGCTCTTCAAGGAGAACTACATACCACTGCTCAAGGAAATAAGAGAGGACACAAACAAATGGAAACACATTCCATGCTCATGGATAGGAAGAATCAGTATTGTGAAAATGGCCATACTGCCCAAAGTAATTTATAGATTTGATGCTATCCCCATCAAGCTATCACCGACTTTCTTCACAGAATTAGAAAAAGCTACTTTAAATTTCATAAGGAACCAAACAACAGCCTGTATAGCCAAAACAATCCTAAGCAAAAAGAACAAAGCTGCAGTCATCACGCTATTTGACTTCAAACTATACTACAAGGCTACAGTAACCAAAACAGCATGTTATTGGTACCAAAATAGATATATAGACCAATGGAACAGAACAGAGGCCTCAGAAATAACACCACACATCTACAACCATCTGATCTTAGACAAACCTGACAAAAAACAAGCAATGGGGAAAGGATTCCCTATTTAATAAATGGTGTTGGGAAAACTAGCTAGCCATATGCAGAGAACTGCAACTGGACCTCTCCCTTTCACCTTATACAAAAATTAGCTCAAGATGGATCAAAGACTTAAACCTAAGACCTAAAACCATAAAAACCCTAGAAGAAAACCTTGGCAATACCATTCAGGACATAGGCATGGGCAAAGATTTCATGACTGAAGCACCACAAGCAATGGCAATAAAAGCCAAAATGGACAAATAGGATCTAATTAAACTAAAGAGCTTCTGCATAGCAAAATAATTAAAAAAAACTATTATCAGAGTGAACAGGCAGTCTACAGAATGGGAGAAAAGTTTTGCAATCTATCGATCTGACAAAGGGCTAATATCCAGAATCTACAAATAATATAAACAAATTTACAAGAAAAAATCAACCGCATCAAAACGTAGGCAAAGGACATGAACAGACACTTCTCAGAAGAATACACTGATGTGGCCAACAAACATACGAAAAAAAGCCCATCATCACTGGCCATTAGAGAAATGCAAATCAAAACCACAATGAGACACCATCTCACACCAGCTAGAATGGCGATCATTAAAAAGTCAGGAAACAACAGATGCTGGAGAGGACGTGGAGAAATAGGAATGCTTTTATGCTGTTGGTGGGAGTGTAAATTAGTTCAACCGTTGTGGAAGGCAGTTTGGCGATTCTTCAAAGATGGAGAACCAGAAATACCATTTGCCTCAGCAATCCCATTACTGGGTATATACCCAAAGGATTATAAATCATTCTATTATAAAGACACGTGCACATGTATGTTTATTGCCCAGTGTTCGTAATAGCAAAGACTTGGAACCAACCCAAATGCCCATCAATGATAGACTGGATAAAGAAAATGTGGCACATATAGACCATGGAATAGTATGCAGCCATAAAAAAGGATGAGTTCATGTCCTTTGCAGGGACATGGATGAAGCTGGAAACCATCATTTTCAGCAAACTAACACAGGAACAGAAAACCAAATACCGCATGTTCTCACTCATAAGTGGGAGTTGAACAATGAGAACACATGGACACAGTAAGGAGAACATCACACATCAGAGCCTGTCAGGGGTGAGTCCTAGAGGGAGGGATAGCATTAAGAGAAAAACCAAATGTAGATGACAGGTTGATGGGTGCAGCAAACCACCATGACACATATATACCTATGTAACAAACCTGCATGTTCTGCATATGTATCCCAGAACTTAAAGTATAATGAAAAAAATAGACATTCTAAATATACTAATTATCCATCTATCTATAGGACTAGAAGTTATCAATGGCAAAAATCATCTGTTGAACAAAAGAAGGTCTCATTTTTTTCTCAAGCTGAAGTAATATACCCTTAACAAAGAAAAATAATTCTCCTAGAACTCCTACATTTAAATTAAATTATTTTTGTATTATTTACGTATGCATAAGATTAAATGACTTAAGTTCCATATGCTAATAGTTCCTATACAAATATTAAACCAAAAGAGATTTACAACTTACATATAATAAAAACTGCAATCAAATACAATCGAAATAAAAAATCATTATTTTAGTATATCCAACGGTTTATTGTAATTATGTCACCTTCTTGCAATTTCCATGTGGTATTAACTACTTCTGAATATTTTTTTTGAAATGCATGGGATGTCATCGGTGTGTGCCATATAACAATTCAATTCTCCCAGAAATTTTTTGTGTTATTTACGTTGTATTCAAACAAGTGGTTCTTGACACTTTCATACACTTGGCTTGAATGGATCATTACATATTAAGCCTTCCCCTGTTCTTTTTTATTAGCTCAGAACAATTAAAATATACTTGACCCTTGAAAAATGTGGAGATTAAGGATGCCAATCCCCCATGCCATGTAAAATTTGTGTATAACTCTTGATTCCTTAAAAACTTAAGCAGCCTGTTAGTATTTGACTGGAAGCCTTCTCAATAATATAAATACTATATTAACAATATTTTGTAAGTTATACATATCATATACCATATTCTTACAATAAATTAAGCTGGAGAATAGAAAATGTTATTATTGAGACTATAATAAGAAAGAGAAAATATATCATAAAGGTCTTCATCCCTGTCATATTCACATTGTTTTGAGCTGAGGAGAAGAAAAGGAAGGTCGGTCTTGCTATCTCAGAGGTGGCCAAGCAGAAGAGATAGAGGAGGTGAAAGGGGAGGCAGGAGAAGCGGCACACTCAGTGTAACTTTTATTAAAACAAAATCCCCATGTAAGTGGACCTCTGCAGGTCAAATCCATGTTGTTCAAGGGTCGACTGTAGTACTATTTGGCACCCATCTGGTTGTAAACACAAATACCAATGTGGACACTAAAATCTCAAGGCCACATTCACTTAAAAGTTGGTCATCCAGGTAAACCAGCACATGGTTCTACCAGTACTTTTAGATGATGATAAAAAAGGAAAAGGCCAAATTAAAGATCAATTATCATGGAGAGATTGTAGACCTCCACAGACTTCTGATAGTCCAAGGGCCCTACTTTGAGAAACACTAGACTAGCATATCATCTTTAAAGCATTATCATTGTTTCCATTTTCTCTTTCAACTGGCTAAGCTTGGTTCCTCATTTCTTCTAAATAGGAGACTGTTGTAGCCATTGACATTTTTGTAATACCTTTCTTTTTAAGGCAATCCCAAGTTTCTTTCCCACAGACTAGCAACTAGCCAAATCAGGGCATTATTTTTATGATGTGATATTTTTAGAGGTAGGAAATTATAGCTTCTCAAAAGGAGACTGCATGTATTTGGGGGTTTGAGAAAAAAAAATCACACCTGTGTATCCCAGGATGAAGCAAGTAGATATAATTAAAACAAAGATTGATCAAGCTCAGTAGTTTTCAACACTGACTATCTATTGGAATCACCTTAATAAAGCACTGTTGCTTGGGCAACACCCAGGGCTTATGATTACTTGGTCTCAGGTGGGGCAAAGGATATCAGCATTTTTTAAGAGAATTTATTTTTTAGGGAAGTTGTTTTTAGAGGAGATTTGGGTTTATAGCCAAATTGAGCAGAAAATAGATTTCCCATATACCCCATATTGAGCAGAAGATATAGAGATTTCCCATATACTCCTTGTCCCCACACATGCATGATTAACATCCCTCACCTGAGTGGTACATTTGTTGTAGTTAATGAACCTATATTGACACATCGTTATCACCCAAAGTCAATAGTTTACATTAGGGTTTACTCTTGGTATTATACATTTGATGAGTTTATACAAATTTGTAGTAGCATGTGTCCATCATTATAGTTTCATAAGCAGTACTTTCACTGCCTTAAAAAATCCTCTGTGCTCTTCCCATTTATCAGTAATTTTTAAAAGCTCTTCAGTTAAAGCTAATTGTCAATCAGGCTTAAGAATCACTGATAACTGAAAGAAAACCATCCATGTCACTCATATTTTTACATACTCTCTGATGACATCCAGCATCTGAGAGTTGTATCTAAGCTCCATAGCATGGTCTGTAAAGACTTCTAAGACCTAACAATTGCTTACCTCATTCTCATCATGTCTCAACATTTCTTTGCTGGGTTACCTCTCTAAGATAATATATCTGTTAATGTGGTTTATTCAAGCTCTTAAAAGTTCTTTGAACAGAAGTTCAAAACCAGTGTGGGCAACATAGTGAGACCCTGTCTCTACAACAAATAATAATAATAATAAGCTGGGCATGGTAGTGTGCACCTGTGGTCCCAGTTACTCAAGAGGCTGAGGTAGGAGGATAACTTGAACGTGGGAGATCGAGGCTGCAGGAAGCGGTAATCATGCCACTGCCCTCTAGTCTCGGTGCCAGAGTGAGATACTGTCTCAAAAAAAAAGTTCTTTCTATAACTGAGGGGGTATTATGGGTGGGGCAAAAGGGTTCTTCTTGCTGTCTTGTATTAAGGGTAATTATTGCTAAAAATGCATGGGGTTCTTTTCTATTAAACCAGATTGGCCTTGGAACTATTCTCAATACAGTGTTCCAGACAGCTAATAGTAGCAGAGAGGAGTTGGGTTATGAAATGCATCTACTTATATTACATAACTTAATATAGTCTTTGTAACAATGATGAGGCTGTGTTCTCAGATGAGATTAAAATTGCACGTGTAATTTATTCTTCAAAATATTTAATCCTTCTCAGAGCCATATTGGTGAAGCAATGCCCTTGCTCCCCACAGAGGAGAGCAGAGCTAGGATATAAATATGGTTAATGATGAAATACGTAAAAGAAAGTTAAAAATCTTCAAATTAACCTGAAGCTAATTCTGAAGCAGACAATTCTCAAGCAACACTTTGATGTAAGTTCAGTTATTCCACAAATACATATTAAGCATGTAGTATAGGCCAGATCCTAAAAAATGGTATTCACATTCCCTAATTCACCAAATCCATACAAGAAACATGTAAATCAAGTATTATTGTTTTGTGTGTATAGATGAGGAAACAGAGATTCAGAAATATTAACTGACTTTCCCAATATTGTCCAAACTACCAAATTGGAAGGCTAGGATTTAAAAAAATAAGGCCTTAAAACTCCAACTCAGTATTCCTACTGCTTCATTCATTCGGCAAATATGTTTTTGGAGAATTACGTTAGTGGATTAAATACCAGAAAGACCTCTAAGCTTTTCTGGACCTAGTTATAAAATTTAACTCTTACAGTGCTGTCTTGAAGATCGAATGAGCAATGTAGCAAACATATTTTGGAAAAAAATACTGTACAAATATGAGTTATTGGCAGGCTTATAATGAGCACACACTCTTTACCTGACATACATTGCTGACTTGTTTCTAACAGTATAGTCCTTGAAGTGCACTAGAAAGGAAGGTAAACGGACAAAATCCACTTGGTAATTTTAAAGGAATGCACGGGTATGTTAGAGATAAGAGACATAATGCTCAGTTAACAGGAATAAGAGCTGAAGGGAAGATCTGAAATATATTTAAGATCTTTTGTAAAGACTCTTTACAAAAAACTTGCCAATGTGAATAAATTCTTGAATTTTCTTTGGAATAGGATGCAGATCTGCCATGTTTCTTAAGGCATTTTGTTTATCTCTACATGTATGCAAGGTTTATTTCCCCCTTACCTAAGCTTAGGCAAACACTAATTTTCAGCCCCAGGCAAGAGTTTTCTTTTTATAGACATGAGAGTATCCAATTGTGTGAACCCTGGAATGCTAAATTGAAACCCTATTCCTGCCAGTAATCAATTTGATGATGCGAACATTTCATAATATAAAGGCTCCACCTCTTTCATTAACCAATCACTCAGGCTGCTTTGAAGCTTTTAAAAACCACAAAAACAGACAACAACAACTGAAACCACAACCCACAGTGAACCTTATTAACGGAAATATTTTATATATTGTTATTTTCATATTTTCACTTATCATTTGGTAGGAATAAGAGCCTATTGCTCATTTTTATTCCATGGATGTCTACAGAAAACCCAAATCATACGTCAAGTGATGATTATTTCCTTCATTTTTGTGAAGGATATCTAAAATTTATATAAGGCCAGATATATCTCTCTTTGAACATGATGGTTTTAAACAAGTCAACTTTAAAACATGTAATAAGCAGAAAATTTGCCATCTTGATTTTTTAGATGAGGAAATCTAAGCAGAGAATAAAAAATGAGTAAAAATATTTCTTAGGATTTCTATGGTAAATATTTATAGGAGTATCTGCCTAGCAACCTTGTAATGTAGGATGCCCTTTCACACACATAGGTGGCCCCTAACAGACATGTTTCTATTACATAATGTTGCACCACTATAATTGATTCATCCAAGAGTGGTCAGATATAATCTGAGCCAATCATTCTCCCCTCCTGATATTTGGAATTGGGACCAAGGTATAGTGAATCCAAGATTCTGATCTAAATGGTAGACTAAGCTGATGCAAGAACTCTGCACTCTCACTCCAAACACTTAGAAATAAAATATATATATATATATAATTGTAATAATAAGTTAAAAGGGACAAAAATGAAATCCTTAAATGTTGAAAACAGAGAGAATCCTCACTGTAAGTAGAAGGCGAAGCAGGGCTACTTTTAGGAATAGCATGTCTGGTATATACCCAAGAACTGGGGCTTTATGCCTCATAGGCATGATACTTGAGGCCAAAAGTTCCATACATGGTGGGCAGTTGGAATTGGACCCTATGCACAAGACAAAAAAAAATCCGCTTATGGTCTTGGGAGGCAACATGAAAATTATAATAATTTCAGGCTAATAATTCCAGGTCTTGGAAGGTATAAAAGGACATACTTTACGTACCTGCTCAGATTTTCTTGGTGCCAAATTACTGTGTACCATCAACAACCATGATACCACCACTTAGAAATGCAGAACCTTAGAACATATTTCTTTCTAAAGATACATTCAGAGATAAAAATTATATATGTGTATTAGTCCATTCTCACACTGCTATGAAGAAATACCCAAGATGGTAATTTATAAAGGAGAGAAGTTTAATTGACTCACAGTTCTGCATGTCTTGGAGGCCTCAGGAAACTTAGAATCATGGTGGAAGGTACTTCTTCACAGAGCAGCAGGAGAGAGAATGAATGCAAATGGGAAATGTCGGATGCTTATAAGATCATCAGATCTTGTAAGACTATCATGAGGACAGGATGGGGGAAATTGCCACCATAATCCGATTACCTCCACCTGGTCCTGCCCTTGACACCTGGGGATTATGGGGATTACAATTCAAGGTGAGATTTGGGTGAGGAAACAGAGCCAAACCCTATTAATACATATGTCAATCTATTAGGTTGGTGCAAAAACAATTACTTTTGCACCAACCTAATATGATAGGAAGAAATTAGACTAAGCAGCAAATATGAGGTACCATATGCGAAGAAAAAGAAATAATAAAATTATCTAAAAACAATTTTAAAATAATTATCTTTAATATTTTAAAGTGTGCTTGCACTCTTCACTGTACCAACCCACAGGTGTCTTTAAACTCATGACTGGTAGAGCAGCAACTGGATTTGGACTTCTGCCTGATTGCCTGTTTTCTGATAAGTTTAATGTACTTTGTGAAACCTCTCTATCATGCTGACCATGTCTCACAGAACTCGGTGAATGATGCCTGCTGCATCACGTAGCGTAATATTGGGCACACAGAAGGTGCTCTCTACAATGTCCCTGCCATGCTAAAGAGGCTGGTGATTATTGTGAAAGAGCCTATGTCAAGACCTGCTTGCTCATGGTCTTCACAGGGACAAACACAAGAGAACAACATAGATGACATTGAAGTGAAAGGAAAGTATATGGGGTTGGCTATATGGGACACAGTTGGGCAGGAAGGTCAAGATCACCTGAGGACTCTTTCCTACCCAGACACCAATGTTATATTGAGGTGTTCCTTCATCAATAGCTTTGGAGTTTAGAAAACCTCCCAGGACAAAGAACCTTAGAGAGTAAGCGTTTCTGCCCCAATGTGTACAGCATTCTAGTTGGGAACAAGATGCATCTTCTGAAGGATGGGCACATAAGACAGGATCTCACCAAGACGAAGCAAGAGTTGGTAAAACTTGATGGGTGCCTAGAGATATAACAATCCAGGTTGGCACTTTTGTGTGCCTGGAGGATTCAGCAAAACTGAAAATGGAGAGAATTTTTTGAAATGTCTGCAAGAGTGGCTTTGCAAGCCAGATGTAAAAAGAAAAATACAGGTAACTTGTTTTGTGAAACCTCACTGCAAACAGAGCCCTCGTGTAATTTTTGATGTGCAGTTTATTAATCTTAGTGTACTATTACTGGCCTTTTCAATTTATACTTTACCTAAGATTACAAATCAGAAGTCATATTGCTACTGTATTTAGAAGCAAACCATGATTATTAATGACGTTTACATCCAACCCCTCTGCCCCACCAGGGTTGTTTTACTACTCTCACTACCCCTTCTCAGCACTACTGCATGACCAGACACCAATTCAAGGCATTTCTTAACTTCTTGCTCCTTTTTAGAAAGAAGAAAGGCTGGTAACTTTAATGAATAAGGCTGGAACTACTTTATAAATAACATGTCCTATCTGTCACATATCAGCTGCAAGACGCTCTGATGTAGTATTATTTTAAAGCTTTCTTCCTAATTAGATTTCACTGGTAATCTCATTTTTTGGAAATGTGCTCATCCTGAAAGGTACAACCAAGTCCATGTTGCTGTAAATCAGATAGTGGTGTGATTTCATGTTACCTCATATTTACTGTGTAATTAGTGCCATTTAATGTATTTTGCCAAAAAAACTACCCCACATTAGATTAGTATTTTTCTAAAATTGGATTTTGTAATGATATTTGTCACTGCTATAGGACATTATAAAAAGATAAGTAGGCCACCTTGGCCTAGCAAAAAAATACAGTCTCTGAAACAAATAAACAAGTAAACATAGCCTCTACAGGTGACTTAAATAGTAGACAGATCTTAATTACTGAATTACCACTGGTGACTTAAGTAGTACACAGATCTGAATTGAAAGATAGATTTGAATCATTTGAAATATACTACGAGAGATTAAGATAAATAAAATATAAGGGAGAAGTTAAGAGACATAGATGACAGGAAAAAGAGTGGCCTGAGTTTAAATAAGGGAGAGAGGAAAAAAGAGGAAAAATCAGTGGAATTTTGGAGGAGATAGTGGCTGAGAACTTTCTGGAAGAAATATATGATTTAATCTTTGGATTAAAAAGTACAAATTCCAAGATAAATAAATAAAAACAAACTCACACTTAGGTACATCATAATGAAAATACACAACATAAAGTATTAAGTTATTTATATTATGTTGTCATGATTACTTTTGTGTCAACATAATATAAATAAGATCTTAAAGGCTACCAGAAAGAAAAAAAAAATTGTCCACAAAGGAACAGCAAGCAGACCTCCTGACAGAAATAGAAGATGCGAAGAGATGATCAGTCAGCTGAGCTGGTCAATAGAAAGGAGATTAAATGTTAGAGTAAAAATAAACTTATTTTCTTCCTGTCATGTGCAAGCCACTAAGCAGAGAGAATGAATGAAGCAGGTATCTCTGTGGAAAAGAAAAGGGACAGATGGGCAGGGAGAATAGTCTGTATTGCTAACGATTTCCCAGGACCTGGCTTCAGCCCCTTGAGAGACCCACCTGTCCTAGGCTTCCATAATAATTTATAATATTCCAATAAAATCCATTCCTCTTTTTTTTTAAAAAAAAATTGCTTAAGTTACTTTAAGTTGGGCTCTATTATTTCTAACCATAATATGAATAAGACAATCTCTCAAATGTTCCAAGAATTAAAAATTCAAATTCATTCAGTATTTATTGAATGCTTATTTATATGTAAGTGTATATATTTCAAAGTGTTGCTAGTTGTGATTGTGATGGAGTTGAAGTGGCAACAAGAAGACATGCAAGGCCACGGCATGTGTTTAAGTAGTTTATAATCCTGTGGAGAGAGACAAATATGTACATAACTGACTTTAATGCTTAACAAGATTATAAGAGCTATGATGAGCACTGTTAATTGATTTACTAATCCTCAGAGCAACAGCTGAGGGGTAGAGAGCTGAAGTGACTTCTCCAAGATCATGTATCTTAGTAAGTGGTGGAGCTGGGATTCTAACATACAACTCCAGAGCCCACAGAGGTATCCTCCCTAATACTAATAAAAATATCAACAAATTATTGCCAGGTACTCAGTAGTTTTACAAATGTCATCATGTTTCATCTTTACCGTAAGATACTGGCCTTACTTACTCTATTTATAAAAGAAGAAAATAAAGTTTATCATCCTTAAATAAATTGACTAGGATTATCCAGCTAGTAAATGGTGAAAGCACTATTCAAACTGGAATAAGTGAAGGTTGCACTCCTCTTCTCAAATACATGGTACCACAGGTCTTTCAGCATTTCTTAGCATGGGTCTCCTAGGAGATTTCTTGCATTCAGAAGTCTCCAGATGAGAAGAATCTATCTGTGTGCTTACACACACCCCAAGACTCCAGAGGACACATATTAAGTTCCTTAAGAATTTTTTCATCAATGATGTCTCCAGTGATATCATGAGAGAGGCCCTATGTTCTGAATTTCAACAAGCTTGTTTCCAGGAAACACAAGGCTGGTTGTTTCTTCAATAACCCCCATTATCTGTAAATTATTCTATGGATGCCTCCCTTTTTGGCTTTGGGGAGATGAAAATGCTCTCCTCTCTCCCCTAGAGTGAGAATTGGCAATAACTTCTCTAAACACAACACTCTGTGATAATCTCCCCCCAAAACACAACACTGTGATAATCTCCCCCAAAGCTCCCTGTGCTCTGTTTGTTTTTACTTTTTCATTTATTTTAAATGACAAAAATTGTATACATTTGTGGTATACAGTGTGATGTTTTCATATACTGGTACATAAGAGTGGTGGTGACGGTGGTAGTCCATGTCTAGAGGAACAGTGTAAGTCATCAGCACAGAGAAGTAACCACCTTAACTTCAGTGGCTAGTTGGCTGCTCTCCAAATTTTAGATGCAGTGTATTTAGATGTGGTGTATGTAGCACCATTTTCCCTTACATTTAATATATAGCCATAATTCTGGTGTTACAGGAATGATCCCACTTGAAGTACCAATTCTGTTTTGATGAAATGACAAACTTTGCTTCAGAAAATTTAAAATAGTGGCTACATGAGGAAACAGTAGAGATGAGTAGAGCTGGAGAGAGAGACTGAGGCTCACGTTTGTATTAGGGCTAAGAGTAGCTAAACCTGGACTACATATTGTTTGGTCCCAAACCAATCCCAAATGTTGACAGAAAGAGCCACAGTTTTTACCATCAGATTTTACTACAATAGATGGGACTCCAAAGTGTCACTTTTTTAAATTATTTTTTTAATTTCTTTTTCTAATTTTACTTTAAGTTCTGGGATACAAGTGCAGAACATGCAGGTTTGTTACCTAGGTTTACATGTGCCACGGTGGTTTGCTGCACCTGTCTGAGGGAGCGCTCCTTTCATGGGGGCACTAGCTGCTGGTGCGGGGTCTGTTCCTGCAGACCCCTGATTTGGAGATGGATGAATAAACGTACACTGATAGATATTCTGCTCTGCCAGTCCAGCTGACAGTCCAAGCTGCTTATAGGCTTCCTGCTGAGTCCTGTAAACAGTTGGGACTTGGCCCTGATTAGCTAGTGAGGCTCGCATTTATTCTGTAAGACTAATTAACAAAAGTTGTGAGTAAACACCATTAGAGGTAAAGATTAAAGGCCAGGTTCCTAGGCCTAAAGCAAACACCATTTACAGGTAATAAACTTCTGCTGACCCTCCTCCCCGACAGTAGGAGGCAGTGGCGAGGCAGTAAAGTACCCACGGTAGGACAAAGGACAGTCTTAAGCCCATATAAGTAAACAGGTTAGTAAGATAAACTTCCCACATTCCTTTACACTTGCACCCTAATCTTTCTTGCTCCTGCAAAGACACTCTGGCTGCATTCAGCCAAGAAATCTGAAGCTATGCAAACTCTCAGGCCTTCCAAGATAGTTTTTGGCTATTACTATACCTATCTTTAATATTTTTCCCACCAGCCTGATTGAACCCCAGCACCTATCAACCTGTCATCTCGGTTTTAAGGCCTGCATGCATTAGGTAGTGTTCTAACACTCTCCCTCTCCTTGCCCCCCACCCTCCGACAGGCCCCAGTGTGTGATGTTCCCCTCCCTGTCTCCATGTGTTCTCATTGTTCAGCTCCCACTTATGAGTGAGAATGTGTGGTATTTGGTTTTCTGTTCCTCTGTTAGTTAGCTTCCAGCTTCATCCATGTCCCTGCAAAGGACGTGAACTCATTCTTTTTTATGGTTGCATAGTATTCCATGGTATATATGTGCCACATTTGCTTTATCCAGTCTATCATTGATGGGCATTTGGGTTGGTTCCAAGTCTTTGCTATTGTATGTAGTGCTGCAATAAATATATGTGTGCAGGTGTCTGTACAGTGGAATGATTTATAATCCTTTAGGTATATACCTAGTAATGGGATTGCTGAGTCAAATGGTATTTCTGGTTCTAGATCCTTGAGGATTTGCAACACTGTCTTCCACAATGACAGACAACCTACAGAATGGGAGAAAATTTTTGCAAGCTACCCATCTGACAAAGGTCTAACATCCAGAATCTACAAGGAACTTAAATCTACAAAAAGAAAAAAACAACCCCATCAAAAAGTGGGCAAATGATATGAACAGACACTTCTCAAAAGAAGACATTTATGTGGCCAACAAACATATGAAAAAAAGCTCATCATCACTGGTCATTAGATAAATGCAAATCAAAACCGCAGTGAGATACCATCTCACACCAGTTAGAATGGCTATTATTAAAAAGTCAGGAAACAACAGATGCTGATGAAGTGCCACTTTTCAAATAAACTGTGTTCCATGGAGCCCTATGGTTTAAATAAGGTGCCTCAGGAGATGCTAAAGAGAAGGATGGAAGGAATTAAGTATCTTCTTTAAGCATAACAACTTCTTATTTTACTGATATATTTACTTAAAAATATTTTTTAAACAGTTACAGGATATCAGTCTAGGATCTGGGAACATATTTGTCAATAAGGGTTGGTTCATGGAGCTTATGGTCTAATGGAGGAGACAAACATAAATAACCACACAATCCAATGCATATTACTTACCTAGATAAGCCCTTTGGAGGAAGGCATACAATTCTTTAAAAAATATTGAAGTAATTTAACTAGACCTGTGGTTCAGAGAAGACTTCCCCAAGAAAAAGACGCATGAGTAAGTTCAGAAAACATGAGAACTTAACTACATGAAGTGATGGTTAGGAGGGATGAATGAAGGAGAGAAAGAAACACTCCAGAGAGAGAGAGAGCAGCATGTGGAAAGGCCATTGGTAGAAAGAAAAATGGATTTAAAACTTAGATGCCTTCATGATTGGAATACAAAAGAATAAGGGAAAGAAAGGTATGATATTAGGCTGGAGAGATAAATTTAGACCAAAAAGAATTTGCATATCAAGTTAGTTATTTTGTCTTTATTCTAAGAATAATGTAAAGCTATTGAAAGATTCCAAACATAAGAAGAGATGATACATATAACAGCTTTAATTAAAAATTATTTTGAAATAATTGTAGATTCACATGCAATTGTAAGAAGTAATATGGGACGATCTGCCATACCCTCCACCCAGTTTTTCGCAATAGTAACATCATGTAAAACTGTAGTACAATATCAGCACCAGGATACTGACAGTGATACAGTAAAGATACAGAACATTTTCATCACCTAAATGATCTCAGTCATGTTGTCCTTTTATAGCAATACCCACTTTCCTCTGTTCCCTCTTCTTGTTTTTCTCCTCCTCCTCCTCCTTTTCTTTATTTTTCTTTCTTCCTTTCTTTCTTTCTTTTTTTTTTTTTTTTTTGAGAAGGTGTCTCACTCTGTTGCCCAGGCTGAAATGTAGTGGTGTGATCATGGCTCACTGCAACCTCCTCCTTCTGGGGTAAATCGATCCTCCCACTTCAGCCTTCTGAGTAGCTGGGACAAGAGGCGAGTGCCACCCTGCTCAGCTCATTTTTATATTGTTTGTAGAGACGGGGTTTTGCAATTTTGCCCAGGCCATCTCAAACTCCTGGGCTCAAGCGATCCTCCCGCCTCAGTCCCCCAAATTGCTGGGATTACAGGCACTGGCCACTATGCCCAACATCCCCACTTTCTTCTTTTCTTCATCTTATACTTAATCTCTGGCAACCACCGATCGAATCCCCATTTCTGTAATTTTGTTTTTCAAATTTGCAATATAAATTAAATCATGCATGTAACCTTTTGGTATATATTTTTTCATTCTGTGTATTTATCTGGTAATTTGTTGATTGTACTGATAGTCCATTCTTTTTTATTGCTGAGTAGCATCCCATGGTGTGGATATACTGTAGTTTAACATTCACCCATTGAAAAACATCTGGGTTGTTTCTAGTTCTGGCTATTCAGAATAAATCTACTATCAGTAGTCATATACAGGTTTCTGTGTGAATATAGGTTTTCATTTACCTGGGATAAATAACCAGGAGTGCAATTTCTGGGTTGTATGGTCATTGCATGTTTAGTTGTCAAAGAAACAGCAGCGAAACTAAAACTTTAGTTCTTCATGGAACTTTCCAGTTTTCTTTTTAGATTCTCATTAGCAATGTTAAGTGATCTAGTTTCTCTGCATTCTTTCCAGCATTTAGTGCTGTCGCTACTTCTTATTTTATGAATTTTAATAGGTATGTGGTGGTATCTCATCATGGTTTTAATTTGCATTTCTCTAAGGGCTGATGTCTTAGTCCATTCCTGCTGCTATAACAAAATGCTTTAGGCTGGATAATGTCTATATAATACACATTTATTTCTCGTAGTTTTGAAGCTGGGAATTCCAAGAGCATGGTATCAGCAGATTTGGTGTCCGATGAAGGCTCATTTTCTGTTTTATGGTGATTTGCTGCATTCTTGCATGGCAGAAAAGCAAAAAGGGGCCAAACAGACTCCCTTAAGCCCTTTTATAGGGGCACTAATCTCATTCATGAGGGCTTTGCCTTTGTGATGTAATCACCTCTAAAGGCCCTACCTCTTAATGCATTGCACTGGGGATTAAGTTTCAAAATGAATTTAAGAGGGCTACAAACATTCAAAGCATAGCAGATGATGAACGTCTTTATGTGCTGATATTTCATCATTACATTCTCTTTTTGATAAAATACCTGTTGAAGTCACTGGCCTATTTTTAAATTGGGCTTTTTCATTGCTGTTGAGTTGTGGAGTTCTTCACATATCGTGGATACAAGTCCTTTGTTGGATATATAATTCGTACTCTTGTCCTGTAGCTTTCATCTTCTTAATCGGGTCTTTCAAGGAGCAAAATTTTCTAGTTTTTAAGAAGTCTAATTTGTTAATTTTTCTTTTTATGGATTGTAATTTTGGTTTTAAGTCTAAGAATTTTTTGCCTAATGCTAGGTTTAGATGTCCAATTGCTCCAGCACCATTTGTAGAAAAGTCTTATCTTTCTTCTTTGAATTGCTTCCTTCACTGGATCGTTTTTTACCTTTGTCAAAAATCAATTATACTTATTCATGTAAGTCTATTTCTATAAGGGGTTTCCATTCTGTTCAATTAATCTATGTATCTGTCCCTGTACCAACATCACACAGTCTTGATTACTCTAGCTATGTAGTAAATCTTGAATGAACTCAGGGTAGAATGAGTCTTCCTACATTCTTTTTTCAATTTGTTTTAGATATTCTAGCTCCTTTGCCTTTCCATATAATTTAAAAAATAACCTTGTCTGTATCCACAAAGCCAAAAAGTCTTGCTGAGATTTTGATAGTAATTGTATTAAATCTTTATCAGTTTGGGGAGATGTGCTATGTTGAGTTTTCCAATCCATGGAATGGTATACCTTTCCATTTATTTAGAACTTATGGCCAGTCATGGTGGCTCATGCCTGTAATCCCGGCACTTTGGGAGGCCAAGGTGGGTGGATCGCCTGAGGTCAAGAGTTTGAGACCACCCCGGCCAACATGGTGAAACCCCATCTCTACTAAAAATATAAAAATTAGCCGGGCGTGGTGGCAGATGCCTATAATCCCAGCTACTCAGGAGGCTGAGACAGGAGAATTGCTTGAACCTGGGGGTCAGAGGTTGCAGTGAGCTGAGATTACACCACTCCACTCCAGCTTGGGCAAAAGAGCGAAACTCCATCTCAAAAAAAGAACTTCTTTTATTTATTTCATTTGTGTGTGTAGTCTTTAGAATACAAGTCCTGTATATGTTTTGTTATACTATTTCATTTTTTTGAGCAGTTGTAAATAGTGTATTTTTAATTTTTGTGTCTGCATGTTCATTGCTAATATGTGGAGTTCTAATTTTTTTTATGTTTATCTTGTATCCTCTGACCTTGCCGAACTCATTAGTTCTAGGAGTTTTTATACACTAGGATTTTCCTATGTAGAAATTGATGTCATCTACAAATAAGGAGAATTTTCTTTCTTTCTTTCTGATCTGTATTCTTTATTATTATTTTTGTTTCCATAGGTTGTTGGGGAAAAGGTGATGTCTGGTTACGTGAGTAAGTTCTGTAGTGGTGATTTGTGAGATTTTGGTGCACCCATCACCTGAGAAGTATATATTACACCCAATTTGTAATCTTTTATCCCTCACTCCCTTCCCATCCTTTCCCCACTGAGTTCTCAAAGTTCATTGTGTCATTCTTATGCCTTTGCATCCTCATAGCTTAGGTCCCACTTATGAGCGAGCATACGATGTTTGGTTTTCCATTCCTGAGTTACTTCACTTAGAAAAATAGTCTCCAATCTCATCCAGGTTGCTGCGAAAGCCATTAATTCATTTCTTTTTATGGCTGAGTAGCATTCCATCATATATGTAATATATATAATATCAGTTTCTTTAGGCACTCATTGATTTATGGGCATATACATTGGTTCCACATTTTTGCAATTGCAAATTTTGCTGCTATAAATATGCATATGCAAGTATCTTTTTCATATAACGACTTCTTTTCCTCTGGGTAGATAGCCAGTAGTGGGATCGCTGGATCAAATGGTAGTTCTGCATTTAGTTCTCCATAGTGTAGTGTTAGTTTACATTCCCACTAGAAGTGTAGAAGTGTTCCCTGTTCACTGCATCCACACCAACATCTGTTTTTATTTTTTGATTATGGCCATTCTTGCAGGAGTAAGGTGGTATCAAATTGTGTTTTTGGTGTGCATTTCCCTGATCATTAGTGACGTTGAGCATTTTTTCCTACGTTTCTTGGCCATTTTTATATCTTCTTTTGAGAATTGTCTATTCATGTTTGTTTTTTCTTGCTCATTTGTTTGAGTTCATTGTAGATTCTGGATATTAGTCCTTTGCCAGATGTATAGATTGTGAAGATTTTTCTGCCACTCTGTGAGTTATATGTTTACTCTGCTGACCATTCCTTTTGCCATGCAAAAACTCTTTGTTTAATTAAGTCCCAGCTATTTATCTTTGTTTTTATTGCATTTGCTTTTGGGTTCTTGGTCATGAAATCCTTGCATAAGCCAATGCCCAGAAGGGATTTTCCAATGTTATCATCGAGAATTTTTATAGTTTCAGGTCTCACATTTAAGTCCTTGATCCATCTTGAGTTGATTTTTCTATAAGGTGAGATATGAGGATCCAGTTTCATTCTCTTACATGTGGCTTGCCAATTATCCCAGCACTGTTTGTTGAATAGGGTGTCTTTTCCCCACTTTATGTTTTTGTTTGCTTTGTCAAAGATCAGTTGGTTGTAAGTATTTGAGTTTATTTTTGAGTTCTGTATTCTGTTCCATTCGTCTATGTGCCTATTTTTATACCAGAACCATGCTGTTTTGGTGACTATGGCCTTAAAGTATAGTTTGAAATCAGGTAATGTGATGCCTCCAGATTTGTTCTTTTTGCTTAGTCTTGCTTTGGCTATGCAGGCTCTTTTTTGCTTCCATATTAATTTTAAATTTTTTTTTCTAATTCTGTGAGGAATGATGATGTTATTTTGATGGTAATTTTGTTGAATTTGTAGATTACTTTTGACAGTATGGTCATTTGTCATTTTCACAATATTGATTCTACCTAATCATGAGCATGGGATGTGTTTCCATTTGTTGGTGTTGTCTGTGATTTCTTTCAGCAGTGTTTTGTAGTTTATCTTGCTAGAGGTCTTTCACCTCCTTGGTTAGGTATATTCCTAAGTATTTTAATTTTTCGCAGCTATTGTAAAGGGGGTTGAGTTCTTGATTTGATTCTCCACTTGGTCGCTGTTGGTGTACAGAAGTGCTACTGATATGTGTAAATTAATTTTGTGTCCAGAAACTTTGCTGAAATCTTTTATCAGTTCTAGGAGCTTTCTGGAGGAGGCCTTAAGGTTTTCTAAGTAAATAATCATATCATCAGCAAACAGCAACAGTTTGACTTCCTCTTTACTAATTTGGATGCTCTGTATTTCTTTCTCTTTTCTGATTGCTCTGGCTAGGACTTCCAGTACTGTGTTGAAGAGGAGTGATTAGAGCAGGCATCCTTGTCTTGTTCTAGTTCTCAGAGGAAATGCTTTCAACTTTTCTCCATTCAGTATTATGTTGGCCATGGGTTTGTCATAGATGGCTTTTATTACACTGAGATATGTCCCTTGTATGCTGATTTTGCTGAGAGTTTTAATTATAAAAATACGCTGAATTTTGTCAAATGCTTTTTCCGCATCTATTGAGATGATCATGTGATTTTTGTTTTTAATTCTTTTTATGTGGTGTATCACATTGGACGTAACCATCCCTGGATCCCTGGTATGAAACCCACTTGATCATGGTGGATTATCTTTTTGATGTGTTGTTGGATTCGATTAGCTAGTATTGTGTTAAGGATTTTAGCATCTATGTTCATCAGGGATATTGGTCTGTAGTCTTCTTTTTTGGTTATGTCCTTTCCTGGTTTTGGTATTAGGGTGATACTGGCTTCATAGAGGATCCCCTCTTTCTCTATCTTGTGGAATAGTGTCAATAGGGTTGGTACCAATTCTTCTTTGATTGTCTGTCAGGATTCTGCTGTGAATCCATCTGGTCCTGGAGTTTTTTAAATTACCATTTCAATCTCGCTGCTTGTTGTTTTTCTGTTCAGGGTATCTAGTTCTTCCCGATTTAAGCTAGGAAGGTTGTATGTTTCCAGGAATTTATCCATCTCTAGGTTTTCTAGTTTATGTGCCTAAAGGTGTTCGTAGGGGCCTTGAATGATCTTTTGTAACTCTGTGGTGTCAGTTGTAATATCTCTCATTTCATTTGTAATTGGGCTTATTAGGATTTTTATCTCTTCTTTTCTTGGTTAATCTTGCTAATGGTCTATCAATTTTAGTTATCTTCTCTTCATCTTTTTTTTTTTTTTTTTTTTTTTTTTTGAGACGGAGTCTTGCTCCGTTGCCCAGGCTGGAGTGCAATGGTGCAATCGTGGCACACTGCAGCCTTCGTGTCCCGGATTCAAGTGATTCTCCTGCCCCACCCTCCTGAGCAGCTGGGGTTACAGGCACCCGCCATCATGCCCTGCTAATTTTTGTATTTTTGTAGAGATCGGGTTTCATCATGTTGGCCAGGCTGGTCTTGAAATCCTGACCTCAAGTGATCCGCCCAACTTGGCCTCCCAAGTGCTGGGATTACAGGCATGAGCCACCTTGATGGGCCTATTTATCTTTTCAAAGAACCTGCTTTTTGTTTCATTTATCTTTTGCTTTAATTTTGTTTCAGTTTCATTTAGTTCTGCTCGGATCTTGGTTATTTCCTTTCTTCTGCTGGGTTTGTGTTTGGTTTGTTCATGTTTGTCTTTTTTTCTTGAGGTGTGACCTTAGATTGTCTGTCTGTGCTCTTTCAGACTTTTTGATGTAGTCGTTTAGGGCTATGAATTTTCCTCTTAGCACCACCTTTGCTGTATCCCAGAAGTTTTGATAGGTTGTGTCACTATTGTTGTTCAGTGTGAAGAATTTTTTAATTGCCATCTTGATTTCATTTTTGATCCAATGATCATTTGGGAGCAGGTTATTTAATTTCCATGTATTCGCATGGTTTTGAGGGTTCCTTTGGTAGTTAATTTCCAGTTTTAACGCACTGTGGTCTGAGACCATGCTTGATATAATTTCAATTTTCTTAAATTTATTGAGGCTCAGTTTGTGTCCTATCATATGGTCTACCTGAGAGAAAGTTCCATGTGCCATTGAATAGAATGGATATTCTGCAGTTATTGGGTAAAATGTTCTGTAAATATGTTAAGTCAATTTGTTCCAGGGTATAGTTTAAGTCCATTGTTTCTTCGTTAACTTTCTGTCTTGATGATCTGTCTAGTGGTGTAGTAGTAAAGTCCTCCAATATTGTTGTGTTGCTGTCTATCTCATTTCTTTGATCTATGAGTAATTGTTTTACAAATTTGGGAGCTCCAGTGTTAGCTGCATATATTTAGGAGTGTGATATTTTCCTGTTGGACAAGGCCTGTTATCATTATATAATGTCCCTCTATGTCTTTTTTAACTGCTGTTGCTTTAAATTTTGTTTTGTCTGATGTAGGACTAGCTACTCCTGCCCGCTTTTGGTGTCAATTTGCATGGAATGTCTTTTTCCATCCCTTTACCTTAAGTTTATGTGAGTCCTTATGTTAGGTGTGTCTCTTGAAGGCAGCAGAGAATGAATTCTTATCCATTCTGCAATTCTGTATCTTTTAAGTGGAGCATTTAGGCCATTTACATTCAATGTTAGTATTAAGATGCGAGGTACCATTCCATTCATTGTGCTATTTGTTGCCTGTATACCTTGGAAGGTTTTTTTTTTTTTCAATTGTATTTTTGTTTTATTGGTCCTGTGAGATTTATGCTTTAAAGAGGTTCTGTTTTGATGTGTTTCCAGGATTTGTTTCAAGATTTAGAGCTCCTTTTAGCAGTTCTTGTAGTGCTGGCTTGGTAGTGGTAAATTCTCTCAGCATTTGTTTGTCTGAAAAAGACTGTATGTTTCCTTCATTTATGAAACTTAGTTTCACTGGATACAAAATTCTTGGCTGATAATTGTTTTATTTAAGGAGGCTGAATATAGAGTCCCAATCCCTTCTAGCTTCTAGAGTTTCTGCATAGAAATCTGGGTTACCTGGTGTTTTTGCCTTACAGCTCTTAAGATTCTTTCCTTCATCTTAACTTTAGATAACCTGATGGCAATGTGCCTAGGTGATGATCTTTTTGGGATGAATATCCCAGGTGTTCTTTGAGCTTCTTGTATTTAGATGTCTAGGTCTCTAGCAAGGCCAGGGAAGTTTTACTTAATTATTCCCCCAAATATATTTTCCAAACTTTCAGATTTCTCTTTTTACTCAGGAATGCCAATTATTCTTAAGTTTGGTTGTTTAACATAATCCTAGACTTAACATAATCCTAGACTTCTTGGAGGCTTTGTTCAATTTTCTTTTTTCTTTGTCTTTGTTGGATTGGGTTAATTCAAAAACCTTGTCTTTGAGCTCTGAAGTTCTTTCTTCTGCTTCTTCGATTCTGTTGCTGAGACTTTCCAGAGCATTTTGCATTTCTATAAATGCATCCATTATTTCCTGAAGTTTTGACTGTTTTTTCTTTATGCTGTCTATTTCACTGAATATTTCTTCCTTCACTTCTTGTATTATTTTTTAAAAAATTTCCTTAAATTAGGCTTTGCCTTTCTCTGGTGCCTCCCTGATTAGCTTAATAACTAACCTTCTGAATTCTTTTTCAGAAAAATCAGCAATTCTTGGTATGGATTCATGGCTGGTTAGCTTGTGTGATTTTTTGGGGAGTGTTAAAGAACCTTGTTTTTTCATATCACCAGAGTTGTTTTCCTGGTTCCTTCTCAATTTAGGTAGGCTCTGTCAGAGGGACAGTGTAGGGCTCAAGGCTGCTGTTCAGATTTTTTTTTCTCCCATGAGGTGTTTCCTTGATGTATTAGTACTCTCCCCCTTTTCCTAGGATGTGGCTTCCTGAGAGCCGAACTGTAGTGATTGCTATCTCTCTTCTGGATCTAGCCACCCAGCAAGTCTACCAGGCTCTGGGCTGATAATGCGGGTTGTCTACATAGAGTCCTGTGATGTGAACCGTCTGTGGGTCTCTCAGCCATGGATACCAGCACAGTATTTGGGGCGTCTCCTGGGTCCTTCAGGAGCAATCCGCTTCCTTCAGAGGGCCTGTGGGTTCTCTTGGCTTTCCTAGTGTATTCCTGCAGTCATTTTGGAACAAAAGTTCACAATGCAAGCCTCCACACACTGCTCTGTCCATCCGTGATCTGTATTCTTTTAATTTGCATTACTGTCCAGCCTTGTTGCACTGGATAAGACTTCTGGCATTATATTGAATAAAAAGGATGAGGGTGGACATCCTTGCCTGTAGTCAACCTTAGGGGAAAACCATTCAGTCTTTCACCATCAGATATAATGTTATCTGTAGGTTTTCCTTAGATTTCTTCATTGAAGAGGTTCCCCTGTATTCTTACTTTTCAAGAATTATTATCACGAGTGGGTGTAAAATTTTGTTACTTTTTTTCTGCATAAATTGATCTGATCATGTGTTTGTTGTTCTTTAGCCTGGTAATATGATGTACCATATTGATTTTTTTTTTGAATATTGAATCAGTCTGGCACTTCTGGAATAAACCTCACTTCATCTTGGTATATAATTATTTTTATATATTGCTTAATTCTATTTGAGGATATTTTGTTTAAGGATTTTTGCATCTACCCAGAGTAGTATCATAAAAATATATTTTCTGGCTGTGTTTCCAGGTTGGATAACAGATCTAACAACAAGGCTACTGGGGTGGTTCACATGAGTTATAGGTGGTAGTTTGTACTAAAAGGTAGTTGGGACAATCAATGAGGAGATGGAGAATACTGATTAACTTAAGAATATAAGAAAATATATATAAACTGTTGATGTATGGGGCATGGGGTTTTAAGGAGGAGAACATGTGAAAAATGACTCATAGGTTTTTGGTTTATACACTGATGGATAGAGATATCATCCGCTTTGTAAGAGACTTTAGAGGAATGTCAGGTTCTGGGTGGAAAGGATGGATCATGAGTTTAGTATTAGGCATGATGTATGTGATGTACCTTTAAGATAGCTAAGTAGAGATGTTACACAGGCAGTTGGGTACTCAGAGAAGGGGACTATGTTTGAAGTAATTTGAGGTAGCTATTAGAATTATATAGATTTATGAAATTGTTAGTAGAGCAAATATAGAGTAAGAAGAGCTTGGTGGACTAAATAGGTGGCTACAGGCGGAAGAGCCTACAAAGTAGAGAGACTTTAGCAGCCAGAGAAATAGGATTAAAGCCAAGAAAGCATGATACTGTGGAAGGTAAAGGGTAAAAATGTAGAAAGTATTGCCAAAAGAAAAGGAGTTTCTTATTGCCAAAAAGAAAAGGAGTTGTTATAAAATGGTGCTGAAAGGAGAGGTAAAATGAGGACTAAACCTTTCATTGGATTTTGTGACAGGAAAGCCACTGGTAAACTTAATGAGAGCTCTTTGCGTGGAGTGAGGGGGTAGATGCCTGAATGGAGTGAAAGATGAGTGGGAGGTGAGGAAGTAGAAACAGTGAATATTGACAACCATTTCAAAGTTTTGGCTGTGAAAGGGAGGAGAGAGGCAGGGCAGTAACTGGGTGAGGATGTAATAGTCATGAGAGCATCTTTTATTTATTTATTTTTTTTAGGTAGAAAGGCTTATACATGTTAAAATGGTGCTATATTGGGCTTCTTAATAAGTTTTCATTTATGGAAGTATTTCTCGACTTTAGGAATGCTGTCTATTGTTTTATAAGCAAAACAGAAAAAAATGAGTCATCCCACATAACTTGGGAAATGGGAGCCTATAGACCTCCAATCAGAGCTCAAAACACAAGAATGGGCTCTTCTGAGCTGGGTTTGGTGCAGCAGCTGTCAGACATACACAGTTACAGTGCCAGATCTGCTTAGAGTTACTCAACACTGCTTCCTATAGCCCCTCAGTATTATTTGGATTTGGCCTACGGTCACGACCCTTCCTCATAACTCTCAGCCTCAAGGAAATGAGTGCCAGGTCTTATGAAAGGTTTCTCAGTTATGCTATATAAATGCTATTTCTTTCTGCACAGATAGTAATAGAACTTATATTGATTTTTTCTCAAAATATATTTATTCTAGAGAAAAATTATATTTTTCAAAGTTCTTAGTTTAGTTCATTTTCATAATAATTTAATAGAGCATATAGAGTCCATGACTCACTAATTCAACCAATATATTTTAAATGCATATATCCAGGCACTTTATTAAATACCAGTAATATAGATGCATTAGACCGAGGCTATGCTCTTTAAAAGCTCATAAGCCAGAAGAAGAGACCCTTATAAAACTGTGTGGTGAACGCTGTGATAGAGCTATGCCCAGAGTCTATGAGAGCACAAAAGAAAGGCATATGCCCCAATATAACCAGCTCTGGGAAAGCTCAACAGGCCAAGCCAGGAGAGTCAGAGATAGCTATGTACCAAAGTGAGGAACACACCAAGTGACATGAGCACTTCAAGGCATTATATGCAAATAACTAGAATAAAAATTAATACACACGGAATCATAGGAAACATAGCTGGATAGGTAATCAAGGGCCAAGTTGTAAAGAAATTTGGATGCTTTTATCTCCAGAAACTTGGGGCTCACTGTGGTTAAAAGAAAGTTGATAATCATGGTCAGAAGCTACTAACCTTAGGTATTCTAACTTTTACCTATAATGTTTTGGTGCTGGAATTGGCTGAAAGGTATCAAGAACCCTGTTTGGGGTTTCTTATTGGGTTCTGGGCATCTAGGAAGGTCCTAGTTCCAGGGGGACATGAAGGGTCTTATCTGATGTGATGAAAGCTTTCTTATTCTGGGTAAGTGAATGGCAGTGATGAGCCTTTTTAGGATACAGTGTTGATTGGCCTGTATAGGGGGAGGAATGTTCCAATGTTTTAAGCTTCAGAAAGTACCCTCATACAGGCAAGAGTTACTAAAAGTTTTAAGAGTAGAAGATAGGCCTTATTCTTGGTGAGAACTGCCACCAGGACCATTTTAAATGCTGGGTAGGTGATAGAGACTTATTTTTGCAGGTTCTAGCCTACATCTTATTGTATTAATACTCCATATGAGAGGTACTTCTGTTAAGTAAAATTAGAAATAATTTTAATAACTTTCTTAATTTTTAGGAATACATTATTCATTTTGGCTTTAAGTATTACAACTGACTACTTGACACGATGGTATGCTTTATAGCTATTTAGTTAAATATTTAGAGTTTTCCAATTTTAAGTGTATCTTTTTGCATTTTGAAAATGATACTAAGGTTTCCAAAAATTTTTGAAACCCTTGAAAACCTTATAGGCCATTAATAGCAGGTTTCTGGTTCCTAAATAATAAAGCATGTCTGTATGCCAAGAGGCATTGCTAGATAGGGAAACATAGGCAGGGATTGGGAATGAGGATCTCTGAAGGCTGCACAAGTAAACACATACTTGTATGTGCACCCAATAACAAAGCCTAGTTTTTTTGTTTTTTTTTTGAAGGAGGATTTTTTTGTTAATGATTATACTTTAAGTTCTAGGGTACATGTGCACAACATGCAGGTTTGTTACATATGTATACATGTGCCATGTTGGTGTGCTGCACCCGTTAACTTGTCATTTAATATTAGGTATATCTCATAATGCTATCCCTCCGCCCTCCCCCACCCCACAACAGGCCCTGGTGTGTGACGTTCCCCTTCCTGTGTCCAAGTGTTCTCATTGTTCAGTTCCCACCTATGAGTGAGAACATGCGGTGTTTGGTTTTTGTCCTTGCGATAGTTTGCTGAGAATGATGGTTTCCAGCTTTATCCATGTCCCTACAAAGAACATGAACTCATCCTTTTTTATGGCTGCATAGTATTCCATGGTGTATATGTGCCACATTTTCTTAATCCAGTCTATCATTGATGGACATTTGGGTTGGTTCCAAGTCTTTGCTGTTGTGAATAGTGCTGCAATAAACATACATGTGCATGTGTCTTTATAGCAGCATGACTTATAATCCTTTGGGTATATACCCAGTAATGGGATGGCTGGGTCAAATGGTATTTCTAGTTCCAGATCCCTGAGGAATTGCCACACTGCCTACCACAATGGTTGAACTAGTTTACAGGTGTGTGACTGTAAACTAGTTCCTATTTTTCTACATCCTCTCCAGCACCTGTTGTTTCCTGACATTTTAATGATGGCCATTCTAACTGGTGTGAGATGGTATCTCACTGTGGTTTTGATTTGCATTTCTCTGATACCCAGTGATGATGAGCATTTTTTCATGTGTCTGTTGGCTGCATAAATGTCTTATTTTGAGAAGTGTCTGTTCATATCTTTGCCCACTTGTTGATGGGGTTGTTTTTTTCTTGTAAATTTGTTTGGGTTCTTGGTAGATTCTGGATATTAGCCCTTTGTCAGATGAGTAGATTGCAAAAATTTTCCCCCATTCTGTAGGTTGCCTGTTCACTCTGATGGTAGTTTCTTTTGCTGTGCAGACGCTCTTTAGTTTAATTAGATCCCATTTGTCAATTTTGGCTTTTGTTGCCATTGCTTTTGGTGTTTTAGACATGACGTCCTTGCCCATGCCTGTGTCCTGAAAGGTATTGCCTAGGTTTTCTTCTAGGGTTTTTATGGTTTTAGGTCTAAATTTAAATCTTTAATCCATCTTGAATTAATTTTTGTATAACGTGTAAGGAAGGGATCCAGTTTCAGCTTTCTACATATGGCTAGCCAGTTTTCCCAGCACCATTTATTAAATAGGGAATCCTTTCCCCATTTCTTGTTTTTGTCAGGTTTGTCAAAGATCAGATGGTTGTAGAGGGCTCTGTTGTGTTCCATTTCTGAGGGCTCTGTTCTGTTCCATTGGTCTATGTCTCTGTTTTGGTACCAGTACCATGCTGTTTTGGTTACTGTAGCCTTGTAGTATAGTTTGAAGTCAGGTAGCGTGATGCCTCCGGCTTTGTTCTTTTGGCTTAGGATTGTCTTGGCAATGCGGGCTCTTTTTTGGTTCCATATGAACTTTAAAATAGTTTTTTCCAATTCTGTGAAGAAAGTCATTGGTAGCTTGATGGGGATGAAAAGCCTAGTTTTTAAACGTCTCCTTCAGTGTTTCTTTGACTAGAAAACTCCTTTAGCTTTCTGACGGAGTTTTCTCTGGAAATCTTTCTAAATGATTTCTCTGGAAGTCCTTTAGGAAGTAGGCAATTTTGAAGTACATTTTCAGTGTACCTTAACAAATATAAACAATATTTTCCCCTTCCCCTTCAAGACATTTAGACATCTAAATATCTTGGGAATTTTTACCAACTCAAAGTTTAGAATAAAAAGAATACAGATAAATTTCTTCTCTCCTCAAGGCCAGACTCAAGGTTTGGATGAACAGTTACTTCATAATTCTCCAGTACCTATGGAAGAGTATTCAAATGGGTCTTGGCCTTCAGACATTGAAATTTAAGATGAGATTAAACTCTTAATGATACTTGACAGAGTAAATGATACAAATCTCCATCATGGCACCCCCCAGGTACAAAATATTTATCAGGAATTCCCTGTTAAATATATGCATTAAGGCATAGCCTTTACAAAACCTGTGTTAATAGGAAAATATAGGAAATGAGGAGAAGTGGGTCACTGATTGTGATCTATAAACACTTAAGGACACAATTGATGCTATTTTACAGACTCCTATCCATATGTGCATGAGAAAAGGGTAGCGTTTGGTTTTTCTATTTATTTTAGTTTTTCATCACTTAGAACAAAAGGTCTAGATGAACATGAGTTAATGAATATCAGAATTTCTAAGGGGTCAGGGCATAAGGGTATCAGTTAGATGCTTTCTGTAATGGAAAAGTGATTGGCTTTAAAAATAAGAAAAATCTTCATCTCACAACAAGAGCCTACAGGTAGCTTGGATTCCTGCACTAGTTGAGTCAGAAGCTCAAAGGGGTCATGAAGGATGACTTGCCGTCTCTTTGATTCTGCATGTTCTTATAAAAACTGCCTGTAGTAATTCAGGCAAGATGTTGCCTACTCACATAGAGTGGGAGAGAGAAAAAGAGATAGAAAGAGAAAGAGTTAGAACTAGAGCCATTCCTTCAGAAGGATTGAACCCTTCTTAGATCTGCCCATTCTCAGATCAGCCATTGTTACTAGGGGAATGCCATGTGTCAATAGGCAGACTAATCAGCATACACCCCTTGGAGTGACTGGGATCAACTTCTCCTAAGTTACTTCAAAGACAAGTAAACACTTGAACAGAATTACGATTCTGTCAGAAAAAAAAAGAGGCACAGGTGATGGGTAAGCAAGCAATAGCATATTCTATATAGCTACATTGTAACCGGTTTGTAGAGGAATTGGGTAGTTTCACTTCTTGGAATTCTTATAGACTGGATGGAAAACCCAAATACTAATGAATGTAAAACAGGAGATATGTGTTCCAAAGCACAGATTTCTTTCCTTATTTACAGAGGTTCAGACTTAGACCTTAGAATCGATTAAAATATAGAAAAATTGTAAGAGTATTGCTGTTAGTAGTAGAATTCATAATGCATTTGTGTTTTAAGTCTTTGAGGCACCTGTCTAAAAATAAGTAAAATTGTATCTTAAAAGGTCAGGAGTAGCTCAATAAATTTGTCAGCTGGCAACATACCAGCATATTTCCTATAGTGTATTTTTATTGTAAAGGAAGCAAATACATAAAACAACTTTAAAATAATAAATAGAAGTCTAGAAACCCTTGACTTTGGCTGGAGGAAACCACTCATTTACTCTGGCACTTGATAAAAGGAAGATAAGAAAATTTAAAAATATTAAATATATTTCTTGCATTATGTATCTAATTATATATACACATATACTATAAAAGGCCATAGATGAAACCACCCAAGGAATATGATTTATTATCACAAGTACATAGGTTCTCTGTTATGTGTGACCTAGTAGTCATCTTTCTAGAGCTGATATACTCAGTCTTACAGTCGTGGGTACAGCATACCCCCTGGCAACTGTTTAATTAGTTCAATTGGTATTAAATAACTTTACTATCTCTTTGCATCTATCCCCAATCTGTTTATTCTTGCAGAAAACATGTATCAACTTCCCATTGTATACCATGTAATATATTAAGTTTTGAAGATACACACAAAAAAATTCCAGTCTTCAGCAAGTTTAAAGTGTAGAAAGGAGTCATAAGACATAATGCCATATAATGTCACCATTCTTATAATAGAGCCACATTCAAGGAGGGAGGATAGAGAAAGATGTGGCTAAGTCAGCCAGATGTAGTCACAGAAAGCTTTGTTGGAGACAGGATATTTGAGCTGACTCTTGAAGAATAAGAAAGAGTTTGCAAGGTGCCAAGAAAGTGAGGAATGAAAGGGATGACATTTTAGGTGGAGAGAATGGAGATTCCAAGTAGTTTGGTAGAGCTGAAGAATAAGATGAGAGAATGGAAGTGCTAAACATGAAGACTGGCGGAAAACAACGAAATCTGGGGAGTGAGGTGCAGATCAACCAGATGCAGAAGCTGGAGGACCAGGAGAGGAAGACAGTTTGAATTTGTCCCAAGCCCAGAAACTTTGTATATTTTCAGAGTAACTTTATTTTGGTTTGAAAATGTCTGGGAAGTCAATTATCCCCTCTTCTTAATAGGGAGTAGCAGTTAAGATTGTGTTGATGAATAACAAAAAAATTCTGAATAAATAGTGGCTTAAGTAAATTGATTTTTTCCCCTCACATAAGACAGTTTGGGGCAGATGTGGCAACTCAAAAATGTCATTGTAACTCATTCTCCTTGAATATTTCTAATTCTGCTAAGCTTATCACTTTGTTGTATTTCTCATGATCACAAAATGTGTCTTGAAGTACTGGGCATTGCATTCCAGTGCCAGGTTAAAAAGTAAAAGGAAAATGCAAAAGATATGTATCGGCTAAGTTTTCCCCATTCTTTTTTGAAGGAACTTTCAAAGAAGGCTGATACTATGACTTCCATTTTTATCTCACTGCTTAGAACTTATAGCATCATCACCCCACCTATGCAAAGGAATCTTGAAAGTGTATATTATTAGCTGAGCCCATTGCTTTTGTGAACCAAATTTAGATTCTCTTAGTAAAGAAGAAGGGAAAATGGATAATGGATAGATAAATAGTAGTCTGCCACTTAAGGCATTTAGGTTGATACCCCTGTAACAGTAATCCCTATTCATCCCCACCCCTCCTCCTTACCCATTCTCACTGTTAACATCAAGTAAAGTTGAAAGTGCCCAGAAGTAGAATGTGAGACTTGGCTACTTACTATGACACCTGCAAAAATCACTGACTCTTATTGAGTTACAATGTCCTTGTATAAAATCTGAGAATAATATCTGACACACCTCTCACACTAGGTTTTTGGAGATCAAATTAAATCATTTTATTTATCAAGAAGTCTATACCTATTTATAACTTCAAGGTTGCCCTTGTTTATTTTAACCAAATTTCACATAGACCTTTGATTCTCAAACTCTAGCATGCATCACAGTTATCTGGGGGGCTTGCTAAAATACAAATTCCTGGGTCCTAACCCCATAGTTTCTGATTCACTAAATCTGGGATGGGACTGGAGAGTGTATTTCTAACAAGTTCTCACATACTGCTATTTAATGCACTTGAAGAACTAGACACAGTGGGGTAGAGATGCAGTAGCACTCTTTGAAGACATAATTCTGGATTCCTTAACAATAAAATCAACTGAAGACGTGTCTTGTTCATGCAAAGTTTTCTCTTCCATTTATTCCCTTCACACAGTTAACACTTCTGAAGGCCTCACTGTAGGACTTACAGTATGCTAACCATTCCAGATGTTTTATCTTAATTATTTATTTTGCAACCCAGTGGTAGGCTCTATAATTATGGCCATTCTACAGGTGAGGACATTTAGAAAGTTAACTAAATTACCTAAGATCACATTAATAGTAACTGGCTGAACTGGGATTCAAAAGGCTTGAAGATTCTAGTTTCCCAATTCTTAACTGTTAATACCACCATATGCCAGTAAGTTTGATGGCAAAGAAGCAATTTCACCTCTGGAAAAGATCAACAACTGAAGCAAACAAATGAAGCAGAACAGAAAAGGAACACCTATACAAGGATAATCTTGTGTGAATCACATTTTCTTCTCCCTTTCAAGGAAATTTTTCATTTCTAACTGTCTAGTCAAGTCCTGCCTTGGACCAACCTGCACCCTTGGCTTTCCCTCTCCTACTTCCTTTGGTCTGTTTGGGAGAACAGTATCTGTATAATTTCTCTAGTTTAATGCAGATGATAAATGGGACTATCTACTTTCATCTTAAATAAGTAAATAAATGGTGGCTAGTGGGCCAAATACAGCTTGCTGAACTTCTATAAATCTGCAAGCTAAGAATGGCTTTTATGGTTTAAATGGTTGGGAAAAAACACAAAATAGGATATTTCATGACACATGAAAATTATACATAATTCAAATTTCAGTATCTATAAATTAAGTATTCATGGAATACAACCCTAAGAATCCATTTACCTATTATGTATGGCCACTTTGTACTACAATAGCAGAGTTGAGTATTGGCAATGGAGACCATATAGCTTGCAAAGCCTAGAATATTTACTATCCAGCCCTTTTTAGAAAAGTTTTCTGATCCCATTTATTGATAACTATTTTTTCATAATCTAAGCTAGAAATGCAAAGAAGTATAAGACATTTTCCTCAAATCATTTTGTATCAATGTGAATCCTCAGTGATAATGAAATTAATAATGCACTTTAATTTTAAATTGTAACTCGGATTACCTTTTGCTGACCTTTCCCTTCTTCAATTCTTGACCCCATGAATTAAGAGAGAGAGATTGACAGACATGAGTGCATCTGGACAACGAAATACCTGCTGGCCAGGGCTCCAGAAGGTACATTTCACGAGGAACATAAGAAGCCATTTGCTGCATGATTACTACAATACAGACGCCTCCTGCACTATCTGATTTAATTCTCAGTTCTCCTGACAATATTATTAAAAAGATATTCTCATGTCACTATGATTAAAAATTTAAAACTGAGGCTTAGGCCAGGCGTGGTGGCTCACACCTGTAATCCCAGCACTTTGGGAGGCTGAGGCAGGCAGATCACCTGAGGTTAGGAGTTCGAGACCAGCCTGGCCAACATGGCGAAACCCCGTCTCTACTAAAAATACAAAAAATTAGGTGGGTGTGGTGGGATGCACCTGTAATCCCAGCTACCAGGGAAGCTGAGGCAGGAGAATCACTTAAACCTGGGAGGAGGAGATTGCAGTGAGCTGAGATCGCGCCACTGCCCTCCAGCCTGGGCAAAAAGAGCAAAACTCTGTCTCAAAAAAAAAAGAAAAAAAAAAAAACCCAAAAAACTGAGGCTTAGATTGGCCAAAGGTCACAGCTAGAATACAATGGACAGTGGGACTAAAAATTGAACCCAGGCAGTCTGCCTGCTAAGTCTGCAGTCTCAACAAGCTGGAAGAGAGAAACATTTAAGAGGGTCCAGGGGAGCTGTTTTTAAATGTTTGAGGGATGGCATGAGGGAAAGTGAGTGATGTAAATTTAAGAAATCTGGAGCAGGAAGTTTTAGGAAGTCAGCTTTTAATTTAATATTCGGGAGAACACTTGACAGAGCGGCCCATTAAAAGCAATAGGTTGTCTTCTGAGGCAGGTAGCACCTTCTGTTAGTGTTAAGCGTTTAACCAAGAGAGTAGATGCCATATTTGCATATTTTGGTTTGGGAAGTTGCACCATTTCGCTTTAAAAGTTTCTTGTTTGAATCACCCAAGGAGTCCTTTTAGCTCTTTGGTGAATTAATATAAATTACCACAAAGCAAAGAAGGATTCATCAAGAAAGGAAACTTAGAAACAACTTGTAATAGACAAAACCAGCTCCCTTCAAAACTGACATCAGCATGTATTGCTGTTTTAGCTCAACTGCTTGATCTCTAACTTAATCAGAGTGTTGGGAAAAGTAGATTAAAAGACTCAGTTTTTTTTTATAGGAAAGACTGTGTATGCAAATGTAAAACAATTCCTTCAGAGCCTATTGGAAACACAAGCCCAATGACCATGAGGCCTCATAAATCTTGTGGTCTTTAGTGAGGCTCTATTCTGTTCACTTAATAACATAAGGGTTCATTGTATAAGAAGCACAGGTAAAGAGGTCTTTTAGAAAATGATTGATTAGAGGGTGATAAGAATTTAAAACAGTGTGTGTGTGTTGTGTGGCATCTAAAATTTTATGTTTTCCCCCCCTCTGAGTCATAAGTAAGTACCACTGAGCAAGAAAGCCTTTTTTTCCTCTTAAACATAGGTTTATTTTTAGTGTTTGTCTGAGCTACTATACAGCAAGAAGCAAAGTGCCTTAGAAATATAAATTCTCCCTTGGTTCTTTGGGGATTTTATTTTCTCTCTAGTAGACATTCCCTCCTACATTCTTCCTTTAGTGTCTCGCCTACATTTTATCACAAAGCCAAAAGCTTTTTTGACTTCCTTAATTTATTCAGTACAACAGAAAAAAATTTAACAGTGGAAATTATAATATATAGTATTGGGCTGATTTTGAAGTTTTCTCTAGGTCATTTAACATGACTGTAGGGCTTTTGATACCATCAAAGAATTACCCTTTTAAACTAATTAGCACATTGAAAAAAAAGTTATCCAGGAGTCATTCTAATTTTTATTTCTCTCTATCTGCAAATAAATCTATATTTGACATTTTAAAATCTCAACAGTTATTCTTATGTAAAAAATCTTATTTGCCTGCAATTGAAATTGAGAGGAAAAGGACTCATTTTCTCCTATCTTCCATAAGCTTCTGTTTCTACAATTCTCGTTTCTCCAGAATAGTTTTTTTATCTTAAGTGCGTAAAATCTAATCTCAACTTTTATCAGCATAACTCACAATGTATTCATAAATGTTACATAAATTTTAGAGCAGATTTTTAACACATCATCTTACTTTTTCATCCTTATGTCTATATCTCCTTTATGAGAAACGTTACATGTCTAGCTTGATTGCATACTGTTTGCTAAGCATAGCTAAAATTTTCTTGCCTCTGTGCTTTTCATTTTCTTTTTCCTTTTAAAGTCAACAAAGGACACATTTTTTCGCTATGTTTATTGTATGTAAAAGTGGCAAACATTGGGAATGAACGGTAAATTTATTTAAAATACTGCCGTCTTTGTACCTCTCATGTTATTCAGTGGGATGCTTTCAATTCATCATCAGTTCATCTTTCAGGTCTTGGATCACCATAGCATCAGATACTCTGACAGTTAATCCCTAAAAGGAAAACTTCCTTATACCCCAAGTAATTTAAAATCTAGTGAATTACAATTCTCATGCATCTTAGATATTCAATAAGTATTGAAAATAGATTATGGCAGAGTTGGTAGACTCCTCCAGAAAGCCTGAAGGTCTCTATTCTCTATCCTCTAATAAAGCTTCCCTGCTATGGTTAATATACCACCATTGATAGTTAATATTTTGCTAAATAGGATATTTTTCTTAAAGCATTAGTTAAAAAAATAAATGTGAAAATAAAGAGGAGTATTTTGGTGGAAGCCATTAGGTGTTTCTCAATGTCAGTACCTGGCACATAGGAAGCTGCTATGATCTGAATGCTTGTGTCCTTCCAAAATTCATATGTCGAAGTCCTAACCCCTAAAGGGTTGCTATTAGGAAATGGAGGCTTTGAGGGGTGTTTCACCTCTTCTGCTATGTGAGGTTACAGTGGGAAGACAGCCATTTATAAGGAAGAGAGCCCTCAGCAGTCATCACATCTGCTGGAGTCTTCATCTTAGACTTGGCAGCCTCCAGAACTGTGGGAAATAAATGGTTGTTGATTATAAGCAACGCGGTTTATGGTATTTTGTTATGGCAGCCCAAATGGACTAAGACAGGGACACCCAATAAAAATGTACTGAATGAATGAATGGCAGATGGAATCCTTGAGCATCTGTAGATGTATCAGTCTTTAGGGTAGGGAGAAAAGGAAGAGGAGTAGAGACAGTGTTCAGATGGGATGGGGGAAGTTCTGAAAGATAAACTGGTGAGATTGTCTTCAACTACTTTAAAATTTGGCTTAGTATTGGTCAGAGGGAATGGAAAGAAGGTATATTTCTTTTTTCCTTTTTTTTAAATTATACTGTAAGTTCTGGGATACATGTGCAGAACGTGCAGGTTTGTTACATGGGTATACACGTGCCATGGTGGTTTGCTGCACCCATCAAGCTATCATCTACATTAGGTATTTCTCCCAACACTATCCCTCTCCTAGCCCCCCACCCCACAAAAGGCCCCGTTATGTGATGTTCCCTTCTCTCTGTCCATGCGTTCTCATCGTTCAACTCCCACTTACGAGTGAAAACATGCGGTGTTTGGTTTTCTGTTCCTGTGTTAGTTTGCTGAGAATGATGGTTTCCACCTTCATCCATGTCCCTGCAAAGGACATGAACTCATCTTTTTTATGGCTGCATAGTATTCCATGGTGTATGTGTGCCACATTTTCTTTATCCAGTCTGTCATTGATGGGTATTTGGGTTGGTTCCAAGTCTTTGATATTGTGAACACTGCTGCAGTAAACATGTGCATGTGTCTTTTCTTGTTGGTACATCTGAATCTGATTAACTATAGATTTCAGCATGACATAAGATATATTCCTCTAGAGACAACTTATTTTTCTAGTCTCTCAAAGAAAAAGAAATGATATTTTCCAAAATGACAGTTTCTTTTGTGTTCTTTGGGGAACAAGGAAAAATAAACGGAACTCCCCACATGGAGTCCCAGATTGGAAGCTTTTATCATTGATGGAGATTTTCCAAAAAAGATTTTTCTCTGGAATTTTGCTTATAATGCATTCCTCATATAAAGTTCTAGAAGATATAGAGAAGAGAATGAGAGCCACTGTGGTTTTGGTGAGGAGATAAGCCAGGATTCAGTGGTAGGAAGCAGACGTAAGTAGCAGTCTCAGACACAGCACTCCCAGCCACTAGCTCCAGACATTCCTGGCCCTGGCTGGAGGTGACATCACTATGGTCACTTTAGATACTGCATCAGAGGCTGAGCAGCAAAGGCCACTGAATTCCAGTTGTTTCTTGACGGTGCTCCCTAAGGAATCTTAAATAACTTTGGTTCATGAGCCAAAATGTTATTAAGGTATTATGGGTAATCTAACTTGTTTCAGATTAGAACAAAGGAGGGAAGACAGTTCTGTACTTTTTTTTTTTTTTTTGCAAGTGAAGAATAAAGTTTCCTTTGAGTTTTTGATTTCTAGGCTTTAAGTAGAGAGGCTTTCAACTGAAGCAATTATTGTATATATACTGCTCTACACACGTTAGAGTCTTGCTCCAGCAGAGAACTATTTTTCCGAAAGAACTAAAGATGAAGGGTAAAACGTGTTTTTAAAAATGTTAAATTGCATTTAAAATTATGACATTTTGTAGTTATTGTAACTCTATAGGCTAATCAGAGCCTAGAAGGAGTGTGTTGTAATCTCAGTTCTGCCACTAACATGTTGGGTAGCCATAATAAATCACAAAATTGCCCTCTCCCTTAATTTTCCCACGTATAAAACAAAAGTTATAATAATTTGCTGACTTGCACTGAGAAATAGCTGAGAACATTACTTTCAAACATTTTAACATGTATAAAATTCTACCATAGTCTTCAAAAATCATTTTTGGTTAATTTCCATAAGAAAGTAACATACATTTCAGTATAATTGTTCTTAACATACAGAAGTACAGAAACTAAAATAAAAATTTTTATAATACCATTACCCTCAAAAGGCTCATTCTGGATTGGAGTTCATGGACAGACTCTAAGGGATACGTAATGACTTTTATTCTTTAGGTAAGTTTTAGGTGTATTGACCTTGCAAGAGTTCACAGCTTTCATTAGGCACTCAAGGGAGCATCTGACTCCCCAAAAGTTAAGAACCACTCCCCACACAGAAGTTACCTCTGTTATTATTCTGTTATATTCTCCTCCATTCTCTTCAGTGCACACAGGTACATGTACATATACACAAATATTTATTACAAAATATGCATTGTGCTAAATCTATTATATATGTTAGATGTTATGAATTTTGTCATATATAATTTTATTCTAAAAATGATTTTAATGACTGCTTTGTATTTAACTACATGGATGTCTTATGGCTATTTAATTGCTTCCCTTTTTTGAACATTTAGAATATTTACATTTGGTTATTATAAATAAAGTTTTATAAACTTCTATTCATATAAATGTTTGCATATACTTCTTTTTAGTTCTTTAACATGATTGTCTAAAAGTTGCTTCTTTGATTATTTCTAACAATATGGTTTCCATTTATTGGCTTTTCTAGGTTATTCCACTGAAATACAGATTGCTTATTCTGAAGAACAGGACCTTTTAGAAGCTTATTTTCTTAGAAAATATATTGAAAATGAACATAGCTGATCAGTTTATATGTTGTTTACTGAAACAACAAAGGTTTAATGATTGCAAAAATGTACTCATTGTGTGATTTTTCCAGGTTATGCAATTTTCAGTCTTTGAGAATTGCTTTGAGGATTTTTCCAATCATGGAAATATAACATTAGAAGGAAGTTAAAATGATCTGACTCCTCAGTTTTTTATCTTAATTATCTGCAGGTATATCATGTTCTTCAAGTAAGATTCACTAAAGGGGTCATTTGCCACATCATGAGTTTAAAAAATAATACTGAAATAAAGGTCCAACTTTTTCTCTATCTCTTCTATGAAACAAAATTGAAATTAAATCACAATACATCAACACATTTTCTATCTGCCACATTTCTCTTGGTATAAGAGAAAATTACTTTTGGTGAGCATCCTGCTTGAGAATATTTGTCAGCCCCTGCCCCAAAGAACAGCTTGCATTCATTTTGTGTTTGTTTTGTAGTCTCTTCTATCAGGGCTACCTTGGCAGCCTTTTTGACCTTTCTAGGGCTTGTGGATTATCCATTTCTTAGTGAGTAATTTTTCACTGGCAACCAGCATATTTCATTTATGAAATGACCTTTCCAATTCCTGTTTTTTAAAGTTTTAAAGATGTGTTCCCGATAGTTGCCTCATTCTTCAAAAAACCAAGTATGGCTCAAGATTTTGTAATTTCTATACTACAGTAAGAAAGTATGGCTTGCCTTCTTAAAAACATTGAGCTGGAATTACAAGCAGTTGGTTTATAATCTGTTGATTTCTTTGGAAGTTATTTAAAATGATGTTTTTATTTTGTTTTACCAATGTGTAATTCTAGTTGCCTATAGGCATTTTGGCTCAGTAGGTCCAGCCATCACCTCAGAGTTATTGCATCCCAGACCAATGGAGGGCAAACCATTTCTCGCTTCTATTTTTCTATTTCCCTCAGTTTAATTACTGGATTTCCAGTCTCTTAGACTAAAAACCTTAGCTTCTCTTTTATCTCTATGTGTTTGATGATCCAACGCCCCATACTTTCAGAATCTTTAAAATTATTTCTGTTTTCCCGTGTACTGTAGAAAGTCTCAGAAATGCCAGAAATGTGATGTTCTTTCCAATTTCTGATTTTATATCCTTCACTTATACATGGGCACATAAATCTTCGGAAAGACCATGTATGATCCCAATTTTTGGTTAAGATAAAATTATAATTAACCATACATAGTGTCTGTCACCAAAGTTGCCTTTCTAAAAATATCTTTCAATTTCAATTCTCAATGCTGTCTTTCCTCGTCACATGCCAAGACTATGCCAGAGCCTCCCAGATGGTCTTCTTGCCACCAGTAGATTCGTCTTCCAATCCTTCCTTTATAATACTTTCCAACTATTCATTTGATAGGACTATTCAAGTCATGTTTTTCCCTCTCAGGAATAATAACTATTGTTTTCTGTGATGGTTTTGAATCATGGACCTATGAGTTCTAGGGTTCTGTTGTGGTGCCTCAGGAAACATATTATGTGAGAAAGATGGTTAAGCTACTGGGTTCTGGCCCAGTTCCTGCTGCAATCAGAATGGCTTCATTTTTATGTGAACTGTAATACTAACTGGGGTATGTTGGTAATGCACACACTGTGATATAGATATACAAACAGACAGACAGATAGATAGATAGACAGCGAGATACATGGTAGATAGATAGATAGATCTACTACCATTTCCAGCTTTAAGCTAATTATGATGAAAGAAGAGTAACCTTTACTCTTGCTACTAGATAGTATACAACATACACCTATTATCTGCCTCACCAATAAATACCAAACATGTGCTTTATTCATTAAACACATATTGAATGAGCAAACTAATCTTTCTCCAAGTCCTTCGAAGAAGATATATTATCCCAGTTTGGAAGTATGTACAGAAACTTTAAAAAGTGAATTTAAACTGAGTTCTGCCTTATTTAGAAGACTCGTATCTTTCCTGGGCCAGGTTAATGGAGGCAGAGGATAACAGTATAGGAAGCTTCCTATGTTTCTTTCCAGATTTTAGATAAGAGGCCCTTTTTTAGGCGCCGATCTCCCCGTGTTCTCCTATTTAATTTGACTGCAGATCTCAGATTCTTAGCATATTTTCCTTACCTTTAGTAGCTGGAGAGACTACCTCTAGTAATTGAAATGCATCTCCTCACAAGGCTGTCTGTGGAATGGAATGCAGTTTTTCTGACTCCTCACTTTCCGTAGGCCCATTTCCTTTTAAGGTTTTGTTGCTGATTACTGAGAAGAAATAGAAGTTAACACATGAACAAAATGGAGAAATTAAAAATAGTTAATTTTATAAATTCTTTTAGTCTTGATGACCCCTCATCCATAGCACTTGAATGCCTCTGAATTGGATCATTTAAGTCCCGCACAGTTTCTATCTTCAGATATTAGTCTCTTGTGTTTGGTGTTCACCAAGGCTGTATTTCTTCACTTCAGTAAGGATATTGTGTCCTTACTTCTGTGATGGCACCTCTTCCCAAGTGGAGGGTGCAATCTAAAGAGAACATTTGATATCATAATTTTTTTCTAAAGTTTAAAACCGTGCACACACACACACACACAAAAACCCAGCCACTGGGAGATCAAGAAGTCTGACCTTAGGTCTCACTGAACACATTTACTGCTGTGTTGGATAAAATTTGGCTTAATATTTTCCCAAGATGCTGTGATACAGAACATACTGGGAAAACTTGCAGTTTGTCCTACAGTAGTAGGTGCAGTACTGCAATTTATGAAACATTTAGATATCTTATGATCTATTTATACAATGTATAGAGTGCTCAAAATTTACTGTATAAATAATATTAAAATATACACGGCAAAGTTTCCTTCCAAAGATAATTATGAATTATTTTGGCCAGCTGAGGACATGGATATGAAAATAATTTTCTAACCATTTGATAATTAATCACACTTCGTATATGTGTTTCTGTGTATTCTTGTGTATTTTATTCACATATCTATCATACTGTTGGTTGTATTATATTTCATTTTTGGTTTAAATGTCTATCTCTACATTAATTTTAAAATTAGAAAGACCTGGGGTAGGCTCCTGTAGCTGCTATTAACCTAAGCCTCTGTTTTCACATCTGCAATAGGTGTAATTTTGCTTACCCCACATAAACTGTGTAAAGACTAAGTGCAATAAACTTAGTGCATGAATATTTTTACATCAGTGCCTGCACATTTAATATTCATTTAATGCTCATTGAATGAAAAAACAAACTCTGACATATTAACGGCAGAGGGATGTTGTCTTGTACTTTATTTTCTCCATGTATAGCAAAGCAAACAATATTATAGGATCTTCATTTCATTTAAGAGTTAGAAATGAATATTTTGGGGCATAGAATAGATGAAAATGGAATTGGACTTAGTGGCTACATTATAGCTTTTTCATTATTGTCAATGTATTTATTAATTAAAATTTAATGGTGGTAATATTGTTTATGAGTAGTGGCAGAATTAAATTTCAAAAATCAGTTAACCTAATTACTAATGCTCCTTAGCAGCAGAAATTCAGTAAAAATGCCAAGGATCAGATATTATCTGGAAATTGACCTGAAGGTTGTATATGAATTTCATTTTAATGGGCAAACCAAAGAGGTCACAAAGATGATTTCCAATCAAATACTTTTCTGTTTTTTTTCTGATATATGCCAGAGAAGGGAAAATGAACAAATATATTATACACTGATCTTTTCTTTGAATCGTAAATTAATAATGAAGTTAGGCTGCCTTAATGTTTTTTCTTATTTTTATAGCCATGTTTCCTAAGAGTGATTCCAGAAAGCTTTGACTGGTAATACGGTTAGCTTCATTAAGTGGAAATATATTTTACAAAATAGATATATTTTAATTAATGCACCTTAGAGGTATGAAGAGAACAGAGGTCCTAGTTCTAAAAGTTTCCATTACTTTACTGGGTAACCTTCACAAAGACATCCTCCCGTTTCCCCTGTGTAAAGTCAAGGACTTGTGCCAGGTGAGTTTTAAGTTTTCTTTCAGTTCAGATATTCTCTGATGCCAAGTTACCTGCAGAGTAAGCAACTCAGATGTAGGAAAGATTGTAATGATGATGATAATCACGAGCATGACAATGAATGCCTTTTATTGAGCACTTATTTTGTGCTATAAATTGTGTTAAGTGTAGACATGTGTGCAGCATGCCTTCATATGAATCATCTGAATATATATCTCCAAGGAGATCCTGAAATTAAGCTGTTAACTATAGCCATCCTCCTGTCTTTCTAAAAATTCACATTTCCCCTTTCACTATAAATGTGTTTTTAATCTAAATGAAAAGAGGATTATAATAATGTAGGCTGTCTCTGGAACAGTTAATGAATAATGGTATCAGAGTTCCTCTGCAGATACCTTATTGAAACAGCCAGGAGGCAGTCTATAGAGTGGGCAAATGGGTTATTCTCAGGAATTTGTTCCCTTGCAGCTCTCTCTCTGATGAGGCCTTGGGCAAAATGCTTCATGTTTGTCTTTGTTCTGAAATTACAATATAGTGCAGATATTTTTCCCTCCGATTTGATTCTGTGACTGAATGCTCAAGAATTAATGTGGGAGTTAGAAGTTTCCAATAATAGGCATATGTTACCATAGACACATCCTTTAAGTATGTCAGCGGTACATTATGTCAGCAGCACTTTACCTAAAGGCTCTCAAAAAGTTGTATTTTATGAGATCCTGAAATTATTTAGTTGTGAAAGGTAATTAGACATTTGACCTTTTTTGCTGAGAATTGGTCCTGCAATGCTCTTCTAGAGTCTTGTGGCAAGTTATTATGGGAGCCACTGCAATTTACTATAGAGAATATTTAGAAGGTAAGGGATAAGAGATAATGAGTCTCTCTAACTACTTCAAGATAGTCCTATGGGTTTGTTAAAGATGAGAACTTGATAAGGCAATTTTAGTTGAAATACATTATTTTTACCTCTGCTTTTTGCATTTTGGGGGAAATAAGTTATCAGCTGCCAGAATACTTAGCTTTGAATACGCAGCATTAAAGAAAGAAATAGAAGTATCTTTAGCTAGCTTTCCCACATTCTTTCAACTTATCACTACTACTGCTATTTCTTTTGCCATATGATAAGGAGTGTTGAAACAGATGACTCTAAGATATTTTTGTAAAGGAAATTCTGTGGATTAGAGGAGAGAATATTTAGTGAGCACATCCTGTGTGCCTTGCAGTGGGCTAAGCAGTATGGTATTTCTTGTCAAATATTTATTGAAATGCATGCCTGGCATTGTGCTAGGGACATGAACACATCAGTGAAAAGACAAGGCCCCTGCAGTTAATAAGCCTCACATAAGATTTCAGGTGATCTTCATAGTAAATATATAAATTTGATATTTTAGTATCTTTATTTTTTTAATATTAGGAAACTGAGGGTGAGGAAAGCTAAGTAATTGGTATATGGTTACCCACCTAATAAAAGGTGGAATAGAAATTGGAATCACAATCTGTCCGATAGTGTTTCACTATATCACAGAGTTCTTTACCCCTAGTTTGCTCATGGCAATAGAAGAGTCCAGCAGCTTGGGTTCAAGTCTGGCTCTATCTCTACTACGTGTTTAATCTGGAGCAAGTTACTCTCCCTCGTGAAGTTTCAGTTTTCTTTTCTATGAGATCAAGACAATAATATGCTATCTGTAAATGGTAGTTAAGGATTGTGTGAGAGGATGATTGTAAAGCACCGTGTATGTGCTTAGCACATTGTGGGGCCTGGGCCGTTGCCATTGCCATTGTGAGGGTTAATAATCTAAGTGGGAAATGTAAATTCTTGTTGTTCTCAATTTGTCTCTTCATTTGTTTCCTCCATCTAAAGCTTATAGCACCCTGTCAGTGGCAGGGGCTGTTAGAGCAGAGATGGCAGTGGGAGTGGGGCTGGGGTGGGGCTAAGGAGGGATTAGTTGGACAAAAGTGTTTTAGGAGGATGTGATTGGAAAGTAGACTGGGCATGAAGTGGGCATGGGCAGGACTCCTTTCTTCAGTTTCAGCTACAGACCTTTTAGTTTTGTCTGTCATTATACTTATGCATTCATTTGCGTAGTGCTTGAAAAACTGCCTTTAAGTGAAAGTTGCTTGGGTGGAGGAGCATATTTAGAGATTTTACAGTTTTGTTTTATTAACATTTATGTCCTTATCATTTCACAGTATTTTTGGCACATGACAGGAGTTTCATAAATGATGGTGAATGGATGAATGAACTAATGAACAAACAAGTGCTTACAAAGCATCTTAGTGCATGCATACACATACACACACACACACACACACACACACACACACACACACACAAAGATACAATTCTTAGGATATAACTTGGAGGTAGGGACAATAGCTAAGCAAAATCCAGGATTAAAAATGAATTGGATACAGGAGAAAGGTTGGGCCTGTATGTAGGATCATGGTTGCATGCTGAGACTCAGGCATTGAGCTGGGTTGATCACTCTGCTTTGTATTTACACCATGTATTTTTGCTACAAATAGCTTTCATAATAACATAGGGAGGTAGTGGGGTAGGTCAGGCATGAGCTACACTGGTATGATACCCTGTGTTGGAATTTTTACCCACTTCTACTATCAATTATACATTCAGTTCAAAGACCCATGCTGAAAATTCTGAGCTTGTGTAGATCACGTGATGGGCACCAACCAAGCAGAAGACCACTGAAGTCCTATATAAAGGCTTTACTCATCTCCAGTCAATTAAGGAAGCATGGAGCGTGAGCCTACTCCCCACACTGTTGTGCAAAGTTCCATTTCAATATATTTACATTTCAATATATAACTACAGAGCAGATTCTCAACAGGGGAAACATTGCTTTATAAATATTGAATGTGCTAGTTATATCTGACCTGAGAAGAACCTCAACTTGTTAGAGGACTGTATTTATCAGCCCAGAGCTCCAGTGTATTATGCATCAGGGGCTGTGCAAAGTTTGGTGAACAATGAAAAACTTGAAATTGTTTTCATTGTCCTATTTAACTATTGTCATTGTCATCATCACCATCATCATCATCATCAAAAATCAGTATTTACTATAAGAACTTCTTTTCTCGGAGTGAAAAGAAAAGATAATGGATGAAGAAATAAAGCTTATGTCCTTTAAAGAAATTTTAATTGGGAAGCCAAGGCGGGTGGATTGCCTGAGCTCAGGAGTTTGAGACCAACCTGGGCAATACGGTGATACCCCATCTCTCCTAAAAATACAAAAGAAATTAGCCAGGCATGGTGGTGTGTGCCTGTAGTCCCAGCTACTCGGGAGGCTGAGGCAGGAGAACAGCTTGAACCCAGGAGGCGGAGGTTGCAGTGAGCCGAGATTGCGCCAGTGCACTCCAGCCTGGGTGACAGAGCCAGACTCTATCTCAAAAAAAAAAAAAAGTTAAAAGAATTTACATTTTGTTATAGAAATAAGTGAGAGAATTATATTCAAATATAAGAGGAGTTGGAATTTAGGGAAAATTGTTTATTTCTGTGTGGAGGAGAAAAACTGACATTAAATATTCCTTTATTTCATTTACGGCAGATAGAGGATTTGGAGTATACCAGGATGATTCGTAATAGTGTAAGACCCAAGGGGAAGACTTTTCACCTTTATGGGCGAATAAAAGACACTATGAGGAATAAAAAGAACATGAGTTCAGTAGAAGTAGGTTCAAATCCCCACTTTGCCACTCACTCACCATGTCCTTAGACAAGCTATTTTCTCTAAGTTTAGTGTCTTCATCTGTTAAGTATGTACAATAATATTTTTCTTTAAAATGAGATGGTATGTGCAAAATACCTTGCAAAGACCTGGAACATAGTAGATATTTATTATATGCTAATTCTTATTCTTTCCCCTTGAAAATATTTCAGAATTACCACTCCCACAGAACCAATCTTTAAAGTCACTAATTTCTAAGCCTTTACTTAACCAGTTTTTTTTTCCTCATTGTCTATATACATTTCTACCTTTTCTTTTGTCCTGTAGTTCTCCCACGCCCAAGAGAACATCCAACTCATATCTTTCTATATACACAAGGTTGACCTTTTCTTTCACAAGTAAATCAAGTTCACCTTTTCTGTGATCCTTTGTGACTAATTAACATTATAGTCGCAATTAAATAAGTGATTAATATTATAATCTTCCTCCTCTGAACATCAATGTGATATATTATGTTTACCTCTTATTTACACCACCTTACTACAGATATTACAATTATTTTATTTTTTTAAGAAACTAACATGGTAGTAGGCACTGTGCTAAGCTTTAGGGATCTGCAGAAGTAAAAGACTGAGGTCTTGTATCCAATAAGTCATAGCACTCTTGAAGAAGCAGATACAAAGGCGTAATTACAAACAAGTGTAAATACTCTAGAAGGTGTTTGCCAAGTACTGTAGATGCATGCCCTTTCACCCAATTAAAACAAGGAAGGGGCTCTGTTTTATATTTTCCTGCTGTAAACCTCCTGAGCCCCTAGAACATTCATCATAGAGTTGAGCATTAAGTAATTATTATACATTCATTGCCTTGAATCATTCTGTGGAGAATTTTAATGTTATATAGCATTTTTAGATGTCTGAATGGAAATATTACCCAAAAGCAATCACCATTAAGATTCCGTGTGAAGCCTCCAAGCCCATGGAAATCCTAGAAATAGAAATGGACCCTTGATTCATTTAGAATCCATCATTTGCATTTGTGAAGCAGAAGTTCCTGAGCATTAAAGCAAAGTCAGGCTATATATAATTTTGTCTCTGGTGGGAAGCGTCTCTAATGAGCCAGCCTCAGCAGCAAAAGCCACGTATAAGCAGGTGCCTACCTGTAGCGCTGTCCAAAGGACCCAGATGCCAAATATTAAAATCAAGTCTAAGAAGTGTGTTATGGTCAAACTGAAATTCAACCTATGTTTATTGTCAGGCAAAGTTCTTTTGGAGACCAGTGCTTGAAGCTTGGGTCTGTGGTCAGTTATAGAGAACATAGATGTCTTTTAGGAATTGTCAGGGTTTGTAGCTGGCAAGTAGTATGTTTCTGTAGTTAAGAATATTTTATTTTATAGAGACCTAAATATTGGCCACTGAAATTCTGTAGGCAAGGCAGGGCCATTTAATGATGCTTGGATTGGACAGCGAGCAGAACTCCCAAAAGAGTACTCCCACCAGAGTTTACTCTGTCATATGACTCTGGTGTTTTATTGATGTGGAATTCCTACTTCCCCTAAGACACGTCTGTGTCTTTCTGGCTGTATACTGAGCTAACTTTGGGGACTGGAAATAATGGTGATTGAAAGATCACAGCTTATTAGCTTAATGTTTACTTAGCCTTTTACTGGAGCCAAGCACAAACAACCCAGAGGCAAATTTGGAAGCCCTATGTTCCAAGAAAGAGTTTTTGACCAAGGAGCTAAATAAATACTGTGGGTTCATATGGGATGCTACAGTCAGCAAATGCTGTTACATAATCACAGAGCTGGTCTTCCATGTAAGCAATAGAAATGCTTTCCAATAGAACGTAATTTGAGGACTTTCCAACTACTCTTTCTCCGTAGAATTTGGTCCTTTGGCTAAAAAACTTGGGCTTGGGAATAGAGAACTGGAATTTGCCAGGGTGGGGCAGGAAATATATATGAATAAAGGGCCAGTAAGAAGGATATGGCATGTACCAAATGCACAATCTTTCCAAAGAACAGTCCTAATATTAATAACTACTAACATATTGGGTGCATTCTATGCTTCAAACATAATATTAAACAAATTCTACCTTTTTTTCATTTATTTTTATAACACCCCAGAAATAAGGATGGTATTAGTATCCCACCATCAGACATCTACTAGGTAGCCAAATGGGACTCAAACACTGATCTGTCTCATTTCAAAGCTTAATACCCTCAGTCTCCTTATGCACAAGTGTATTGTTCCAATTTATGCCTCCACTTAGGAAACTAAGGCACCAAACCAATGAATATGGTATCTTTTGTTAGCATGTGGCTTTCCAGAATTGCACAGACACAGCAATCATACCATGACAATGGTGAGAGATGATACACGTGAGTCTTAATTGCTAATCTTTGCTCTCTTTTTTTGAAAAATATACACATTCACTCACTGAGGTAGAGAACGCCAATTTTCTGCCAGTCCTGGTGCTAGATGCAAGGGACTCTTCTGATGCAGGCAGATGTATTTGTAAACAACTCAATGTAATAAATGGATAAAACACTTCGAGAGTACAGAGGAGGGAGTAACCCATTTTGCCTGAGAGGGTGAGGAAAACTTCAAAGAGGAGGTGGCATTTGAGTTAGGCCTCAAAAGAACTGGCCTCTGCCTTCTAGGCAGAGAGAATACACTCAGAGTAAAGATATGTGAGGTGGCCCTATATAAATTACTGAAGGCTGAACCATTAAAGTGTTCTTTTGTTTTCTAAAACCCTACTTTATCTTTAAATATCACATATAATGTGGACTAAATTATAAATAGATGCTAATAAAATTAATGAGGTAAGAAAATGAAAGCAATTTATAACCATGAAGTGATAAATAACAATCATGTAATGATACAGCAAAATATACTGAGACAGTGTGTTATAGTATTGAGGTAATATAGTGTAATGGATAAGAGGACAGATTCTGGAGCCAGCAAGTCTAGGTTTGAGTCCTGTCCCATGTGATCTTGGGCAGGTACTTAACCATTTTATCTTTAAGTTCATCATCTGTCAAATGAAAATCATAGTTGTATCTCTCCCCTAAGGTTGTTGTAAGGGTAAAATTAGTTAATTCATAGTTCTTAGGACAGTTTTGGCACAAAATAGACATTCAACTAATGTTGAATTACAATGCATTTGAAAGCACAATTAATATATGAACTTCACTACAAAGATATATGAAAATATTTCTTATTTCCTTGAGCCACTGACTTGAAAATGCAACTGATTTTATAGATTTACCTCTCTGAAGACTACTGTCTTTTAAACTTGCAGGGAAATAAACCAACTCTTCTGAAGTTTAATTATTTTAGAATCATATACTTCACATGGTAGCATGTTTTCTGTGACCTAGGGTGAGTCACATAACCTATCTAACCCTCATTTTTTAATCTATTGGTTGGAGAAATTGTTCTATAATTTAACTTTTAGGCTGAGGTTTTGTGATTCTCTGAGTTACATTTCTTCCTTTCAAATGTATGTAGTGCCTTCCGGAGCAGAGGGCCAAGGCTACTATTCTCATTTTACAAATAAAGAACTAAAAACACAGGCAGAAAAGCCAAATTATATCCTAGGAAGTTGAAGACAGATGCAAGATTATGACCTAGGCTTAGCATGTGATCTTGGCCAAGACCTACTGTGTTGTAGGGAAATGATAATGGGTATTCATATGTAGCCGACTTAGGCTCAAATATGACCTGGTTCAAATCTGAACTGTTTACTTCTCTTGTGGCAGGACTGTGAATAATTTACACATACTAAATGTAAACAGGCTGACAATACCAATGTAATGTTTAGGATAGATCGTCTCCAAGTATGGGCTTCCTTCTTCTTTTCTTTCTTTTTAATTTGGTATTGCTTCTCTCTTTGAGCTTTCATACAAACATTCCCCCAATGTTGATTTTTAGAAATATTGTTCAGCTTTTTGCTTTGCTTGAGTTATTGCCAGAGTTAAAGAGACCTCAACTTAAGTGTCTGGGATTGTAAAATTATTTATCAGTTAGAACAGGAAGAACTATGCTGATAAATGGAGACAGGCGGGATTTAGAGATATCTGAAATCATAAACCACAGGCTGATGATACCTGGCTGGGTAGTCAGGGCTTTCCTTGCCGGCCCTTATTCTGCTGGAAACATGCAGTGCTTCCCATTATCTGCTAAGCCTTCTAATATTGTGCTGTTTTGGAACCTCAGAATTTAATTTCAGGTGTTGTTCCAATGTGTACTTCCACAAAGGTCAAATAATATGTCTTTTACCAATTGTCAAACCAAAAATAAATTAATGGATATAATGTACCCATTTGTAAGTTATTTCCTCATCAGTATTTTAAGAATATTTGGCATCTGTTATCTCTATGAGCTAGTAGAGTGCTGGAAGATGACCAAACAAATACAGAAGTAGAAAATATTTACAAATTCCAGAGACAATCAAGTTCAGTAAGGCAGCATCATTTATTGAGAAAGCACAGGATATTTATATCTGTGATTCTTTTTGTCCACATGTATCATAGTCTTGTTTTCTGTTGGTGATTTTGCTGAATCTGGTTGATGAAATTAAACATATTAATAAGAGTTCTCTGAGTGTTTTATTCCCTGAACAACTTTGAGAAGTACTGTCATGTTGCATGAAGTCTAAAATCCTCTGCTTGGAACGGTTAATTTATTCTAATTTATTGTGAGGCTATAAAATATGATTAAGAGCACAAATTCTGAGGTCCAACTCTGAGGTTTCCAGCTCTGCCACTTGCTGGCCATGTAATCTTGGGCCAGTTACTTAATCTATCTTGGCCAAAGTCTTCTCATCTGTAAATGAGGACAATAAAGTCAGCTGCATAGGTTTGTTATGAAGATTAAATATGCTATTACGTGTCAATTATTTAAAAGAATGACTGGTACAGAATAAAAACTTAGAGCTTTTACTATTGAGCACTGTTATGGACCAGGCTTTGGGTAAAATACTGCAATGTAAAACAAGTAATATTCTTCCCTCAAGGAGTATAATCTAGAACAGAGGTCTGCAAGCTACAGTCCATAGGCCAAATCTAGCTTGCCATTTGTTTTTGTAAACAAAGTTTTATTGAAACACAGTAATTTGTATCATTTACATATTATCTGTGATTGTTGTCATGCTTCAAGGGTAGAGTAGGGTAATTGTGATAGAGGTTATCTGGCTCACAAAACCAGAAATATTTACTAACTGGCCTTTACAGAAAATGGTTGCCAACCCTCGTGTAGTACAGAAGAGACATATAAACTAATACATTTTTATGCAGTATGGTACATAGGCTTAGCACGGTGCCTAGCGTATACTTATTAATTGTGTGTCCTGTGCTTGATTACAGTCGAAGTGAAGATTTATTAGTGAATAAAACAGACAAGAAAAATCTCAATCCTTATGGAATTAGAAGCCTAATAGGGGACTGTCTAGACAATACCTGAGAAAATGAGTAAAGCGTCACAAAGGTCAAGGAGGCACCCCAGTGTTTGGAGTATGACTACACCAATGTCTGATGGGATTGCGGCCATTTGTAATTAGGTTCCACCAAAATCTATTCAATATGAATTCCTGCTTATAACCTCTGCTCAATAAAGCCTATCCATTTACCAACCTTAGTGTGTAATAGGCTGCTAACATAGTCTTCTTGCCCAAAGTAAGTGCTTACTAAAGATTCACTGAATGAATAAAAGGAACGTGATCCATTATATTATTAGCTGTGGCTGGAAATTCCTCACTACTTTCCTTGATTCTATACATTCTTTAATGTCGACGTGAGGGTTTTTTTTTTTTTTTTATCCTTTAAGATGCCTCCCTTGACTATTGCTCCTTGATCTCCCCATTCTTGAAACTCATATTGCTATTTTATCACAGAGAGATACTGTGTTGTGACTCAGTTGGTGAAAGCACCTAGACAGTAGAAAGAGGAGAGTCCAATGCAGAGGTCCAGGTGAGACTTAAACTTTTTCTTATAGTAAGGGTAGGCTTAAAGTAGATAGAGATTTGCAAATAAAAGCTATGTAGGGCACTAAAGAGTCACCGTGACCAAGACTGACATAAATCCCAATCCTAATAGTGAGGGGAAGAGCAATAAAATCAAGCGGAAAGGTAAATGTGATAATGGTTCATACAGGATACGTGTAAAGAGAGGCATGATAGAAAATGGTGTTCATGGAAGAGGGAACAATGTATATACTAAGGCACACCTTAGCATACTAAGGCCCAGAGGTGAGGGAAAATTTGGTACAGTTGAGGAACTTGAAGCATTTCAACTGCCTGGAACAAAGCATTGAAGAAGGGCGGTGGTGAGAAATAAGGCTGTATTGGATAACAAGGGGAGACTTGTAGGCTGTAGAAATAGGAATGCATTGAAGGACTTGAAGCAAAGAAATGATATGATTAGTTTTGCATTCTAGAGACATCATATTGTATGCAATATGGAAAATAAAGTAGGATGGAACATGATTAAAAGAAGAATACCATATGCCGGGTGCTAAACTTATATTATCCCACTTAATATTTGCAACTACCCTGCAAATTAGAGATAAGTATTTTTATTTTATTGATAAGGGGAATAAGATTTTGATAGATTAAGTAAACTGTCCATAGTTACAAAGCTAAAAAATGGATGAGCTGAATTAAAATTAAGTTTCTCAAGATGAATAGCTATGGCTTACCCCTAATTTCTCCTGCAGTATGGCACAGTGGGGAATGGATGGGAAGTAGCTGGCCAGGTAAAGGCAGGGGGAACAGTATTATAGGCTGAGACAATTACTATGAAAAAATAGAAATATGAGAATCAATTGCACATCCGGGGAACTTCAGACTTGACTGTGTCATTGTGTTTTAGCAGAAGATATGGCTGGAGAAATAATGTTGGAATGAAATAATCCAAGACCCAGTAAGCATTTGGATATTATCCAACAGATGACCAGGAACTATAGGAAACACCCCCAATTCCACCTCAGAAAATGACATGAACCGATTTGTTTGTTCAAAGAGGTAATTGTAGAGGCAATGTAAAGATGGGTGTGAGACTACAGCCAGGATGATAATTGTGATATTATTATAATGGACCAGGTTTTAAAAAATGAAGATCTAAGCTAGGGTAGTGGCAGGAGAAATGAAAAGGTGGGAAAGATTTCATGAAACCTAATTTACAAAGTGGAATGAACAAGCTGAAAGCACTTTGAGAAACTGGTAGAAAATAAAGTTGAAAAGGCTAAGAAGTTTCAGCTCACGGAAAACCTTGGAGACTAGTGACTTTAAGTTTGGAATTGGTTGTAAAGACAAATGGAAAAATCATCTTTAGGTCTGAATTGGTATTGGGTTGTAGGAACAGATTTTACAACCCTCAATGTACCCTTTCAGCAATGTAGTTCTGGGACTGTTAACACATAAACATAAAATCATGTGCTTCATAATGACCTTAAATATTACATTCTTTTTTTAAAATCTCTATTCTCAACCCTCACTATTTACTTTACATGTGAGCACATTAAAGATAGAGGCCTAGCCACAATTCCTGCATGTGTCCAGTCTTTTTTTTTTTTTTAATATTAAACTGCAGCACCTCACTCTTGTTGAAGTTTAGAATTAAATGAAGTTCTGGTTTTATTCTTTTTCTTTTTGAGACGGAGTCTCGTTCTGTCGCCCAGGCGGGAGTGCTGTGGCGCGATCTCCGCTCACTGCAAGCTCCGCCTTCCGGGTTCACGCCATTCTCCTGCCTCAGCCTCCCGAGTAGCTGGGACTACAGGCGCCCGCCACTGCGCCCGGCTAATTTTTTGTATTTTTAGTAGAGACGGGGTTTCACCGTGGTCTCGATCTCCTGACCTCGGCCTCCCAAAGTGCTGGGATTACAGGCGTGAGCCACCGCGCCCGGCCAGTTCTGGTTTTATTCTTAAGCACTGAGAAAAAGGTCATGCTAATGGAGGGGCACATTAGAGGCAGTGAGTTACTTTACGTCTTAGATTTCTTTTGTATATTTAATGGCTGATACAAAGTACAATCAGGAAGAAGTAAGCATAATTGGATTTGTACCCTGAGAGATAAGAAAAAGCATTTAATTGTTACATTGTTTATTAGAAAAGGACACATTATAAGCTTTTTAAGGTTACCACCTGTGAGTGAGGACCACTCTGGAGAAAATTTATAATTATGCAGTTTCTAAATCCACATATTCAATGACTGGTTTCCCAGTAAGTCAAGCATTTTCAAAACACAGAGCAATAGTATTAACTCTTAAGATTTTAAATGCAGTAAGAATAAGAGTGAATTTTAGTGTATATTAATTTAATGCCTATATATATTTCAGAATGATCTGCATATGTTTATACATTCTTTAAAATGAACCACATATATTTTTGCATATCTTGTATGTGGCCCTGGATATGCAAACTAAAATAATCACAAAACACTATAAATATTATATATATACGTGTGTGTATATATATATAGAATGCATATATATGTGTGTGTATATATATATAGAATGCATATATATGTGTATATATATATAGAATGCATATATATGTGTATATATATGTGTATATATATATGTATGTATTAAAGCCATGTACATATGAGGACTTATTGTAGTTAAAATTTTAATGCTCGTCGGTATTTATAAAAGAGAAGAATGACAAATCAAACATTTTATTTCTGTTTATGCTCTGGTCTTAATAATTAGGTCCTACCCTAATTACAAACATATACCAAGTGTTTGCCATTTAATTTACTCCTTACAAAGCACTATAAAGTAGTTGCTATTATCCTAAACTTAAGCATGCTCTCTCAATTGTGAAGTTCATATTTTTAATACAATGTATCATGAGTTTATAAAAACTTCATGTCTCATCTTTAAGATGAAGATCTTGCCATATAGGATGCTTGTAAAGATTAGAATAATGCTTTAAAAATCTCTTGGCATGATTTCTAGCATATTATGAGACATTCTAAATGGTATGGGTACTTGCAGTGTAACTAGAAGCACAGTTTTTAAAGTGTCAGTCATTCCCTCTCAGCATATGCAAGTTTCAATGCAGATGTGCTTCTGGCAAAACTAAACTGAACAGAAAGCCATATTCATTGCTCAGCTGTCCCTTAGGCTTTACTGTCCTAATGGAAATGAAGAGTTCATTTTATCTGGTAGAGTCTACTTTAAATACCATGTGAAACAAACCAAAGTAAAAATAGATTTAAAGTAAATAATTAAATATGTAAAGAAGTAATGTCTCATGGTTACTAACTCCATTGTTTCTTTTAGTAATATGCAGTTTAGTTTTTTTTTCTAGCCAAATTTTCCTTGGAATTCATATTATGTAGACCAAGCTTTGGGGTTATATGTGTACATATATACTCACAGATATCCGCAGATAGGCATGTAGGCTTGTGGGAGGGGTGCGTGTGTGTGTGTGTGTATGCACGTGCGTGTGTGTGCTTATGACTATATGCAAGGGAACAAGAGAAAAGGAGCAAGAGCAAAGAAACTGACTCCACACAAGAAGGAAGTTATCTGTTTTATTCACCCTATATAATCAATACCTACTATAGTGTCTGGAACAAACAGCATTTTTAGGAGCTCAATAAATCTTTGTTAATGAATGTATATAGATTTATATATATTTAAAGTGTAGCTGCATATGTGCATAAATATATTAAAATAGCCTTCTACTTTCAGGAAGTCTATTTGTCATTCAGAATTTTTGTCACTGTATAAGTTAGGAGGAATAGATCTGTGTTATATCTATTTTCAAAAGATCTTTATTTTACTTTTCTAGTAATGAGACTAAAATAGCCATATTTGCTCTGACTAGGGCTTGGAATTAGATAACACCCACAGACAGCCATAGATTTTTTTTTATTAATCTTCTCATAATTAGGAGTTGTTAGAACATTGAAAAAGCAGTATGAAATCTACCAGAAATCAGGAATATTCTTAGCACAGTGCAGATGCTCCAAACTTTAAAAATGTACAAATATGAGTGACAGTTAAGCATGATGTACTCTAATTTGAGATTCAACTAAGTGTAAATAATCAGAATATATTAGTTGGACGTATTTGTTGTGGGAAGTCAGGGACCCCAAACGGAGGGTCCGGCTGAAGCCATGGCAGAAGAACGTGGATTGTGAAGATTTTATGGATATTTATTAGTTCCCCAAATTAATAGTTTTGTAATTTCTTATGCCCGTCTTTACTGCAGTCTCTAAACATAAATTGTAAAGATTTCATGGACACTTATCACTTCCCCAGTCAATACCCTTGTGATTTCCTATGCCTGTCTTTAATTTAATCTCTTAATCCTGTCGGTTGAGGAGGATGTATATTGTCTCAGAACCCTGTAATAATTGCGTTAACTACACAAATTGTACAGCATGTGTGTTTGAGCAATATGAAATGTGGGCACCCTGAAAAATGAACAGGATAACAGCAATTGTTCAGAGAATAAGAGAGATAACCTTAAACTCTGACTGCCGGTGAGCCAGGCAGAACAGAGCCATATTTCTCTTCTTTCAAAAGCAAATGGGAGAAATATTGCTGAATTCTTTTTCTCAGCATGGGATATCCCTGAGGAAGAGAATGCGCACCTAGGGGTAGGTCTCTGAACTGCCCACCCCCCGCCCGCCAGGGTGTACCTGTCTCTTATGGTTGAGACTGCAGGGATGAAATAAACTCCAGTCTCCCATAGCGCTCCCAGGCTTATTAGGAAGAGGAAATTCCCGCCTAATAAATTTTGGTCAGACTGGTTGATCTCAAATCCCTGTCTCAACTTCATTAGCAATTTTAATTTCACCTCGGTCCTGTGGTCCTGTGGTCCTGTGGTCCTGTGATCTCGCCCTGCCTCCACTTGCCTTGTGATATTCTATTACCCTGTTAAGTACTTGATGTCTGTCACCCACACCTATTCGCACACTCCCTCCCCTTTTGAAAATCCCTAATAAAAACTTGCTGGTTTTTGTGGCTTGTGGGCCATCACGGATCCTACCAATGTGTGATGTCTCCCCCGGATGCCCAGCTTTAAAATTTCTCTCTTTTGTACTCTGTCCCTTTATTTCTCAAGCCAGCCGACGCTTAGGAAAATAGAAAAGAACCTACGTGATTTTCGGGGCGGGTCCTCCGAAAAGTATTTACTGAAATGTTTTTCAGTAGGACCCTCCTAAACTGATCTTTTCAATAACAACAGAAATAATGAACGCAGTAACTGTCAAATATGTACTGCATGGCAGGGATCTGCTAGGAATTTCTCATACTCTGTCTCATTTAAATTGTGCAGCAATCCTATAAGATGGCTTTATTTTTCTTATTTTACACATGGAAACATTGAGGCTCAGAGAAATGATGTAACTTACCAAGGTCATGGTACTTATATGTGGTGGATCACAAATCAATCAGACATGCAGGGAACAAATATGTATTTTGTACCTGTCAAGATCCAGGTTAGGTTTATATTGGTGGCCAAAAAAGAAATTGTTTCCAGTATCTTGAACCTTACGGATTTAAAACAAGGTGTTTCTGACATTGAAGCCCTTGAATCTATATTACTGTATGATAAAATGTGCTGTTCTTCAGGGAAAATCCATGCATTTGCATAAACTGGGCATTTAGATGACAAAATTTCGTATTTTCATTGGAAAACAGAGCACTTGAGATTAGCAAATTGAAGAATCCCTGCTTTCAGTTGACTCATTCCAGTCCTGCCCTTGCTTTCTTTGGTCATGTCTTCTGTCTGCCACACTTTTCCACATGACTGCCATCAGGGCTTATCTCTGGATATGCACAGTAGGTTGCAGAAAAGCAGACAGACAGCAAATTGCTTTCAAAAAAAAAGAAGCTAGAGAGAAGGTTATAGTCTGAATCTAAACTCAAGAGTAACTTACAATGTAACAGAGAGAGAAAAAGGAAAATAGAAACAGAACAGAACAGAAGTTAGTCTGCTATGGGAAGGCCTTCCAGCAGCGTGGGAGAAGTATTTGCCATGGCAACTATTGCATCATCCTGCAGGGGTGGCAGGAATGCCTCAAGGGGAAAAGAGGACACCTCTTAAAATCCTATCTCCTGTTTACTAAAGCTAGAAATTCCATCAGAAAAACTCTGATACAAAAGGTAGAATACTTCTCTCCTTCTAACCTGACAATTGATTTTATGATCAGAGAGGAAGTTAGCTACCTAACGGCCCAGTACACTTCTCTTTGTTACCTATCATTGCTCTAGGACAAGTTATTTAATAACAGTTTGCCTGTTACTCCCATTGTCTAATGAATAAATTGCCTAAAATCATAGTACCTATGTAATTTATTGTTCAACCAAGGACACTTATGAGAGTAAAAGAGCATACTATTAATTACACAGAGAGAATGGGCAAAACCCAGAACTAACCCTGGTAAATTGAGAATAATGCTTATCCTAAATAAAATTAATCTCCACTTTCTGCAAATATTTGTGGAAGTAAATGAAGACCACTCAAATATGAACAAGCAGAGGCTATTTATTCAGAAATTTCTATATAGCAAAGGAGTCAGCCACCATCACTTGGATTTGGCAGACTCAAAAGTGGGTAAGGGTGTAGGAAAGCATCATAGCAAGGGGTGTGGTGGGGGAAGGCTTCTAGTCTGTTGAGATTGGAGGTTGTTGGCATGGAGGAATTTGGAGGCAGCCTAACTATAAGTGGGACATCCTATGTGATTAGTTTGCAGATAATATTTGTTCTTCTCTGGTTCTATGTTGGTACTATGAGCAAAAATTAGGGAAGCTGGCAGTCATTGACCAAGTCATCACCATTTTGAGCCAGTTACTGCAGAGACTGTGGGTCAAAGATCTATTGGGAAGAGGCAGTGGTGCAAGATGGCCAAATAGAACCCTCCAGTGATCGCCCCCTACCCCTGCCAGAAGGAACAACACATTGACCAACTATCCACACAAGAATGCACCCTCATAAGAACCAAAAATCAGGTAAGCAATTACAGTACCTGGTTTTTAAATCCTATCAAGGAAGGAGACACTAAAGAAGGAAGCAAAGACATCTTGAATTGCCAACATCATCCCTCACCCATCCCCTGGCAATGGCAGCGACTGGCCGCATGGCACATAGAATCTGTGTGCTTGGGAGAGGGAGAGCAAAGTGATGGCTGGACTTGGCATTGGAAATCAGTGCTGTCCTATAATAATGGAAAGCAACACAGAGCAAAAATTGGCTGGCACACATATAAGGAGAATTTAGACCAGCCCTAGCCAGAGGGGAATCATTCATCTCAGCAGCCAGAACCTGAGTTCCGGCTAGCACCACCATTGCATGCTAAAGGGCTCTGGGGCTCTAAATAAATTTGAAAGGCAGTCAAGGCCACAATAACTGAAATTCCTTGGTAAGTCCTGGTGCTGGGCTGAGCTTGGAGCCAGTGAACGTGGGATGCACATGACCTAGTGATACACCAGCTAGGGTGGCCAAGGAAGCACTTGTGTTTCCTCTCTCTCAACCACAGACAGCATAAGCAAACAGCTCTATAGTTGCTCCTTCCTTCTGCTTGAGGAGAGGAGAAGGGAGAGTAAAGAGGACTTTGTCTTGTAAGTTGGATACCAGCTCCAGAACTATATAATAGGGCACTAGGCAGAGTCCTGAAGCCCCTATTTCAGGATCTAGCTCCTGAAAGAGATTTCTGGACACATCCTGGGCCATAAAGGAACCTGCTGCCTTGAAGGGAATAACACAGTCCTGGCAGAATTCAACACCTGCTGACTAATGAGCTCTTGAGCCTTGAATAAGCATCAGTTGTTGCCAGATGTGTCATGGGCCTTGGGTGAGACTCATTGCTGGGCTGGCTTCAGGTGTGACCCAGAGCATCCCCAGCTGTGGTGGCCATGGAGAAGGGATTCCTTCTGTTTGAAGAAAGGAAAGGGAAGAATAAAGGGAACTTTGCCTTGCAGCTTGGGTACCAGCTTGGCCACAGTGACGTAGAGCACTAAGTGGACCCCTGGGGTTTCTGATTCTAGACTTTGGTTCCTGGATGAAATGTTTGGTCCCATCCTGGGCCAAAGGGAGGATACTGCCCTTAACGGAGAGGCACAGGGCTGTCAGCATTCACCACAAGCTGACCGAAGAGCCCTCCGGCCTTGAGTGAACATTGGAAGTAGCCAGACAGTACTTGCCATGGGCCTGAGTGAGACACTCGCAGCCACAGGGCGAAGCTCCTTCTGCTTGAGGAGAGAAGAGGGAAAAGTGAGAAGGGTTTTGTCTTGTGGCTAAGGTACCAGCTCAGCTGCAGTTGAATAGAGCACCAAGTGGCTTCTTCAGGTTCCCAAATCCAGATCCTGGATCCCAGTAGATGTCGGATGCACATGACCTAGATCCTGGATCCCAGTGGACGTGGGATGCACATTACCTAGTGATACACCAGCAAGGGTGGCCAAGAAGCACTTGTGTTTCCTCTTTCTCAACCACAGGCAGCATAGCTAACACATGGCATTTCTGGACGTGCCCTGGGCTGGCAGGCTGGGGGAAGCTTGCTGCCCTAAAGAAAAGGCCATAAGCCTAGCTGGATTTCTGTCTGTGGGAGGTAAAGCACTTGAGCCTTGAGGGAACATCGGTGGTAACCAGTCAGTGATTGACATGGGTCTTGGGCGAGACCCAGTGCCATGCTGGCTTCAGGTCTGATCCAGCACAGTCCCAGTGGTGGTAGCCAGAGGGTTGTTTTTGTCATCCCTCCATAGCTCCAGGCAGCTCAGCACAGAGAGAGAGGGTTTGTTTGTTTGAGGGAAAGTAAGGGAAGAGAGCAGGAGTTTCTACTTGGTAATCTCAGGAATTCTCCTGGATCTCACTCAAGAACACCACGGTGTTACCTCTACAGGTCTGCAAGACTCACAGCGTTCTTGGGCTTGGGGTTGGGGTGTCGCCTAGTGCAGATACGGCTATAGTGACCAAATACTTAGATCACAATAGTCAGTTACCTTTGAATACTTGGATTGGAGAACCTTCCCAAGAAGGATGTGTACAAATAAGCCCAGGCTGTAAAGACTACAATAAATACCTAACTCTTCAATGTCCAGACATTGACCAACATCCACTAGCATTAAGACCATCTACGAAAACATGACCTCACCAAATAAACTAAATCAGGTACCAGAGAGTAATCCCACAGTGACAGAGATACGTGACCTTTCAGACAAAGAATTCAAAATAGCTGTTTTGAGGAAGCTCAGTGAAACTCAAAAGAACACAAAAGGAATTCAGAATCCTACCAGATAAACTTAACAAGATCGGGCACGATGGCTCACGCCGGTAATCCCAGCACTTTGGGAGGTGAGGTGGGCAAATCATGAGGTCAGGCGATCAAGACCATCCTGGCTAACATGGTGAAACCCCATCTCTACCAAAAATACAAAAAATTAGCCGGGCATGGTGGCACATGCCTGTAGTCCCAGCTACTCAGGAGGCTGAGGAAGGAGAATCACTTGAACCCAGGAGGTAGAGGTTGCGGTGAGCCGAGATCATGCCACTGCACTCCAGCCTGGACAACAGAGTGAGACTCTGTCTCAAAAAAAAAAAAAAAAATTAACAGAGACTGAAATAATTAAAAACAGTTAAGCATAAATTCTGGAGCTGAAAAATTCAATTGATATATTGAACAATGCATAAGAGTCTCTCAACAGCGGAACTGATCAAGCAGAAGAAAAAATTAGTGAGCTTGAAGACAGGCAGTTTGAAAATATATGGCCAGAGGAGACAAAAGAAAAACAAAAAATGATGAAGCAAGCTTACAAGACCTAGAAAATAGCCTCAAAAGGCCAAATCTAAGAGTTATTGGTCTTAAAGAGGAAGTAGATGGAGAGTTTGGGGTAGAAAGTTTATTTGAAGGGATAATAACAGAGAACTTCCCAAATGTAGAGAAAGATATCAATACTAAAGTCCAAGAAGGTTGTAGAACACCAAGCCATTTTAACTCAAAGAAGACTACTGCACAACATTTAATAATCAAACTCCCAAAGGTCAAGGATAAAGAAAGGATCCTAAAAGCAGCAAGAGAAAAGAAACAAATAACATACAAAGGAGCTTCAATACATCTGGCAGCAGATTTCTCGGTAGAATCTTTACAGGCTGGGAGAATGGCACGACATATTTACAAGGCTTTTTATCCTAGAATAATATATACAGTGAAAATATCCTTCAAACATGAAGGAGAAATGAAGACTTTCCCAGACAAACAAAAGGTGAGGGATTTCATATACAATAGATTTGTCTTCTAAGAAATGCTAAAGAGAGTTCTTTAGCCTGAAAGAAAAGGACATTAATGATCAATAAGAAATCATCTGAAGGTACAAAACTCACTGGTAATAGTAAGCACACAGACAAGTATAGAATATTATAACACTGTAATTATGGTATACAAACTATTCATATCATGAGTAGAAATACTAAAAGACAAAGCTATCAAAAATGACAACTACAACAACTTTTGGAGACATAGAAAGTATAATATGATATAAATAGAAACAATAAAAAGTTAAAAATCGGGGGGATGAAGTTAAAGTGTTGAGTTTTCATTAGTTTTCTTTTTGCTCCTCTGCTTGTTTTTGCAATTGTGTTGTCATCAGTTGAAAATAACATGTTACGAGGCATTATTTGCAAACCTCATTAGTAACCTCAAATCCAAAAACCTACAACAGATACACAAAATATAAAAGAAAGAAATTAAAACATACCACCAGAGAAAGTCACCTTCACTAAATGGAATACAGGAAGGAAGGGAGGAAGGGATGTGGGAATGCAGGAAGGCAGGAAGGCAGGCAGTTAGGAAGGCAGAAAGGCAGGCAGGAAGGCAGGAAGGAAAGGATGACTACAAAACAACCAAAAAACAAATAACAAATTGACAGGAATAAGCCTTCACTTATCACTACGAATGTTGAATGTAAGTGGACAAAACTCTTCAATTAAAAGACAGAGTAGCTGAATAGATACACACACACACACACACACACACACACACACACACGCACACACACACACGACCCAAAAATCTGTGGCCTACAGGAAACATGTTTCCCCTATAAAACACACATGGATTGAAAGAAAAAGATGGAGAAAGATATTTAATGTAAATGGAAACCAAAAAAGAGCAGGAGTCACTATACTTGTATCAGACAAAATGGTTTTGAAGACAAAAACTATATAAAGAGACAAAGAACGTCATTATATAATGATAAGGGGTCAAGTCAGCAAGAGGATATAGTAATTGTTAATATATATGCACCTAACAGTGGAGCACCCAGATATATAAAGCAAATATTATTAAAGCCAAAGAGAGGGAAAAATCTCAATACAGTAATAGCTGGAGACCTCAACACCCCACTTTCAGCATTAAACAGATCATCCAGACAGAAAATAAAGGAAAAATCAGACTCAATCTGCACCATAGACCAAATGGACCTAATACACGTTTACAGAACAGTTCCCCCATTGGCTGCAGAGTACATGTTCTTCACCTTAGCACAGGGGTCATTCTTAAGAATTGCCCATATGTTGGGCCATGAAACAAGCCTTAAAAAATTTTAAAAAATTGTAATAATTTAAAATATCTTCCCTGTCCACAATGGGATAAAACTAAAAATCAATAATAAGAGGAACTTTGGGAAGTATTAAATATGCAAACACATGGAAATTAAATAATATGCTCTTGAATGTGCCTAGTGTGTCAATAAAGGAAATGTTAAAATCTCTTAAAAAATAAAAATGGAGACAGAATATACCAATATCTGTGGAACACACTGAAGGCAATACTAAAAGGAATGTTTATAGCAATAACTCTTACATTAAACAAGTAGAAAAACTTCAAATAAACAACCAGTGATTCATCTTAAAGAACAAGAAAAGCAAGAGCAAACCAAACCCCAAATTAGTAAAATAAAATAAAGATCAGACCAGAAATAGATGAAATTGAAACAAAAATACAATAGATAAACAAAATAAGAAGTTAGTTTTCATAAGATACAAGTGACAAACCTCTAGCCAGACCAACTAAGAAAAAAAGATTCAATTAAATAAAATCAGAAATGAAAAAGGAGACATTACAACTGATACCACCGAAGTTCAAAGTCTAATTAGAGACTACTATGAGCATCTATATGCAAGTACATTGGAAAATCTGGAGGAAATGCAAAAATTCCTAGACAGATACAACCTATCCAGATTGAACCATGGAGAAATCTAAAACCCTAAAACCTGAACAGACCAATAAGAAGTAATGAGATGGTAGCCATAATAAAAAATCTCCCAGCAAGGAAAAGCCCAGGACGTGATGTCTTCACTGCTAAATTTTTACCAGATATTTGAAAAAGAATTGATACCAGTCTTATTGAAACTATTCTGAAAAAGAGAAGAGGAGGGAATCTTTTCAAATGCATTCTGTGAGGCCAGTATTATCCTTATGTCAAAACCAGAAAAAGACACATCAAAAAAAAAAAAAGAGAAAGAAAGAAAACTACAGGCTAATATTTCTAATTAATATTGATGTAAAAATTCTCAACAAAATACTAGAAAACTGAATTCAACAACACATTAAAAAGATCACTCGTTGTGATCAAGGGGGATCTATCTCAGGGATACAAGGATGCTTCAATATATGCAAATCAATCAGTGTGATACATCAAATCAATTGAATGAAGGATAAAAACCATATGATCCTTTTAATTGATGCTGAAAAAAGATTTGATAAAATTTAACTCTACAATGAAAACTACAAAACACTGAAGAAAGAAACTGAAGAGGACACAAAAACATCTAAAGATATTCCATGTTCATGGATTAGAAGAATCAATATTGTTAATCTATTAATTAATCCATACTTCTCAAAGCAATCTACACATTCAGTGAAATCCCTATCAAAATACCAATGACATTCTCACAGAAATAGCTAAAACAATCTTAAAAATTTTATGTGAAAACACAAAAGATACAGAATATTTAAAGCAATTCTGAGAAAAAGAACAAAACTGGAGGAGTCGTATTGCCTGACTTCAAATTATACTACAGAGCTATAGTAACCAAAACAGCATATTACTGGCATAGAAACAGACACACAGACCAATGGAACATAATAGAAAACCCAGAAATAAATTTGTATACCTACAGTGAACTCATTCTTGACAAAGGCACCAAGAACATACATTGGGGAAAGGACAGTCTCTTTAATAAATAGTCCTGGGAAAACTGAATATCCATCTAAAGAAGAATGAAACTAGATGCTATCTCTTACTATATACAAAAGGCAATTCAAAATGGATGAAAGACTTCAAACTAATTCCAGAAAATATGAAACTACTGAAAGAAAACATTGAGGAAACTCTCTAGGTCATTGGTCTGGGCAATAATTTTTTGAGTAATATCTCAAAAGCACAGGCAACCAATGTAAAAATGTAAAATAGGATCACATCAAGTTACAAAGCTTCTGCACAGCAAAGAAACAATCAACAAACTGAAGAGAAAACCCACAGAATGGGATAAAATGTTTGCAAACTACCCATTTGACAAGGGATTAAGAGACAGAATATATACTCAATAGCTCAAATAACTCAATAGGAAAGAAATGTAAGAATTCAATTGAAAAATGGGCAAAAGATCTCAATACACATTTCTCAAAAGAAGACACACAAATGGCAAATAGGTATTTGAAAAGGTGCTCAACATCATTGCTCGTCAAAGAAGTGTAAATCATGGCTGGGCATGGCTCATGCCTGTAATCCCAGCACTTTGGGAGGCCTAGGCAGGTGGATCATCTGAGGTCAGGAGTTCAAGACTAGCCTGGCCAAAATGATGAAACCCTGTCTCTACTAAAAATACAAAAAGATTAGCCAGGTGTGGTGGCACATGCCTGTAGTCCCAGCTACTCAGGAGGCTGAGGCAGGAGAATCGTTTGAACCCAGGAGGCGGGGGTTGCAGTGAGCTGAGATTGTGCAACTGCATTCCAGCCTGGGAGACAGAGCAAGAGTCCATTTAAAAAAATGCAAATCACAACTAAAATGTGTGATATCATCTCACTCCAGTAAAAATGGCTTTTATCCAAAAACTAGGCAATAATGAATGCTGGCAAGGATGTGAAGAAAAGGGAACCCTTGTATACTGTTGGCAGAAATACATGTTAGTACAGCCACTATGGAGAAAAGTCTGCAGGATCCTCAGAAAGCTAAAAACAGAACTACTATATGACCCAGCAAACACACTGATAGGTATATACCCAAAAGAAGGGAAATCAGTGTAACAATGAGATATCTGCATTCTCATGTTTACTGCAGCACTATTCACAATAGCCAAGATTTGGAAGCAACTTAAATGTCCATCAATAGACAAATGGATAAATAAAATGTTTTACATATACACAATGGAATACTATTCATCCACTAAAAAAGAATGAGATACTGTCATTTGCAATACCATGGATAGAACTGGAGAACATTATGTTCAGTGGAATAAGCCAAGCACAGAGAGACAAACTTCACATGTTCTTACTCATTTGTGGGAGCTAAAAATGAAAACAATTGAACTCATGGACATAGTACAAGGATGGTTACCAGTGGCTAGGAAGGATAGTGGTGGGAAGGGTGATGGTGGGAAGGGTGATGGTGGAAATGGGAATGGTTAATGGGTACAAAAATATAGTTAGATAAAATGAATAAGATCTAGTATTTGATAACACAATGGAATTATTGCAGTCAACAGAAATTTATTATACATTTCAAAATAACTAAAAGTAAAATTGGAATGTTTATAACACAAAGAATTGATAAATCCTTGAGGTGATAGATACCCTATTTACTCTGATGTAATTATTATGCAATGTATGTCTCTATAAGGTATCTTATATACCATAAATTGATATACCTAGTAAGTACCCATAAAAATTAAAAATAAATATTTATTTTTAAGATCTGTTGTTGTAAATGATCTGGCCATTTTTTTGTATAGTCAGGCTCTCAAATTGAGTTGTATACTTGTTATAATATCTTTGGGGAGCTATAAGGACACTTAGTCAAAGTTGTATAAGGTCACTTCTCATGTAATTTTGTATTTTTAATAAGTAATCATTAAATTTGTATTATTTGGAGATAATCATATTGTTTTATCTTATGTATTTATCTTTCTAATTTATCTCCTTTTGAACACTTAAAGGAAATTTTAGCCGTTTGTCTACAAAGTTTCCATCCAACTATAATTTTGAATGTGCTTAATTTTATTTTGGGAGTACTTCAAGAAATGCAAACATGTGCACACAAAGGGTTATATTTATCTATGTTTATAATTTATCTATATTTTAGATAAATTTCCCATAATCAAATGTTCTTATATAAGATGAAGCATTTCCCCTAATAACCTTATTGCTCTCATTTCCTGTGTACTCACAGTTAGACACCCCTGGCGAAAATTAGAAAGCATGGTTGCTGGCTTTGGGGAAGGTAGCATATGCAGATGTGGCCAGCTGTGGATTGTTCCATATACATTTTGCCAATGGAAAAAGACAACACATTTATGAATTTTAATTCTAATTGCATTCTGGTTCTGAAGTCTAATTATTTAAGGATTTAAGTAAATCTGTATGCTTTACAAGAAAGAAACATTTCCCATAGGGATCTGTTGGCTGAATTTCTTTAGTGGGAAATATAAGACTTTCAAAATCTAAACAGTTTACTTTTTTAGTGGCAGCTAGTGATCTATAATCAAGGCAAAACTCTTAACAAAAGTAAGCTATGTTTAAAATTTATATGTAATTAAATTCATAATTTATGATTTTCTCAATTATTTTTCCTTCTTTAGTCACCTAGTATTCTCTATCCATAAAATCAATATATATGATCCTTATCAAGAGTAATGAATAATGGCTGATATTTTATTGATTTTTGTTGGGTATCTAAGAACCCTGTGGAAGATGCTATGGGGACATAATAGCAGAATAAGGCAATATCTCCATTCATAAGAAGGTCATTAGTTCTGGGTGAGATGAGCTTTGGTTCCATAACTTTGTAGAAGTTACTTAATTTCTCTGAGCTCCAGTGACTGCTGGTATGAAATAGTTATTATAATACAAACCTCACAGAACTGTTAAAAAGCCACACAGTATTTCAAGGTTCCTTTTCTAGGAACTGACCCCAGAATGAGGACTGAGCTGACTTGGATTCTAGTCTAGTTTTATGACTTTTGACAACAATTTCTCTGTTCTGGGCCAGAGTTTTCTCAGATGCTCTCCAAGTCCCCTCCTACCTCTAAGTTTCTCTGTGTTTGAAAACACAGACAGTGCAATGTGCCATCATATGCTGTACTTTTAAGACTAGTCATATTTCTAGTATGTCAAAATATTATAGATTTTCTAGTATTCTAACCCCACTTTCTGTTGATCTTTGAAGTCCTATCAAATTTCAATTCCCTTTACTGATTAAACAAAATTCCTGTATTTAATTCATTTCTAACCAGTCTGCCTACAAACTTCCCCCAAAATTTCATGAACTATCCATTTACCTCTCACTTTTGTTCAAGTGTCCCTTGGTAAGAAATGCCTTTCCTCATGTCCTCTCCCCCATCTTCAGTTATTAAAATCCTACTCGTCCTCCAGAGTTAGCTAAACTGTTAACTCCTGTATATACGCTTCCTTTGCCTTCTCACTGTCAAGTAACCACCCCTTCTCTGGACTCCCAGTTGACTTATATATCTTTTATAAGTACCTGCTGAAAAGAACAGAAGTTTTGATATCACTGAGACTTTAGTTTGAATTTGATTTTTTTTTTTTTTTTTGGTCTGGTATGACCTAGCAGTTTGTTTAACCCCAGTGGCCTCAGTTTCTTCATCTATTAAATGAATATGATAAAACCTAACTAATGTGGTTGTTTTACAGATTTCATAAATTAATGCATGGAAAGCCTGGGATGTAGTAAGTGCTCATTAAATGATTATGATGGAAACTGTTCTTAACTTTTTTTCTTATCTAACAGTTATCTAGATAGGTATTGATTGGATTGTTTTATTTAAAGAGGGAGTTTAGCTCTGTTGCCCAGACTGGAGTGCAATGGCATGATCTCGGCTCACTGCAAACTCTGCCTCCTGGGTTCAAGCAGTTCTCCTGCCTTAGCCTCCTGAATAGCTGGGATTACAGGCATCTGCCACCACACCTGGCTAATTTTTGTGTTTTAGTACAGACGTGGTTTTACCATGTTGGCCAGGCTGGTCTCAAACCCCGGACCTCAAGTGATCCAGCTGCCTCGGCCTCCTAAAGTGCTGGGATTACAGGCCAGAGCCACCATGCCCGGCCGGTATTTTATTTTTATAATTCATTTGAAAACCTCTAAAAGGTAAGGTTTATATCTTATTCTTTATAACATAGCAACTCCTTACAGTCCCTTCATAGTGTAAGACGTGCTTTTCCGCACTCATTTCTTACCTTTTTTTAAATTTCAAAAGCCATGCTCATTGTAGAAAAATTAGGAAAGTCCTGAAACAGAAAAAGACAATTAAAACTTGCATAATCCTGTAATTTTAAGATAACTACTGCCAGTATTTTGATATTTAGATTTTTTTATTGTACATGTGTATACATGTGTATAAAATATGTATATAGAATTGTATTATATTGCACATATATATCTTCCTTATCAAATATACATTATATTTAAAATATTCACTATAGTTCATTTATTTATTTAACTAATGATAAAATCCACATAGCTATATTTTTGCTTAGTAATTTTTTCATAAATTTTTATAAGTGAAATATTTAAGTAAAAATATGTGTTTAAGGCTTTTGTTTCATGTTAATCCCTTCCATGTAGTTGTACCAATTTTTATGCTAACCTATAATTTCTAATAGGACTACAAAATACTTTAGAATTATCAAAATATTTAATCCTCATAAAACTCATTATAGTAAAAGTTTATATAACTTAAAATGAGGCCACATGAAGGGTTAAAGGACTTATTCAGAGATATATCTAGTTAATGCCAAAGCTAGGATCACTTATACAGTATCGTAGGCCTAACATTCTTCTTTCTAGGTAACAGCTTCATTCATTCATCCGTTAATTTACTTTTTAATAAGTATGTTGAGTATCTAGCCAGATGATAAGGATATTGCATTAAATGTATTTCCTAACCTCACAGAGCTTAAAATCTGGCATGGAAGCCAAACATTAACTGAATAAGTAACTAGTTTTAAATTTTAGTAAGGGCTAAAAAAGTAAAGAAAAATATTATAAGCGTAAATAGGAGGTAGACCTGACCTATAGACAAAAGTCAGGGAGGTTTTACTCTGAAGATAGGCCACTTAAGCTGACACAGGATATTTAAATATGTTTTGGCTAGATGCAGGGTCATGTGGGGTACAGGTAGAAGGGAAAGCTTTCTAGATTAGAGTTTTCTAATCTCAGCATTAGTGACGTTTTGGGCTGGATAATTCTTTGTCATGATATGCTCTCCTATGCATTGCAGGAGGATCAACATTGTTGCTGATCTCTACCCATTAGATGCCAATAACACTCTTCCCCAGTTATAATAACCAAAAGTGTGTCCAGACATTGCCAAATGTCTTCTAGAGGGTGGGTGAGATTACTCCTGGTTGACAGCCACTGTTCCAGACCTATGGAAAAGCAGGTAGGAGGGTCCTGTGTTGAAGAGGGCATAGTACTTTAGAGGAATCAAAACAAGTTCAATGTGGCTGGATCATAGAATATGAAGTGATACCTGATTCTAAATCAGGCTGGGTTTATACCATGCAGGACCTTGAGGATCCTGTTAAATATCTGGGACTGTATTTAAACAGTACTGAGAAGCTAGCAAACTTGTGAGGAACAGAGAATGATATAATTCATATTTATGTCTAGAAAAGATCTCTTTCATAGATCTGGGTCAAAAGTGGATTAGAGGGGTCAAGAATATATTTAAGGAAAACATTTAGGTGATTTCTGCAATAACCACTCAAGAATATGGATAATTACTGTGAATCTGGTGAAAACATTACACATTCTGCAAATATCTAAGAAAATTAGTAGGACTTGATAATTTACTGACTGTTGGAAGTACAGGGAAAGAGATTGTCAGAGGTGACTGCTAGATTTCTGACTTATGTAACTGGATAAATGAAGTGCCATTTCTTAAAATAGGAAAAAGAGAGGAGGAAGAGGAAGTTTCAGGCAGAAATTCAGTTTAGTTTTGGCAATAATGAATTCGAAGTTCCAGTAACAGGCAAACAATTTGGTAAATGGGTCTGGAGCTCAGAGAATGGATGTGGGTTAGAAAAAGACTTGGAAGTTATCATCACAGAAGTGATAATAAGATGTAATGGAATTAACAAGAAAACCTAGGAAAAGGTATGAAATGGAAAAACAAGAGAAACAAAGTCTGAGTCTTAAGGAACTCGGGCATATAAAAGTCTGGTACTGCAGGAAGAGACAGTAAAAATACTAAAAGGGATTCAATTTCTTTCTGGTTCAATCTTGGAAGGGCGTATGTGTCCAGGAATTTATCCATTTCTTCTAGATTTGCTAGTTTATGTGCATAGAGGTATTCATAATATTCCCTGAGGGTTGTAACAGACTAATAATGAGGTCTGAAATTGAGACAGTAATAAATAGCCTACCCACCAAAAAAAAAAAAAAAAAAAAACAAAACAAAACAAAAAAAAAACACCCAGGACCATACAGATTCACAGATGTACAAAGAGGATGTACAAAGAAGAGCTGGTATCACTCCTACTGAAACTACTCCAAAAAATTGAGACAGGACTCCTCCCTGACTCATTCTGTGAGGCCCGTATCATTCTGATACCCAAACCTAGCAAAAAGAACATTAAAAAAAGAAAACTTCAGGCCAATATTCTTGATGAACATTGATGCAAATATTTTCAACAAAATACTAGCAAACTGAATCCAGTAGCACATCAAAAAGCTTATCCACCATGATAAAGTAGGCTTTATATCTGGGATGCAAAGTTGGTTCAACATACACAAATCAATAAATGTGATTTATCGCATAAACAGAAATAAAGACAAAAACCACATGATTATCTAAATAGGTGCAGAAGAGGATTTCAATAAAATTCAACATCCATTCATGTTAAAAATTCTTTAAAAACTCAATAAACTAGATGTTGAAGGAACATACCTCAAAATAATAAGAGCCAGGTAGAACAAACCGACAACCAACATCGTACTGAATGGGCAAAAGCTGAAAGCATTCCCCTGTAAAAACTGGCACAATAAAAGGATGCCCTTTCTCATCACTCTTGTTCAACATAGTACTAGAAGTCCTTGCCAGGGCAATGAGGAAAGAGAAGGAAATAAAGTGCATCCAGACAGGAAGAGAAGAAGTCAAATTATTTCTATTTGCAGATGACATGATCTTATATCTAGAAAACCCCATAGTCTCAGCCCAAAAGCTTTGTGAGTGGATAAACAACTTCAGCAAAGTCTCAGGATATAACATGAATGTGCAAAAATCACTGGCATTCCTGTTCTGCAACCACAATCAAGCTGAGAGCCGAATCATGAATGAACTCCCATTCACAACTGCCACCAAAAGAATAAAATACCTAGGAATACAGCTAACTAGAGAGGTGAAAGATCTGTAGAAGGAGAACTGCAAACCACTACTCAAAAAAATCAGAGATGACACAAATGAAAAATATTCTATGCTCATGGATAGGAAAAATTAATATCATTAAAATGGCCATACTGCCCAAAGCAATTTATGGATTCAATGCTATTCTTATTAACTACCATTTAGATTCTTCACAGAACTAGAAAAAACTATTTTAAAATTCATATGGAACCAAAAAAGAGCCCAAAAAGCCAAGGAAATCCTAAGCGAAAAGAGCAGAGCTGGAGGCAACTCACTATTTGACTTAAAAATATACTAGAGGGCTACAGTAACTGAAAGAGGATGGTACTGGTACAAAACAGACATACAGACCAATAGAACAGAATAGAACCTAGAAATAAGACTGAACACCTACTGATCTTCAACAAAGCTGACAAAAACATTTATGTGGCCAACAAACATATATAAAAAAGCCCAACATCACTGATAGAGAAATGCAAATCAAACCCACAATGAGATACCATCTCATGCCAGTCAGAATGGCAATTATTAAAAAGTCAAGAAACAATAGATGCTGGTGAGGCTGTGGAGAAATAGGAATGCGTTTACACTGTTGGTGGGAATGTAAATTAGTTCAAGCATTGTGGAAGATATTACGGTGATTCCTCAAGGATCTAGAACCAGAAATAACATTTTGACCTAGCAATCCCATTACTGGGTACGTACCCAAAGGAATATAAATCATTCTACTATAAAGACACATGCACACACATGTTTATCGCAGCACTATTTATAATAGCAAAGTCATAGAACCAACCCAAATGCCCATCAAAGACTGGATAAAGAAAATGTAGTATATATATATATACCATGGAATACTGTGCAGCCATAAAAAAGGAATGAGATCATGTGTTTCACAGGGATGTGGATGAAGCTGGAAGCCATCATCCCCAGCAGACTAACACAGGAACAGAAAACCAAACACTGCATGTTCTCACTCATAAGTGGGAGCTGAACAATGAGAACAGGTGGGCACAGGGACGGGAACAACACACACCAGGGCCTGTTGTGTGGTGGGGGTGAGGGGTGGGAACTTAGAGGACAGGTCAATAGGTACAAAAAACCACCATGGTACATGTGTACCTATGTAACTAACCTGCATGTTCTGCACATGTATCCGGAACATAAAATAATCAAATCAAGCAATGGAGAAAGGATTCCTTATTCAGTAAATAATGGTGCTAACTGGCTAGTTATATGCAGAAAATTGAAGATGGACCTTGTTCCTTACACCATATAGAAAAATTAACTCAAGATGGATTAAATACTTCAATGTAAAACCTAAAATTATAAAAACCCTGGAAGACAACCTAGGCAGTACCATTCAGGACATAGGCATGGGCAAAGATTTCATTATAAAGATGCCAAAAGCAATTGCAACAAAAGCAAAAATTGACAAATGGGAATGAATTAAACTAAAGACCTACTGCACAGCAAAAGAAACCATCAACAGAGTAAACAGACAACCTACAGAATGGGAGAAAAATTTTGCAAAGTATTCATTCAACAAAGGTCTAATAATAAGCATGTGTAAGGAGCTTAAACAAATTTACAAGAAAAAAAGCAAACAGCCCCATTAAAAAGTGGGCAAAGGACATGAACAGACGCTTTTCAAAAGAAGACATGTATGCAGCCAGCAATCATGAAAAGAAGCTCAACATGACTGATTATTAGAGAAATGCAAGTCAAAACCACAAAGAGATACCATCTCACACTGGTGAGAATAGTTATTATCAAAAAGTCAAAAACATAGCATATGCTGGCAAGGTTGTGGATAAAAAGGAACACATACACTATTGCTAGGAGAGTAAAGTAGTAAATTAGTTCAACCATATTGGAAGACAGTGTGGCATTTCCTCAAAGACCTCAAGACAGAAATACCATTTAACCCAGCAATCCCATTACTGGCTATATACCCAAAGAAATATAAATCATTTTATTATAAAGACACATGGCTGCATATGTTCATTGCAGAAATGTGGTATGTTTTCTTCATGTAGTACATGAAATACTATGCGTCCATAAAAATGAACAGTTGTTATGTCCTTTGCAGGAACATGGATGGAGCTGGAGGCCATTATCCTTAGCAAACTAACACAGGAATAGAAAAGCAAATACTGCATGCTCTCACTTACAAGTGGGAGCTAGATGATGAGAAAACACGGACACATAGAGGGGAATGACACAAAGACATTCAATTTCATATATCAGAAAATAAAGGGTGGGAGAAGGGAGAGGATCAGGAAAAGTAACTAACAGATATTAGGCTTAATACCTGGGTGATGAAATAAACTGTACAAGAAACCCCCATGACACAAGTTTACCTATTAACAAACCTCAACATGAACCCCTGAACTTAAAATTAAAAAAAAATACTGAAAGGTTGTGGTGGGGAAACCTAAGGTCAGAAGCCGTAGGGTAAGGGTGTTTCAAGAGGAGGGGAAGCTCAGCTGTTTGGAATCTGCCCAGAAGTGTGGAGGGTGAGGGTGAAGATAGAGAAGTGACAGTTAAATAAGTGACATGTTGGTTGTGATGCCCAATTTTAAGGGGCTGGGGACAGGACATAAATCAATGTGTTAAGAAGTCAGAGTCAGTGTGGAAAATGAGGAAATGGATGGAGAGTGAGGGGCTGGCTTTCCTAAAAAGGTTGTGTGTCAAGGAATGAGGAAGGATAGTAGTAGCTTGATATGGAACTGTGATTAGAGGAAGTAGTTATAGTTTTGCATTTGTTTTTAGATGGGAAAGTCTTGCACATGAATATAAATTGTCATAAGGAGGATCACGAAGAGAGAAAGATCCAGTCTTGATGAGAGGGGAACATACACTGAGAGGAGCAAAAGAAGGAAGGGCAGTCACTGATTTTTCTTTTATTTTGCGGTAAAAGTTGAGGACTTGTGTGTTGGCTTTTGTTTTCTCTGTTTGTTTTGTTTTTGTTTTCTTCTTAGTAGAAGGCAACTATCTACTAAGTGGAATGAGGATGGAGGAAGGTGTGAGGTTTGAGGAGAGTGGAGAATGTTTGCAATCGCCTTTCAAAAGAGGATGGAGGAGGTTGTTCAAAGAACAGGGTAGGATTATCAGGCAGTGTTGGAGCCTTTTTGAGGTTTTTCATTAATTTTTTTCCAGCTGCTCACCAATCTGTCAGTTCATGAAGAATAATTAACAATACTATGTGCTCAAGGGAACTATTTTCCAGCTCATAGTTGTCCTTTACTTTTGAAGTGCTTAATGTGGGGTTGAGATGAATTTTAGGCACAAAAGGCAATAAGAGAACAATACAAGACACTGTATAATCAGGTACTAAATTGGGCAATACAAATAATACATGTTGAAGGCATTCAGAAAAAAGACTCTGTAGGGGCTGATCTCATAAAAAGATAGCCTCTGATCCAACCATTAAGGAGTAACAGGATTTTGAGATGGTCACTCCCTGAAGGCTTTTTTTCTTTATTGGTTAAGATATGTCCATTCCATTGTCCTTTCAGTCTTTTAATTTAGAATGTGTGATTGCTTGTGAGGCACTCATTCTTAGACTTTTCTCTTATCCAGAAGAGTAGGCTTTTTACACTCTGAAAGTACATGTAGAACTTCCTTGGTACAGGGTGGTGAGTAATTGTGGTAAGGAATTTAAAAAAATCTTTGCAAGTATGTATTCCTAAATCTACATTTACTCTCAGGCTGTGCGTTCAAGTGGTTCTCATTAAGGCCAGTACTACCCTCTTTAAATATCTTACTGGACATTAATTTATATTAGATACTTGATAAAATTTCCTGAGCCTGGAATCATACTTCGTTTTATGTATTTAACACAAAGCATCTCTTGCATTAAGTTGATATACACTGAAGTTTTCAATAACGCAATTTCTCTATAAGAAATTCCGTTCTGATATAAGGGAAGAATGTTCTTTGTTTTACTCAGAACTTTACCAAAAGTTTTCAACAGTTCAGAATATTGTGTCACTGATAGCAGTGCTGCTTTTAAGCTTTGTGTAGCCAATTCAATATACCTGCATCTGTCTATACATGTGGGTGCAAGCACCTGCCCATTTAATTATGCCATTGATGGAATTTTGCCTGAGTATTGCCATTGAAGTATACGTTATTTTAATTTCAACTTTAAGTTTAATTCTTTATATCATATGTTATGTTGAGTTTTTAAATTCCATGTAAAAGTAGGTTATATTATCATGGTTGTAAGTAGAATATGAAACATATTTATATATAAAAGAATTGTTTTGTGTGAAAGAGTTAATCAACCACTGTATAGGCACTGGGGTCTTGAGAAATTTCCTCTGGGCTTTACAATTAAAAGACTTAGTATTGGAGTTCCACCTCTAGCTTCTGTATAAATCTGAATAATTTGCTTAATCACTGTGTCAGTTTTCCTCACTGGACACCAGGGGATGGTGGCAGTATCTTTAGGGCTTATGTAAGGATCAAAAATCAAATGGGATATATCTTTACTTGTGAGCTGAGGCAAGAATACCCCTACCCCTAGGCATTCACAGTAATATATATATATATATATATATATATATATATATATATATATACACACACACACACACACACACACATATCAGAGAGTATTATAAGTATTGCATAGCCTTCTTGGCTTGTTAAATTTATATCAATTTTTAAGATAAGAAATGAAACAAAATGACATCCAATTTTATATATTTTATACACTTCCAGGTATATAAATGCATTATCTTATGACTTTAGGGATACTTTTGTGGAAATTTTTGAGAAGCCCTGAAATGATTTTTAATTTGTAAATTGGGTATTATTATCTCAGGAAAATCCCAAGGAGGATGCAAGAAATTCCAATAATAGTAAATTGATTCAGGGTTTATAATGAGATTGCCAGACTTTCTGAGAATCCTCTTTATGGCTGACTGGAAATACTAGGGAAGTTCTAGATGATCTACAAACCCCTGAAAGAATCGTCTAGGTATTTAAAAGAAGCCAGTCAAAAGGAATGATAGCACCTTTTTACCTTCACCTTTACCTCTATCATTTCAGTTCTCTTTTCACTAAAAACTACCACTTATTACATTTACCATGTTCTAGGTAATGGGACTAGCAATGTGCACAAGTTATATATTTGACTTCTCACAACATCCCTATGAAGTAGATTTGTTACCTTTATTTTACAGAGGAATACTCTGTGGCAGAGAGAAGTTATGTAACTTACCCAAGGTCACACAGCTGGCAAGTGCAAGAAAAGGAATTTAAACCAAGGTCTGTTTTTATTTTATTTTATTTTTTTACTCAAAGGCCCAAGAGCTGTTAGAGTTTTTAAGAGAGAAAGGATTCTAAATTATCAGGTATTATATAGTTCCTTTCTCAAGTGGCATCCATCTCAGAATCTTTAGCCTCCACTCTAAAATTATCTCATTTACAACAGAAATTACCTTCTGTTTGTTTTCTATACTTTCCTCTTCTATAAAGTTAATTTTTATACCTGTGCTCTGGAGTTGATATCTTCCTATTTTTTGTGAGAGCCAAAGCCATCAATTTTCCTCTCTTTCTTCAGAGCAGTGATTCTCAAACCTTAGCTTACTTGAAAATCACCTGGAGGGCTTGTTAACACAGATACCTGAGCCACATACCTAGTGTTTTTGATTCAGTAGGTCTGGGGTATGGAGAATTTCTATTTCTAACAAATTCCTAACATACACTGATGCACCTAGCCCAAAGACTGCACTTTGAGTACCACTGCTCTAGACTTTAGAGAAAAAAGTCGGCAATTTACAAGCTAAGAAATGGTGTACATTTTTAAATGGTTAAAATAATCATCATCATAATATTTTCTGACATGTGAACATTATATGAAATTCAATTTTAATGTTTATCAATAATAAAGTTTTATTGGAACACACTATGTAATGTCTGTTTAAGTAGATATTTATGTAGGCTACTTTCTCTCTACAACATTAAAATGGAGTAGTTGTGACAGATCGTATGGCTTACAAGCCTGAAATATTTATTATCCGGCCATTTACAGAATCAGTTTGCTGACCCATGCTCTAAGGCAGTAATTCTCAATCCTAGCTGGACACTGGAATCACTTGGGGAGCTCTATAGAATACTGATTCCTGATTCCCACCCTCAGAAATTCTGACTTAATTGGCCTGTAGTACAATCTAGAGAATCCTTAACGTATAAACTTACCTAATTTGTCCTATCTAAAGAAAACAAAACAAAAAGCAAGGTATCTAACAAAACTACTCTATCTACCTATAAGAACTAGATAGTCCAATCTCCTTATTTTATAGATTAGGAAAAAGATGTCTAGCAATATGAATTATTTGTCCATATTAAAAGAGGGTGTTGCTGTTATTGTATTTGTAACAAATTGTAGTTGCATATTGCTTTAATATTGAAAACTTTTTTTATAATCCAGGTTATGTTTTTTAAAGTATTACATGCCCACTGTTAAAAATACAAGCCAAATATATGTAGATAGGTTTAAATTCAGTGCATAAGGTGAAAATCAACTAGTCCAATTTTCTTGATAGTCACTTTTTCCTTTTGGGAATCAAGGTAGTTGGCTTGTATTTAAGGGCTATGCTTTAAGAAAAACATACATACACACTAGAATTACATGCATTACTGGGAGATGTTCACATTCAGAGAGACACTCAGATCTAAGATCAATTCAGAAATTGATAGATTCTTATTTCTCCTCTCACAATCATTCCCTGACTTTTGCTCATGGAGTGCAATGGGGTAAATCCCCTCACAGTTTCTAGTATTTCCTTCTTCCTTATATCTGTATTTCTCTCATTTACTGACAAGGGATAGTTGGATTGGATAAGTTGTTCATTGTGAATGATTTCCTATAGTATAGAGGTATAAAATAAAAACTGTCATGCATCCCTTCCTAAGCCAATAGCAACACTGTTAAAATTTCACACATGCACAGACACACACCCACACCCCACACCTCTCCCTACAAGTGTATGTAAATATACAAATACAAATAGCCTCACACAATATCAGTTCTTTTGCAAACTTATTTTTACATATAATATTATATATAACTTGGACATCTTTCCACATAAGAATATGTATATATATCTTATATTCCTATGTTATGAATAAACTGTAATTTAAAGAAATAAATTCCATACTGATGGATATTTTAGATACACATACACACATATATCTGGGATAAATTCCTGAAAGTTGAATCACTACATCAATCATAATTTGCCTCTTTAAATATTTGATAGATAATTCCAAACTACCTTCCAAAAAGTTTTTACCAATTAATGCATCTCCATAAATACTTGATGTGTCAATTTTAATAACCTTTTCTAACTTTTATGTTTTTTCTTAAATATGAGGTTGAGCATTTTAAATGTGTTTTGTGGTCTTTTTGTGAATTGCTACTTTATGTTCTTTGAGTGCTTCATTCAGTTTTATGTTTTCTCTTAGTGATTTATGAAAGTTCTTTGTATATTAAAACAATTCCCAATGGAATGTGTTGTAAATAGTTTCCCAGTTTGTTGTTTGTCATTGTGTATAATTTACCCAAGGAGAAGTTTTATATTTTCATATAGTCACAATTGTCTATCTTTTCTTGCATGGCTTCAGGCTCCTGTATTCCAATATTATGCAAAATCAAATCTGTGTTTTCTTCTAGTATGTTTACAGTTTCAATTTTTATATTTAAATCATTGATCCTTCCAGAGTTTATTTTGATGGCAGGGTTCATCATTAATATTCTCATTGGACACTATGAGATACATGTTATCCCCATTTTACAAATGGGAATCTGGCATGGAAGTGATTTTCCAGGACTACTCACTTGCAGTATGGAAGCCTAGACTTACTCTATTGCCTACAAAAATATGCATAGGCAGTTATAACTTTCTTCTACTATAGCAAATGTTATTATTCTTGCAGATATACTGTTCTGATGAATTCCTTGCCTTAAAATATGGAATATTCTTTAGTGGGACATTGCCATTGTAGTTAATGCCCCATTTCCTGCATCTATAAAATGAGAATAGTAAGTTGGCTATCCTAGTCCACTTAAGAAAATTAGGCAGTAAATCTACAGGTATAGCACTGGGATTTTGTAGGCTAGACAGGTATACTCAGGTGTTTTAAAGAAGTTTTTAAGGCTAAGGGCCTTTTTAAAAAAATGTATACACATTAAAATGGTATCTAAAGCCCTGTTAGAAGTCCTCCCTGATAGCCTTGACAGGGAAACCTACATGTACTTCTTCACCTGTAACTTGTTTCATTTAATCCTTGCTTGCGAGCTGTTCTGAGATTTGTAACATTTTCCAGTTCTTTTTGGTCTCTCTCTCCTGGGCCATCCAAATATCCCGGCAACTACTAAAATAATATTAATAAAATAGGTAAATTTCATTTTCCCAGCTTCTAATGGAAAAAAATGGTACTTATTCACAGGTTGAATAAAGTAGGTTTTTAAAAGTTCCTCTGAATCCTCAGTGGAGAAAGGCATTTTTAAGTTCTTCTATGTTTTGCATGGCATTGAGTTGTTATATTTGGGTTCATTTATTAGGAAGAGCTGCAGGAAATGTGACCTGCTATAACCTTGGGAGGGGAAAGTGTTATTAACTGAAATACTCAGTTTTGCATTTAAAGTCCGTAGAAAAAGTTGTGGAATGATGAGAGCTGGGCATCCATGTCGATTTTTTAATGTCCTGGAAGTCACTGGTTGTGTTGTAAGTGCTTATAATTTGTAAATTACCTAGGCTCCTAAGACAGACGGAACTGGAAATCAAAATAAGTGGCTGCCTTCTCTTACGTTGCCCAAGGATCTCCAGCTTAGGATAAGACTGCCTTTTTCTTCCTAAAAAAAGGCACAAACAATGACAGCCCAAAATAGCTATTTAGTCAGAACTGACGACACTTTCTGAATGCTTGTCATTAAGAGAGAAATAGAAAATCCTGCTTTTCTTCTTCCTTTAATTTCTCTCCCTGAAATACCTTTCTTCCTCCTGAAGCTGCCTCACCTCATTGCCCAGGAGAAATGCCCAGTAACTCTGATGGTGCTTCAGCACTTCTGCAGGCTCCAGAGGGGAGGTGGCTTATGCAAAGCATATTAAAGAAAGATCCTAAAAGTCACTGCAGCTTTTTCTAGTGAGTTATGCTGATCTTCCTTGTTGCTGGAAGCTGATGGGGAGCATCGTGGCAAAGACATAACCACTTTTTTTCCTCCCACTATTTTTGCTGCAGTGAAAACTGTTCATTTCTGCTTGCATTTTGCCAGATAGCTTTAGAATTCTAGCTGAGAATCGGCTTCCCAAGGCTGGAAATAAGGGTATAGCACCCTAAATTGTACTTTGTCCTTTTGATTAAGTAAAAATTGAGTTAATTTGCAGCATCCGGTGCCTGACAGGAATGACAACAGATAGAAGGATCTGACGGATGTTTTTAATTTTTTTTTTTCCTTACGGACTTATAGGGGCAGAAGCTTTTATTTTTCTCTCTTGCTCTCTCCCTTCTGGAGCCTGCTGAACATTTTACATTCAGCAGCAGTTGCTACTGAATCTGAGGTTATGTTATCCCCTGAAATCTTCTGTCTCCATTTCAACCCCATCTCATTACTGATTGTCATGTACCAATAAAACATAGTTTTGGAAAATTGGCCACATCATTTTATTATGGAGTCTGGCAACTTTAGATAGCTCTAAAAGATGTAACAGGGCAGGGAAGTAGGAGAAGGTGGTACTTCTCAGTCCTTTAACCACAGATCACCCCAGAGGAACCCAGTTCACATTTTAGGGGACTTTATATGACAATGATCCTCTGGTCCTGGTCCTGTTCCACATGGAGAAGCAGAATGAGACATGCTTGCGGTGATTTGTAGTATTTGCCAAACAGGGTGCTGCACCAGAATAGCCTGGAATATAGTGCAGAGCTCATATTAAACCTCCAAAGGAAGAAGGGTTTCCTCTTCATTTACAGTCTGCGATGCGATCCCATTGTAAAGTATTTAATAGGATAACACCGGGGCTCTCCAGAAATATAAGTAACTCATTGGTTAAATTTCAATTCTTCACCTTTCCCCCCCTCCTTCCTGAGTGAGCTCATTCCCCCCTCCTTCTTCTTCTTCTTTTTTTTTTTTAATCCAGTGATTTAAAATGCTAGAAGGAAAAGCAACTGAGGTCTTAACTTTCAGACGCTGAATTCTCATCTAATTGAAATTACTGGGCATAATGCTATATATAGCCAATGAAGAGATTTTGAGCTCTCACTCAGTGCCTTCAAGACATGTCGTTTTGTAGTCAGAGAAAACAGAGATCAATGCATTTTCAAACTGACAGAGGGAACGGATGCTCTTTAGTAGCACATGCCCAGGATCGTGTGTGTGGGGCTTGCGCTGTGCTGAGAAGCTGAATACCGGTCCATATGCTCCTTATTTACTGCAATGTTCTTTGCATGTTACTGTGCACTCCGGACTAACGTGAAGGTAAGAGGAGGCGAGCCGGCAACTGGGCACAATATACATGTTAAACCAGCTGCAGAAAATGTCTACCTTGTGTAGCTTCAGGACTTTTCGGATTGCTGGCTGAGCAGGCAGATTATTACAGGTGGTTGCAAAGGCTTTGTTTTATTGTTGCCGTGCAGCCTCGCTGGGGGAGCATGTTGGAACGCTGCTGTGAAGTGACCTTCAGGTTTAACTGTTTGTAATTCAGGTTCACGCTCATAGTTGGGGGGTGGAGAGGGGGGAAGAAAAGATGAAAATTATTTAGGTAGGCCAGAACCAAGAAATCAGAGAAGGTAAAAAGCTATAAAGCATGCTTTGAATTATGATTTTGTCTTTCTTTTAAAAAGTGCTGTGAGCTTCCTGTGTTCTTGCAGCTGAATTGTTTAAGAGCCGGGGGGTTAAATCTAGTGACTGTAATGGCATTAGATGTGCTCTGTGGGATACCTGACCATCCTGTGCATATCAACAAATGATTTTCACTGGAAATTGGTGATACTGATTATACAAATCGTCAGCTCTGGGTGGGCTGGTTGCTTCAGCTGCGTGGGCGCTGCTGTCCCGCTGTTGTCACCCCACTGACATTCACTTGCTGTAGCTAATGAGCCTCTGAAGTTGAGCCCAAGTTTGGGAGATTTACCCCTTGTCACGAACAGGGCATTATTATTGAGAAGGTTTTCTGACACTGTGTTCATTCAGCACTGAGCCGGCCAGACCAGCTGTGGAATTCCAGTTGCATAATTTAAGTGAATTACATCCTTGGTTAACATTTTAAGCTTACATTTCTTGGAGAAAGAAGTCCAAAAGGAAAGTGATTGCCTTTGAGAAAAAATAATTAAGAAGCAGTTAAGACAACCTAAAATAGGAATCTTTTTTTTTTTTTTTTAAAGTCAATATAAAGTGTTTCCCCTTTTTATTTTACTAGGGGAGTGTTTTAATGTGTCTGGGTACTAAAGTTTCATTTTCTGTGTTTGCAAGTTTTATTAAAGAACTCCCTGCTGCTCACTCTTTTGTAAGCCTTTCTGTTTTCTATTTGAATTTCAAACAGGTAGGTATTTATGTTTTGATGACCAATTCTTTTACAACTACAACCCGGAAGCATTCTGTGGATCATTTTGCAGAGTTCTATAGAATTTGCTTTTTACTACTTTTAAAATGAACTTTAGCAGTCAATTTTCCTCCATGTATAAGATGTAGACAGTAAACAACATGAAAAAAATAATTAAAAATATGAAAAGTGTGCCCAAATATCATCTTGGATTTTCTCTATTATCATCTTCTGTTCCAAAGTATGGGTATGACATGCATTGTTTTGTAAACTCAGTAAATTGTAAATGTTTTCCCTCCTCATCTTTTTGAAAGGAGAAAAGTACTTTATTCAGCGGAAGCTCCATAAATAATTTAGATAAAGAGATAACAATTGTTTTGCTATTTCATTGTTATATTTTGGAAGTGCAGGAAAACTTAAGTCCAAAGTTCCTTTCATAATGGGCTTTGGGAAATTTCTTTTTACTCTTACCTACTAACAGTCGTCTTTATGAATTTAGCTTTACATTTTTCTCATTTAAATTCATAAGCAAAGTAATAAAAGCTTCACTAACAATATCTTAACTAAATTCAGATTACTTTTGAATAATAAATTCCTAGTACTTTGGCTAATCTGTACTGAGATATACTTCTTATGTATTGATTGATAGAAATTGAGACCATATGCATTGCCACAAACAGCATATATAACCTTCCTTTGAGTAGATTAGTTTTAATTTGAATTATGCTTCTACCTTTTCAGTAATTAGCTCTTGCACTTCCTTAGATAATTCATAATTTTTTAGGGTTATCTTGTCTTTCTGAGACAACAAGTTTTGCCAAAGAGTTTGCAGTTCATTTGCGGTCTATTATTTTATCACATTGGTGCAATAAAGTTTCATCTAATATTTTTATCTATTTTGACTTTTGTTTTATTTTATTTATATTACATTTTAAAAGTGTTTGCTTTTATTTCTATTGTTACAAGAACTACTTATCACTTGGTTCTGTTGAATTCTCTCTTATGGTATATAGTTTCTCATGTTTTAACATGATTTAACATGATTCTTGTTACAGTTATCCAAAACTTTAAGATGGTTAAAATTCAAAGGATAGAAACATTTTTCGTCTTTTTTTTCTCTGCACACAATAGACCACTAATGTCATGATCTTTTATTCTAGAATAAACTTTTTTGTTAATAGGACCTTTATAAAATATAACAAAGAATTTTATTGAGAGTGGTATGTTTTAAGATATTTCATATATTTTTATGTAACAAGTCATTAAATCTGGACCACTAGTATAGACACACACACACACATATTTACAAACATCAGAATATGACTCCTGGGTCACCATTTATTCATTCATCTATTACAATTTTTTGAATGACATCTATGATTTATGCACTATGTTAGAGTCTTGGAAACTAGGATAGATAGAAACAGTGCTTGCTTTTAAGAAGCTTCCAGTCGGAAAAAGACACAGACTATAAACAAATAAATGCTTTGAAGTATTTCTGACCCATAATGGACATCTATGCAGGGTTTGTTGTAGGAGAAAGAAACAAGCAAACAAAACAAACAAACAAAATCACAGGCTAATTTTACCTGGACTAATCAAGAAAGGTTTTGCTGTGAGGTCACTTTTAAGTTGAATCTTGACAGCTAATGGACTTCTGCCAAGCATCTTGGAGTAAGGAAGGCATGCTGGGTAAAGGGAGTGGCAAAAGCATGGAGCTAAGAAGCAGAGCACTTCAAAGAGCTGCAAATAGTTTGAAATGGTTAGAACATGGGTTCTTACAAGGCTGAAGAGTGAAATAATGGGTAAATCATAAAAGAAAGATAAACCAATGCTGCTTGAATTGACTGAGTGGTCATCACAATCTAACACTTTGTAAATTGTTTTACTTTGCTACCTATTTTCTAGAAGGAGAGCTTTCAACAGAAGGAAATGAAATGAATGAAAACTTCTAATCAATGTCCATTATTTATGTCCTGTGTTTTCTTGTTAGTTTTAAATAGAGTTTGATAAAGGTTCACATTACATTGGCTTGGGTTTTTATTTTAACTTTTTACAAAATATGATTTAGTTTTACAAAATACAATTTAGTTTTAGTCTACTCACTAAAAAGAAGCAATGTGATCATCACGTACACAGTTCAGTTTCCATCTGAAATTGTCTATATTATAGGAAAAGTGCCTCTTTAATGAGAAAATATGCAGGAAGCTTGTTGCATCAGATGTCTGTATCATTTTGTCTTTGGAAATGGATCAATTTTTGAAGGTAGTGATACTGACGATAATTTTCTAAATAACTTTATCTTCCTCATCGCACTATTTCCCTTTTTTCATTGCTACTACAAACATACCCACATGTACACTCACAAAACCACAATCCCTGAAATATGAATTGCAAGTATTAGACCTATAGCACAGGTAAGAAAACTAAGGTAGAGAGAGGCAATGACTAGTTACTCTTTTCCACAGTGTGTCAGAAGCAGAGTCTCTTGAGCGGTGACTTACTACTCTTTAGAGTAAATCCTGCTGCCTACTGCATAAATTCAAGAATTCTGCTCCTTTATTTTTAAAATTTACTGAGCGTAAATACAATAACTTTTAAGAAAAAGAGTGTAACAGAATGGTTTTAAAGCATGGATTTTTGGGATTTCAAAAGAACTACTTTGAACTTGTCTTCCCCATTTATTGCATAGCTTAAGAAAGTTTAGTTTTTTCTCATCTGTGAAAAAGGTTTAATAATAGCTCTTAGCTGTTATAAGCAGTAAGTTAGATAAGGCATGTGAACCCTATAAAAAGTTCTTAGACTATAGTAATAACTCAATCAAATTAACTCATCATTGAGAAAATGAAGACCACCAAGTAGCAGTAAGGCTTCAGAGTTGCCTTCAATAAGAATCACATTAGAAATTGGGCTCAATTAAAATATGGCTATAATTAATTAGAAACACATTTAGGTATAATATTTCCTGTCCCACCATAATAACCATCACAATGACATATATGCATATTCACATGTTAGCTCCATGGAACCTGGAGTTCTAGTTGTTTTGTTCACCTTTATATCATCAGCACAAAGAACAATGCTAAGTACACAGTAGGTACTCAAGAGATGCTTTAAATGAATGCATTAAGCGAATCTCACATTTCTTTTTTATTCACTCAGCTTCTTTTCAGATTATTTGTTTATCTTAATGCTGGTTAAATTATTTTGAGAGAAAGAAAAAAAGGAAGAAAAAACCTCATAGCCTTTGAAGTCATATAGGCTTCAGTTTGAATAGTACTGGATTTGCCAATCGCAAACCACTTACACTAAGTCACATACTCTTTTGGATCTGCTCAGCCAGGTTGTACAGCTAGTTTGGAGGGAGTCAATAATTCACACTAAAACAATTTATTGAAGCCTAAACACTCTAGAATTCAGACATTTATCATGCTAATTTTCACCAGGTTTATTCAGTGAAATTGCTCTTTTCCAAACACCCCACCCTCTCTGCCCCGATCATTTTCTAGAGTTGTTTTCCTGTGATGGGAATCCTTTCTCTGCATTGACCATATTTGTCTAAATTCTGTCCTTCCTTTAATAAACAGTACAGGGTGTCTATATCTATCTTCGAAGAACTGGAACCCAGTCACACTAACTCCAGTGCTTTATCTCTCCTTTGACTTAGTGAGTACAATTTCTCCATCATTTATGGCAATACATCTTATACTGCCTTATATCATAACTTGCATTATTATTTTATACTGGTAGTTAATTTTGCTTATGTTTGGGTATTGCCCTCACCCCAACTAAATTTTAAGAATTTTGAAGACAGGAACTATAAACTATTTTCTTGATTTTTTCCTTACAGTTTATTTATATTTAGGAATTCAAAAAATGATCAGTGGACTAATTGAAAGGGAAACTTCCAGAAACTCTGTCTCCTTATGCTGCTGACACCTACTCTTTGCTAGATCCTATGATGTGTCCCACATATTGATGCTTTTAATAAACACATAATTTGTTGTAGGCAGGACTTGGAATTATGAATCACAATGTATGGACCGTTCGAGTAACACCTATGGCTCATAACAAGTCAGAGATGGTACCTCTTAGGGTTCCAGTTGAATAACTCTCTCTTTTAGGATACCTATAACGTATTAGTTCCTTACTGGACTCCTTTAGTATGGTCTCCAAATGGTTGTGAGCCATTTGGACACCAATTTGGTATATTGGGTTTATAATATCTAAGCCTACTTAACGTGTTAGATTTACAATTTCTAACAAAGCCCATTAACTCAAAACTTAAAAAATTAAACAAGGAGTTAATAAGTAAAGGATAAAACAGCACATTGAACAATAACAATAATAGCTACCATTTGTCAAACTCTTAGTATGGACCCTAGACTACATCAACAAGTTTGAATGTATTTTCTCAAAATGCTTCCCAATGACCTAAGATTTATGCATTTTGATCATTATTATTTTATATATGAGGAAACTAAAGTTTAGAGAACACAAATAACTTGCCTAATATTACAAATATTAAGTGCCAGTGAAGTCACCTTCTAAACCAAGTCTGTTCCACTGGAAACCTTTTTAGCAATCTACCTAAATAGATAATATAGATATGAAAACTACAATGAATATGTTACAGACATCTCAAATCTTTTTTTAAAATTAGGTAAGGAATTAAGTAAACAATAAAATTGCATATGTCTTACATAGCATGACCTTGCCATTCCTTTTCTTGGCTTCTTTCTAATACATGTTGGCCAGAGTCAGGCCTGAGGCTTTCTTTTGTATTCTGCGTTCATCCTTCACCAAATATTTGATATAGTACCTATTACGGGTCAGGCACAGACCTAGGTGTTATAAATAAAGGGTAAAATAAAACAGACAATAATCTCTACCCTCATAGAACTTATTGCTAGTGAGGTAGGTAGAACATAAGACAGTTAAGTAAAATACATAGTACATAGTGATAAGTGCTAAGTCAAAAAATCATGGAAGGATATTGGAAGTGTGCATTGGGGGATGGGTTGGTTTAGAGTTTTAGATAAGATGGTTAGTGAAGGTCTCACTGAGAATATGGCTTGGAGTAAAGACCTAAAACACATAAACAAAATATACATGTTGGAAAAGGTAGCAGAAAGTGCACATGCAAAGGCCCTGAGCTAGAAGCCTGCCTGGCATTTTAGGGAACATCTAAGAAGCCAGTGTGGCTGAAGAGAGAAAGGTCAAGAGCATGTCACAGTGAAAAGATCGTGTAGGACTTTCCCAGTGAGATGGGAAGCCAGCTGTGTTTTGAACGGAAGGGTCACATCATTTAGCTAACATTTAAATAGGATCACTCAGGTTGCTATGTTGAAAAGAGACTTTAAGGGAGCAAGGGCAGGAGCAGAGAGACCAGGTAGAAGTTCCTGCAGTAATCCAGGGGAAATATGTTGAAAACTTAGATCAGATGGGTGCCAGTGGGACTGGGGACAAGTTGTTCAATTCTGTATATAATTATAATTTTTGATATCTATCTTCTTGTCTTTTTCGACACTGATATTGAGTCCTCCTTAGGTGTGGTGTGTGGGTTTTCAGCTCTGCTGTATTAATTAGAGAAAAATACTTTGATAAGTAATTACCATGCCATTTTACTGCTTCTTTTTTTTTTTTTTTTTTTTTTTTTTTTTTTGAGACGGAGTCTCGCTCTGTCGCCCAGGCTGGAGTGCAGTGGCGCAATCTCGGCTCACTGCATGCTCCGCCTCCCGGGTTCACGCCATTCTCCTGCCTCAGCCTCCCAAGTAGCTGGGACTACAGGCGCCCGCCACTACGCCCGGCTAATTTTTTTTTTGTATTTTTAGTAGAGACGGGGTTTCACCGTTTTAGCCGGGATGGTCTCGATCTCCTGACCTCGTGATCCGCCCGCCTCGGCCTCCCAAAGTGCTGGGATTACAGGCGTGAGCCACCGCGCCCGGCCTGCTTCTTAATCCTCTGAACATTTTTAGAAGGTAGGTTACCCTAGATTTGAGTCATATGTATACGTTCATGATTTCCTTTTCTTTTGGTCTCAGTTCTTCTGATCCTCAGGGGATGCTGCCCTAGTTCTTAAATGAGTCAACTATAAGCTACTTGAGGGCAGGAACTGTGTCTCTTATATGTATTTTTGTACACATTGCCTTGCACATGACAAATGATTAATAAATATTTGAAAATAATGGACTGAATGAATGAATGTTAGCCGTTCAGAAAGCTGGAAATATTTTATAAAGTACCTCTTTGGACTGGATGTGTTACCACCAAATAAGAATAGATGCACAACAAGGAGAGTTTCCTCTCTAATGAAAAATTAAGATTAATTAATTAATCTCTAATTAATTTCCTCTCTAATGTTCATTATGATAGTATGTTTCCAGCATCAGAATCTTAGGAAAGCAGCCTGGGAATCTGAAAATGACCCTAGGTAAACCATTCATAAGACAAGTTTGGAAAACACTGTCATATAGCATATGTTTGGAATTCTCAAGTGTGTTCAGAAATTGCTATGTGTTAATAGTTGTTTAAGTAACATATAGACCCAAAGATTTTCCAAATGCTGGATTGCAACATGCAGCAAGAAATAAATTTAAAATTGCAACTCAGTATGTTTTAAAAAGCAATACCTCCTTTAGCAAAAGTTATGCATTGTGATATTTTCCGTTCCAACTTTTAACAATTTCTTTCTTTTTTATAATGTTGGTCAAGATTAAATGTATTATAATCAGAAAAATAATGGGGGGGGAAATACAATTCATATTGACCCGCTTAAAAGATTCCTTCATTAACCTTCTTTATTGACTTTGAAGGGGTGTAGAATGGGTCATAACTCATAATTTGAAAAACACTGTAACATGTTCCCTGCCTTAAGAAAAATACAACCTCAATTAGGAATATGCAAATGAAAAGATGATGAATTACAACAGTCAGACAACACTAAGAAGCCAACACTAGGGCTTCTCCATATAGCCTGGTTCATTTGCCGATTAGCATATTCATCTGGGAATTCATAGATCGGTGCTTACTTCCCTGTCCCTGGCCTTTGGGATTTAGCCTACCCACTTACATACCTCAATATTCTTAATAATAATAACTAATGTTTGTTTAGTATTTATGATGAGTCAGGCACTGTGTACATCACTCATTTCATCTTCACAATAACCCCAAGAGAAAGTTTTCTATTAAACCTATTTTTACATGTGAAAGGACTGGGCCATGGAGGTTTAGAGCCTTGTTCCGGGCCTCACAGCAAGTAACTGGTGAAACCACAATAAATGCTAGGCTCAGGCACCAATGCTTAGGACAGGCCAGTGCCTCGAAAGGACTGCTTTGCATCCATTTGGTTTTGATGACTTCATTGGGCATTCCTCACCCTTATTAGACTTAGGTTCCCCTGACTTGAGTGTGTCACAGTTTCTTTCATTAGCCAGGGACCAGAAGAATTCTTATGGGCCTGATAACCTATATTCTCCCATGGATCTGGGGTCAGGGTTGGGGTGCTTATACTTAGAAGACTTCATAACAAATTGAAGTTTGAGCATCCGTTGAAAGAAATCTATTTGCTAATATCTGCACTTAGTATTAATGCAGTGAATATGATAATAAAACTCCCCACGATGAAGTGATATTGTACTGTGTCTTGGGGAACCTAGCTCTTGAGAATTGACAAGAGAAAAGTAGACAATAAAATAAAAAGTCATTTGACCATGGGAGGGTCTGGCCTTAAATATTTCTCAAATTTCAGCTGGAGGTTTTGTTTTTTCTTTCTGTGTAGACTTTGGCACTTTCAAAATAGGCAGAATTTGAAAGAAGCCAAGGGAATACCTTTCTTTAAAATGAAAGTTAGATGACTAGTGGGAGGCTTATTTTGAGTTTTTAAATTTATTTGTTATTTATTTCTATAGGTATAACTAGATTTACAACTTTAAAAAGGTACACATACATTTATTTATTTTAAAAGTGTCTAATTCATTTTTCAAGGAGTACTTACATTGGAAGAGGAAACTGGCCCAAAGGAGTTTACAGTGAGCCTGGATGGGAGGGAGTAAGGGAGATTTCTGAAATGGACCTCTGAATCTTGGCGCAAATAAAAGAGCCCTTTGCATTTGTGTTGGATGTTTAGTTGACTAATTTATGAACTGCACTTTTTCAGACTCGTTAGGAAAAGTAAACTAATGAATCAGTTTTAAGTGGGTCAGAATACATTATATTTTTCAATGTTTTTAACATTATAAAAGTAATACATGTTTATTATAGAAATTATAGAAGTACAGAAAATGACAAAAATGTATACTTCTTCATATCCTTGCTATTCATATATAGAAATGTATATTCTTTTATCCTATATATATGTATATGAATGCATGTCTATTGGATTAAGATGTATTATTTGTCATGTGTTCTTGCTCATACTATGTGATAAGATAAGAATCATGTCATTAATAATTATTCATAGGCTTCTTTTTAAAGTGGCTGCATAATAGGGAAGCTTTTTTATTCTCTTTTTGAAAAGTAAATAAATACAGGTAAGCAGGGACTGAAAGCATTGTTTTTCTTGGACCATTACTTTTCAGCAGAGGTTAGAAAGCTTTCAAGTGTAACCTTGGAATAGCTTTGAGATGAGATGCAGTTGGGAAAAAAATATATATGGTGAGTCTGAATTTCAAAAGGATAATTGCCATTGTAGTTCTAACAGGGGAAAAAATACATACTTCATGCAAAAGTTTCTCTAGCTAGTCTCCTAACATTGTCTCAACACCCAGTCCTGCCAAATAATGGCTTTGAGCTGGGGTTTTAATGATTCTTTTAAACAGAAGCCAACCAGACAATTTTCTTACTATCACTATTCTCCCAGGCACTTAGATTGAAAACATTGAAATCATTTTTACTCTCCAGAGACCATGGAGAGCTAATTAATCCACAAATCCTGTAGAATCTACCTGTAATTTCTTCGACTTTGTCTCTTTCTGCCTCTCCTTTCCTCAGTGGAGGCTCTCATTTTTTCTCACTGTGTTGCCCCGGGAAACATTGTGACTGGCTTCCCTAATCTCCCTCTGTCCTCTCCAAATTTGTCCTCCCCATATTGGCACCAGACTTATTTTTGTTAAATACAGATAAGAACTGGCCATCCATTTCTCTGTTCAAGAGCTTATGTGTTTCTCACTGCCTTCAAAATTTTCATCCTCATGATGGCCTCAGTCACTTTCCATCATTACCTTCTGCGAGACCTACTGTAACCTCATTCAGTCCACACAGCCAGAATCAATTCCAGCTATACTTCCCATCCACGGCTCACGCCATATAGGAGATGTGGAAAAACTGGGGTGTTTGGTAGAAAGCCTGGGTTGAAAATCCGTCATCTCCATTTACAAAGTAGTCTGCAATGCTTCTAGGTGAGGAAATCAGTTTTTCTGATGCTTAATTTCAAGATGGTGTAATTGAAATGGTTAGTAATGATAAGAATCTACCTTGTATCATGAGCAAGGCTTTAGACAAAAAAAGCCCCAGATATATGCAAGATTCATTCAGAAGATGTTAAAATATTTCAGTAAAGGCCGGGAGCAGTGGCTCACGCCGGTAATCCCAGCACTTTGGGAGGCCCAGGCGGGCGGATCACAAGATCAGGAGATCGAGACCATCCTGGCTAACACGGTGAAACCCTGTCTCTACCAAAAAATACAAAAAAGTAGCCGGGCGTGGTGGCGGGTGCCTGTAGGCTCACCTACTCGGGAGGCTGAGGCAGGAGAATGGCGTGAACCCAGGAGGTGGCGCTTGCAGTGAGCCGAGATCGAGATCGCGCCGCTGTGCTCCAGCCTGGGCGACAGAGTGAGACTCCGTCTTAAAATAAATAAATAAATAAATAAATTGTGAAAGCCAAGGAAATGTTAACTGAAGCAGTGAAGGTTAGCTTTAAATTTGGTGGTTATCTCAAACTGGCTTATGTAGCTGAACATTTCCTTATGGTATACTTTGGATCCCAAGAACATGGGCTAGGACCTAACTCCTTTGTAAAATTTTGGGATATTGATGATAAAATGATGCTTAGTCTTACAGTTGAGGAGATGAAAAAAATTAACTGCAGTATCGGCAGTTATATATCTCCCAGCCAAGACCTCTACGTAATATACAATAGTAATCATCTAAATATAACCACTCCCCAAATTGCTTGGGAAAGCAATCACAAAGTTTGCATTAATTGTTTCTTTGGTGCATAGAGGTCACTAATCCTGAAAAGATTTAGATTAATTACAGAATAATGGAGGAAAGTAAACTTTTTAATTAATATTTTTATGTTAAGATATTTGTACACATTTGGATTTATATATATTTGTGTTTTTAAAGATAATTTGCCAGATTAGAACATTTAACAGATTGGTGTTTGGATGTCAAGGAATTGATTTTGACTTGCAATTTTAAGATTAAGGATATTTTAAAACCTTATTCATTTGTAAGTTGTATTGGAGCATGTAAAAAAGCTTAAAATGTTCACACTTTGTTTTATTAATATTTATTAGATTTAAAAGAATGATTCAAATAATTGAGAAGTTTTTTGTTGTTTAGATAAAATGCTTTTAAAATTTTAATATATTAAATTTATAAATACAGGTTAAAATATTTAATGGGATATAATTAAGTCATAAAACTCCCTTAATGATGATTGTAAAAAACTTGATAGGTTTATAAGTAAAACAGTACAATTATGAATTAAAATTTAAAAGTTAAGCAACATGTAGGCTTTTGAATTTATAACTTTACAAATTAAATATGAATTTCACAAGGGAAAGAGCTCCACATAATCTTTTCTGTCCAAGAAAGATGCCTTAAAACAACAAAGTATTAACATTGCACCTTATTGGGTTGTTATGAAGCATAAACAATATAACATGTGGGATTACTTTGTGAATTCTAGAATATTATAAAAATATTAATAATTATTTTTCATTCTAATTGCTTTTGCTTAATCTGTCACTTCAGTACAGAAAAATATTTACCTTTCCTTTCCTCTACATAATAATTGTCTTGTCCTTCCAGACCCTGCCATCTAGTTTCTTCTCTAACATGGAACTTCTTTGTTTTCTATACATTTATTACTTTGTACTTCTAGTGTAACACTTAATACACTTTGCATTCCTAGTGTAACACTAGTATATCCCTTGTTTTGGAGATGTTTATATCTGCTTTTCTTTACCAGAATGTGAATTCTGTATCTGTTGTTGTTGTTGTTGTTGTTGTTGTTGTTGTTGTTTTTTCTTCCTTTTTGTGGAAGGGAATCTCGCTATATTGCCCAGGCAGGTCTCGAACTCCTGGGCTCAAACTATCCTCCTGCCTCTGCCTCCCTGACAGCTGGGATTATAGGCGTGAGCCACTGCACCTGGCCAAATTCTATATCTTTTCCAGTTCATTTGTTAAAAGTAAACATTAATTGAGTCTCTCTTATGGGCTAAACACTGTATTCTGTACAAGGGCCAGAGTCATTAATAAGAAATGTTATTTGTGTCTGTCTGTAATGGGTAATAATGAATTATTAAATTTTTATTTATTAAAGTTAATTTGATTTGAAGTAAAAAAAATCATTCTGTCTAAAAAATTTTATAATACAAATTTCTAGGAAAGCATTTGACTAGTTCAAGAAAAAAATTCAGGTAATGAAAATAGCAGATAAGAAAAATTCAAAATACATTAAAGAAAAATTGAAGCTTCACCAGTATAGCACTTACTTTTTCCCTTAGGCCTAAAACATTGTTTTCATTCTTATAAACAATTTGGAAGATAGTTTTGCAGAAATGATTGGAGCAGTAGAGGCTGAAGGAGGGTAGAGGTTGGTTAGACAAGGCGGTTGATCTTTAATCACTCAGTCAGGGATGTCTGCCCATTCTCATTAGGAAGATCTGCTGCCCACCTCCAATTTCCTCCCTTCCTTCCAGTCCACTGCAGTCAGCAAGGCTGTTTTCCTTTTCCTTTTGTCCAGCAGTCAATAACATTGATTTTTACAGCACTAGGTGATTCTCACCTCTTCCCTCATTATCCCCTCCTTCAGGGCTAAACAAAGCCATGTTCCCTGGAGTGCAGCACAATCTGCAGAGCCTGTAAAACCAAAATGGCCAGAGGCAGGATGCAGGGATTTGGCTGGGTATGCGGGGGATGGTCAGTGCCATCAAATCTCATGGGAACATCCTGGGCAGAATATTTTTGATATAGTCTTAACTTAAGGGGTAATATATCCTCCAGAGGAAAAACGCACATAAAATGTCTATCTTGTTCACTGCAATTTCACTGAGTAGTGAAAGCCCTGAGATCCTGTTTCCATGTATAATTCTTACTGAGCCTATTCGGATAGATAGACACTACTCCTGGGGAAGAGGCCACCTATCAAAATGGGTCAAAAGAGCAGTAGTACATAATTGGGCCGTAGATGACCAGAAGAAATTGCAGAAGAAAAGAATGTACTCAATGATTGCTTTTTGCATGCTAGAAATTTCTTAATTTTTATTTATTTTAATCATGATTAAAACCTGTCAGGTGAGGGTTACTGCCCCCACTAAACAGACTCTAAAACTGAAACTTAGAAACGCAAATTAGCATACCCAAAGTCACATAGCAAGAAAATGGCAAAGCTAGTCTTTCTATACACACAATTCTGTCTTCCAGAACTGCAGACTTTTCTTTCTGAGAGTTTATATAAAAGCTATGATAATTAAAAAGAGTGGAAACATTACCCCTCTGTTTAAAGATCAAGGGAAAGATACTGGAATTTGTTTTGATTCAGTAATCTTGTAAAGAAATGAGCAAGAACGGTTTTGTAGCTTAGCTAAGGAAGAGCAGGAACAGAGAGAAACCTCAAATACTATTTAGGAAAGATTTAGCTCAGGCTGGTTAAAAGGTGCATCGATGCAGGGTTTCAAAGACGAGAAAAGAAATTTCAGGTTTCTGGACTATTCAGACCATGATTGCTGTGGAATTACATGTGAACAAGTAGAGTTAGCTTTAGTAACCCTGCCACTTAAGTCTTATAGCCCTAGGTTTGAATTTATTTCTACCTCTTACCAGCTGTGTGATCATGAGCTAGTTATTTAGCCAGTCTTAGCCTTTGTTTCTTCAGCTGTAAGATGGGATACTAATGTCGATCATATAAACAAAGATTTTGTTGAAAAACTTATATGTTGAAAGCATATAAGTGCTTATATGTTGAAATATGCTTTCAACATATGTTTTTCAACAAAATCTTTGTTTATATGATAGACATTAGCATCCCATCTTACAAGCCCTCCATGGTGTCTTATACATAAAAAAAATCTGATTCAATGGTAGATTCCTTCTTTTCTCAGTGATGTCCCACCCTTCCCCACAACATAATGTGAAAACTAATTCCCAGTCTTTCTTTCCGATGAGGTCTAAATAAGGGCAATGTTACTACTCACAGGGGAAACTTTCTGAGAATCAAAGCCTTAAAAATCTGTATCAAATTCAGCCATAACAATAAATTTCAAGTCTAAACCCTCATGTGGAAGAGAAATATGGATGTCCCTAGGGCTATCCAGCAGCTTCTGAAGACACACACTTGAGTCGTACTGTCTGATAGAGTAACGACTGGACACATGTGGCTGTTGAGCACTTGAGGTATTGGTAGTCTGAACTGAGATGCATTGTAAGTGTAAAAAACACATTGAATTTTGAAGATTTAGTATGAAAAAATGAAGTATCTCATTAATCTTTATCTTTGATTATATGTTGAATTGATAATATTTTGTATATTTTAGTTTATATAAAATGTAGTATTAAAATTGATCTTACCTCTTTTTTTCCACTTTTTTCAATGTGGCTACTAGAAAATTTAAAATTACATATATGGCTCTCATTTGTGGTTCTTATTATATTTTTTTTAGACATTGCTGTTGTGGAGGCTAAAGGGTAACTCGTTCTTTCCATGGATGGAGAGGCCCTTGACATTGATATTCTGAAAGGGTTTTTATAATCAGTGTGGTTTGTGCTCTTCCTCCCTATCTTGAGAAAGACAGATAGGATGGGTAAGAATCTTTCTAGCTCTGTAGTCCTGGATCTTGACACAACCATTGAATGCTAGATTTAAAAGGGAACTTTGAGATTCCAAGTTTCAACACTCAACTACAGTCCAAGGAGGTTAAGTGACTTGCCCAGAAGGCTAATGTCCAGCACTTTTTCCATTAAAATGTACAGCCTCTCAAGTGCATGACCACTCTTCTCAATATTTATATTGTCTTGGGAGAATGCAAACTCTGTCATTGGGTGCAGACAGGTTTTCTTGGAATGGAAATTTTTCTCCTCTGCCATGTTCTAAGTGGTCCCAGAGGAGAACCCTTATTTGACTTTCAAAATTATGTACTAGTATAATCTCCTCGGTGGATCCCTCCTATCCCAGGCAAAATTAGTTAATTTCTATTCTTCCTTCTTTACATAGCTCTATTTCAGCTCCGAAGAAACTGTTTTGTGTTGACTGACTCACACATAAACTCCTTAATTCAAGGTGCTTGTTTTGCGGGCTTAGCATCAGGCACATGTTAGGCCTGCAGTAAATATTAGTTTAATTGAACTGTTGTTGGGAAAACTCTCACAGACTCCCTTTGATGTCCTGAATCTTCCTATTCTATTCTTGTTATTCAATTTCATTAAAATAGTAAACAAAACCCTCAACTTTCTCTTTCTTTACATATATATTTTTTCTCAATCACTCATACTTGGAAAATGCTGTCATGTTTTGGAAATATCATTCCTTCACTCTTTCTTAATCTCCCAGTTAGTCGTATGTTGAATTGCCTCATCAAAGGGACCCTCTCTAAATAAATGAAGTCGGACTTGTCAGTCAGGGGCGGATTGAGTAGGCCTGAAGAAGCCATGATTCATGCAGTCTCATTTCCATGGTGTATGCCTTAAATGCCACATCTCCAGTTAGCAGTTAGTCTCTCATGAAAACAAATTCAGCTTTCATTCCTTTTGGGTTTTAAAAATTCTATTTTGAAATTTGTGTTAAGAATATACTCCTTTTGGCCTTTTGGCTTTCTCAAGGTGGGATTTAGAAATGGCTCCATTTCCCCAGAAAATTGATTATAAAACCTGTGTATACTGATACCCTCATTTTAGCATTAAACATCTACAACAGTTTAAAGAAGAAGGGAATGAATTTTTTAGCTTTCCATGCCTTGGATTCAGTTCTTTTCTCTCTTTCTATGCAGCTATGTCAGGATAGGAGATAATTTGAATATGGATAAATCCTAGCCCTAGTCCCTTGGCCTCACTATTTCCATTTTTTTCCCCCTGCCCACACTTTGCTAAAATATGTGTATTTCTTTGATTATTTGATTACGACATGCCTCCCTGATAGACTTCAAATTCCATGGTGGTAGGAACCATATCAGTTTTACCTACATTATATCCTTAGGAGTTATGGGCGTCATAAATGGTAGAAGGAGGCAAGCTTTTTTGTTTTTTTTAATAAGCTGTCAGTTAATTGTCTCCAAATTATCATGTCTCCTGTCTCATATGTTTTTATTTGATAATATATCCATCATCCCGTCTTCCCTGACTTAAAGCACACTAATTATTGCCACCCCTTGGCTCTCTGTGTGTGTGTGTGTGTGTGTGTGTGTGTGTGTTAGCCTTGCTGTGGGTAATGGACAACACAGGTCAAGTCATCGAGTACTTTTTTCCCTGTCACACACATGTGCCCATACCTCACCTGCTGTATTTTGGTGTATGTTAAAAGTTAATTTTTTAGGGATGTAAAAAAAAAAAAAACAAAAAAACCAAAACTTGTTTTTATATTAGTTCAAGATAAAGATAAAAAAAAAAGGAAAAAAGGGAACTTAACTCTGTTGTTCAAGAAAATAAAAATTATAGAGTGTATTCCTAAGGTAAATATTTAAAATTATATTTGACTGATCATATATTCTAGCTATGCCATGTGACTCCATTAGAGCAATTATTTGTGCTGAATTTGCTGAACTAGGAATCTTAGTTTAAACTAGGCTTTAACTGCCAGATGAGGTTTATACAAGGCATTTTTAATCATTGGTGTGATTTGCTTATACTTTAGACAATCTGGAAGTGGTACTAAAAACCAATTTTAGGAACATGTTAAACTGTACCATGTGTATGCAATCAACAAAATCCAGACTTTGGGGAAGTCTAAAGGTCAAATGGCTCAGGCTTTTCAACAGATTAATAATAAGAAAAAGAAAGAGATGGAGTAAAAACCTGTAAAGTTTAAGAGACATAGAAAACTAAGCTATAGTGTTCAGGAATAGACTATAAAAAATACAAGAAATGGATTATTATAGAAGTCAGCCCATGCTTACTTTTGAAGGAAAGGAGGGTGTTTGATTGGCCTGAGGCACATGGAGACTTCTGTGGTGGCTGGCAAAGTTCCATTTATTGACGTGAGTGGTGGTTACAGGAGTTTGTGCTTAAATAATTCATCAAATCATACATTTCCTGTGGTTATCTGTGTCTGTTTTATTTTACAATACAAAAGGTTTTAAAATGCAGAAAAAAAGAGAAAATCTATTTTATTACCAATCTTTTTGAATTCCAAATTAAAATATCTCAGAAGTGTATTGTGTTAAGTCATAGAGTCTATTGGGGGCTGTCTTTTAATGGCAGAGAGAGAAAGCATTGGATACTTCATTCGGATATTAGATTTTACAAAATTCTTTGAGTTTTGAAAAGTATTTAACATTGGAGGAGAGACTAAAGAAGTAGAAAAAGAAGAACTTGTACACAGATATGTAAACCGATAGAAAAACTTCCAGATGTTTTTCTAAACAATTAAAAATTCAGGTCATGCCTGAATTTTTAGGGCGCAGTGGCCCATGCCTGTAATCCCAGCACTTTGGGAGGCTGCGATGGGAGAGTCACTGAAGCCAGGAGTTCAAGGCCAGCCTGACCAACATGGTGAAATCCTGTGTCTACCAAAAATAAAATAAAATACAACAATTAACTGGGCATGGTGGTGCACGCCTATAATCCAAGCTACTTGGGAGGCTAAGATAGCACCACTGCACTCTAGCCTGGGCGACAGAGCGAGACCCTGTCTCAAAAAACAAAACAAAAAATTCAGGTCAAGCCAGTTGGCTTTATAGAGATATACATTACAATGAGCCTAATAAACATCAGGGTGCTCATTAAAGTAAATTTCTCCATTATTTGCACCGTGAAAATGTAAGAAATTGTGGTGTATTCAGACTTTGGCAGGGCCTTGGCAGGGAAATGGGGAAGAACTTTGTTCCATAAATGTTTATTTTGCCTTTTTTGTGTGTATTAGACACTGTTTTATTAAAACTTCACAATGACCATTTAAGATTGGTTTATTATCTACATTTTACAGATCAGGAAAAACTAAATGACGGAAATAGTTTCAATAGCTGGACTTAAAGGACAAATGGGATTCAAACCCTCAGTTATGGGCAGCAGAAAAGCCATTTCTAGCAAAAGAAGTAGCGAACGGCAATGTGTGACAGTAGGAAAGCATAGAAAACATTTAGGAAACAGTATAGTCTGATTTAGTTAAAAAATAAGATCTGAAAAAGTAAACGGAGGCCATATCATGAATATCGAGGTGAGCTTTCAGAGTGGAAAAGCAACATTATGAAGTTTTTGGAATATTATTTTGTTCATGATGCATCTGACAATGTAATTACACAAACAAAGGGATATAATTGCAATTAAAATGAAATTTAAGAAAATGTGATCTTGAAGAAAAGGAAGTGTATCATTACACAGTAGGTAGAATATAGATAGAATTTGTTGCACCATTATGTTCCAGAGGAAATGGTGTGACATTTTAAGACTTGGTGCGTATGGGTCTAGTTGCTCTGCTAGAAGATTTCTATACTCTTATCAAGGGTATATGATGCCAATTTTAAAGAATTATTGTTAAAACTGAGTACTTTTGTTATGGTAATCTTTGTCAGTTTGGTTAAAACTTTTATCTCAGTGTTGATTCACTTCTTACGTTCTCAATAATGTTGAACATTGCATAAGCCTATAGTCATTTGTATTTCTCCATTTGTAAATTGCCTTTCACATCATGTTATTGAAAAAACTGGAAATTTTTTCATTTATCTGTAAAACTTTTTTACATATTAAGAATAATAATGATTTTTATCACCTGTTGGAAATAATTTTTCTGAGGTGGATGTAACTTGCCTTTAATCATTATTGGCTATGAATCTCAATGAACCAAAAAACATTTCTATGTATTGTGGCTCCTTTTACTTTTAATACTCTCTAAAATTTTATTCTTACTAAAACTTTTTGAAGTAGAGAAAGAACTGCACAACTATCCTAATTTTGTAGTTGAGGGAAACTATATTCAGCAACTTGACTCTAGCTTTACCTGTATGATAATATGACTTTTTGAAACATCTATGAAATGGAGATAACACTATATGTGTACATTACTTGATTCAACTAAGTTTGTGAACAATGCCAACTATCAGGGATATGAAGATGAGTAAGAAAGATTCCTGCCCCTGAGTAGCTTATATTCTTAAGGGCATACTGGTACCTATGTGCTTATATCATTATGATGATGTAAGCATACTCTATAGGAATGGTGGGGCCTTAGCTAACTACGCAAAGGGGTGTTGGGGAAATTTTCAACTCTTAAAGAATTAGTAGGAGGTAGGAGATATCTGTTAGTTAAAACATAAGGCATGAAAGTGGTGAAAGATGCTGATCTTGTTTAGGAAATAGCATATATGTCTACTGTGTTCAGAGAGTAAAGAAGGGAAGAAATAATTTGGAGTAATCTTGTGAAGGTCTTTGTATTCGCTAAAGGTTTAGAATTCATTCTCTTGTATGTTTTATAGTATCACCAGTTTAATTTTTCTTATGTCTTGAAATAGAGGAGTGTTCTGACCAGATTTGTGCTTTTAGGAAGACCATTTTCACAGGAGAGTTGGAAGATGGCCTGGGTATGGAATCAGAGAGGAAATGATGAATAGAGTTAAGAAGCTATTGTAATGCTTCAGAAAAGAAAAGGTAAAGGCTTGACCTATGAAAATAACTTGGGAAAGGAAGAAAGAACCCTAATGAAGAAAGATTTAGGGGAGTAAAAGTAAGACAATAACTGTGAGCTATTATGTGAGTTACGGGAGTGGCAGAGAGGGAGAAGCTGAGACTCATACATTCAGCTTGGATAGCGGAAAAGATTATGGTGTTGTTAGCTATCCTAGAGAATTTCAGCACAGACCTGGAGAAGAAAATAACAGTTTGCACGTGTTGAGTACTATGGGTAAGCCCTGAGAGGCATTCAGTGGACAGCTATACATGCCAGTCTGCATCTCTGGTGTGAATAGCAAGCTGGAAATAGACATCTGGCCATCATCACTATGTAAGTGGCAGTTGAAATCACAGGTGTGGATAACATTTCCCAGGGCAACTGTGAAAAGTGAAAGGAGAATAGCTACGGACAGAACCCTGGGGGATACCACCATTGTGGGGAGAGATGTTGTGAAGATCAGATCTATATCTGAAAGCACTTTGAGTGATAATGCACTTTTTAGATATAAGGTATTATTATTAAGATATTCGGCTTCTGTAAGGGGATAGAGATAAGTGCTACCACATGATGCATTGAAGCAGAAGAATAATTGCCATTTTAACCTCAGAGGCATTGTGAAAATCTGTAAGCAGATACTTTATAAAAACATTTCAAATGCTAAGGTAAAAGAAGCCTTTGTAAGACTAAACAAGAGCCAGAGTTCTTAGTTTTGCAGGTTCCAACTGTAGCCATGGATTTGCCATCTGGGAATTTGTAGTAACTGTAAGCAAGTATGTTGCCACTGAGTCATCTCCCATGGAGTGCTGGAGAAACAAGGCCTGCGTCCAGATTTCCATTCAAGAATTTTACAAAATTGCCTTCCAAGAAAGCCCAAGAGATTTTCATTAACAAGGTTAGCTTAACATTTGTACATAGTTTTTTTTGAATTTGTAGTACTGGAGATATTTTTATTAGGGCAATAGGAAGAAAATTAAATAATTTCTTATTATAACCTATATGTTTATCTCCCAAAATATTTCCAGAATTCCTATATTTTGAATTTAGTGTTGCAAACTCAGCCTTCCTTTTTTTCCCCCCTTAATTCAACACTAAGAAAATGTTTAGTAAACTGTGTGGTACAATAGAAATGGCTATAGAATTTGGATTCAAATATATTAAGAGTTTGTTTTCTACTTTTGATAATTGTTGATGTCAAACTAGATTTTCATGAATGTCAGTTACTTCATCTGCAAAATGTGAGTAATAGCTAAATTACTGGTCTGCTGTATAAATCAAATGACCCTATAACAACATTTTAAGCTGTTAAAACACATTATTAATATAAGGGAGTATCTAAATATAAAATTATAGTTAACTCTCTTATTCTGAAAGAAGTTTGATTTTAAAGATTTATTCTAGTTAATGGAGTAACAGAGTTTAAGATTAATTAACTTTCACCAAATGTTTAATTTTGAAGGATATTCATTTTTCTAAGTCTCAAGAAGAGGGAACTACGTGGAAAATTCCTGATTGAATATTGAATGTGTGGTATCAGGGCTCAAAACCAACTTATCTCTTTAGTAAAGTGCGTGAGTAACTTGGCTATGGCATCTCTTATCCCACTGATTGTCAGGATATATTGCGGAGACCTAGCTCTCAGTTTCATTAAATTCCTCATCCCTTCCTTCTCAGCCTGTGACCCTCCTGAAGCCTTGGGCTTACTAAAAGAAGATTCTCAATGACTACTACTCTAGTTGCTCCCACTGAAGATTGTTGTAATTTCTCATAGCATTTATCATGTGGAAATATATATTATGGCTATTGTTGGGGATCTTTTCTAGTAAGCTGAAAACATGGTGTCAGAGGGTATGTCTTCGCTTTTAAATGGATTTTTAAATGTCTATTAATTGCTTTTTCTTTTACATTAAAAACATTTTATTCTACCTTTTATTTTGTTAGCTAATTTACATATGGACTCGCTAAGTATCTGAAAGAGGAAAAGAAGAATAAAAGAAAGGCTGGAAGGAAAAACATGAACTTTAGAGAATTATAATAAATTCTTATAATGATCCTCAATGGCCTTGCATATTGTGTACTGAAAATTAATACTGAGGTTGACATTTTGATCTCAAGGGTTAAAATAATGTATTATTTAAAACCTTACGTAACCTATGTAGATCAGAAGCTTGGTAAATAGAAAAAGGAATAAAACTCCCAAGAAATATATTTTCATTTCTGTTGCAGAAGATCATTTTTAAATGTGTGAAAAGTGAATTGAAGAGCTAATTTCATTTAGTTCTATCTTCAATGATCCAGTTATGCATGAACATAATGTTGTTTCTTATTATGAAAATAACCACCAAATGTAGTACTCTGCATGTATACAGTGATATCTAAATTTGATTTCTTTATATTTTAACTACTAAGCTTTATGATATTAAAATAGTTGACTAATAGAGATTTTCACATTGTTAAAGTATGCTGAAGGATATATCCCTTTTATAGAAGAATGTGATTCTCTAGTTACTTTTCATTCCCCCAAAAGAGTAAAAGTATCTTGAAGACAAGGATGCTTATTTGCGATTGTATTCCCAGTGCCTGTTAGAGTTTAACACATAATATAGTACAGAATATTTGTGGGTTCAATTAATGTCTATATTACCTAATTAATTTGCTAAGAATAGAGCTGTTTTATTTAAGTTAGGTTTTACCTACAATCCTTGATTTTAAAATTCACATCTATGTTCTTGATAAGTAAAATGATTTAAGAAAAATAATTTAGAAAGGTGTTGCTTACCAGAAAGAAAAGTTTCAGTAATGTATTCAGTATTGCCTCTGACAAAATATTCAAATCATTAATCAAATCTATTTGTCCTACAAATTAGGTGAGAGCATTTCTTACCACCAGCCATCATATGTAAGATACTGAAGGTCAGAGGAAATATTCTTAATGATCTAAGGCAAATTCTCTCAGCCTGGAAATAATTCCCAAGGAATTAAGTCATGTACCACTAGATGCTGCATTAACTCTTTCAGGCCACTAAGGTACTATTGAGTGCACTGAAGCTGCAGTTTACCAAATGGTACCCCAGTGGTCTTACTCAGTTATTGCAGCCTCCAGAAGGGCCTGTGTCTTCCCAGAGAGAAGTTTAAGCATTGGAAAAATCTGGTTCAGAATATATTTTCCCAAGGTGATGCTTAAAGGAAACAGCTAATGCATAGCTTTACCTTGTAGCACACACAGACAATTCTTTATGTAAATGTATCTCTGAGTGGTGAAGATGCTCCCTGCTTCTCTTTTGCTCACTGCCATTTCTAGGGGAATTGGAATAGATTATGGGGTAGCTTTATTTAAAATTGACATTTATGTAATATAATGGTTTATATAAACCAATAATATTGGTGCTTCCAAACTGTCCTTAAGCAGAAGCAGATAGCAGAGGTGGCGGGAAGAAGAGAAGTTATGGAAGAAAAATGTTACGTGTTTTTGGATGTTACCAACATTTGTTGCACGGTGAGGTCCCTTGGGCCCCAGTAATTGCTAGATGCAAGTGAGATTACCAACATTTTTAGTTCTTTGTCTTTTAATTTAGTCATGTGGGCTAGCTAGGAGGCAACAGTGTTGAAATAATTGTGGCAGTGACTCAGATTTGACATTTGCTACACAATTAGATTTTCTTTAGGTCAACCATAGCAGATCAAACTTTGCCTTCAGCAAACCTTCCTCAAATCTATTGTAATTTCATCAGAGTGGGGAAGCATGACACTAGAGGGGGTTTTGTATCTGAAGAACCATCACACATTCTTTGATACATTTTTCATAGGTTTTGATGTTTTCTCTGTTCAGTGAAATATCAGTTTTATTTATTTAATTCTCTTTATAGAAGATTATTTAGTGATCTATTCTGTTGGCCGGAATTGAAGCCTATTTTAAGTCACTCACTCATTCACAAAAATTTGTGATTTCCCACCATGTAGCTTCTGCACAAGCACTGGGAATACAAAAATGAATAAAATTCAATCTCACCTTTCAAGGAATTTTACAGTTTAGTACATAGAGGTAGGCATATGAATGAATAATTGTTATAAAGTGTAATAATAGCTGTAATAGAGATATACAGAGCTTACTACACAAATGACTAAATTCAATCTGAATCTTTGCTGGGGAGGGGAACATACAGAGGAAGGAAGTGATGTTTTAAGCTGGGCCATGGAAGATAGCTAGATAGTTTTTTAGAAGAAAAGGCAGGTAAGGTAAGAAAAAGCATTCTAGGAAGAGGGTATGCCATGTAGTTTAGAACAGTGGAGGGGAGAGAGGATCTTGGTATACTTGGGAATGGAAGCCAAAAAAAGAGCTTCTAGGAAAGGATAAGAAATTGTGGCACATTTTCCAGAAATATTAAGTGGGATAGTAACAGAAATAATTCTAAATTTGGCATTTGGTTTTCTAATGTCAAAGAACATTTGCAGTAGAAGGGAAAGGACAGAAGCTAGTTTACTCTCACATGAAGTAAGAAATGAAATTGTATGATGAAGATAATGCAGGAGGCTTTGAGTACTCTTTCAAGAAAGTGGTAGAGGGAAGGAGATTGATAGGATGGTAGCTAACGAAAAAAGCATGGTTTATAAAAGTCTTTGGGGATTGGGTAGATTTGATATTTTAGAACAAGGAAAGAAACCAATAAAGCAAAAACATGAAGATACTATTCAAGCAAAATGACTATTTTTGTTTAATAAATTAGTGAAGTATTACAGCTGATTAGAAATTTTTTACTCTCCCACCTAGCTCTGTGCTCAACTAATACAAACTTAGCTTATTTAACAAAGTCATGTAAAAACTGAGTAGGAAAAAAGTACATTTTAATTATATAAAGTGACCATTTTTATTGTTATATCTTTGCAAAGTGAAGCCATATTTTCAACTTAAAATTATTTTTCACACTGAGTTATTTAGGGAATTGTAAAGATCCATCTCAAACTTACCTACCATCAAGTTTGCTGTCTTCAGGGTAGAAAAGCACAGTTAATTTGAAATAGACTTCAGTCTTTTTTATAGGAGCTTATGTATTTTTCCAACAATAATAGTTCATGTGGGTAGAAACTATGTGTTCCATATTATCTCTGGACCATTTTACCCAATATTTTTTACACGGCCAGATCCAGTAAGTGTTAAATTACCTTAAATGCTTTACTCTAAAGAAGTTATAAAATCATAAGACTCCTGCTTCCCAAAGCCTCGATTTAGGAAACACTATGTAATTGAGATACAGATATTTTCCTTAAAACTCAGCATCTAATTTTTATTTAGTCTTTTTAAGAAAGTCACAGAAGAATTTAATCTTTATAGTCTCCTAGAAATTCTAGGAATATATTTGATGAGTATCTTCAGTAGAATGCTGTTCACTCTAGAAAGATATATGATAAGTGAGTTCTTGGAAAAAATGATCATGGTTGCCAGATACCAGGATAGATTCATGGTTGAAGAGAAGAGTATAAATATTATTTTAATCTCTAGGAAATTACTTGGGAGAATAGGAGAGAAACAAGGCCATGCCCTTTCTCTAGGTTCATTTAATAACTGTTGAATTAACAGAACATGCTTAAGCTATATTGCTTATAGCATTATTGTTCATAATTGCAAAAACTAGAAACAACATAAATGTATGTACTTTGTGACTTATTAATACAATGGATACTATGTAGTGGTAAAAATGAATGAATTACCCATATAGACCATAAAATGGATGAATTGACAAAAGAGAAGACAATATATAAGGTGATTCTATTTACATAAAGTTCAGAAACAGACAAAATTAGAAAGTATTATTTAGGGGTATATATATATATATATGTAACTAGTACAAGAAAAGCAAAGGAATGATTAACAAAAAATATTGTGGGGTGAAGGAGTGTGATTTGATTAGTTATGGTACACAAGATGCTTCAGAGTCAGCTGTATTAATACATTTCTTAAGCTGGTTGGTTGGTACATAGAAACTCATTTTATAATGAAAAAAATTGTATGTACAGTAGTCCTTAGCCACAGGGGATATGCTCAAAACCCCCAATGGATGCCCAAAACTGTAGACAGTACCTGAATAGACTATGTTTTTTTTTTCCAGCTATGCATACATACATACTTGTGATAAAGTTTAATTTATAAATTATGCACAGTAAGAGATGAACAATTATTAATAAAATAGAACAATTATAATAATATACCCTAATAAAAATTATGTGAACATAGTATTGCTTTCTCACAAAATGTCTTACTATATTGTACTCATCTATTTTCTGACCAGAGTTGACTGTACGTAACTGACACCATGGAATACAAAACTGTGGATAAGTGGCAACTACTATCTCTGTTTATGCTGTTTTCATATGCATCATACATTTTTATGACAAAAATGACAGTCTGGCATATGGTGAGAACTCAACAAATGGCAGGTTCTGTTATTATTGATACAATTACTATTTATCATTGTTACTCAGTAAATACTTGTTAAATGGATTACACCTTCTCTTATCAAAGATGTGTTAGATTTTCCCAGATTTCTTGCTGTTGATGAGTATATCAACAACATCGTGGGAAATATTGGGAGGAAAAACTTGTAGCACTTAAGCATCCACATCTTTAACAAGCATCTAACTGTTTGAGAACATGTAGGTGGTTCACTAAATTCTCCATCTTCATCACCATCTTTGGCACAATATTAGTGGACCCTCTGCTCGTTGTAGAATTTGCATATAAGTTTGGATAATGATTTGTTGCTGGCATAAATATATTAAAGATCATATTTTCATTCTGCATTGAAATAGAAGTCTACAAAATGTATATAAAGCTAATGATTTAAACAATTTGAAGAGTCAATATTTCACAGTTAATATTTTCTCCTCATAGAAAATCTGACTGAAGCCCACTGTTAATTTCATTGTTTTCTGTGCTCACTCCTAACTAATCAACCAGTTAATAAATGATACATATTGATAGATACAGTATATCTATTAATACATTCATAAATTCAAAAATATTAATAAAGTAGCCATTTGCTGCAAGTCTGCTAAGTGGTAGGTGCCCTGGTGAACACCTACATGCACTGACAGGTTGTTATAAACTATCTGGATTCTCAGATTTCATACAAAGATGTCACTTAATCTCCATTCTCAGATGATTATTATAGTGCATACCTCTGCTCTTAACTTGATACATGACCAAAATACTTATTCAAACTATAACTTCACATTAGTCAATACCCAATAACTAGTAAATATTGCCTCAGAGAAACAGATATTTTTGGAAGATTGCCTTAAACTTTGTGAAACTCCCCTTACAATAAAACTAATAAAACTAAAAAACTATCTGCCTTTTAATTTGGTACTGGTGTGCTTCTCACTGCCCCCAAAATTACTTTATTGAACTGTAGTTTGAAATGATGTCATAGATGTAGGTGGTAAGAAAAGCAAAGCTATGATATCATTGCTCTGTCTACAGTAGTGTTCTGCCATTGTATTAATCTTTATCAGAACCCATGGAAGAAATATTTTTATGACCTTATTTGATTCTTGAGTCATTTGCGTTGGTCTTTTTGGTCTTTTTTAAAAAATAATAAAATCACAGTGAAACAGGTTACTGATTATATCTTTCTCCCACTGCTGAGGTGCCTAGTATCATATTTGTATTCAATAACTAACCATTGCTTTGTTTTAAAATAGCATCAATGTGGTTCCACTAATATCTTTTCTTCTTCTATTTATTTTTTACAACCTTATTTAAACTAATATTAATATTTTAATTTTAAATTCTGTTATGTTTAAACGTCATTTTACACCCTCTCTAAAATGAGGCAAATCATGTAAATAAGTTGAGTAAACACAATTTTGTAATAATTCTACAATTAAATTTTAACTTCATTTAAATTAAATTTTAGATGAGAATATGTAAGTGGCTTATCCAATGTCATACAGTGTGTTAATAATGGAAACAATATTAAAATCCAGTTTGTACTAGGGATTCAAGTATGAGTGAGACAGACATTGCCCCGTGGAGCCCCCTTTGCCTGGTGAGGGCACTAGCAGGACTAAGCTGGCTCAGAATCCGCAAGGGGTCTCAGCAGGTGTGCTGTGGTGAAAGACACTGACATAAATTGTAGACATCCTAGGCCAGAGGCAGGAGATTGGTCTTAGCATCTCTGAGCATGTAACTTAAGTAGTCAGCCTTCCATCTCTATCCCAGTAGGCACTAGTCAAACAGTGATCCTTGCCTGATCCATGTGATATAGAGTATCATTGAACCTAACTCCCAACAATGCCTCCCTCCTGCTCCTTCCAACAATGTGGCTACTTACTCTTCAAAGAATTCCCTGCCTTAGAACTTCATATTTACTCAAACAATTCTTGTCTTCACTGGAACAAGAATGTAGAGTTCTTTTTCTTATTTAATGAAAGCCCTTCTTTACTAAGTACTCCACCAAGTAGGAGACCCAGGAGTTTGTGTGTGTAAACATGTGGTGAGTATGTGTATGTATACTAAATTACACGCCATAATTTGGAGCTTAACATGGAATTGTACAAGAATAGCGGATTCATGAAATGGCAATTCATGAAGCTTGAGTGGTAAAGAAGAGTGAGCAGAAGAGGAAGTGGGAGAAGTTGGAAGGGACAATTTAAAGAAAATTATTTAAGTGAAAGGCAAGATAAGATTTCTGCTTTTTAAATACTGTCCTCCTAGGAACATACACTGATTAACATGAAATGATTAAAGACTAAATAAAAACTAAAGTCTTGTTGATGACCTTGACTGTACAAGGATTCCAGAGAAGGGCAACCAAGAAGCTTTACCTAGGAGGCCAAGCTTGAGAACCTTTGAAAGATGAGAAAGTTTAATCAGTCAAAGAAAGGATGGCATTGTATACATAGATTTATAGAACCTCAGTGACCATAATTCATTTGAGACTGTTTTCCATAGTCATTACAGAGAACTGGCTTCATAAAATTCTGAACACTTCTGAGATTATTCTTAAATTTCTTATGTATATAATTTATAATATCCAGCGAGGTCATAAATACCCTAAAGCCTATGCTGTTTCTTCTCTTTCTTTTGTACTGCCCAAATGTGCCTGTACAGTGCTGTAAGCTAACAATTTCCTGTAAATACTTATTAATTGACTATACAATCACCTTGTAAGATATTAATAATAATAGCATCTACTTACACAGTTACTATGTCTCAGGGAGATTCATTCATAACATTTATGTGGCTTGAAACAAAAGTTCAAATGGAAGTCATATACCAAATATTTTAAAGTTCTAAAACAAGCTAACAAACCGTCACTGAATATATTTAATCCTCCTACTTTAACAAATATTTTTTCAAAATGAACCTGCAAATCCACGTTCAAAGTGAGACTCAACTGAGTAAACTTTCAGACTCTTCAGAATTCCTAGCCATAAGGAGGTAGCATAGGAAGAAGGGACCTGAGCTCCTGGGCTAAGAACCACCTCGTTTTCTTCCCTCCCCATGAAGATTTCTTCTGCACTGTCTCATGACTCACATTTAGAGCTATTGACACTTTAGCACATGCTTTTAAGCCACACCATTTGAAACCCATTGTGATACTTAGGAGTACACACACCCGCAGAGATGGTCCACCATTAAAAAATGAATTAGGCACATATCTAGGGTCTAGAAACAGGACAATTTGGGCAGGATGCAGGGTCGAACTCTTGATGAGGTGGTGCTTAGGCACCAGATGGGCACATCCCCTTGATCCTACAAGCTCCTCACCTGATGAGGAGGAGTTCTTATCAGAGAAAGATCGGAGTGAGACCTTCTAAAGTATGTGAACAGAGGAAACGGATGCTCCAGCCCAGAGCTATTGGCAAGTAATATGCTAAGCGCTTAAAATTTTTATTGACAAGAAGAGTACGCGTCAAAATTGTTTAATGTCTACTCGGTTTCTGATGGGCAGTATATAAATGGTGAAATTAGCATTTGAACCCTAGTCTGTGTAACTTCTGAGTCTCTTACCTTCACTTGAGGGTTCTTGGGGGGCTGTGGAAAACCTGCCTTATTCTCTGGTTTGTTTTTTCTTCTCTTCTCTTCCTCTGTTTTAGTGTATGATGATAGAGTGAGGAAGTTGCTAGGGTTGGCAAGTATAGGAAGTAAAAGGGTAAGAGGGAGAAAGGGCATGTGGGAATTTTGAAAAGTGAATTGGTGGGAAGCAAAAGTAGAAGAGAAGAGCCAGAAAACGGATATCACAGAAAAAGGAAGAGTTAGGTTTAACCCTATGGTTTTTAAAGGGCCAACAGCACCCTTAATTAATATTAAATATTTCTTCTTTAAAGGAGAAAAATTCTCTTAAGTCCACCAGTGTTATTTTTATTATAAAATATATTTAAACACATGTCAACACAAAACAGGCATAACTTTTATTAAACTATAAGCATAAATTTAGAAAACATATATAAATAAATAAAAATACTCAATTTATTTATTAATCCATCCAGCAAATGTTTAATAGGCAGTTATGAGCCAGGTACTAGGGGTATAGCAGCAGATAAAACAGATAAAGCCTTTTTTTTGCCATAGAGCTGCATTCTAGTGGAATGAAATTAACATTAACAATGGTTATTTAATATAAAGAATGACATTTTGCTGAAACAAGATCTCTGATTACAGCATGAATATAGTTCTAACAGCTTTTGAGTTTGGCATGACCATGCCATCCTGCACATCCCAATATGACTCAATTATCTGGCCATTTGTCACTATTCAAATTATTGGCAAATATCCTATGACATCAGTTGCCTTTCATGTGTCACAACATATCATTTATATTTAGGTCCCTTTCTCATTAGCCAAGACTATGAAATAATACTCAGTACTATGCAATTATATTCCCAAGTATAACTGTAGACCTTGAAGTCCTGTGTTAGCACTCAGTTATAAGGTGCCATTTAAATGATTCTGAAAAACTTGCTTAATTAAATAGATTACCATATAAATATAAAATTAAGACTTGTAGAGAAATCTAAAATTCACTTGAAAACACCCACAAAACATGGTTTGAGAAGTATTATAATAAATGGTGCATCCTATTTTTTTATCCCTCATCTGACTTTTAATATAGATTCTTTGAGGGCAGAGATGCTCTGCTTTAGGTCTGTATTCACAGGGCTGTTCACATATCTGGCACAAAGCAGATGCTTAGACATGGCTTTTGAGTGAATGAAGAAGTGAATGATTGAACAAACTCTGGGTCCAAAATATATTTTAATCTTTTACTATGGGAATCTGCCCAAATGACCCTTGTTGCCATGATAAAGATGATTTCCTCTGCCTTTTAAAACATATGGCTGTAAATATGCCAATACTATATATTTTTAAGGTTTGTTATTTTTAAATTAAAATTCAAGAATTTAAGAAAAAATTACTGTTATCCTGATGAAACCCTCTTCATTCATTAATTTCCTGTCATATTTTTCCACATATATAGGGTTGAAATTGTGGTGTACTTATGTGTGACAGTATTTCTTCCTTTACCATTACTTTGTATATATTTTTAAATGTCAGTTAATAGCATATAATCCCAATATATATTATGCTAATATTTATCCTTATTACAAAATTAACACATTTATTGAAGATAATTTAAAAATACTAATATTCCTACCATAAAGGGAAAGCTGCTGTTATTTTATATTGTGGTATATCCTTCCATTCTTTTTCTAATACATACATATGCTGTACATGTGTCTGTGTTAAAAAAGGAAAGCCAACTGTGTAGTCTTTTAAAATGTAGCATATTTAAAACTGTTAGAGAAATGCTGGTGTGTATAAAGTACAGGTAGGATGCCAAAGGGAAATCTAACATATAGACTGCCACCACGTAGCTAAAATAACTACATTATTTGGAATTTGGAGCCCCTGTACTTTCTGGGAACCCGGGTGAGGGATGGTAAGAAAAAGTCTAAGGATCAGAAGTAACTAAGCCAAAGTCCTGAGAATTGGACTTAAGAGCAAAGCATGATCTTGTTGCTAGGCAACCAACATTCCAAGAGGAATCATCCAGACAGCACACACGCTGCTCTGTCCCCCAGCATGACATGTGCAGAGTATGTCTGAGGATGGCTGGACCCACCATGCACACTGGCCTCTGAAGACTGGCCTGCGTAATGCCTGTAAAACATATCCCTGACCTACTCAGCTCAGTCTGCCACAGCCCAAATGGAAAAGACAGACAGCTCTGGGACTGATATTCAGTAAAGCCCCTGTGGGATCACAGTGAAACTGTGCTAGGGGTGATCTGTCAAGATCTGGCTGTCATTGCCTTTTCCTATGAATGACTTCAGTAGGGTGCAGGTGGGGGAACTCTAGACTCCACAGGAAAAACCATAATGACATGTCTTTTCAGGCATATTCAGGACTTGGGAAGAATGTTTAGGGTTGGGGAGGGGGAGATGAATAAGGCCTGTTTCTTCTCCTCCGGGGAGAGAACATATCAGATAGGTACAGAATTGGCAATGCAACTTTCTTATTCAAACTGTTAAAAATGGCAGCTCCCAATTCTTATAAGAATATGACTAATCAGTGTTCCCAAAATGCAGTATTCTGGAGGACTTGACCGCTTCACAGTACAATTAATCATCTGCCTGATGTCTGAGAGGTAACTTGGACCTTTTGTACTTTTTCTACAGCACAAGAGAAGGGAACTAACAGTTATTGAACGCTTAAGTGTCCACAGTCTCTTAGCCACATTTCCAATATCCAAAAAGTACTAAAAAATAAGCTTAGATAAAAACTGCAACAATAATTCAATCAATCCTTTATACCCTTCAATCAGGTCCCCTAATTGTTAACATTTTGCCATCTAGAAAATAAAAAGGGTTTCATAAGTTTGTAGCAAACTAGTCTGTCAATAAAACTTGGCCTGAAATGCCAAGTAGCTATATAAGGTCTTTATTCATTCTACTATCATATGACTATCCATATATTTCACTGAGGAACTATTATTTGACTATGAGGCATCTCAAGATTACAATGGAAAATGTAAAGCCAGATTAGAATCTGTTTCCTGAGGGAACCACAGTGGTGTGTTCCCTCATCTGCCATGTGTCTTGGCAAACTCGAGACTTTTGTAGGTCTCTAGGTCTATTCCTGAGTCAAGGATGGATGTATCAAAACAAAGGAGATAGATGTACATGCCATTGCGCAAGCACCTGAACTAACCCTCAGCATGATGGGTAACAACAAGGGCTTTGCCTTGGAAGACCTCAACTGTTTATAATTTTCTGATAAGAAAAAGCGATAATAATTATCTCTGAATTATGCAGTTTTAATTTAATTTAAAAAATTAAATTAGCACAGGGCTTAGCAGATAGCTATAATCAAAGAAATTATCATTATCACACCATCCCCTATTTACCCTGCTGAACATTTCACTTTTGTCCCTTCAGACAGTTCCTTGTCTATACTGTTGTCTGTTTTCTGTAGTAATGGTTGTTTGTAGGAATACTGACCAATTAATTTTCCCCAAATACCACCGCTAAAGCTTCCCACTCTATCTTGGAACACCCATATCTTGTCTTCTTGTTTTAGTTTTGCAAATCAGTTAAGGCCCAGTTTAAATCTCCCCCTCACCATGAAGCCTTCAGAGATTTTTACAGCCCTCAGTAGTGTTATCATCTAATGCATTCTTATACTGTTTATTCTATTTGCTATTACCTAGCGCTTAACAATCCATAATGCTGTAGAGTTTGTCTTGCCCTTTTAAGTAACTATAGAGATGAGGATCGTGCCTTTATATTTCTTTGTCCGTTTGTCAGTGATAAGCCATGGTAGACTCCATGAAAAGGTCTAAATAAATATCTGTAAGTTTAAGAGATTTTAATGTGTCCAGAGGTTTCCTCCTGAAAACTTTTGGATTTGAATTGAGATTATTGAGGCCTTATGCCAAGGATAGAAAACATAAGACATAGGTATCATTACCTTTCTTCTTCAGTGGAAGACATTAATATTCAATTGTGTCAATCTTTCATAATAAACCCAGATCTACCTCAGAACCTTTTCAGTTGTGGTGAAGACGCTTTGCCAGTGGGTCAGAACTGAAGTTCTAGATGATGTATATTTGCTGCTTATCACTTCTGCCTCCCCACTGACCACAGTAATAGCAGAATGATTTAGATGATAGCAGAACCAGCCAACATGGGTTGACATCTCTGGAAAGAATGAAGGAAGAAGAGGGTTGATAGTGATCTTTCTTGGAGATAGGGAAAGAAATTGGAGGATAGAAGCTAATAAGAAAAGATTTTTTTTTTTGCCTGAGATGCAAATGAGTTTAAAAGTAACAAAATATATGAACAAGAGTATATTAGGGTTTTCCAGAGAAATAGCCAATAGGAGATATATAAAAAGGAGAGAAAGAGATTTATTATGAGAATTGGCTCACATGATTATGGAGGCCAAGAAATTCCATCACTTGCTGTCTGCAAGTTGGAAAATGGTATCATTCAATTTCACTCCAAAAGCCTAAGAACTGAAAAGTAGGAATGGTGCTGTTTTAAGTCCTAGAGTCCAAAGGACCAAGAACAAGCAGGTCTGATGTCTGAGGGCAGGAAAAGATAGATAGCCCAGCTCAAGAAGGGAGAGCAAAAATTCACCCTTCCTTTGCCTTTTTGTTTTATTGAGACCCTGAATCGATTGGATAATACCTGTCCACATTGGTGAGAGTCGATCTTTTTCACTCATTCTACTCATTCAAATGCTAATTTACTCCGAAACACCCTCACAGACACATTCAGAAACAATGTTTTATCAGCTATCTGGGCATCTCTTAGCCCAGCCAAGTTGACATGTAAAATAAACTATCACAAAGAGAAATTTCTGTTTGTTTATCAATTTGCAGTGTTCTATGGAGAAGGGATAAATAAGAAAATATGAATCAATGAGAGGGCCACAGTATTGTTGTTGTTGTTGTTTATTACAACATTATTTCTGAGAAACTTCTTCAACTCTCAAATAGTTTTTGAGGTAATGAATTGGTATGAGGAGCTTTAAATTAGTTAAATGCAGCTGGGTAATTGTGGATACTAGTTACAGCAGATGTAGTGGTCATGCTTGAGGAAACTGAAAGGAACAAACAAATCCCATTATGCAGCTCAGGGAATCGATAGTCTCTTCTTGTGAAGAAACGGTATGGAGGCAGATAGACCTAGATTTGATTTCCTCCTCTCCCAATCTCTAGAAATGTGACTATGGGCAAGTAATTTAACTGTCTGAGCCTCAGTTTTCCCACATGTAGGGATCAAAAGGTGGTACTTGATAAAGTATTATTATTCCACAGCTTGACGGAAAAATACTCATTTGATGCCCATTCTCTTGATCCTAATTAAGTGGACTGGACGTTTATGTGTCATCAAATATTAGCGTGATGTCACCAGTGGAAACTGACATAATTGATATCAGAAGGGGATACATGGATATATAACTAATTGTGGCATGTCAGTTGTTATGAGCTTCTTTCAGGCTTTTAATGAATATTTTGCTATTTTAAAATTTCACTCTGACTATAACCAGATGGTCAGTGATAAAATCCAGATCCCAAGACTTCCCAATATCTATACATGCCAGCATTTTCACTTTCATAAATCAGCTATCTGGTAGGTTTGAATTAAGAGTTTTCTTTCTTTTCAGGGAAGCTGTTTTGCTTTCATTTTTAATTATAACCTCACATCCGGATGTTTCCAGTATACTATTTGTAGAGCAATTTATGATTAACAAGTTAAAAATTTTTTCTTCAAGATTTGAGCATGAACAGATGGTGCTTTTCAGTGTCTTTTTAAAGGTGCTCTGTATCTCTTTCATATCAGAACCTAAAGTATGAATTTAACATTGTATAACTGAAAATATATGGAAAAGGAAAAGTGACTGTATAGTTTCAAGTCCACATCAACACTTCTCCCTTAACAGAGAGAGAATCTCTTCAGTTTAGTAGCATTCTTGTGATTGTTTGATATAATTAGAATCTGAATGAGAATCTGAGCTTATATACTACTTTGATAGAAGGGTGAGAACTCCTGAAGATGAGTAGTTTAAAAAGATTAATTTCATGCAACCTGCAGTTTAAAATAGGTATCTCAGAATTATGCATTAGCATGCTTAATCTTTTGCATTGAAAATTTGACCGTGTTTGACAAGGTTGCATGTGAAGATGAACAGAAATAAATACATTCTGTCAAACATTCTTCATGTCCTCACCTGATCACTGTGTTTTCTACCTGTCTATGTTATTATTGGTTCCCAACCAAGTGAACTGCTTCATTAAGGTTATGACAAGTACTTGGCAAATTAAATGGTTTTGCACCTTCTAATGTGCTATTTTTAGATAAATTCCAAGTTTATACACAACGAATATACAAATATAAATGATCTCATGAGTTGTGGCTGTGGTCCACTCAAACCTGACAGTGGTGCCAAGAGATGTTTGTGGGTAAGCATAGTCATTTCTTCAAGGCTTCCCAAGGCAGGCACAGGATGTGGAATCTCCCTTTAAGGAAAATAACTCTAAACATCTTCCTTATTTTTTCTTCTCATTCATTAGCCATAATAGATTGGTAGACAATGAGTAACAGTAAAGAAAATGATCTTGTTGTTTCTTCTATAAATATGATAATCAATAAGCATATGTCTTTTCTGCTCCCCAAAAGACATGAAAATTTGAAAGTAGCTCTAGGAAATATCTTGGGGTTGTGGCAGAGGATGAGGCAGTTGACAGAGATTGATGATAAAGAAAACCTGTTACACTCTAGCAACTAAACCTAGCTTATATTTCAGTATTATCCATTCTTCAAAGCTTTTCCTGACCTTCCCAGGTTAAGCTGTTGCCTCCCCTTCTTTGAAACTCCTTTAAGGGATTTTTGTGTTTGTGAGTCTATCTCCCTCATGAGATTGTAAGCCCCATGGAAACAAGATCCCTGTCTTAACTAATCTTTAAATCTCCTGAACCCAATGCAATACCTAGTGAATAGTGGGCATTCAATAAACATTTGTGGAGCTTATTTAATTGAATTTCCAAGTAGAATATTATTTCATGTATCTATTGAGAATAACTCAATATTATTGAGTTATCTTGCAGTTTTTACACTTTTCCCCTGGTAATGATTTGAAATTCCTTCTAACCAGTGCAAAATTAAACTTTTCCTTGGAACGTTGTATCCTAAAAGGGTCAATGTTAAGGTGGTGCTGGTTTTCATTGCTTATAGCGGGAGCCACATTTCATGAATACCTACTATGCACCAGGTACTGTGCTACACACATTTATCCTATGAGATGGGTATTTTAATCTCCATTTTGCAGGTATGAAAACTGAAGCTTTAAGGAACTAAGTGGTTTGCCTGACCTCACAGAGCCAGTAATATGCAGGACCAAGAATTAAAGTCACTTATTTCCAACTCTGATTTCCATACTATAAAACATTACAAAACATTATTCCAGGCCAGGCATGGTACCTCACACCTGTAATCCCAACACTTTGGGAGGCTGAGGCAGGAGGATCACTTGAGCCCAGGAGTTTGAGGCCGCAATAAGCTATGAATATGCCACTGCAATCTATCCTTGGGTGACAGAGCAAGACCCCATCTCTTAAAAAAATTATTCTGTATTGCTTTCCTAATGTGCATACCTTTGTGCATGCCAGAAAATCATTAGATGCTTAAAAAATTCTGGTTCATTAAATTGTTACCAAAACATTTTTGAAAGTTTTCTAAGTTCTTTACGATAAAATATTTGTCCTCCAGTATGCAAACAACCTTTGCCAGGGTACTGATCTCTGTGAGGTTAATGGATATGCTTTCCATTTTACAGTAGTCCTCAACCTTCTTGTGATGATATGAGATGACAAAATGCCTGTATGATAAGAAGAAGTGAGGTGAGTGATGCAGGCATTGCGACATAGCTTTAGGTGATCCTGGATCTTCAAGCCATGATGATGTTGTTGGTTAGATGTCAGGATCAGACAATGTTAATGGCTAATGGGCAGCTAGTTTATATAGTGTGAATACCCTGGACAAAGGGACATTTTACATTCCTTGTGGCATAGAGTGGGATAGCACATGATTTCAGCATGTTACTCAAAAGGCACACAATGTAAAACTGATGAATTGTTTATTGTTGTAATTTTTCATTTAATATTTTTGGACCATGGTTGGCCACAAGTAACTGAAATTGTGGAAAGAGAATCTGCAGATAAGAAGGCAATACTGTATCCCCTGGATATGCTAATGAAAATAAAATATACTAGTGGTTGAGATCAGGAAAAAAAAAACTTCTAAAAGGACCACTCACATCACTGTCCACCTTACAAAGAGCAATTTAAAAACTCTCACTAAAAATTAATCTGAAGTTAGTTGTATAGTCAAAGTTGTCCAATCAAGGTTACATTGAATGGTCACCCATTACTGTCACTGCTTTTGAATTTCCTTAGGACTATAAAGCTGAAATACTTAAATAGATCTGAGGATGCTTCTGCATAATATTATAATTTATTTTTTAGTTCCTTTTAATTGAATTCAAGTAGCATATCACCCTTCATTTTTTAGCCTTCTATTTATAAATCAGAATTTAGTGGTTACTTAGAGACCATAGTTTTGTTTTGTTTTGTTTTGTTTTACATTTAGACAAATCCATCACACTAAGACCTCATAGCCTAAAGATAAAGTGAGCCTATCTTCAACAGAAAATGCTCAACAGAGATAACTAACATCAGACTATCAGGTCACTTAAAATTAAAAGCTTTTATTTTCTCTAAAAATTGTCTACAGCAATAGAAATCACCCTCGGAAAGCAAGAGAGTAAATATCCTAATTTGTGTTTTGACTTTGGGTGACAAAAAACACTCTTTAATTTATATGTCATGTGTGAGTAGCTTAGAATCCTTTATTTGTTATTGTTATCAACATAATATTAAGAATGAAGAAGTTAAACAATTCTCTTTGGACTTAAAGGTACCAGGATAATGCATAGTGTTTTGGCACAAGAAGTCTCATGGGACCCATGTTTCTGTTCACTTTACAATTTCCTGCCAAAAGGACTTAAAATTCCATAGAATACAGATTCCACAGAGTGAATGAAGATCCAGACACACAGCGTTCAGGTTAGACAAAACCATTTTAGTATCACCCTATTGCTTCTTACATGCTGCTGAGAGTAATGAAAGAAACAAAGCCTCCAGAAGAAACTCACTGATAAAAACTCATTTAAATTACTTGTATTTTGAGTGAGAATATGATTTAACTAACTTCTTGGAAGTTAAAAAGTGAATATTTTAGCAATGATGGTTTAGGCCAAGGATTTGAACTGCTAGAATTTTTCTTCTACCCACACAGGTGAAGGGATATTGTCAGTAATTAGTGAGGAGAAGTGGAGGAATGGAGATTGATATGTGAACAATATTTTTTTAATTTTCTTTTTTTAATGTCTTTGTTTTTTAAAATTATTCAACATGTAGATGTATTTTATTTTATTTTTTACTTTTGTGGGATACATGTGCAGAACGTGCTGGTTTGTTATACAGGTATAAAGTGCCATGGTGGTGTACTGCACCTATCAACCCGTCATCTAGGTTTTAAGCCCCGCATACATTAGGTATTTGTCTTAATGCTATCCCTCCCCTTGTCCCCCACCCCCTAACAGGCCCCAGTGTATGAGGTTCCCCTCCCTGTGTCCATGTGTTCTCATTGTTCAACTCCCACTTATGAGTGATAACATGCGGTGTTTGGTTTTCTGTTCCTGTGTTAATTTGCTGAGAATGATGGTTTCCAGCTTCATCCATGTCCCTGCAAAGGACATGAACTCATCCTTTTTTATGGCTGCATAGTATTCCATGATGTATATGTGCCACATTTTATTTATCCAGTCTATCATTGATGGGCATTTGGGTTGGTTCCAAGTCTTTGCTATTGTGAATAGTGCTGCAGTAAACATACGTGTGCATGTGTCTTTATAACAGAATGATTTATAATCCTTTGGGTATATACCCAGGAATGGGATTGCTGGGTCAAATGGCAAATTCCTATTGAAAATTCTGTATACAATTCTCACTTAGGAGTGTGGATTTAGTCATCCTCTCTAAAACTTTCATCATCTTAAGAAAGGCTTTAAAGAACTGTTGAAAATTCTACTACAGAACTAGGTTGACTCATCTGAATACAAGGATTCTTTAATTTTTAATGAAGATTCTGGTGCCCCAAAAGGACAAATCCAGGCACACAGAATGTACCCATCTCCCTTACATTACTTCATGTAAGTGAATAAGGATAGATTTGATTTACCGAAAACATTTTTAAAAATAAGGCTGCAGATTCCAAAGTCCAATCTCAAATCTCTCACAATCACTGGAAAAGAAGAGTGAGTAGATATTTCTCTTATCTCCATGACTCAGGGGCGCTCTGGTGCTGTTTTTCTAACTCTCCTCTGATTCTTCCTACTACATTTTGCAAATGACCCTATCAGTGTTCTCTTAACCTTATTTTCCTAGTGTAAGTGTTCATGCCCTGAACACCTGTAGGAGAAGGCTTGTTTTGTTACTTCTTAAGGGAGAAAAAAGAAAATCCCAAACTTTCCCCGATTCCAGAAGAAAATAAACATGTCCTCACACGGCATTTTTTTTTCTTTTTTGCCTTTTGTTTGTTTAAGTCACAAACCCTTTCCCCACAAGAACCTGTTTTCCTAGGCACTTGACATTTGCTGTGCCTTGGGAGTATGATTTACATTTCCTTCAGAAAGTTTGGTGTTGACACAGCTTTCTTTCTTCTTATAGTGATCTCCCACCTTAAAGAAGGTGTACTGTCTCATTTAAGGACAAGAGATTTAGAGTAGTAGTAATTTCATTTAATTTCAAGGATTAAAATAATTCCTTTAGAATCAGCAAGAATTCCATAAAGTGACCAGCATCCTATTAGCAAAACTCAAATCTGAGAACAATAGCCACAAATCAATTAAAGCAAACATTTTAAAATTATATTTTGAAAGTATATTAAGAACTTTAAACAGAATAAAAGGTAGAATATGTGCTGAGTTTTTGAAACTTTAATTAATCCTGGACAGCATTTGGGGCTAACCTAGTTCAGGATAGCATTAAAAGTTATAAGAGGTGTAGGCCTACAGCCTTTGGGGTTTCTTTGTGTCACTTCCAGTTGCTTACTTTATTACTTTACCATCTGCCTTTCTGATTTCTCCACCAGGCATCATTACAGTATCACAGTCTGCCTTGAATGGTGGTTTACATCTGGAGGCAATGCAATCCCCCTAGGCACTTTTTGGAAATGTTTGGTCAAGTTTTTGTTTGTTGCAATGACTGGGGAAAGCTATGGGCATTTAGTGAGAGGAGGCCAGGGGTAATAAGCATCCAACAGGGTGTGAGACAATTGTGCACAATCATGTGCCCCAAATGTCAGTAGCACCCCCGTTAAGAAATACTGGACCCTTTGAATTGGCACCCCAGTTTTGGGTTGACTAAGGTGGCTTTTGCCTTTGAGACATGTTATTTATCTGGGATTCCTACAACATGCTTCAAGTCTAAGTCAGTGATCAGGCTGTGATCTCCCTTGTTGGCTTCAGCCTGAGAGAGAGGAGGAGTATTTGGCAAAGAGAAATTCATGAAACTTGCTTGTCTTGGTGAACTCCATTCCCTTCTGTTGGGAAGCTGACATGGAGAACATGGAATTAGTTACATCTTGTAATATTTTCAAAACCAAATCTTATAACCTGTTATCAGGAAGAGATAATAGGAGGCTTTGCAAATGTCATGGGAAAGGTCACATCTCCAGGTCTGATCAGCAGGCACTTACTAATTTTTGTTGTCCCCCACTTATTCCAACACTGGTAGGTTAGTTTGAAAATATGATGACAAATTCTATATTTCAGTTTGGTTACAATATGCTACAGTCTTATTTTTTGATATATCTCACATTCCTCGTATAATTATTTACAATTATATCTGACCCACGAAAACGTAAAGATCTGTTAGTTTTTAATCTCTGTAACCCTACTATTAGAAACATGCCTTGCATAATAGGTGCTCAACAAATTCTTGTTAAATGAATAAATGAATGATTTATTTCCTTAATTAATTATTTCACAGTACAAGTCAAAAGATAGTAAATTATTGAAAGAGCTTAGACCATATTGAATTTTTATGTGTACTCTCCTAAAAGTCAACCAATACCAATGCAATAAGCATTCTGAACACAGTTGACTATTATGTACAAAAATGCCAAAGTTTAAAATTTCAGCTACACCATGTCCTAAGCTTGTTAGATATTCTACTTTGAAAGAAGGAAATGTTATATTTGAAGTACTTATAACATGGGAGATAGGGTATATTATCATACTGCTTATTTGTTCAAAGAATCTTCATCATCTGTAGCATAAGCATCTGCAAGGCCATATATTTATCTTTTAATTATTTTATATTTATTCAAATTGGAAGTGTGAAAAATATACCTTTCAAAATATTCGGGACAAAGCAACCATGTCTCAGGCTGTTCCAGCTCTAAACTTGTGCACCATTTAATTTGCTAGGTGTATGGTGACTGACATAGGAAGGGGCTCTGAAATAAGTCACCCGGTGGCTGGGCACTTTAATGTCTGTGTTTCAATACAGATTCCCAGTTGGAAATTATTCATGTTTTAAGTGTGCTCTCAATTCCAATGAAGGCTGGCTCTGTTTTGTAGGCAGGGGAGAGCCAACTTTCCTTCCTTTACTTTTCCTGCTTATTTCCTTAGTCAGGCTTAGGGTTATCCTTGTGCATCCTCATGGTGATTTCTTTCTCCAGTATTTGATCTCTCTGTCTGGTGAGATGCTTCCCCTCCATTTATTCTCATTCACTATGACTACTACATCATCTCTTTGTCCCAAGTGATTCATATTAATAGTATGATTCTTGTGCTTTTTTAAAAAATCACTTTATAGTACTATTCTTATTTCCAGCTTGCTTGTTAACAGCCTTTGAAATTGGTTATTTTCCTAGGCTGTCACTGATTTGGAATTTTTCTAGAAACATCTGTTAGTATAAATTATGCTAGGCTGCGTTTTTGTCTATTTAAGTGCCAGAATTCACTGCCACAAAAAAGAAGTTGGGATTAGCGGAGCTTGATATCTTTTACACTTTGATCAAAATGTATTTTGAACCTCATAGATTTAAAACTTTGTAATAAATGAACAGTAGTGGTCCTCTATTTTTGATAGATGACATACATATGATTCTGAGATACTGTCAGGCAGTCATAGGTATCACCAACAGATAATGATTATTGACAATTGAACGTCCTAGCCCTAAAAACCAGTACTTTTGCTTCATACCAACAGACCTCCATCCTGCCTTACAACATCCCAAAACCATATTGTACATTCCTAATCAGACTGAAAATGTGCTTTTCCTCTGACCCTGTCTCTTGACATCTTCATCATTGGAATACCACCCACACACAAACAAAGATCAGGCCTCCTCCCAAGTGTCCCTGCTAACCACTCTGTCCTGAATACATAAGCTTAAATGCCCTTCCAACCTATAGTTTTGTAAAATCATTTTGAGCTATCACTAAATTGTAAGTTTCTGAAAGCCAAGAATTATCTTATATTTCTTAGTAGTCTACAGTGTTAAATATATCATGGGGTTTTGGCACTCAATAAATATTTGGTGATTTCTAAGAGTCTAATTGAACCAGAAATTTTATCCTGTTTGTGAGCAGTAGGTATTTTATGGAGTCATTAAAGAAGCAACTTATCTTTGGTGATTGACTTGCAGCCATTAGAGTGATTGACAGAGACTCCGAGAAGCTCCTGGCCATTACAACTAGTTGCTAAGAAGCTAGAGAAACCAGATGTACAGCCTGAAGGAACACAAATGCTTCACAACTATAGTTTAGTGGGGGACTCATTCTCATTACTTTGTGGGAAGCTCTACACCCCTGCTGATTAGCAGAGAAGATCTAGCAATTTCATATTTTACAAATGTAATCCTACCTCAACCACACAATAATTTTGCTTCCAGTCTCTAGACAAACAGGAATTCTAGTCCTTGCTTTGCCACAGGGGGCAAATATCAGGCTTTAGCATGGTGAAACCATCTTTCAAAAAATAGTAAGTCAATGGAAAAAACTGAATTATCCTTGTCTTCTAATTTGATACAGAAAATGTTGTCTTGTAGCTCACTTATATTTTTCTGTTAGAGAAGATCTGTTTCCACAATGACTGAATATAATTTATTTCTTCTTTTTTGGATTTTTTTTCTATACTTTAAGTTCTGGTATACATGTGCAGAACGTGCAGCTTTGTTACATAGGTATAAATGTGCCATGTAGTTTGCTGCACCCATCCACCCATTATCTACATTAGGTATTTCTCCTAATGCTATCCCTCCCCTAGCCACCCACCCACCGACAGGACCCAGTGTGTGATGTCCCCCTCCCTGTGTCCATGTGTTCTCATTGTTCAACTCCCACTTATGAGTGAGAACATGAAGTGTTTGGTTTCCTGTTCCTGTGTTAGTTTGCTGAGAATGATGGTTTCCAGCTTCATCCATGTCCCTGCAAAGGACATTAACTCATCCTTTTTACGGCTTCATACTATTCTATGGTGTATATGTGCCACATTTTCTTTATCCAGTCTATCATTGATGGGCATTTGGGTTTTTATCCTTGCTATTGTGAATAGTGCTGCAATGAACATGCATGTGCATATGTCTTTATAGTAGAATGATTTATAATTCTTTGGGTATATACCCAGTAATGGGATTGCTGGGTCACATGGCATTTCTGTTTCTAGATCCTTGAGGAGTCACCACACTGTCTTCCACAATGGCTGAACTAATTTGCACTCCCGCAAACAGTGTAAAAACATTCCTATTTCTTCACATACTCTCCAGCATCTGTTGTTTCCTGACTTTTTAATGATTGCCATTCTCACTGGCATGAGATGGTATCTCATTGTGTTTTGATTTGCATTTCTCTAATGACCAGTGATGACAAGCTTTTTTTCATATGTTTGTTGGCCACATAAATGTCTTCTTTTGAGAAGTGTCTGTTTATATTCTTCTCCCACTTTTTGATGGGGTTGTTTTTTTCTTGTAAATTTGTTTAAGTTCCTTGTAGATTCTGGACATCAGCCCTTTGTCAGATGGACAGATTGCAAAATTTTTCTCCCATTCTGTAGGTTGCCTGTTCACTCTGATGACAGTTTCTTTTGCTATGCAGAAGCTCTTTAGTTTAATTCACACATAACAATATTAACTTTAAATATAAACGGGCTAAATGCCCTCATTAAAAGACATGGACTGGCAAATCGGTAAAAAGTCAAGACCCATCAGTGTGCTGTATTCAGGAGACCCATCTCATGTGCAAAGACACACCTGGGCTCCAAATACATGGATGGAGGAATATTTGCCAAGCAAATGGAAAGCAAAAAAAAAAAAAAAAAAAAAAGCAGGGGTTGCAATCCTAGTCTCTGATAAAACAGACTTTAAACCAACAAATATCAAAAAAGACAAAGAAGGGCATTACATAATGGTAAAGGGATCAATGCAACAAGAAGAGCTAATTATCCTAAATATATATGCCCCCACTATAGGAGCACCCAGATTCATAAGTCAGTTCTTAGAGACTTAAAAAGAGGCTTACACTCCCACACAATAATATTGGGAGACTTTTACACCCCACTGTCAATATTAGACAGATCAATGAGACAGAAAATTAACAAGAATATTCAGGACTTGAACTCAGCTCTGGACCAAGCAGACCTAATAGGCATCTACAGAAGTCTCCACCCCAAATCAACAGAATATACATTCTTCTCAGCACCACATCACGCTTATTCTAAAATTGACCACATAATTGGAAGTAAAACACTTCTCAGCAAATGCAAAAGAATGGAAATCATAAAAAACAGTCTCTCAGACCACAGTGCAATCAAATTAGAACTCAAGATTAAGAAACTCACTCAAAAAATCACACAACTACATAGAAACTGAACAACCTGCTCCTGAATGACTGCTGTGTAAATAACAAAATTAAGGCAGAAATAAATAATTTCTTTGAAACCAATGAGAACAAACACACAATGTACCAGAATCTCTGGGACACAGCTAAAGCAGTGTTTAGAGGGAAATTGATAGCACTAAATGCCCACTGGAGAAAGCAGGAAAGATCTAAATTCAACACCCTACCATCACAATTAAAAGAACTAGAGAAGCAAGAGCAAACAAATTCAAAAGCTAGCAGAAGACAAGAAATAACTAAGATCAGAGCAGAACTGAAGGAGATAGAGACAGGGAAAACCCTTCAAAAAATCAATGAATCCAGGAGCTGTTTTTTTGAAAAGATTAACAAAACAAATAGACAGCTACCCAGACTAATAAAGAAGAAAAGAGAAAATAATCAAATAGACACATTAAAAAAGATAAAGGGGATATCACCACTGATCCCACAGAAATACAAACTACCATCAGAGAATACTATAAACACCTCTACACAAATAAACTAGAAGATCTAGAAGAAATAGATAAATTCCTGGACACATACACCCTCCCAAGACTAAATCAGAAAGAAGTCAAATCCCTGAGTAGACCAATAACAAGTTCTGAAATTGAGGCAGTAATTAATAGCCTACCAATCAAAAAAGTCTAGGACCAGATGGATTCATAGCCAAATTCTACCAGAGGTACAAAGAGGAGCTGGTATCATTCCTTCTGAAACTATTCCAAACAATTTATTTCTTATCAGCCAACACAGGGAGCTCACAGCTTGCTATATCAAAAAGAGATATTTAGATTAGCTGTGCGTTCTTGGGTAAGTTGCTTAACTTGTCTCATTTTCAAGGGCTTCATCTAAAACATAGAATTCTGGAAAATGTCAAGGAGAATAATAACAGTAATAATAACGCAAGTGAAAAGGGGAAGAAAGGCCAGGCATGGTGGATCACTCCTGTAATCCCAGCACTTTGGGAGGCCAAGGCAGGTGGATCACTTGAGGTCAGGCATTCGAGACCAGCCTGGCTAACATGGTGAAACCCCGTCTCTACTAAAAATACAAAAATTAGCCAGGTATGGTGGCGGACACCTGTAATCCTCGTTACTCAGGAGGCTGAGGCAGAAGAATCGCTTGAACCTGGGAGGTGGAGATTTCAGTGAGCTGAGATCGCCACCACTGTACTCCAGCCTGGGCGACAAAAGTGAAACTCCATCTCAAAAAAAAAGGAGAAGGAAATAAGATTTTTCTTCTACTTTTATTGAGGTCCAGTTGCTCCTCTTTTTAGATCTTATATGACAGCAACAATGAAAAATATTGCTATCTTCTTGATTGATGATGATAGGTAATAATGGCAAAAAACCTAAAGTGAATTAGGAAATGTGAGGTAACATAGGATTGTTTGGTGGGAGAAAGGAAAACCATGATGTACATAGTTGATGAAGAATCATCAGTGGAGTTTTTTTTTTTTTCCACCAGGAAATCAAGAATTCATATTGGATTCAAAGCCCTTGAGCTCCTAATAGGCTGTTTAGTCATGTCCATGTGTACATTTTCCTTGTAGATGAGGGCCTCAGTACCCTTATTTTAAACATTCTCCCAAGGTGGGATAATTTCTTTGCATGAAATTAGTTATCATTTATTTACTTTTTACCCCAAATTTGTATCTGCCACTGAAACTTCTATTCTGAACTCTTAACCTATATATCCAACTGCCTTCTCAGCATTTTCACTTTGATGCCTTACAAAAGTATTAAACCAATGTATCCATAACTAAGTTTATAATTTTTTATTGAAAAATCCCCTCCTCCGTCATTCTTAATATCACGAATTGGCCCCATCATTTGACATTTGGTCATGTCAGATACCATGACTCACTTTTCTGCCTTATCAGCTTTCATGCATCAGTCAATATTGACTCCTAAATCTTTCTCTTTTTTTTTTTTTTTTTTTGAGATGAAGTATTGGTCTGTTGCCCAGGCTGGGGTACAGTGGTGCAATCTCGACTCACTATAATGTCCACCTCCCGGTTCAAGCAATTCTCCTGCCTCAGCCTCCCAAGTAGGTGGGATTACAGGTGCCTGACACCATGTGTGGCTAGTTTTTGTATTTTTAGTGGAGACGGGGTTTCACCATATTGGCTAGGCTGGTCTTGAATGCCTGACCTCAGGTAATCAGCTCGCCTCGGCCTCCGGAAGTGCTGGGATTACAGATATGAGCCACAGTGCTCGGCCTAAATCTTTCTTATGTATGTCTTTCAATCTCCATTTCCTTCTATCAGTCTAATTCAAGGAATCATCTCTCACATGAATTGCTAACTAGTCTCTCCATATTCAATTCTTATTCCATGCCAATCCATCTTCCACATAGAAGCTAGAGTGAGATTTCTAAGAGATAAATCTTACCACAATTTGTCCCCACTTAAAGTTGTTGACAGCATTTCATTTTAAAGAGATAGTTCATAACCTTTAATGATAGCCCACAAAATGCTGGGTGATTACCCCCTGCCAGCCTTATCTCAGGCCAATCCCTCTCTCTCTCCTTGTACTGCAGCCTCACTGCTCTTCTTTCAGTTCCTTGAATATTATCAAGCTCCTTCCCATAATAGAATCTTTGCACATGCTTCTTGCCTTATTTGGAATATTCTGCCTCTCTTTCTCCCAAGGATTTTCTACTTTTATTCTATTGTCAGCTTAATTCACATTTCTTCAAAGGAAGCCTTCCTTGACTATTTATAAGATAGTCAGGATTCTCATAAAGGTACTTCCTCATAGGATCCTATGATTTTATTAATACCCTCATGTGTGTTATGCCCCAACAATCTTTTCTGCAAACTAAGACACCTGCCAGTGGTGGTGAAGTTGTTGAGACCAATAATTTTCATCCACATCCTTGTTCCTAAGAAAAATGACAAAAGATGTGAGGGTTTAGTTTCCCCTAGGGTTTTTAATCTCTGTGTTTTTCCTTGTGCTTTGACACTTTCTTTGAGCTTTATATGCAAGATCAGTAAGGTGAAGGGTGATGTCGTTCAGATTTGACCATCATGATAAATGATTCCGCTCCATATCTTGTGGACTGTCATTAGACCATTAGTCATCTTTCAGTTTCCAGTTGATCTGCTAATTTTATTCAGATAAGGAGCAGTTGGCTTATCAATAGATTGTTAAGATTCAAGTTATTATTTTCAGGAAAGATGGTTAAAGAGCCTAAAGGCAGGGTATTATTGCTCAATGAACCTCAACACGGTTTTTGAAAATTTTAAGGAAAAGAGCAGGGATGCTGTAGCTTTGCTGAAAATGACAAAATTCCTGAGTGATGATCAGGAGTAACTCTCTCCCTAATCTTTCAGGAAATCTTTGTTCTCTCATGTAGAATTGGCATACCTGACACAGGATTGTATGGCTTTCCATGCTTACTTACTTACATGCTTACTGCTCTAGTTATCCTTTCAAGGCTTTGGTAAATATATTAGTTATTAGTGCTAATGTAATGAATTACAACTCAGTGGTTTAAAACAACACAAACTTATTATCTACATTTCCTGAAGTCAGAAGTCAAAAATGAGTCTTACAGGTATAAAATCAAGGTGCCAGCAGGGCTGTGTTCCTTTTGGAGGTTCTGGGAGAGAATCTGTTTTCTTGTCTTTTCCAGCTTCTAGAGGCTGCCTGCATTTCTTTGCTTGTGGCTTTTTCCTCCACCTTGACAGTGCATTGCTCCAACCTCTGCTTCTGTCATCACATCTTCTTTTCTAACTCTGACTCTCTCCTACCTCCCTCTTATAAAGGCCCTTGTGATTACATTGGGCTTACCTGGATAACCCAAGCTAATGATAATCTTCCCATGTTAAGCTCCTTAGCTTAATCACGTATATGAAATCCCTTTTGCCATGTAAGGGAATAGTCAAAGGTTCTGGCAATTGATACATAGGTATCTTTGAAAGGGCTATTATTCTGTCTACCATGTGAAATAGATGTAACAATTCCATATTTCTAAAAATGCTAATCAGGTAGGATTTGAGTCCAGAAACAAAAATTTGTAGCATGTCTTTTTCTCTTTGGTGCCTCACTTAAGGTCTTGATTTTTCCCACATAAAAAGCCATGTATGTATCGCAGTTGCTTATAGTTAGTGTCTTTAATTAAGTTTCCATCATTGCTCAAATGTGAAGCATAATTTGTTAACTTAAATTACAATCTCTGATCTAATAGAAATTACCTTGTGAAACTGTAAAGAGAGTAAGACTGTTTAAAAATGTGAGACTATGGTTTTCCTTGCTTACATGTGAAATTCGGGCACATTATAGCTGACTAAAAAGCAACAAAGATTAGAGGTAACTAAGCACATCCAACTCAACTTTCAAGATACAACCTAAATGTTATCTCTTTTGTGAAATTATTGATGACTTCCTTAATAAAACTGGGCAATACTTACACTTTGCTACGAGGGCATTGTGTGTACAACTCTATTATAGCATTCCACAGTGTTGTATTGATCTAGCTACATGACTATCTCCCAAACTACCCTTAAGATCCTCAAGGGCAAGGACTCTGTTTCATTTTTCTTAGTACTGATGCTGCCTATTACACTGTCAGACACATGGCTGGTGTTTTAATGATGTTTTATAAGGGAATGAATCCCTTTGCAAGCCTGTTTTATATTCCTCTACTAATTAATTGGCTAGTTAGTTTTCAAGATTGACTGAGGAGCACAATAATAAGACTGCTTGAAAGAGTAAAGATGAAACAATAGGAATCTACTTCCATTCCTGAGAAAGCAAATCTGAACACATGCCCTTACTAATGATGAGTCAGTAGCATTATTTCCCAGCATAAAGTGCACTCCAATACCTGATCAGTACAGATTCATAGCCATGTATTCACGAGTACTGGTAAAGAAAAGTAAATGTACCTTCAGAGGAATTAGATAGGATATAAACTTGTTAGTGAACATTTAAAATACTGCATTAACTGAGTTAATTAGATTAACTTAAATCTTAATCAGGCCAGGCATGGTGGCTCACGCTTGAAATCCCAGCACTGCTGGAGGCAGAGGTAGGCGGATCACCTGAGGTCAGGAGTTTGAGAGCAGCCTGGCCAACATGGTGAAACCCCGTCTCTACTAAAAATACAAAGATTAGCCGCACATGCTCGCTTGAACCCACAAGGCGGAAGTTGCAGTGAGCCAGGATCGTGGTACTGCACTCCAGGCTGGGCGATAGAGGAGACTCTGTCTCATTAAATAAATAAATAAATAAATAAATAAACAATGAAATGATGTAGTTATATACTAGATTCAGAGCATATGAATCTAATTCAGTTCTCTATCCCACCAGTAATGTTTATACCCAATTATATTTCTTTTCAGCTTGCTTTTTTGCAGATTAAAAAATCATATGCTTTTAATGTCTACTTAAGAGTCTTCTTCATCCCTTTGGTTATTTAGCAACAATCTTATGGTTTCCTCAAGCTTCACTATAGCTTTCCTCAAGGTTCAAGCACACAAACAAAAAGCCTATGTTACAAATAGTGGTCCCCAAACTTCCAGAATCTGGGTAATAGGTTGTGAAGGTTGTTAAGCCACTATAGTTTTAATGGCTTTCCAAACCACACTGTCATATGCTTTCTGGAAGTCCTGAGAACACCACAGCCAGTGATTTCCGATACTGACTCAGCATCAGAATCACTTGTGGTTCTTTAGAAAAATAAGATTCTAGGGAGCTATCTGAGATCCTTATGCAGGAAGCCTGGAAAAGGGTCTGAGTAGCTTTCAGAAGTTCCACTGTAAATTCTCATACGCACCAGTGGTGTTGGAAATCTATGGCCTGTCTTTAAGTTTGGAGTGATTATGCCCATAAATTGAGTAGTTGAAGGCAGAGAAAAGTGTGAAGAGGCATATCTGAAACAGAACATGTCCCAGCCATTATCCTCCGAAGGCTGTTTCCTATTTGTTAGCTGCAATCATGATACATACAATGCCAGTGCATTTTGTAAAAGGATGGTTAAATGAAATAATAAATATAATGAACCTAGAACAGTTCTTTTACATAATAGATTCTGAATAAATGTTAGTTCACTTCGTTTTTGTTTGTTTGGTTTTTGTTGTAAATTCAGGTCCAAAAACTGTAATAATCTCTTCTGTCATGGGCATGTCTTCCCCTGAAAGAAGAGGATGATATTAATAGTCTGAACTTGATCACATTTATATTCTGTCACACTACAAATAGGAAGGGTCAAAAGAGTTCATGTTACTAAGTGGGAAGGTATGTGTATATGTAAATATATAAATGTGTGTATTATGTACACAGTGATGAATATATGTAAATAGGCAGGAAGACACACATATGCCCATCTATCTGTATGGCATTTCACTTCTTCATTGTCAACAGCTATTGCGAGTTACTTGGAGAGTGATTCAGAAGTGATCAATAGGAATAATATTAAAATAGGCATTTTTCTCTTAAGAAAAAAGCATTCTTATGTCATTCTCTCATAATCCTATTAATCGGGGAGGAAAGGAACCATAACAGGCCTTTTCAAAAAACCAGTTGGAATATCTTAGTCTTTTCTTCCTCTAGGTCACTTGTTAAGCTTGAAGAATAACAGGATCTTGCTGGAAAGAAAATGAGAGGAAGAGTGTTTTTCAATTTAACCTCTGACATCTCTAATTGTTCTCATCCTGGTTCACAGGCTCCTCTTTTTCCACTTACTGCTAAAACATCGCTCTTCCCGGGGCTGGATACACTTTATCTATTCTCTTTGGGTGATGTAATTCACTCATATTATGCATAAAATGATGCTAATGACACACAAATCTATATGTCCACCTTGATGGCATATATGTACTCCATACTTTGCATGTACAACATTGAACTTAATATATTTTCATCAAAACCTGCTCTATTTAGTGTATTTCTCAGCTTCATGGGTTATCCTTTTATGTTTTCAAAAACCCATGCAATAAACCAGGAAGCCAGTGGAATTGAGTCCTTCCATCTTTGTGCTGACACATGTACATCTCCACTGGCATTTTTCCAAAAACATATTTTCTGCCAAACGGAAGGGAATATTCCAAAATACTCTTAAGTATTCTAGTTTAGGAAAACCCTGAAATACCTAATTTAAATTCACAAATTGCATAAGTTAGTTGTTGGTTATTTAGGTTTATTACCAACCACTGCCTATTCGTCCTCTACCAACCCAGGCGTGGTACTGGGCTCTGAAGTTCAGGAGTTGAGAAGAGACAGCCCCTTTCCTCAGAGAGTATAGTCTAGAAGAGACAAATGGAGAAAATCGTTATACAAAATGATTTATTGTAGGGTTTCTCTTAGTGGCAATTTTGTCAGGAGCCTTTAATATATCTTTTGATTTATATAGCATCTTCTCTACATGCTTAGGTTGTCCATCAGATGCATAAAATATGTAATATTTGTAGATTCCATAGCTGAGTTAGTTCAAATTGAAGAGGAAGAAGCTTTTTGTTCACTTTGATTATATATAAGGTTCAACCTTTCAGAGATTGACAGAGCCACACTAATTTAAAAAATGGCATGAAACAGAACTATCTTAACTCATCCTTGTCATCTTGCCCGTGACATGTGAAGGCAGTAAAAGGCTCAGCCATTGAATCCAGCTATCCATTAGGTACCGCCTGTTGCATCTGATATTCTAAAATTCAAGCAAGCCTCTTACTAAATAGGAAGGTCCATGGCACCACAGATCACTCAGTAGCTACCACGTAATGACTATTTCCAGCCTATAAAGCCCAGAAAAGAAATAAGAACAGTATCAGTGACTTGTATGTTCAATTCCGTATGATGTGCATTGTGGACAGATTAGAAATAAGCCAGATGCAGAGAAATAGTGATATTACAGCAGCTGTAACAAATAGGCAAGTAGGAACCTAAATGTACATTTTACTCTGTCCTGTTCTTAATTGATAACATTTGTTAGAGATATGTAAAATTTTTCATATCACATCCTTTAGGGGGTATTAACAATATGCTAGCTTGACATAGTTTAGTCACTCTTGTCAAAGCCTGGTCTCCAGCTGTAGAATTTGAAAACTCATAGTATAGTCAGATATGACTTTATCCAGTTATTCAATAATTATTTGCTTGTACTATATGCCCAGCACCTTGCTGATAAATTTTGCTAGTAAATTTTACTTTGTTATCAAGTTTTCCTAGTAAATGACCTTTGTAGTCATTTGTTTTGTCTGAGATATTGGCAACGTCGCTGAGCTACAGATCTCTTCTGTGAATGAATCCTACGAGTCTATGTCGGGGGTCTGTGTCTGCCCGACTCATCATTGTGCTGAGACTGAGAAGTTCCTGCCTCGTCAGATGTTTACAACATCTACACACTCCTATTTCCTTTCAAAAGTCAACTGCCTCCTAGCCTAGGAGATTTTTACAGAGGTGGGAAAAGTTGTCATTTCTCATCCCATATTCCCCCAAATCTACAGGGAGTTATTTCTGTTTCTCTGGTTACGAAATAGACTTTTAAAACTCAAAAGCCAAAAATTGAATCCCAGTTTGTTTGTTTTGGAACTATCTCTTACTTGAAGCAATGAATGCAGAATGACCTTGCTGACTGAATAGATCAAAGGGCATGTGTTTAAGAAAATGCATATGTTTAAAAAGGCTTATTTACTTATTTACTACTGCAAATTTCTTGGCAAGCCTCGAATTTGAACAAGAGGAGACTTGATAGCCTTATTGGATACTCTGTCTAGGTCAGGAAGAGACCTAATAAAATAAACCTTCAATGGCCATGATAGTTACATGCTTCCATAACAATAATAATAATAATATAATATATTAATAAATATAATAATAAAATATTAATAAATATAATTATTAATATATAATAATATATTATTAATAAGAATTATTATTATTTTGAGACGGAACCTCGCTTTGTTGCCCAGGCTGGAGTGCAGTGGCGCGATCTCAGCTCACTGCAAGCTCCGCCGCCCGGGTTCACGCCATTCTCCTGCCTCGGCCTCCCGAGTAGCTGGGACTGCAGGCGCCGGCTACCACGCCTGGCTAATTTTTTGTATTTTTAGTAGAGATGGGGTTTCACCGTGTTGGCCAGGATGGTCTCCATCTCCTGACTTCGTGATCCACCCGCCTTGGCCTCCCAAAGTGGTGGGATTACAGGCGTGAGCCACCACGTCCGGCCCCATAATTATTATGAAACAAGGTCCTGACAATTTTGTGTTTACTCTGGTACCCTTGATGTGTTTACATTCTCAGGATTTGTCAGCATAAGAGTCTCCTTGATGCCCATGTTAGTCCTAGAGACACCTATGTTTCTTTCTACTAAGTGGCCGTATTATTATTACTCTGTGCTTGGCAGTGTTTTCTAATTCCCTGCATTTTGAATCCTCTGTAAGTTTTTACTTTGTTCAAATCTCTTCTTTGTTCTAATAATGCTGCTGATGTTTAGCCTTAAAAAACAAAGGCTAACTAGAGACAGAAAAGCTAGCTTTAGAAGCATGGTGAGTATTTGGGTCCTCATACCTTCCAAAACTTGAACCTTGAGACTCAAAGATTACTTACCTGGAAATTCCAAAGTGGGAACCGAAAACAACTGTCTCTGTTCACCATGGCTCATTCTCTGCAACAAGCTAAAGGAGTCCATACTCCCACTCTGAGTGAGGCCAATGGCTAGCAGAGAGGTAACTTCAGACACTTCCAGCACGTGTTCAAATAGGAGTTCATGAATTCTCTGAAACCTCAGAAGATAAAACTAAAACCTGTGGAAGGTTGATTTTGTTTCTGTATGTGTCTCTCACTCTACTGTGACTCCCTTGAGGGCCGGAAATGACTGTTATTTATCTTTGAATCCCTAGCTCCCAGTTAGAAACAAGGTGTCTGACAATAAAATATACTCAATGTTTATTTAGCTAAACTGAGCTGAACCAGTTTATATACTTAAAGACATTATTTATTATTCATAAAATCTTTACTGCTTACCTACTATGTAATGAATGTGTGCAAGGGATACAAGAAAAATACAACTATGGCCCCTGCCTTTAAAAATGTTACAGTCTAAAAAGACAGATATAACACAGAGAAAAGAATATTAACTTTTGAGTCAAGACTTGAACTCTTCTCGTGCCACTTATCAGCTATCACTTTAGACATTTCACAGCCTCTCTGGATTCTTCACTTTTTAAGTTTCTTCACTTTTTTCAAAAAAATGGTATAACTACCGCATAGGATTATAATAAAGATTAAATGAGACAATATGAGATAAGTTGTGTCTTCAGTTATTATAATCTTCCCTCCCTTCTATTTCTTCATAACTATCCTGTAAATAGAGCAAGAAATGGATTTCATTCACCCCAATGAGAACAGTGTAGTTCAGTGAAGTTAGCAGTGATTCCAGGCTCAAATAGCCAGGCTCAAATAGCCAGTAAGTAGCAAGACAAGACTCTACCTAGCATCTGCAGATTGAGAGGGATTTCCATTCTACATCTCACACCTCCTCGCACTCTGATTCTTTTCTGCAAGTCATTGCCTTCCCTCAGTGTAACATTGCTTGTACCAATGATAACTTCCAAGTGAAATCTTACTACAAGCTTTTTGCAAGGAAGACTGAGAATCTGGCTCTGGCTTTGGCTTTGGTCTCCTCACATGGGTTTGTGGGTTGTGGTTTTTGTGGTTGTTGTTGTTGTTGTTTTTAATGGTTTGGAAGGGACAGACACATACTTGATCAGGCTCCAGCAGCAAATCACCTTGGCTTTGATGCTGCTCCTGTTGTCAGAAGACTACACTAGTGGGAGCTCCCACAGAAGGAGCACAGAATAGATGTGTTTCACATGTAATTGATTGAAATTTGAGATTACCCTGGCTTCTATCATTTACAACCTCTATAGGAAACTGGTTTTTAGAAGAAATGGTATCTTGCTTAATCATTCCCTCAACCTTTTGATCCTCTTCCCTGTTGATAATCACTGCTTAGCATATTTCTTGCTGCTGAGAAAGTGGGCAGGCAGCTGCTGCAGCCTGTAGCAGATTCTAAGGTTGCTCCTTAGGGGGTTGGCAAAGGATACCTTGTGAGGCTGAAGATTTTAAAAATGTGTTTGTTTCTTTTACCCTGGAGATTCTGAGCAATCAGTCTTGGGTTTTTCTTCTCTAAACTGTTTATGCTTATGAAGGAAATAATTTAATCAACTTGTGAAAGTGGATTTTTTTCCAAACATTTTCAGCTTTGATGGCTAATTCACATATAAGAGCATTGAAGATTGTTTTCGGGGCTTTGTTCTATGCAGCCTGTCTATGCTATTTGTTGTGTTAGGATACTTTTGTTAAGCAGTGTGGGCTAACTTAAAATTAATTTAAAATCAATAACTGTTACCTTTGAAAAATCTGCAGTTAATTATGTGGTTTTTGGCTACATTTAGAATTTGGTGTGATTGAAGCTTGTCATTTTCTCTCATAAATTTAGTGTCCAAACTCTCTGACCCAAAGCATAGGGCCATTCTGAGTCACTGATGGACATAGTCCAAGATAAATATAGCAGAAATGCATTCCTGGGCTCTACATGTGTAAATGTGAGGTATAATGAAATAATTTCTACTGGCTTATCAATATATCTTTTAGGGTCATTCCTCACTCTCAATGCATAACCTACAACAGTGTTGGAAATATGTTTCATTTCAGTAGTTATAGGCCTTATATAAATCTCTACTGGGGAGGATTCTGAGGCCATATCCAGCCTTAGTAAGACAAATGTTTTGATTGATTAGCAGTGTGTTCCACGGATACAGCAAGAGTCAGGAGTGGTCCTACCCTGGCCATCATCTCTGTTTGGGCTGGACAATTTTATGTTATATGATGTTGCTTCGTAATAGAGAGTAACCTTTTATATATTTGTTATGAATAGAATCCTAAGCAGGGTACCTCTGGCCACTGTCAAGCCCTTTTTAAAGATCTTTAGTCAGATTTTTCTTTGTATATGCCTAATGTAGTGTATTACTCTGTCTTGGTATATTACTCCTGTGTACCAAGAATTATAAATAATTCACTCCCCAACACCTATGAATTTTCATATCTCCATGCCTTTGCTTAAGCCATCTCTTCTACCTAAAAATACTGTCCTTTCTTTTCTCATTTAGAGAAAATTTTCTCACTATTCATGGGCTGCCCGAAATATTGTCTCTTCCTCCGTAAAGCTTTCCCGACCTTCCCGGGTAGTATAAATGGCTCCCTTTTTCATCTATCCATAACAATTAGTTGAATCTCTATTGTTACACTGCCATGTTGCTCTGTAATTACTTGTTTACATCCCAGAATCTAGCCCTGAATATTATACATATGTTTGTAGACTTGAAGTGGATCGAACATTGTTCAGAAAAACCCATAGTTCCTTATTTAAAGTTACTGGATTTCTGAAGCTTATAAAGAATACAGTGGGTGCAAATATGGTGGCAATGGAGGCTGAGAGGGTAGAGGGAAGGAGATAGTAAAGAAAAGAGAAATATATATTTGATGTAGAATCCAACAAAGAAAACAGTAAAACTATGTGTGGCCAAAGAAGAACATTAACAGGAAGAATGAGGAAATTGATCCAGGCTAATCCATAGAAGTGTATGTATAGGTTCTGCATGTCCTCAGACTGAGGACAGAGTTTACTTTTTCCTAGATGGACATATATGGTAGATCTAAGGCTTCTTTGCAAGTATCTGAGAACATTAATAAATTCTTGCCTGGTCAGAAGGGAAATAGGTGGGGACTAAATCAACTGAGAAGCACACATCCCTTCTAAAGGTTTCCAAATTCTCTTTTTAACGTACTGTGTACATAAAACCAAACATGTAGTCAGAGAATTGAGCTGCAACCCATGTCCACCAGTCTTTAATAAGGTTGTGTAGAAGTATGTAACCTGTCCAATATATTCCTCTCCACTGTCTTGAATAAAGTATCTCTTCCCAGGTAGTAGCCTATTTCATTAAAATTACCTGAAACTTCACAGTTTATAAAGAAATCCCATGTATTTTATTTCACTGAATCCTTACCAGCAGTATTTTTTTAAAAACTCAAACCATACAGACATGGAGCTGTATCCATTTTAAATATGAAGTAACTCAGAGAGGTTAAGCAACTGGTCCGAGGCTGCAGAAAACAACCCAGCTGGGCTTTATTCCTAGATCCTCAGTGCACTGCAAATCCCATGCTCTTTTATTTGAACTTCCAGAGTTTTTGCTTTATTTCTTTTACCACAGTCATCATTTCTTTTATTTTATTAACTGTATTTATCTTTCCATTTTATCTCTTCATCAGAGTCTAAGCTCCTTCCTTGCCTTTTTCTTCCATGGAAGCCCATTTGGTGCTAGGATGTTGCCTTGTTCTTTGCAAAGAAATAGTGCCAGATTTCTTTATGTGTATTTTAAGCAAGTATGGTGTTTGTTCAATATGTGTGTTGGTGTAATGAGAGAGTAAAGGAAGGGATGGATTAAATAATAAGAAATAAAATTAATTTCACAATGTTATCAATATAGATGGTTTCCATTTTCTACAACAAATTAATATATGTCACAGGATAAGGAAAAGCGCATCTGAGACACTCACTTAACTGAGAAAACATTATGAAGGAAAAGAAGATAATACAGAGGTTTATCCAGGAAAATTGTCAAACTTCCTCAAATAGGGAATTTAAGATGGAAAGGACAGCCATAGTAAAGATCTAAATGGCAAGAGCTGGCACTGGGTCAGAAGCTATTAGAAGAATGAAACTGGACAATCCATTAGACTGCAGGCTTTTAAAACTGGAATTGTGAACTTTTGCAGCCGCATAAACAGCTGGGCCTGGACAATTAAAGGTCAGCTTTAAATTGTGATAAAAGGATCTACATTAAATACGTACAGCTATTTCATTGGTCAGGTGAATCCTGAGTTCACATGAACTGGCTAATAAATTCCTTAGGGAAGACAAGGATAGCAAGCAGAGTTGGTGGGAGAGAAGCAGGACGGAACTAATATCTCTTTTTAAGATTATACTTTAAGTTCTGGGATAGATGTGCAGATCGTGCAGATTTGTACCTAGGTATACATGTGCCATGGTGGTTTGCTGCACCTGTCAACCCGTCACGTACATTAGGTATTTCTCCTAATGCTATTCCTCCCCTAGTCCCCCACCCCCCCCCCCCGACAGGACCTGGTGTGTGATGTCCCCCTCCCTGTGTCCATGTGTTCTCATTTTTCAGCTCCTATTTATGAGTGAGAACATGCGACGTTTGGTTTTCTGTTCCTGTGTTAGTTTGCTGAAAATGATGGTTTCCAGCTTCATCCAGGTCCCTGCAAAGGACATGAATTCTTCTTTTTTATGACTGCATGCTATTCTATGGTGTCTATGTGCCACATTTTCTTTATCCAGTCTATCATTGATGGTCATTTGGGTTGGTTTCAAGTCTTTGCTATTGTGAATAGTGCTGCAATAAACATACGTGTGCATGTGTCTTTATTGTAGAATGATTTATAATCCTTTGGGTATATACCCAGTAATGGGATTGCTGGGTCAAATGGTATTTCTGGTTCTAGATCCTTGAGGAATCGCCACACTGTCTTCCACAACGGTTGAACTAATTTACACTCCCACCAACAGTGTAAAAGCATTCCTATTTCTCCACATCCTCTCCAGCATCTGTTGTTTCCTGACTTTATAATGATCACCATTCTAACTGGCATGAGGTGGTATCTCATTGTGGTTTTGGTTTGCATTTCTCTAATGACCAGTGATAATGAGCTTTTCTTTTTATTTTTTATTTTTTATTTATTATTATTATACTTTAAGTTTTAGGGTACATGTGCACAATGTGCAGGTTAGTTACATGTGTATACATGTGCCATGCTGGTGCGCTGCACGCACTAACTCGTCATCTAGCATTAGGTATATCTCCCAGTGCTATCCCTCCCCCCTCCCCCCACCCCACAACAGTCCCCAGAGTGTGATGTTCCCTTTCCTGTGTCCATGTGTTCTCATTGTTCAATTCCCACCTGTGAGTGAGAATATGCGGTGTTTGGTTTTTTGTTCTTGCGATAGTTTACTGAGAATGATGATTTCCAATTTCATCCATGTCCCTACAAAGGACATGAACTCGATGATGAGCTTTTCTTCATATGTTTGTTGTTCTCATAAATGTCTTCTTTTGAGAAGTGTCTGTTCATATTCTTTGCCCACTTTTTGATGGAGTTGTTTATTTTTTCTTGTAAATTTGTTTTTGTTCCTTATAGATTCTGGATATTAGCCCTTTGTCAGATGGATTGATTGCAGAATTTTCTCCCATTCTGTAGGTTGCCTGTTCCCTCTGATAGGTTTTTTTTTTTGTTTTTTTTTTTTTTTTTTTTTGCTGTGTAGAAGCTCTTTAGTTTAATTAGATCCTATTTGTCAATTTTGGCTTTTATTGCCATTGCTTTTGGTGTTTTAGCCTAAAGCCATAAAAACCCTAGAAGAAAACTTAGGCAATACCATTTGGAACTAATATCCCTTAAGCCTCCTCTAGGTGACAGTTACTATGCCAGTAGTATGAATATAAAGTATTCAAATGATAGGAAATCAAGATTCAGAAAGGGTCGGTAATGTCAGAAGTTACGTAGCTGGAGGCAGAGGTTGGATCTGAATCTAGCCATACCAGTCTAGCAACTATAAACCTACTGCTGTTTCTACAAACTTCTCTCAGGCCCGTGAACAAACCAAGATTTTTCTTCACATGCTTATCCCCCTTTCTTTTTCCTCATATGATCTCCTTTAGGAAGCCAGTTCTTTTATCTCTCAGCTTATATTCCCACCACTGGAAATTGTTCCCTGACCCTCAAGCAACAGAAGCGTATGTCCTTTTTTGTTCCTATAGCAGCCTGTGCTGTTACCAAGTACCATTTTAGTGGTATTTCTCATACTGTATTGTGGTTGTTTACTTCTTTGCCTTCCTCTTACTAATTGTGAGCTCCTTAAAAGTCCCTAGCATACGGTGTAGTGTATGAACACATAGTAGATGTTCAGTAAATATTTACTGGATAAAAAAATAAGTGCATGTTCTTTCTAACTCAAAGCTTATTTTTTTTTTCATTCTTAGTATTTATTTATCACCCCTCCCCCCTTCCTTTCATGGCTATTGCAGTTCCCCCTTGGCTTTGGGAATTCTCTTGTCTTCAGTGTTTTCATTTTTCTTGCTTGACTTATATCTTTTGTTAAATCTTCTGGATTAGATACTAATGCATAATATTCCAAAACATTAGCTACTTGCCAAGTGCCAGTAAACTGACAATGAAAAGAAGGCAGAGTTTGGTCTACCTATGTGTGTTATTACTAACACAGGTGTCCTTTATTATTATTTTACAGACACTATTATGTGATTCATCAGATGAATTTCTTTACCAGTCAACTTGGAAGTACAGTATATGCATGACAGGGCTTTTTGACAGGAGGTGGAAAGGAATTTAATTAATGGTGTAAATGAAAGTCACCATTAATATAGCTTTTTATTTTCAACAATAGAAAATCCCAGTCCATACACATAAAATACATTCTACCTACAAATGAAGCCCTAGCTTCATTGTCAGAAAATTACTTTCTAAAGATAAGTCAGTCAGAAAGTACTTAATGAACATTCTCTGCTATTGTACTTGTCCCCACTGGGATTAGTGTTGAGGTGGTGACAGAAACAAAGAAACATAGATTGTGGGTCATACCTGAGGAGTTTACAGTATTCTTTTAGGAATATAATTAGCAAATGTGAAACAATTATGAGGTTGAGGAGGCGTATCATTTAGCACTAGCTTATGAGCCAATACAATAAATATTTTTTTAAGTCGAAGAGGTTGAAATTTATTTATTTGTTCATTCAACAAATGTTTGTTGATTTCTGGTTATACGTAAAACATTGTGCTAGATCCTGGGGATGCCAAGATTAATATAATCAGTTTCTGCTGCTGAAGGGCTACCAGCCTGTTAAGATTACAATGCATGGCTGTTGTAACAATAATGTGAGGGACAGTGTACAAGGAAGCATACAGAAGGCTTTGTTCAAGAAGTCAGAGAGGCTGCGTAGAGGAGGTGACTTTTAACTTAAGTCTTGAATTTTGAAGGGCAGTTTGCACTTTCTAAGAGGAAAGTGAAACAGTTGATTTTTTTTAAACTTGCCTCTACTTCTCTTTGAGTGTGCTGATTCATGACTGTTATTATCAGCAGTGGATGTTAAATTATATGGTGCTGAGGAAAATGAAGAGATCAGAGGTATTTTGCTACAAGTGTCACAGTTTATAGAAGAACTTTGTAGAATGGAAAGATAAAAGGAAAAAGAGGAAAATAGTGGCTTTATATTACTTCTGCATATTCTGCTATGTTTACTACTTGTTATTTCCACAAATTCATTATTATCTAGCATTCTTTCCTTTGATCTTCTAACATTACTTGTATTTTAGTATGTTGGTTATAACATATTTTGACTTTTTCAATATAAGTTTAGATATATATAAAATATATACAACCCAATAGGAGGATATATATATATGTATATATGTATGTATATATACATATATATGTATATGTATACATATATATGTATATATACATATATATGTATGCATATATATGTGTATATATACATATATGTTTATAAAATCTACATATATACCTATATATGTAGATATACATATATAGGTATATATGTTTATGAAATGTACATATATACATATATAAAACATGTATATATATGTATATATACACATATCCTCCTATTGGTTTGTATTTCTTTAAGAGCAACAAATTACATTTTATACTTTTTCAGGGGAAGAAGTAGAAGTGAAGAAACATTTATTTATTACCTACTAGGTTGCAAGAATTATGCTAGGTGCTTCGTATCTGGCACTTTAGTCCCTGCAGGAGTCCTATGAAGTAGGTTGTATTAACTCATTTCGTAGACGTGTAAACTAAGGTATAAAAAGATGAAGCGTATAAAAAGTTATAAAAAGATTAAGCATCTTGACCAAAGTTATATAGCTAAACAATAAGTGCCTGAAATGTGATTTAGACCTTGGTTATCTGCTTCCTCTCCTCTTTCTACTATTTCCCATGATGTTAGTTTTAAAATGTGTATATTTTTATTAAAAAGAGAACTAATTGTTTCTTTTTGTTTGAGTACTTGTCAAACAAACAAGTACAAACTATTTCCCATGATGTTAGTTTTAAAGTGTGTATATTTTTATTAAAAAGACAACTAATTGTTTCTTTTTGTTTGAGTACTTGTCTCATGTAATTCTTGAGACTTGTTTGAGTACTTGTCTCAAGTAATTGAGTACTTGTCTAATTCACAAAAACATGTCTCATGTGTTAATTAATTCACAAAAATATCCTGCCATGTGCCAGGAGTTTGGGATTCTAAAGAGGAAAGACAGTAGAGATTACCAGTAAGTAGAAATAAGATATGAGACAATTGGGAAGTTTCTTAATTCATCTCTATCAGTAAGAAGAGAGCTCTGGTAAGGTCCTCAATGCTTTATTTTAACCAAATCTTTGACAAATGCACAATTTCAGAGCCATTGTTTGAAAGAAAATCTCACTCTACCATCTTCCCAGATTTCCACTCTTTCAAGCAACAGGTACTCCTATCAGAAGTTGCACTTTGTGTAACTTAATTTTTTTTTTTAAAATCAGACTTGCACTTTTCTACTTGTTAATAGTAGGAATGACTTTTCTGGGCAACTATAAACCTACTGCTGTTTCTAAACTTGGCCCTTAAGGATATGCAAATAAAAAAAAAGAAAACATTTTTAGGTTAGCTGGGCATGGTGGCTCACGCCTGTAATCCCAGCACTTTAGGAGGCTGAGGCAGGCAGATCACTTGAGCTCAAGAGTTCATGACCAGCCTGGGCAGCATGGAGAAACCTTATCTCTACAAAAAATACAAAAATTAGCCAGCTGTGATGGCATGTACCTGTGGTCCCAGCTATTCAAGAGGCTAAAAAAGGTGGATAGCTTGAGTCTGGAAAGTCCAGGCTACAGTGAGCATTGACTGAATCACTGCACTCCAGCCTGCATGACACACAGTGAGACCTTGTCTCAAAGAAAAAAAAAAAAAGTTAGTGGCTACAAATATTGGGTGAATAACAGCATATTTTATTGGTAACAACTTTAGAATTGAAATAACAAGATGTCAAGCTACAGATCCAAACAACAGGCCAAAGATCTTGGTTCCTCCTTTAAGACAAGATGTGAAAGTACAGAATCCAACTTAGACTGTAATTTATCAATGTTGAGATGAGTATAATTCTGGATTAGATGGGGAGACATAGCAAAGTGGGAATAATTTTTAAAATAGGGACTAAATAAAGTATGAAGAATATGTTAAATGCATACCAATTTAGTGTTAAAAGTACACTTACTAAAAATATTTAAAACATTTGCTTATGTTTCACAGAAAACTTATTTAAATCCATTGTATATTACATACTTAAAAATGAAATAAGAATTCCTTCTCTTTTCCATAGACTGATTCCTCCTGTGCCTTTGAAACATACTAGTTTCCAGCTCATTAAAAAAAAATCAATACTACTTCTTCATATATTCAAATTACTCACTGAGGACTCACTGTGCTAGCTATTTTGCATAATCATGTGTTGCCTTGATCTTACCTTCTCATCTCTTCTGGAACCTTGTTTAATCAGTTAACTCCTTTATTGTTTCTTTAACCTCTTCAATCCTGATAGGACCTGCCCATTTAAAAAAGAAACAAACAGATTTTCTTTTCGACTTTGCTTCTCCTTCTAGATACTTCCTACTTTTCTTACTCTGCTTTCTCCCCTCTATATTTGCTTCACTTCATTGTAACCTGTCTGTATCTCTAACTGTTTTTGCCCAGAAAAGTTGGTATTTTTATTTGGCATCTTTGAAGCCATTGGTAATTTTACCAATGGCTTCAAAGATGCCAAACTTCTTCTTACTTTGACCTTCTTGCAGCCTTTGAATTTGTTGACACTCCTCTCCTATAGAAATGATCTCTTCCCTTGGCTTGTGACAAAACATACTTTTGGTTCTTTTACTTCCTCAATAACTTCTTCATATTACTTGTTTATATTACTTTTTCAGCCTCCTCAGATTTATTTTCTTTACTCTTTTCTTATTTAACAAGAACCGCAGCAAGGCTAGTATAGAGAAGAGGCAGAAAGAGGCTGAGAGAAGGCAGACACTAGGAGAGGCAGAGCCTTGAAAGTTATGTTAGGGACTTTCGTCTCAGTCTTTAGAGGAGCAGGAAACCTTTGAAGGGTTTGAAGCAGGAGTGGGATATGATCTGATTTTCAATTTAGAATACAGACTGACAAGCATGGAAGTGAGGTGACTAGCCATGAGAAAATTAAAATGAGTTTAGATAAAGAAGGATAATAGCTTAGACTAGTATAAATAGTGATAAAGATGGAAATAAGTGAATATATTCAAGGTATATTTAGGACAGGTAATGGATTATATGTGAAGGGTAACACAGTGGTAGTTTATAGCTTGAACACCTGGTAAATGGCAGAGTCATCTTCAGAGAGAGGAGAAAGTTTAGGGTACAACACAAGGAAGGAAGCCAGTGAAGCTGGTGGCTGAAGGGAACCTGCATGATATCTCCTTCTCTTCCATGCTAATGGGACCCAACTGTCCTTATTTCCCAATAGCTTTCCCAATGGAGAAGTGCCATGACTTTTTGCAGCCCTCAGTCTCCTTATCATTGATGAACGTACTTTCACAGGATGAAATATGTGACATCCCTTTAAATATTGAAAAGACTGTTTTTTCGAAGAAGGATTAGAATGACTTTGTGTGGCCCTAGAGAGGACAATGAGGACCTATGGGAAGGCAGATTTTAGTTAAGCATAAATGACTTTGTAATGAGTAATGAAAAGGAATGCATCAGGAGATGTTAGTAAGGCCCTTGCAATTGGAATTTTTTATGCAACCCTCTGTGACCATTTCAGGGGAATTATTTTAGAGAGGATTTACACATCAGATGGAAGAGGATCTGGGAAGGGGGTGACCTGATAGATGATCGCTAGCCTCTGTTCCAACTCTGAGATTCTGTGGTTCTATGAAATTTCCACGTTTCTTTTCTTCCCATTATGACAAATAAAGGAAGTTCTGAATAACTATGACCTGAAGAATCTCTCCTGGATGCTGACTGCTAATTCATTCAGAATTTTGTCATTTCTTTGAGTGCATGCATGAAAGGAAAATTTATTCAGAACAGTCACTCAGCAGTAAGACACCAAGAATGTATTAATGAAGCTACAGTAATTGAGGATTTTACCCAAGTGTAACTCCTAGCCCTAACTCATGCATAATTCTTCTGCAGTATGAACTCTGCCTTTCTTAGCTAGCAAGGAGTGACCACCTTGGAAGAGCTGCATGTTTTAATAATGAGAGAAGATGTTTCTTGTTTTTATGACCCAAACAAGGGAATTGTTTGCTTCTAGAAATATGGGAGAGTTTTGAGTGCCAGAGAGATAAGGGGAAAATAATGTTCTCTTCAGATATTTTACTCTCTAGCTACATTGTCTCATGCCTGTCTGCTGTTTAAGTAAGAAACAAGGCATTTCATTTTTTAGCTGTTGTTCACATTAAAATAGCAATTCTGTCAATAAATATAGTAAGGAGCTGCATTCATTATTCCCGGTTATCACTTTGATACCAAAACCTTGCTCATGAAGCAAAATGGGAGTCACATTTATGAGCAGAAACAGGTACTAGCTTGTATAATACTTGATGTTAAATCCAAGTGTGAGATTCAAATTCCATAACCAAATTATCTGTTTATGCCAGTAGCAGTTAACATGGGGCAGAAACATGATTGGCCAGTTGAAGCTCAGGCCTCATGAATAAGCCTCTCTAGTAGTTTTAAAGCCTTAATCCTCTGAGCCCGTCATCTGACACAACCATGGAACTACAAGGCTTCCTGTCCTCCATTTGAATCTGTCAACCAACTATTATTTCCTGAGCACCTTCTAGATATGAATTGTGCTAGGTAGATACTTAGAGAGGTTTAAAAATAAAGTAGACAGTTTAGCAACTGCCCTCACAGAGCTAAGTCTTCTCAATGAGAGAAGATTTTTGCACCAATATATAATAGAAATATGTGATGAGTGTCACAGTAAGTGGCATTTCACAATAAAAGAATCACTATGGGGTACAGAGAGCAGTCCACAATTCATGGGTGGGTAGGATTTATAGTAGGCTTTAATACACGGTTTGAACTTGCCTCGATAATGAGGAATGAAGAAGGCATTTTGGGCAGGGACAGACATGGAAACAGGAATGTATAAATCATGCAGATGCCCATAAGTGACTGAATTTCAAAATGGCTCTCACTGGAATTCCCCGTGAGTACAAATAATACAACTTCTGAACAAAGATTTGGGTTAACTGGGAAATAGTTGGCTTCATGAAAATAGAAGACAGGGGTTTTCAGTGGATGTTTTTGCCTTTGGTAAACTTAATGCTGAACAGTGAGTCTAGCTGTTACCAAAAGTAGTATGATTGGTAGTGGTGGTAGCATCATCTGCTACTTCACAGGTTTTGTATGTGTTAACTTATTTAATCATCCAGGAATGTCTAGAGGCAAATACTAATACCATTCCAGTCTTGCAAATGAGGAAACTGATGCTCAGAGGGGTTTAAAAAAAAAAGAAAAACTTTTCCATGGTCACAGATACACTTTTGTTCTACTTGTTAGGCAGGTTTATATTGGGCAATAACAAGAGATTGTAAGAGGGCCAGTGATTTGATGCTGAAAGTTAGTCTAAGAAGTTTGGATTTTATTCCATTGTTTGTGGATGGTTGTTGAAGACATTTCTGTCCTTAATGCCTTGTGGGAACTAGGCTGGAACCCAATTCACCTCATCCTGTCAACATATAAGCAATGGCTTAGTTAATCCCCAGTATTATGAGTCTGTAGCAAACTAGGTCAATGGGATTTCCCCATCCTCCATGGCTGTTAGGGACAATTGCAGGCCTCCAGAGCTCACATACCACATTTCAATTGTTCTCTTACTGATTCCTTAAGACATCTTAAAATGAGAAAGATCATCTAACTCCCACTCGGATCAAATTCTTTATTGGTATTCAGTCAGCTTGCTTTACTTCCCTGTCTGATAAAAATCCTCAGATAACCAAATTTCAGAGGGCTTATATTGGAATTTCCCTTGAGTACAAATGATTCAATTTCTGAACAAAGACTTGGGCTAATTGTGGAATGGTTTGCTGTGAGAAGAAGGAAGACTAGGGGTTTTCAATGGTCTTGTTTGCCCTCAGTAAAGTTAAGGATTGTTGCTAATGTCATGTGGCAGAGGAAAGCATTATCTTGCTGGACTGATTTTCTCCAATTCCTAAGACCTAGCACAGTGCTCGATGCAGGGTAGGCACTAAATAAATGTTTCTTTAATACATGAGAGAACAGATAAACTGAAATTGGAATGGAAATTATGATATTTATCTTATTTTAAGATATATGATTTGAGAGAAGTTTGGTAAGTATTTGGATAATGTTTGAACAAGACAAATAAGAAATTGTCCAGATGCCTCTCTTACAAGTCTGACTGTCCTCAGGAAGAATTGGGCAGTCCACCAGTTCCCCAGTGAGTAATATTATTGAAAAAGAAACTTTCCCTTTTCACGTTATATTATCTCTTTAGTATAAAAGACCCTGATGTTCACTGGGTCACGTTTGCCTTTCAAAATGGCAATAGTGTCTTTCTGTAGCCTCCAGACAAATAATGTAGTCTATCAAAGAAGCAAATAGGGTTATTCAGAGTCTTTTAAAAACACAGACTCAGGAAACCTTGCTCCTCCAATTTTAGTGTAGTTCAAAGCAAATAACCACTCTGAACCTCAAGTTTTTCATCAATAAAACTGAAGTTAATACTTCCTTCTTTACTGGATTCTCATGATAATTACTGAGGAAACTGTGTGAAGCACCTGGAACATAGTAGGTGCAAAATAAATCCAATTTTGCTTTTCTTCCTTTTTCAATTGAATATTTTATACAATTAAAAAGTAAGTTTAGCTTTGCTAAATTTGGTCTGTGTGGAGGTTCTAGCACTAGTTACTATGGCAACTTTTTTATTTTATTTTTTTCTGGAAAGACATTTTCTCTAGTGTTGTTAATTTTGAAGATTAAACTGTTCTCCTTAAAAGCTACCAGATATCTGCCAAATCCCTTTTTTATTCCATCCTTATTAACCCATTTGTCTTCTAGTATTTTCATTTTATTTTACTCTTGAAGTTGATTTGTCCCAATAAACATATGTTTGGTACAATGAACCAGGTTATATTTCATTTATTTTGTAGTTACCTTAAGTATATACTGTCTTATACTTCAGCATTCTAGTGAAGAACTTTTTTTCTGGTATCTGAGATCATCAAAGATCAGGACTATTTATTACTCTCTAAATCAAAGATGGCAAACGCATACCACAAATTCTGACACTTCCCACACCCATGCCGGTGACATTCTTTCCTAATATTGCAGGTTTTCCTTCAGAATCCTTCTGAACACAACACTACAGAGGCAAGTATCAATAGGCTGGTGTTAGCATGTGAGTTTACACCTATTTGCCCTTCATGGATTAAACCATAAGTAAGGTTCAGACTTGCATCACGTTTTCTTGATGTTGTGCCTGAAATTATATCATCTGGTGCACTTTCCTTGGATTGTCTTATCATGTCTTAGATCCAAGGATCTTTTTGAAAATGTTTTTACTCCATGGAATTATTAACACAATGACCCTATGTAATCAGTTGCAGCTCATTAGCTCTGATTGCTATGGAGGAGATTAGAGCAAGGGATGATGTATAAAAAGAAGCAGCTATAGCTGCAGATTTCCTGCAGGTAGGCTCACCCATTGATCCAAAAGGTAAATATAGATCTGGAATTTGTATTCTAAATAAATAAATGAAAGCTGAGCTGTCAAATCGGTTCATTAAAAGTATCCCAAGCTTAAATCATTTACTTACCACCTTAATGATTTTTGACATGTTCATTTACCATCTGAAATATTATTTAATTAATATTTTTATTGTGACCCAATTTTACTTCATGTTTACTTAAATACAAAATTGTATATAACTATCATAATAAAAATCTATATCATTTAACATATATAGAATATAATTTAAATAAAAATACTTTGAAAACGATATTATTAAATTATAGCTAGAAACCTTGTCTGTTAATGACTCTAAGAAACATATTATCTCTGTATTTAAAAAATATATATGTGTGTGTATAGTTGAGATTTACTCACACCAAATGAGACTTTCTTTATGATAAAATCAGAAAGACTACACCCTCCATCAACTCCCCAAAAAGTTGGTTTTATGAGTTTACATCTTACTGCTCTAAACCCATGGTCATAGGTGGTACAAAGATAATAGCATTGCATTGCTCATGTAAGACTGATAATCATCTTTCTTCAGGGCAGAAATGGAATAGAAACATACAGCTAACAGTGGGGGCTGAAGCCACAAAACTCCTGGGCTCCAATTTGGGCAGGAATTCAATTCCAGTGAGTTAATAGGAACTGAGAGAACCATATGTCAAGGGACCAGAGCCAGGCTCACTGTATTACAGGTCATATACTCATATAGTGGAATACTATATAGCAATAAAAATAAACTGCCAGAAAATATGTGCAACAATATGCATGAAACTCTCAAATATAATAACATGTGAAGGAAGACAGACATTAAAGAGTACACACAACATGATTCTATTCTGTCAAGTACAAAAGCAGCTAAAATTAATCCATCCTGTCACATTGCTGTATAATGGCTACTCTTGGAAAGAAGTGACTGGATGGCAGCATATGGAGGTATTCTGGGATGCAAGTAATGTTCTGGATGCTGATTACATGATATGTTCTGTTTTTGAATATTCATTCACTTATTCCTATTAATTTGAGTCATATCAATTTCTGGGGGAATAAAAGTAACTGGGATTTTGAAAAAGATTGCATGAAATTTGTAGATTAGTTTGAAGAGCACTGTTATCTTAACAGTATTAAGCCTTGCAGCCCATAAACATGACCTGTCTTTTTAGTTGGTCAGAACTTTTATTTTTTCAATGATATTTTGTAATTTTGGTATACAAGTCTTTTACTTATTTTGCTAAATTTATTCCTAAATATTTTATTCTTTCTATGTAATTAAAAATAAAATTGTTTTCTTAATTTCATTTTTGGATTATTCATTGTTAGTGTATAAAAATATAACTGATTTTTGTATGTTCATCTTGCATCCTGCAACCTTGCTGAATCTGTTTATTCTATTAGCTTTTTGTGGATTCTTTAAGATACTCTGTATAAATTATGTCATCTGCAAATAGAGTTAAGTTTACTTCATCCTTTTCAATCCAGATGCTTTTTATTTTATATTCTTGACTAATTGCCCTGGCTAGATATTCCAGTACATTGTTGGATACAAGTGGTAAGAGCAAACACCCTTGTCTTATTCCTCACCCTAGTGGAAACGCATCCATTCTTTCAGCATTAGGTGTGATGTTAGCTGTGAGTATCCCATAAAAGTTTATTTATTGCTCAGATCACAGTCCTGTATGTTTTGCTAAAGTCGAAGTGGGTGGTAAGGTCCGCTACAGCTAGTCATTTAGCAATTCAGACTCTTCCTCCTCTAAGTCTTCAGACTTCTCTCTGTTCAACTGCCATTTGGGGAAATAATAAGATGTTGCATAGCAAATTTTTAAGGGCTAGGTCTGGAAAAGAGGTACATGATTTCTTTTCTCATACCATTGGTCAGAATTCAGTAACAGGGCAACATATATCTTCAAGCAGCATTAGTGTGTGGCAGATAGAATGACCAACCATCCTAGTTGCCCAAGACCAAGGGGCATTAATTAGTCAGAAATAACATGGTTTTTTACCATCAAGGAATTTTTAATCAGTCAAAGTAAGGCAAAATTGAATAAATAATTAGAAATGGAATATTTTGTAAAAGAAAATCGTTTTCTGGAGGCAGTTAGATATCATAATAAATATTTTATAAATAATACCCATTTCTTCACTTTAATTAAATCATTCTCTCAATAGCAATATGTTACTGCCAACTACATGCCAAAACCTGTCTAGGTGTAGAAGTGGGGACACACAGCAGTGAAAAAGATAGATAATGTCATAGGTCTTTTGATGTTCAAGCTTTCTAAGATGGAAACAGCACCAAAGTACACAAATACTTGCAACAGTGTCGTTGTAAGTGCTATAAAAGAAATGCCTTAGAAAATGTGACATATCGTAACTGAAGAAAACATAGGTAAGAAAGACCTGTCTGAGGAAGTGACATTTGAACTAACATCTAGAGGGTAAGAAGGAACCAGTTGTGCTAAGAGATGATGAGAAATAATTCAAGAATGAAGCAACCACAAGTGCAAAGACTATGGCAGAACAACAGCAACAACAACACCTTGTTAGGGTCTAGGAAAAAAAAAGGAGATAATATGGCTAGATTATAGCATGGAGAGGAATATGGCAAAAGATGAGGTTGTATATGTAGGAAAGGACAAGTATTATGGAGGAACTTAAATGTAATGGGAAGGATTTTAGATTTTGGATGGTATTCTATCTGTTAATGAGAAGTCATTGATGTTAGGTGAATGAGCGACATGCTTGACATGCTGTTTCACGTTTTATTGTTGTATATAGCAAACTACTCTAAAATATAATTGCTTAAAACAACCACCATTTTATTATCTCTCAGTGTTCTATGAGTTGACTTGTTTCAGCTATGTAGTTCTTTAGTCTAATTTTGAGTCTCTTACGCTGTTTGACTGTTGGTTCAGAAGCTGGACAATTTGGCCTCTCTCCATCTCTATGAGGTTCCTCTCATAACCTCATCTTTCCACTTGTTTCTCCATGTGACCTTGCCAGGTAGGCTCTCCAGCTAAGTAACTAGGCATCTTAAATGGTGACTTCAGGCCTCCCTAAAACACAAAATTAGAAGTTGTCAGGCCTTCTTAAGGCATAGGCCTAGAGCTGGCACTGTATTACCTCTGTTATGTATATTGATTAATATAAGTCCCAGACCAGTCCTGAGTCAGTGTGGAAAAAGGGACCGCATAAGGGTATGGATACCAGAAGTTAGGCTTAATTAAGTACCATCATTAAGACTAGCTAACACAGTTGGACTTCTGGCCCCAAGTGACCCATGTCCCTTCCACATGCAAAATATCCTTTCCTTCTACCCCAAAGCCTTAAGTCTCATCCATTAAAGCAGCAGGCATAGATTTAAAGTCCAAGATCTTATCAGCTAAATTATGTATTGGTACAGATGGATCTATAGAACTATGAACCAGGGACACAAGTTATCTTTCTCCCACATACCCATCGTAAAATGGTGAGACAGGGATAGGTGTACGCTAATATACACTTCCATGTAAAAAGCTGGAGTTGGGGAGTAAACATAGCATTCTCTGGCTTTTATTTTATTTTTTATTTTTCTGAGATGGAGTCTCACTCTGTCGAACATGCTGGAGTGCAGTGGTGCAATCTCGGCTCACTGCAACCTCCGCCTCTTGGGTTCAAGTGATTCTCCTGCCTCAGCCTCCCGAGTAGCTGGGATTACAGGCATGCACCACCATGCCTGGCTAATTTTTGTATTTTTAGTAGAGATGGGTCTTCACTATGTTGTCCAGGCTAGTCTTGAACTCCTGGCCTCAAGTGATGCACCCACCTCAGCCTCCCAAAGTGCTGGGATTACAAGCGTGAGCCACCACACCAGGCCGTCACTGGCTTTTAATAATTCTGAAATCTAGGTTGGCACATGTTACCAACTCACTGTTCTGGGGGCAAGGAATGCATGTTGATTAGAGAATAGTTGTGCTCTCCGGGAATAGTTCTCTTCAGTTCTTTTCGCTGTTCTCTGGGCTTCTGGCTCCATCCTCTGACTCATTTTCACTTTTCCATAAAAAATGACCAATGTTTACAGTTGAGTAGCTTCCTCATCTTCTTTCTGTCTCTAGGGAGTTGGAGACCCAAATGTCCCTTTTCTTTGATGGCCTCTGTCCCTCCCAGTCTAAGCTTATATAATTCTTTTGAAAACTTTGTCAGCTTCCTGTATATTAAGATCTTAATGTACTTTATGAGACAGAAGGCACACCCATACATTTTTGAAATAGGCCCCCTTCTACCTTGGGATTAGAATCTGAGGTCTGTGGGGCAATATCATTGAGAATCTTACAAGCTATTTTTCCCAGTCAAAAGAGTGTATCAGGCATGGCCTCAAATTTTTCTGAGACTTAATCAAATATTTATCCTTAGGCCATGCTTTATTGGCAGCACCTTGGAATTGTTTCTTGAGCTAAAGCCGTTTCTTACTTTGAGAATCTTCTGCTGGTCTGGCAAAGCTATGAAGAAGAAATGGTTTTCTTCTCCAACCTAGCAAGTCCTAGATTGGTCATATTTTTCTAGATTGTGCTTGAAAACTGGACAGTTCCTTCATTAGCTCATAGCTATTGGTATTTATTGTACATCACTAAAAAACCCATAAAACTCCCAAACTCCAAAACAAACTGGACAATTTCAGTATTCTTCCTGGAAATCTTCTTAACTAAATAGACAAGTTCATTGGCTATATTTTCTACTTTTCATGTTAATGCAAGAGATAATGTCATACTTTACACTGTCATGCAAACAACCTTTTCTCTAGCCTCTGATAGCAGTGCTCCCCCACTTTTCTTCCAGTCATCATTAACCATCTCCTGTAGGCCCTTCTTGGCTTCTGCATGCTATCCGGTTCCAAAGCCAATGCTATATATTTTATATTTTTGTTTCGGTAGGGCTCTCTTTCAAATATCAATTTCTGTTTTGATTATTCATTGCTATGTGGATATAATGACTTATAACAACTATTTATTATTCTCTCTCATGTTTCTGTGAGTTAAGTAGGCTCAGCCAAGAAATTCTTCTGAGGGTCTCTAAATTGACAGTATTCAAATAGCAGCTGGGACTGCACTCATATGGAAGCCTGACTGTGATGCTGAGATGGCTGAGTCTCTTTTTCTCTATATGTAGTCTCAGGGCTTGCCTTCTCACATATAAAAAAATCTCACATATATAGATATGCATATGATATTTATACATGGATATTTTTAAATAGTGGCATAATTCTTACATGGACACTCATGACTCTCCAAATCAGAAGTTGACAAGCTTTCTTAAGGCTTAGGCTCAAAACTGGCATAAAGTAACTTCTGATACATTACATTAGTTAAAATAAGCCACAGACCAGTCAAAGTTCCTTGTGGGAAGGGACTACATAGGGTTCTAATAAGAAGCAACAGGATTGATTGGGGGCAATATTTGGAAACCAGCTACCACACGTTATAACTTCAGTTTCCTAAACATTACTGTGATTGCTAGGGAGAGAATGGATTGGAGGGTGACATTTTTGATGTATCACAGGTGAGAGTAGTTGTAGTTTATTACAGAGCAGAAACAATGGAGATAGAGAGCAGTAAACTATTCAAGAAATAATTGGAGATAGATTTGGAAGGACCTGTTGATGTATTGGTTGTGAAGGATGAGTAATAGGGAAGACTAGGAGTGATTCTTAGTTTACAGGCGTATGTAACAGAATGAAAGATGGTTCCATTTACCTCTACATGGGGTAGAAAAGAGGTTTGAGGCATTGGTAACCTATAGTTCTGTTTTGGACTTGTTAAGTTTAAGAGATATGTTAGACACATAAGTGAAGATTTCAAGTCAAAAAGTAGATATATATAGAAACCTGCAGGACAGAAAAGGAGGTCAGGGATAGAGATATATATTTCATCCTCATAAGAATATGTATGATATTTAAGAGGATAAGATTCTAGATGAGATCACCTTGAAAGGAGTTACAGATAAGAGAACCTAGGACTGAACCTAGAAAACTCCAACTTTTAAAGGTCAGGAAGAGGAAAAAAAGACAGCAAAGAAGACGAGAAGACCTTGAGGTACAATGATAATCAAAAGAGTAAATATCAGGCCTGGTGCAGTAGCTCACACCTGTAATCTCAGCACTTTGGGAGGCTGAGGCAGGTGGATCAGGAGTTCGAGACCAGCCTGGCCAACGTGGTGAAACCCTATCTCTACTAAAAATACAAAAATTAGCTGGGTGTGTTGGTGTGCATCTCTAGTCCCAGCTACTCAAGAGGCTGAGGCAGGGATATCACCTGAACCCAAGAGGTGAAGGTTGCAGTGAGCTGAGATTGGCCACTGCACTCCAGACTGGGTGACAGAGTGAGATCCTGTGTCAAAAAAAAAAAAAAAAGAGTGACGATCACAGAATTCAAATGAAGGAAGTGTTTCAATAGGGAAGGATGGGTTATCTGATTAAAATTCTGCCAATAGATCTATAAGATAAAGACAAACAGATGTCCATTAGATTTCATCAATGATCTATAAGATAAGGACATAGACATGTTCACTGGATGTTAGTAGTGATGATCTCATTTCATCCTGAAAAGTTGTTCAGTGATATATATTATTTCCATATATTCATTATATCATTATTTGTTTATTGTCTTTGTCCTCTGTTAGAATCTAAGTGCCAGGAGAGCAGAGAATTTTGTTTGTTTTGTGTATCGTTGTACCCCAACACCTAAAATTGTACCTGGCCCATAATATGTACCATTCATTCATTTATTCATAATCCTAGGAAGTAACTATAATTATTCTCATTATACTGAAAAGGACACTTGATCAGAAATGTTAGATTCACATGGGAGATAAATTGGATAACCAAATTTCAAATTTAGTTGTCTGAATCACAAGTTTCCTGTTCTTTTTACTAAACCAACCCTTGTCTCCTGAGATATTCTGTCACACAGTTGTAGGTTAACTGAGAATATTCTAGTGGTTAACCCTTAGGCATATTTTTAAAAAGCAATGTAATAGTCATTGCTGTTTGATTAACTCTATGATTGGAATAATAAAATTTGTATTTGCTTCTGTGGAAGTTCTATCTTAAAATGCAAGTGTTCTTCAAAACAATGTTAATATGCATATTCACTGGATTTGCTTATCATTTGCATATCAATCCATTCATTTTGCACTTCAAGTAACAGGGAAGATGTTCACATAAGTAATACATTAAATGATATAACCAAAACAGTCTTTTAAACATATGCAATGCAAAACAACAAATAATTTAACCTGTTATATGTATCTTTTAAATGCACAATTTTATGTCATACACGTAACATGCAAGAGATTTAACTTAAAATGAGCATACACACTGCTTAATTTACTTGGTTGCTTCTACTTCCAAATTTAATTTATACTGTCTAGAGACCTAGATATAAGACAACTGGTATGGGAAGAAGTTACCTAGAGTCTGAAAGGAGAAATAAAAATAGAGCAAGAAAGAGAAAAAGTGTGAGGTAGCAGACAGGTGAGAAGGATGGGGATAAACAAGGAAGCCATTTGAGAAAAGTGAGGAAGAGGTAGAGATAGAAATGATCCAGAGAGAATACAGGTACTTGAAGATGGGTAGTCCCTGGAGGGATGAAGAGAAATTGTGGAATGTGGGGAGGGGACCGTCCTCTCATCTACCTGAGATTACCAATACTAATCATAACAGATATACCCATTTTGTATGTATTCTGTGCTAGGCATTGTGCTAGCCACTTTACACATGTAATCTTTATGTATCAAGATCCCTGCAAAAAAAAGTAATGTGTGTGTGTATATATTCCCTAGTATGTACAAAGCACATTAAATACATTTTGGGCACTACCACCATCATCATCATCATATTCATTTGTATAATGGGGAGATACATATATATATATATATATATATATATATATATATATACACACACACACACACACACACACACACACAAACATATATATATATATATACACACACACACACACACACAAACATATATATATATGTACACACAGACGTACATATACATAAAAATATGTATGGGAACATAATATATATATCACCTTTATATATGTATCTATTACATATAATGGGGATATATGTATATAAATAGGACATATAATGGGAACATATATATACACACATACAAATATTATAGAGATAAATAAAGAAATAAGTATATACACACACAGTCAGCTTTCTGTATTCTTTGGTTCCACATCCATGGATTCAACCTGCTGTGAATCAAAAATATTTGGGGAAAAAGGATGGTTGTGTCCGTATTGAACATGTATAGACTTTTTTTCTTGTCATCATTCCCTAAACAATGCAGTATAACAACTATTTCCATAGCATTACCATCGTATTAGGTATTATAAGTAACCTAGAGATGATTTAAAGTATATGAGAGGATGTGTATAGGTTATATGCAAATACTATACCATTTTATATAAAGGACTTGAGCATCTGTGAATGTTGGTGTCTGGGAGGGTTCCTGGAACCAACTCCCCAAGGACACTTTTTATATCTCTCCCTATTATACAAAGGAATAATGATGATGATGATGGAGGTGGCTAAAATGTACTTAACGTGCTTAGTACATTCTGGGGAATATGTTTATCATATTCCAGTAATATTCATATTATTATACACATAGATGAAGAAGCTCACTCAAGTAACTATCAACAGTCATATAGTGAGTAAGTGGTGGAATAAGAATTTAAGACAGATCCAGTACCGAATCCCTTGCTCTGTTTTTTTTTTTTAACAGTACTATTAAGGTGTAATTGATATACAAACAATGGCATGTATTTGATGTATACAATTTAAGGGTTTGAATCTATGCATACACCTGTGAAACCATCACCATAATCAAGCTAATCAACATATCCATTACTTCCAAAAGTTTTGCACTGCTATCCCTCTTTTAAAGATGTATCTTCTTTACACATTTTTCAGTGCACAATACTATATGGTTAACTATAGGCACTATGTTGTACAGCAGATATCTAGAATATATTCACATTTCATAACTTAAACTTTATACCCATTGAACAGTATTCTTTGTTCTTACTATGAAGTCAAGATAACTGGTAGGAATATATCTATGTTTTCCAGAGCCCTTGCCACTTACATAACTCGGCCAATTTTTGCTGTGTGTGTTGGGGTTTGGGATAGAAATGGTGGTGGTAAAATATACCAAGAAAGAGTCTGTATACACACATATATGTGTGCATCCACACATGCATGCACACACACACAAATATCTGTCCAGATATTCATTATACCCTCTCCTTTAATGATCCTAAAACTTCTGGTATACTAGATATTTCTCTTCCATTGCAAAATCTCGGGAACCATTTATTTAGATCCTCCTACTACTACGCACAACCTTTCTGTGGAAATGGCACTTGAGCTGGTAGGTAGGTAAAACTGGAGCAAATTTCTCTAACTATTGAAGTGCTCTGGACGGGGCATTTGTGTATGGCCCTATGAAGTAAAGTGCGTTTGAGAGCAAAGGATGAACTATTGATTTTTTCTACCCTGCTTGTGGTAGTTAGGAACTTCTAGAACTTATTTCTTTGACATCACCCTGCTCAGTAGTGAATGTGTTTTGGAATCATACCTCAAACTTTATTCATTTAGGAGGTAAGTTAAATAATGGACATACGGGGGACATTGAATCCTGCACATCATGCATTAATTGGTGGCCCTGGATAAATTACTTGAATCTCAGTTTTAACATCTGTAAAGTGGCGATAAGAATGCCTACCAAGCAAGATTGTTATGAGAAGCAGAGATAATTCAGGTAAAGTATTTTGAATAATGTCTGGTTTATAGTAGAAACCTGGTTAGTGTCTTTATTATTGGAAGGTTAGATTTCCTCATCTCTATAGTCCCTCTTGATCTCATGATTCTGAGACTGGGAATCTAGCAAGATTGATAGGTAAAGGAAGGGATGATGTGTTATATGATATTGGTGGCAGTATAAATACATATAACCATTTCAGAATATAGTAAGTAAAAATAGCCATAAAGGTGTTCAAGGCCCATAGATCTAGGAATCTCAATTTTGGGAGTTTATCATTAGGAAATAATATATCATAAGAAGAAAGATACAAGCACAAAGCTGTCCATATAGCAATGTTTACTGCAACATTATCTGTAATAATAAAAATTTAGAAACCTGTAGAGGAATGGTTAAAAAAATTATGATGCATCAAATGAGCATATTCTTAGGAAGACCTAAGACTAAAACAGGGAATTGTATTTATGCTATAGTGTGAAGTGAAAAATAATAAAAATGATATATGCACTTTGATTATACTGTAACATAATGTGCACATTGGAAAAGACCATAAAGGAATGTGGAAAAATGGAACTGTTCAGTGGTGTGTTTTTCAGAAAATTTTAATCTGTTCAAAAATGAGATTCATTTGTTCATAGAATAAATATTTATGGATGCCTACCATCTACCAGGTACTGTTCTAGCTACAAGGAATAACTAAAAATAGGTAAACAAAACAGATGAAAAACTTAGAAATTTATACTGATGTTATCAGAGTAATGTTTAATTTTTCAGATAATTGTTATGTCTAAATTAGCATTTGATTTTTCAATTAAGAATTTTTAAATTATCCAATATTGCAAGCATATATAGAAACATGGAAAACAACAAAATTCTCATGCATATACTTCAAACACAGAGCTAACAGATGTTATTATTTTTTATTTCTTTCACAACCCAACTTTCGGGAAACAAAATAGGCACAGCAAAACTGGGATCTCCTCATCCCCTTCTCCTTTCTTATATAAAAGTAATCCTGCTCTTGGTACAGCTATGTATCATACTCATCCAGGTTTTAATTTTTCTTATATAACGGAACATATATGGTGTTATTTTACGGATTTTAAAGCTTTACATAAATGGTGTCATGTGATGTTCATTCTTATGTGATCATTTTTACTGCACTCTTTTTATTGCTGCATAGTGTGGCAATAAATGAAGAGTTTATCCCCCCTACTTACTGTTTCCATTTTTTTTTTTACTATTTTTTTTTTTTTACTATTATACTTTAAGTTCAAAGGTACATGAGCACAACACGTAGGTTTGTTACATATTTATACATGTGCCATGTTGGTGTGCTGTACCCATTAACTCGTCATTTACACTAGGTATTCTGCTAATGCTATCCCTCCCCCTGCCCCCTACCCCAGGACAGGCTCTGGTGTGTGATGTCCCCGACCTGTGTCCAAGTGTTCTCATTGTTCAATTCCCAGCTATGAGTGAGAACATGTAGTGTTTGCTTTTCTGTCCTTGTGATAGTTTGCTCAGAATGATGGTTTCCAGCTTCATCCATGTCCCTACAAAGGACATAAACTCATCCTTTTTAATGGCTGCATAGTATTCCATGGTGTATATGTGCCACATTTTCTTAATCCAGTCTATTATTGATTGACATTTGGGTTGGTTCCAAGTCTTTGCTATTGTGAATAGTGCCACAATAAACATATGTGTGCATGTGTATTTATAGTAGCATGATTTATAATCCTTTGGGTATATACCCAGTAATGGGATCACTGAGTCAAATGGTATTTCTATTTCTAGATCCTTGAGGAATTAGTCACACTGTCTTCCACAATGGTGGAACTAGTTTACACTACCATCAACAGTGTAAAAGCATTCCTATATCTCCACATCCTCTCCAGCACCTGTTGTTTCCTGACTTTTTAATGATTGCCATTCTAACTGGTGTGAAGTGGTATCTCACTGTGGTTTTGATTTGCATTTCTCTGATGGCCAGTAATGATGAGCATTTTTTCATGTGTCTGTTGGCTGCATAAACGTCTTCTTTTGAGAAGCACCTGTTCATATCCTTTCCCCCCTTTTTGATGAGGTTGTTTGATTTTTTCTTGTAAATTTGTTTAAGTTCTTTGTGGATTCTGGATATTAGCCCTTTGTCAGATGGGTAGATTGCAAAAATTTTCTCCCATTCTGTAGGTTGCCTGTTCACTCGATGGTAGTTTCTTTTGATGTACAGAAGCTCTCTAGTTTAATTGGATCTCATCTGTCAATTTTGGCTTTTGTTGCCATTGCTTTTGGTGTTTTAGTCATGAAGCCCTTGCCCATGCCTATGTCCTGAATGGTATTGCCTAGGTTTTCTTCTAGGGTTTTTATGGTTATAGGCCTAACATTTAAGTATTTAATCTATCTCGAATTAATTTTTGTATAAGGTGTAAGGAAGGGATCCAGTTTCAGCTTTCTACATATGGGTAGCCAGTTTTCCCAGCATCATTTATTAAATAGGGAATCCTTTCCCCATTTCGTGTTTTTGTGAGGTTTGTCAAAGATCAGATGTAGATGTGTGGTGTTATTTCTGAGGCCTCTGTTCTGTTCTATTGGTCTAGATAACTGTTTTGGTACTAGTACCATGCTATGTTGGTTACTGTAGCCTTGTAATATAGTTTGAAGTCAGGTTGCATGATGCCTCCAGCTTTGTTCTTTTTGCTTAGGATTGTCTTGGCAATGCGGGCTCTTTTTTGGTTCCATATGAACTTTAAAGTAGTTTTTTCCGATTCTGTGAAGAAAGTCATTGGTAGCTTGATGGGGATGGCATTGAATCTATAAATTACCTTGGGAAGTATGGCCATTTTCATGATATTGATTCTTCCTATCCATGAGCATGGAATGTTCTTCCATTTGTTTGTGTCCTCTTTTATTTCATTGAGCAGTGGTTTGTAGTTCTCCTTGAAGAGGTCCTTCGCATCTTTTGTAAGTTGGATTCTTAGGTATTTTATTCTCTTTGCAGCAATTGTGAATGGGAATTCACTCATGATTCAGCTCTCTGTTTGTCTTTTATTGTTGTATAGGAATGCTTGCGATTTTTGCACATTGATTTTGTATCCTGAGACTTTGCTGAAGTTGTTTATCAGCTTAAGGAGATTTTGGGCTGAGACGATGGGGTTTTCTAAATATCCACTCATGTCATCTGCAAACAGGGACAATTTGACTTCCTCTTTTCCTAATTGAATACCCTGTATTTCTTTCTCTTGCCTTACTGCCCTGGCCAGAACATCCAACATTACACTGAATAGCAGTGGTGAGAGAGGGCATCCCTGTCTTGTACCAGTTTTCAAAGGGAATGCTTCCAGTTTTTGCCCATTCAGTATGATATTGGCTTTGGGTTTGTCATACATAGCTCTTAATATTTTGATATATGTCCCATCAATACCTAATTTATTGAGAGTTTTTAGCATGAAGCGTTGTTGAATTTTGTCAAAGGCCTTTTCTGCATCTATTGAGATAATCATGTGATTTTTGTCTTTGGTTCCGTTTATGTGATGGATTACGTTTGTTGATTTGCATATGTTGAACCAGCCTTGATTTTATACTTTTATAAACAATTCTGCAGTGAACATTCTTATATACATTTCCTTGTGCAGTTGTGCCAGAGTTTCTAGGGATTATGAATAAAAATGAAACACTAGGTATGTGCACCTTTAACTTCACGCATATTGCCAAATTTCTTTGTCAAGTGGTTGTAGCAGTTGACAATGTCAACAGCAATGTATATGTTTCCCTTCATCCTCACCAATACTTCAGTGATTTTTGTCTATTTGATAGATGCAACATGGCATCCTCCTTTTTTTTTTCAGTCATTCAATCTGTCTTGTGCTTCGGCTAAAACACATAAAGACAGGATCCACTAGCTTAAGCCCAGTATCAATTGTTGGTGAAGAAACATTTTCTGAGGCAGACATAAGACCTCCTCTTGGAACTCCTAGTAAATAGCTGGAGAACACTTTGAAGGAGGCTTGTTAGTGAGAGCAAACTCAGTGGAGGTTCATGTCATGGTAATTTGAGGTATATAAATATTCTAATATGTACATAATTAGGTTATAGAAATTAAATATCAGATGTCTGATTTGTAATAGGAGCTTAGTTAATATTGCTTTGTTTTATTTCCCTATTTTAAGAAGTACTCAACATAATCACTAAGTACACTTTTCTTTGTTTATGTGTGTAAATATTCTTAGATCAGTGATATCAAGCTTTGACATGCATCATGATCCCTTGTAGCATTTGTTAAGGCACAAGCTCTGACTGAGTTTCTGATTCGGTGAGTCTGGTGTGGGGCCTGGGAGTTTGCATTTCTTACAAGCTCCCAGGTTATTTGCTCTTGATGCTGGTCTGGCAAACCACACTTTGAGAACCTAATCCATATGCATCAGCAAGAGTGGTGTGTCACTGGAGATTGCGGAATGAGTGTTTTCAGAATTACATTATTATTCCACTTATCAAGGCACTGATATTGCTCTCTATGTAATATTGGGGCTCCCTTGAATGCCCTTATGCTTTATTTGGGTGAAAATTCCTATAGCAATGGGATAATGTTCTACCTTCCTTCTTTACTCAGCATATTTCCCTGATGATTCATAAAATCATAAAATCACACAATGGTTGAATTTCATTGCCTCTTTTTGTGTGTCTGACTCTGATTACAAATGAGCTAAAATAAGCAGGTTGAGATTTAGGGCAGTTTTTACTAATAGGGAGCTACTTCGTACTAGGAGCCATCTAGGAGAATGGGCAGGGGTTGCCAGGTATTCTTATTTTGATTTTAGGTTATCCACCTTGCCCTCCTTTCCAGCACCTTGCCTTCTCATCAGTGTCTTCAAACTGAGATATTCAGTGATCTTCCTTATTTAAACAATGGTGTTTACATAATATTTACAGTTATTCTTCACTTAAATTTGAGAATTTCAATACTATACCAAAGAGAAGCAAGGTGAAATTCTGGGAACCTACCTACTTCAACAGGTACACATTTTAGACCATTTCTTCCTATGCCTTCCATTTGAAAAAAGTTTTTATTTGTAAAACTGTTTTGATTGAAATGTATATAGCTAATACAGTCATGGTCATAGGCTTGCTAAGAAGTATATGTTATATGTTCTCACTCATAGGTGGGAATTGAACAATGAGAACACATGGACACAGGAAGGGGAACATCACACACTGGGGCCTGTTGTGGGGTGGGGAGAGGCGGGAGGGATAGCATTAGGAGATATACCTAATGTTAAATGACGAGTTAATGGGTGCAGCACACCAACATGGCACATGTATACATCTGTAACAAACCTGCACGTTGTGCACATGTACCCTAAAACTGAAAGTGTAATAAAAAAAAGTATATGCTTTATGGACACTGGGTATAAATTAATCATTTGAGAGCCCTGTTTATGGTACACTGTAAATAAAATATTACTGATTTTTAACAACAAAAATAAAATCAATGTTATGGCATAACATTATAGGTTGTTAGAAATAGAACATATAAAAGATTTCTTATATTGCAATCAGCACTGTATAAAGGTGAGGCAGGTTTCTGTATACTTTGCCTGTAAGATCCTTGAGGGCAAAAGCTGTCTTCCTTATTTTTGAATAACCCTTGTTAAAGATAATCCCTTACATAGAGAAAGTGTTAAAGGAATGAATAGAAAATAATGATAAGGAATGTTAGAGTAGTCCAATAAAAAGACAAGGGCTTTGATGTCCATGGGACATTTTAAATCCTGGTTTTATTGTATGAGTGTCCTTGGATGACTTTATCAATTTTTCTGAACCCAGTTTTCTGGTTTATAAAATGAGCACTGGATACTATTCCTTGTCTAAGATCATTGTGGTGGAATTTAAATGAAGTAAGTGACGGGTACATTGGCACTCAAAAAATATTATTTTTCCCACTCCTGCGCCACCAATTCCTTCTAATATGAACCATTCAGTGTTATAACAAAAATACAGTATTTAAGTTACTTGTAAATTTCTGACTAAGTATTAAATATTTTATACCAGCTTGTATTTTCAGACCCTATTGTACAATTAATTACCAATTCTCTTACTGGAATCTTGTAAAAATCATCCATATTTTACAGAGATAATGAGAGAGCTGAGCTTAAAGACACTGAGTAACTGCCTCAGGGTAAGTCAGTGAAGCAAACACTGAGAGGTGGAATTTTGAGTTCAGAGTTCCTGCTCTCCTGTTTTCTTTCTTCTCAGGCTGTGCAGCCATACTGTAATTCTTCAGTTTATTTTAGTAAAAAAGATGATTTGCAGGCCTAAAGAAATTTAAGGTTATTTGAGTTTCTGTTATTAAATTCTACATTTTTCCAGCTTAAATAAGAGGCAACTAGACATCAATTTAGATCACTGTTTACCATGATTTACATAATCTCCTTATTATTACATCTATATTCATTGATTAAATAGCATTAAAATATATTTAATATAATAGCCTTTGAAATAAATAAATGACTATGATGTATATAGATAGCTACCATTTGAAAAAGTTTTCATTCGTAAAAATATATTAATCAAAATGTATATAGCCAGTACAGCCAGCTGTATGATGAAGGCTGAGAAGGAGAATTTGTGGGCATTTGTACATGTTGTTCAATAGGCAAGATTTAGTGCGGAAAGTCATATGTACTAAGACAAATCACTGCATAACAACAATAATGGTGATAGAATTTATTGCACAATTCCTGGCTTCTGGTTATTATGCTAACCTTTTCATATGCACTATATAAATTGATCTCCAATTTTTCTATAGCCCTATGAAGAAAATATTATTAACTCCATTTTGTAGATAAGAAATCATAGCCATAGAGAGTCTAAATGAGTTACCCAAATTTGCATCTATCATAAAGCAAACACAGGAAGATTAAAATGTAGGTCTGTCTACCTCCAGAACTAAAGTTCTATATACTACTCCTATAAATGTTTATTGCATGTTATCTATATATTAGTTCCTGAGATTAAAAAAATTTTCAAAACAAAAGTATCCCTGCCCTCTTGGATTTGAAATCTGGCTCTAAATACAGCACAAATAGCCCAGAGTAAATATAAAACAGAATTTCCTAAATAATATTACCAAGGGTATCTTCAGTGTTTCTGTTTTTGCTTTTAAATGAAAAAGTAATCCAAACTCTAATAACTTTAGGACACTCTGCATGCTGTATCACTGTCTTAGAGGTAGGTGCACATCACACATTAGCTTACTAAAGTCAATGAGAAGTCTTATTATTAGGAAGTATTAGCATTTTCCAAACTTAATTGATGTCAGATTTTTTCCCAAAAATTTTTTTTTTTCATTAACACCCTGAAAGACACCAGTATTCCATGAAACATAGGTTAGGAAATGTTGCCCTGGAGAAATTCTTTGATATTTAATCCTTTTGTTGATTTTTTTTTTTTTCTGAGAAAAGACTAAAATTCTTGGCATTTGTGTTTTCCTAGTACTCCAAATCTCATACAGTGTATCTTACAGCAGCTCTCCTATGAAGTTATGGTAATGACTTATTCCTCCAAAATGTTTGCCCTGCACCTCATGATAAAAAAGACTCCATATTCAGTCCTAACCCCCTGCTTCTCTTCCTTTCATTGCTATTTTTCTTTAGAGTTGTGCTTTCCCCATTACTTCACCATTCATTTTTATTTTTTTCACAATATGTTCTTTTCTGCCTGCCTAATAGGTTCAGTTGTGTGGTGAAGGCTGAGGAGGAGCAATTTGGAGGGATTTGCAGAGGTTGTTCAATAGGCAAATAAAATTTCAAGGAATTTTTAACATTAGGGAAGAGGATAGAAAAGAGATGAGCTGTTTACCTTTAAAGTTGTCTGTGAACAAGTAGAACCAAAAATAAAAGTTTACCTCAGCTGGAAAAGATCATTCCCAGGTGATGGAGATTGAGAAGTGAGGTATTGTGGGTAGTTTATTTTTTTCTTTGCTTAGCTTTATTGAGTTTTCAGAATAGATTTGGGGTCTAAACTTTTAGTTTGTAAATAACTAAGGGAAATGATTTATTTTCCTTATCACATTCAAAGTAAAAACTGCTATTTGAAATGGTTATTTAATTAATATTAGAAATTATTTCTACTGTCCTCTCTAAAGGGTTTTCCTAAAATTATAGTTTTTAGAAATATCTAACACAGTTTCTATCCAGAGAAGTGTATTTATTATTTTATGAAGGAAATGCCCTTAAACTTGTGCCTACTCTATTTTGTAAGGAGTGTAAATTGCCAAGTTAGCATATGGTAGGCGTTGTAACAAATATTTGCCCCATTCCCTTGACATCCAATTTTACAAGTATGTACATAACTCTATGCAAGTTGCCGTTGAGAAGTTCACAGCTATTTGGAAGTCCAGAAATGCCACTTGACTTCAGGAAAAATCTGAAGTCTGTTCTGTGCAAAAAACAATAGTTTTTATTGCCTTTAAAATGGACCTTAATGCATGAGCTAACAGGTGTTTGTGGCTTCTGGATTTAAACCAACTTTCCATTATCTTAGTTTGGTTTCATAACAACCCACTAAGGTAAGAATAATTGCCCACCCCCCCACAACTGCCACCACTCCCTGCTCTTTTTTTTTTCATCACCCTGTTGTTATGGTGCTGATAGTTCCTTTTTAAATGTGATAAAAGTGGGGCTCAGAGAAGCTAAATTACATACTAAGGAGTTGATGATGTCAATGTGAAAACCCAGTGTGGTCTAAGTCACAGTTCTATAGGATGTGTGTAAAATACTTAGAGCATTGTCTAAGTATTGTAGGGGTGAGATAAATGTATTGTAGGGGTGAGACACATTTTAGGGGTGAGATAAAAACCAGTTTTCATTCCATTCTATTCCCTTTCTTGTGCTAGGAGCAGTAAATAAGCATCCTGCTGAAGTGAAGCTCTGAGAGACGTTGAACTGGTATTGGCTTTCAGCTACCTCTGCCTGCTGATGTGAATTTATTAGCTCAGTAAGCTCAGTAGTTTCAGGTTGTTGGGAAAGTGAAGGGTTGGGGGCAGAGGGCACTCTGTGGCATGGAGGAAAATCAATGATAATTTCTTTTTTTCTTTTTAAATTTAGATTTCACTAAATAGAGAAGGCTTTCAATTACCTTCTTTGGGAGTGAGGATTCAATTAGAGCAAATTTATAAAATTTTTCTATAGTTCATTTTGAAAAGTTTGACTTTGCTTATTAAAAATCATAGTCCAACATACCAAATAAGCAAAATATATGCTTTAAACTCACATACAACTCTCGTTCTTCATCTTTAGGTGATATACCCTGGCACAGATAAGACTTTGGGATATAGACAGTAAAAGCTGGTGGAAGTTGCTGAGCAAAATTGCTATTAGCAGTTTAATCACTTGTGTTAAATGCCACGGATATAATCCAAACTGGGGGCGGAGGGGGGAATTGCTTTCTGGAGTGCTGAACTTCAGCAGTTTTGTAAGCTTAAGAAATTTCTATCAGCAGAATATTTGGCTTTCAATCTTAGGTCGGTAAATAACATAAATAAGTAATACAGTCAAGTACTGTGATTCATAAATAGAATCAGAGTGTATGTCACTGATCCCATAATGTATGATTACTTATTTATGTTGCTTTTCAGGCCTAAGAATTATTACAGTTATCCCATGGTTGAATAAAAAAAAGTACTTAATGGTTGTTGTCCTGCCTTCCTTTGCTGAAATCATGGGCACCTTCCTCTGCACTTTTCCGTGCTTTGTCTCTGGAGTTGTCTCTGTTTTATGTTGTAGTTAAGTTACTAACCTTTTGGAAGTCAAGAAAGGCCACTCCTAAGATTTCTAGAAGCACCAGGCTTTTGTTTGTCCTACTTCAAAAGCATTTCTTTTTATTACCTGTAAAATGTACTTTAACCCAAAAGACCAAAAGGGTTTGTTGCTTCTGAACCTAAATCAGTCTTACAAAACCTGAGTGTTTCAGCTAGTATTTGATATTAGATTAGTGCTGACCAAAGATTTAAGTTTCTGGTGCAAATTTATTTCATTTGATTTCTTCCTCTGAGTTGTCTTTGGAATTCTTGTTTTTAATAAAGTTTCTAACTGTGAGCTTAAAGCAGTAAAAAACAGAAAGGAAGAAAAGAAGAATCCAGAATTCCTCTTCATGTATGGGTTAGGATAGGGCTGGCAAATATATATCATGTGTTGAAGTTGCTTTTCCTGTGCCTATGGCAGATACTGCTTAGCCACAATACTTTTTATTTCCTGCAGTTCTTAGGAACTTGAACAGTACCTGCCATTTAAGAGGCTGTTAACTAATTGTTCAATTAATGAGCTTGTGCTCTGTTTCCTGAAGTGAGTTGCAAGCCCTCTGAGAGCAGGTCGTCACTGTATCTGCTCTATTAAATGCAGTTCATCCCACGAAACTGCACTTCTAAATAGTTCAAACATTATTTTAAAATAGTTAAACTTTTTTTCTGTGAGGGGAAACAGTTGAATATGAGTATTTGCCTTCCATTTAAATATTGAAGGGGCGTGGCTTATTAAATGAGGTGGTAAAGGCAGCCAGAAATGCAGAGTGTAGATGTTTATTAGGCAGTGTTGAATTAGTAGAACAGTAAACCATCAGAAACCTAATTCAGGGGTAGGGAGAAAGTTATCTTTTGCCTTCTTTTTATTCCTTTAATTTTTTCCTGTAAAGTGAAGAGAACATAAGTTTTGAAGTCAGTTTATATTCGTGACTTCATTTTATTTTACTTACTTGCTGTGTGATCTTGAATGAGATTTGGAATTGTTATACTCTCCTTTACCCAGTTCACAAAGATTTAAAGTAGATATGATAGTTATCTCAGTTTATTTTTGAGAAAATCTAATGATATAACATAGGTAACACATTTCTGTTTTTTACTGTTCACATTGGAGGAGGGGGTGAGTAGATAAGTAGCAGCTATTCGTAAGAGATGACATAGAAACAACGTAAAATAGAAATACACCCATGCCCCAAACGTGTCTAATCTCTCACTTGCCCTTTTTAAATGACCTAAACTGTCTTTCTCTAAATTGCCTTTCTGCTTCTTTGTTCTGTCAGCCACTATAGAGTTGAAAGCAAATATGGACATCTGTGTTACTTTGATATTCAGAATTCTATATCTGTGCAACTCCTAGAAATGCATGTTCTCAAAGAGAGAACAGTTTTTTTTAGGAGATCTGTTGCCCCTTTTTGGTTCTTTAAAATGTATTGTATTATGAAGTGCTTCTTTTTTCAATATGGGGGGAAAAGAAATAGAGACAGAGCTGGGGGGGGTGGGGGGAGGAGAGAGAGAGACTGCTTCCTTTGCTTAATGTTATAAGTTTTATACACAACTGTACTGTTATTTCTTGCAAGTATTCTTGTATTTCATTAAGAGAGGTAATTTTTAAAGTGAGGCCAGGCTAAATATTATCTTATTATCTTATACATTGAAAAGTAAAGATATTCTAAGATTAAATTTGGTTGGTTTTCTCTAGGAATCTACATATGTACTAATTAATACCTTGCTTGCTTATTACCAAGTTCCTCTCATTTTACATTTATGCAGGCTTCAGTCAGAGCATCCTGCATTTAAATCTTGGATACAAGCTTCTTCCTCCTGACCCAGTTTAATGCTACAAGTATGAAGGGTGAAGGAGAGTACTTTGCATATTGGAGTCACTTGGGACTTGTGTGGGAAGGCTTTTGTTTTGCCTAATTTCACAAGGTGACAAGAGTTCACTCCTCAGCTGGAAGATAAACTTAGATAAATTAACTGAAAACCATTTTTCACTCTTTCTCACTTCACCTCCAACACACTTTCCTTTTAGAATGGCTTCTGCCTGTTCCTTTAAGTTCCTCCACTTGCCAAAAAAAAAAAAACGTAGATGACGCCTGCTGTCAAAATTTCATTTAGACAGAGAGCTATACTGTTTAAAAGGTAGAGACCCCCTACATTTTTATTCTGTGAAGGTCATATGATCTATGGCACAGAATAGTTAAGCCTCATTCATACTTGCCTCCTCATACCAGGACAGGGAATGTTCTCTATCTGTTTCTCTCTCTGAGCACCAGTGCCCTTAATTCTAAAATGAAGGGGTAAGGAAAAAATGTAAGAGTAAATATCACTAAGCATAATATGTAACATGTAAAAGCTCTGAATACATGGTAGTAATTAATGTTTGATATTTGTATATTATATATAATGATAGATGTTTTTCACTGATGTTTCCTGTGCAGTTAGCGGTTACCCAACTTTGTTGTAAGTTTTTCTAATGAAGCATTGATGACTTAAACTCTCTGCCTCAAATCCTATCTTTGGACTTATGTTGTAAATTAAAGGATTGTACATTCTTAATGTAGACCTGAGTTAGGATATTCTATTCTATTCTATTTATTTTTAAATGTATGTCCCAAATTTTACTGCAGAAAATGTGATCACTTTTTCCATAAATAATAAAAACAGAAAATGTCTCAAGTATCTTTTGATTTAACTAGCACTTATTGAAGGCTTTATCTGTACTAAGTACACTACATGAGACACCTCATTATCTTCGACCCTTCTGAAAGAAATAATTATTATTAACTTTGGGATTGGAAAGGAATCTAGAGTTCAGAGAGGTTAATTAATGACCAAAGTCACCTAGGCTTAAGGAGCTAAAGCAGGATTAAAATATAGACCTGTTTAACTGTTAAGCCCGTGGTCTTTCCACTTTACTACGCTGCCTTTCCATATCTAAGAATAATGTAAAATTACCTTTATAATTCATGATCATTTTTGTCAGCACAGTTTATCCAGAGTTGTAATGCCTTATAACCACAAAAGTATACATCTCACCTATGTAATATGTTCATTATGAATCATTATTCTGGTATCCAGGCTAAAGAAACAGCCCCTATGGTGGCTGTGAAAGTCTTCAGGCAGAGAAAAATAGCAAGAATGCAACTGTATGATGAGTCTTAAAGCTTCTTGTCAGAAGTGGCATATGTCACTTCTGCTCACATTCCATTAATCAAAACAAATCACATGGTCAAGTCCTATGTGAGTGGGGCAGGGAGGTATATTCCTCACACAGGAAGAAGGACAGTGATTATTTGGGAATTACAATAATCTACCATAAGATTATATATCATTATTTTTCTTGTCTAATTATGTTTTACTCAGGCTTATATAAAAATGTCTTTGTGTAACCTGAAATATCCACTACTGAGTGTGGTAGGGGACAGAGAGCCTGAGGCGGGTTCTGTTGAAAAGAGACTCAGCCAGAGACTCACCATTGATTTGGTCTGTCTAATGGACTACAGTATTATTGGGAAGTGATACTATGGAAATTGCATTGGCAGCATTAGTACATAGGGACTGTCCTGCCATTTCCTGAGTTCATTTCTTTCAGTGCTCTAAGCCATTTTTGAGCATACCAACACATAGCCGTACAATAAATGATTATTCTGCATTTTTACAGCATTCAGTAGAGCTTAAATTGTGTTTCTGAGATTATGTACTGGGCTAGAATTGTATTTTCAATTCAAACCAAGCTGATGGTATTAAGGTGATTCTATTGTGCCTTAGCTTTGGCACCTCCATGTCTTTATTTTTCCTCACTACTCTCACCAAAGGAGAATTCTTTTGGCTTCACTGGCAGATTAAATATGAGAAGATCAATGACAGGAGATGAGTATAGGTGGTAACAAGAGAGTAAAGTCAGAGGAAAATCTTTCATGTGATTCTTCTGTAAGTGCTCTTTTCTTTTATTTTTACTTACTGCTATTTATCCCTTTAAAATGGAATTCTCATTTCATTTCTTTCTACTGTCTCATCAGCTATTCTTATTCTGGTCTTCAACACTTTAGTCCTTGAATAAAGTGAAAGTCTCCTAGCTTGTCTTCCTGTCTTGAGTATCTTCCTCCATCCTTATTCATGAAAGATAACAGAAATGGCTGGAGAATTGTTTTGGCTTTAAGAACCAAAGTTACAAAATTCCTCACTGAACATATAGATGTAAAATGTTAGCAGCTCCAATGAAAGCCAGCCTATCCCACCCTGTCTGTTTTACCTAATGACACTTCCCTGCTTTCTTTCTCTCCTGCCCCTGCCTATCCAGTCCTTTTGGAGCCCACCATTATTCTCAGTTTTCCATCTTGGCATGGCTATTGGACATTCAATTTTACAAACGTTTCCACCGCCATGTCAAAAGTTGTCTATCAACCTTTATTATTTTATTTTAAATGTCTGACGTATTTAAGGCATGTATATAAGAGCATACACATGGCATATATCTACATTATGAAGCATAATAGTAAAATAAAAACCTATGCACCTTTCTACTCCCTATGTCCATGAGTTCAATTGTTTTGATTTTTAGATCCCACTAATAAGTGAGAACATGCAATATTTGTCTTTCTGGGCCTGACTTGTTTCATATAATATAATGATCTCCAGTTTCATCCATGTCGTTGGAAATGATGGAATTTTTTTTTATGACCACCAGTGAATAGAAAAAAATGGCTCTTGGTCTTTGTTTCAAAGTCTCTAAGTTTGTATTTCTGACCTGGGCTTTTTTTTTTTTTTTTTTTTTTGACTGTATGTACTCAGTTCCAGCCTTATTATCATGTTCCCAGTGCTTCCATCAACTTCCACCGTTCCCAAAGCTTTACCCTCTGGCTGCCATCCTGCCATGCTCTTCTGCCTAACTCTTGGAATGGGGATTTCATCTCCTATACCCAGTCTACTCTTCCAAAAATTCTACTTTGATCAATCAATATTATCCTCCTAAGTTCAAAAATCTAAATTGCTTCTGTGCTTCCTATTGACTAAAGAATGAACACTGTCTGGATTTTAAACACCCCATGAAATCACATCAGAATTGCATCAGACATAAATTTTTTTTTTTTAGTTTTTCTAGCTGGTTTCTGAGCTGTCTTCTAGTCATTGTAAATTCCCATTCCTGTCTCTGTGTAATCACTGTCCTATCTAGCCCATTTTATTACCATGATGCCCCCTCGAACACGGTGTAGTGAGAGACTTTAACATAAGGAAAGTTTGAATGTTGACCCCATCACTTACTATCTGTGTGACTTTGGTCAATTTATATGGTCACTCCTTACTTGTATGATCATTTCCATTTTCCTCAACTATATATTGAGTTACTGTGCTCTGCGGTATTATTAGTGATGAAGCAGGTGGTTTCTTTAGAGGCCGTACCACACCACAGTGCCAGCTATATTGAAGATAGTAAAAAAATTGAGTTTTGTTAATACTCTTCAATCCAGTCTCTCCCCTGTCACACAGAAAAACCTTGTTAGAAAGTCTATCTCCATTCTTTACTGAACATCCAGGCTTAGACTTTACCATATAGACAAGGAGAAATATTGAAAGATTTTGAAGAAGTAATTAGAAAAATAAATAAGATTTCCTGTTGAGAAGGTTAGTCTGGTTATTGTGTGGAGGAAGGACCAAAGAAAATTGAGAGTAGAGGCAAGGCAGCAGCAGAGGTTGTCCTGGTTAGAAAACATGGCACCTCACACCATGGCAGTGCCAGTGTGCCCTCTATGCAATCAAGTTCTCTACCATGTGAGGCACAAATGAATAGAGCACTGTCTCTAGACTCTACCAGGGCCCCAAAATAGGCCTGGACTAAGTAGCTTGGGCATAAATGTTCAAGTTAATAAAGGTAAATAGAGCATAGCTTGCTGAGAAATAATATTTCTGATACTGAGGAATTAAAGAACAATTCCAGAAGGAAATTGCAGTTGTTTGTTTGGCAATGGGAGCACAGAACTACAAGCTATGTGATTGGAACGAGTTTGTATTTTTGCCTCCGAGGCTCTCCTAGACCATCTCTTACACTTTAGCAAGGCTGTTGATGTGGAATGGATTCTGGAAGTCAAAGATTTAAGCAAGTTAGTGGAAGTTAAAAGGGGGAAGGCTAATAGGTACAAAAAAATAGTTAGAAAGAATAAATAAGGCCTACTATTTGCTAGCACAAAAGAATGACTATAGTAAATTCTAATTTAATTGTACATTTTAAAATAACTGAAAGAGTGTAATTGGATTGTTTGAAACACAAAGGATAAATGCTTGAGGTGATGGGTACCGTATTTAACCTAATATGATTATTACATGTTGCATGCCTGTGTCAAAATATTTCATGTAACCCATAAATATATATACCTACTATCTACCCAGAAAAATTAAAAATTAAGAAAAGATAGAATGCATGGTGAGGAGCAAAAAACAACAACAAACCCCCCAAAAATAAACACTGAGGGTGTATGTTATATATCAAACCATTAAATGTTTTTCTGGTTTGGAGGAGTGGGACTGGAGATGCTGAGATAAGGGAAAGGATGGATTAGATCCTGTATGAGAAAGGGTAACAAAACAGCATTTACAGGGTAATAAAAGAAGAGAAAGAAAACATTCTGTGACTGACTGATGAAGAAGGTGAACAAGTGAGGCAAGGGATATGTCTATGGAATAACAGTAATTGAAATGCTATATGAACCAATATAATTTTTGCATCCTGCTGGTTTATAATGTAATTTGAAACAACAATGATGCTGAAGAGGAGTTGCTGGAATCACCTGCTAATCCAAACAGACTACACAGTGAGGATATCTCTGGATGAGATGGTTGCCCTCAGTAATTATAGGAGTCTGAAATGTGTCTGACAGGCAGAAGAGAAATAGCAATATAAACACCAGCGGGAGTCAAGAAATACAACTTTATCACAGCTTACGGCATTCCTGAACTTAATTGCTTTTGGATTTTTTAAATAGTTCATTTCTCAGAGATGGTGTCTCTTTAAGAAGAAACAGGGTCATTAAAAGGATCTTATTAAGTCAAGAACCCATGGAAAATTTCCAAGGTCCTCATGACTTGCAGAAGCCTCTGTTGAGTGTGTGTAGTTTGTCAGCTCGGGCCTTAGGAATGTGAAAGGACAGTAAATTCTGTCTACCTTCACTTCCTCATTGTACCAATACAAATACAGTAAGATGATCTGATCACAAGACTTCAGCATGTGAGCATTAAGCTGACATTCAAACTCAGGTCTCCTAACACCTGGGCCTGAAGTCCAGTCCAGGGTGTGCTATATCACACTGTGCCCAGAGCTTGAGCAGATGATTCCCCACCAAACATTGTTTCTTCCCGGAGACTGTCTCTCAGAAGAGTAAACCATAATAAATAGGTGATGAAGTGAGTTAATGGTAATAAGTAGGATTTTCAATAGTGTTTCTCACACCCACAGTGATTTTTCCTTACAGTTCTAAAGATTCCAAATGTCAAGAGCCCACAATCAAGGTCAGTTTGGATAGGAGCAATGTGTCTCGTGGAGAACAAATGCTTAATTCCCTATAATATGGGAGATGTGGCTGAGGGGGAGGCCACCTGCTAAAAAGAGAGCCCTGGTATGTTGCCACACATGCACTGTGGGCGTCTGGTAATTGTTAGCTCTGAGTGTTGCGACACTTAAGCCTGAGCCACACATTTTGCCTATGACCATACACAGCCTATGTGGTCTTCACAACATGGCCAGTGGCATCAAGCAACTCTGAAGAGCCTCTGACAAGATGCAAAACCTTTCTGAGCCTCAGTTTTTCCATACAAATGGGAACAATATGACCAAGTTTGCTGAGCTGTCATAAAGATCCTGTGAAAACAGGTGAAGGTACCCAGCAGGATGACTTATCAGTTGGTAGCTTTCTTCTGATTTTCATGAATAAAAAGCAACCTTCTCAAGAATAGAGCATACAACACCTCCAACATCACTTACTAAATTTCTGCCCATAAATCATCCCAAATAAAGAAATTTATCTTTGTAAACCCCATAGTATTTACTGTTTAAAATCAAACATTTCACAGTTACTGAAAATCTCTTTTTTTGTTAGCTATGTGTTTCTAATTTTAACATTGTTCTCTTCTCTTAGAGATCAGTAGCTGTGCCTCAAATCCTCTGAATCCTCCATAGCACCTAGTATAGAATGAGGACCTCATTAAATGTTTATCAGCTGCCTGAATTTGTAAAGATGTGAGCAGAAGATAAGGACACAGCTTGAAGTTAGTGTTTCTCTTGCTAGGCTGCAGTTCTGCCTGCAAAGTGTTTGGTTGCTAGGATTGCTAGGATTTTAGATTTGCTATTGGTGAGAGGGACATACAACAAGAGTTGAGTTTTGGACAAGAAGGAAAGAATGCTGTTGAAACCCCCAATGCCAGTTTGTTAGTTCCAACCTCTATACAGAGATTGTTTTACTCCTATTAGTAACTCACTCAAGTGCTTCTCACAATGCCTAGAACATAGTAATCACTCAATCAATATTTTTTGCAGTAATGGACAGAGCCGTGCCACCTTTTTATATTTTTATATCTTATATAGTCATGCTACCAATTTTATATTAAAATTGTATCTTTGTGTGGTTTATTCATTCAGCAAATATCATTGAGTATCTACTATGAGCTAGACACTATTCAAATGACTTATGTTCTAAAGCAGTGAACGAAACAAACAAAAATCCCAGATGATGGAAGTTACATTCCAAATAAAAAGAAATATGGAACTTTTTTTTATGTTGAGTGATGATATATGTGCTATGGAGAAAATAACTGGGCTCGGCAGGGGAATATGAAGTGTGTGTGTGTGTGTGTGTGTGTGTGTGTGTGTGTGTGTGTGTGTGGATATACAACCATCCCATTCTAACAGGATGGTTCAGGAAGGCCACTCTAAGAAGATAAGATTTGAGTAAAGATCTGCAGGAAGTGAGAGGTCAAGCCACATATTACCTAGGAGAAAGTAGAGGGAATAGCAAGTAAAAAGGTTAGAGGCTGGAGTATGTTTGGCATTTTCAAGGAGCAAACAGGCCAGGCTGGTGTGGCTGGAGGAGAGGGGTAAGTATGAACACAGTAAGAGACAAACTCCTATTATATTCCTATTCTTATTATATATAGAAATGTATGTATTCCTTTAATATATTCAATTCTATAATACTAGTAGGTCATTTTAAGGACTTGATGGCATTCTTTAGTAGATTTCTAAAAGTCAGGTGAAAATTTGCATATCAGATGCACAATGTTATTCATTCATTAATTTGTTTATTCCTTCCTCTTCATCAATTTACTATTTGATGAGTGTTTATTGAACACCTTTAATTAGAACTTATATTTATTGAACACTCACTATATGCTAAAAAGATGTTTTACATACATGCATTTTTAAATTACCCTTATATAACCTAATAAAGTAACTACTTTTATATGTGCTGCTATTTTCAGATGAGGAAACTGATATATCAAAACTACTTTTAAATATATTATCTGTCTTCAAAGGCTTCATTATTTTACAAGGGAATTGAGATAATTATACACGTAGTGTACAAAACAGTTTATAAATACTGTGGCTCAATTAAGTTAGGAGAATTTAGACAGAGGATCAAATAACAGTACCTTTTACCCATTTAATCCCTTGAAAATATAATTCTGGTGAAAGTATTTTTTATATCCTCATTGTATTTCTGAAAAGTGTAGACATGTGTCAAGGTTTCCAAAGACCAGTCCTTCTCTCTCCATAAGAAAATACAATGTAGTTTATAAATACTACCATCTTAACATCTTAAGAGAGAAACATAGTTCTTTGAAAGCTAGTTCCTGTGACCCTGCCATTTAAGCTTGACAGTTTCTTTAAACTTCACAGATCTCAGCTTCTGAAATGAAGTCTAGATTAAGATGATTCCTAATGTTTCATAAACAACTTTTGAGGCGAGTTTAAATTTTTGGAAAATAACTAAATGGACTTTAATAATTGAGTTTAGTGCTTTATCACATTTAAACCACTTTCACAATCCTTATCTAATTAATTATTCATACTCTTTTCCTATTAATCTGTTTTAAAAAATAAGCTTACCCCTCCTTCCAATTATCATTTGCCAGTCATTTCAGTTACCTTAAATAGGTAATAAATGTCTTGATTTTACCATTTATAAAATGCTGTATCAATGCAACTGGGAGTAGGAGGAGGAGTTAATTAGTTTAATTAACTAATAAATAATTGAAAACACTTTGCCACATAAAGTGTTTTGGACATTCAAAGAGACTAGATGTGGCTCTTGTGCAGAGGTAAACTACTGTGACAGAGTTGCCACTTATGGGCCGTATCTTTTGGAGGGCAAAGGATATTATTTACCAAAATGGCTTTCTCTCATAATTTTGCTGAATAGTAAAATATTGCTTCTGTTTACCAGTATGTAGCACATCTAATCAAAAATAACAATAGCATTTGGCAGTGAATTTTTTATAGGATATTTTGAATTTTTCATCAAATAGTCATCTAATCAACCTAGACTGATCATCTGCTTGTTTCTTGTTTGATATGATTAAAAAAAGTTAGCATTGTTTTCCATCCTGTAATCTCCATATACCAAGCCAGACAAGCCCTATCTATATTCAGTAAGACAAATCATTTATCTTGCTTTTTCTTTTATGTTTCTAACTCTTTGTAATACACAATGGGTTATCAGTTCCAGTGGCAAAGAATCTTCTACATTGGAAAGGAACTCAACAACAACAAAAAATGACTAGAAGTTTAACCAAAGTTGTTTTTTTGTTTTTTTTGTTGTTGTTGTTTTTTTTTTTTTTACATTGTATGAACCATAGGTGAGCAAACTATACATAGGAGCTAAATCTGGCCCACCACCTGTTTTTGTACACTCTGTAGGCTAGACATGTCTTTACACTTCTAAATTGTTGAAAAACAATCTAAAATAATATTTTGTGAAACATGAATGTGACATAACATTCAAGTTTCAGTGCCCATAAATAAAGTTTTATTGGAATATGGTCACGTTTATTCATTTATATATGGCTTCTTCTACTCTATAATGACAAGGTAGAACAGTTACGATGGAGACATAGGGCCCAGAAAGCCTAAACTGTTTTCTATCTGCGTTTCATAAAGTTTTTTGGCCCCTAGTACAGATCATGATCAGAGTTCTTTATATTCATGAATCATAAGATTGTAGTAAGTGAAAGTGGTCTGTCTTTGGGAAGACACAGTTGTTCGTCTGTTGTCTCTTTTACTTTGGAGGAGAACTATTGTTTAGCACTCAAATGAAATTGCTTTGGAAAAATGATTATCATTAAGTAAAAATTTAAAACATACTAATTTATACGGTACATTCTTGTGTCACATTTGATTTTTTTCTGCATTTCCTTATATTTTATTTGTTCATTCATTCATTCTATTATAATCTACTGCATTTACAGTCTATCTACTCCATGCCAAGTTTCTAGGGTGGTAGAACACTTGATCTTAGCCAAAAGGCTGAGAAACAATTCAGGGTAACACAAAGTAGAATGAGAAAGAACTCAGCCCTTGCTAAATTCACAGACTATGGAAGAAGAGACTCATTGGAACAAGTAATTACAATGTACTGTGAGAAGTGTTTCTCTTATTCTATGTGAAAATCCCATAGGATCATAAGGAAAAGAATAATTCCTTACAGAAGAGTGGGGCTCGGCTTCTCAAAAAAAAAAAGGTATTTCACTTTATCTGAAGGATAAATACTGATTCTGCATGCTTGAAAGTAGAAAATATCATTTTAGGAACAGAAACCAAGGTGCACTGGACAGAGACATAAAAGAATATGGGTGTCCAGGGAATGTCAAGGAAGACTATATGGCTGGAGTACAAATTTCATCAAGGGAAAAATTTGAGGATAAGTTTGGAATTTGGAGGAAAAGATTGTGTAAAGCATTGTCTGTGAGTCCAGGGGATTTTTCCTGTATCCTTTGGGCAATAGAGAGCCAACAGAGATCCTAAGAGGGGCAAAGCGTGATTACCTGTACACTTTTCAAAAGCACTCCAGCAGCAATGTAGAAGATAAAGTGGAACAGAAAGAAACTGGAAAGGGATACTGGTTATGAGGCTGTAACTATAGTTCAATTGAGAGTTAAGGGTCATTGTGAAGTAAGGCCATCACAAGGAGGTTATTGAAAAGTAATAGATTGTATTGCTCCATGCCTTTATATTAAAATCAGCTTGAGCCCTGATAATGGTTCTGAATATCCTAGATTTTAATCTTGGGAGGTAGAAGAAGGGAGTCCTGCTGGTATTTCCAGTATTTGGTATAATGGCCTTAATTGCAGTTGTATTTAATTTACAGTTGTACATTGTCTTGTGGATCTCTGTGCTTTTAAATCCACAATGAGAAGAGGCCCTACATCTAGTATGAGGGGCTGCTCTGGCCTGGAAACCCTGGTTCTGAAAAGTAGAATTTTTCCTGGAAATCCTACCTCTTTGTAGCAGATTCATAAATCTCCAGGTAAGACTATGTGGACACTTACCCAGACAGGTCTCCAGATGTGCTGGGGAGCTTTCACTCCTACAGTAATGATGCTGCAGCTCTGTTCAGGTTTCTCCTCATGGCTGTATGGTACACCCCATGTGATCACTTGTCAAGCTGTGGAATTCAGCTGCTGCCACTTTCATTCCTGAGCTTCAAAGCCATTTGGCTAAATCTGGGCATGTGCTGTCAGTGTTTCTAACATCCCCAGTGAGGCGGTAACTCAGCTATCTGAGGTTTCCTGTTAAATTCTTCTCCTTGGCAGGTCAATGGGTAATTTAGTTGATGCTTCATTTTATCTGGATTTGAAGAGTGAATCTGGGTATTACAGCAGGCTCGGATTGTAGAGTGATTTTTTTTTTATCAGGTTATCTCCATTGTCTAAGAGATCATGACAATGCCAGGCATATAGGCATGAAAAGGGCTCATTTTCAGCCGATGGAGTGTTAGAGAGTGATGTTAGAATCTCAAATATTCACCTGTGACATTTGAATCTGAAGAGGACTGGTGAAGGCTTTTCTCTTCTCAGTGTCACTGAAGAAAAACCACTGCTGACATGCACTGGAAGTCCTGGCAGGCTTCCAAGACTTAAGAGAGTTGGCTTTTTCTGTGAGGTGACTAGTTTGCCCAGTTTTGACACAGGAAGAAGCAGTAGCTTTATATAACAGAAACATCATAGACTTCAGAGTCAGGTAGATATAGGTTTAAATACCACATACTTTCTATTGTGAGACTTACAGCAAGTTGATCTTTTAGAGGCTTTCTTCTGTTCTCTGTGTACCTTTACTAGATTGTTGTAAGCATCAAACGAAATTGTGTGTGTGTGTGTGTGTGTGTGTGTGTGTATTTGTGAGTGAGGGAGTGTGGGCCAGTGTATGTATGTGTAAAAAGGCCCTGGTGGAGTGCCTGGTGAGTCGTGGGCTCTCATTAAATGTATTAGCTTCTGCCCACCTGTGAAACAGATGGCTGATCTCAGCAATGATGATAATGGACTGCCTGGAAATTATGAACATGACAGTCTCATCCATATCCGAGAAGAAGGCATTGTGGCTCAATCAAAAAGTTCTGAATTTAGAGGCTGAAGATCTTAGCTTGATTCATTAGTCTGCCACTCAAGATGAGTATTTGGGCAAGTCATATACCTCTGTAATTCTCAAGCCCTGTGTCTATAACATATGTACCTTATAGGATTAAAATACACAGTGAAGTTTCTCTAGAGATAGACCTAATTTTTGTGTGCCTGAGCTTTCTATAACTTGGCATAGAAAACTTTAAGAAAAAGAGCACAAATTGTAATTACAAAATTAGATACAGGGCTTTGTAAGGGGTTCATGCAAGTAAGAGACCTTCTTTAGCTTCATGGTAAATGTCTCTGAACTTCTGGCTTGTTAAGTATATTTATATAATATATTTAATGTAAGAAATATTTATTGGAGATGTTAATGGAAAATAAATATAAATTTATTAATATAACAAGCCTAAGGCTTATAAATAATAAATGGGAAAGTTATGGGAAGAAGAGAGAAAGAACTCTATTGAGGGTTTTTATTTCTTAAAAAATCTAAACCAAAAAAGTTTCCTATAGCTTTATGCAGGGCACTTCCATTTCGAAACATACATTTACTGACTATGTAAGTGCTCGGCACTGTGCTAGGCATAGGAAGAATAGAATATTTCTTGGATGAGTAATAAATAGAGACAGAATTTCCTAAGGGCAGAATGCCTGCCAGTCATTGTCCTCTACGTGGAAGTGTTTGAATTCTGCAGTGTGCCTTGAAGTCATTCTCCTCTGATAGAGAAGTATTATGAAATAGTATAGAAATATTTCAGAGCTCAAGAGTTGTGAGGCATCAGTTAAGATTGTTAGGAAGATGTATTTATTTTTTCATATATTCATCATCTGTTTGGCATATGCTAGTACTCAGGATTGAGGGGAGCACTAGGAATCTGTTATTAGTAATATTAATATATAATTGTTATGATTATTTTAGAGAAGAAAATATTCTCAGAAGAAGACCTCTTCCTATTGTCCACTGAATTATGTGATCACAGATTTACTTGTATTAGCACCCAACCCTTTCTCTTTCCCTCTGGTTTCAGAAATGTCTTGTTGAAGGGAAATTCCTCCCATCTAAGCAGGAGATGATTTTTTGATGACATTCAAGGTGAGGACATCTTCCTGCCAAAGTAATCGTCTTCACCCATTACTAGTTGAAACCATTGTTATACCTTCACTAGCAAATTACTGTAGAGAATACATAATATGCATTAACCTAAAAGTAGAATAATATGATCATTCTCTCCCAGACTCATAAGCTGCAGGTGGCTGGAGTAATCTTCTTTGTCAACTAGTATTCAGAATCTACTGGCTAGAATCCAAGAGAGTTTTATAGATGTTCTCTCTAAAACAACCCCCTAAATCTGAGATGTAAGCTTAAGAATGTGTATCACTTGTTTTCTTTCATGCTGGGCACATCTAGAGCTCTTCCTGGATTGAAAAACAACAACATAATATGAGTCCTTACTCTAAGCCTAAAGGGGCTGCTTTTTTCAGGACCTAGGTAGGTCCTTGGTGTACAGACAGCTTTGACTCCGCATCACCTTCAGGAGGGCCCTTTTGCTTTGCATGATCTTTTACTGGCACTTATATTGAAATGGAAGCTGCCTAGAAAAAGTAACTTGCTTTGAGCCACTCAAACAGTTCAACTGAAATGGTTCCTGCACAATGTAAGCATCAAATTAGGCACCAATCAGAGAGAGTGCTTGTCCTCTTTTAAAAGATTGCTCTGAGTGCCTAATTTATGATTCCATACTTCATTAAGCGAAACTCATGTTTGCATGGTGCTTTACAGTTTACAAATTACTTTCACATCCATTATCTAATGTGCTCTTAGGACTAGTTCTTCTGTAGTATAATGTAATAGGAAGTAGGTAATAAAATGGGTAATGGGATACCTATTTTACAGATGCAGAAACTGACTCTCAGGAAGGTTAGATGACTTGGCAAAGACCATATGGTAACAGAATGGCAGTAAATGTTGTATATAAGCTATTGAAGTCCAAAATAATTCTCATTTCATTATACATAGTTTTGCTTTTGGTTTACAGTTTACACAGAGATTTCATGTATATTATTATTTCTGAGGCAATTTGACTGTAATGGTTGGGGATATGAGTTAGATCTTTATTTTAGTTCCAGCATCATTATTTACTAGCAATGTGATCTTGAGCAAGATACCTCACTTCACTGAACTCTGTTTCCTTCTTAGTGAAGTGAGGGTAATAACAGCTTTCTTGCAGGGCTGTTATATGAATTAGAGATTCTGTATATAAGGTACATAGTACAGATTCTTGCACCCAGTAAATGCTCAAAAATAGTAGCTGCCATTTTTGTTATTAACCATTCTATGAATCAAAAAATGTTAGACCACTTTGAAAATTAGAACACCGAGACCATGTGGAAAAGAAGAAGAAAATTCATTAGATTTCAAACGGCCTTAAGATAAAACAGTCTCTGTGTATGTTACCAAGATTCTTGGCTCTATTTGATCTGAGATGAAGGTATTTAACAAATTGTACTCCAAGGTTTTCCAGTGGCCAGTTTAGTTTTCAGATGAATGGAGACAGGAATAATAAAATGGTACCAGTTGTTTCTTTTCTCTGCTCCTCTGGAGGCAGCCCCTACTCTGTCTACAACTTTAATAAATCAAACTCATCCTACTATTGAATCAAGTTCCTTTTGCTTCAGGTGGCAGAAAACGTATGGAGCAACTCAAAAAGGTGTTGCATTTGTAATCTAAAATGAGCCAGCAACCCCCTGGTGCCACTCTATGATGCAGAGCTTTTGAGACAGTATAACTGTTGAGATGTGTTACTTCCACTCATTTGTCCTTACCCCCAAACACAGGCATCCTGGCAGGACAAATGAAAGTTGTTTGCAGCAAACTGAAAGAGTAACAGCCAATATCAGCGTCATCCCTATTGGGCAATTGCTACATTGGAGCCTGATACATGAAAAATGCAATGGATGCACTTTAGGCTCAAGATGAGAGAAGGAAATGGCTTGAGACCCCACTATGAGGTGGCACACTATGTTTAACAGCTCCAGACCCTCTCATCATAACCCATTTTATGCATTCCTCCCAGTTAATAGATGTGAGCACTGGGGCAGATAATCCAAGATTCATTTATATATGGCTTTGAAAATCATTAAATGCATTTTTCGGCAAATTGACCTTCTTAATTTAGTTTTCCTTAGACTCTTAATTTTCAAGTAATTTTCTTCTTAATGAAGGATATCTCTAGCTGTCTCTAGGATCCAGGAAACAATTCTCAAGATGTCATTCTTTTAAATTTACTTTAAACTAGCGATTCATATAGCATATGAATAATATTGATTTACCTACTGCTTATGGAACATCTACAATATACCAGGTGCTAGGATAGCTTCGGTGATGCAGCAGGTAAAGATTCCCCAGGTTGGTGATGGAAGCAGAAACGTTTCATGTAATTATGTAAGCCAGATATTACTGACACCTTCTGCCCCTTGGAGATGTCATCAAATTTTGACTAAACCAGGATTCCATGTCCTGGGACAGTCAAAAACTCTCCTCACAATTTCTTCTAGTTTCTCTAAGTTACTTTCTATTCCTTTATTCCTCTAGTGTTTTCTGTATCCATATGGCTGTTTTCCTCTCTCCTAGTGAGTGCAGATATAAAGCAAAGCCTCTTTCTTAGTTTATTCCTTAAATTGTATTTCCTACAAACAGTTTGAGAGTTGAGTGACTTTGTGAACTAAATAGTCACAGTGAGGAGGAGGTCAAATTTGAGATCATGAGACTTTCCTACTGTCTTGCTCTCCACCTTTGCCTCTGGTGCTGGTTCCCTAATGCTCCTCTTCCTCTTCCAAAGCCTTCTCTTACTTCTCTTTCAGCATATACTCCCCTTCTCTACATGTCTCCCAGAAAGCAGCCCCATCAGGCAAAGCATCTATATGTTAAATAGGCTCATCAAAGCATGTCTTCAAAAAATAAAGCAGACCTTTTACTATGAGAGATTTTCCTGAGCAAATAACCTCTTTCCATATTGTTATTATTATAATACGACAGTGTGAGTGTAATGAATAGCAATGTAAGAGTATAGCAAAGCACAGAGAAGGCATATTTAACTCAGGGTGACCCTAATGAATGAGTGAAGTTGGCTAGACAAATGCAGGAGGTGGGGGTGAAGTGGGGAAGTAGATCCTTCTAAGCAGAGGAACAAACATGAACAAACATAAACATCTATTCAGAGATGAGAAGCATGATGCATGGAGAGAACTGCACGTAATTTAAGGTGTTTCAGAGTATGAAGGCTGTGGAGGGAGGGAGTGGTAACAGTGGGGGCTGGAAGGCAAAAAGGGCTGGGTCAGGGAAGGCCTAGACTCTCATGTTAGAAAGGCAGTGGGGAGCCATGCCCTATGGGCTTGCGTATTGGAGAGACATGGTGAGATTTCTGTTTTGGATTGATCACTCTGGTAGCTATGGGTGTCTGAAATCCAGTGATCTAGAGCAGAAAAAGCCTAGATTACTGTCTAGTTCATAACCAGTTTACTTTTAAAAGGAAAGATTTGAGGTCCCGATAGCGACTTTCTCCATTGCATACCAGTTACACTAGTATGCTCATCCACTGCTCAACGTGCTGGGTGTAGGCTCAGAGACTCCTTGGCACAGTCTCTAACTAATTCACATGAATGATCACAGCTCAGCAATCCACTGCAAACTTTCTTTGAGGGGAGTCTTGGAAAATGAGAAACAAATGTAAAAAATCTACAAGCGCATTTCGCTAAAGCCACAGCAGTGTAATTTTAAGAGGTTACTTTTTCATAATAATGTTTTAGGAATCAAATAGACTATTTCTCCTAAGGGGTTACTCTGCAGGAATATAGTGTAGAAACAAGAAAAATGTATTTTCTTTTCCTTTCTGTTACAGCTTCTGGCTCTGAAATGAGCACCATCCTATTTCCAAATGATAGAAGAGCAAGAAAAGTTAGTCTCTTTCCAGTGAGAGGTGTAGAGGGAGGGGGGAAATTAACACTGGGGTACTGAGAAGCTGAGTAATAGAAAAAGTGTTCTATTAGGTTTGTAATCACCATTAGAGAAGCTATGTGTCTTCACATCGTTTAAATACGTAATGTGTAAAGAATCCAGGAGAACCATGGATGGAGCCAGTGCTTAATGAGGACAACATCCCCAAAAGACCCATTCTATGTCATTCTGAGACCTGCCTGGGGTTGTCTCAATATCTGTTATTCCACCTGCATTCTCTGTCAGCGATTCCCCATCAATCTGGACATATCTTTGAGTCCCACACCAGCCTTTTTCTTCTCAGTCTTAGCTCTTTTCTCTTTTTTATTTTCCTATACATTGCAAAGAATAGTGGAATGAGTTTGGGTCTTAGAGTAGAAAAACATGACTTTCAATGTTAGTGCTATTATTTTCTAATCAGGTATCTTTGTGGTTGGGAGGGTGTTAATCATCTTCTCTGTACCTCAGTTATCTCCTCCGGGAAGTTCAGAGTTGCTGCCATTTCTCAAGGGGTTGCTATGAAGGTTCATTATAATGGATCTAGAAGGCTAGGATAGTGCCTGGCACATTAGTGCTCAATGGCAACCTCTCATAGTGTTACCCACAGGTAAATTTAGCTCAACACCAGGACCACTCCTCAGGCCTACATTTGTGTGTGTGTGTATGTGTGTGTGTGTGTGTATGTATTTAATTTTGTAAAAAGATTAAACCTACAATAAATGAATGGAGTTTCTGGAATCCTGTTTCTCATCTATATATTCACTCTTATATATGCCAGTGGATCTAGAAGCCTTTTTAAGGATAAACAGCCTTCCTATTAAACATCAAGAATGAGATTGATGTAACTGGGTGGATAACCGCTCTCAAAAGACCAACAAGACAAGGGAAAATTTCAGCTCCGTTTGGTTCCAGCCTTGTAGTATGAGGCAGGAATTGTGGCCACACAGTGAGCCAATGAAAACGACAATTGCATCACATCACACCACCATATGGAACTTCAATTTGCAGATTGCAGATACCACTGCTCAGTCTTCTTAACCCAATCATAAATGTTGTGTGTTCTCAAAGAGTTTCACATTTCCAACAGGAGAGAGGTGCTGATATAGGCTAAAAGAGAACCACCCAGAGGCTGTGACATTTAAAAGTCAATGTTGTTTTAAAGAAGCATTCAGGGGATGTTGCCAACATTTATATTTCATATTGCTGTGGAATTGCTTTCATTTCTGTCTCACTTAGGTCTCTGTATGGTAAAGATTCCTACGTTGCTATGGAAAATATGCACTTAAGCTGACTGCTATGGTAACTAGTCACATATGGTGGAGAGGCATCACATGACACAGGATTTGCATAACTAATTTGAGCATTTTAGTGAACAGTGCAATCTGTGCATAGGAGGCTAAGCAATCTGAGGCTTTAAAAAAATTTTATTGTGCACACAAAAGTATCAGATACTATTCTGTGCTTTTACATTGTAAGTTAGTTGTTGACTCATCTCTGACCAGGCATCAATCCACACAGTATGTGCCTATAAAGGTGCAAGTATGTTTGTGAGTTTATAAAGTTCAATTATTCCAGTATTTTACAGTAACATTTTATTTATCTGGAGTTCAAAGTCTTAAGCCTCTTCTTCTCAACATGAGAAAGATTTAAGTACATTTCTATTAGTTTTCCACAAATTTAATTCAACTTAATTTAATAAATATTTGAGGTGCTGCTGGATAATGCTGGATCATATTTGTCTGGATCATGCTGTTTCTATCTTCAGTGTCTGAAACGCTTTTATCTATATCTTAACCTAGAATAATGACTTACACATGGTAGACAGAGAATAACTGTGGAATTATAAATAAGCTCAGTTCTGGGGCCATGTTCTCTGGGAGCATTCCACGACACCCTTGTGCCTGGCTGGGTTAGGTTCCCCACTCACTGTATCTTCCTGTGATACTCTGTTCATAGCTCCTGAATAAAGCAGAACAATTCTACATTGTTCTAAAATTGACAGTTTTGAAGAATCTGCCTCTCTAATAGATTCTGAGCTACTTTATAGAAAGAATATGTGTCTTTTTCACATTTGAATATCTATGGCCTAGCATAGTTTCTATCACAGAGTAGGCATGCAGTACATATTTTTTAAATAAATAAATGGATATATAAATAAGTGAATGAATGGTAAGCCTATCAGTCATATAGCTACATATAATCATGTGGGGGAGAAATGTTATTCAGGATCTCCTATTTTCTCTTTTTTAAAATAGCCTACATCTCCCTTATAAGATGATGAGACTAGGGGAATGGCCTAATTGTCTTTGTTGTTAGTATCCTCATCCTAATGTTATTTTCCATGTACAAAACAAAAAAAAGTAAGACTGACTGAATAAAATGACACTGCTTTCCCTCCTTGGCACTCTCATATCCAAAGGTTTATGTTACTATAATGAAGGCAGAATGCACCTAAACTCACTTGAGGTCCTTATTGCACTTTCTCCTACTCCCCTACTGTGTGTGCACAGCAGGGCTAGCATTGGAAGAGCCATCCTCTTGCTCCCCTCTTTTTCACTCTGTCACAGAAACATACTCATGCATATGCACACATGCATACCTTATATACCAGCTGGTGGTTGAATCAGCTACAAGAAGTACAGGAGGTGAGGTGGAAGTTGGGGAATGACAGGGAAGGAAATTTTATTTAAGTCATCACTTTAGTAAATTAAGTTTATTTTGAGATACCTATACATTCACATGCAGTTGTCAGAAATAATACAGAGCGTTAGATCCCCTATACCCTTAACCCTGTTTCCCCCAATGGTAATGTCTACAGCACAATATTACAATCAAAATATTTACACAGTCAAGATGAAGATAACTTTCTTTATCACAAGGACCCCACATGTTGTCCTTTCATTGCCACACCCCCTTCTCTACTTTTAGTCTCTTCTTAATCTCTGGGAACCACTGATCTGTTCTCCATTTCTATAATATCGTCACTTTAAATAATGTTATACAAATGAAATCATCATACATTTGAGATTTTTTTTAACTCAGCATAATATTTTGGAATTTCATTTAAGATATGTGTATCAGTAGTCTGTTACTTTTTATTGCTGAACAGTATTCCATGGTACTGACACACTGCAGCTTGTTTAATTATTCTCTCTGAGGTTGTCTGAGTTATTTCAGGCTTTTGGCTATTGTGAATAAAACTATTTGAACATAAGTTTTTATTTCTCTAGGTTAACTACTAGGTTATTTGTTAATAGTTGCATGTTTTGTTTTCAAAGAAACCTCCACACTGTTTTCAAGAGTGGTTGTACCATTTTATATTCCCACCAGGAATGTGAGCGATCCAGTTTCTCCATGTCCTAAATAGCAATTGCTGTCATATGTTTTTACTTTAACCATTTTGTATGTAGTGATGTCTCACTGTGATTTTAATTTGCATGTCCTTAGTGTCTAATTACTGTGGCTGTTATGTGTCTTGAAATCAGGTAGAAGATATTGAACATCTTTTCACATGCTTATGTTGCAATCTGTATTTCCTCTGGTGAAATATCTCTTCCTATCTTCACCTAATTTCCAATTGGATTATTTTACTTTGTTGAGTTTTGACAGTTCTTTATATATTCTCAACACCAAATCTTTTTTGGATATGTGCTTTACAAATATTTTCTCCTATGCTGTAGTTTGTATTTCCATCTTCTTAATATGATTTTTCCAGTGCAGTGTTTTCAATTTTGATTAAATCCAGTTTATCAGTTTTTTCTTTTTATGAAATCAATGATCCATTTTAAGTTAAATTTTATATCATAAGATTTAGGTTGAGATTTTATTTTATTTCTATTTTTGCTTATTGGTGTTTATTGCTCCAGCATTATTTGTTGAAAAGATTATTTCTCTTTCAGTGACTTTTATACCCTTGTCAAAAGCCAATTGGGCATGTCTTTTCTGTTCCACTGATCTATGTGTCCATTTTGCCTTGGACCCCACATAGTTTTAATTACTGTAGCTCTGTAAGTGTTGAAATCAGGTGGAATGATTTCTCTCACTTCATTCTTAAATTGTTTTAAGTGTTCTAGTTCTTTTGTATTTTCATATACACTTCAGAATAAAATTGTTTGGTTTATTTTATCATTATTTTATAGTTTTTGATATACAGTATTTATTTAGAATAAGTATTTTTGAGCAATTGTAAAAGGTATTATATTTTTAATTTGGGTGTCCACATGTTGATTGATAATATGTAGAAACACAACTGATTATGTATGCTTTTATAGTGTTACCCTACTGAACTTATTTATTGGTTCTAGAAGATTTTTTTCTTTGTAGGTTCATTAGGATTTCTTTTCTTTTTTTGTAGATGATCATGTCATATGCAAATAGGAACAGTCTTATTTCTTTCTTTCTTATGACTTTTATTTTTTTTTTCTTTATGGCAAGAATTTAAAGCATTATGGTAAATAAGAGTGGTGGGAAAGATATCCTTGTCTTGCTCCTAATCATAGTACAAAATAATTCATCTTACACCCTTAAATCTAATGTTAGGTACAGATTTTTTATAGATGCACTTTATTGAGTTGAGAAAGTTTCCTTCTATTCCCAGTTTTTAAGACTTTTTATCAATGTGTGTTGAAATTTATTAACTGTATTTTCTGCATAGATTGAAATGAATATGTGGTTGCTCTTCTTTAGCCTGTTTATATTGTTGAGTACACGGATTGATTTTCAAATACTGAAGCAGTCTTGCATGCTTGGATGACCTCCACTTGATCATGGTATCCACTATTTTATATATTGTCGAAATTTATTTGCTAATTTTAAGGGATTTGTGGGTCCATATTCATGAGGGATATTGACCTGTAGTTTTCTTCTTTTGTCTTTTGTCTGAAGTATTTTAATAATATTAGAAAGGAATAGGAATGTGTTCTCTCCTCTTCTGTTTTCTGTAAAAGATTGTATCAAATTGATCTTAATTATTTTTAAATGTTTGTAGAGTTCTCCAGTAAAATCATCTGAGCCTAAAGATTTCTTTTTTTGTTTGGGAATTTTTAAAATAATAAAGTCAAGTCTTTTAAAGGTAATGGAGCTATTTATATTATCTATCACATATTGGGTTGCTTGTGGTAGTTTGTGTTTTTTGGGTAATTGGTACATTTTATCTAAGTTGTCAAATTTATGTGTATAGAACTGTTTGTAGTACTCACTTCTTGTCCTCTGGATGTCTCCAGGGTCTTTAGTAATTATTTCATTTCTGATATTTGTAATTTATACTATTTCTTTTCTTTATCAGTCTTGCTAGAGGTTTGTTAATTTTATTGATCTTATTAAACAACAAATTCTTTGTTTCATTGATTTTATCTCTTGATTATCTGATTTAAATTACATTTGTTTCTGCTCTTTGTTATTTCTTTCCTTCTGTTCGCGTTGGTTTTATTTTACTATTTCCTAGGTGGGAGCTTAGACTAATTATTTGAGACTTTTATCTTTTCGAATATATACATTTAATGCCTTCAATTTCACTTTAGGGTGACTTTAACTGTGTCCCATAAATGTTGATATATTGTATTCTGATTTTCAGTCACTGAAATGTGTATTTTTTAATTTGCCTTGAGACTTTCTCTTGACACATGTATTATTTAGTAGTATGGTTTTTAGTTTCCAAGCACTTGGAGATTTTTCTTTGTGTTATCTTTAATTTTGCTTTTTTCTGGTCAGATAACACACTCTCTATGATTTAAGTTATTTTAAATTTATTGAGATTTGCATTGTGGCTCTGGATACAATGCATTGTAAATGTTCTATGGGCACTTGAGAAAAAATATGTATTCTTCTAGTTTTTTATGGAGAATTCTATAAATGTCAATTGGATTCTGATGGCTGATGGTGTTATTATTCTATATGCATTCTGATTTTTGGCGTAGGTATTTTGTGAATTGTCAATAAAGGAGTGTTGAAGTCTCCAATTATAATTATGTGTTTGTCTATTTGTCCTTTTAGTTCTATTGCTTTTGCTTCATATATTTTACAACTCTTATTTGTACATACATGTAAAGGACTGCTGTCTTCTTTGTGGATTGATTCTATTATTTTTAAATAATGTCTCTTTCTGATCTGGTAACTTTCTTTGCTCTGAAGTATACTTTATCTGGTATTACAATAGATAATTCTACTTTAAAAATATTGATATTTACCTGATACACCTTTCCTATTTTTCACTTTCAACCTGCCTCGATTACATTTGAAAGTGAATTTCTTCTAGGCAGCATAGAGTTGGCTTATTTTTTTTAACCCATTCTGATAATCCGTGACTGTGAATTGATAAAGTTAGATCATTTACATTTAAGGTAATTATTAATATGTTAAGGCTTAAATCTTTTGTTTTATTCTTTTTTTGCTTTTTTGTTTTTTGTTTTTTTGAGATGGAGTTTCACTCTTGTCGCCCAGGCTGGAGTGCAATGGCACAATCTCGGCTCACTGCAACATCTGCCTCCCGGGTTCAAGCGATTCTCCTGCCTCAGTCTCCTGAGTAGCTGGGATTACAGGCACCCACCACCATGCCTGACTAATTTTTGTATTTTTGGTAGAGACGAGGTTTCACCACGTTAGCCAGGCTGGTCTCAAAGTCCTGACCTCAGGTGATCTGCCTGCCTTGGTCTCCCAAAGTGCTGGGATTACAGATGTGAGCCACCACACCTGGCCTTCTGTTTTATTTCTAATTTTCTATTTGTTCTCTCTGTTTTTTATTTCTCTGCTTTTTTATTTTGCCTTCCAGTGGGTTACTTGAACAATTTTTGCAATCCCGTTTTATTTTCCTAGAGTATGTTTGGGTCCACCTTTTTGTTTAATTCCTCCTCTTAGGTGTTGGGCTAAGTATTAATATCACATTATATATGACAGTGTACTGTGTTGTCTTTCTACCAGTTTGAGTGAAGCATAGAAACCTTATTTTCATTTATATTCCCTTAGTCTTCCCTATATATTTTTTAAAAAATATTTCATCTACATTAGACTGTTGCTATTTAAGTTTCTACCATCAAATATAATGTAGGAAATCCAAGAGAAGAAGGAAAATCTACTGTATTTGCCCAGAAGGTTTACTATGGCTTTTTCTTATCATTATTTTTTGATGTTCGAAGCATTCTTCTTTCCTTATTTTCTTGCTGTTTAGAAATCTTTCTCTAGAAGCCATTTTATCATAGGTCCTCTGGTGACAAATTCTCTTAGTTTTCCTTTATCTGAGAATGTCTTAAATTCCTTTTAATTCCTGAAGAATATTTTCACTGAGTATAGTATTCTTGGTTGACAGTTCTTTTCTTTCAGCAGTCGAAAATATTGTATCACTTCCATATAACCTCTAAAATGTTTTCTGATGAGAAATCTGCTGTCATTCAAAGTGATTTTTCCCTATAGGTAAAATGTCATTTCTCTCTTGCTGCTTTCATGAATTTTTTATCTTTAGTTTTCATAAAATTGACTATAATGTATCATTGCCTGCACAGATTTCTTTCCATTTATCCTATTTGGGTTTTGCTCAGCTTCTTGAATCTGTTTGTTATGATTTGTTTGGTTATTTCAAAGCATTTTCAGCCATGTTTTCTTTGAGTGCTTTTTTCATTCTCCACTCTTTCTCCTTTCATTCTGGAACCCTGATGACACAAATACTAGATTTTTTAAATAATGCTACAGATCCCTGAGGCTCTTGTGATTTTTTAGGTCAATATATTGTTTTAATTCATATTGCTTTATCTTCCAGTTCACTGATTGTTTCTTTTGTCTCTTTTATTCATTTACAGAACCCATCCATGGAGTTTTGTATGGTATTTCATTTATCGTGTTTTTCATTTCTAAAATTCCAGTTTGGTTTTTGCATACCTTTTATTTTTATTGAAACTTTCTTTCTTTGCAGAGACTTTCTATGTTTCCATTTGTTTCAAGTATGTTCAAAATTGCTCTTTGAAGCATTTTTATGACATTAACTTTCACCTTGGTATTGGCATTTGTATTAGTTCATTCTCACACTGCTGTAAAGAAATACCTGAGACTTGGTAATTTATTTAAAAAAAAATGTTTGAATGTCTCATGGTTCTGCAGGCTGTATATGAAGCATGATGCTAGCATCTGCTTGGCTTCTGAGGAGGCCTCAATCATGATGAAAGGCAAAGTTGGAGCCAGTAATTACAATCACTGTGACAGGCAAAGGAGGAGCCAGTTAATTCATATTGCTGGAGCAGGAGGAAGACAGAGATGGGGGGAGGCTACACACTTTAAAACAACCAACCCGATCTCTTGAGGAATTTATCATGAGAACAGCACCAAAGAGATGGTGCTAAGTCATTCATAAGAAACCACTCCCATGATCCACTCACCTCCCACCAGGCCCCTCCTTCAACACTGGAGATTACAGTTGAACATGAGATTTGGGTGGAGACGCAGATCTAAACGATATCAGCATTTATTGATTCTCTATTTTTTTTTCTCTACTTTAGGTCTTTTTGGTTCTTGGTAATATGACTGATTTTCTATGTAATTCTGTACATTTTGGGGCAGGAGAAAGGGAGGAGTGGATACTGCCTTATCACTGTCAAATGGGGATAAAATTCCCAGTTTCCCATGCTGTCTCTGTTGACACTCAAGGGGGCATGGCTCCTCAATACTGCTGAGTGGAAGTGGGAGTTCCCGTTTCCCACTAAGCCTCCATTGTTAGCTCTGTGGCTGGAAGGGGTAGTAATACACTTTTACTGCTACTGTGCATGTGGCCTCTACTGACACAATGAGGGGCAAAGGTGGGAAGGTGCAATACTTTTACTCTTGGGCAGGTATGAAAGTTCTGACTCTCCAGAAGGCCTCTTCTGATACCACCCTAGCCAGGAAAGGGATGGATATTGTTGCCATCAGGTGGGAGTGGAGATCTAAGCTCCCTAATTTTTCTCCACGGTTACAATGTTGGAGGGATGGCTTTACTACTGCCTAGTGTCTATGAAAGTTTCAGCTCCCTACTAGGCTCCTTCTGATACTGTCTGAGCAAGGGGGATGGGGAACCTCCTTACAGGCTGACAAGGGTACAACTCCAGGCTCTCATTTGGTCTTTTTGGGTGGGGTTAGGGTCACAGATTGTTGTGCAGTGTTTTTCTGGAGGAGGACAGTTATAATGTAAAAATGTTCTTTCTGCCTTTTCCTGGACCTTTGGCTAAAGAAGACAGGCTTTAGTTAGGGCTGTTCTTGTGTGCCTCTGTTGATGTTTCTGAGTTTTGGGCTTGTTCAGCTTCAACCCTGGAATATTTGAAGCAAAAGAAAACCTAGAGAAGTTACTGCTATGTTGTTCCTTGGGTCCCAGGGTCACTAGTTGTTTTAACTGCTTCCTTCCAACTTTTAGAGTATTCTCATGCTTGTTTTATATATAATGCCCAGGGGTTTTATTTGTACATAGTAGGAAGAATTGAGAAAATCTCTTCTACTTCATGTTCTTGGAAGTGGAAGTACGTGGGTTTTCCTTTTGCCTTTTCTGATTTGTTTAGCACTTGGCATTTAGCACTTGGCATTTTGTTCTGGAATCTGAGACATTATTGCCTCTAATATTTGAGAGATATCATTCCAAGCTACAAATTCTGGCTGGCAAAGTCACTGTAAACATAAAGTTGGCAGTAGTCACAGTCTGAATGCAAAGGCTGCCAGTCTTGTCCTAAGTGCAGGCATGTATGGCAAAGACTAGTCAATTTGAAAAATAATAATATTTGTCATCACCAAAATATTTACTGTGTGTGAACCACTGTATCCATCATTCTTAATAGTAGCAATAATAATGCAAACAACAATAATAATTGCTACCATAGTAAAATGCATTTTTAAAAGTAGTTTGAGTATATCATGTCATTTAATTCTCACATCTACCACTTTTATATGCATGCTTTTCTGTACCTGTGTGATCATTTAGTTATCTATCAGGCTCTGTTCTAGGAAATACTAGACATAAAGCAGAACAGGATAGCCTAGGTCTCTGTTCTCATGAAGAAGTCAGAAAGCAACATTTCAGATAGAGAAACATGCCTTAAGGACAATAAAAACTTAAGATGTGGCAGAGAATGCTTGAGGTAGTAAGGACTCCTTTATGGGCTAGTCGAGGCAGACCTGTGCAACATAGTCATTTGTCAAACATCAATGCTTTTGATGATTACTCGTAACTTTAAATGTAAAACCTAAAGGCACATTTATATCCTCAAAAAGGCAAGCTTTTGCTTTCTATTGGAATCATAGTTTCATTTCAGATATTTCATAGGGTAGTCATGTAGTGTAAGGTGTAAAATGTTAGAACCCTGAGTCTAAATCACTGCCTGCCCATGTGCTCTTTGTGGAGGATTGTGCTTATCAGAAATATATAACTTACTGCGTTTTCAGGGCCCTCATATCAAAGTCCAAGTAAACATATAATTGACAGTATTAGAGAATTAATTTTTCTAGTGTTTAATCTCTCTATTCATAGTCTCCTATTTTTGTAAAGAAGAAAACAAAACAGCTTTCATTAAAGAAGACACAGAATAGCTCCCTAAGTGATAAATTGATTGGATGGTTGTTGGGTTTTAATAGAGAATATACATTCAACTTCACAATTATTGGTTACTGTTAAAAATAAGATCAGCACTAGCTATTTATTGAGCATCTACAATATATTCTACACTGCATTATATTCTTTATGTATATTTCATTTTATCTTTACAATTTTGTTGGACAAGAGTTGATTCATATCTCCACTTAGAAACAAGGAAAAAGGGCCGGGCGCTGTGGCTTATGCCAGTAAACACAGAACTTTGGGAGGCCGAGGCGGGCAGATCACGAGGGTCAGGAGATTGAGGCAATCCTGGCTAACACTGTGAAACCCGTCTCTACCAAAAATACAAAAAATTAGCCAGGTGTGGTGGTACGTGCCTGTTGTCCCAGCTACTTAGGTGGCTGAGGGAGGAGAATCGCTTGAACCCGGGAGGTGGAGGTTGCAGTGAGCCGAGATCGCGCCTCTGTACTCCAGCCTGGTGACACAGCTAGGCTCTGCCTCATAAAAGAAAGAAAGAAAAGAAAAGATGAGGAAAAAGAAACAAAGAGCGTAAATTGCTTTTTTCTACTTTCATCCCCCCTAACACAGAACAATTCCTCTGCTCATCTCTGGCCTTTTTTCAGTGCCTAGAGGGCTTACCACTATTGACTGCACCACCCAGAGTTTTTTTTTTTTTTTTTGCTGACTTGTTTCTGGTTGTCTAATTGGGTTTGGCCAAAGGGTGATTCCTGCAAGAGATCAGAAGAGAAGAGAAGAAAAATACCAGGGTATTTATTTTCTGCCATAGTAGTGACTGGGGTTGGTCACTCCATAACCGTAGCTCCTGTCAGTCAACACTTCTTCCAAGGCTCCTCTTCTCATCAGACTGTAACTCCCTATTTCTTCTCTCTTGCCCTAATCCTTAGGGATAGTAAAGGTTTCTTGCTGCTGCTGCTGCTGCTGCTGCTGCTGCTGGGTTCCGGAGTGCTTCATTATTCCTTGTTAATTCCCCTAACCTATCATACCTCCCTTTATTACATTATCTTTGGAATTCCATCTTTCCTATTATTCCTATTTCCTATCCATAATTTCCTATTATTTTCTTTGAGGACCCTATGGACACAGAGAGATTATGCAGTTAAATTGCACAATTAGTACATGAGAAACCTAGAATTCTAGCCTAGAATCCCCAGGCTGCCTGATTCCAAAGCTCATGCTTTTTTTTTTTTGCTTTTTTTTTTTAACTAAAAGTAAGCTGTGCTTCCCAATCCCTAAAACATTAAATGATCACCTAAATTATGGAAAGAGTTAATGACTTACCTAAAATGAGCATTATAAACTTAAAAAGTAATTTTTAAACTGGTCAGTTTTTTAGAAATGTGCCCTGTACAGATGCAGAAGCAGAAAACCAGCACAAACAGATGTAACAAAGAACGTGGGAAATTCTTTTGATGTGTTCTCAATACCAAATTTGTCCCCAATTAGAAACCTTTCTAATCATTATGGATGTTCAATGTAGTAGTTTTGTTTTAATTAAACTTTATTGGATCTGTAATCATTATAATGTAGTTTAAAGGCTTTGGCCATTTAAGACTTTAAGTATTTTATGGTTATGTCTTATGATGATCACAACACCTCTTTTCACTGCAGACATTAATATGATTGACCCTGGCTCCCATGATTTGCTTTCATCTGGGGGACACAGCTCCCATCACGGTCAATTATCTCACAGTAATTCCAGCGACAAAAGCAACTTTTTCTCAATTAAGCAATTATTTTTTAGACGGAGTCTCACTCTGTCTCCCAGGGTGGAGTGCAGTGGTGCATCTCCGCTCACTGCAAGCGCCCTTCACGCCATTCTCCTGCCTCAGCCTCCTGCGTAGCTGGGACTACAGGCGCCCGCCACCACACCCGGCTAGTTTTTCGTATTTTTTTAGTAGAGACGGGGTTTCACAGTGTTAGCCAGGATGGTCTTGATCTCCTGACCTCGTGATCCGCCCGCCTCGGCCTCAAAGTGCTAGGAATACAGGCGTGAGTCATGGCGCCTGGCCTCAATTAAACAATTTTCTAATAACCTTCTTGGACTGGAGAATATAGCATGGCACATACTAATATGGCTGCTTTTGTTGAAATTGCTGCTGTATGTGGGTAACTCATACATACTGTGAAGTTTTTCCTGAGATTGAACAATTTAAACAAATTAATATCACAAAGCCAATTTTATATTTGAGACACTTGGAGGATGAATTAAGATCGACTCCTATTCCTGGCCTCATGCTTGGTGCAGATAAGACAAACTTGCACATAAAATCCAGTTCTCCCTGCTGCTCCCCAGGCTTGCTCAGCTGAGATGCTCAGAATTCCTGCAAAGTACATATTAAGAACACTACACCCCCATGTGGTGGCAAAAATATTCCTGGGAAATCATGGATTTTATAAATCATGTTATTTGTAAATTTTCTAGTCCCTCTGAACATGTCATTAAACTTGTAAAACTGTAGACTCGTAAAAATAACTTTAAAAAATATTCTGTGCATAAAATTGTTAAAATCCGTTTGTCAAATCTAACTTTTTTCTTGGCTTAATATAGTCATATCAACTAGAGAAAAGAGAAGGAAACCATAAATTAGACAAACAGCAGGTGTCCAAAGTCTTTTTATTTACTCATCAAAATAATATTTTATGCCTTATCAAAGGTGATAGAAAAATATGATCAACTGTGAATCAGAAGACATGGTTTCTAGATGCCTTGGCCTTCTTCTTGTCAGTTATTTGGCCTTGGACATTGTTTTTAGCTTCAGCATCCTTATCTGCAAAACAAGGGCATGATTTCTATTTTAATTTGTCATTTTAAAAAATGTCAAGTATAGAGTAATATTTTGTTAAATTATGCTTTAAATCCTCTTAATTATACCATGCAATTTCCAGCTAGAAAATGTTAAACTGTACAACCAGCTAATTAAAAATTTCAGAGGCTCTGTATGCTGCATTTTGAAACACTATCTTTAAAATTATTTTTACATGCATGCTGTGTATTTTAAAACTAAAATGATATACAAACACCTATAAATTTATATTTATAGGAAATATATGTAAAGAATGGAGAGAAAGGGAGAGCAATGCCTGAGTCAGCTGTGTTCTCTTCTAAAATTTCTCTAGCTCTTTTATGTTGCTGTGTATTGGGTCTTACTCTCTTGTTCAATTTTGTACATACAGATTTTTAAAATTTTAGTCTCCACTCAACTTAGGGTAAAACCTGATCCTTTGATATCCATAATGCATTCACCCCATCAGACTAGATGGTTTGGTATTACTTGGCTCTTTTATTGATGCCCCATTTATTCTATAGAGGTATTTTGAGAATCAGACAAGATGTGAGAAAGAGCTTCTCATAAAGCATATGCAAATGGAAAGTATTATTATTAATATTCAGCTAGACACTGGTTCCAGGACATTATTTATTACTGTTACTGCTTTAAAATAGAAAAACAAATGAAAACACTTAGAGACCAAAGTTAGAAAGCAGGAGGGTGGGAATAGAACAGAGAAGGCTACTCAGGAAATAACTACCTCTTGAATATTTCCTGGACGCCTTTGGATTTAACACTTTACAGTGCCGTTTGACAAGTAAAATTGAGAAGTTTAAAAAAAAATTATGAAGAAGAAGAGAGTCTCAAAATTATCTTTCCTCTAGACGTAAGAAATTGATAGAGGATTACAAATAAAGCCTTGAGTGTGGAGAAAGACAGCAGAAAAGAAGCCTCCACTGATTGTCCTCGTAAGAGGAACACCAAATTTTAACAGCTGTCTACATACAAAAATGCACCTTCATAAGAATAAAAAATCAGGTGAGCAATCACAATACCTGGTTTTAATTTTATATTACTGAAAGAGGCACTGAAGAGGCTGGGAAAGACACCCCTCTTCCACCCCTCTTCCAACCTCCGGCAGCAGCTGCATGGTGCCAAGAGAGAATCTGTGCACTTGGGGGAGGAAGAGCACAGCAGCTGGAGGGATTTGCATTGAACTCAGTGCTGCCCAGTCCCACAGAGAAAGCATCTGGACCAGAACAGCAAGAGAGGAAGAGCCCTTCCCAGCATTTAGAATTTGAATTTCTTAGCAAGGCTCGCCACCATGAGATAAAGTGCTCTGGGATCATAAATGAACTTGAAAGGCAGTCTGGGACACAAGGACTGTAATTCTTAGGCAAGCCTTGAGGCCGTTGTGGGCCTAGAGCCAGTGGACTGGGGCAATGTGTGACCTAGTGAGACACCAGATGGGATGGCTCAGGGAGTACTTGTGCCATCCTCGCCTCCAGGCAGTGCAGCTTCTAGCAATGAAAGTGACTCCTTTCCTCTGCTTGAGAAGAGGAGAAGAGTAAAGAGGACGTTGTCTTGCATCTTGGATACCAGCTTAGGCACACTAGGATGGGGTGACAGGCAGCTAGCCCCCATACCAGGCCCGAGCTCCCAGACAACATTTCTAGACACATTCTGGGCCAGAAGGGAACCCACCTGCCTTGAAGGGAAGGATGTAGTCCTGGCAGTATATGTCACCTGATGGCTAAAGTGCCCTTGGGCCCTGAATAACCAACAGTAATAGCCAGGTAGTATGCTTTGGGCCTTAGGTTGGACTGAGATGTGCTGGCCTCAGGGACCAGCTTGGCTACAGTAGGATAGAACACCAAGCAGGCTATTGGGGTTCCTGAGTCCAGGCCAAGGCTCTTGGACAGCATTTCTGGACATTCCCTGGGCCAGAGGAGAGCCTTCTGTCCTGAAGGGTGAGTCTCAGATCTGACAGCATCCTCCACAAGCTGACTGAAGAGCCCCTGAGTCTAAGAAAATGTTGGCAGTGGCCTGCCAGAATGCCCCATGGGCCAGTGGTGGTGGTGATGATCATGGAGAGAGCCTCCTTTGCCTGTGGAAAAGAGAGGAAAGAGGGGGAAGGACTTTGTGTTGTTTGAGGGCCAGCTTAGTGACAGTAGAATAGAATACCAGGAAAATTTTGATGGTTTTTTTTACTTCAGTCCCTGGCTTTCAGATAGCATCACTGAAACTTCTTGAGCCTAGAGCAACTTGTCACACTGAAGGGAAGAACACAAACCTGAATGGCTTTGCCATCTGCTGATTCTAGAGCCTTAGGACCTCATATGAACACAGGTGGTAGCCAAGCAGTGGTTACAGTGGTCTTGGACAAGGTACAGTGCTCTATTCTCTTCAGATCTGACCCAGGGCAGTTCCAGTCGTCATGGCTATAGTGGTGCTTGTGTTACCCTACCCCCAGCTCCAGGTGGCTCAGCGCAAAGAGAGAGACTCTGTTTGGGAGAAAATGAAGAGAGCAAGAGAGCAAGAGTATCTGCCTGGTAATCCAGAGAATTCTTCTGAATTTTATCCAAGACCACCATAGTGGTACCTCTGTGAGTCTCCAGGAAGCACAGCATTACTGAGATTGGGGCCCAAGTCTCTTTGAATACTTGGAAAGACTTCCCAAGAAAGACAGGTACAAACAAGCATAAAATTGTGAAGAATACAAGAAATCCCGAGCTCTTCAATGCCCAGACAATGACAAACATCCATAAACATCAAAACCTCCAGGAAAACATGACTTGAACAAAACACCAGTGACTAAACCCAGAGTGACAAAAATATGTAACCTTTCAGACAATCCAAAATAGCTTCTTTGAGGAAGCTCAATCTAATTCAAGAAAATACGGAGAAGGAATTCACAATCCTATTAGACAAACTTAACAGAGACTGAATAATTAAAAAGAAGCAAGCAGAAATTCTGGAGCTGAAAAATTCAACTGACATACTAAAGAATGCATCACAGCATCTCAACAGCAGAATTGATCAAAAAGAAGAAAGAAATCGTGAGCTTGAAGACAGGCTATTTGAAAATTCACAGTCAGAGGAAACAAACATACAAAAAAGAATGAAGCATGCCTAAGATGTAGAAATACCCTCATAAGGGTAAATCTAAGTATTATTAGCCTTAAATTGGAGGAAGATAGAGAGTTTGGGGTAGAAAGTGTATTCAAAGAGATAGTAACAGAGAACTTCCCAAATCTAGAGAAAGATATAAACATTCAAGTCCTAGAAGGTTACAGAATACCAAGCAGATTTAACCCAAAGAAGACTACCTCAAGACATTTAAAAATTAAACTACCAAAAGTCAAGGATAAATAAAAAATCATAGGCCGGGCATGGTGGCTCACGCCTGTAATCCCAGCACTTTAGGAGGCTGAGGCAGGCGGATCACCTGAGGTCAGGAGTGCTAGACCAGCCTGACCAACATGGAGAAACCCCGTCTCTACTAAAAATAGAAAAAATTAGCCAGGTGTGGTGATGCATCCTGTAATCCCAGCTACTCAGGAGGCTGAGGTAGGAGAATCGCTTGAACCCAGGAGGCAGAGGTTGCAGTGAGCCGAAATTGCACCATTGCACTCCAGCCTGGGCAACAAGAGCTAAACTCTGTCTCTAAATAAATAAATAAATAAATAAAATATAATAAAAAATAAAAAATCATAAAAACAACAAAAGAAAAGACACAAATAACATACAAAGGAGCTCCAATATGTCTGGTAACATACTTTTCAATGGGAACCTTATAGGCCGGGAGAGAGTGGCATGACATATTTAAAGTGCTGCAGGGGGAAAAAAATTACCCTAGAATAGTTTATCCGCAAAAATATCTTTCAAGCATGAAGGAGAAATAAAGACCTTCCCAGACAAACAAAAGCTGAGGGATTTCATTAACACCAGATCTGTCTTACAAGAAATGCTAAAGGGAGTTCTTCAACCTGAAGGAAACGGATGTTAATGAGCAGTAAGAAATCTTCCAAAAGTACAAAACTCACTGGTAATAGTAAGCACACAGAAAAACACAGAATATTATAACACTGCAACTGTGGCATGCAAACTACTAATATCTTAAGTAGAAAGATGAAACAATGAACTAATAAAAAATAATAGCTGCAACTTTTCAAGACATAGACAATACAGTAAGACATAAACAGAAACAGCAAAAAGATAAAAAGCAGGGAGACAAAGTTAAAATGATCCATTTTTTATTAGTTTTTAAATTTATTTTTAATTTTTGTTGGTACATAGTAGTGTATATATTTATGGAATTCAAGAGATGTTTTGATACAGGCATACAATGAATAATAGTCACATCTTGGAGAATAGGGTATCCATCTGTCACGAGATACTTGGGGTATCGTTTTTCCAGCTGGAAACCTCTTTGACTAGTGGTACCTTTGCCCAAGTTTTGCTTGGGCCCACTGGGTTTGTTCTGCCCATCTGGCCTGGCAGGCTGCACTTGAGCCAGGTTGAGCCAGGCACAGAATGGCAAGGGGTGTGTGAGCAAGTGAGCATGGGGTCCAGGCACTGCGCAAAGCTAGGCACACCAGCTGTGGTGGGGAGGGCAGCTCCAGGTGTCAGCGTGCGTGCTGGCTTCCTGCGAGCCTGTGGTTGAACCAGGTGTACCACAAGTGGCTTTCACGGTGGGCACCGGGGAACATGGTGGCACTTGGAAGCTTGGAGATGCCAGAAACCATAGAGCCTCAAAGAGGGTTTGGCAGCCCTGGCTCCGGAAGCGTCTACATCCAGGCTCCCCAAAGGGCTGGAGCTCTTCTCTCCTTCTCTCTTCTCTTCTTCTCATTGTCCACAACATGGCAGGCAAAGGATGTGTTTCAGCCCTGTTTGTGTTACAGCTCTTTCAGCTCCACAATTTGGTGGGTCCTGAGTTCTTGTCCCCTGTCTAGGTACACAGACAAGCGGAGGATGATCAAGGTGAAGAGGTGCTTTACTGAGTGACAGAACAGCTCAGAGGAGACCTGCAGTGGGTAGCTCCTCTCTGCAGGCAGGTCATCCTGATGAGTGTCCAGCTCTCAGCAGGGAGGAAACCCACAGTGGGTAGCTCCCCTCCACAGACAAGGTGTCGTGTCAAGTGTTCAGCTTTCAGCAGAGATTGGACCCACAGTGGGTAGCTCCTGTCCGCAGGTAGGTTGTCCTGGCATCTGTTCAGCTCCCAGCAGAGAAGAGACTCACCTTGGGAAGCTCCTCTCTGCAGGCAGAGTGTCCTGAGTGTTCAGCTCTAAGCAAAGAGGAGACCCACAGTGGGGAGCTCCTCTCCACAGGCAGGTCATCCTGACATCTGCCCAAGTCCGGCGAAGTCTGGGGTTTTTATGGGCTAAAGAGTGGAGGAAGTGCATGCTGATTGGTCCACAGGCAGTGATGGGTGGGGTGGGAAAAAGCACCATGTGTTTTCACTCTTGTCCATGGAACTGGTAGCCTGGTCCCCAGGCTTCAGGCTGTCCCAGGCCTGATGGTAGGGCTTCACTAGGGACCTGCTCCTTTCTGCCCAGGAGCTTATCTGCCTCCTGCTGCCATCAACCTGCTGTCTATCGATGGTGCCCACGGCACACAGGCTGTTCATGCCAAGCGGTGCCTGCAGGCTCTTGCCGAGCTGCCCTCAGCCCCACCTCGGCATCCTTTCTGTGCTGGTCAGCAGCCAAAGTCCAGAGGGGGCTGAGTCAGCAGGGGCTGGCATGTCAGTGCTGCCCTGAGCATGTGCACACCCAGTTGGGTTGTGACAGCACCTGGGCTTGGCCTCAATTTTCCTCTGAAATCAAAGTGGGTGCCAGGAGTGGGGAGAGACCAGGGAGCGGGAGCAGGCACTTCGGAGCCTGCAAGGGCAGAGGGGCTTCCTGGACACCCAACAGTGCAGAGATACCTGGGCCCATAACCACCCCTGGGTGGCTGCAGCTGCATCCTGGGAGGTGAGGCTTCTGCCTGCTCCCTGCCCCCAAGAGCACAGGGATGCCCAGGTGTTGAACCATTGCTGGGTGGCTGCAGCTGCACCCAGGGAGCATGAGGCTCCTACTCTGCCAACTCGGAAGGAGTTGGGTCTTCTGCCTGTTCCCAGCTCCCACTGGCTCCATGGAGTACACAGCCCCAGCTGTACCTCCCCTATTGCAGTTGGCGTTATGGCAGTAGCTGCTCCAGCCAGGCCACCACTGCCATCAGATTCTCTCAAACATTTATCCTTTGTGTTACAATCCCGTTACACTCTTTTAATCATTTTAAAATGTGCAATGAAGTTATTCTTGACTATATTCACCTTGCTGGGCTATCAATAGTAGGTCTTATTCTTTCTAAATAGTTTTCTTTTTCCTTATTAGTTTGTTTATGTAATCAGTGATAAATTATCATACGAATGGGTTATAAGATAGTACTTGCAAGCCTCATGGTAACTTCACATCAAAAAACATACAACAGATACATAAACACACAAATTAGAAATTAAATCATACCACCAGAGAAAATCACTTTCACTACAAGGAAGGCAGAAATGAAGGAAAGAAAGAAGAGAAGAACACAAAACAACCCAAAAACAAATAACAAAATAGCAGGAGTAAGATCTTGCTCATCAGTAATAACATCAAAGATAAATGAACTAAGCTTTCCAATGAAAAGACATAGAATGGCTGAATGCATAAAAAGCAAGACTCATTTATCTGTTCCCTATAAGAAACACACTTCCTTTCTAAAGAAACACATAGAATAAAAATAGAAAAAGATATTCCATGCTAATGGAAACCAAAAAAAGAGCAGTAGTAGCTATACTAATATCAGACAAAATAGACTTCAAGACAAAAACTGTAAGGAGAAACAAGGAAGGTAATTATATAATGATAAAGGGGTCCGTACAGCAAGAGGATATGACAATTGTGAATATATATGCAGCCAATGCTTGAGCACCCAGATATGTAAAGCAAATATTCATCAGAGCTAAATAAAGAGATAGACCTCAGTACAATAATAGCTGGAGACTTCAACACTCCACTGTCAACATTGGACAGATCTCCCAGAAAGAAAATCAACAAAGAGACATCAGACTTAACCTGCACTTTAGGACAAATGGACCTAATAGATATTTACAAAACATTTCATCCAGTGGCCAAAAATACACATTATTTTCCTCAGCGCACAGATAATTCTCAAAGACCATATGTTAGGTCACAAAACAAGCCTTAAAACATTTAAAAAATTGAAATAATAGTATTCATCTTCTCTGATTACAATGAAAACAAACTAGAAATCAAAGGACGAATTTTGAAACATTACAACACATGGAAATTAAACAATGTGCTTCTGAATGATCAGTGTATGAATGAAGACATTTAGAAGGAAACCGAAAATTTTTTTGAAAGAAATGATAATGGAAACACAACATACCAAAACCTATGGGATACAGTGAAAGCAGTACTAAGTGGGAAATTTATAGCTATAAGTGCCTACCTCAAAAAAAGAGAAAAACTTCAAATTATTTAATGATACACCTTCAAGAACTAGAATAGCAAGAGCAGACCAAACCCAAAATTAGTAAAAGAAAAGTAATAATAAAGATACAAGCACAAATAAATGAAATTGAAACAAAGAAAACAATGCAAAAGATAAATGAAATTAAAGATGTTTTTGAAAAGATAAATGCAATTAACAAACCTTTATCCAGACTAAGAGCAAAAGAGAGAAGACCCAAATAAATAAAATCAGAGATGAAAAGAAAACATTAAAACTGATATTGCCAAAATTCAAAAGATCATTAGTGGCTACCATGAGCAACTATATGTCAATAAACTGGTAAATCTAGAGGCAATGTATACATTCCTAGACACATAGAACCTACCAATATTGAACTATTAAGAAATCCAAAACCTGAACAGAGCAATGACAAGTAACAAGATAAAATTCATAATTAAAAGTCTCCCATAAAGAAAAACCTGGTACCCAATGGTTTCACTACTTAATTCTACCAAGATTTAAAGAAGTAATACCAATTCTACTCAAAGTATTCCAAAAAAAAAGAAGAGAAAGGAATACTTCCAATTTCATTCTATACGGCCAGTATTAACCTCATACAAAAATCAGACAGACACATCAATAAAACTGTACACTAATATTCCTGATGAATATTGATGCAAAAATACTCAGCAAAATACTAGCAAACCAAATTAAGCAATATGTTAAGAATATCATTCATGATGACCAAGTGGGATTTATCCCAGTGACACAAGGACGTTTCAACATATACAAATCAATCATTGTGATACACCATATAAACAGAATGAAGGACAAAAACCACATGATCTTTTCAATTGATGCTAAAAAGCATTTGATAAAATTCAACATCTCTTCATGATAAAAACCCTCAAAAAACTGGGTATAGAAGGAACATACTACAACATAATAAAAGTCATATATGTCAGACACAAAGCTAGTATCATAATGAATGGGGAAAAACTGAAAGCCTTTCCTCTAAGATCTGCAACATGATAAGGATGCTCACTTTCATCACTGTTATTCAGCATAGTACTGGAACTCCTTAGCTACAGCAATCAGACAATAGAAAGATATAAAAGGCATTCAAGTTGGAAAAGCAGATACCAAATTATCCTTGTTTGTAGATGATATAATCTTACATGGGGAAAAACCAAATGACTCCACCGAAAGAGCTATCGGAACTGATAAATTCAATAAAATTGAAGAATACAAAATCAACATACAAAAATCGGTAGCATTTCTATATGGCAACACTGAACAATCAGAAAAAGATATTTAAAAGTAATCCCATTTGTAGTAGCCATAAATAAAATTAAATATCTAGGAATTAGTCAAAGAAGCAAAAGATCTCCACAATGAAAAGTATAAAACACTGATGAAAGAAATTTAAGAGAACACAAAAACATAAAAAGATATTCCATGTTCATGGATTGGAAGAATCAATGTTGTTAAAATGTCCATACCAGCCAAAGCAATCTACAGATTCAATGCAATCCCTATCAAAATAGCAATGATATTCTTCACATAAATAGAAAAAAATCCTAAAATTTATATGAAATCACAAAAGACCTGAATAGCCAAAACTATTCTGAGCAAAAGAACAAAACTGGAGGAATCACATTACCTGACTTCAAATTGTACTACAGAGTTATAGTAACCACAATAGCACGGTACTGCCATAAAAGCAGATGCATAGACTGATACTGTTTGGCTCTGGGTCCTCAGCCAAATCTTATCTCAAATTGTAATCTTCAGCTGGTGTTGAGGGAGGGAACTGGGTGACAGGTGATTGGTTTATGGGGGCAGTTTTCCCCATGCTGTTATCCGGATAGTGAGTGAGTTCTCATGAGACCTGATGGTTTTGTAAGTGTTTGACAGTTCCTCCTTCACATACTCGATCTCACCTGCCACCACATAAGACATGCCTGCTTCCCCTTCCACCATGACTGTAAGTTTCCTGAGGCCTCCCCAGTCATGCGGAACTGTGAGTCACTTATAAGTTACCCAGTCTCAGGCAGTTCTTTATAGCAGTGTAAGAACAGACTAATACATAGACCAATAGAACAGAATAGAGAACAAAGAAATAAATCCATACACCTACAGTGAAGTCATTTTCAACAAAGGTGCCAAGAACATACACTGGGGGAAGGACAGTCTTTTCAATGAATGGTGCCAGGAAAACTGGATATCCATATGCAAAAGAATAAAACTAGACTACTGTCTCTCATCGTATACAAAAATCAAATCAAAATGGATTAGAGGCTTAAATCTAAGACCTCAGTCTTTGCAACTACTACAAGGAAACATAAGGGAAACCCTCCAGGACATTGATCTGTGCAAAGATGTCTTGACTAATATCTTACAAGCACAGGCAACCAAAGCAAAAATGGACAAATGCAATCACATCAAGTTAAAAAGCTTCTCAACAGCAAAGGAAGCAATCAACAAAGTGAAGAGAAAACCCACAGAATGGGAGAAAATATTTGCAAACTACACATCTAACAAGATATTAATAACCTGAATATATAAGGAGCTCAAACAACTCTATAGAAAACATTCAATAATTTGATTAAAAATGGGCAAAAGATTTGAATAGACATTTCTTAAAAGAAAACATACAAATGGTAAAGAGGTATATGAAAAGGTGCTCAACATCATTGATCATCAGAGAAATGCAAATCAAAACTACAATGAGATATCATCTCACCCCAGTTAAAATGGCTTTTATCCAAAAGGCAGGCAATAACAAATGCTGGAGAGGATCAGTGGAAAAGAGAACTCTCCTACATTGTTAGTGGGAATGTAAATTAGTACAACCTCTTTGGAGAACATTTTAGAGTTCCTAAAAAAAACTAAATATAGAGCTACCATATAATCCAGCAATCGTACTGCTCGCTATATACTGAAAAGAAAGGAAACAGGAATATCGAAAAGATATCTGCACTTCCATGTTTACTGCAGCACTCTTCACAATAGCCAAGGTTTGGGAGTAGCCTAAGTGTTCATGAACAGATCAATTGATAAAGAAAATGTGGTACATATACACAATGGAGTACTGTTCAACTATAAAAAGGAATGAGATCCTGACACTTCAAATAACATGGATAGAATTGGAGGTCATTATATTAAGTGAAATAGGCCAGGCACAGAAAGAAAACCTTAGCATGGTCTCACTTTTTTGTGGGAGCTAAAAATTAAAACAATTGAACTTACTGTTTAAATTCAATTGAGATTAGAAGGATAGTTACCAGAGACTGGGAAGGGTAGTGAGGGTTAATGGGGGGATGTAGAGATGGTTAATGGTTAAAAAAATAGAAAAAATAGAAAAGTTAGAAAGAATGAATAAAAGATGGTATTTGATAGCACAGCAAGGTGACTGTAGTCAATAATAATTTAATTGCACATTTAAAAATAACTAAAAAGTATAATTCGATTGTTTGTAACACAAGGGATAAAGGCTTGAGGGGATAGATACTTCATTTACCGTGATGTGATTATAAAGTATTGCATAACTACATTAAAGTATCTCATGTACCCCATAAATATATGTGCCTACTATATACCCACAAAAAATAAAAATTAGGAAAAAAAATAAAGCTTTGTCCTAAAATGTTTACTCAATCATTGTCTTAATGCTATTTAACAAAGTTTGATAAACAGTAAGTGAGTCTTAAGGAAGGTTTTTGAGTGCTGTACATAACTTTAGGGAAGGATCACTGCAGCCATTATGAGAAAGACTGCAGATTGGGTGAAACTGGAGGATAAATAGTAGCAGTCCTGTTAGAAACTCCAGGAAAGGCAGTGAGTGGCAGAACATGCTATCCAATCATCATGAAAACACTGCAGTTTCTAAGCCTCCACCTTACAGGAAAGTTCAGAAACAAGGGCATAGAAAATTGATTTGCAAGGTGCTGTGCCAAGATTATTTCTTTTGCATGTCTCTCTTTGTTTCACTTCCTTGCATTATTTTCTGAGTGATTCTGTAGACAAGGCATAGGGATGAATTCATTCTGGATTTAAAAACTCTATTTGATAGCACCATCTTCTGTTCTGGTCTTAGTGAGGAAAACAGAGCTTCCCTGAGTCGCCATGATATCATTTAGTGATGAGGCTGGAAAAGGACCATAATATGAGGAAACCCTGGAGGATCAAATCTGCTAACTTTGATACATTTGTTTATTGAGTCAACATACATTATTATGTGATGCTACTGTTTCTAGGTTTCTGCTAGGTGATTGAAGAGCAAAATGTTTGGACGAAATAATGACAATCTTCCCTTTCTCATGGAGGTCCCACTGTAGTAGGAGAGATAAGTAATCAAATAATTTTAACTGTATTATTTAGTATATGACATACACCTATAAATCTATATTTATAATAAATATACACAAGTAGTAGAGGGAAACATTGTATATACGTTATAAAATGTATTATAACTACATTATACATTGGAATACTAAGAAAAGTAATATAAATGAAAGAGAAAATGCACTCAAAGGTATGAATGTATGTGGAGAATGACTCAGGACCACAGGCATGCATTTTATTACCCTGATTGATATTATTAGGTCGCAGTGACAGAGACATTTCTGAAAGTAGCGCATACCTACTTTATTTATTCAGTAAGTAGTTTTTGAACACCTGTTGTGTTCCAAGTAATGTGCCTCATGTTGAATATAGGTCGTAGTACTTACATAGGAGGCTCTTGCTTTCTGACCCTCTCTCAGCAGAGAAAGTGAGAAGTGTAATGGGGAAAGACCCCCATTATTTGTGACTGATTTTGTTTTACTATTTTTGTTTTTACCTGCTGGCTACTTTGTCCTTTATCTGGATGTGTCTTGTGGAGATTGATGTGGTTTCTTCTTCTTCTTTTTTTTTTTTTTTTTTTTTTTTTGAGACATATTCACACTCTGTCACCCAGGCTGGAATGCAGTGGCTCAGTCTCAGCTCATTCAACCTCTACCTCCCTGGTTCAACTGATTCTTATGCCTCAGTCTCCCAAGTAACTGGGACTACAGGCATGCACCATCACACCCAGCTAATTTTTTTTTTTTTGTAAGTAGAGACAGGGTTTCACCATATTGGCCAGGCTGGTCTTGAACTCCTAGCCTCAAGTGATCCACCTGTCTCGGCCTCCCAAAGTGCTGGGATTACAGGCATGAGCCACTGTGCCAGGTCAGTTTCTCCCTTCTTCACATTCCCACATAATTTTGTATGAACCACTAGTTTAATGGATGTTCTGCAATTTATCTTCCAGTGGTGAGGGCCTTCAAGTATTTGTGAATGTACTATGATGTGCAGGAACTCAGATAGAAATTGGACACAGAAAAATAAATTAGGCATATATTCTTTAGACACAAGGCTCAGAATATTATAGAGGAAATACACATATAGGTGCATAATTGCCATACTAAGTGAGGTGGTAGAGATATATATTGGGTAAAGAGGTGGAACAGAGGGAATAAGCATTTATTTCTTCCTCATAGTAGAGATGGAGTAGAGAGAGGGATTTCAGAAAAACTTTGTAGTGGAGCTATGAGAGTTTAGAAAGAATAAATTAATTATTTAGAGAAGGAAAGGCCTTCTGTGCATAGGGAACAGCATTTGCAAAGGCACAGAGGCACAGGACAAGTAATTGGATTTGGCTAGAGTAGGACATGAGTTAAAAAGACAGAATTCAAACCATAGGAATCTGGAGCACGCCAGGTCAGACACTAAGCAGAAGAAAAGAGAACAATGGAGTCTTATGGAGAAGCAATAGAAAGTACAGAAGCCCCCTAATGGAAAACTTACCAGAGACACTTGCCAAGAGTCAATCTAGAAAAAGGACATGGCTCTACTCCTGGGGTACTGGGGCATGAGTGAATGTGGGTCACATTTAAGGCAGCCTGATAATGCCTGCTGCAAAAAAGTCATTGTTTCTCCTGTGTTGGTTCTTTGAGTCTCATTAGTGAACATCTCAGTGCACAGACACTCTAATTAGATTGGTTTGGGTTCCTAGATTAGATCTGAATTTTTACAAATGTTTCTTCCCACCAAAGCCATTACTCTTCAAAAGCCGGAGCAGTGCACAGACTTACTTCAGAGAATTTTCCTGGCCCCCGGGACCCTAATTAAAGGAAGGTCTAGACAAAGAGGAGAGCTTTGCCTATCTTTCTGAACATAGGGTGGTGGTGTCACAGAGCGATTTTTACTGCCAGTTAACTTTGTGTCTATGGTAGTTCTTTTGAGGATTTTCTGCAACTGTCTGCCCTATTGCTGCTGCAATGGAAATATTCAATTGAGGCAGCTCTTATCAATGGGTGGAATGCTTCAGAAGAGATTGGTTATGGCTCATTGGAGCTTTATTCAGATCTTACAGGAAGAAGGCCTAACAATGGAATTGATGTTTTTTGGGGGAAGCCAGTGTTTACATGAGTGGACGGAAGGCGGAACAGAGAAATAGGGAGCTCAGTGCTCTATCTTAGAAGCTTGTTATAAAAGTGATCAGTCATCCTGTAGTTTCTAGTAGTTCTTTCTAGCTGTATTTAGCTATTAACTTCTGGAATGTCCTAGCTTGGAATTGATAATTTTGTGGCTTTCAGAATTTCTACGTTTTCTTATAATAAAACCAAATGGTTAGTTCTATATATCTGTGGTTTATGATACTTCATTATTTTCCATATGGTCAGGATAGACCAACTATCTTCTTATGAGTGTTCAAGTGAGTAGTTGGTTTTATTATTCTAATTTTTCAGGTACAAAATTGAGGGCTTAGGGTAGTTACAGTTTATATCACTTGTTCTATAGGCAACTGGGGGAGCTGGGATAAAAACCAAACTTCTTCTATGACTAATGTTAAGTAAAATTTGAATAAGTTCAGAATGAATCATGATGATGATATATTTTATCTTTAAGAATATTTCCTAGTTTTGTCCACTTAAAAGAGCTAGAAGTAATGATAGCATAGTAGATATGAACATCTGTAGTGTTTCCAGTGTGGTTTCCAAATACCATTTCCTAATAAAAGGTAACAGATCTTCTTGGGAAAAAAAATGATTTTCAAGAAAAAGACTTATTCTAGGTCTTAGGTAGGAAAATGACAAGATGGAACTGAAATATTTTGTTATGTCAGAAAGCAATTAACCTATCCACCAAGATATGGAGTGTCATCATAAAAGGACTCGAAAGCCTACCAGCTTCCACTGGTCAAAATAAGGCAATCTGAGCATCAATAAAGATAATAATTATAATGGGTTAAAACATAATAAAAATGTTTAGATCCATGATTTCATAAAGATATTATTTAAAAATCACCTGATTACTAGATTTGGAAATACTAGGGAACCTATTTTTTGTTTTGAAAACGAATCAATAGGAAGAATAAAACATTTACCTTGTTGGTTCTATACAATTTCAAATTCAAGGTTACCAAATAAGTGAAATGAAATTTCTCTTTATAGTGGTCTTGTACCTAATCAATTATGAAGGAATAATAGAATATCACCATTTTAAATTACTAGATCTGCAAAATATTTGTCCATGGTTACAACATCATAAAAAGACAATTAGACATCATGTGACTTCTAATGGAAGTATACCTAACAACTCATGAGGAGTCTTGCGTAAAATATTGCTCCTCAGTTTGATCAAATCTAGATTTAACTTCCAATTCATGGGAGATATAGGGAACCATAACATAAGATAATATGATCAGAAAAAAATTATACTGTCAGAAGCACTACAGGAGAATTTTTTTTTATTTAAAAAAAGCATATTTTTAAACAAATACATTGCAAGAGGAGAGTGATAGAATGAGGAGATCCTGTAGATTAAAAGAAACGTAAGAGACATGCAAACCATATATAGCCTTGTTTTGCAGCCTGATCTGAACAAACTTTTTTTCTCATCATACATTTATTTATTTATTTTTAAATTGACACAAAATTGTATGTATTTATGTGAACCATGCGATGTTTTAAAGTATACATACATCGTAGAATGATTAAATCTAGCTAATTAACATATGCATTACCTCACATAGTTATCATTTCTGTGATGAGAATACTTTACACCAACTCTCTTGGCTTTTTTCAAAAATACAATGTATTATTAACTATAGTCAACATGTTGTACAAGAGATCTGTTGAAATTTACTCCTCCTATCTGAAATTTTTTATACTTTGACCAACATCTCCCCAACGGCCACCACATCACCCCAGTCTCTAGTAACCACCAGTCTACTCTCTATTTATATAAGATCATTTTTTTGAGCAAGCTTTTTTTTTAAATTGGAAAACCAAGAAATGTTGAATCTTCATTAACTATTTCATGATTTTAAAGAATTTTTGTTGGTACTAGAGTTATTTTTAAAAGCAAGAGTCTTTATATGTAGATCTTCTTAAAATATTTACAGATGAAGTGAAATGATGTCTGATTTTGCTTCAAAATAATCTGAGGGAGTGGTTAGGAGTATAGATGACATAAAGTTGGTTGCAAGTTGATCATTATTGAAGATGAATGAGGAGGTACACAGTCTTATTTTAATGTATTTGAAATTTTCCTTAATACAAAGAATGAGAGAGGACCCAGATATTTCTGACTCCACGGACAATGTTCTTATTTTATGTTCTATACTCTTGTTTAATTTATTTATTTATTTATTTATTTATTTATTTATTTATTTATTTATTTTGAGGTGGAGTTTCGCTCTTGTTGCCCAGGCTGAAATGCAATGGTGCAATCTCGGCTCACTGAAACCTCCACCACCCGGGATCAAGCAATTATGCCTCAGCCTCCTGAGTAGCTGGGATTACAGGTGCCTGCCACCATGCTCAGCTAAGCTTTTTTTTTTTTTTTTTTTTTTTTTTTTGCATTTTTAGTAGAGATGGGGTTTCACTATATTGGCCAGGCTGGTCTTGAACTCCTGACCTCAGGCGATCCACCCGCCTCAGCCTCCCAAAGTGCTGGGATTATAGGTGTGAGCCACTGTGCCCAGCCTATACCCTTATTTTTAATAAGCTCATTGTTAAGGGTTACCAGACAAAATAAGAATTACAAGCACCCATGCTAGAAAACTCCATTTGCTTCCCAACTCCCTTAGCCATAGCTTATACCTAAGCAGATTTTATATGATGGGAGCTTAACATATATGTTTACTGAGCTAAATAATAGCTATATAGGTGAAACATACAGATACCAATAATTATTTGACATGTTGAACATGTATGGAGGAAAAACTCTGAAACAGGAATCAAAAACCTTTAATTCTGACTCTAGATCAGTTGCATTAGAGTTGAGACATTTTAGGCTTCTCTGAGTTTGAGTAGGAATAGTAATTACCTTTATAGATCTTTTGAGAGGCTCCAGTGAAATATTGTATGTAAACATCTCTACTAAAGCTATAGTGTTATATCAGTGTAAGATACTCTTATTGATTAGTACAAAATTTAGATGCCATGAGACCGCAGAGAAGGAAATGATTCTCACAAACTTTGGAGCTCTGAAGATTTCATGGATGAGCAAGTACATAAGTTGAACCTTGGAGAACAGAAAATGCTTAGTCTGGCAGAAAGGATGCTACAGAAAGAGAACACAGAAAGATCAAGGATTCAGAGTAGGAATGAATTTAGCATTTAAGGGGCACAGGGTGATGGAGTCAGACAGTGTCAGAACTGAAAGGGATCTTAGAAATTGTCCAGAACAAATACTTTATTTAAGTGTTGAGAAAACTAAGGCCGTGATAGGATAAGTGTTTTACCCAGGATGAAAATAGCTAGTAAGTGACTGAGCCAACGACTTCAAATCACATCATTTTTCCTCCTATGAAAGCTTCCTCTTAGTAGTAAAATTTAGACTACTAGAGCTGAGGATGTAAGATTGATTAAGCAGGGTGAGATCAATTGATTTTTTTTAAGTCTTTGACTGTTAGATTTTAGATATTATCTCTTATGTAATTGAGAGTCTTGGTAGATTTTAAGCAAGAGAGTTATAGGAAGAAGCAGTGGGTTGAGAATAATGTGCTTCATACATAGGAAGGACTAAAGGTTGAAACAGCAAGATGCTACACGATGCTACTGCAGTTTCTCATATGTGAGGATGAGGACTGCCAGAAAGGTACGCTGATGCTGGTGGGATAGAGAAAAAGAGTGACACTCTTAAGAGGAAAATTAAAAGTGATCAATGACAGATCCAAAATAACTATATAGGACCATGTAGGACTGTAAGTGTATTCATATATTATAAAATTTTGCAAAGAAGAGTGTAAAGAAGATATGTTTTTTATGATAGAGCCATCCCTATCCCACTCCTCCATGTAATAGATATTTCACAAACAGTGAGAAACCTGAGATTCAGAGAGAAGAGTTGATTTATTCAAGTTCTCATAGGTGGCAAATGATTGAGTCAAAACTCAAGTCTAGTGCCATTTCCACAACCTAGGATTTCTTAACCCGGGATTCATAGATCTTCCAGGAGTTAATGACTAAGCTTCAGTTATTCACTAAGCCCTATAGAGATATACGCAAATATTTTGAATTACTCATTTTAATGTGTGTGTGTGTGTGTGTGTGTGTGTGGTAGGGGTAGTTAGTGGGAAAGAGAATGTGTGTATGTAGGTGGGTGGGTAGGAAGCCAGTGGGAAAGAATGTTCATAACTTTTACTAAATCCTCAAAGTTATCTTTGATTCCCCAAAACTTAAAAACTTAAAGGTACCTAGTGATATATTTAAAGCAATATTATTTTGGATAAATATTTAATCAAGTTATATTTCTCTCCTCTCAAAAGTTTGTCTTTCCCATCTAATCCACCCCGGATAGTATCTTGGAGTGTGGGGAAGTTTACATGTCTTTATAATGGGAGTAAACACCTGGGCTACATGTGTGTGTCTGTTACCCGTGGGGTTTTGCAGGTATCCATGGAAGTGTTTCTTGTCTTGATTTCCAAGAATCATACTGATATTGTCAAGTGAAGATTGTGGCTGCTAATGGTATTCCAAGCATCTTCTTTTGGCATGGCTAGAGATCGATGACTTGGCTCTATCTTGATTCCTATTTGGGCTTCAATTCTGCTTCTTGCATCCTAGGTCTGTCCTCCATCCAGCCTCTGTCTTAGACCCTGCCCTCTGCCATCTCTGTTGTATATCACTATAGAAGCTGCATGGGTAGGCTTGGAATCTCTCGACTACTAAAAGTTGTTCAGCACTGAGGACATGGAAATATCTTGTTTCCTTCCATACTACATGGCTGCAAAGAGTAATTTTGGGGTGACATCTCTGGTCCACTCTAAACATGAATATTCTTTAAAATCATTTTTGTCTCAACTATAACTACTGCGGTTGTCAGAGGGTCTCAGTCTTCAATTTGTGTCTCCTAAAGAGGAGCAATAACATTTCATAAGATTGTGGTAATAAGAAGTAGTATGTTTATAAATGTCTTAGAATACTTTCTGGCACTTAAAGGACAATTTCTATTATTATTATTATATTATTATTTTATTATCATGTATTAGGTCGTTTTCCTCTTAGTATTCTTGATGCTACCACAAAGCTTGAAACAGAATAGAAACTTAGTAAATATTTGATTAATGAATGAAATCAACTCAGGGAGGAGGTCCTATGTGGTGCTAAAATAACAGCAAAAAGCAATCAGAAAACCCTTAACTAACTTCTCAGTTTACCTACAGGTATTCCAGAAAATATATGTTTGGTATGTCAAAACTACTAAAATATCTGTGTTTCAAATTATATTCTCCAGAAGTATATACTGTCTGAAGAAACTAGATAGTTTCTGAATGTTTTCTACAAACTATTTGTTTACTTTGTGACACTAACTTACATTCAAAAGATACCTTGTTTTGTATTTTTATATTCTGTGCTCCATCCACATTTGGTAGTTCCAAACTTAGATTGAAATTACTTAGAAAGTATACACACACACACACACACACACACACACACATTAAGTTATGATGAACTTTTGGCAGACAATGAAGTCTTGTCGCTTTTTTTTTTTTTTTTTGTACAATCCTGGAGTAAAGCACTTCACAATTCATAGCTTGACTCTATCCTTTATGTTCCTTGCTTTTAGCTACTCAGCCGTTCTAAACAACTGAGCAGTTGCCATCTAGTGGGAAAAAACTATAATGGCATAAAGGAAGCTGAATTCAAAACAATCATTAAGATGAATATACCTGGAAGAAGGAAGTTAAATCCATCCACAAATTTTGCGATAATAGTATCATTTGTTACTAAATGTGTATATTGGAGCTATAGGGAAATATCTGAATTTTAAAAATGTTTTCAATTCAATGTAAGAGAAAATTATAACCACAATAAGATGTCACCACATACCTATTAGAATGATACAACAACAACAATAACAAATGACAGTACCAAATGTGGATAAGGATGTTAGGCAATCAGAATTCACACACACTGCTGATGAGAATGAAAAAATGTTACAGCCACTCAGGAAAACAGTTTGGCAGTTTCTTATAAAGTTAAACATAAACTTACCATAAATCCAGCAATCTGAGAAATATATCTTTGTTCCAGTTCTTACAGGAAATGTTTTCAACTTTTTCCTATTCAGTGTGATGTTTCCTGTGTGTATATTATATATGGCCTATATTTTTTTGAGGTATGTTGCTTCTATGTATAGTTTTTTAATTTTTTTATCATGAAGTCATGCTGAATTTTATTAAATGCTTTTTCTTTGTCTATTGAGATGATCATATCGTTTTTGTCTTAATTTTATGTGATGTATCATATTTATTAATTTGAGAATATTGAGCCATCTTTGCATCCCTAGCATAAAAACCATTTGATCATGGTGTATAATCTTTTTGATGTGATGTTGGATTGGGTTTGCTAGTAATGAACAAAGATTTTTGCATCTTTGTTCATTAGGAAAATTGGTTTATAATTTTCTATTTTTGTTGTGTCCTTGCCTCGTTTTGGTATCAGGATGATACTGGCATGGTAGAATGTATTAGGAAGAATTTTCTCTTCTTTGATTTGAACGATTTTAGGAGGATTGGTATTAGTTCTTCTTTGTATATCTGGTAGAATTTGGTTGTGAATATCACAATCTGGTCCTGGTCCTGGTCCTGGGCTTTTTTTTTTGTTGAGAGATTGTTTTGTTATTGATCCTATCTTATTATTGATCTGTTCAGATTTTCTATTTCTTCCTGGCTCAATACGGGGAGGTTGTACATTTCCAGAAATTTATCCATTTCCTCTAAGTTTTCTATTTTATGAGCATGTAGTTGTTCATAATAGTCTCTGATGAACTTTCATGTTTCTGTGGCATTAATTTTAATGTCTCCTTTTTCATTTCTGATTTTGTTTATTTGGTTATTCTCTCCTCTTGGTTAGTCTAGCTAGAAGTTTATCAGTTTTGCCTCTCTCCTATTTAACATAGCACTGGAAGTCCTAGCCAGAACGATCAGGCAAGAGAAAGAAAGAAAAGGCATCCAAATTGGAAAGGAGGAAGTCAAGTTATTCCTGTTTGCTGATGATATGATCTTGTATTTAGAAAAAACTAATGACTCCACAAAAAAACTCCTAGATTTGATAAGTGAATTTAGTAAAGTTGTAGGATATAAAATCAATGTATAAAAATAAGTAGCATTTGTAGAAACCAAAAGATCTAGCAGATAAAGAAATAAAGAAAGCAGTATTATTTACAATAGCAACAAAAAAAGAGTACCTGAGAATAAATTTCACAAAAAAAGTTATATTAGGGTTCTCCAGAGGGACCGAACTAATAGGATATGTGTGTGTGTATATATACATATATATGTGTGTGTGTGTGTGTGTGCGCACATATATATATATGAGAAAGGGAATTTATTAAGGAGAATTACTCACACAATCACAACGTGAAGTCCCACAGTAGGCCATCTGCAAGTTGAGGGGCAAGGAAGCCAGTAGTGGCTCAGTCTGAGTCCCAAAACCTCAAAAGTAGGGAAGCCGACAGTGCAGGCTTTCATCAGTGGCTGAAGGCCTGAGAGCCCCTGGCAAACCACTGGCGTAGGTTCAAGAGTCCAAAAACCAAAGAACTTGGAGTCTGATGTTCAAGAGCAGGAAGCATCCCTCACAGGAGAAATAGAAAGGCGGGAAGACTCAGCAAGTCAGCTTCTTTCACCTTCTTCTGCCTGCTTTCTCTAGCCATGCTGATAGTTGATTGGATGGTGCTCACACATAATGGGAGTGGGTCTTCTTGAGGGTGAGTCTTCCTCTCTCAGTTCACTGACTCAAATGTTAATCTCTTCTGGCAACACCCAGATACATCCAAAAACAATAATTTCCCTCCTTCAATCCAATCAGCTTGACACAATATTAACCATCACAGAAGGTGAAAGATGTCTACAAGGAAAACTACAAAACAATGATGAAATAAATTGTAGATAACACAAATAAAAAATCTCATTCTCACGGACTGGAAGAATTAATATTGTTAACATGACTATACTGCTCAAAGCAATCTACAGATTCAATGCATTTTTTATCAAAATACCAACAATTTTGCACAGAATTAGAAAAAGCAATTTAAAAATTTTATGGAATCAAAAATGAACCAGAAGACTCAAAACGTCTTAAGCAAGAAGAACAAAACTGAGAGAATCACATTACCTGATTTTATATTCCAAGGCTATAATAATCAAACCAGCATGATACTGGTATAAAAATAAAAAGACACATGGATCAATAGAACAGAATAGAGAATCCAGAAATGAAGCCACATAACTACAACCAACTGATCTTTGATAGACCTGACAAGAACATACATTGGGAAAAGGATACTCTTTTCAATAAATGGTACTGGGAAAATCGGATTACCATATGCAGATGAATGAAATTGGATCCATATCTCTGGCCGTATACCAAAATCAACTCAAGATGGATTAAAGACGTAAACATAAGACCTGAAACTATAAAAATGCTAGAAGAATACCTAGGGAAAACTCTTCTGGATATCGGTCTAGGCAAAGAATTTATGACTAACTCCTGAAAAGCACAGGCAACAAAACCAAAAATAGACAAATGGGGCTTAATTAAACTAAAAATCTTCTGCACAGCAAAGGAAATAATTGACAGAGTGAACAGACAGCCTGCAAAATGGGAGCAAATATTTATAAACTATTCATCCAACAGGGAACTAATATTCAGAATTTACAAGGAACTCAAACAACTGAACAAAATCAACAAATAATCCCATTAAAAAGTGGGCAAAGGACATGAATAGACATTTTTCAAAAGAAGACATACAACTGGTATATGAAATAATGCTCAACGTCACTTATCAAGAAAAGCAAATTAAAACCACAGTGAGATATCTTACCCCAGTCAGAATGGCTGTTTTTAAAGAAACAAAATAAATAAATAAATAAATAAAATAACAAATGTTGGTGAGGATGCAAATAAAAGGGAACTCTTATACACTGTTAGTGGGAGCGTAAATTAGTCCAACCTCTATGGAAAACAGTATGGAGTTTTCTCAAAAAAATCTAAAAAACAGCTACTATTAGATACAGCAATCCCACTCTAAGCTATCTGCTCAGAGGAGAAGAAATCAATATATCAAAAAGATACCTACACTGTTACGTTTATCACAGCACTATTCACAATAGCAAAGATACAGAATAAACATAAGCATCCATCAGTGGATGACTGGGTAAAGAAAACGTATATATATATATATATATATATATATATATATATATATATATACACACACACATATACATACACACACAATGGATACTATTTAGACAGCAAAAAGAATGAAATTACATCTTTTGCAGCAACATGGATGGAACTGGAGGTCATTAAGTGAAACACAGAAAGTCAAACACAGAAAGTCAAATATTGCATGTTCTCACTCATAAATGGGTGCTTAAAAAAGTGTACATACGGACATACAGAGTGAAATGACAGACACCCAAGACTCGCAAAGGTGAGGAAGTGAGAGAGCTGGATGATAAGAAATTACTTAATGGGTACAATGTATGTTATTTGAGTGATGGATACCCTAAAAGCCCTGACTTGAGCACTATAACAATCTATGCTTATAACAAAATTACACTTCTACCCAGTAATTTATACAAATAAAAAAGAAAAATATATCTTTGCACAATATATTTTAATAATACTTATAGCAGATTTATCCCTAATCTTCTATAGCTGGAAAGATACCAAATGTCCATCAGGTAATTAATGGATAAAGTGTGGTATATCCATATAATGGAATACCCCTCTGCAATATAAGCAAATGAAATATTGGTATACATGACAACATGGATGACTCTCAAATGGATTATGTTAACTCAAACCAGACTCAAAATACTATATATTATATCGTTTTCACTAATATGCCATTATGGAAATTAGAAAACTTTTTGGACAGAAATCAGATCAGTGGTTGCCAGGACATATGGATTGGGAGAGGCTATGAATTATAAACATACATAAAAGAACTTTTGGGATGAGGTAAATGTTCTATCTCGATTGCCTGTAGCAGTGATTACATGAGTAGAAATGTTAATCAAACATCACAGGCCAGGCAAAGTGGCTTATGCCTGTAATCCCATTATTTTAGAGGCCAAGGCTGGGGGATTGCTAGAGCCCAGGAGTTCAAGACCAGCCTGGGCAACATAAGGAGACCCTGTCAGTACAAAAAAATGTTTTAAAAAATTAGCCAGGCATGGTCGTGTGTGCCTGTGGCCCCAGCTACTTAGGATTAGGTGGAAGGATTAATTAAGCCCAGAAGATCAAGACTGCAGTGAGCTGTGATCACACAACTGCACTCCAGCCTAGGAAACAGACCAATAACTTGCCTCAAACAACAACAACAAAAAGTGATAGAATTGTACATGCCTAAAAAGGTGTACCTCAATAAACAAAAAGGAGGGGATAAAATACTTAATAGGTTAAATAATCAGGCATATTTGATCACCAATATTTGAAAAACATAAGAAATATCAGTTATCAGAAATTACAGTATTATAAGCCCAGCAATAAGATATTGAAACAAACAAAAGAGCTCTTCGCACATACATCCAACAGAAGTTTTAAATGGACTCACTCCTTTCCTAATTCCTTTTTAAAATAATTTTAACTTTTATTTTAGATTCTGCGGGTACATGGGCAAGCTTGTTACATGAGTATACTGTGTGAGGTTTATGGTACAATTAATTATGTTACCCAAAGAGCAAGCATAGTACCCAATAGTTAGTTTTTCAACCTTGCCCCTTGCTGTACCATCCCCCTCCAGTAGTACCCAGTGTCTATTGTTGCCATGTATAACTCCCACTTAGAAGTGAGAACATGTGGTATTTAGCTTTCATTTTCTGTTAATTTGTCTAAAATTATGACCTTCAGCTGCATCCATGTTGCTGCAAAGAACATGATTTCACTTTTTTTATGGCTGCCTGGTATTTCATGGTGTATATGTACCCCATTTTCTTTATCCAGTCCGGCATTGATGGACACTTAAGTTTATTCCATGTTTTTGCTATTGTGAATAGTGCTGCAATGAACACACATGTGTCTTTTTGGTAGGATGATTTATTTTCTCTTGGATATATACCCACTAATGCGACTGCTGGGTTGAATAGTAGTTCTGTATTAAGTTCTTTCAGACATCTCCTAACTGCTTTCCACAGTGGCTGGACTAATTTACATTCCCACCAAAGGTGTACAAGCATTCCCTTTTCTCCACAAGCTCATCAACATCTGTTGATTTTTACTTTTTAATAATAGCCATTCTGATGGGTATGAGATGGTATCTCATTGTGGTTTTGATGTGCATTTTCGTGGTGATTAGTGATGAGCATTTTTTCATGTTTGTTGGCTGCTTGTATGTATTCTTTTGAGAAGTGTCTATTCATGTCCTTTTCTCATTTTTTAATGAGGTTATTAGCTTTTCGTTGGTTGAATTAAGTTTCTTATAGATTCTGGATATTAGACCTTTGTTAGATGCATAGTTTGTGAATATTTTCTACAATATGTAGGTTGCCTCTTTACTCTGTTGGTAGTTTCTTTTGCTGTGCAAAAGATCTTTAGTTTAATTGGATCCCATTTGTCAATTTTTCTTTTTATTGCGGTTGCTTTTGAGGATGTAGTCATAAATTCTTTCCCAAGGGTGATTTCCAAAATGGTGCTTCCTATGTTTTATTTAGGATTCTTAGAGTTTAAGGTCTTACATTTAAATCAATCTTGAGTTAATTTTTGTACATGATGAAAAGTAGGGGTCCAGGTTTATTCTTCTGCATATGGATAGCAAGTATCTCAGCACCATTTATTGACTAGAAAGTCCTCTCTCCATTGCTTATTTTTGTTGACTTTGTCAAGAGCAGGTGGCTGTAGTTGTGCAGCTTTATTTCTGCGTTCTCGGCCCCATTGGTCTATGTTTCTGTTTTTGTACCAGTGCCATACTGTTTTGGTTAATGTAGCCTTACAGTATAGTTTGAAGTCAGGTGATGCAATGCTTTAAGCTTTGTTCTTTTTGCTTAGGATTATTTTGGCTATTTGGACTTTTTGTTGTGTTGTTCCATATGGATTTTAGAATAGTCTTTTTTTAATTCTGGGAAAAAGAATGTTGGTCGTTTGATAGAAATAGCATTGAATCTATAGACCACTTTAGGCAGTATGGCCATTTTAATGATATTGATTCTTCCAATCTATGAGCATTGAAGATTATTCCATTCGTTTTTGTCATCTGTTGTTTTTTTATTTATTTTTTTGCAGTATTTTGTAGTTCTTCTGTAGAAGTCTTTTACCTCCTTGCTTGAATGTATTCCTAGGTATTTTATTTATTTTTGGCTATTGTAAATAGGATTGCATTCTTGATTTGGTTCTCAGCTTGAACTTTATTGGTATTTACAAATTCTACTGAATTTTTTACATTGATTTTGTGTCCTGAAAGTTTACTGAAGTCTTTTATCAGTTCCAAGAGTCTTTTATTGAAATCTTTAGGGTATTCCTGGGATAAAATTATATCATCAGCGAAGAGAGAGAGTTTGACTTCTTTTCCTATTTGGTTGCCTTTTATTTCTTTCTCTTGTCTGATTACTCTGGCTACAACTTACAATATTATCTTTAATAGGACTGGTGAGAGTGGGCATCCTTGTCTTGTTCCCCTTCTCAAGGGGAATGCTTCTAGCTTATGCCCACTTAGTATGATGTTGGCTGTGGGTTTGTCATAGAAGGCTTTTATTATTTTGAGGTATGTTCCTTTAATAACTAGTTTGTTGAGGGTCATTATTATGAAGGGATGTTGAAATTTACTGAAATCTTTTTCCACCTGTATTGAGATGATATGGTTTTTGTTTTTAATTCTGTTTATGTGAATCACATTTATTGATTTTCGTATTATTTGCATGGGTTTGCATATGTGGAACCAACTTTGCATCCCAGGAATAAAACCTACTTGATCGTGGTGGTTTAGCTTTTTGCTGTGCTGCTGGATTCAGTTTGCTAGCATTTGGTGGAGAATTTTTGCATCTGTGTTCATCAGGGATATTGGCCTGAAGTTTACTTTCTTCATTGTGTCTCTGCCAGGTTTTGGTAGCAGGATGATGCTGGCCTCATAGAATGAGTTAGGGAGGAGTCTCTTCTTGAAATCTTGGAATAATTCCAGTAGAATTGTGCTAGTTGTGTTTTATATGTCTGGTAGAATTCAGCTGTGAATTCTTCTCCAGGGCTATTTCTGGTTGGTAGGATTGTATTACTGATTCAGTTCTGAAACTCATTATTGGTCTGTTCAGGATTTCATTTTATTCCTGGTTCACTCTTGGGAGGTTGTATGTTTCCAAGAATTTATCCATTTCCTTTAGATTTTCTAGTTTTTGTTCATGGAGGTGTTCATAATGGTTTCTGGAGAGCTTTTGCATTTCTGTGGGATATGTTGTAATAGCACTTTTTTAGTTTCTTATTTGGATCTTCACTCTTTTTCTTTTTTATTCTAGCTAGTGGTTTATTGATCTTATTTATCCCTTCAAATAACCAAGTTTTGGTTTTGTTGATTCTTTGTGTGGATTTTGGGTTATCAATGTCATTCACTTCTGATCTTTAGTTATTTTTTTCTTCTTTTAGCTTTGGGGATAGTTTATTCTCATTTTTCTAGTTTTTCTTGGTGTGATATTAGGTCATTAACTTTAGATCTTTATAATATTTGATGTAGGACTTTAGTACTGTAAACTTTCCTCTTACCGCTGCTTTTGCAGCATCCCAGAGATTTTGGTATGTTGTGTCTCAGCTTTTATTTATTTCAAAGAATTTTTTTATTTCTGCCTTAATTTCATTATTCAACCAAAAGTCATTCAGGAGTGACTTGTTTAATTTCCATGTAATTGTGTGGTCTTGAGAGTTCGTCTTGGTATTGGTTTCTTTTTTTATCTCACTGTGGTCCAAGAGTATAGTTAGTATGATTTTGATTTTTAAAAATGTATTTAGACTTGTTTTGTGGCCAAGTGTGTGGCCAATCTTGGAGTATGTTCCATGTGCAGATGAGAAGAATGTATATTCTGTGGTTGATGAGTGGATTATTCTGTAGATGTCTATTAGATCCAGCTTGTCAAGTGTCAAATTTATGTCCAGAATTTACTTGATACTATTCTGCCTCAATGATCTATCTAATGCTGTCAGTGGTGTGTTGAAATCCTACCTATTATTCTGCAGATGTCTAAGTATTTTCACAGGTCTAGAAGTGCATGTTTTATGAATCTGGGTGCTCCAATGCTGAGTGCATATATATTTAGGATAGTTAGCATATATATTGAGGATAGTTAAGTCTTCTGGTTGAATTGAACCTTTATCATTACGTAATGCCCTTCTTTTTTTTTTGGTTTTTGTTGTCGTTTTTATTGTTGTTGGTTTAAAGTCTGTTTTATCTGATATAAGAATAGCAATTCCTTTTCCTTTTTGTTTTCCATTTGCATGACAGATCTTTCTCCAACTCTTTGATTGAGCCTATGGGGGTCATTACATGTGAAAGATGCCCTTCAAGACTGCAGATGGTATATTATTTTTGGGTGTAGCTATTGTCAATGGGATTGTGTTTTTGATTTGGCTCTTAGCTTCAATGTTATTTGTGTTTAGAAATGCTACTGCTTTTTGTACATTGATTTTTTATCCTGATGGGTCTTTTTTTTTAACCCAACTTGGAATTCTGTGCATTTTACGTGAGGCATTTAGAGCATTTACATTTATGGTTGATATAGATACATGAGGTTTTGATCCTGTCATAAAGTTGTTAGCTGGTTATTTTCTAGTTTCCATGTGTGGTTGTTGTATAGGGTCTGTGTGCCATATATTTTGGTGTGTCTTTGTGATAGCAGGTATAGTTCTCTCATTTCTGTTTATAAAACTCCCTTAGGATTTTTATTAGGCCATTATTGTGTTGCCACAAAGGAATACCTGAGGCTGGGTAATTTATAAAGAAAACAGGTTTACTACAGAATGGGAAAAAATATTTGCAAACTGTGCATCTGACAAAGGTCTAATATCCAGCATCTGGAAGGAACTTAAACAAATTCACAAGAAAAAAACAACCCCATTAAAAGTGAGCAAAAGATATGAACAGACGCTTTTCAAAAGAAGACGTGTGGCCAAAAAGCATATGAAAAAAAGCTCAGTATCATTGATCATTACAGAAATTCAAATCAAAACCACAATGAGATACCATCTCACACCAATTAGAATGGCTATTATTAAAAAGTCAACAAATAACAGATGCTGGCAAGGTTGTAGAGAAAAGGGAACACTTGTACACTGTTGGTGGGACTGTAAATTAGTTCAACCATTGTGGAAGACAGTGTGGCAATTCCTCAAAGTCCTAAAGACAGAAATGCCATTTGACCCAGCAATCCCACGACTGAGTGTATACCCAAAGGAATATAAATTATTCTGTTATAAAGACACATACCACACGTTTACTGCAGCACTATTCACATAGAAAAGACAGAATCAACCCAGGTGCCCATAAATAGTTGTCTGGATAAAGAAAATGGCGTACGTATACACCATGGAATACTAGGCAGCCATAAAAAGAATGAAATCGGCTGAGCGCAGTGGCTCATGCCTGTAATCCCAGCACTATGGGAGGCCAAGGTGGGCAGGCAGATCACGAGGGTCAGGAGATTGAGACCACCCTGGCTAACACGGTGAAACCCTGTCCTTACTTAAAAAAAAAAAAAAATTAGCCAGGCGTGGTAGCTGGCACCTGTAGTCCCAGCTACTAGGGAGGCTGAGGCAGGAGAATGGCGTGAACCCGTGAGGCAGAGCTTGCAGGGAGCCGAGATCGTGCCACTGCACCGCACTCCAGCCTGAGCGACAGAGCAAGACTCCGTCTCAAAAAAAAAAAAAAAGAATGAAATCATATCCTTTACAGCAACGTGGATGCAGTTGGAGGCCATTATCCTTCACAAATTGATGCAGGAATAGAAAACCAAATACTGCATGCTCTCACTTAAAAGTGGGAGCTTAATGAGGAGAACTTATGAACATAAAGAGGCAACAACAGACTGGGACCTGCTCGAGGGCGGAGGATGGGAGGAGGGAGAGGAGCAGAAAAAATATCCATTGGATACTAGGCCTGGTACCTTGGTGATGAAATAACCTGTACAACAAACCCATATGACATGAGTTTACCTATATAACAAACCTGCACATGTACCCCTGAATCTAAAATGAAAGTTTTAAAAGAAGGATTTTTAATGGGATTATTATTCTGCAGGATGTATAGGAAGCATGACACCAGCATCTGCTCAGCTTCTGAGGAGGCCTCAGGGAACTTTTACTCATGGGAGAAGGTGAAGTGGGAATAGGAATGTCACACAGCCAGAGTAGGAGCCAGAGACAGAAGGGAGGTGCTACACACTTTTAAGCAACCAGATCTTGCAAGAACTCACTTGCTACTGCAAGAACAGCCCCAAGCCATGGGGAATCTACCTCCATAACCCACACATCTCCCACCAGGCCCCATCTCCAACATTGGTGACTATATTTTAACATGAGATTTGCAGAAACAAATATCTGAACTATACCGAGATCTCTTATAATGTTACTCTTATGGTAACAAATTCACTTAGCACTTGCTTGTCTGGCAAATACTTTACTTCTCTGTTGCTTTTGAAGCTTGGTTGGGCAGGATATTAAATTCTTGGTTGGAATTTATTTTCTTTAGGAATAGGCACCCAGTCTCTCCTGGCTTATAAGGTTTCTGGTGAGAAATCCACCATTAGCCTGATTAAGTTTCCTTTGTACGTAATGTGGCCTTTTTCTCTAGCTGCCTAAAGATTTTTTTCTTTAGCATTGACCATAAACAGTCTGATGACTGTATGCCTTGGTGATGTTTGTTTTGTATAGTATCTTACAGGTGTTCTCTAGGTTTCTTGTATCTAAATGTCGTCTACCTCTCTAGCAAGATCAGTGAAATTTTCTTGAATTATTTCCTGAAATATGTTTTCCACGTTGCTTACTTCTTCTCTTTCTCAGCAATACCAATAATTTATATATTTGGTCACTTTAAATAATCCCATATTTCTCTGAGACTTTGTTCATTAAAAATATGTATATTTTATTCTGACTGGGTTAATTTGAAAAGCCAGTCTTCGTGCCCTGAAATTCTTTCTTCTGATTGTTTTAGTCTGTTGATAAAGCTTTCAATTGTATTTTAAAATTCCTTAAGTGAGTTTTTTAATTCCAGAAGAACTGAATGATTCTTTTAAAGATATTTATCTTCTTTTTAATTTTCCAGATTGCTTTAGAAGTTTCTTTGTGTAGATTTTTAACTTTGTCTTGTACCTCAGTTAGCTTCCTTGAAATACATGCTTCGAATTCTTTATCTGTCATTTCTGAATTTCCATTTTGGTTAGGGATCATTGCTGGAGGGCTAATAGGAGCGTTTGGTGGTGTCACTACATTCAGATTTTTCATAGTGTCAGAAAATTTGCACTGATTCCTACTCATCTGAAGACACTGGCACTTCTAATTATTTTAAATTATTTTTATGAAAGTAAGATGTTTTCTTTTTCTGTATTTCCCTACAATGTTATTAATATATTTTTTTCTCTTCTCTTTCTTATTGGAACATCATTAAATGATAGAACCAGCTTTAGAGAGAAATCTTGGAGAGGGGAGGAGCTGGCCTAGAGAGAGATTTCTGGGAAAGGAGAGATTCTTGGAGAGGGTAGGAGCTGGGCTAGAGAGATTCCTGGGAGCATTTGGTCTCCCAGGAATCTGGTGAGAGGGAGTAGAATCCACCAATTTCTAATAATCATCTACATTTTTTTTCAGAAATTTCAGTCGTTTATAATTTGTCCTAGGGTTTATAGATATGCCTACTTTTTATCTCCAGGCTCCTTTACTTTGACTTCCTCTATAACAATGAATCCACCTAGCACTGCATGTAGGGGTAGACATATACCAATGAATATATTTCAGTCACATTTTTTATTTTATGAAGTATTTGTACTATTATATATTGCACACTCCTGTAGGCAAGTCAGGCAGTTATTACTATTTCAAATATTCTGTACTATCAAATAGGCTATTTTAAAATTCCATTTCTTAATTTCTGAAGTGACACTCTGAAGTAACAAGTTCTACACATTTATGAAAAAACAATACTAATTCTTTTACATTTAATGGTGAATATGGCATTAAATGGCTTCATAATAGGGTTGGCTGTTTTAAAAATGACTCAAAATAAGCATAAACACAACAAACAAGTCATAAGCTATAGAATAACGAGATGGCTCAGACTAAAATAGCCATAATGAGCAATAGTGACATCTTGGGGTAGGATAAGAATCGTCTATTTGTGTGTACTTTTTCTTTGTGCATAACTTTATTTATAAATATACGTTGAAAGTTGTTAAGCTTAGAAACATTGGCATTCTCATTTAACAGATGAAATAAAGTAGGATTTAAAAGAAGGGTCATTTGCCCAGCATAACATTGCTGAGATGTGGAAAGACTTGAGACTCAGATTGAGTCCTCCTCTTTATTGTTCTCCTTCCATAACTTCAGTATCATTTTCTTAATGCAGGCACAGGTCTGCCTTGCACTAGATTTCTCCTGATAATACATGTATCCAGAGTTTTAAGAGAAGGCCAAAGGGAGAGAAACTCAAGGTCAATAATATCTACTATATCTCAACTAGGGAAAGAATTTCTTCAGGTCTTGGAGTCCTGTTATCTAGGAATATAAGCTACCTACTCTGGGGACCAAGGTACAGCTATTATGCAGATAATACTCTGCTTCTCCAAACATCTCTTTTCACATTCAGCCTTCTGCATAGGGGACCTCTTGTGAGTGTTTTATCCACTACAAGTTTTCCAATGGAATCAATCATCCTATCACATAGCTTAATAAAAAAAAAAATCTTGACAGGAAACATGTTCCAGGTTAGGAACAATCTTAATTTTAGTTTTAAAATAGAAAGTGAGGACTTTATTATCTCTGCTCAGGACCTTTAAGGCTCCTCATATTTTAAATTGCATTTTGAAGCAGTTAATGTATCATGAGCACCTTCTTTCTTTTAAATCCCCATAGCAATCCTATATAGTTGTAAAAATGAAGAAATTAGAGGTTCAAATATGTTAGGTAATATGCTTCAAGCCATAAACGTGGTAGTTTATGGAATAACTGTTTGTTTCTGCGTCTGTCTGATCCTCAAGCCTTTGCCCAATCTAATATGAAATTTTAGAAGCTGATAATTTTATTTTCTTTAAAACAATATAGTTTTATGACCACCATAATACCAGTATTCTAATATAAGATACAGTTAACTTGCATATATAAAATGATTAATATCTAATGAGCATCTACTGTATTATTACACTTTGTGCTAAATATGTTAAAATATGGTTATACTTAAAATACACTCAAACTCTGAGAGGTGGGTACTATTACCCCTCTTTTAAAGATAAGAAAACTGAGACTGAAAATGGTTTAATGACTTTCCCAATGTTATCCAACATACCAGGTAATGCTGAAGCTGAGATTCAAATCCGGGTGTGTAAATTCCAAAGCCAATGTTTTACATAGTGAGATGCACATGGTCTTTGGAATCCAACAGATCTATTTTTGAATCTCAAGTGTCCCCAAAAGTAAGCCATTGATACTTTTCATTTCTACTTTGTTTATGATTATTTATGAAAATATTTTATTTCCCATACTATAAGCATCTTGACTATAAGCAAGACTATAACGACTATAAACATCTTAAAGCATGGGCTATTTCTATTTAACCATCTTTCCTCCCCTACTAATTACCCTAAACAATAAACGTAGTGTCTACTTTGTAGGGATTTTAAAAAGTGAATGATTAAATACAATGAAAGCACTGAAGTAATGAATGATTTGAAACTGAATGTGAGACAGGTCTGATCCAGTAAGTCGGTTAATTTCTTCATCCACGTATTTGTTTAACAATTATTTACTGATGAGCTGTTATGTTCTCCACATTATGCCAGTTGCTGAACTGATATTCTGTTTGTACATAACAAAGTGGTGTTCTAAGCAGCATCCATTCTAATTGATTTGTCACTGTGCTAGGCCAGTTGCTAACAATTTTGAATATTATCCCTGAGCGATGATAAGAAAAAAGAAGACATGGTCACTGTACTCATGAAAATTTCAAATAGATGTAAAATTACTCATACTATAATAGGAAGAAAGGTACACAGTGTTATGACACCTCATCTACTCCACATAGAAATGCACCTTGGATGGAAAGGGAAGAGAAAATTTCAATCAGTTCCTATATCATAGAAATTATCTTTGCACTTGTGAAGGCTAAAATGACACTACAATTTGATAGGGATCAGTGGTCTCCTGTAAATACCATTCAACTGTTCATCTCCACAATGTTCCTTCCCCCTCTGGTGGATGTGTCAGTAATAAGTTAGGTGATGCAAAGGCCGCTACGGAAGGAGTATTGCACTTCATTAAATGTCTGTTTAAGCGAACTGAAGGTATTATGGGAATGTAAGTGAACTGAAGGTATTGTGGGAATACTTGTTTGTGTGCTTTCAGAGAGTGTACAGATTACTTTATGAATGAATACCGTCTTGTGGGTTAAAGTTTGGGAAAACAGCATCAAGAAAAGGTGATGCTGATATAATAGAATTAAATTGTTTTACTAGTGAGGGCAAGCAGGAAAAGGTAGAATTTATCCAGATAAATAATTTTGATTGCTATAAAAAAAACTTACACCAAAATGAAGTGACCTAGAATGCTGAACACCTTATTTATGTAAATTACTTTTATGTTTTTTAACTTCATTTATTTTTCAGTAGTAGGATAAAGAATGGGTTGCTTAAATATTTTTAAATTAGCTGAGTATGACAAAATAATTTTTATACCTTTCTGATAACAGCAAGGAAGTTGTATATCTGTTCTGGCTCAAGTATGTGTGATATTTTCCTCAGAAACCTTAAAATTACTCAACAGTAGATCCTAAAAAATGATATTTTTCAGTAGTTTGTCCAATTTCTATGTGACAGGACATGATCCAGGATTTTGAGAAGGCAGTGTTTGGTTGAGGGGAGACCGTATTCTTGTGAAGAATTCTGGGAGGCTGAGTCAGTACTATCAGATGTCTAATTATCCAGGAGAACTTTCTTAATCTACTACAAATGTAGCACGTTGCTTATGTCATTAGTAGTTTGTCCCTGTGCTCAGCCTGCTAAGACAAAAAGGGACATGAGTTTTCAGGGAGGAATTTGATGCAGGTGTAGAAACAGGGACTATATAATTCAACCTGGCATACATTTACTGAACACATTTAAGTAGAAAGTACAGTCTGTTCTAGGCATTATGGAGGATCCAAAAACCTAGTGGTCAAGTTTGTTGCCTATTAGAAGCTTAAAATCCCCTTGAGGTACTTTATATGAATCCAGTTTAAATTTATACTAAAAGGTAATATACAATAAATAATATGAAAGGTACAAAATACTCTGGAAGTTTAGGAAAGAAGGCATCACTTTCTGCCATTGGACATGCAAATATAACCATCTTCTTATTTCCTCTCTTAAAGTTCCTTTGTTTTCTCCAGCACCTATTGGGTCAAATCTAAGCTGCTTAGCATTACACACATTCATCCTCCATGAACTGAACCTGCCTACATTTCCCCTTTCATCTTTACTTACCAGTAACAATAAGCTGCTTGTAGCACCTTCTCTTTCCTTTGCTACCCGTTACTCCCAGAATGCCAAACTAAGCACAGTGTCTACAATGTAGCCAATGTTCAAAATATAATTTTTGAATAAATTAATGAATACCCATACTATTCTGCTTCATAACCTCATGCCATATATGCATATATATACCATATATATGCTCTTCTATTTGTGTAGAATATCTTTCTTTACCTGATTAAAATCTATGAACTCATTCTTCAAGACTTACCTGCTTTAACTTCCAAACTCAGTTTCTTTCTCTTTAGAATGGAGATACTAACAGTGTCTTCTTGATAGGACTGTTGTGAGGATTCAATTAGCCATTTTTTATTATAAAGTGCTTAGAACAGTGCTTGGCAGAAAATGAGCACTATGTAAATGTTAACTATCATTGTTAGGTGCGTCAAAATATTGACTAGAACAACTGCAGAACTCTATAGAGGGCAGTCATTGAAGTCTTTATACAAGTGGAAACATCTGAAATGGAAGAATAAGTACTTATTTGACAAGTAGAGTCATAGGTAAGCTACAGAAAGAGAGTAACTATAGGGGAAAATTAGAGTCAGGTAGGGTATAGCACTGGGACATTTGGCCACCTGCCTCCAGCTGCCACACACTATCAAGAGTCAAGTGCTAGAACATGTTTTGGAAAGCATTCTTCCTGCAAGTGTAATTCCCATCTCTTTTACTGTCTCACAGTATCTCTAGTGGGAGCCAATAAAATGGTGAGATAAAAGGAAATTGCAGGTTTGTAATGTTGACTGAAGGGGGCATAAACTGCAAGCTCTCTAGGTAGACTCTGTACTAATTGTAAGCCAGGAAAATTTTATAATAAATGCATCTAAATAATATCTATGGTAGAATATTATGGAATAAAGTAAAAATCTCCCCTGGCTTTTGCTGATGTAGCCCCTCACCCCAACAAACACAGTTTCTTAAATTCCTTAAGGAATTTTGAAGGAGGTAAATTATAGAGGTATATATCTCACACAATATATGTGAAACATTTTATAGATCAGTTAATACTCTTACATTGAATTCCACTATAAAATTAATGGCATTTAAAAAAAGTTATTCTGAATAAGTGGAATGACTACTGTATACCTGGCACTCATCTGAATGTTTGTGTATCCTCTTTCTTCTCCTGAGGGAGGAGCCAATTGAGAAGTTGGGGTAAGTAGAGAGCAGTGGCATGTCAGGGGACACTTTGTGTTTATGTGACCCCAGATAGAAAAAATGAGAAACTGTGTCTAGGAGAAGATGCTGATGGTAACGCCAGAATTGTGTTATGTTCAAACCAGAGCATCAATCAGAGGGGTTGGGCAGAGAATGTGATCATTGAAATATGGATCCAAATGAGGGTGAGAGATGAAGGAAACAGCAATACCAAGACTAAGAAGCAAATGGATAGGTAAATGGAAGCTGATTAAACTCAAGAGATGGAATGTGAGTATCAGTGAGGACTTACGATACACTTCCAGCCTGATTAGCATGAAGAGTCCGGTTTATGTCAAGGAATAGAAAGAGGCAGGCCCTGTTGAGAGTGAAGAAATGAAACCATCACTGCCCTTGAGAAGGCTCTAGTCATGTAAACCAACTATTAATAATTAGAATATAGTGTGATTACCTTTCAAAATGCTGTCGAGCTCCTATGTTAGAGTTGGCACTTGCTAGTGTGGAAATGTGGCAGTGAATAGACAGATACGGACTCTGTCCTGAAAGTTGCATAGGAGTTAGCCAAATAAATTGGTCAAATAATGGTGTGGGCACAAGTCATAATGGGGAGAATATTCTGCAGAGTGAATGGCATGTCTATGAGGGCCTTGGGCAAGGAGAATTGTTATAAAATATTTTTTTTTCAATTTGGATATTAAGTTGAACATTTTCTTTAAGAAACCTTCCATGCATCTGTGTCTTGGTTAGATTTCACCCTGCCTCCTCCCATAGGATTATGTATTTCTCCCAACATAGCCCTTAGTATGCTTTATTGAAATTACTCACTTACTCTTAGATCCTCACTGTGAATGCTGTGTTGGAAGGAACAATCCTCATCTCTGTCTTGTATCTCAAGCACCTACTTCTCTGACTGGTACATGGACATTCAATAAATATTAGTTAAATGAATACATGAATGACTAAATGAATGGACACAGGATCTCCAATGTGAAATTTCTTTTGGAAGGTAGTGCCAGGGTAGTGGAAAAGAAGTAGAAGAGAGAAAAAGGGAAATCCTTGCCTCTCTATGCTTGTTGTAGTCAAATTTTGAAACAAAGCAAAAAACTATATTAACTGATATGAATAGTTTTCTTGCCTTTATCTCCCTCTGACCTGACCTAAGCTCCTATCCTTTGGGAGCTGCTTTAAATCCTCTTAGGAAAGAAAATACAGGAAGGAGATTATAATAAATTAAGTTGTCAACAACTACTGTACACAGATTCCGAGCATTGTATTAAGTTAACTAATAGAATAATTTTTTATTGAACGCCACCATCTAAGACCTTGTGCAAAGTACCATGAAGATAAAAGGAAATATATGAAGACTTAAGATGTCAAAAATTGTGTATTCTTAATATTTGAGGCATTCTTTTGGACAGTTGGCAAGTGTAATAAAAATGTTTAAATGAAATCTTTAGCAATTGCATTTTTATTTCTTACCTAAAATATGAAGGTTGCATATGATGAAGGCCCCACCTTGTTTTCAAATATGATGTTTCTATAAATGAAAATGAGTAATTAAAATAATATATATTTTTGGTTCAAAGTAACAAACCCAGCTATGTTTAGATCAAGCCAAAATACATTTTTTATATAAATATACATGTGAATGATGGGACTCAAGAATAGGATGGGCCCTCAGAAATGAAATGAAACCAAGGAATAAGAAAACATTTTTATAATTTTATTTAAGTGACCATCTGTATTATTTAGGGTTTTCTAGAGGGACAGAACGGATAAGATAGATGAATATATGAAGAGGAGTTTATTATAATTGACTCACACAATCACAAAGTAAAGTCCCAGAATAGGCCCTCTGCAAGCTGAGGAGCCAGGAAGCCAGTCTGTGTCCCAAAACCTCAAAAGTAGGGAAGCCAATAGCAGCCTTCAGTCTGTAGTAGAAGGCCTGAGAGCCCCTGGCAAACCACTGGTGTTAAGTTCAAGAGTCCAAAAGCTGAAGAACTTGGAGTCTGATGTTCAAGGTCAGGAAGCATTCAACATGGGAGAAAAATGGAGGCCAGAAGACTTAGTTAGTCTAGTCTTTCCATGTTCTTCTGCCTGCTTTTATTCTGGCCATGCTGGCAGCTGATTAGATTGTGCCCACCTAGAATGAGGGTGGGTCTGCCCTTCCCAGTCCACTGACACGAATGTTAATCTCCTTTGGCAACACCCTCACAGACACACCCAGGAACAGTACTTCAGGTCCTTCAATCCAATAAAGTTGACACTTGCTAGGCTGTCTGCCCTTTCAGAGATCCATTCAAAAGAAAGGGCAAAAAGTCCCCATAACCATTTAGCAAATTGGCTTCATTACCAAATGTTACAGGTTTACCAATAGTCTGGAGTAACCATTACACCATCACGGGTAAAAATGCATTGCTTCAATTCTAAAATCCCAAGAAAGAGAATCTGATTAGCCAGCTTGGTTTAGGTGTTACTTAGTTTGGGGTGGATACCTGCAACCCCAGTGTTACCAAGCTGTTTCAGCTTTCCCATTTTCAGACACCTTGTATGTTAATCAGCTCAATGGACCCTCTGCTTTTTCACAAGGGCAGAGGGCCATGTGACAGCTTTCTGTATCCTGAGCTCTTGCCCAGTGTCCCAGAAGAATCAGATCACACGTGGGTGCAAAGGATGAGTGCCAGGTTTTATTGAGTGGTGGAGGTGGGCTCTCAGCGAGATGGATGGGGAGCAGGAAGAGGGGGATGGAGTGGGAAGGTGGTCTTCCCCTGGAGTTGGGCCACGTAGCTGCCGGTCTCTGCTCCTGACTGTCGCCGGCCCAGTGTCCAGACATCCCTCCTCTCTTTCTCTACCACATCATTCCACCTTTGCTGGGGAACTGCCCTCTTCTAATCAGTATTTTCCTGTCTCCTGTTCATATTAGTATATACAGGACTGCAGAGAAAAACAAGTTATTGTCCCTGTAACCCAAATACTCATAATGTCACAGAAGAGGTGGTTAAAAATAATTTAAATACACAGTTAAAAGTATAGTCATGAAGGTGTGCACAGTGTTGTGGGGCCGCTGCTAACTCACTATGGAGAACGCTGCAGAAGCAGCACAGGTCATCACATCACAATTAGAAGCAGAGATTAAAGAGTTGATTGTGTCTGAAACACTTGTTTGCTAGGTTGTCTTTCTCTCCCCTAAGGAAAGGCAAACCCCAGACTATTGGTAAACCTGTAACATTTGGTAATGAAGCCAATTTACTAAATGGTTATGGGGACTTTTTGCCCTTTCTTTTGAATGGATCTCTGAAAGGGCAGACAGCCTAGCAAGTCCATTAGAAGACTCAGAAGGCTAAAGCCGAACCTTTATCAAAACAGTGAGTTTGCTTGGCAGCCCTGGATAGAGAACATCATTTACTAAGAGATTTATTACTAGAGAATTAAATCCTAGGAACAGGAATATGAAACTTAATATGAGCATGAGTGGACTGTGTTGGCTACTATTGATCTAAATCCTTTGGGAAGAGAAGAAATTGATGAGATGCCCAGGTTTCTAAACTAAAGCATGTTTTATAAAATGCTGCATTAGGATTCACAATTAATTTTAAAAGCTTACCAATGACAAAAGCTTACCAATGACAAAACCAATGATTCTTCCTTCGTGTAAAGAGTTCATTACATCATAAACGTACTGCACTCTAGGAGTACTTTAAATAGAAAATTATATGCTTGTTACAGGTGTAATTCCACCGATACCATAGTTACTACAAGACAATTTTGGAAAGTATTTATTAAAGATACCAGGATCCCTATGTATAAATTTTTTCAAGGGATAATTATTGTCTTTTCTGAACTTATAAGGAAAAAAAAAAGATCACTTCTTTCCAGAGAACCCAGTAGCATATGAAGACAAGTTTTTGTTGCAATGGAGAAAATGTCATCCATCATTATGCCTAACACTTTTGAAAAAAGGGATGGTGTTTTTATTAGGGCCACTTTTGCTTTGTGTAAACAAACTTTTATTTCATAAAAATAGGGTGGTCCATACTTCCCAATAACTACATTCAAAACATTTGTTTTTGGAATCAGTTGACTGAGTTTATAGCATTGTTTGATTTAAATGAAAGAAGATAGATTATCATAAACGCTCAAGCCTCACAATGAAGTATAGCTGTGCAGAAAACAGATGATGCTATGATATTATTATGATAATTATAATAGTATTTATCATCACTAGAGTGGTTCTGATTGAGAGGTTACCATAAGCTAACAGTTCCAGTGCAGGTAGGCCAATCTATTTTATGCTGCCTTAACATCCTGCATAGCTTTACACTCATCACAGTTATTCCATATCTTTCTTCCCCTTTAGCCTAATAGCTTCTCAAAGGCAGAGGCAATGAGAATTTTATTCACATCTATATCTCCAGGTGTTAGACTGGCATCTAGTGACAATGGTTACTTACTTTAGAATTAATAAGTTAGGGCTGAGTGCAGTGTCTCAAGCCTGTAATCCCAGCACTTCGGGAGGCCAAGGTGGGTAGATTGCTTGAGGCCAGGAGTTCAAGACCAGCCTGGACAACATGGCAAAGCCCCATCTCTACTAAAAATACAAAAATTAGCCAGGCATGGTGGTGCGTGCCTGTAGTTCCAGATACTCAGGAGGCTGAGGCATGAGAATCACTTGAATCCAGGAGGTGGAGGTTTCAGTGAGCTGAGATCCCACCACTGCACTCCAGCCTGGGTGACAGAGTGAAACTCTGTCTCAAAATAAATAAATAAACAGAAAGAATTAATAAATTAATTAATTGCTTGTGTATTTTGTAGAAAAGTAATCTTTACGAGCTTTTCAACTTAGTGAATCTACGTTACCTTCTATATAAAGAATAAAGATCTTCAACTCCTTGCCTATGAAATGTTAATATGTTCTTCTAGGTTCATAGGATTTATGTAATATTAATTTGAATCAGAACATGAAAACGTTTTGTAAACTAAATAGCATCTTTCAATATTATGGTCATTTATGGTATGATTTAAAATAATACAAATTTGAATCCCTGAGGTGGCCTAGGGGAGAAAACTATAGGGTAAGAAACAGAATGAATCAGTATCAGAAAACAGTGTTCAGAAGAGTAAAACAATGAGAAAATATAAAGGAATCAGTTCAACAAACTTTCTAAAGTACCTACCTGGTGCTTTTACTTGATGTAATATTTTATTTAATTATCATAACATTTAAATGATGCCAGGATTATTGTCCTCATTTTACAGACAACATTGATGAGGGCAAATAGTTTGTCTCAGGTCATATCTAAATGTTAAGAGCCAGAATTCAACTCAAGTTCTAACAGCTCTACAGCTGCCTGTAAAAAATCCAGATACATAGCTTGTTGTTACAAAGTAGAACAATTCTACATGGTTGTTTTCCATGGCTCCACACAGTAAAATTTTGCCCAAAACAGTACAGGTACAAAGAGAAAGCTCTCAGATTAATTTAACTGAAACAATCCTTATTAGATTATAAGAATATACTGACAATGAGCTACCTCTGTGTGTAGTAAGTTCCTGTAGCTGGAGGTATTCAGATTTACAAGTGATAACCAGTTGTAAAGTATGTTATGGCAATGACCCAACCATTGGAATACAGATTGTAGATTATTCCTCAGATACTTTTAAATCCTGAGGCTCTATGATTTTAGTTGACTTCTGCTGGTTAGGCTAAAGGGGAATTCCCATGGTATTAGGATAAGAGGCATGCCTTTTTGGCTGAGACTTCACAGGTTTGCCGACTTTACCAGGTGATTCCCCCAGGCTGCACGGGATAGACTTGGCTAATGGCAAGCAGTTTTTCTTGGGAAAGCAGTATCACTGGAAGCAACATGGCATGGTGGGAAACATACAGGATTTGGAATCAAATACAACTAAAGCCATTTGTGTCTTCCTGGGCTTTAATTACCTCTTTCTATTAAATGGTGTAATAACAGTAAGGGATTAAATGAGATAATGCATGTAAAGAGGGAAATCATCATCATCACCATCATCATCCTCATCTTCATTATCTTTGATGGAGAGGAGGTGCCTCTTTGGAGGACATTAGGCAATAAACACCTTATCTTCCTCTGGAGTTGGTCAGCCTCAGGCAACATGGACAGAAAATAATCTTGTAGAATACCAGGGCTTAAGCGATTATCTGTCCAATGCTCCTCAAACTTTTTGTGATAAAAGGTGTGTATGTGTGTGTGTGTGTTTAAATTTACAATCTACTGCAGACCAATACTTTTGTAAAATGCAATAAAAATGAATTACTGGAGAAGTGAAATGGGGAAATAAACCAAAAACATACAAGATAAAATCCTTTTTTTTTTTAACAAAAGATATACACTTACTTGGTCAAATTGTTATAAAAGTCTCTAAATGCTTACTTTCATTTTCAATACTTTGTAGTAGATGGGAAACAAACAGTTTTGCAGACTGGTATTCATCCAAGGACCACACTGAGTCCTTGGATGAATATATGAGGAATCTAGCTCATTCCTGCTAAACACAAAGGAAGAGAATTCCAGAGTAGAGAAAGATTTGCCCATTGTTACCTAACAAGCATAATTATTCTTAGTTCATTATCATTTAGGGCACTTAAGGATTGAGGATGTTGATAAAAAACTAAATATGTACACCAGGAATTATGATTCTGGTAGTTGCTGTAGGCTGATGCCTCTTCCACCCATTTATCTCATTGGGAGTTGTAATGCCTTGTAGTATTTCTTATCCAGTTTAGGGGAAATTAACCAGTGGTGTTCAATCTTTTGGCTTCTCTGGGCCTCACTGGAAGATGAAGAAATGTCTTGGGCCACACATAAAATACACTAACACTAACGATAGCTGATGAGCTAAAAAACAAAAATTAAAAAAAATCACAAAAAAATCTCATTATATTTTAAGAAAGTTTATGAATTTGTGTTGGACTAGGGGTTGGACAAGCTTGGTTTACTCAGAGACGAGGAAAGAAAAATAGTAACTGTTATGTATCCACTTTGTGTATACTAGAATCTACACATAATATTACATTTAATTCTCTTAACAACCTTCTAAGGTAAGTGGAATTATCTGTATTTTTCTGGAAATTTTAAGCAATTTACCCAATTGAACACACCTAGAAAGTGGTAGAACTAGAGATGCAAGCCCAGGTCTGTTTGCTTACAGTTTTTCTCTTTTCTCCACATCACTGTATAAACATAGTCAATAGCTTGAGTGTATTCGTGCTCTTGAAGGAAAATACTCTCCTCAGCAGTTATTTCTAAAGGGCTGGGATTACAGGTGTGAGCCACCATGCCTGGTCTCTCAACAGTTATTTCTATTTAGAATTTACATAACATTTTGTGTTTGCAAGAGACTTTACAACCACTTATTGCTTCTTTCTCCTACGCTGCTATAACAAAGCCTTCCACAGAGTCTAGAAAACAAAGGCATAAAAAAGTATTCTTTAATTATAATTATTACAAGTTAGTTACAAATACATATTCCATTGTGGAAATGAATGATGTTTTAAATTTTTTTTATGATTTTTTGAAATAGTCTCGCATATCCCCAGCTTTATTCAATAGTCCATCTTAGCATTTTATACCTTGACCACCATGTTTCCTAATGAATTTTATAACCTTTTTGCAAATTTTATATACTGATGAAGTACGCCAGTCATTCTATTAGAATCATTTTTACATATCTAGTTAAAATTAATTTTTTTATTCCAAATTATACTTTTGAAGGGAACAATAAACTTTCACTATGATATACTGACTAACATGCCTAATTCTCACACTAAAAGTGACCTTTATTTTCACCCTAGCATATATTGAAAATTGGGCAGGTTTCCTTTTTGCTTTTGGACAGTTTTCACAATATCTGTTGACCTACCTTAGATAGTCTGGGTAAAAGACACACTGGGCCAGGCGCGGTAGCTCATGCCTGTAATCCCAGCACTTCGGGAGGCCGAGGCGGGTGGATCACGAGGTCAGGAGATTGAGTCCATCCTGGCTAACACGGTGTAACCCCGTCTCCACTAAAAATACAAAGAATTAGCCGGGCGTGGTGGCGGGTGCCTGTAGTCCCAGCTACTTGGGAGGCTGAGGCAGGAGAATGTCTTGAACCCGGGAAGCGGAGCTTGCAGTGAGCCGAGGTTGTGCCACTACACTCCAGCCTGGGCTACAGAGCGAGACTCCGTCTCAAAAAAAACAAAACAAAAAACAATTGCTGAAAATTTCCTTGACTATGAGATGAAGTGTCCAGAACCACAGGCCCAGCCCAGAAATCAGCAAATTTTATCCTGTCGGTAAGGAAAGGTTTATCTACTCATGTAACATTCTACAAAAATTTATTGGTACCTTTTATTCTACAAAAATTTATTGGTACCAAGTTCTGTGCAGAACGTACTTGGGTTAATATTTTTCTCTGACTCAAAATAAATTTGTGACTAACTGTGACCTTCAAAACATTCACTGTAACATCTAGGGTTCTTCCGGTCTCTTCAAACTTAAATTTTTTAAGTTTGTGTTGTTTTAAATCTAGCTTGCTGCTTTGATGTTGAATATGATAGTAAAAGATATGTTGGAGAAGCTGCAAAAATTTGGGATTTTTAATACAAGTAAATTATTTTCTCATAACATCCTATGAATTATCTAAGCCTTTAATTCATTCATTTTTGGACTTTATTTTTTAGAGCAGTTTTAGGTTCACAGAAAAACTAAGAGGAAGTTACAGAAACTTTGCCATATACTCCAGCCCCCACACATGCATAGTTTCCTATACTAACGACATTCCCCACCAGAATGGTAAATTTGTAACAATTGAGTAATCTACCTTGACACATCATAATCACCTAAGTCCATGGTTCACGCTAAGGTTTACTCTTGGTTTTGCACATTCTGTGGGTTTCAACAAACGTGTAATGACATTTATTCATGATTAAAACATTGTAAGGAGTATTTTGACTGTCTTAAAATTCCTTTATTCTCTGCTTAGTCAAATTCCAGCCTCCCAACCCCTACCAACCACTGATCTTTTTGCTATCTCCGTGGTTTTGCTATTTTATTTATTTTTTACAACCAGGATCCTCATGAACTTAACTTCCCTATAAAATATATATTGTATAATTTATTTCAAAGCTTTTCTAAGTTCCAGATTCCCCCAATGCACAATATATAATTGTTATTTATCTATTAAATAAGATCATTTACTCAAACATTTCCAGATTATTTTATTCTAGCAGATGCATTGTTATATAAAAGTAAAGAAAACATCCACTTCAAAACATACAGAATAAGGCGGGTAAGTTCAATGCCATAAAGGATACTGTTCAATATGCTTCATTTCCTATCTCTACCGATCCTTCCTGTCACAAAATAACATATTATTTATATAGTGCTTTGGAGTTCATAAAGATCTTCTACATCCACTCACTTGTTTAATATTCAAAATACTGTTTGCTGGTAAATAGAATCACTGTCTTAATTTCTTTTACCCTTTCCCATATTTTTTGTCCTCCTATTTAGCAAAGCTCATCAAAGGAGTAGTCTATACTCAAGGTTATCTGTTTTCTTACCTCCTCTTCTTTCCTCCACCCACTTTGGTTAAGCTTTTCTCCCTGCTGTTCCACTGAAGCAGCTTCAGTCTGTCCCTCATGATCTCCACTTTGCAAAACGCATTGGTCGGTTCTTAGTTCTCATCTTTCTCTACCTCTCAGCAATGTCCAACCTAGTTGATCACTTATCCTTTCCTAAAACTTTCTTCACTTGTCTCTAGTACAGTGAAATCTGATTTAGTGCCTATATTGCTGGCCACTCTTTCTCAATCTATTTGACTTTTCCAGCTCTGCTAGTCTCTAAGTATCACTGTTGACCAAGGCTTAGCCTTCTAGTGATGCTCCTTCACTCCATCAAGCCCATTCCATGACTTTAGATAATTTAAATAAGTTACACGTTCTTATAACTCCCAAATTCCATCTCCAGTTTCTACATCTTTCCTGATCTCCTATGTGAATACATAACTATTCAATAGCTCTGCCTTGATATCCCATAGTCACTTTAGACTTATCACATAAAAATAAAATTCTTCATTTCCCTCAGCTTTAGGATCTTCCCAGGCCAAAAACATAAATTAATCTTTGACTGCTTATGTTCCTCAGAGCCTACCACCAACCTGTTAGAAAATCCTATAAGCTCTATATTCAAAGTATGAAAAATATGGCTACTTCTTACTACTGTTACCATTGGTCATATGTCTGTGCCTGCCTACTAATTCAAACCCTCCATTATCTCTCACCTACACTATGGGATTTGTTTCCTAACTTATCTCCCTGTTTCCACTCCTTTCTTTATCCAGTCACATCTTTATCCAACGGCCAGAAAGGTCTATTTTAACGGGAAATTGGCTTCAAAAGCTTTCCAACATACTCAGACTAATCTGTCTCTCTTCTCTGTTTTCTTGCTGTAGCCACACTGATCTTTTGCTGTCTCTTGAATAAGCCAAGTTTATTCTTGCCCAAAAATCTTTGTGATTACTGTTGACTCATTTGCTAATAACTTCTGGTGGAAAAAATAAATGCTGCTTACTTCTTCCTTTCCAGGTCTCTGTTCAAATACCCCTTCCTGAAAAAGACCTCTTTGAGTAGTTTATCTTGGAACCAACCCAAATGTCCAACAATGATAGACTGGATTAAGAAAATGTGGCACATATACACCATGGAATACTATGCAGCCATAAAAAATGATGAGTTCAGGTCCTTTGTAGGGACATGGATGAAATTGGAAACCATCATTCTCAGTAAACTATCGCAAGAACAAAAAACCAAACACCGCATATTCTCACTCATAGGTGGGAATTGAACAATGAGATCACATGGACACAGGAAGGGGAATATCACACTCTGGGGACTGTAGTGGGGTGGGGGGAGGGGGGAGGGATAGCATTGGGAGATATACCTAATGCTAGATGACGCGTTAGTGGGTGCAGCGCACCAGCATGGCACATGTATACATATGTAACTAACCTGCACAATGTGCACATGTACCCTAAAACTTAAAGTATAATAAAAAAAAAAAAAAAAGAAAAAGAAAACCAAAGAAGCAGCCATGTTATCTAGTTAGATTTTGGATTTAAAAATACAGATGTATTTCTAATGATAAAAAAATAATAATAAAATAAAATAGTCCACATACATCCTTCTACTCTCTCTTCTTACACTGCTACAGTTTTTTTAAAAAGTTATTTTCACAGCACATATTGCTACCTAATATTTTATGTAAGTAGTTACAGCTTCATAGTTTGGCTGTTTCTTTCATTAGAATGTAAGCTCTGTGAAAGCAGAACTTTGTCTTTTTTACCACTATATTCCCAGCACCTAGAACCATGCCTAGGAAATAGTAGGTCTTCAATAAACATACTTAAGTGAATGAAGGAAAGTGAAGTGAAGAGGTTAAGTGATCCAAGGCTAGAAAGCCAGGCAAGCAAGACAGAAAGAACTTGAATACAAACCACCTGATTCTAAACCCCATGTTTTCTCCACGACATAAGATGGCCTTTTCACTGAACTGGGCAGTGGAAGATTTGAGTTTTTGAATATTTCCCTGGACTCGGCCATCTTCTACCTTCCAGTGGTTCAGCCAAGATATTCCCTGTTACCTTGCTACTGGAGAAGAGTGTAGTGTGAAATAGTACAACACTTGCTAAGAACAAAGTAAATGAGAGCTACTGCATCCTCTATGCTTGTAACCTACCACTCAAATCAAGGAAAGAAAAATCAGTTTATCTAATTTTTTCTTTGCCAATCCATGGTTTTTAATTTTGTACCTGGCATCCTAACCTCTTCTAGGCAACTTTAAAACATAAGATTGCTACACATTACTGCCTTGTGATCAATTGCAATTTGTTGCTAATTAAGCACTTATTTACTTAAAAAACAAATTCAAGTTGATTTAAGGATATCAGGAAAATAAAAGTTCTTTTACCTCTCTATGTGCTTTCTTGAGTTGTAGTGTTCATAGAATTGCATGTTAACCACAGCCGATTTTTGCTATGCTGCAGCATGTGATCTGAGGATGCCCAGGAAATTGTGGCTGTATGTGAATGCTGTGATTTCTTCCATGTACGTCACCACACAGAGAAAGAGAGTGAGAACTACCACTCCAAGCTACTTTTTTTTGGTTTGTACCTGGCCTTTGCACTCCTAAATTATCATAAATAATGCCTACAGTTTTTACAATAATACCAATCACTGTCACCTTCTTGCTGCTTGAAATCTTAAAAGCTTTGTGAACCTTGGTTTCTTCATATAAAAAATGAAGATAGTGATATATGCACCTCATATTTGTTCTTTTGAGGATTAAGTGAGATAAAGCACATATGCTTATTAGAACAGTATCTGATCCAGTCACTTAATTAATGTTAGTACTATCTCTCCCATGGTCTCTTTGATTCATCCTTTCTGACTTGGAACTTTAAGTCTGTATATTCTTCCCTCCAGGATGCAATTTTGATATAAGAGTCGAACATGTATTTGCCATCAATTCCTCTAAAAGTGCAAATAATTCAGCTACCTGTCTTCTTTTTCCTAAATATCTACTCCATTCTTTTTTTCTAATGCTGTCTCTGCCATCAGTTAAATACATTGCCAATAACAGGTAAATTCTTGACTTAATAGGATACCTCAATGCCTGATTTCAATCTTATAAGCATTACATTTCTCAATTATCCCATCCAGAAACCACTGGGAAGTGTTAATTAGGTACTAAAAACAAATTGGATTACCTCAGGGAATCTTTCTTAACAATTTTGCAGTCAATCAGGTGGTAAGATCATAAATTACACATATCATCCTAGTATCCATTCCAGATGTGATTTGAAATCCTTGACTTTCTATGGTTTGTCGTTCAACTTTGTATCAATATGAAGTAATTGAAAAACAGCCTATGTTAAACACCTTGATCCATGTAATAAAACTGGGAAATGATGACTATGATAGTTTCAGAAATGTATACTCTCTCAGCAGAGTTAATTATGTCATGAACATAAGAGTATAATTTGGTATATAGTTTTTTTCAATAACTATTAAAAACATTGAGATATAATTTATATATGATATTTATTTTTTTAAAAATAAATTTGGAAAATGTTTTAAACAAAGATTTTTCTTTCTAAACTCAGCAATAGAAAAACATGTACGGGCCTATGCCAAACCTCAAATCTTAACAAAGTTGTGGTATCTAGAGTCAGACTCCGACTTCAAACCTCACTTTTTATCTTCCTCATTGTACATACAGAAATCAGTTTGATTAAATAAATATTTAATAATTCATTCAACAAATATTCAGGAAGAAGAGCTCATGGATGCTGGGCTTAATACATACCTGATGAGATGATCTGTGCAGCAAATCACCATGGCACACATTTACCTATGTAACAAGCCTGAATATCGTGCACATGTACCCTAGAACTTAACATAAAAATTGAAGGAAAAAAAAAGTACAGAGCAAAGTCTACCATCTTTAAATAAATCTAATAGTCTTCCTTTACTGTTGGAACAAGTGAGTGGTTCTTTGCGGCAAATGAAAAAGGTGGCATATATTTAGGAGCCAAATTGTATAGAAATGTATTATTAAATTCTGAAATCATTAAAAAACACAAATATTTGCTGAGAACTTACTATATGCTAGGCACTCTTCTAGGTATTTTGGATATAGCAGGTGAGAAAAACAGGCAATAATCTCTGCCTTACAGGGATTACTGTGAAAATTCTGCTTTACATTGATTCAACTTCAGGACATGCTACTATAGTGCTAAACACGTAGAGGAAACCAACAGCAGGGGGAATCCAAAGGGCCTGAGATTAACTTTCTCCCTGGGAAGAACTAACTCTGAAGGCTTAGTTTCCTTATATATATTTTTTTAAAATAGAAATTGTACAAAAACAGCCATGCATCACTTAACGAGAGGGATAGGTTCTGAGAAATGCATCATTAGGCAATTTCACTGTTGTGCAAATATCATAGAGTGTACTTACACAAGCCTAGATGGTGTAGCCTGCAATATACCTAGGCTACATGGTATGACCCACTGCTCCTTGACTGCAAACCTGTGCAGCATGTTACTATACTGCATATGGTAGGCAGTTGTAATACAATGTTATTTATATACCTAAACATATATACATATAGAAAAGGTACAGTAAAATATGGTATTATAATCTTATGAGACCACTATCTTATATGCAGTTTGTATTGACCAAAACGTTGTTATGGCAGCACATGATAACATTTATATCCCAGGGGTGGCTATAGAGGTTCTAGATGTCAGTTATAATCAGGTCTGTTCCTTGATTTGATTGAGAAGTTGCAAAATGTGTTTTCACTGTAACTGTGTAGAAAACTTTTAGATTGTTTGTTTGGACATGAGGAAGACATTGCAGGTGAGTGAGACAGTTTGAAGAAAAGCCTGGAGTCAGGGAAGATCAGAGTTTACTGAAAGACCAAAAAAATTCTAGTTGACTGAGGCTAGTGAACATATAAGGGAGGGTGGGTTATAAAGCTTGAAAGATCATCTCAAGTATTTCTCTACCATCTCTCTTCCATTTATTTGTTTAGTTATTTATTTATTCTTAATTTATTTTATTAGAGATTGGGTGTTGCTGTTTTGTCCAGGCTGGTCTCAAATTTTGGTCCCAAGCAGTTCTCTCTCCTTGGCCTTCCAAAGTGCTGCGATTATAGGCGTGAGCCATAACACCCAGCCTCTGTCTTTCAGGCTAATGGGAATTCTACCATAAATTTGTTCTAGCTTCCCTGAAGGAAGATAATCTTTGTGTAACCTCTCATAGCCTTCTTAGTAGCCAAGTATTTTAAAAGAGAGAACAATGAGTTAGCAGAAGACCCTGCAGCCAAATATACCAAGATGACTTAATTTACAGTCCGCGTAACCTTTACTTCTCTACCACAAACCAAGAATAACATTGTCCTCATCTCTCAGCAATAAAGGACCAAAATTTATTTATGTTTTAGGTCGCTTTTGGAAGGACATATACAAATAAATTAGCAAATAAGCAAATGAATATCTAGCGTATTTATTTTTATATTCCCTGATAGCACAAAGTAGGGGCTCAGTAAAAGTTAATTTAATAAATAAATCCAAAAATACATGCCCATATCTCAAGAGAAAGGAAATGAAGTATATAAAATTGTACAGTGCTGTGCAAATGAAAATGTTATCACCTTACCATTTTCAACTTCTCATTATGTAGTTATTGGTACACATCCTGTAATGAACATAAATGTGATTATGAGCTACTTGAGAGCAGGGCCCAAGTCTTCCTCATTTCTGGTTCATTAATGTCTGTTATTCAGAAGGTCTCAGTGAAGACCAATTGGCATGTTGGGGGCCTCAGCAGATTTTTGTAGAGAATCTAGTTGGCAGGCCTCCTGAATGCACCTTGTCTCTGAAAAAGAGAGCAGATTTCTCACACATGATTTCCTGTCCTGGTATCCAAATGGGAGAGCCCTGCAGCTGCACAGCCTGAGAGCAGATGTTGCCCTGTCAGGTGTCTTTGATTCTACTCAAGAAACCACAGGAAACTGGTTGCAGACAAATCATCAGCACTGTAGCAACAGGGGAATGGCAGCCTATATGGTGTGCTCACAGAGGAAATATGGCACTCGGCCACAGAGGGGAAAATGACTTGTCTAGTCTAGAAGTGCAGATAAGTGGGGCCTGGCTGTTGTCTCCTTCTATTAGGCGCAGAACTTTTCTATTCTGTTTTGTTGTCAAGTTGACTATTCAGACATCTGTGTCATGTGTTCAATCAAAAACCTTTTGATGACAAGAATCACGTTCTAACCATTTACGATACCCAGCACCTAAATTAGCACATATAAGAAGTATGTACCATAAAATATTTTTAGATTTTAATTATTTGAACTAAACTGATACCTTGGAGCACTAGGGATAGAGGAAAAAAAGGCAGCTCGTGAGACATGAACTAATAATTATTCAGTACCTTAGTGCAAGGACAAGTATTTTCATATTATGTCATTTTATTTTATCTTATAGCAATTCAATATGTTAACTAATTTTATTCTCATTTTACTGTGAAGAGGGTTGGAATGTCTCTAAGTTGCCCAAGATCACATATCTAGTTTATTACAAAACTAGAATTCAAACTCATATTTGTCAGACAACAAAGCCCATGCTTTTTTTTCTGCCTCAAAATTACTAAATTGTTTCCTTTGGTATAATAGCTGAAATTTAGTTCCATCATGGTAAGTGTATTTTTACTGTAATTTCAATCTGATTATGTATACAGGTTGTGTGAATATGTATGAATATGTATATAATTTAAAAGTTATGCCAATATTTCTAGTAATATTGTTTTCTAATAAAAAAATTAAAAAAGGGAATTGCATATACCTTTATAGCTTTGGGGAATGCTTTTTGTTGCCTATTCATCATTCATTTGTCCCCTCCCTTCTTCCTCACAGAACTTGTTGTACAAGTATTTATTCCTCAACTACAAAACCCATGTACCTTAGGAGAAACATTGCCTACTCAAACTCCAAGCCTGACTTGTCTAAGGTTAATGCTATCCGCCTTGCCAGTGTTTGGTTCTGGACTGGCCATGTGATTCATTTGGAGATCTATAAAATGCAGGAAGAATTTCCATGGGGTTCTTGGGAAAAGTTGGATTTGATCTTCTGAGAGACCTTCTATATGCCAACCTCCTTGTTGCACATGGAGGTGAAGTCTAGAACTGCCACAGTTATCTTACTACCTTCCTGAGGATACACCATCCCCATGCAGAGGAAGGCCAGGGCAAAAGATTGGCAGGGAAGTGGGCCCGAACTCTTTAGAATAATGACCTTAGTGCTTGTGGTCAACAAATATTCTTATTGTTTAAGCAGTTTGAATTATTGTCTTTTCTGTATCTTGCAACCAAAACATCAAAATAGCCTTCATTCCCAGGCTGGAAAATAAGTAATAAAATTGATCCTTTTGCATATATAACATTTTATTATTAACAACTCATTGGACTCTGCCTTCTCTCATTCTTTTCATTAGCCTCATCTTATAGATATAGAAACTGAGCCTCAGAGTTAAGTGACTTGTCTAAGGCTACAGCCCTGCAAAATAACTTTAACTTCACGTTTCTAACTCTGTAATTAAAATCCTGTCCTTTTTTTTTTTTTAATCAAGTCTAAACTAAGCTGAAATAAAGACCAAGAACAGAGTTAAGTTCATTGCTAATTTCAAATGTAAAATAATACAGCATATTAATTGTCACCTTTATTCAGTAGTAAAGAATTATTTTGAAGCATCAGTTTCTGGAATCCAAGAAATAAATAGAATGGCTGATCTTTTCTTTTCTTTTTTTTTTTTTTCTTTTCATATCTTGTTGTTTTCCATCTCTTTCCTCACAGATTTCCATTCATTCTCAAGTCTTGACTAAGCACTCCTTTTCTGAGTTCCCAGTGACCCCTTGCCCACAGCTGTCAAAATATGTTGTTATAATTGTCTGCTTTTTGCCTATCTCACACACGGTCTAAGCTCCCTGAGAGTAGAAACAATATATCATCCATTTTTGTACCTCTCACTTCTGGCACATAGTAGTCAGTCAGTTAATGTTTATAGACCTGAACTGTGGTTCAGCAATCCACCTGGAATTTTTGAGGAGCAAGCCATTCCACAGAGCTAAGGTTTGCAGATAGCTAAGGGCTAAATATTGCCAGTACATAAACTTTTATATTTCAATTCATTTTTGAATGGGAATATTTATTAAATGCAGTTCATCATGTTCTGTTTTCTTAAAGCATAGGGATTATGTTTTAGCCACTTCATGTAATGATGTCCTCAGATATTACTCAAGGATTGATAAATATTTGATCTTATGATGGCTGATCTGTAATAACTTATTTTTTAAGTCTTATCGCTGCTGTTTATATTTTACTTCATTCTTCCTTGCTCTCTTTATAATTGCTTATAGAGGAGCTATCCCGCCTTTTATTTTTAATCTAAGATGGGCTTAGAATTCTAATATGAACTGTTATTAGGCCATTCTCATATTGCTGCAAATAAATACCTGAGACTGGGTAATTTATAAAGAAAAGGGGTTTAATTGGTTCACAGTTCTGCAGGCTGTACAGGAAGTACAGCAGCATCTGCCTGGCTTCTGGAGAGGCCTCAGAAAACTTACAATCATGGCAGGAGGTGAAAGGGGAACAGACATGTCATATGGCCAGACCAGGAAGAAGGATGGGAACAGGGCTATACACTTTTAAACAAGATTTCCTGAGAACTGATTCATTATCACAAGAACAGCACTAACAGAATGGTGCTAAACCATTTATAAGAAACCATCCCCATGATCCAGTCACCTCCCACCAGACCCCACTTCCAACATTTGGGATTACAATTTGACATTAGATTTGGGAGCAGACACAGATCCAAACCATATCATGAACCTTACATATAAATTATAGGTAAAGTAAGAAAACATTGTTTTTGAGTAGAGGGCTAGGAGCCCCTCTTTTTCATGGATTCAAGAATAGTGATCTCTAATATGTGAACTGTCGGTATAACTATTAGTATTTTCAGGGTTTTTTTTTTCACCTTTATTCCTAGTTTTCAGTGCTTGGTGCGAGAAATCTTTTGGATATCTGTTTGGTTAAAAGATGAGGAGGGTGTGTTTTATGGAGGTGATTTGTCCAGGTTTCTTTTTTTTTTTTTTTTTTTTTAGACCTTTACTTTTAATTTCAGGATCTGGAGAGCAGAAACTTTCGTAGTTCAAAAAAATTCCTCATGCTTAGTAGCTTCCTTTCCTAAAAATGCAGGTGGGCTTTACAGCTTCCCATCAGACTTATTTATTTGTCTTTCTTCTCAATGTGTTTTGTATTTGTATCCAGCTGTGGGAGAAAGCTTTCTGAGAAACTCCATGTACCTTTTTTATTAGTTGAAAATAAGAATGTTCAAACATTACCTCAGGTGGGAATTTGACTTTGCTTCTGCATTTTTCATTTTAGCTTAGTATTTCAATTTTAAAATAGATTAAGGTATGTTTAGTATTTTTATAGAAAAGTGCTGCCTAATCCTTTTGAGGACACAGAACGGTAAATTCCCTAATTAGTGCAGTCAGAACTGAAGAGTTCTTCCTGAAAAGCTGTATTCACACAGGAGTTTACATTTTTGTCAGTTAAATTTTCAGATTTTCTTTCATGCAGAAATTTGCCACAGCATGATACATAAGAAAAAACATTCAAGATGATGTCACAAGGCCTATATTTTATAGCCCCACCTGCACTTCAAAGGCATTGTGCAAGAGTTAAAAGGTTTGCCCAATCTAAGGTATTTCTATGTATAGAAATTATGTATTATTAGATATACAGAGAATGTGATTCATTTTCTCATTATTCAATATATTTAGTAGCTCATTGAAGATCCCTGGGCTATGTCCTTGTTGTTGTTGTTGTTGTTCAGGGCTCTTCTATATATACAATGACAAAACAATAAAACCTAAACTTTTTAGCCTGGATAAAATCTACCCAACCAACCTGTAGTTTCTTCACCTCCCAGAGAGAAACGTGTGATTCAACCATATGAAACTTCTGTTTCCGGCCGGGCACGGTGGCTCATGCCTGTAATTCCAGTACTTTGGGAGGCCGAGACAGGTGGATCACGAGGTCAGGAGTTCAAGACCAGCCTGGCCAAGATGGTGAAACCCCATCTGTACTAAAAATACAAAAAATTAGCCAGGCGCAGTGGCAGGCGCCTGTAGTCCCAGCTACTCAGGAGGCTGAGGAAGGAGAATCATTTGAACCCAGAGAGTGGAGGTTGCAGTGAGCCAAGATCGTGCCACTGCACTCCAGCCTGTCTCAAAAAAAAAAAGAAAAGAAAATTCTCTTTCCTTCAGTATGTTAGACTTTCTTGGCGCATGTCATTCTCTACTTGAAACTCATCCAGACTTATCCATATAGCAAATTATTTCTCCTTCCCAAGACCCCAATGTATATATTAACTGTCAACTCTTTTCTCACATCGTCATGTAAGTTGCCAGCTTACATGACTCTTTGTCTTCTCTAGTGTGTAAATTCTTTAGAGAGACAGAGCATGTTTTATTCATCCTTGTATCCTTAGCTTATAGTTTAATATCTGAAGTGTCATAGAACTCAATGAATGCTAAATGGATGGATGGGTTGATAGCCAAATCAGAATATAAGTAAATAGGAATAATTAATTGCAAAAAAAAATTCTTACTAAAGATGGTTGGTATACTACATGGCCTCTTAAAGATCCTTCAGAACTATAAATCAATAGATAACTTCTTGATTTTTAGTATCTTTAAGAGTTGTAACAGTGTTAATAGATATGAATTTTCTTTCCTGGGAGTTTTTAGGAATAACATAAACTGTTCCCTCTCTTTACACCAATGTCAATGTACTGGTTTTGATATTGTTCTATAGTTATGTAAAATATAACTAATAGGGGAAACTGGGTGGATGGTACAGTAAACATAGTACTTCTCTGTACTGTGTTTACAACTTCCTGTGAATTTATAATTATTTCAAAGTAAAACGTTTAAAAAGTGAATAAATCTTGTGAATTATTTAAGAGCTCACTACTAGGGTCTCTATGATATGTGTCAGTATATATTTTTTGAAAGAAAAAAATTACAACAGCTTTATTCATAATAGGTAAAAACTGGAAACAGGAAGCCAATATTAAAAGGCTACATATTGTATGATTCCAATTATATGAGATTCTGGAAACGGTAAAACCATAGAGACAGTAAAAAGTTCAGTGGGTTGCCTAGGGGTTGGAGTAGGTAAAGGGATGAATAGGCAAAATAAAGAGGATTTTTTGGGCAGTGAAATTACTCTATATGATACAATAATTGCTGATACCTGTCATTATGCATTTATCCAAACCCACAGAATGTACACCACCAACAGTGAACCCTAAGGTAAACTATGGACTTCGGATGATTATGATGTCTCAATAAAGGTTCATCAGTTGTAGCAAATATAACATTCTGGTGAGGATGTTAATAATAGGGAATGCTATGCATTTGTGGGGACAGAGGTATGTAGGATATCTCTGTACCTTTCTCTCAATTTGGTTGTTGAATATAAAATTGCTCTAAAAAATTAAGTCTTTTGAAAAACGCCTGTAAGGTTTCTGCTGAGTAATTCATTGTTAATCTAATGGTGATGCCCTTATATGTGACTTGACACTTTTCTCTTGCTGTTTTTGAAATTCTTCCTTTGTCTTTAAACTTTTGACAATTAGACTACAATGTGACTTAGAGAGAACATATTTGGGTTTAATATATTTGGGATTTTTTGAGCTTCTTGGATCTGAATGTCTATGACTCTTCCAAGTCTTGAGAAGTTTTCAGCTATTATTTTATTGAATATAATGTCTATACCACTTCCCTTTTCTTCTGGAATGCAAAGAAGGTAAATATTTGTTTAATAGTGCCCCATAAATCGTATAGGCTTTCTTCATTTTTTTTTCTTGTCTGCCTGTGATTATTTCAAAAGACCTATCTTCAAGTTGAGAAAATGTTTCTTCTGCTTGGTCTAGTATTTTGTTGAAGCTCTCAATTGTATTTTTTATTTCATTGAATTCTTCAGTTATAGAATTCCTGTTTGGTTCTTCTTTATGGTATCTATCTCTTTGTTGAGTTTCTCATTCAAATCCTAAAATTTTCTCCTGATATTGTTGAATTGTCTATTTGTATTCTCTTCTATCTCACTGAGCTTCCTTAAGATAATTATTTTTTATTCCTTTTCTGGTACTTCATTTTATATACTTCCTTATGAGTAGAGTCTGTTACTAAAGGATTATTGTGTTCCTTTAGAGATACCATGTTTCCTTACTTTTTGGTGTTTGATGTGGCCCTGCATTAACTTATACGTGTCTGGTGGAACAGTCACCTCTTTCAATTTATGGAGTGGGTTTCATAGGGAAAGATATTCATTTAGACGAGGTGTTGGTTCAGTAGGTGCATTAGCTTTGGTTCTAGGTGGGTGCCATAGTTTAGTCTTTATGTGGTTTCTTCAGCTGTAATTCACACTAGTGATGTTTGTGAGTATCTCAGTGGTCTAGGCTGAGAGAGTTTGTGGTGGTGGTGGTGGTGGTGGTGTGACTTTGCCAGAGATGGATTTATTAGGTTGTTTCTTAGATCAAGGGTACGTGTATACACACAGTAGGTTGGCCCACTTGGGGTCTGTCTCAGTGGGGTTGGAATCATGGGGCTGTTACTCTTATTAAGAGCATAGGCGGCCGGGCGCGGTGGCTCACGCCTGTAATCCCAGCACTTTGGGAGGCCGAGGCGGGCGGATCACGAGGTCAGGAGATCGAGACCACGGTGAAACCCCGTCTCTACTAAAAATACAAAAAATTAGCCAGGCGCAGTGGCGGGCGCCTGTAGTCCCAGCTACTCGGGAGGCTGAGGCAGGAGAATGGCGTGAACCCGGAAGGCGGAGCTTGCAGTGAGCGGAGATCGCGCCACAGCACTCCCGCCTGGGCGACAGAACGAGACTCCATCTCAAAAAAAAAAAAAAAAAAAAAAAAAAAAGAGCATAGGCACACAGTTGTTTGGTCAGCCTGGGGCGCATCTGCCATGCGTAGTCCATGGGGATGCTTCTCATGCCCTGATTTTGGGTGTGTGGGTTTTGTGAAGGCCAGGGCCATGCCCACAGTGGTGTGGAGGGCACCATGAGGCTGTTTCTCAGAACCTGGGCATGGCCTGATAGCCATTTTGTTGACCTGGGGATGTGTCATCTACTCAGTGGCTCAAGAACCTCTCCCACTCAGGGAGGGTGTGAAACAGATTGGCGGGCTCAGGGTGGCTTTGCCCTGGGTAAGACTGCCAGACTGTTCCTCTGGTTGGAAGTGCAGGTGGCAGGGGTTGGTTTCCCTGCTGTGCAAAATGACAGTCACAGTTGATTCTGGGTTCAGGCTCTGCACCGCTGGAGTTGTGGTGTTCAGCCACTGGTGTGGGATTGGTGGAATGAAGATGGAGCACCAGTGTTGGAGAGGTGCAGTAGCTACTGGCCTCCAGAGGAGGATGCACTCCAGAGGCGGCTTTGTTCTCTATATGGAACTGTATTGCTGCAGCTTGGCCCACAGTGGCTGGGTAGGGCTTAGCACATCTACACCTCGTCCTCCTAATTTGAAGCAATACAGCTGCATGAATTTCCAGCATCTCTCCCAGCTGGGCTCAGGGCTTGGAAGAACTGTGGGGTTCTTCTGTAGTAAGGATTGTAAGTATATCCAGTGGCAATGGAGCCTGATGGGATTATTCTGTTTACCTTTTTCACTCAGGAGGACCTCCCTCTTGCCTTTGTGCTGATCTGCTTGGAAGGAGGGAGATGGGGCTGCAGAAGCTGGGTGCCTCTATGCTGCCCCCGGGGGCTTCCAATTAATAGGTGCCTTTCCATTCCCCTGCTGTACTGCAGCCATTTCCCTTTGGCACTCCAGTAAAATGTTAACTGTTTTTCTATTACTTTGGTCCTTTCTTGCAACCTTCCTTCTTTTATCTAGTGGATGCCATGGAAACTAATAGCAGTGATAACTTCCCAATTTCTGAACGTTAGGGTAAATACAGAGTAGACACAGTCATTGTGAGGCTGAGAATCTGGTTAATATCCCCCAAGACAATGGACTCTAGGGCCTAGCTGGGGCCTGGGCACAAGGACCGCTTCATCAGATCCTGTAAAATGACCCCAGGAGACTGTACTAAATTAAACTTTGGGATCACAGGGTAGTTATTTAACATAAATAAAATATTATTCAAATAAGTTTCAATGCCCATAGAGGTGAGATAGTTTTGCATACTACTATATTGTTTTGATACTGCTTTATGTAAAATGGCTACATCCTTCACCTAGTTTGTCTTCCCTTGATCTTCTGGCAGATGTGAGGAAAAATGGAAATTCTAATCAACAGTCAAATGAAAGTCCCAGGTTCCTTAGCCAGGTAGTTTTATGTTTCAATCATATACTTACTGCCTTATCAATATTTCTCAATTTTAAACTCTAAAACTTTAGGCTTTCCTCACTAGCAGCTTTCCATTTTTAAAGATATATCTTTTCCTAGTGATATAAAATATTTTTTAAAACTCAGGTAAAGTGCTCATAGGAGTGAACACAGTAGTTGTCTGAGTGATCTTGGCAAACATAGGGTAAATATTTTCTAGTTCTAGAAAACTGAGCCCCATGTGGAATTCTATCTTCTAACAAAGTAGGGAGTCATCACTTCATGTAATAACACTTGTTTAGGAAAAAATTGATTTGGGAGTTACTTTGATTAAAAAAATAAACTCTATCATTGGTGTTTAATTTAGTAATTTACCTAGAAAGTTAATGTAATTCTTTGGTCTTGAGTTTTAAACCACCTAAGATATTTAATCTATATTATTGAGTTGAATTTACATATAATAAAATGAATCTTTTTTAAATATACAACTTGATGTAAATTTGATCTGTTTTGATAGACATGTACATCTGAGAAACCACTGCCACATTAGAGTTCCAGATAATTACCATCACCCCAAGATTCCTCATGCCTCTTTTTATCCCTTCCCTCTGTCTACCTCTAGGCCTAGGAAGCAGTAGATCTACTTTATATCACTATATATTGATTTTTATTTTATATATTTCCATGTAAAATGATTTATACAATATGCACAGTTTCATGCCTTTCAATTGGAACAATACTTCTGAGGTTTTACATATATATCTTGTTTTGTTTATACATTCACTTGTTAATGTATCTGTGGGTTGCTTCCAATTTGGAGATATTATGAAAAAAGCTGCAGACTGTGTAGACATATGTTTTCATTTCTCTTGAATACCTAGAAATGCAATGGCTGTGTTGTACAATACATTTATGTTTAAATTTTTAAGAAATGCCAAGCTGTTTTCCAAAGTGGTTGGACCATTTTACATTCCCACCAGCAATGTAGGGGAGTTTCAGTTCCTCCACATCCTCATCAACACTTGGAATTGTTAAACTCCCAAGTTTTAGCCATTCCAATTGGTGTATAGTGGCATCCACTAACATTTTAATATCTCAAAAATAATAATTTTATAGCAACATATAGGAGGTGTATGTCTATTGAGAAACAAAGGAATGAAACAGAATACCTAGTATATTGAAATCAAGAAGGTAGCAAATTGTAAGAACCATACATATTGTTGTTATGTCCTTAGATTTCTTTTTTCTTTGCAATATTTATTTTATCTCACTACCTTGCTGCCTCTCTGGCACCAACTAAGGCCAAATCTAGAGGGTATATACATTACTGAAAAAGAATATATTATGTCATCGTTAAGCAGAATCAACAGAGTAGCTACTAAGAAAAATAGGTTCCTGATGTTTTTTAACAAGCAAAAAAAAAGAAAAAGAAAAAAAAGAAAATTGTTACATACTGGAGTTCTGCAAAGTCTGACTCTAGATAATTTTTTCTTGTGATGCTCTTCTCTCAGGATGGATGATACCTATTTCTGAGCCTTTAACACAACCTATTGACAGACACTTCATAAGTTTATATTTCTAACCCAGTTTACGCTGCGCTCTAGAGGAATGTATCCAAGTTAGAGTTACCAAAAGCACTGTAAATCAAATTTACAATGCAAGCAAAACAAACAAATAAAATCCCCAAACGGAATAATGCCTCCTCCATCCCACACGTATACACAAACACTATATTACTTTTTAGTATATCATATTTCAGTGAATGCCATTACAACTTATCCAGTTATGTATACCAGAAACCTAGAAGTCATACTGAATTTCCCCCATATCTGATCTACCCCCAATATGTATCACTTTCACTCACTTTCTAAGATGTTCCTTGAGTTGAACTATTTATCTTTGTTTCCAGTGCTGTTTCTCTAGTCTGTATCACCATTATCTGTTGCCTGCACTACTGAGAGCACCTCTTCAGTGTTCTGCCCACTGACAATATTGTTCCATTCCAATCCTTCACCACACTACAGCTATACGATCTTCTTGAAATGCAATATAATATCACATCCCCCACTCCTGCTTAAATACTTTACATAAACCTTCCCACACACAAAAATACATACACATCACATTCTCTCTCTCTCTCTCTCTCTCTCTGTCTCTTTCTTTCTCTCTCTCTTGACCTAGATAGTTTGGTTTTGGTAAATTCTTCCAAACATTTAAAGAAGAAATAGCACCCATTCTATGCAAATCATTCCTAAAATATCGAAGAGCAGGCAATACCTTCCAACTCACTACATGAGGCCTATATTGCCTTGGTATAAAAACAGGCAAATATATTTCAATAAAAAATGTTACAGACTAATACCCCTCATGAACATAGATGGAAAAAGTTCTAAATAAATTTTAGCAAATGGAATCCAGTAGTACACTAAAATTATAATATATCATGACCAAACAAGCTTTATTTCAGGAATACAGGATTGTTTAACATTCAAAAATCACCATATTAATCACCTAAAAAAATCTCAGGCATAGAAAAACCATGTGACAAAATCAATATCTATTCCTAACTAAAAACAAAACAAAACAAAACAAAAACTCTTGGCAAAATATAAATAGAAGGGAATTTCTTCAACATGATAAGAAACTTATGTGAAAAACCTATAGCTAACATCATATTTAATCATTATTTAGTGAAAGGCTGAATGTTTTCCCCTTAAGATCAGGAACAGGGATATCCACTTTCACTACTTTTGTGCAACATTGTTCTGGATGTTTTAACCAGCATAATCAGTAAAGAAAAAGAAGCAAAGGAAGATGTAAAACTCATTTTTGTTTACAGATGACATGTCATATCTGATAGAATCTATTTAAAAAGCTACCAGACTAATAGGTGAGTTTAGCAATGTTGCAGAATAAAAGGACAATATACAAACTTTGTATTTGTATTTCTACGTACTAACAACAGTTAGAAATTAAAATCAATAAAGGAATTCCATTTAGAATACCATAAAATATGAAATACTTAGGAATAAATCTGATGAAATATGTGAAAAAAATCAGTACATTGGAAATTATAGAATATTGCTGAGTAAAATTAAGTAAAATTAAAGACCTTAAAAGTAGACAGATACTTTGCTAATAGGTTGGAAGAATCAGTATCATTAAGATGTTCATTCTCTCTAACCTTATCTAAAGATTCAACACAATTCCACACAATCAAAATTCCAGTTGAAATTTTTGTAGGTGTAGAATTAACAGGTTAATTCTAAAAATTGTATGAAAATTTAAAGTACCTAGGAGAGTCAAAACAGCTCTGAAAAAAAAAGTGAACAAAGTTGGAGATCAAAGAAGAACAAAGTTGTTTCAATAATTATTATAAAGCTGCAGTAACCAAAATATAGTATTGGTGGAAAGATGGCAAAACAGATTAATAGAATGGAGAGTCCAAAATTAAACCATACATATAAGGACAAAGACATACAATTAAATGGAAAAAGGATAGTCATTTCAACAAATAATACAGAAACAATTAAATATACATGTGCAAAAAAATGAACTTGGATCCATACCTCATATCATATATAAAAATTTACTCAAAATTGATCATTGCTCAAAATGTAAAACTACAAAACCTCTAGAAGAAATAAGAGAAGAACATCTTTGTGACCTTGGGTTAAACAGATTTCTTAGATATGAAAATAAAAGTATGAACCATAAAGGAAAAAATAATAAATTGCATTCATCAATAATAAAAACTTCTGGTATTCAAAAGACACTGATAAGAATGAAAAGACAAACCACAGACTGTGAAAAACTATATGCAACATATATCTAATATAGGTTTGAATCTAGCAGTGTGTAGAGGGAAATTTATAGCACTAAATGCCCACAAGAGAAAGCAGGAAAGATCTCAAATTGACACCCTAACATCACAACTAAAAGAACTAGAGAAACAAGAGCAAACATATTCAAAAGCTAGCAGAGGGCAAGAAATAACTAAGATCAGAGCAGAACTGAAGGAGTTAGAGACGAAAAAAATCCTTCAAAAATTCAATGAATCCAGGAGCTGGTTTTTTGAAAATCAACAAAATTGATAAGACCGCTAGTAAGACTAATAACGAAGAAAACAGAGAAGAATCAAATAGATGCAATAAAAAATGATAAAAGGGATATCACCACCGATGCCACAGAAATACAAACTACCATCAGAGAATACTATAAACACCTCTACGTAAATAAACTAGAAAATCTAGAAGAAATGGGTAAATTCCTTGACACATATATCCTCCCAAGACTAAACCAGGAAGAAATTGAATCTCTGAATAGACCAATAATAGAATCTGAAATTGAGGCAATAATTAATAGCCTACCAACCAAAAAAGTCCAGGACCAGACGGATTCACAGCCAAATTCTACCAGAGGTACAAGGAGGAGCTGGTACCATTCCTTCTGAAACTATTCCAATCAATAGAAAAAGAAGGAATCTTCCCTAACTCATTTTATGAGCCCAGCATCATCTTGATACCAAAGCATGGCAGAGACAGAATCAAAAAAGAGAATTTTAGACCAATATCCCTGATGAACATTGATGCAAAAATCCTGAATAAAATACTGGCAAACTGAATCCAGCAACACATCAAAAAGCTTATCCACCATGACCAAGTTGGCTTCATCCCTGGGATGCAAGGCTGGTTCAACATACGCAAATCAATAAACATAATCCAACATATAAACAGAACCAAAGACAAAAACCACATGATTATCTCAATAGAAGCAGAAAAGGCCTTTGACAAAATTCAACAGCCCTTCATGCTAAAAACTCTCAATCAATTAGGTATTGATGGGATGTATCTCAAAATAATAAGAGCTATTTATGACAAACCCACAGCCAATATCTTGCTGAATGGGCAAAAACTGGAAACATTCCCTTTGAAAACTGGCACAAGACAGGGATGCCCTCTCTCACCACTCCTATTCAACATAGTGTTGGAAGTTCTGGCCAGGGCAATCAGGCAGGAGAAAGGAATAAAGGGTATTCAATTGGGAAAAGAGGAAGTCAAATTGTCCCTGTCTGCAGATGACATGATTGGATATCTAGAAAACCCCATCGTCTCAGCCCAAAATCTCCTTAAGCTGATAAGCAACTTCAGCAAAGTCTCAGGATACAAAATCAATGTGCAAAAATCACAAGCATTCTTATACACCAATAACAGACAAACAGAGAGCCAAATTGTGAGTGAACTCCATTCACAATTGCTTCAAAGAGAGTAAAATACCTAGGAATCCAACTTACAAGGGATGTGAAGGAACTCTTCAAGGAGAACTGCAAACCACTGCTCAACAAAATAAAAGAGGATACAAACAAATGGAAGAGCATTCCATGCTCCTGGATAGGAAGAATCAATATCATGAAAACGGCCATACTGCCCAAGGTAATTTATAGATTGAATGCCATCCCCATCAAGCTACCAATGACTTTCTTCACAGAATTGGAAAAAACTTCTTTAAAGTTCATATGGAACCAAAAAAGAGCCCGCATTGCCAAATCAATCCTAAGCCAAGAGAACAAAGCTGGAGGCATCATGCTACCTGACTTCAAACTATATTACAAGGCTACAGTAACCAAAACAGCATGGTACTGGTACCAAAACAGAGATATAGGCCAATGGAACAGAACAGAGCCCTCAGAAATAATACCACATATCTACAACCATCTGATCTTTGACAAACCTGACAAAAACAAGAAATGGGGAAAGGATTCTCTATTCAACAAATGGTGCTGGGACAACTGGCTAGCCATATGTAGAAAGCTGAAACTGGATCCCTTCCTTACACCTTATACAAAAATTAGTTCAAGATGGATTAAAGACTTAAGTGTTAGACCTAAAACCATAAAAACCCTAGAAGAAAACCTAGGCATTACCATTCAGGACATAGGCATGGGCAAGGACTTCATGTCTATAACACCAAAAACAATGGCAACAAAAGCCAAAATTGACAAATGGGATTTAATTAAACTAAAGAGCTTCTGCACAGCAAAAGAAACTACCCTCAGAGTGAACAGGCAACCTACAGAATGGGAGAAAATTTTTGCAATCTACTCATCTGACCAGGGACTAATATCCAGAATCTACAAAGAAATGAAACAAATTTACAAGAAAGAAACAACCCTATCAACAAGTGGGCGAAGGATGTGAATAGACACTTCTCAAAAGAAGACATTTATGCAGCCAACAGACACAGTAAAAAATGCTCATCATCACTGGCCATCAGAGAAATGCAAATCAAAACCACAATGAGATACCATCTCACACCAGTTAGAATGGCGATCATTAAAAAGTCAGGAAACAACAGGTGCTGGAGAGGATGTGCAGAAATAGGAACACTCTTACACTGTTGGTGGGTCTGTAAACTAGTTCAACCATTGTGGAAGTCAGTGTGTCGATTCCTCAGGGATCTAGAACTAAAAATACCATTTGACCCAGCAATCCCATTACTGGGTATATACCCAAAGGATTATAAATCATGCTGCTATAAAGACACATGCACACATATGTTTATTGTGGCACTATTCACAATAGCAAAGACTTGGAACCAACCCAAATGTCCAACAATGATAGATTGGATTAAGAAAATGTGGCACATATACACCATGGAATACTATGCAGCCATAAAAAGTGATGAGTTCATGTCCTTTGTAGGGACATGGATGAAGCTGGAAACCATCATTCTCAGCAAACTATCGCAAGGACAAAAAACCAAACATCACATGTTCTCACTCATAGGTGGGAATTGAACAATGAGAACACTTGGACACAGGAAGGGGAACATCACACACCGGGGCCTGTTGTGGGGTGGGTGGGGGGAGGGATAGCATTAGGAGATATACCTAATGTAAATGACGAGTTAATGGGTGCAGCACACCAACATGGCACATGTATACATACATAACAACCTGCACATTGTGCACATGTACCCTAGAACTTAAAAGTATAATAAATATATATTTATATATATACATAAAACTCTCAAAACTTAAGAAGAAACTAACAATTTTAAAGGTAGGTAAAAGATTTGAATTGATACTTTACCAAAGATAGCAGGGAAAAAAACCACATGAAAAGATGTTCAACACAATGAGTCATTAAGGAAAGGCAAATTAAAACTATAATGAGGTACTATTACACATCTATTAGAATGGCTACAGTGAAAATGATTGACAATACCAGGTGATGGTGAAGATGTGAAGGATCTAGAATTCTCATACATTGCTGGTGGGAATGTAAAATGAAACAAGAACTTTGAAAATCAATTTAACAGTTTCTTAAAATATAAACACATATTCATCAGGTTATCAAGCAAATCCATTCCAGAAGAAAAGGAAATATATCAGTTCATGCAGAGACTTATGCACAGATATTCGTAGCAGCTATATAACTTCAAACTGAAAGTGACTCAAGTGTTCATCAACAAATATAGACAAATTATGTAATATATCTTTACAATGTAATATTACTTGGCAATAAGAAAAGAAGTAAACTATTGGCACATGCAACCATCTAGATAAACCTCAGAATAGATATGTTGAGTGGAAAAAATTCAGACTCCAAACACATATTGTATGATTTCATTTATATAAACCTCTTGAAAATGCAAATAAATCTTTAGTGACAGAGAGCAGATGAGTGATTGCTTTGGGATGGGGGATTGGGAAAGAGTATGAGGGGTAGAGGTTATAAAGGGGCACGTGGAAACGTTTGAAGGTGATAGATATGTTTATTATCTTGATTATGTTGACAGTTTCACAGATGTATACGTATGTTGAAAATTACCAGATTTAAATGTAAATATTTCCAGTTTATTTTATGTCAGTTCTACGCCAATAAATCTGCTTTAAAATATTTCTTCTGTAGTTTCCTAAGGCTTTTAGAATAAGAACAAACATTTTAAATATAATCTGACTAGTCTCACCTCTACTGTCTTCTTCAGCCTCTGTTCACTTGATATTTCCCCTTATTTTCTGTATTACGTTTATCTCAGTCCTTCCCATGTTCTTGTTTGCTGGTACCACATATTCTTTGTATATCCTATTCCCTCTATTTGAGATGCTTTTCCCCTTTCCGTTTGTCTAGTTAATTCCCACTTATTTTTCTTATCTCAACTCACTTATCACTCTCCTAATTATGCCTTCCTACCTCCATTTTTAGATGAGATTCCCCTATATATGCTCTTATAGAGCCATGTAGCTCTCCTCGAAGCACTTATCCCCATCTGCCTTCTCCATTGGTTTGTAATCTCCATGAGGCCAGCACTGCATTGATCTGTACTTAACCACTGTATCCCGAACTTGGCCTAGTGTCTAGCACATAGTAGATACTTCAAAGTATGTAATTAGTAACCAAAAGGGGGAGATAAAGTTAATGTGCTAACGTCGTCAACCAAGCAAAGTTTTTCCATGATCAGATGCTAACTAAAGCAAATACAATGCACATCTTCCAATGCATTACATTTGAGATTGACAGTCCTTGTATTAAAGGAAGAAAGCACCAGCATTCATGTAATACAACTAACTCACACACTGTACCAAAAGGTAATTTTCTTATAACAATCTTATTTTAAACAAACTGGACATAAGAATCTAGGTGGGCTGTACTTAAAATTTGGTACCATCAGGGACTTGAACCATTATGCTTGCAGCTCATTAACAGAAAAAGTGTTAATTGTATCATTATCTTAAATCTGTGATACATAGCTGGAGATTGTATGAGAAATCTGATGTCTTCACAGTTTTAGGGGAGGAATTGTTTCATTGAGTAATCATTCAACTTGCTGTATGATTAGCTGAGGGCCCCTTCTTGTGACATAATAGAGTGGTGTTCCTGGGGGTATGTAAGACACCTCATTTAGTTCATGCAGCTAGAAGAGCCATCTATTGTTCAGATGAAAGGGAGCTGATAAGGAAAATCTATTTGTAGTAGAGAACCACACAGTGGCAATATAAAGCCATTTAAAATGAGCCATGTTCTTGTCAGTCTTCCCATGAATTGCTGCTTTCAAAGTTGAACTCTGATTTAGTATATTTTTTTGACAATGATCAATTTGCCTTTGTTTCACAGATGGGCAACACAATATAAAAATAGAATTAGTGATTTCACAGGAATTTTGCTGTGCTTGGTTGACATTTGTTTTAAATAAGTTTCTTGGCTAGCTTTGGTGTGTAATGAATGAATGAATAAAAGAATCAGTGAGTGGACAAATGGATATTATTAAGCATTTATTAATAGTATGTGCCAAGCATTTTGATAGGTACTTTTACATGTGGCATTTTAGTTAATTCTCATAGGAACCCTGTGACAGAGGTATTATTACTCAACAACCTCCTCCCCTTTTTTTGTACTTAAGAAAATTAACTTTCAGATTAAGTAACTAACTCAGAATTGCATAGCAAGTGTCCAAACTGGGACTGGAACATAGATCCAACTTTTATCATTTCAACATTGACATCAAATTTGGTGAACAATGAGGCCTAAGAAGAGTTCTTCTTTTATTTGAATTTTGCCACTAAGAATATTCTCAGAGGTGGTGTAGAGGGTAGTGTTTCGGAGTTGCTTTTTCAAAATGGAAACAAGGCTGAAAGTGACTGTCATGAGAAGTCTCAAAGGCAAAATTGTGAGGGGACAATAATTATTTCAAAAAACACTTGGTGCTAAAACAAAATGTCAAAATTGATTCAGAACGAATAGGCTGGCATTTCTTCAATAAAGAGTGTACTCCTTCTACCTAGGAGGTGGCAGGGAGGGGAGCTGGGTCAGGACTCAAAGATCTTCACAATATTTCACCTAGGGCCTAGGTGGAAGCAGTGGAAAGCCTGGCCAAGATCACTTATTTATTGGTTCTTTATTCATCCATTTATTGACTAATCAGCTAAATAAGAAAACTATTTCAAGTCAAGGTCATGCAAACATTCTAAGTATGACTTAGATAAAGGCCAAGCAGTCACTACGTGTGACTCGCTCAAAGTAGTCTATACTTGGGGATAGGTGAGTGGACATAGAGGACTTAGAAATTACGGTGAACAGAACTCTCCACTCCAATTCAACAGAATATGCATTCTACTCAGCACCTCATTACACTTATTCTAAAATTAACCACATAATTGGAAGTAAAACACGCTTCAGCAAATGCAAAAGAACGGAAATCATAACAAACAGTCTCTCGGACCACAGTGCAATCAAATTAGAACTCAGGATTAAGAAACTCACTCAAAACCACACAACTACATGGAAACTGAAAACCTGCTCCTTAATGACTACTGGGTAAATAACGAAGGCAGAAATAAAGATGTTCTTTGAAACCAATGAGAACAAAGACACAATGTACCGGAATCCCTGGGACACATTTAAAGCAGTGTGTAGAGGGAAACATAGCACTAAATGCCCACAAGAGAAAGAAGGAAGGATCTAAAATTGACACCCTAACATCACAATTAAAAGAACTAAAAAGCAACAGCAAACAAATTCAAAATCTAGCAGAAGACAAGAAATAACTAAGATCAGAGCAGAACTGAAGGAGATACAGACCCAAAAAAACCTTCAAAAAATCAATGAATCCAGGAGCTGGGTTTTTGAAAAGATCAACAAAATAGACTGCTAGCCAGATTAATAAAGAAGAAAAGAGAGAAGAATCAAATAGATGCAATAAAAAATGATATAGGGGCTACCCTCACTGATCCCACAGAAATACAAACTACCATCAGAGAATACTATAAACACCTCCATGCAAATAAACTAGAAAATCTAGAAGAAATGGATAAATTCCTGGACACATGCACCCTCACATGTCTAAACCAGGAAGAAGTTGAATCCCTGAATAAACCAATAACAAGTTCTGAAATTGAGGCAGTACTTAATAGCCTAACAACCAAAAAAAGTCCAAGACCAGACAGATTCACAGCCAAATTCTACCAGAGGTACAAAGAGGAGCTGGTACCATTCCTTCTGAAACTATTCCAAACAATAGAAAAAGAGGGAATCCTCCCTAACTCATTTCATGAGGCCAGCATCATCCTGATACCAACACCTGGCAGAGACATAACAAAAAAAGAAAATATCAGGCCAATATTCCTGATGAACATCGATGCGAAGGTCCTCAATAAAATACTGGCAAACCAAATCCAGCAGCACATCAGGAAGCTTATCCACCACGATCAAGTTGGTTTCATCCCTGGGATGTAAGGCTGGTTCAACATATGCCTTTCAATAAACATAATCCATCACACAACCAGAACCAAGGACAAAAACCACATGATTATCTCAATAGATGCAGAAAAGACCTTTGACAAAATTCAACACCCCTTCATGCTAAAAACTCTCAATAAACTAGGTATCAATGGAACGTATCTCAAAATAATAAGAGGTATTTATGACAAACCCACAGCCAATATCATACTAAATGGGCAAAAACTGGAAGCATTCCCTTTGAAAATTGGCACAAGACAAGGATGCCCTCTCTCACCACTCCTATTCAACATAGTGTTGGAAGTTCTGGCCAGGGCAATCAGGCAAGATAAAGAAATAAAGGGTATTCAGATAGGAAGAGAGGAAGTCAAATTGTGTCTGCAGATTACATGATTGTATATTTAGAAAACCCCATCGTCTCAGTCCAGAATCTCCTTAAGCTGATAAGCAACCTCAGCAAAGTCTCAGGATACAAAATCAATGTGCCAAAATCACAAGCATTTCTATACACCAATAACAGACAGAGAGCCAAATCATGAGTTAACTCCTATTCACAATTGCTACAGAGAGAATAAAATACCTAGGAATACAACTTACAAGGAATGTGAAGGACCTCTTCAAGGAGAACTACAAACCACCGCTCAAGGAAATAAGAGAGGACACAAACAAATGTAAAAACCTTCATTCTCATGGATAGAATTAATCAATATTGGGAAAATGGCCATACTGCCCAAAGTAATTTATAGATTCAGTGCTATCTCCATCAACCTACCACTGACTTTCTTCACAGAATTGGAAAAAAAAACTACTTTAAAGTTCATATGGAACCAAAAAAGAGCCTGCAAATGCCAAGAAAATCCTGGACAAGAAGAAGAAAGCTGGAGGCATCATGCTATCTTACTTCACACTGTACTACAAGGCTACAGTAACCAAAACAGCATGGTACTGGAAGCAAAACAGATATATACACCAATGGAACAGAACAGAGGCCTCAGACATAACACCACCATATAAAACCATCAGATCTTTGACAAACCTGACACAAACAAGCCATGGGAAAAAGATTCCCTATTTAATAAATGGCATTGGGAAAACTGGCAAGCCATATGCAGAAAACTGACACTGGACCCGTTCCTTACACCTTATACAAAAATCAACTCAAGATGGGTCAAAGACTTAAATGTAAGACCTGGGACCGTAAAAATCCTAGAAGAAAACCTGGGCAATACCATTCAGGACATAGGCATGGGCAAAGACTTCGTCTAAAACACCAAAAACAATGGCAACAAAAGCCAAAATTGACAAACAGGATCTAATTAATCTAAAGAGCTTCTGCACAGCAAAAGAAACTATCATCAGAGTGAACAGGCAACCTACAGAATGGGAGAAAATTTTTGCAATCTATCCATCTGACAAAGGGCTAATATCCAGAATCTACAAGGAACTTAAACAAATTTACAAGGCAACAACCCTATCAAAAACTGGGCAAAAGATATAAGCAGACACTTCTCAAAAGAAGACATTTATGCAGCCAACAGACATATGAAAAATGCTCATTATCACTGGTTATTAGAGAAATGCAAATCAAAACCACCATCTCATGCCAGTCAGAATGGCAATCATTAAAAAGTCAGGAAACAACAGATGCTGGAGAGGATGTGGAGAAATAGGGAGACTTTTACACTGTTGGTGGGAGTGTAAATTAGTTCAACTATTGTGGAAGACCATGTGGCAATTCCTCAAGGATCTAGAACCAGAAATACCGTTTGACCCAGCAATCTCATTACTGGGTGTATACCCAAAGGATTATAAATCATTCTACTATAAAGACACATACACACGCATGTTTACTGCAGCACTATTCACAAGAGCAAAGACTTGGAACCAACCCAAATGTCCATCAAAAATAGACCAGATAAAGAAAGTGTGGCACATATACACCATGGAATACTATGCAGCCATAAAAAGGGTGACTTTATGTCCTTTGCAGGGACATGGATGAAGCTGGAAACCACAATTCTCAGCAAACTATCACAAGAACAGAAAACCAAGCACCGCATGTTCTCACTCATAAGTGGGAGTTGAACAATGAGAACACGTGGACATAGGGAGGGGAACATCACACACCAGGGCCTGCCTGGGGGTAGGGGGTATGGGAGGGATAGCATTAGGAGAAATACCTAACGTAGGAGACGGGATGATGGTTGCAGCAAACCACCATGCCACGTGTATACCTATGTAACAAAACTGCACATTCTGCACATGTACCTCAGAACTTAAAGTATAATAATAATAAATAAATTACAGTGAACACAAAGGGTTGACAATTATGGGGGAACATGATGCATATTAGAGTCCATTTATATGGGGTCTGAGAATGTATCATTGCATTTGTGTGTTCTTCAGTAAGAGGAGTATGGAAGAGCTGAGAAAGGGTCTAAGGAGAGTCACTGAGACAGTAAAACTTGTTAAGAAAGGTTAAAGATTTAGAATTGTTCAGTATAAAGAGATTATACATATTGGGTGAGTCTAATAGGTTTATTCTTTTCTGTTAACTTTCATTAAAAAAAAAATCAGACAAGTGACACAAAGCCTTTATAATTTACTGAGTGGCTAATACAAACCAGATAAAGATGACAGGCATTTTGCAATATGTTATCTCATTCAAGCCTTATAGCAATGCTATAGTATTATCACCATTTTACGGAACAAGAAATGGTAGCTTAGATAAGTTAACTAGATTGGTCAATCATTTGTATGGACTTTGAGTATATTTGTTCGTTCTTAATTGTATATACTTTGTTACTGTTAGGAAGAGCTTCGTTACTCTCATTTCAGAGTAACCTAGTCAACTGGTTTGTAAACTCATTGATGGCAGAAAGACATTCATATCCCTCTCTGCCTTACATGTTTCAGGAAACTCAATGATAAAAATGCAATGTTCCACTTACATGAAAACATCTCTACTAAAGATTAAATGAAATAAGTGGACTTCAATTTACAGTAGGAGAGGAGAGGGAAAGGGATTTAAAGGTTGAAATCACACAGCTAATAATGCCAAAACCTTATATGTTTGATTGTCTCCAAAGTTCATGTGTTATCTAAAAACTATGCTTTCCTTATAGGGGTCATAAGGAAGAATTCTCTCAAAGAGTTACTAAATAACAAACACTATTATAGAGAGTAGATGAAAAATTGGGATGTATTAGCTATTAGTGATAGCTGGGATAGTCTATTTGTTAAGACCTTAGATCCTCAAATCAGGTGGCTTGGCTTCAGATCTCAATTCTGTCACTCGAATAAGCCATAGTCTCTTATATTACTGTTATCAATATTCTCTCTTTCCTCCCCCTGAAAGAATTATCATTCCCCAACCTTTGTCATCAGGTTGACCACATGACATTCCTTAGCTAATAAAATGTAAGCTGGAAGATGTTTTTAATGTCTGAACAGATGTTTTAAGATCTGCTGCATATTCAGCCATTGATCATTTTTCCTTCCACCATGAGAACATTAGATAGTGGCTACTCTTCTATCTGACAGAAGCTACTGATAGACCGTACTCTTCTGCCAATGGACAACATGGGCTAGAATGATAGCTAAGCTATGAAGGACATCTAACATGAGGAAGAAATAAACATTTGTGATTGAAAGTCATCAAAAATATTTTTGTTAGTTGGTTCATTTAGCTGATTAGTATACCAATTTTGTTACCTTGGGCATTACTTAATCTCGCCCTGTCATTTGCTTTCCTTTTTTTGGTAAGATTGAGTGATTGTGATGGTTAAATATATTAATGTAGTTAAAGTACTTAGACCAGTGCTATACTGGTAAAAGGTTTTTTGCAGAAAAAAGTCCTGAATTGTAGTGTTTGTTAGTTTACATGGTATAAATATTCTCTCATGACTGATTCAAAGCTACTAGCATGATGTCACTGAATGTGGAATTAGACCGAGTTACACACAACCAGCTGTCATGAGTAGGATTGGCTCTAGCACTCTGTGGAATTCAGAACAGTGTACATAGCAAGCATGATATTAGTGCCTATCAAATAGTAAGTGTTATAGAAGAGCAAATTTTCTGAAGATAGGTAACTGAACAAAATGGTTTCTCAAATTTACTTTACATTCATAAAAATGTATTTAGAAGATCACTCAGAGAACTTCAACATTGGAAGCAAACTTAGAAATAATCTAGTATACCTATTTCATCTTAATAAAAAAGGAAACTGAAGCTTAGAGAGGCTGAGTAGCTTGCTCAAAGTCACACAGAGGCAGAGAGTAGGAAACAGCACCATGGCTCCTAGTAGCCAATCTATTCTTTTCCCTCGCAACATGAACAACCCCTTTTTTAAAAATTGCTATGAAAAGGATCAGCAAAGAAAAAAGATGCATAACTAGCTAATGCCTCTTACTGTGTCCCAGTTTCTGATTAAGTATAACAATAATAAATACAAGATCAAAATTAAAACCTGGTTACATTTATTGATAATCCTGTTTTTTGTAATTATGAGTCCATTTTGAGGAAAGTTGTCATTAGGAGAAATGCTTAATAGTGTATTGTTGTGATGCATCATTTTATAAAAGTGATAATTATTAGGAAGAACTGTAAATTTTATCAATCATTGAAAGGTCTAATTAAGAGTAGTTATTTTGACTATAAAAATGAATGCGTCATCTCCTTGCATTTCCTAGTAATATCTCCTAAAAATATTGCAGTACACCCCCATGCAGTACACTCTCAAATTAGTGCTTTTCAAACCAGTAATGCAATGTGTTGGTATCTTAAGGTAACAGTAATTCATTTATTTTAATAATAGTGGTTACTGGCTGTAACTATGGAATGCATTGTCATGGAAACCACTTTCCCCCTCATCTTCCCCTCCAATTTACCCCAGAGTTATTATTTGGAGAGGAGAATTAAGGGAAAGCATTTTCTCTAATACATATAAACGGATAACAGATAAACACATACACATGCACATACAGAGAAATGAACTCTCACTGATTAAAGTTAAACATAAAAAGTCAAGGAAATGAAATATACATTTTGTTTTATATTTTGTCATTTCACTTTATCAATCTAAACTAGCACAAACTGTAAAATGGGGAATAACTTGCACATAGCAGCCTTAATGCTGCCCTAGAATAGGAGGTCAGCTTTAGCTTGGGTAATTCATCAGGGAAAGACTGTGTTAGATATTATTGGAACATCACAATATGGAGCATACAATACTTTTGGGGTGTTTGAAATCCAAATTATAGGCTAATGAATAAGGGAAATGTTGTACAGCTTTTTTAGGATCTATTCTCTTGGAAAAACCAGCCGTAATTATAGATGCTCTGTAGGTGGGAGTGCTCACACAATCACACTTTTTATGCTAACATAAAGGAATAAAATGGTAAAGGATATACTTAATCTGTACATTTGACTTTAAATTTTCACAGAAGGCCTCAGACCAGAGTTTTGCTCCTAAAATGTGACCTAGTACATTTAAGAACGTATAGATTAGACCTCCTGAGTCCCTCCAGCTATTCATTAGATTGAATCAGTACTGATTCCTAATGGAGAAATCTACTAGGCAAGGACTTCTGCACTTAGTGTAAGAATCCCAAAACCTTAGGCATGGCTGCCCTCTACAGTTAGAACCAGGTGTAACTCAACTCTGAGGGTCTTTCCGTGTTGAATTTTGCTCATACTTTGTTCCATATTGAGTTTCCTTCAGATAAGTCTTATTTCATAAAGAGGACTTGCATTCCTCTCACAAGGGGGCTGATTAAAATGTAGATTTATTGACATTCTACTGGCCTATGGGATGAAAATGTAGGGTTGGGCTTCATAATCCATATTTATAATAAGCATCATAGAGAATTATGACATAATCAGGTTTATTTTCTATTAACTTGGGAGAAGGGACGAGAGTATTTTGGATATGGGTGGGGCAAAGGCATGTTATAAGGCACTGTCTTTGACTTAAAGGTTTACAAGTTGGTATGTTCTTTTGTTCTAACCAATACATTTAAACTTTCTAAGGAGGAAGCATACCATGATATTGAGGCTCTTATTAGTTTCGGATATAGGTGGTCTGACATTCTGATGGAATTGCATCAGGAGGATGTGGTTCTAACAGTTTGCCATGGATACTTTTGACTATGTTGTTCCTGTATTTCAGGTGGGATTTCTGAATTTAGCACCAAATTGTTAAGTGTCTTGGAATTACCACATTCATGTAAATGTGACAGTCCTGGTCCTTCCCAAATAAATCTGAAGACTTTGGAACATGTTTCTGGAGAAGTGTGTTATGTCTCTCATGATGCTGTTTTCTAAACTCTCCTCTACTACTTTTCTTTGAACCTAACCTTCAGGTTTATTGATTATGTGACTTGAGCAAGTGATATAACACTAAGGGGCTCAGTTTCTTCCCCTAGAAAAAAAATATGTCAAATAATATCTACCTCTGAAGCTAAGAAATGAAATAAGCTATGTAAGTTAAGAGCAGCTACCATGTACTGGGGCTTACCACAGGAATGTGTTGTTCAGTATATCTGTCTAGTCTTCCTGACAACCCTTTAGGTTAGGGGTTAATACCATCTAGTTACAGGTAAGCAAACAGGGGTTTGGATAATGTAAATGACTTACACAAAGCCACATCTAGCACCAGAGCCAGAATCTGTTTCCAAACTCGGATGTTTTGCTCTCTTTCTACCAACCATCTGTGAGGCATAGTGCCAGGCACCCAGGTGGCACCCAAAGAGTGCTAGTTTTACCCACTTCCTACCCCCACACCCTTCTTATCACATTTGTTTTTGTCTTCCATAAGCAATTTTGCAGCTGTGCCAGCCAGCCACATGCTGATTTTTTTTTTTTTTTGGTCTTTCTGCAATTTTGACAGCCTCAGTTAAAAACAAAAAAACAAACAAACAATAAAACATCCATCAGTCTTGTCATTCATACTTCTGGAACAACATAAATACTACTTCTGGGGTTTCCTGGAGTCTCAAAGACATCAAGGTGGGGAAGGGGCAGACACTTCTTTTTTGAGTTTGACAAATGTTATGTCAAATAAAGCCTTGGTTCTGAGGCCGCTTCCCTACCCAGGGAGTGAGTAGGCTCGCTGAACCAGAAGTCAACCTCGTAGGGCACCAGCGAAATCATTTTGAGCCTGTTTTCTACCCCAGATTTCTTTGCTGGCCCTCTGCCCCCGGCAAGGCATGCTGTTGTCAAAGGGCTGGGAGGAAGTTCCCTGCCGCGCTCCGAGCGGGCCTCCCCTTCCCGGGAAGTCGGCCTCGGAGGTCTTCTACCCTCGGGTGGCTGTAGCGGTGGGGGCCAAATGCAGTCTCGGGGTCACGTCAGCGCGGGGAGGTCCCGCGCTCCCACGCTGGGGACTCCTTCGTGGCACCAAGAGCGCCCAAAGGCAGGGCCAGTCTGGCAAGCACAGCGCTTCCTCCCTTTCTCAGCCCCTTCCTCCCACCCCACTTGCCCGGCCAGCGCTCCCCACAGTGACTCTGGATTGCAGCAAGCCACTGGCTTTTTACCAAATCGGGAGCTGCAGTATGTTTTCTTCTTCTTCTTCTTCTTCAGAGGGAATAATTTCAGCCCCCTTCAGCTCGCATGACAATCTTGTGTGACTGGGGAGAGTAGGCGGGCACATCCTTTTACATGCTAATACTGCCCCACCTCCTTTGAACCCTCCTCTAAGTGCCTGGCTTCCTTTTATTTTTATGGTTTATTTTTATTTTATTTTATTTTTATTTTACCTCCCCCAAATTCACCGTAGGGGGAAAAATTCTTTCTTGGTTCTGTCCCTCCCCCCACACGCCTCGTTCCCCAGGGAAGGGAGACCCCGAGAGGCTCGGTACTTGCCCGCGGCGTTGCTTCCACCGGGGCTCCGGGATGGCCACGGCGGGTGCAGGGGGCAGTGATCGAAGCGGCAGCTCGGTCTAGGCTGTCGCTCCATGTGCCCGGCGAGCACAGCGTTTGGGTCCCCCAGCGAGCTGCCACTGCCGCAGCCCGGAAGGAATGTCCCCTGTTGTTAAGGACCCTGACTGTTTTACACCAATGATTTGCCACTGCAAAGTTGCTTGCACCAACAACACTTTATCGTTGATGTTTGGATGCAAGGTAGGAAGAGGTTCATGTCTTTTTAATGCATGTTGCCTCCCTCGGGGGAGAGAACAATTCCTTCTGTTGCTTGTTTATGTCTGCCTGTTGGGAGAGTGACAGAAGCTGCGACTGCTCTGCTCTTTCTGGGAGCCAGCTGGGTTTGGGGGCCAAGAGATCGCACTGATTTTCTGGCGTCCGATGTTGGGCTCATAACTCAATGGTGATGGGACCCTGGTCTCTAACATACAGAGGCTACAAGAGCAGATGCAGCTCGGAAATGGGGCACCTTGGGTGGCTCTCTGCTTGGGATCTCCTTATGCATTTAGCTAGTGACTGGGCTCCAGACTGCTAATTTGGGAGCTCCTGAACTCATCTCAGGTTACTACCACCTAGAGCCCCAACCCACTGGGCTAACTAGCAGGAGTAAGTGGGGTGGTCGATGAACTCTAGATAAACTGACATTTTTTAAGATAAACAGCTTATTTTTATTTTAGACAGAAAATCTGGAGCTAGGCTCAGGTTGCCCCCAGTTGCATGCTTTTCCCTTTTATACAATCCACTTGAAATCAACAAACAAATTTTATCAAGAGGTGGCGCAGTTACTCAGTGAAGTTTGTAGTAAATAACTGTCCCACCCCAGATTTTTGTAAAGGTGATTGGTGTTCCCAGAGAAATGAGGTTTGAAGGTTTTTAAAACAGGTTATCATTCATTGCTCCTTTTCTGAAATATATTAATGGTGCTTCCTTGTTGGACCTGACGACGCACTCCTTGAAAAAGATGCATAGAACTTGGTGTTTGAACAGTTTTAGCCCATTAATGGCCTGAGTGCATGTCCTGTTACTGTAAGTTACAAGTCTTCACTTCTTTTTGTTGTGAAAAGCCAGTGGATTTGTCCAGCTTATTTATATAAAACACTTCATGTGGCTACTATGGTGACTGTCTAAGGAGAGAGAGAGAGAAAGAGAGAGAGCTTTCTTCATCTGAAATAACTGAAGTTTGACTTCTCTAAGTGAATGTATATCACATAATTCCTATTTTTCTGAAAGATAACACCAGAGATTGGATTGGACAGCTGGTAAGCACCTTAGGCAGTAAAGTTAATGAAACACACACACTGAACTTCATGGATAGTGCTCACAGGAGGTGTAAGCTTAACGGAAAAATTGGGAGTCAGGATTTTAAGTCTTATATTGGCTATGCCTAGAGAATCTTCTCTGGGCCTCAGATTTTCTTCTGTAAAATGAGGACTGTGGATGAGATTATCTCTGAGGCACCTGCCAGCTCTAACAATCTCTGGTTATGTCTTTCATGAAGTCATTGAATGATAATATTATTGCCAGAGATTTATGTTTTTCTACTCAATATGATAGGTTACACTGTAGGGTTGGTTAAAAAATATATTGCCCATACTAAAGAGTAGCTTGTTGTTCCTTTGGAAACCCCGAAGAGATCTTAGAATTGTTGAAGGTTTGTGTGTTCATCACTGTCAGGAAGATGTATGTGAATGAATAGCACCAATAACTAAGGAGTTAGGTTCTCTCCCATACAACCTGCCACCCCTACCTCATGCTTTTATTCACTCTCCTAACTGCATTTACAGTAGCATCCTTGCAATGGCTACTGTTTAAAATCCATTCCCATGAACTTACAAGAATTACTTAGCGGTGCTAAATGATATTTAACAAAGGTGAATTATTTGTCAAGGGAAATTAAACACAAGCTAATAATCAAATAAGATAAGCCATTGGTGTAGAGAATGTTGTTGAATATGCATTCGACCCTTCAAGTTCATTTACAAACAAGTTTCTTTTATGCTGTTAGGTTTTCCCCTAACTTTCAAACCATATTGGAGGGAATTAAAATAATTTCAAGCACACACTTTTTTTTTTAAGGCTAAGGAAATACATTAGTTTAACTTTCTTTATGTTCTCTTCCTTTTGGTATTCGGATTTAACAAATTCACTTTATGAGAGAGATTCATGTCAATAGAGTGAAACACCTATGTCATGTGTGTTTGCAGACATCGTTTTTTGAAAAATAAATTAATGTTATGTGAAAATAAAATAATGCTTTTAGAGACTCTAACCCATCTTATTTTGCAAAGTATTTGAATAAGATAATTCTCAAATCCCTTTATAATGGGATCAATTATTATATTATAACCATACTTAACAGAAGGTTAATTATAGATGGGTTGACATAAGGATTCTATCTTATAATCTTAAATATGGAAAGAGTATTGGGACTTTCTACTGTAGCCTTCCTCCTAGTGAAGTTCTTCAACATTATCTGACAGATGACAACAGAAAATAATATGCAAAATTTACCTCACAGACAGGCTTAAGTTTCAAAGCTAAATTTTATACTTACTATTGATATGATTTATGTAAGTCTCAGTTTCTTCATATGTAAAGTGGCCACAGCAATAACTACTGCAGTATATATTACTATGTCATTGTGAGAAATAACAGTTAAATGAGATGCATGCAGTACTTACTATGTATAAATTCATCAAATGATTGTTGCTTATATGGCCTTAATTATTTTCATAGCTTCACTGAGGTGGGCTTATTACTTATAGGAGAAACTGCTCCCACTGTTATTAAGATAGTTCTCTTGATAAATTCTTCATCTTTATTAAGAAATCAATCATTACTTTTCCCAAAGTTATTTTTCTTTGCTCTATGCTGTTTATGTAAAATATAGGAACCATTTATATATTGATATGACATTCATAAAATGAAGTACATTTATGAAAATTAATTAACAAATTATACTATTATTCCATTTGATCAGCAAATATTTATTGACCACACTAGAAATTCTACACACTGGAGGCATAGCAATAAACTGCTCTTGTTCCCTTTGGTCTCAAATTTAAGTGATATGGCAGATGATTACATTTCTTACAATATTGATTTAAGAAAAAAATATAAAATAAGGATTTTCATTGAATCTTTTAGTAATTAAAATGGGATTTAAATAATTTTTGAAAAAATCATGGAGACACAGATTTCAATAAGGATACTTCAGAAACCTGCAGTCATTTCAAGATTACCTACTAAGTGTGAAAATAAGATTATTAGGATGAATATTTATTTCCTTTCCTGAAAGTTATTTACATGGCAAAGTCTAAAACCATTTTCATGGGTAGGCCAGACTGTCAGTTTCAAAAACACTAAAACTGTTTGCTCTAATTATCTCAGAATGGCTTCAAGGATGCTGAGTAATTTGAGCTTTCAAGCTAGACACTCAAAAGTTATCTTCTTTTGTCACTTAGCCATCTCCAGGGTCCGTCTTGTTGCATCCTGAGAGCTATTCAATTTAGTTAACTGACTATACGACTTATGACTGTAAACATGGAGTGTCTTTCCATGCTAGGCATTATGATGGGCATTAGAGATACAAACGTAAGTACAACACCATTTATTCCAGAAATTAATTCCAAGCCTATTGAGGAAGTAATTCCACTTCTTTTATTAAAATACAGATCACCTACAGTCCCATCTAACCTTAAGTTCTCATGAGAGAAACCAAAATAACCTTCTTCCAAAAAAAAAGATTTTCTATTATATCAGTTCCCCCCTACCTTTTTTTTTTTTTTTGCCCCTGTCCATATGCCATCATCACACCTACAAGGCTATTTATGGGAATGGGCTTGCCATGGGGAAGGAGGTCTTCTAAAAGGTTTTTTTCTTTGTCATAGTAGTTTTTATGTCATTATCAGAAAATAGGCATCAACTTTACCTTCACTTAACTGTTTTCTCCATCCACAAAGATCAAAGTATTGAATTTAATTTCAAGGGCCAGCCTATATAGTATTTCTCTTTCCTTTATCTTGTCTATAGCTGCATTGCAAAGGTCCACAGTCCATGTGTGTGTGTCTCCCTTCTTTTATTCCCCAATATTTCTAAGATAAAAATACATACAAACATAAAAGAATATTTGTTATTTGTCCTAATATTCTAAAAATACTTTATAAATTACAGTATTCTCTACAATTATTCCTTTGCTTTACTATTTTAATTAAAAGGAAGATGTAATTGAAATATGGCTTATGTTAAAAAAAATGCACAAGGGACCTGGATAGACACTTCTTCAAAGGAGACATTAAAATGGCCAGTGGGTACAAGGAGAGGTGCTCAACATCGTTAAGTATCAGGAAAATGAGAATCAAAACCACAGTGAGATATCATCTCATACTATTAAAATGGCTGTTATCAAAAAGACAAGAGGTAACCAGTGTTGTCAAGGGTATGGAGAAAAGGGAACCTATGTACACTGTTGGTGAGAATGTAAATTAGTGTGATAATTATGGAAAACAGTGTGAAGGTTTCTAAATGTATTACAAATAGAATTACCATATAACCTAGCAATCCCCTTTTAGATATATAACCAAAGGAAACGAAATTAGCATCTCACAGAGATATCTGCATTCTCATGTTCACTGCAACACTATTTTAAATAATTCATAATAGCCAAGATATGGAAACAACCTAAGTGTTCATTGACAAATAAATGGATGAAGAAATTGTGGCATGTATCTATTTTATAGAGATACATTTATATCTATTCTATAAATTAGAATATTATCCAACCTTTGAAAAGAAGGATAACCTTACATTTGCAATAACATGGATACACCTGGAGGACATTAAACTAAATGAAATAAACTGAAGATAGGAAAATGCTGCTGACCTCACTTATATGTGGAATGTAAAAAAAAAGTAGAACACATACAAACTCAGTAGAATGGTGGTTATGGGAGATTGGGAGGAAATTTGAAGATGTGGGTTGCAGGAAACAAAGTTGCGGTTATGTGGAATGAATAAACCTAGAGATCTCAGGTACAGTGTTTGGACTATAGTTAATATTGGATTGTATACCAGAAATTTGCTAAGAGAGTAGATTTTAGGTATTCTTACATACACACACACATACACACACACAGAGTGTAACACAGATAATGGGTATGTTAATTAGTTTGGCTGTAGTAACCATTTCACTATATCAAAACATTATGTTGTATATTTTGAATATTTACAGTTTTAAAAGAAACATGGCTAAAACTTGAGCACCTCTTTCTTTCTCATAATAGCAATTTGTTAATATAACAGCTCAACTGAACCACTGTGAAGCCCGTAGGACACATCAGGTATCTTCAATATTGTTTTTATATATTAAGATAGGGGAAAGTTTTTGAAAATGTTATAGAGTCCTGAAATTTTATTTTTTTCTGGTGAGTATTTGGACCTTTTGTAACTGCCCTAACCCTCAAAGGAAAGGAGTCATCTTCTAGAAAGCAACCTACCTTTCTTCTACAGGGTGACTCTCACAAAAGAGAGAATAGGGAGAGTAAGTGGAAGGTTAAAATGGAAGAAAATGGAAAAATAAAAAAGGGAGGGAATCAGAAGAAGAAAGGGATGAGTTCAAGGACTAAAACAGCAAAAGGAAGGGGTAAAATAATTTGGTTTTATTAAACATATATACAGTATCTTAGGTGTTTTACCAGTGTTATTTCTTCCAATCTCCGTAGTTACCAGGCAAACAGAAGAAGGAGCAGGGAAGGAAAGAAAATAGAACAGAATGATAGGAAGGGAAAGATGGGAAGGGAAAGTCTTGGGTGGGGCGGGGAGGCAGAGAGAGAGAGAGAGAGAGAGAGAGAAAGAGAGAGAGAGAGAGAGAGAGAAAGAGAAAGAGAAAGAGAAAGAGAAAGAAAGAGAAAGAGAAAGAGAAAGAGAAAGAGAAAGAGAAAGAGAGAGAAAGAGAAAGAGAAAGAGAAAGAGGAAATGGGTTGTGGGCTCCCAGCCTCCAGAGGGTGCTCTAACACTCACCCAATATCAGAGGGCCTGTCAGCACCTCCTTGGTGGACAGTTCCCTGGAACCTTCTGCCTTTCTCCACCTCTCCCAGACCCCTTTTTCCTGCCTAGACAGTCTCTGTGGCAGAGAAGTAGTTTTGTTTGCCCATTTGTTTATTTAAATGTGGCCAACTTTGTTGTAAAACATTAGTGGTAGCAGAGGAGCCATCAATTCATATATCATTATGCATATTTTTTGTCACTAGCAGGGTAGTTTCCCTTTACCTATTTTGAATATTGCCAAAGGTTGACCATTTTGGTATATGTTTTTTTTTTATTTTATAGTAACATGTGTTCATTGAAATATATTAGAAAAAAACAGAAATTCAAAAAACAAACTTTAGAAAATACTTTTTGTTTCAGAGGACTAGATGTAAAAACTTAATATTTTAGTGTGTATTTTCCTAGTTTCCCAGTACTATTTTGGTTTCCTTGGTTTATACATGACTTATTTTAAAAGTGTAGTTGTAATCATGTTGAGTCTGCATTTGAATAATTTAAATTTATATTAGGCTTTGTGAATGTATTTTAATTGCTGTATAACAGTTAACCATCCTTTTGATATTTTGGCTTTTTTCCCCTTAAATTTTCTACTATTAAAAATAAAATCAACATCTTGGGGAATAAGTCTCTTTTGGATTTAAAATTATTTCCTTTGGATAGGATAGAATAAGTAAAATTACTAAGTCAGATTTTAAAAAATAATTTAAGATGCTTGATGATGGGTATTTCTGCATTTATTTTAATCATAGTTATATAAATTTATATTGCTGCAAGCTACTTTATATGTCATCACATTCTTCATCTTTACTTTATGGATTTGTAAATAAGAGGTAGTCTAGTTTTTCTCCTGTGAATCGGGTTAAAACTCTGTTAGACTTTGAGTTAATAGGAGTCTCACGACTATATTGCTTTGTATCACCTCAAAAATACCTAATATGCAAAAAATCCAAGTGTTCAAAATTGGTACATTAAGGAGACAGCTATTTACATTGCCAAGACTTCAGTTTCTCTCTCAATACATACACACACTGACCTGCTACCAGTTGTCAGACAGTGTTTTCAGAAATGTCAACTCACTTAATCTTTACAGTGCCCCTTTGAGATGGGTATAGTAGTTACCCTGGTTACCCCAGTGTTACAGGTAGAGAAATTGGGGTGCAGGTGGTTTAAGTAATTTGCCCAAAGTCATATCACTCTTAAATAGCAGAGCCAAAATTTGAACCTAAGCAGGTTAGATTTGGAATATACACTCATTTCCAATATAATTTTGTACTCTTTCAAATAGCAGGATTCTATGCTTAAGTGCCTTTAAGCTATGAGTCAATTTGCAAAAATGTCATTTATGCACACCTGAATTTGAATGTAAGGTACACTGATGAGAGGAGTCAGTTTTATTGTACAAGAATTTCTTTTGAGAGGAGTTTGATCCAAACATCATTTCTCATAGTATTCACACTATCATTTTCTGCATGAGGTTATTAAATCACATGGATAGAATATGACTTACTCAAGGTCACACAGCAAGTTACACAGCCAAGGCTACAACTAGGTCTTCTAGTTTCGAACTCAATGTTATTCTTTCTACGTCATGACCTCTAACTCTGAACTAGAAGTTTTGGAAATCAAGGTGAGAAAAGAGAAACTGACAAGTTTTATCTGCAAGAAGTTGGAAAAATAACACCCTCCTTTCAGGACTGTTGTAAAAATTAAGTGATAGATCACATATCAAAACATTTAGCACAATGCCTGGTATGTGGTAACTATAAAATAAGTGGATTTTTTTTCTATTTTATTAAACTACTTTACATATTGCTGAGAAGATGTAGATTGCAGATAGAGTCAACTGGGTAGTATTAAATCAAACACTTTGAAATTCACCTATCAGTAAATTGGAGGTATTTTAACCTACCAACACGTTGTTGAAGGCTTCTAATGCTACAAAAAGAAGAATCTAGAAGTTTATATAATTCATACCAAAAACAAAAATCCTAGATTATACCTGACCCAGAAAGAGAAAATGAAAAATGAGCTAAGGAGTTAAACAGGTGCTGAATGTCCCAAACAAGCAGGCTGCATTGACCTTTTGACCCCCTTGACAATACATACTTGCCACTTCAAGGTCTTTTACAGTTTTTATTTTTAATTTTAGAAAATTTGAGAGAAAAACGTTGAATATAAAAAAATAAGGAGGGTTAACTTTTATGCCACCAATAAAGTATGTTCACAGAAAGGGAATATTGAATTGTACAATTCAGAATACTGAAAGAGCTCAGACTTTAAGAAGCCTTTTGCCTTGTACTCACTTATGGATATCCAGGGAAAGTTTTAAATAAAGTACATATGGTGAAATCATTCCCAGTATCTTTTGAATTAAATTACCCCTGGACTCTTATGGCATGTAATACTTAATAATTGTATCCTAATTGTAATATTCAATTGTAAATTCTGTTTGCTTATCCATTTGCCCGTGTAAACTGTAGGGATTTTAGGGGCAGGAGCCATATTATATTCATTTAGTATAATGCCTGGAAGATCCCTGAAATAAAGACTAGGCATTACTTAATGTGGTACCTTGATGTGGTGGTTAACTTTATGTGTCACCTTGACTGGCCAGACATTTGGTTAAATATCATTCTGGGTATATCTGAGAGATTGTTTCTGGATGAGATTAAATTGGTAGACCCAATAAAGCAGATTGTCCTCCCTAATGTGGGTGAGCCTCATCCAACCAGTTGAAGACCTGAATAGAACAAAAAGCCTGAGTAAGAGGGAGCTCCTCCTGCCTGCCTGCTTTGAGCTGATGCATTGATCTTTACTGGCCTTTGGACTTGAAGTGAAGCATTGGCTCTTTTTGGGTTTTGAGCCTGCTGGCTTTTGTGCTGGAACTTATATCATCAGCTTTCTCAGTTCTCAGGCCTTTAGACTAGAATTGGAACTGCATGTTGGCTCTCTGGGGTCTCCAGCTTGCTGACTGCTGACCTTGGGACAAAACCTCCGTGATAATGGGAACCAATTCATATGTGTGTGGGGGGTGGGGGAGGGGGTGGGGGAGGATAGCTAGATCGATCGATCTCTCTCTCTCTCTCTCTCTCTCTCTCTCTCTCTCTCTCTCTCTCTCTCTTACTGGTTCTGTTTCTTTGGAGAACCCTGAATAATGCAGCTAGTATCTGGGGTGAGATGCCTGGCTCTGTCATCACTAATTGGCCATTCTTGTCTAGTAAGGTACAGAGAAGCTGATAAATCATAAACGCAATCAGATCTCCATGCCATGGTGATCTTATTGAAATTAAAATAGTTTCCTCATAAGGTTATGGATTTACTTTATTGTAAGTCACAGATTATACTTCCAGAGACACCATAGTAGAAAACATTTAAATAGTAGAAAACATTTAAAACTACTTTAATGCTTTTTTCAGCTCTATATATATATATATATATATATCTATATATATATGAATGTACTTGTCAGACTTATGAACACATTATATATTTCAGTGATTATAAAGAACACAGTAATATTTTTTCCATATAAATTTAAATGATGGTGTCAGATAGAATAACAATAGCATCCTGAATGATGGCTTCTGGAAATCTTATAAATAAGGTAATATTTTTGAAACTTCCATTTGTGTGTGTGTATGTGTGTGTGTGTGTAATTCCTAATATAAAATACATAATTTTGATGGGGTTTCATGTATTATCTTTATTGAAGTTTTTTTCCAAATTCCTAAAGTAGTTTAAATTATTTAGTTTGATGAATGAGCACACTAAAAACAGTCATTATCTCTAAAATGCTGGTCCAGTGCACTGTAACAGCCTTAATATCCACATTATGGATTAAACCAGGCAGGGATTAATGATATCACTGCATCATATGGCAAATAATGATACTATCATATTATCAAATAATAATGATATTATTTTATAAGTTCTCAAATAAGATGGCAGCTACTCACATGTCAGTTGGCTTATTATCTAAGGGTAGGAGACTTCGATTTTTCTCTTGGAGCCATGTCTCAAGTATCCTCATTATGGTTTGGTGAAAATCTCCATTTGGAGAAATGTAGGTACACTTGTCCATTAATCAATTTCTAGTTCTCTCTTGAGCATATATATTATGTTTAACATTATAGTGGGCACCTCAGGTTAATGCTCAAATACGGTAAAATAGTTCCTGCCTTGGGGACCTTTCAGTTTTGCTGGTGAGCTAGTACTAAGAAATGTACATGGGAAAAACAACTCACAAAGCAGATTGGACTAACCCTTTTTGGGTGATCACCACCCACAGTGTTTTATTCTAAGGACTTGACATGAATTAATCTATATGCTATTCAAAATTAATCTATACGCTATTCATTTGGAAGTTATTAATTGCTATGTGACACTCTCTCTTCATAAGTACAACTAATATCAGATGAGGGCCCATACAGTAGTTTAAAAGTAGTCTCATACTTCAGTAAGTTGAAGGCCCTGCTCCAGATAATGAGAAGACAAGAGAACCAATGATGTCTTTAGGTATAGAGAAGGATTTTAGGAGTTAGTCAGAGTAAATCTCAGTTTTTTAAAGCCTTGTACTGTGTCAGAAAGGAAAAATAATTTGATTTTCTATTCAAGTCTACAATTGATCTCTATGGTCCAACACTTCTTGAGAAGTGTTGAAAGTAGTAGTGGGGCATTGAAGGTGTGCCTTCCCCTTGGATAGAAGTGGGAAAGGAGAAAGGGAGGAAGAGGGGGAGAGAATGTGAGATTATATATCCTATTCTACCCTCTGTACCAAGCAAAGATACTCTGTGTATGCTCTTGGGCAGGCAAACATAGATGTAAGAAGCAAGTCCTGAGGGTAGAGTTTGGCACTGCAAAGTATTGTGACTGAACCATTAGCTCTGTGACTTTGGGGAAGCTCTTTCACTTCTCTGAGCTCTAGTTTCTTCATCTATATGACATAGATAAGATATATTTAATGTGTTTGTTATACCAACCAAACAAGAAAGCAACAAATACAATGTCTCACATGTAGTAATCATTAAATAAATATTAGTTTTCTTTCTCTTACTCTCTCAGATGTAGTCCTTTCTCTTTTCACTTTTATTTGCATTAACATAGTATGAAATAACCTAGAAAGAAGCTTTTTCATGTTCATACCCAAGACTCAGGAGTGAGAAAGAAAAGAGTTAACTGTGTCAACCAGACCATATATTAACTGTATTCAATCTTCCTTCGCTGAGTATTCACCAAGTGCCATCACTTTGCTAGATAAGGTTTCATTTATCATCTCTAGCATATTATTAATATATCCTATTTTCTCCTATTTGAAGTAGTTGGCATAACCTTTCCCATCCCCATTATCTCACTTCAGAGTCTGATAGAGAATGCTCCCTTCCCTCACAGCAGCTTCCATGTGAGCACAGATTCAGTAATGTGTGTGTTATTATAGCTTTTGTTACCAGATGTATTGGTGCCTGATGGTATTCAACTAGACAACTTTTTTCCTAACATCTGCTGCCTGAGAAAATTTTGTTTTAAATATTAGTAAACTTTATTTTCTTTATTTAAAAGGCCAGATGACCATCCAAAAGAAATGCTCCTTGGGATTCTGCAGGCCTGCCTAATTCCTAAATACACCTTTTTTGAATTTTGTAAAATGAGACATTTTCTCTCTGTACTTGTGCATTGCCCTTTGCTGTAGCTATTTCCCCAACAAATTGCTATGGTTGGTCTCTCAAGCCAGAGGAAAGAAAAGGGTTTTATAATAAAAATGCTGACAGGTTCCTAGCTACAGCAGTATGAGTGGGGATGCTATGATCTCATTTATTGTAGAAACCGGATGCCTGTTTTGGCTGAAGGGAGAGCAAGCATCTTCCAGAGCTCTGGGGTTTAAAATTTTTATCTTGAAAAGTTTGCAAAGAAAAAAAAAATGTGGCTGTAGATAAATAGGAAACCCAGAATATGCAAACTGCACCTTTGTTCTTCCACTAGAAGTACTAAATTGAATTTCAAAAACGGTCTTAGAGAAAGTGGTCATAAGGTTTAAGAGACTAAAAATGGGGATTGTGTATTTGCTTGCTGTGTACAGAACTTATCTCTTTGTAATGATTTTATCTGGCAATTTAGAAAGTATTCTCAATCTTGGTCTCACTCATATTTTAAAATAATGTTTACTGTTATTATATAGAAAGCCTTCGTAAACTAGTTATCTTTTATCCCTTAATACAACATCTCTATGAGGTAGATATTTTTATAGACGAGAACACTAAGGCACATTAAGATGAAAATTCTCTTTACTAGTAAGGTTCAAACATCAGGCTGAAGACCATTTCTCCATAATATTTTTCAGATGATCAAAGAACTATTTGGGGGCTAGACTAGATGGCCCCAAATTAAAGTTCCTTTCATGTTTATACATAAATTTGGCTATACCTTGCCCAAAGTGACCAAGCCCAAAGTCGTGGCACTTGGGTTTAAGCCCAGGTTTCTGACTCTGAGCCCAGGGAAAGTCTCTATTTTTCTTGTTTGTCCCTCTTTGAGCATTTTCCGGGGACTGACCATGCTTCCAAAGCACTAAACCTATGTATTTCTGGGATGCTACCAAGAGCAAAGGGAGAAGCTGGTGCTTGCCCCACAGTTTTTATTTATATATTTGTATGATCAAAATGAGTGCATGTTACCTAGTCAAATCTTGAAAGCCAGAGTATACATAGTACAGAGGGCTCAGCTAATGCATACTCTCAGGTAAAATTCCATCTGTGCAATGAAGGCTGACAAATGTTTCAGATCATAAGGGCAGAAGTAGAGCTGAAGGACTTCAGATATTGGTCTCTTCTTTCCTCTGGCTTCTGACCTCTTTCAGCCAGCTCCTAGCTTGGGAATACAACCTATTGTACTCTTATAATGGATAAGAGTATGTAGTTAGGCCAGTTGAAGTCACTGCTGGCTTTCTGTTTTATTCTTTTCCATTCCACTTCAGAAGTCCAGGACCTGGATATTACCTTGATACTTCCAGTTAAATCAGTTTCACATACACCTCCATGTCAGTTATTTACACTTTTAGTGTCAAGCCAGGAAACTCAGCAAGAATTTGCATGTGCCCAAAACCCTGCTACTTCTCCTACAGAGGAGATTTGTAGAATCAAATATATCTGAATGAAAAAAATAAAAATCTTTATCTCTCTGTAAAGATAGCTTAGGTGGTAGATGTTCTGGGTTCTGGGGAGGCAGATAAAAATCACTTATAGATTTGATCTCAGATTAATCAGCATTCTACTAGTATTCAGACTCTAGGTGTTCGCTTGGGGAGCTATATTTGCTAGGTCTGGCCAATTTTTGGATGTTGCCAGACCCTCATTCATGTTTTTTCTTCCATTCTTTGGACTCAGGAAGATAACTTTCAGATTTTTCTGACCAGAAAGGATAATCTGAAATGTTTCATTTTGCACTGTCACAGCTAGGTGTTCTGCAATTTTGAATAAGCATTTGGCATTGGTGTACAAGTCTCCCTTAAATATAACTTTAGAGAAGAGGTCTATCTGGAAAACTCTAGACTTCCTTTACAGTTGTTAGGTTAACTTTTTGTATTTACGTTTAATTGACAATGTTTACTTAGTTTCTCTCTGAAGCAGTTTTGGAAAACTGTATAGCAACTTCAGCGCCAATGTAATGAAATTTGTAGCAAAGTAAGAGATAATGAATAGACTTAAATAGATTTATAGAAGTCCCTCCCTCCCTCCCTTCCTTCCTTTCTTCCTTTCTTCTTTCCTCCTGTCTCTGTTTTCTTGTTTATTTACTTGTTTTACTAGTTACAAGTCAAGATTACTTTCTTGCTTTCTGTCTGGAGAAGCAGATTTTCCAAAGTAAGTTTCATCAGTACCAGCGTGTTAATGTTCAGGACCTGATGTATTTCATAGATGATGGTTTTGAAGATCCTTATTACCTATCACAGACTCAGTTCCATTTAATCTAATTCTATGTTGAATTGTGTTCAATCAAGATGTTTCAATGTATCACTCAGAAAATATTAATGAGATCATTTATACAGTATGTCTAAAGTTGCTTAGTTTCAATTGAATAATCCTGACTTATTGAACAGTTTGAAATCTTTCCTTGTATATAATCTGGCTTTTCAGAGCCCCCAAAGCACTCTCTGTATAGTTGCTTTTGGCTCTGAATTGTGTTAGCACCTTGTGCTATTATTTAATCATTGCATATAAATATTCTACTTATTGCCAACAAGAACATTCGTTTGTTTAGCAAATACAGTATTGATCTTTTTCTAAACTTGCCTAGTGCCTTACAATGGTATGGACGCTATCCAAGGAGGGAAGCCATCAAGGAAATATTAATAGTATTCCTTCAGGACTCAATTTGTGTCATCTCTTCATGGAAGACATCCCTGGACTTTGTATCATCTCTGCTCACATGGAGTCATGGACTTCTTTCCTTCATATTGAACTCAAGTGTCACAAGGCTGTAAATATCATGAGGTGTCAGAGTCTGGGACTTAACATCCAGAACACCTAGCTACTGCTATAGTGCTTACAACATAAGTTCAATTTATTATGTTTGTTGAATGAATGGTTGATATAATCTATTGTTTAATTATTTAGGCAATTGAGACCTAGTGTTAATTTCAAAGAAGGACCTGTTGAATAATGACACCCATCATACTTCATTTTTAAGATATTTTTATCTGCATATAATTTCTACTGAACTCCACTTCATGACAGCAGAGGGAAAATGAGGTATTTGATAAATATATATTGAATGAACAAATAAATGAATCGCTTGGTCACCAAGACTGAGACCTAGAAGTTGGTTGATAAGTACTTGGTGAGGAATGAATGGATGCATGAATGTCTGTAAACATAATTCCCATAGTAACCTATATTTTGTGAGTTAGTTTAAATCCATCTTAAAATAATCGATAGTTTCATACCAGCTGGAAAGGATTTGTTTTGCTTTTATTGCTTATAAAATAAGCAGCTTTTGTCTCTCTGACATAGAATCCATGTATGGTCCAGTGTCTTCAATAGAACTGAATGATTTGCAATAGAACTGGTAAGAAGGGTTGGTCCTGTACTTTGTAGGATGAGGCCTGGTTCCAGTGCTGCCACAGGAACCTGTCAGCCATGTTGCTCTGGTCTTCTGGCTTTGTTAGACATGTAGGCATGAGATAGTCCAGGGGAAGGAAATCTCTGGAAAATTCCCCTATGTGTAGGGGGCTTCTCAGCACCATTGTCTTCTCCATCCCAACTACGTTAGAATTCCCAGTCCCTGTGTAAGTCTTTCTGAAGTAAGTCATTTATTTTCCATGTGTTAGTTAAACTACTTTGAATGCTTCATTCCCTTTAAGAAATCATTCTGGCCAACTAGGCAGAACTGCTAAAGACTGTTGCTAAGAGCAACCAGCTAAAAAGTTTGTTCTTAAATTAACTAGCAAGCCACCTCAAATCCTTTTCTAGAAATGAGTGTGCACATGTGTACATGCTCATGTGCCTACTTAAATTTAAAATATATATATAATATATATGTGTATATACATAATGTATATATATGTGTATATATACATAATGTGTATATATATGTGTGTGTGTGTGTATATATATATATGAATTAACTAGTTACTACCTGTAGATTCAACTTTAATCAGGGTTTCTGTCTAGAAGAACCAATCAAGAAGTGGGAAATGTCAGTGCTTTGTGAAAGTAACAAAATTAATGAATTAATTACTTAGGAAAAGCTCTGGTCAATAATGGTTAAGCCATTTGAATAGTAAAATTATTCATATTTTCATATTTTTAAACATTATATTGGTGTGAATTTGAGCCTACATGTAGAAAATTTAGGTTGTATACTCCATGAGGGCCAGGGCTATCTCTTATTTATGTATATCTTTACCTCTAATTTTCAGTATGATACCTCACACATAGTAGGTGCTTATTAATATTTGTTGTATACATGAAGGAATGACTGTCTAGATGGTAGTCCCATTATATTAATGAGAAATTAGGGGCCCAGAGTAATAAATAACGTCCCATAGTTTTATAGAGCTAAATGGGCTAAGCTGGTCTTCAAACTCAAGTCTGCCAAACTCTGAAAACTATACTCTGAAGTGAAATGTTGTTTCTTCTTTTAAATACTTTACAGAAGAACAAAACTTTGCAGAACTCAGATTTAGACTCCTTATAATTTAAGAATCAGCATCTGTGAACATAGAGTGTCATAGAGGTAGGGATGTGAGTTTGCAAATTCAACAGATCTGGATTAAAAACTCCTACCATTTATTAGCAGTAGGGATGTGGGAAAGATACTTAAACTTCCTGAAGACTTGTCTTCAAGTGCAAAATGAAAAGACTAGTGGCATATTAAAACACATATTGTAAGAATTAAATGAGATTATAAATTAAATATACAGGCAGTTAATATGATATATGCTAAGAAGTACTGGCTGCTGTTATTACTGTTATTTAAAACAGAGGAAAAAACAATATAATAATGTGCTATTCTGGGGAATGTATTACCCTAAAATACATATATAAATACACACACACACACACACACACACACACACGTGTATATATATATATATATATATATATATCTTCACTACATAGTTTTAGCATTATTTTCTAAGCTAAGAAGACACTAAAAATATTATCCAGGAGCTCTTATGGACATTTCTAGTCTAAAAAATGTATTTTTATTCTCTTATTTAACACTTTCACTGAGAATATCTTCAAAATTGAAGATTTGGCTAGTTTGCTTATGTTCATTGTTATCAAATTTACCTACCAAAATTTGTTTTTTCTCTTAACTCAAGCTCTTGAGACCCAAGTAACTAATCGTATGCTAATGTTTTGAGAAAACTATAGTTTAGTGTGGGGCATTTTGTGGACTTGAGCTTTATTTGTTTATCTCATAGAGGGTGTATTTGTGGTGGGCAACTGTGTGATCCTTGCAAACATGAATGGTAAATATTTGTTTTCTTCATTTGTTGAATCACTTTTTTTCAGCACCCACTGCTTATCTTGGTAGAAATCATCATCTTCATTATCCTATGGCTTTGTTCAAATCTAATCTGAGGAAAGAAAAGTTGATCATTTAGAGCAAGTCAGGGTCTCAGGGTTTTCTTCAGAGAAATTTAGTAAACCCTACTACAGTAGACACAATGGAAACCATGATTCATTTGTATGGTAGAACCTAACAGTCTTTCTTGTAAAGACAGCATATTCATTTTTTTGAAAGAAGGATGACTCAATTAATCTAAGCATAGGAACACTTCATTCATCTTGCATAATGAGAGTGTGGATTCTGCTTAAGCACATTTTTCTCTAATAAGGTAAGCCCCTTTTAAGTGTGTAAAACATTTTTTATTTTTAAGAATTTTTGGTGAAACTTTTTACAAGTATAAACTCCCTGTTTTGATAATACTATAAGGACAAAGTGATATCAGGCATGAAATCTCTGTAGGAAAAAGTTGATTCTCTCAATATGTAATTATTAGTTCATTTACTTTTTTATCTCGATAAGTAATTATTAATTCATTAGCTTTTTAACAAGTATTTATAGATCTTTTCATATGCCAGACACTGTGTAAGGTTCTGAGAAGGCAATGATGAAGAAAATAGATGTAGTCCCTCCTTCATGGAGTTTATAGTATAGTGGAAGAGACAGAAGACTTAAATAGATATACAATAACAGCTAGAAAGAAGGGAAAGACATGATAGGAGATCGTGTATATAAGGCCTGATTTAAACTGTGAGGTCAATAAAGGTTTCAATGCAGAAGTAATACTTGGAAAGGATGAGTTAGAATTAGAAAGGTCACAAAGAATGCCTAAAGGTGTTAAGAGTGAGAAGTGCTTTGAGACAGAGCAAAAGGAAATATTTGAGAGGATAATCAAGGCTTAGTGACTAATTAATGTGTAAGGAAGGGGAAAACAAAAGAATCAAAAGACCTTTTACATTTTAAGTCCAGAGGTCTGAAAGAATGATGTTCTGTCAACAGAACTAGGGAAATTAGAAGTAAGTGAAGAATTTGATTTTAAGTCCATTTGCACAGTAAGTTTGGGGTGATAGTGAACCATTCACATGGTTGATGAACCTGCCCAGTTGAAACACAGCACTAAGTACATTAGAGTAAAGCTGTAGCTACAGATTTGAGAGTCAACCACTGTTACTGCTGTCAGAATGCAGAACATGTAGCAAGAACCACAAGGTCAAAAATCCCAGCTTTGAGAGGTGCAGGGTAAAAGAAGTATAGCACAGAAGACCAAGAGGTTTAGTACCACAGGAATAAAGCAAGGCAAGTATCCCAAGGATCAGGGAGCTGATGTTATTGATGATTTATTTATTCGTTCATTTAGCAAATATATGTATTCAATACTATTTTCCAGGTTTGTGCTAGGCCTGTGGAAATGAACAAAGCAGTTATATGGCCCAGCAGAGGAGAGTAATTATTGAGAAAAACATGGGATTTGGTAATTCCATTAGAGTTCATAGGATGAAAACAAAATTGTGGATGACGATTTCGACAGAAAGGGGGAAACATAGAGACCACAGCTGAGTATGACTTGAGAAAACCTTTAGAGAAATAAAGAAGAAAAATAAGGTGTGATCTGGATACATCTGCAAAGACAAATGAAGGCACTGTTCGGGGCTTTAAGTAGAGCCACAGAAAGAAGACAATGAGGACACTGCAAGTTGGGCATGAAGGAAGCTGCCAAATATTAGGAATTATAAAACTGGGATTTCAGAATCAGTTCTGCTATGAGTACATCTTTTCTATTTTCAGGGACTCAGTTTACTTTTCAGTAAAAAGAAAAATAAAATGTGCCTGGGTTGGGGGAGCTCAAACACTTCCAAATTCCCTTTCAATTGTAACATTTTGGAAGTCTGAGAGAGTAGGGTATTGGCTTAAGGACACATGTCCCACAAGAAGTATCCAGGGTGAGAATGGGAGTACAGGACCTATCATGCATTCAGTATCTATTCTGAGCTAGGGGCTATGCTACATGCATTTTCCCTCAAAATAATTCCTAGAAGTAAAGGATAACTTGAATGAAGAAAGGCAGAAGTACCTACACTATCATGTCATAGTTCTCATGTTAAAGAATGGAAGTGTGACATTATAGAGATTAAGTGACTTATCCAGTCACCTGACAATGCATAGAAGGGCTGAGATTCAAATTCAGGTAGACATGAAACAGAAGAAATAGTCTTCTCTCTTGCTGGAATTGTGCAACGTTAAGATAACAGAAAAAAAAAATGTATTGGAAGTAAGAGAAATGGCTTGGGAACAGGTGCCTGTGAACAGGAGAAAAAGTCTAAGTCAACTGTGATTGGGAGTGGATCCAAGAGGAAGACAGGATGGTCTCATTGGAGTGGCTATTCCTAGACCTACAGTGTTCACCCAGCCGTGTGACTGGTCTTGTCTATGGCTTTCTGTTTTACATCCTGAAAGCCAGAATGGAAAGCAGAGACTGGAGACAATCCAGGATCAAGGACCGGTACATATGTCTTGGTGGAAGTTTAAGTGCTAGACTGGGGAATGATGGCAGGATGTCCCTCAGTGGCTCACTGCAAGTTCAAGGTTGGGCAAGAAGTCAGGGTAGCCAGAAACCAACTGATAGTGAGGATGTCTTTGCTTTTCCATGTTCAAGTTACGTTGTGTGTCCTCTATAATAATTAAAAGTGCAAACAAATGGAGGAGGATGTTAAAATAAGACAGACCAAGCTTGAAATCCAGACAACACTCCTACTCACTGAGTGATACTGAGCAAGCCGTCAAACCTCTCTCTGTTTTCTCCTCTGGAATGTAGGGCTATTTAGGCCAATATTCCAAATATGTGAGATGAAGGAATAATGTGACTTTTTAAATGTAATGTTACCATACAATGCCATTCTTGATGTTATGTTTGAATAAGATCTGATTTTGTAGAAATTTTTATTTCCTTGATATTTTGGTTAGCTATACTTGATCAGTTATTTTGTCACAGAATAATTTTATTCTGCAACTTCAACATCTTGTAGAAAGCGTTCTCAAAATGTCTCAATACACATCAATTTTTACATGCCCATGAAACTGAAGACTGCTTTTGTTGCTTGCTATTTTTGTTCATTTTTTTTTTGCACTTAGCATTCATTTATGTATTCTGAGGTTGGCTGAACTGGACACTCCTATTTGATTTCAGTGTACTCCAAATTATCTTGAGTAATTATTTTCTCTTGATGCTATAATTTATAAAATAAATATTATTGTTTTATACTGTACAAATAATGTCTTTAATGAACACTGTAAGGTTTCACCCAAGTTCTTCTTGCTGGGTTAGGAATTAATAGCAAAGAAAGTAAAGGAAGAAAAGTAGCATTTATTAACTACCTATTATATATAAGAGCTAACCCTAAGTGTTTAACAAAGCATATATCTCTAATACTCATATTGGCATATTAGGTAGTTATTAGCCCATTATACAGATGAATAAATAGTCTAAGATGAGTTTATTTTCTTCATGTCTTACTGCTAGGAAGTGGTACAGCCTACATTTGACCCAAAGTTGTTGAGACTCAGGTCATGCACTTTCCCAAACATAGCCTGTTTACTGCTTTCATGAGTGCATGAGGTTTGCCTTCTTGAATTCTGGAAGCTATCCTATATGAAGCTCTTTTTCCAATTACCTCAAAGCAAAAAGAGGTAGAAAAGAGTCCTTTAGAGTTGCATATACCAAACAAGAAAGAAAGCAGAGTCAGTACCCAGCCCATTAGGAAAACGAGGGAGACGAAGATAGTCAGAATGGAAGAGTTAGAAAGCAAGTTTTTTGAGTACTTTCCCTGTACCAGATTCTAAGCAAGACATCAGAGCTCTAGGTTAGGGCCAAATCAGGTGAGAATTCTTTTAGAATGTTGGAATAAGAACTCCAACAGTCATTTCTTACTTTGCTTGAGTTAGTCTAGGATTAGTCACTCTTCAGTGCATTTTGGTGACAGAATGCTCTTCCCCTCACCATACAGCTCATCCTGTTGTTGGACAAGTCTGAGGGCTTATTTAGAAGGGCTTTCTTTTATTAATATTAGTTAAATTAAAGCCAACAGTTATTATATTTAGCCTGTGCATCAGACACTTTAACGACATTATTTCTACTCTTTACCCTAGCTCTTCAAGTTAAGTAAATTTCTACACCACTAACATTTGGAGAAAATCAGGAACATGCCCAAGCACTTACAGTTAATAAGAATCAAATCCAGGTTTCTTTGACTCTTCCTTATGCAAAGCTGCCTGGCTACAAATTCTATCCATTTGCACTTTTCCAAGAAGAAATCCAGAATATAGATGTGTAGCTGAGGTCTGAAGAGACTTGGGGATTTTGAATACTGGGCAAAGACATTGGAAGGAAATGGAGCTCGAGAGTGGGGCACAGAGGGTAGTGATAAGCAAGCAGACAATTGTAATGGATCACAGACTATGGGATTTTATTCACCAGAAGATGACTGAAAATTCTGAGTTTTAAAAATAGCAACGCAGTGAAGATTGATGACTATTTCATACTATACATATGAAGAGATGAAATTTTATTTTTAAACATTTGAATAACAATGTATTTTCAGAACTACCTAAAATGTCCTGTAAGAATTCAACAGTGATGAATTGTGGCAGAAAAACAAAAAAAACGCAACAGTATATTCAGTTGACTTTTCATAAATTAACTGTGTCTTCATCTTTAAAGCAATGTATATGTAAAAGGATTCTTATATATGTCATTAATTTCAGGTATCTTATTTCTTACTTAGAAGAACGTTTAATTTTTTCAGATACACATCTTTGGATATATGCTATAAAAGAACAATTAAACTTAGAACGAAGTATATGCACTTATTACATATGATGAAGTAGACTCTAAAGTAAATTAGATTTTATGAATTGTATATTTTACAATTACTTATACCAAAAAGTCGATTGTATTTTGTCATTTAAATCATAGATGTTTGAATCTTTGTTCTGCCACTTATTTCTGTTTAGCAATTGGACGAATAGATTAATCTTTCTGGACCTTGGTTTCTTCATTTGTTGACTCAATTTAATATATTTTATATTGTGCTGTTGTAAGAAGGAAATGAACTAATACTTGTAAAGTACCTAGCTCAATGTTCACAGGCAGTCTGAAATCAGAAACAGAGAAAGTGAGATAATTTTGTATGTGAAAGACAAACACTATGAATTTAAAGTTCGGATCAGATGGCTATATCTCACTATTTTGCTTTCTGCCTTCATGCTACCTTTATATCATCTATTTAGTTAATGACTTATCAGCAAAGGCCCTATCCAAGAACTATTGTGTATTTTTTGTTAAGCAGGTCAAATCCCCAGACACATTTAGAATAATTAAGAATTTCAAGTGAAATATGTTTAATGTTATACTGATGCATTCTTCTTTGATGGTAGACATTAAATAAAATAATTGAACTGAATAATTGAATTTTAAAAGTGATTTGGTGATAGAAATTAGCTGTGTTTTTTTCAAAAGGTGTCATGACTAAACACATTACTTTTTATTGTGGAAAACAAATACACCTTGTGCTTTTCAATGGTGCTAGGTCCATCTAGCTGTAACATAATCGATGTGTGCATGATTAATATGTACTTATTATCATGAAAATACTTTGAAAAGAAAAACTGTGAAAACCTGTCAATGACGTACATTTTTGAGCCAATGATTGTGCTTGAATATTCACTCTTCTTCAGAAATGATTTTGGAAAAATAAAGGCTCAAAGCTTTCGTTCTTTAACTGTAAAATAGAGATAATGATAGTACCAATTCAAGGAGTTGTTGTGATAATTAAGTGAGATAATACATGGAAAAGGCCTGGTACACTTCGTGGCTCAGTGTGTAAGCATTATAAATGTATTGTATTTCAAATCCATATAATTGCATTGGAAAGACTATACGAAGACAATTTTATTGTGTGTTTTTCTAAAAAAAATTAGTTTTTGAAAAGTAACTATTACCTGATTGTGTTTCATGAAACTGAATAATTATAGCTGAATTTGATTAAAACCAAGTTCACCTGAATTAAGTTGTTTTGTATTCAAAATGTGTGTATTCTTAGGAAGAGATTGGGATACTAATTCGGCTAGGATGAATAGGTTTATGCCATAAGATGTTGGCTTGTCATATTAGATTCTTTGTGATTATACTGCCTCAGAGAATCTAGCTATAGTCAAACAATTACAGAAAACAGTACTATGTTCCTTTTCCAGCAATAGTTCCTTAAGGTTTTTGAAACAAAACCTTGGTAACTGATTAGGTTTCTTGTATTTTTCTTGCTGTTCCTGTGATGCTTTTGTTTGCCCTATAAACACAGGCAGGGGGAGAAATAACTTTTATCTCTCCCGTTGCCCAAGGTAAAAATTTGGAGGTTATTGTTAACTCCTCTATTTCCCTTAGCCCCAAAGTCTACTGAGGTACCTAGTTCTCCTGAGTCAATCTCTTTAATATTTTTGAACCCTTCAATGTGGGCAAGTTATTTAATATTTTAAGCCTCAATTTCCTTATATGTAAAATTATTATAATAATAATACCTATGCCACTTGGAAATTTTGAGGATTAAGATAATGTTTACAGATTTACTTACCAATGTGACATTTGGTAAGAGGTCTCAAATTTAGGCTCCTTAACATTCTTTCTCACTTCTTCCTCCATATGTATCCTTCACATTATTTCTCCATATGTATCCTTAACATTATTTCATTTCTCACTTCTTCCTCCGTATGTCTACATGGTAGACATAACAAAGTGCCTTCTGTTTGCTTAACAAGTGACAGTCTGTCTTGTTTTTGCTTCCTTGACTTTGTGTTCACTGTTTTTTTCTGCCTGGTTTGTCACCACTCACCTCCTTGCTCCTCAAGCCTCTTGCTTCCATGGCATATACTGCTCACCTTTCGAACTTAGCTAAAGGGGAATTTCTGGTTGGAAGATCCTCTAAACACTCTATCAACAGCAAAGTCAAGGTCAAGAAACTACATTCTGGAGTTTTACTGCCTTAATTGAAATCCTTACTTGGTGTGTGATCTTGGGCAAAATACCCAACTTCTCTAAGCCCCAATTTTATCTATAGATTTGGGTGAATAATAGGGCATATTTAATGAGTTGTATGAAAATTAAATTAGACGACATACATAAGTGCTTAGCACAGTGCATGGCAAATAGTAAGGGGTCAAAAACCATGATTCAGTAATTATAATAAGTAGCATAGAGTTCTTTGTTCTGACAGAGCACAAATTGCCCTATGTTTTCTTGCGTATTTCCGTGACTTTTTACCTACCAGACCATTCATTCCTCCCAGACCTTCTACTTATTCAATTTTATTTTGTTCTACTCATTCAATTTTGTTTTCTCTCCATCTTACTTTGGAGACCATGAAAGACAATTGTTAAGTGTTCGTTGAAGGAAAATTGGGTTACTATTTCCATTGGTAGTGGTCTTATTTGAAAACTGGTAGGATTTTCTTTTTCCATTTTTAGCAGTATTTATGGAGCAGACAGCCTAGTATAGGGAAAAGCATTACATTTCAGTAAACAGTACCCAGTATGTTACAATCTCCTTAAGGGTAAGGTCAATCTTGTATCAGCCTCTGTACCTCCAAAACACCTACATGTATTACTCAGCATATGTTAATTATTAAGTAATAATATATGTGTTGATCTCTCTTACTAAACTGTAAGTAGATTTTAAGCAGAGATGTGTTCTTCCTGTTCAATAGTACCAATCACATAATACGTGTGTAATAAATTTTAAGTACTCTGTTGTAATTATAGCCTAATTTATAAAGATTATATTTAAAATGCTGATACAAAACCATTCCATGCAAAATGTTCAAATCTCATTCCATGCTTTCTGACAAAGCTATTATAAATTTCTACAGTACCAGTTATTTTAGTAACTTTATTTCTTTCAGTGATGACTTCAGTTCTGTCTGTAATTTTTAAAAAGTGCATGCTACATTTAATTTGGGGGCCATATGTTAAATACTTTCAATGTGGTATTCCCAAAGTTGAGTGTTTAGGATTATTATGATTCAGAGGTGCTTCCAATGTTGTGTTTGCTGTTACATAAGCCACACAAAGCAATGCAAGTTGAACAGAGTGGTTTGAAGCTAAAAAGTTCAAGGATTAAGTCTTACCTCTGCCAGCAGTGCATCTTGGACATGTCACTTAACCTCTATGAATTCACTTTTCTCTGCTGTAATATGAGCCTGATAAAGCCTAGGCCTATTCTGCAGAACTGTGCAAAGGGCACTAGTAGATGTATAATGCTTGGAACACAATAGCAGCTTTGCACAGATGGCTATTGTGATTTTAAGCAAAGAAGGGGGGACCATTTTACCGAAGCATATTTTTTTAATCTTATAGAAGCTTTGACCATTAAAAGGAAATTCATTCATAAGCATCAATATACTAGAAGGTGCCACAAAGCCCAGGAGCAATGAGGCGAACAATTTAGCCACTTTTTACATGTTAACTGTTAATAAATTGCATACAGAAGACAATTTGGACTATACAAAATGTTCTTGGAAACCATTCCTAACTTAACAATAGCTAAATCCATCTGCTCTCCTGGAGTTTCATTTAGTTTCACCCCCACTCTGTATTACAAACCCATATTTGGACTTAACTGATTCTGGATTAATATCTAATTTGTTGTCTAAAAATAGAAAAAGAAGAGGATCTGATAAACAGATCAAAATCAGGTTACATGACCATGGATATTCACTCTTCTTTTTTCCTTTCATCCAAGGGTTTTGGAAGAAAGATTTTTGAAATTATGGCTTATTCTCTGATAAAACAAAGTAGGCCAGTAAAAAAGTTTGTAGGATTCATGTCGTAGGTCGACAGAGAGAAGGAATAAGGCTAGAGTTGTCACTCTATTACTATGCCTTAGTTTACCAATCAAAAAAGAAAAAAAATACCTACATCAGAATAATGAGGATATTATATGAATTCAATGAGATGGATAAGGTGGAAATGCTTAGGAAATAAAAATATTGTATGTTTACAATGTAGTTTTCTTACAAATATTAGTTGCAAAGCTGTATTCTCAAATTACTAAGATTGTAAAACTGATTCGTTCAAGTGCTCACATGAACATTTTCTTTTATATATGCAATGTTGTCTTTCCATGGTGTTTTGTGTTCTCCCATCATAACATAACCACAGCTCTCTTAAGGAGAATAATTTTCTTGATGAGAAGACACAATGGCTGAGATGACCTCAGTCTTAAGAACCAGATCAAGTCTTCCTTCCCTTCTCCACCTGCTAATTTTCTTCCTTTCTTTCTCCAATACTTGTTTGGCTCCTATGATGTTATAGGCAATGTGACAATTATTAATAATATGATGCAGAGGTGAATAAGGGATTGTGTTCTCTTAGTAGGCCTGTGGTCTATTTGAAACTTCTACTTAAAACAATTACATGTATGGTATGACAAAAGCATTAATCATGGCGCCATGAACAAAAAACCCATAGAGAGGAGTTCATCTGAATTTCCAGTTTGGGAATGTCTTAGAGAAAAAGACCTGAATGTAATCTTGAAGAATGAGTTATAGTTTTCCAGATGAGTAGTAGTCAAGAAGAACATTTCAGGTGGAAGGGACTGTATATTAAAAGCAGACTTCTGAAGCTGTGTGACTCATTGAAAAATACTACAAAGACCCATATGGTGCAAGTACAGTGTTCATAAAGGGGAGTCCTGGGAAAGGAACACAGAGAAGTGGATGGGAGTCAGAGTGTATAAGCCAGGTGAGACAATTGGGGCTTTATCCTGTAGGCGTATAAAACAATGGAGTTCTTTTACTGTGAGAGTGCCTAAGCTCGTTTTTAGAAATAATCTTAATACTTTTTTTCCTGCGGCATGTGGAACGTGGATATGCTGTTATGGAGAGGCACCGGTGGCAGGAGAGTACTTTAAAAATATGGAAAATAACAGTTCAGAGTACGTTTCAGGTTATAGAATTCTCTCTTAGGCCTTGGTTTAGCCACAAGGGCTCAAGTTTTGCCTTCATGACATGTCATTACATGACAACACTTCAGGATATCCTGGTAACTCGAGTCAGCAACAGAATAATCCCAGCTGCTACCATGGCTATATCTAAATATCAATTACAGAAACAACCAAGAAAAATAGTCCTTGTGCTATGCTATATTAAAAGGGAAATTGTATCTAATGTTATAAGCCTACAAACATACAAGTTATGTGGTCTTACTTTCCACATCAATTAACAGCGATAATATACTGCCTAACAAGATGTTTTGAAGAGTGACTAAGTGAATACTTACGAGACATTCTTAACAATTTTGATTCACAGACCATTTGAGAAACTAATGAAAGCAATGAACATTTCCCAGGAAAACAGAGGTATTGATATAGTGGAGAAGAGCACGGAGAGTGGGTCAAACAGTTTGGGTTAATTTTCCAGTTTGCGCAGTTATTAAGAATGTGGCTTTCAGCAAGTTATATAACTTCGCTAAGTCTCAATTTCCCTTTCCGTTGTAGTGAAAATTAAATATGGTAATTCTTGTAAACTGTTTAGCTTAGTACCTGGCAAATGATAAGTCTTCAATAAATGTTAACTATTATAATTGTTATTATTACTATTATTATTATTGCATATCATATAGCACAAAATTTCAGGTGATTTGAGCCATTTTAAACCTAACATAGTGGCCAGTGAAGCCTGGTTAAGAATCATAATGATTGTGAAAGCTCTTTGCATAGTGTTTTACACTTCGATGGTTCTTAGCAAATGTTTAATTTGAATTTAAATTACCCATAATAAATGCTTCATTTATATGCTTAATTATTTGTTTATTTAACCATGCAATTGACCTGGGCCATAAAGTAGTGGTTTCAGGCAAATATGTTTACAAACAGAAATTTTTCAACCTAAATGAAAATCTAGAGGAATATACCTGGTATAAACTGGGAGAAAATCAAATCAGATGTATTTGTTTTTTTAATTTGAGGATCTGTTTTTATAGGCAACGAAGTGGATAGTTCTGCATTTCTAGCTCCTCAGAGGGTTAATAATGGACAGATACATGTTGCCAGAACTTTCAAAAGAGTTTATTTAATGACCAATTAGGACTAAGTATGAAGATAGTTATAATTTTATAGCTTGAAAAGGTAATATGCTTAGCATACCATGCTAAATTTAAAGCTTGTTTTAAAGAGCAGGAGGTAGGAAAGGAAGGTTTGTTCTTTTTGGATATCTAAATGAGTCCTGAGTTTGGGGAATTTTAAGTAGGCTCACATTCATTAATTCATCTGTCGCGCGCCTACACATGCTGCGTGCTGAACATGATGCTAATCACTGAGGCTAAAAGAAAATTTTCTGGTCTGGTGGTGGAGAAAAACATGCAATAAGTACTAATAGAAGTCTATAAAAAGTACTGAATGTGGAGAGAGGAAGCTAACAAAAGGAGCTGAAAGGCAGAAATGTGGAGAATGGCATGTTCAGGGAATGTTAGGAATTTGCTTTGCTAGTATTATAGAATACCAGGGAAGGAGGAAGGTATGGGAAATGAGTCTGGAAAGGAAGGCAAGAGTAAAGTATTGAATGATTTTTGCATGCCATGCTAAGTTGATTGCATTTTTAAAAATGGTAACTATTTCAATCAGTGTTGACCATTAGTAATAACTACCCAAATCAAACTTGTAAGAACTAGAGTGCTGTACATCTAAAAGTAACACGTATATACATGTAATTCTAATGGTGTGGGTTGCCATTATAGTTGAGCCAGAAAAAAAAAAGCTAAACTGAATTAATAACAATATAGAATAGATTATTTTTCTATTTCTAAATTATTTTATGTGAGAAAAATGATGGTTTTGGATGAATACTGATACCCAAAGGCCTACTTTAATGAATATGTAAGAATGATTGGTAGTTACCAACTGATGTGTATAAGTGTATATAAAATGCTTTAACATAGTTTTTTTAAGTTACTAAAATTTTTTTCTACTGATTTTTCATTTATTTAACATATTCATATTTTCATAGGTAGTTTAACGTAGAATTTTAGCCAGTAAAATAATGTATATCTTGTCTAAGTCGTTGCCTGTTCTAAACACGTACAAATGTTTTCTCAACACAGAGAAGACACAGACATAATTTAGGTATAGATCACTACCTCCGGAAGCTTGAAGCCTAGTGGAGGAGATGATATGTTCCTACTAAAAATAATTAAAGATAGTAAGTTGTATTATAAAAGCATGGAAGTTCAAAATTTGCAGAAATTACTTTCAACTGGAGAATATCATGGAGACCTTAAAAAAGGAAGTGGCATTTGAGCTGGACCCAAATGAGATGACTAAAATTTATACACTTGAAAAAATGTTAAAGATGAAAGGGCAAAACCTTATGTTAAAAAGAACATAGATATGATAAACTGTTCTGTGGACCATTAATAACATTTTGTCTTACAGTAGAGAGCCATTTCTTTATGTCAATGTTATAAGAATTCTTATATGGAGGCAAAGAATCAAAATATCATATATGCCACAATTACACTGGCACTTATCAATTCCATTTATTTTGATTGCCACTGAGTACAGTGGTTAAATGCAAAGTCTTTGGAATCAGATAAACCTAGGTTGGAATTACCACTTCTGCCTGTTATTAAGTATGTGATTTGGAGTAAATCATGTAAACTCTCTGAAACACAGCTTCCTTAAATGAATATTGTTGTGATGATAACACCTAACTCACATAATTAGTATAAGGATTAAATGAGATGATGAATATTAAGTATCTGTTACCACTGTGGCTGACACGTAATAATTACTCAATAAATAGCTGCCATTAAGTGATACATATATCTTGGGGAAAATTCTTTTCTTTAAAAGGAATTAAAATTTTTTAATTTCTTTCCCACGCTCTACATTGTTTTCAATGAGAGAAGGGATAAGGGATGGAGGGATGGCCATAGTGACTTTTCTTTTTCTTTTTTTTTTCCAATCTAAGTATTTTTAAATACAATTTATTCCGATTGACAAATAATTGTGTATATTTGTGAAGTACAATGTGATATTTTGATCTACGTATACATTGTAGAATTAAGTTCCATGTTATATGTTAAATAACATATCCATCCATCATCTCACCAGCTTATCTTTTTTGTGGTAAGAATGTTATTTTTGCAATTTTGAAATATATATATGTAGTATTGTTAATTATGACTACCATGTAGTGCAATAAATATCTAAAACTGATTACTCCAGTCTAACCAAAACTTTGTACCCTTTGATCAATATCTCTCCTTTTCCCATCTCTTTTTCCCCCTACCCCCAACCCCATCCCGACCACCTCAGCCTCTGGTAACTACCTTTCTATTCTCTGTTGTGTCAACTTTTTTAGATCCCACATATAAGTGAGATCATACAGTACTTGCTTTTCTCTGCCTGGGTTATTTTACTTAGCATAATGTCCTCCAGGTTCACCCATGTTGTAGCATTTTTACATACACTTAATCCACAAAATATTTTTTGACTATTAATTATTCACATGGCTCTATTCAAATTTGAACTTTTTTGTCTCTTTTTCTTCTCTTTATCTTAATTATGTGCATGGTCTGCATGCATGTTTGTGTGTGTGTGTGTCTGTGTGTGTGCGTTAACTTAGCTATTTATTTCTGCTATTTCCTATTGACCAATATGGTAGTACCAAAATTTTGGACACCTAGTTCCCTGCTTTATACTCTTTTGGCTTTAATGATGAGCAAAATGACGTATAACTGATTGTACCTGGAGAATTGTCAAACCTCTTTTTAACTTCTATAGTAAAAGTAGGACAATGGGTAAAACAGAATTAATTACAAGAAAGATGATGTCAATAGTGCTCAAACTGAAGTAGTTAACTATTTAAATGCATAATAAATACTTATAAATTTATTCATTCTTATCTTTCACACCAGTAAAGTGAGTCATCACCTCATTATCCCTGGCTCACTAGCTGCTAAAGTTAAATATTCTATTGAGGAGGAGGGATGATTGTACAGTACATCTTATGTGCTATTTTTTTTTTGAAACTTAATTGTTTCTCAATAGAAACATTCATTAATACATTCAAAGTATCCAAATAGAGTCTTGCTTTATTACATTCCATTCTGAATGTTGGTCCCACTTAAGTAGAATGGTTAAAAAAACAAGACATTAGGCATTTTACCTCCAGAAATACTAGTAAATGTCACAAAATGATGATTTTATACATATTAGGAAGTTAAGAACAATATACAGATTTTCTTGAGATAAAACTGTATAGCCAATTTCTCATTTCATAGTTATTTACGTTTTTGAATGTTGAAAAAACAGGTAATAATAAAAGCTTCCATTTGGCTGAGCGACTGCTACATGTCAGCAACTGTGCTAGCGTTTTACGTAGATAGTCTCCAGTCTGCTTAACAGCACTGTGAAGGAAGGCCTCTCCCACATTCTAAAGGCTGGGTAATTCAAATTCAGGATCAGTTGATTTCTGTGTAGCTAACTAAGTATATGCAGAAGTTGTTCAGAGAAAATAAACTGTCACTTTTGCTTTTGAGGATTTCATAGTCCTCCACCAGGAACAGGGTAGAGGTGAGAGAGACTCCTAGAAGTGTGCAGTGAGTACACTGTAGAGATGTACAGACACAGACAGTGGAGATTGGAAGGGTCATATTTGAGCTGATCTTGTCTGAGGGCCTTTTTCCAAGTGAAATGGAGTAGGATGCACATTATAGGCAGAGAGAGCCAGATTTATGCTTATTAAATTTTAAGTGTATAGTATACACCTTGACACTTCCCCACAATATTTATTTAACATTTGCTACTTTAGCTCAGTGCTTCTCTTCTTAAGGGCAAGAACTGTGTTTTATTTATCTTCATATCTCCAATGCCTAAAGCAGTACTTGGAAGGGAGCAAGGGCTCAATACCTATGTAAATCAGTGAATGAAAGGAATGAAATTTTTACATGTAAGTGTATTTTTTTCATAACTGAATCACATACCTTTGATGCCAAGCCTTCTAAAAGCTAACCACTCTTTACAAGAAAATACATTTATTGAGATCTACTTTCTTTTTCCTAATTTTAATACAGTGATTTATTTTATATATACTTTGGCTGTAAGAGTTGTGGGCAGTGGTGAGACCTAACACTGCTGTATGGTGAAGTTCAAGAGACTACCAATAGCTATTTTCTGCTATGTCAAGAGGCCTTTATATTAGGCTCTTCTCATGTTTATGGTGCTAAATAGGTTTTGCAACACAAATTTTTTCTATGCTTTATAATGTTTCATGTTCTCATGCTGTTTCCTACTGCTCAGTGATGTCTCTATTTAGCTAAGTCATCTGAAAACTGAGGACCACATCTGAGTTTTTCTGCTCTTCCTCTGCTATCACATATATACACAGTACATCTGAAGGCATGGTGTTCAGTTGCACCTGACAGGGACAAATGCTACTTCTATGAAGTTCAGTACTTAAATGCAGTACTGTGGAACCCACCTGGTATTTTATTTGCATCTGAAATCCCTCCATCCTTAGTTTTCAATTAGTGGAAGAAAAGTGCAGCAAACACTATTTTCCTGATTAGATATTTGTTTCACTCAATAACTAGCATCATTTTTTTCATTTTTTTTGACATTTAATGTGTATATGTATGACTTGAAGAAAATTAATGGTAACTATAGTTATGATCTTCAAGAAATTTACTCAAATGAAACCTGATAGGTAGGAAAGAAGGTGATGTTAGTCATTCAAAAATATTTCAGAAGTGCAGGGTGACCTTGTACATTTTGAATACCTGGAGGCTATTGTGCAAATGAGTCATAAGAGTGAAATAGAGTTTATTTAAGAAGGCAGGTAGGTTTAAATAAATTCATAGCATAGACTGGAGGAAAGACAGGTGTTTTTAATAAGAGTAAATGATACTAATTGAGGTACCCATGGAGGAATTAGAAAATTTTACATGGGAAAATATGTTGAAAGCTAGGTGACTACAGTTAAGGTATTCTATCAAGGCTGTAAAGAACTGAGTTTGGAGAAATAATAACCAGGATTTTTTGGGCATTATGCACTAAGGATTCATACTCATTCATATTCTCATCTAATCTCCACAACAACCCTGTAAAATCAGTTATGTCGTTATGTTTTACAGGTGAGGAAACTGAAGACTGAGTCCCAGGCAGTGTTACTTATTCCAGCAGATGTAGTTAGAATTTGGACCAAGTATGTCTGATTCTTATTTAATATTTCACACAGTGTTTTGTGGAAGGCAAAGAAAAATGAAATAGAGCATGTAACAGGGTCCAACTAGGAAAACAGAAGTCCTTCTAAGTATTTGAAATAAAAGGCACATCATAAAACAGTAAGTTGCATAATCCATGAAAGAGCCTAGAAACAAACAGAAGATGGCAAGGCAATCTACAGATTAACCACAGCAGGAAAACATGCCCACTCCTAAACTGAAGGACTAAAGGAAGGAACTTAGGGCCAGAATCAACCACAGGAAGCTGGAACCACTGCAGGCCTGTTCAGCAGAGTAGGAGCCAAGGAGGAGGTGCCACTGCTGTTGGAATTATCACAGGAAGCAGAAACATGGAGAAAAATGCCTTGGCTTTCTTCTTTTTTTCTGCGCCACCCCCCAACCACAAGTCTCTTTCTTGAATGCAAGCAAGTAAGGAGTGTGATTTCTTTATGAGTGTTAGGCAGTCACTATCGACTGTTAGAATTCTTATGGATGAATGTTTTTAGGCTATTATATGTTACATGGTGTATAGCATAAAAAAAAAAAAAAAAAAAAAACCTCAAGGCCAGTTGAAAGAATTTGGTTACAAGGTGAAATAAAATATAGTTCAATTGCCTAATCACTTAGTTTTTCAGGATTTTAATACCATGTAACTTTAGGGATTGGAGAGAACCATGAGATGTCATTGAGTAGTGTTTAATATAAGAACAGATTAGTTTAGAAGTCCTGAAATATGAGAAACAAAACCAAATCCAGGTTGTTGTTTGGATTCTGGGTAATTTGTTATTTTAGATCTCCAGACACGAAGCATTGTAGAAAGGTTGCCTTCTGCATGCCATAAATTGATGTTAACAAGGAAGTTGCGTATTAAAAAATGATTCAGAAAGAACCATGCTGGGTCTTTGGACAAAGTCCTTTACCTCAGGAGACATGGATTTGACAGCCTCTTATGGAGAACTGCACTCTCAGGCAGCATTTCATGTCTGACCTTAGGCAAGCAGGCAGAGCTACAGTCAGGAGGTTGACTGAGTGCCTATCCATATGCTGTCTGGCTCGAGCCAAATGTCCTGTTCATGAAAACGATTGACTCACTAGGTACTGCTCTTAAAGGAAGATCTCTGTTCAGTGCTTTAGATCTTGTAAATGAGTGAAGAGGCTTGAAGCATCAGAACTGCTGCTGGCCTAAAGAATACAGAAAATAGGCCGGGCGCGGTGGCTCACGCCTGTAATCCCAGGACTTTGGAAGGCCGAGGCAGGCGGATCACGAGGTCAAGAGATCGAGACCATCTTGGCTAATACGGTGAAACCTCGTCTCTACTAAAAAATACAAAAAATTAGTCTGTGGTCCCAGCTGCTCGGGAGGCTGAGGCAGGAGAATGACGTGAACCCAGGGGGCGGAGCTTGCAGTGAGCCGAGATCGCGCCACTGCACTCCAGCCTGGGCGACAGAGCGAGACTCCGTCTCAAAAAAAAAAAGGATACAGAAAATACAGAGCAAAATATTACTTTGAAATATATTTTCATTTTTGGAAATTCTGCTATGTTTCTGATGTTCTCATGCTGTGACTCGTATATTTGGAATAGTCCTCTGGCAGATAAATAAATCTCTAGCTCAAGCTCATTAGAACAGGAGTGAGCTGCAGGAAAAGAATGGGTAATATATGTATGAGAAGACTAGAAGGAATTGATTACCTATTGGATCTGGGAGATAGGCTGTACCTGATTCAGCTTGCTCTTGCTCTGTGAAACTACTGAAGTGGCAGTGGAACTTCTTGCCCAATAATCCTGGGATCATGTCTAGATTCTGTATTTAGGACTGACTGTGGTTCTTATTAATGCTTCCAGGCAGAACACTTATTCACTCATCAAAGATTTGTTGACTATTTCCTGTGTGCCAGGAACTTGGCTAGGCATTGAGGACACAAATATGGAAAGGCCAGCTTTCTAGGAACTCACAGGATATTGGAGCTCCTAAAACTGAAGTTGGATGGTATGGTGGATAGGTTGTCAGAAAACTGGAATTATAGCCCTGGCTCTGCTTCAAACCAGCTCTGTAACCTTGGACAACTCACTTCTTTTCTCTGGAACTTAGTTTCTGTGTCTCTTAAATAGGAATGCCTGGATGCTTGTAATTCCCTTAAGAGGTTGTTGTGAGAATGCAAACAGATACTGTCTAAGTAAGAATCAAAAAGAGATAAATTGCAAATAATAAAAGAGCGCTACTCACCTTAATAATGTCAAAATCTTATATGTTCTTCCTCTAGAATCATTCACTGAAATTCTCAAAGTCAAACACTGTATTCCACTTAATTCTGTATCTGGGAACACATTATAATTACGTTAAGTGGAAGCAAGAAAAGTAACCATGAGTTATTAGATTGCAGTAATAATTCACATTAAACAGAAAATACGATTATATGCCAGGCCTTGCATATAGTGATTTATTTATTTGGTTTCATGGAAATTTTACAACAGTTCTGAGAGGTGGGTATTGTTATTCCCACTTTACAGAGGAGAAAGTAGGCTCAGAGAAGGTACTTCAAGGATCTGGTCAGAGGTCACATGGCTTTGTAAGTGACTCAGTTGGGATTTGAAACCAGATCTGACCCACATGTTCAGGTTACCTTCAGTGCACCACATACAAACTGAACTCTAGAGAAGGGTACCCATAGAGTTGATGCTGCTTTCATAGGTAGCCCATCAACAAATATGTTCTGTGACGTACTGTTTAACAGGCCCTGGACACCCTGTGTATTAGTGAATGGAGTGGAGAGGCTTAGAAACTCAATTTCTGGAGTGTGAACAAGAAAAAGAAAGTTGTATAAAGGAAGTCAAGACATGGGCCACAGAGATGATGGTGCAAGGGGAGCAAGCTGGGTGCAGATGATACCAAGAATAAAATTAGCACTCAAGGAAAGACAAAAGGAAAAATATACCTTCTAAATGCCACAGGGGAATTATCTCCTACTACTCAGCTTGTCATTTCAGATCTTTCAATACATTTTTTCAGTCCTTGATATTGTAGCCAAAGTAGAAAATAAATACACATTGCATCTATCCTGTGCCTGATGCCTGATTAAATATCTGAGATGTAACAAAACCAACTTTTCCAGGACATTTTTTATTCATGAGGCAATCTCAACATGAAACAAATTGCTTAGGGGATTGAAAAACTACATTCATGCAAGCTAAATCAGATGTTTTCTATTTGAAATTTGTAAATTCAAGATGCTTTGTTCCTGATTTTGTTGGTATAGATGTTTTCTGAAACCTGACTCTAAAAATAAGTCAACATTTATAACTGGGATGTTTTGCACTGTGGAAAACAAAGTCAAGAGCTTTCTTATTTGCATTAAGGGCCTCTTCCTTTTTTCTGGATTCAGCAATAGGACATTGTGGAACTTTGTTTCACAATGAAATTGCTTCTCAAAACCCATCCTTCCACCTAAACACCCTGTCTCCAGGCTTAATTGGTGCTTTCAGTGCACCTGCAGATAATGGCATGGTGCTGCGACTTCAGCCCATTTCCTACCAGCTGCATGTGCTCATCTGCGAGTCTCAAAATCCTTCAGTGGTTGTGTCATTTGGAGGCTGATGAACTTTGTGTAGGAGGCTTTTCGTTAATCCCTGTTTCTTGGAGGCTGGTATTTTCAGCAACTATTATGGCAAGGGCAGTTGTTTCTTCTGAAAACTTATAGTACTTGGTTTTGCAGTTCTTAGGTTGAAGTCAAATATTTGGACTATGATTGTTAAGCTTTTCTCCCAATGCTTATTTCTAAAGCAGTGAAGAATTTACAGGTACATACAGGCAAGATTACCTGCAATACCTGGCAGGGAATCTCTGTTTAAGAAACATCAACCCACAGGCATAGGAGAGTAAGTCTGGAGAATGGAGATAGTGCTAAGAAAACCAAGGAGAACCTAAAATTCATTTGAATTCTCTTAGTTGGTCACAACACATATTAAACTTGATTATTTAACATGTCTTTCTTTTCAGTCACTATACCATAAGGACTCATTTCTGCTTCCTGTGCTCACAAAATCTTCCTTCTTCCAGAAATGCCCTTCCTTTCCCTTTTCTTGGATAACTTACACTCATCATTCAGACCAGTATATTTAAGTCATTATAAACATTGCTCAAATATACTCAGAGACCCCACCACAAATTCTGTAAACTAATTTGGTCTTCAGTAGCTATTTATATCTGCATTGTGATAAAGAGAAAACTGAGGCTGAGAAATTTGGCCTGTTTATTTAAAACCAAACCAGTGATAGATCCAGTATTGGAATCCATGTTCATAGGATTCTGAAGCCCATACCCTCTTCTCACTACTCCTCTGACCTACAAGAAGAAGGGTGTGAGATCAGAGCAATAGAGGCAATAGAGCAGCTGGTGGTTTGACATCTGTGCCACCAAGTCACTGAGTAAAGGCTTCCTAGAGTCCTCTGTGTGAGATTAGATTAATCCTAAAACTGAGCTGGGGCTGAGTCTTTGGGGCCTCATCTCAAGGCCCTAGTCATGGGGACTGAGAGACCTGTGGGTCAAGGAGGTTGGCTTTTTCCTCCAGTGGCAGAACTTTGAAAGATCTTCACCCAGAGCTGTTAGCCTTCAGCTCTATTCAGCAACCACATCTGATTGTTAGTACTAACCACAGGAGGAAAGCCGTGGAGGAGCACCAGGCTCCCCACTCTCCATGGCACCTCTTTAGGACCCTTCCCTTGCCAGCTACCACACAAAGCCTGTGTTGAGAGAGAACCAAAATATTCCTTGCCTTTGCATTTTGTGTGGTAGTGTTTCAAAGCTCTTTTCCATGATAATTTCATTTAACCCTCACAACAGTTCTCTGAAGTCTGTAGATCAGGTACCATTATCCTCATTGTTCTTACAGCTTTCAAAGAGGGTCACTGAGTTACTCAGTATCACATAGCCAGACAGTGACTATGTTGGGACTGTGCTATAATTTGGTTTGTTTGACTCCTTCAAATCTCATGTTGAAATTTGATTACCAGTGTTGGAGGTGGGGCTTAATGCGAGGTGTTTGGGTAATGGAGGTAGATCACTCCTGAATAAACATATGTCTTCCCTGGGGTGGGTAGCCGGATAAGTAGATTCTCACTTTGTTACTTCCCATAAGAACTGGTTGTTAAAAAGAGCCTGGCACCTCCCTCCCTTCTATCTTGCTTCCTCTATCACCATGTGATCTCTGTATATGCCAGCTCCCCTTCATCTTCTGCTATGAGTACAAGCAGCCTGAAGCCCTCACTAGAAGCAGATACTATAATAGCAATATTTCTTAAATGTTCTGCATCAAAGTCAGGCCTAAAAGTCAGCAAAGAAAAGAGGGTTTGTTTTTTTTTTTTCAATAAGGTTCAATTTTTCCACATTGGTTCTTGCTTTTTCTGGCAAGTGAGCAGCAACAATCACTGAGTCTGAATCTCAGCAGGGGCGTGACTTTAATTGCCCTTACTAGCCAGGAGTTCAAGACAGTGAAATGGAGTGATTACTGACTGCAGATGGATTGTCTCATCTGCAGATTCCCACCTGCAGAGATCAAGCATTAATTGAAAGCATGTAAAACTGATGGTTGGAAGAGCCAGCATGTTCTCTTCTCTGTGTTCTGAAGTTTTATTCTGCCATTAAGAGACCTTGGAACCACACATTGTGAGCATAAAGCTGCATGTTCAAATACTGAAACCGGTACCCCCCACTTCCTAATGTATATTACACATTTGAAATTACAAACCAACAGTGCCTCAACCAGCTAGATTGATCTGGGTTAGTAGATTTGTGGCCTTCTTCAAGTACCTAAGCTTTTTGAACTTCAGGTTGTCCATCTTTAAATTGTCTACTTTACAGAGAAATAAAAATGAAATAAGATAAATCACTTAGCACAGAGATGGGCACATATTCTTTGGTAACACTTATACCCCCATATCAGGGGAAGGAAGGATTGTGAAGAGAAATGATTAGTTTGAAGTGGTCCTCAGGACAGTAAGTCACTGCTTTCCTATATGATTATTGAATACATTTCTCAAATTGACTTTTACATTTAAAGAAAATAGAGGTTTAGCAACTGTGTGAAATAAATAGAAAAGAACTCATTTCAATGAAGTCATATAATTTGATATGCAGTGCTGTTCTAATAGATATTTATGGATCTTGTTGGCCACTGCATCCCAGTGTCCTGACTAATGCCTGGCACATAGTTGATGCTTGATAAATGTTTGTTGAGTAAATTAATGAGGGAAATACTGTTATATATCCAAAGCATTGATTAGAAGGTGAAAGAATCTACTTTTCTCTGTGTACTCAACTTGGGTTCTAGCATTTAAAAAGTTAGTAACTAAGAATTATGTATAAAACTGCTAGAAGACAACTGACCTGAAAAGACAACAATACATGCAAAGACAGTGTTAACATTTCCTTTTATTCTCAAACCAGCAGTACAAGCTATGGTATTTGCTTCTGCTCTATGGAGAGGCTACCTTTGTCCAAAGACACTCAGCTAGGAAGCAGAAGAGCAAAAATTTGAATCTAAATATGTCTGGCTGCAAAGCAAAAGTTTATTTCAAGCCCATCAGATTAGCTAAATTTTTAGACAAATATTTGGGAAAGGTTTTAAGTGAAGAAATGCCAAGCTCTCACACCCCAGTAGAAATGATTTCCTGGATTTCAAGATTAGTTTGAATAATAGAATAGTATCCTTTCTGAGAGGACCAGCATGTAAGGATAGGTAGATTCACCTTGGAATTATGAGGAAGTGAGGAGGCAGGGTGTTGGTTAGTCCAAGGGGCAATAATTGCCCTTAAGAGGGATGGCCCTTATCTTCATACTGATACTGGTGCAATAGGCAAATTGTCATACTCTTTTTGTAGCCTAGATTTTTGTTCAGCAAGAAGCAGAATTGTGACAGGGTAAAAGGGATAGACATAACTGGTGAAAACAGCTTCAAGAAACAGCTTTGAAGATGATTGGAGTGTTCTGCCTAGAAGAAGTCTGTTGAGGAGGAGGAAGGAGGTTGACTATGGTTTGAACAGAGGCAAAGACCATATGCTGGAAGAGAGAGAGACTAAGGGACACTGAAAGATGTCACTATCATGTATAAAGAAGTGAAGAGTTGGAAATGGCTCTAACATTGCTTATTTGGAAACCTGATAACCTAGTATTACTGGATGACCAAACTATGCTCATGAAGAGCACTACCTGTTGGCTCAGTACGAGAGCTAAATTGTAAGCTCCAATAATACAGAAAGTGTGGCTGTAATAGTCATCTGTATATACTCTCTGATATTAAATACTGTTACATGAATAAATTGTCCCAAACCCAATATTTATTCTTTTTCATAAGAGTCTGGGGTCTGGATCCAGACTGCCTGAATTCCAATCCTGGTTCTACAACTTACTATATTTATAACTGCATCTCAGTTTCTTAATCTATAAAATAAGGCTCACAATCGCACTAGTTCATAGACGAAGTGTGAAGACTAAATGACTTTAATATATACGAAGCGTTTAGAACAGACTTTGACATATAGTAAACTCTCAATAAATGGTAACTATTATAGGCAACTTATTTTTTCTTTCTTCTTTATCTCCTAATCCTGTATCCCTGATCATAACTCTTGAGATTCTTCCTGAAGTAACCCTCCTTCACATGAAAATCCATATTCTTTCTTGCCCTCTTATTTCTTTCTTGGTTTATTTTATTTTCATTCATTATCTCAGGAAAATCTTAATGTAGCTCTCCCTTTCATTTTGAACCCTAAAAAACTTTGAGAAAGAAAAAGCAACTGTCCAAACATTTTTGTAAAACCTCAACTGGAATCTGTCATCATTTGCAAACATTCCTGAAAATCTCTATATATTGACATCGAACTTTCATGTTTCCATTGAAACGTGAAATATTTCATTATATTTTCTTTGCAGACATCAATCATTATATTCTGCAGATATCTATTATTATATTTTCTCCAGCATCAGCACCTGAGACAAAATATTTTTTGTACAGCCACATTGTTTTTTTTGTCTTTTATTTAGCAACTATTATTGGAGTCATTGCTGTTATTTTGTATTATTTTTTATTTCAAATACATTGTGTTTAAGCTATGCTTAAGGTGAATACATTGCTGTGGGTTGTCACTTGAACTTAACAGCCATTTGTAACAAAATTTCTATGAGAATAAATGTTACTTATCCTAAATGCTGACTCAACTAGGAACTTTTTTATGTAGAATCATAATTTACATAGCCATACATTATCTTGTTTAACACTCCAAACTTATGCAATAAGTATTACTGCTATATCACAAATTAAAAATCTGAGATTTAGAAATTTAAATAAATTACCTAAGTCACATGGCTATGAGGACAGGAAAAGGAACTAGACTCAATTTCTGTTCATTTCTAGTTCAAAAGACATTCCACTATACTACCTTCTTCTACCACACATACAATATATTTAATCAGGGTATAAATATATATTTACAAATGAGAAGCTGGCTAGCTGTTGAGCGATGATGTTGATAGAAGCTACAAACTTTTCAGTGATCATTATGTGCCAGGCATCTTTTCAAGTGAGTGATCTTAGTTAAGCTTCATATAGTTATGTGAGATTGTTCCTAGCCTCATTCATCAGTATAGACAATGAAGCTCCTAGAATGAAAGAATTTGTCAAAACTTACATTACAGTTAAGTGGCAGGACTTGACTGTAAATTCAGATCTGTTTGACCCCAAATTCCATGCTCTTATTCACCTCCATATACTACTTCCTTAATGGCGGAATGAGATCCGTATGTTGTCTCCCTGGTGTGCTAACCCTGTGTTAACTCAAGGGTGTATTAGACTGAAAACAGATGGACTGCTGTTGCTTTTGATGATAAGCAAAACATCCAGTGAAAAAAGTTAAGGCTAAACAGAAAAGAAGTGTGTGTCATTAGTTTACATATGATTCACAAAACCTTGGGAACAGATGGCATTGTCCATAGTCTGAGAGAAAGGAAGAGAAAAGCAGCTATGGAGGCCTAGGTTAGCTCTCACCATCTGGTTGTAGGTGGAGGAAGAAGTGATTGGGTGAGAGAAGCTGCTTTTCCATAGAGTCTTTTAATGAATCTTCAGGGACGCAATTTTTTACAAGTGAGCTTTTGAAACTCATTAATTGCCTTGATACTTAATGGCATTCTGCAGACTTGGACTTCCTTCAGTCTCTGAAGAATTTTGCTTTGTATGAATATTAGATTAATATTGTTCTATATGCAATTTACTCATGCATTTTGAGTTAGTAGACAATACTATTATTTTTGAGACAGAGTCTCACTCTTTCTCCCAAGTTGGAGTGCAGTAGGGCTGTCATAGTTCACTGCAATGGAAAACTCCTGCACTAAATCCTCCTGCCTAAGCCTACTGAATAGCTAGAACTATGAGTGCATGCTACTGCACCCAGCTAATTTTTATTATTATTATTATTTCTTTTTTTGCAGAGGTCAGCTATGCTGATCAAGCTGGTCTCTAGCTCTTGGCCTCAAGTGATCTTCCCAGCTCAACCTCCCAAACTGCTAGGATTCCAGGCATAAGCCACTATACTCAGCAACATTTTTAGTGGTTGAACTGATATAGTGTTTTGTAAAAATATGATCTGTGTCAAGTTAGAATGATTCTGTGCAGGGCTATTCTTATAAGGAAGGATTTGTAAGTAGTTCTCATTTCTAGGTAATAAGAGATTTTTGTTCCAGTATGGTCACTAGAGAAATATGGTTTTTTTCCTACTATTTCTTATAATGATGTCTTCACTGATTTACAAGCAGCCACAGGATTTAGGTAATAACTCTCAAAATCCTTTATAATCAGCAGGAAGTTTCCAGACTATGAAGTTTAAACTTCTCTCATAAACAGGTATAAGTGAAGCTACTGGAATATCCTGAAATGCACTTATCTTGGGGATGCCCGGAATGACTGATACGAATCAAAAGGAAGTTAGGCAGATTCATTGTCCCACCTTCATACAATCTACTTTAATGAATGCCGTAACCAAGATTGTTGATTTCCATCCCCGAAAATTTAGTCACGCACCTACATTTTTCTTCTTTGTATTGTCAAATTATTCACATATCTCTTTCAATGGATGTCTGTTACTCTTGGGATAAAACCCCAAATTCTTTTTATGACCTCTAGGGCCCTTCATGATCTGTCCCAGTCCCACCTCTCCATTGTTATCTCCAGTCACCAATGATGCCCCACGCTTTTGAAAAGGCCCTTTTCTGCTGCAGGCTTTTCTCACTTGTTCCATCTGCCTGGAACATCTTTTCCTGCTTTTCCCCCATCCTAATTTACTCCTACACTTCAAGTATCAGGCCTTTTATTACAATCTGTCATGAAAGTCTATATTTCTTTGAGCACATATTACAGTATAATTAAGTAATGATTTGCTAATCAATATATTATATTGATGGCTGTCACCTCTACTAGAATGTAAAGACAAGAGCCACTTCTGTTGTTTATGCCTGTATTTGCCACAGGTAGTACAGAATCAGGTACACGTTGCTTCACATAAAGTATTTTATGAATTAGTTAATATTTCAAGGCACCTAGAAGAATGTCTGGCAGAACTGCTCTATATGTATAAACCACTTTAAATGTTGTTACCATTGGTGTTTTTCTTACTTTCCCTTTATTAGTAGATGTTGATTAAAGGGTGTGTGATAAAGGACCTCAGATCCCAATCATAGCTGTGCCATATGATCTTTGGAAAGACATCTAACCTTTCTGGGTTTCAATTTTCTTACCCATACAGACATTTCTTAAGAACTTTTATTTTTAAAATCATTGGAAACATAGGTTCTCTTAAAAGCCAAAGTAAAGGGGAAAAAGAAAGAACTGACTAATTATAATGTTAATGTTTTCCTTCCGGTTTCCAGACTTTCTATCTGAAGTATTCTCCACATCCAGGATGGTCTTCTTTTCTTATACACAAACAGCCAACCCATCATCAAATTATTCTCCTTGGTAAAGCTCATATATATATTATTTGTTATGCTTAATAAATAGCTCTCATATTTATTCTGGAAACTGTATCAGTTGAGAAGCAAGTCAGCAGGAGAATGATAGTACCACCCTTGTTACTAGTAAAGGTCAGACTAGACTGGAATATGTAGCTCTTATATGAGATTCAAGTAGATCTACTGCCTTTCTGCTATGTAGCTATTACTCTATCTGGATAGAGAAAAAACCCACTCAAGGGCCAGTATGGGTACCCAGAGGAGGCACACATATCCAGGAAACTACCTCCTACTGATTTAAGTGGACAAGGGAGGAGAAAGAGGCCAGAGTCCCTGTGCATAAATCCTTTGGCAATTAATTACTCTCAGTTGGGAAACCTGGACAAATGGCCATCATCCAGAACCTAGTAATTCAGTCCTCCTCGGTGTAAAAGGGATGAGAAGTGAGACAATGGGCTAGGATTGCATAGCTACCAAAAAGGAAGGCTAAAATACCGTCCCGTCTAATGTCAGTTATCTAGTGAATTTCAACTAGGGTGTAGGCAGTTGCTAGAAATAAGCATTGTGAACATGTGTCAGGCAACGAGTGCTATGTGAACCAGAAAATGCATTCACTGGGTGGAGGTAAACTAGAGCAAACAAAACATAGCCCAGGAGCCACTAGGGTTTATGAGCTGTAACAAGCAATCTCAGTTTCTCTGGAGTTTTAAGGCTGAATTCCACTTGTGAAATTTTATACTTCATCTTATTTGTTAAAAATATCTTCGAATCCCTGAGAAAGGTTTTTGCATGGAGAGCCTTCCCAGAGCCTCTGACATTATTCCCTAACAGTAATGGCAACTTCCCAGGAGAGAAGCGGCTCTGCTTCTTAGAGCCACTGCTGTATTTATGATTTCTCTTTCCTAATTTATTTTAGGTTTTTATCTGAAGAGGCTATTTCCATGATGAGTTTTGTTAAAGCAGTGGAACCCATAGATGTTCTGTTAAGAACAAGAATCCAAACAGGTGCTGAAAATCAAGACAGCAGAATCAACACTCTGGATAGAGGGGGCCGCAGGGTTGGACTGGATGGCAGATTCCCTACCTGGCTTGCCAGGTTTATTTCAGGCCTGCAGTTGCAACTTGATGCAAATAAAGAAAGAGAGGCAGATGCTGTATACTAGGTTTATGGAATAGGAGTCAATGAAAAGTTCTCTGTTAGGGAAACTCCATAAATCCAGGATTTTCCCACAATACAAAGTCGGTGACAGGAAAATTAATTTCAACTGTCTTGTGGGAAAAAGTCATTAACAAATGGGAAGACTTGGTGAGATGGAGGCTGAAGTAATAGATTTTAGAGATTAAAGATGAGCCCATGTAAGGAAGGTGAAGACATGAACAGACATATATGCGTGTGAACACACGCAAAAGTAGTAAGTACATATTTATGGACACATACATCACATATTATGGTCATGCTGCTTAACTCCTGACTATTGTACCTATAGTCAAAAACTAAAAGGAGGTCAATGAGAGGTTATAAATAAATTTGTATTATTCCTAATAATCTTGTATACTCAACTAAAGTGACAGAACATGTCACAGTGGTCAATAGAGGCCATGATGATTGAAGTTCAGTTTTGTTTTGTGTAAAATATTGTCCAGAGATATTCAGTTCTATAAGTTAATAAGGAGCTAAGGTTTGAATGGGAGATTGAAGAAGTATATGAGTCTCCAGTTAGCAGGATAGAGGATCACTAATTTAGAAGCCAGGATAAACTACCACAGTGCCTGTTACTTAGTAAGGCTCAATAAATACTTATTTAATTAATTATACTCTGCTCATTCATGTAGTATCACAATGATGATGACTACTCAAGGAAGTAAAAAGTCTTCTCTTGGTGACATATTGGATTTGAGATTTTTAATCAAGTAGACTGTGTGAGGAGCTATTACCAATTAAACATCAACCTGGAGTCACACATATTTTCTTAGTAGAATTTACTGTTGAATACAGTAGCAACATGAATGCATAGTTGTCTTCATGAAAAATAATTCAGAAAGATGGACAAATTTAGAAGGACACTCATCACTATGTTGCTTTCACTACTGTGCCCAATTCTATTTTTGTCTTTCAGTTCTAGAAAAGTTTTTCTAAGAGTTACCCCTACATTATGTGAGTTTTGTGCCATTATTCTGCACCTCTTATAAACTGATGATTCAGGGTCTGGGCCTAAGGCCAAAGTTAATTAAGTCTGAAAGCATATGAAAGCTGTTACTCCTATTCAGAAGACAGCAAGCCAGCATTTGCATTTGTTTGCTGTCCCTGTGCTGAAGTGCTGAGTTGTTGTAAGTTGCAGGTAGCATGACTTTGAGTAGTTGACAGGTATAGGATAATAGATGAGGAAGTCCCTATAAGTTATCCTTTTAAATATCTTGCAGACTCTGATGTTAAGGAGATACATTTAATTTGAAATGTACCTAATTCATTAATTTTTTATCATCTTGGTTCAAATTTTCTTCTAATTCTTCCATGGAAAATTCTTATTTTTGTCACAGTCTTCACTACATTAGTGATTTATTTATTTATTTATTTTAATTTTTTTTTTTTTTTTAGATTCTAGGGCTTTTGGATGTTTTGTTTGTAGACTTGTTTTTAACTTTCCACCTAATCCAAATAATCCAGATAATAATATCACACATATGCTATATGGTAGGCACTTATTTATAATATTTATAAGCCCCTTACCCACCCTCTGTATATCAGTCTCATTTTGGTAGGAGGAAACAGCTTATTTTTGACAAAGCCAGGATTCAAATTCAGGTCTGTATCCAAAGTCTATAATCTTTCTTAATCTACACCATGCTACCGCTCTAAATTGGTTGGAAAGTGGATTCTGTTGCATATAATTTAAACCTCAAATAATAGCAGCCTAGCAATATTTATTTCTCTCTTATGTAAAATACATTTAGAGGAAGGCAGCTCCATGATTGTCAGGCTCCTTCTTCCTCCCTGTCTATTATCCTAGCTTGTGCATTCCATGTCCAGGTGATACGGTTTGGATCTGTGTCCCTGCCCAAATGTCATGTCAAATTGTAATCCTAATGTTGGAGGTGGGGCCTGGTGGGAGGTGAGTGGGTCATGGGGGTCAATTTCCCCCTTGGTGCTATTTTTATGACAGTGAGTGAGTTCTCGTTAAGTCTGGTTATTTGAAAGTGTATGGCACCTACCCCCCAACACACCGTGTCCTGCTCTTTCCATGTAACATAACTGTTCCTGCTTTGCTTTCTGCCATGAGTAAAAGCTCCCTGAGGCCTTCCCAGATGCTGATGCTGCCATGCTTCCTGCATAGCCTGTGGAACCCTGAGCCAATTAAGCCTTTTTTTTGTTTATAAATTACCAAGTCTTAGGTATTTCTTCATAGTAGTGCAAGAACAGACTAATACACCAGGATCACGTCATGGCCCAAGAGAGCTGCTAAAACTTTAACTATCAGAGCTGTATTCCTGGTAACAGGGAAGAATGAGAGGGAAAGGCAAAAGGAGTGCCTCAGGTGTCTGTCTCCATTTTAAGGCGCTTTTCTAGAAGTCCTGTCTATCAATTTTCACTTACCTATTTTATGACTTCTTCATGTTTATAATGCTAGCAGCTGGAATAGTTTCTAGTACAATGAATGGATGGATGGAAATGAGTGAATATTAGACTTAAACTTATTGTAAGGCTGAGGCTTGCTTAAGACAACTTCTCTATTAAAAATATGTTAGGTTTCTAGACTTTCTGTATATGCTTTATTTTAAATTTATCTACCAGATCGCTCTCTCTGTCTCTGTACCTGTGTCATTTGATGTTCTCTTTGCCTGAGATATGCTTCTACGTACCCTACCTTCTCAATACATAGATATGTCATGTGACTCATTCCAACTCATCATTTAGGTTTAGGCAGAGTTGGATCTCTCTTGAAGAAGCTTTCTGTTCTTCTGAAGGACAGAAATAGACTAGACACCCACTTTGGGTGACTAGCATCCTCCGTTTAGTCTTACTAAAGCATTTTTTACACTATTAGTTATGTTTCCATGAGTTTACTTAAGGTTGGAACTATGATTTGTTCCATTATATCACCAACATTTGGAGCCAGGTCTAGAATACAATTAGTGCACAATAAATGTTTGCTTAAAAATGAGGACTGTTCAAATGAGGTTCTGGATAACTGATAGACTTGTCCAAGCTCACAGAGCTAGATACTTATATAGTCTTAAGTCTCTGCCTCTGAAGCTTGCCTTCCATCCAGGGAACACAGAAATGCAAATACAAGAGGAAGACAAAACAAAACAAAAACCTCAAAACCAAAAAATCTCGTTTCACAAATTTACTGGGAGCCAGCTGTCCTTTACTTAGTTCCCATAATCACTTTTCAGTCTGTTCTGAGTAGTGACTGACTCAGACGAATTTTCAGAAGCCAAGATTAAACCAAGAGAAGTCCATACCAGTCATTAAAAGTGGCGAAACTTGCCAGACTTCCTGCAAAAGAATTTCTAATTATTCCAGAATTTTCTGCACAAGTCACTTTTTATTTTGTCTCTTTTTCTCTGCTGAGAGCACATGCACATGGGCAATAGCCAACACGGAAGTCATTCTGTTTAACAGGAACAGGAATTTTCAGCAGTGTTTATTTTACAGCAGGTTCCCAGAGCAGAAGGCTGTACAACTAATCTCCTCCCCCTACTGTCATCTTGCTCTTCCAGCTGTAGGACATTTATAGAGTTGTAAAGTCTTCAGAGGAACTGCTGCTCTGGGGTCAAGAGTAGTACTGTAAGGCCAGGTACAATGGCTCACACTTGTAATTCCAGCACTTTGGTAGGCCTAGATGAGATGACTGCCTGAGCCCAGGAGTTCAAGACTGGTTTAGGCAACACAGTGAGACCCTGTCTCTACAAAAAAAATTTAAAAAAATAAGCCGGGCATGGTGGCATGTACCTATAGTCACAGCTACTCAGAAGGCTGAGATAGGAGGATTGATTGAGCAAGGGAGGTCAAGGCAGGCTGCAGTGAGCTGTGATCTCACCACTGCACTCCAATCTGGGTGACAGAGTGAGACTTTGTCTCAAAAAAAAAAAAAAAATTATTGTACTCGGTAAATCCCAGAAGTGTGGAAAGAGGGTGACAAGGCTGCCGGATGTAACCCTTGTCTTCTTACCCCACAGGGTATGCACTATGTTTTTAAATACTTGCTGCTGCAAGAGGTTGTAAATTTGTAATTTTTTTTCTTATGGTAATTAATTCAAAACATGAAACTAATAAGTACAAAAAGGTATCTACTCTGATGTTAATAAGAATACTTTGTTCATAGGAATTTTTAAGATAAAATACAAGTGTCAAAACAAATGGTGCTTTGGACTATGAGTCCACAGCAATATTAGGGGTGGGAGCGATATGATGGAAAGAACAGGGGCTTTGAATCAGACAGGACTAAGTTCAAATCTTGGCTCTACCCACTCAGTCATTGTGTGACATTAAACTCTTGGAAGCTGTTTCCTCATCTGTAAATGGAGATGTATTGTGATTAGTGACAATTTATGTAAAACAACACATGTTCAATCAATAGTGGTTTGTATTGTTGTTTGAATTATTATATTATGCCACCAGAGGCAATAGACACAGAATTGAACATTGTGGTGAGCCTGTTGTGAAATCGACACCACTTGTGTGTTCTGTAGCCTCTGGTGGACACACTAGCATCCCATCATAAGCGCCCTGCTCTTTGATCTCCCGCAGCCCTGGGCAGAGGCAACATATCACTGAAGTTACTCTTTTTCCTCATGATTTACATCAAAATCATGTATAACTAGAGTGCTTTGTTGCTTTAAATATGAAAAAATAGTTTGAATGCCCACTTCATGTTCTGAAAAACAAATTTGAAGGAGAGAGAGAGAGCCTGCCCTCTGAGAGTTCACAAACCTCTCTGAGAATATGGACATTTTGTTAATGAGAAATACAGTGAGTGGTGAAGAAGACAGGGAAGGCTCAGAATGGTGTAAATGCGATCAAGAGGAAGGTTGGAATTGACCTGAGCCATGTTATTTCTCTTTATATCTCATTCAAGAGGAAGTCTTCATTTCTTTGGATGGCGTGCAGGACCTCTGAAATCCAGTCCTTATGTATACATTTTGCCATCATGCCCATTCGCCTTATTCTCCAGTCCAAAGAACTTCTTCTGGTTCTTTCTACAACAGGTCCTGTTTAGTTGCACCTCAGTGCCTTTGTATGTGCTGGTCTCTCTTCAAGGAAGGCTCTTGTCTTACCTTTCTTTGTCAGTTCAATGCTACTCTTTCTTCGAGTTCCCAGGGTTTCAGAATCCTCCACCAATTCTCTGCCAGCATGCAAAGGAAAGGAGAGGTCATGGAGGATCTCCAAGGAGGTACTTAGGAGTCCAAGCCTAAAAATGAAGTGTATCACTTCTTCTGACAGTCCATTTGATCAAAATATTGTCAGGTGGCCATTTGATCAAAATATTGTCAGGTGACCCTAAATGACTACAGGATAGGCTGTGAAATGTGGTCAAAGTGTGTGTTTAGTAGGGGGAAAAAGGGGTTTGGTGAATCTTTACTGTGTTATTTGAAAGCATATTGTTCTTCCGTACCTATCTAATATCTTACACCATAGATGCTAACACTTTGTCAAAAGAAGTGAAGGAGTTTATGAATGCATTAGTAAATAAGTAAATATATGATGAGTAGAACACCAGAGGTGATAGTAGTGCGTTCACTTTGGAAATCAATTTAAGTTAACAAAATATAGACAGTCTGGTATTTGGAGAGCACAGCCAATGCTTGCCATTGTCCTACTTTGGCATATGAAGTTAGTCTTTGTGACTGGTAAATGTTTTCCTTAGTATCTGGACACTTCCATCCTTGTCTCTAGCCATACTCCCCCTTGTTTCAGCTTCCTTGCCATTTCTCAAATACACCAAGCATACTGATGGTTCTACATGAGGATCTTTACCCTTGTTTCCCTGGTTTGAAGTGCCAGACCCCAACTCCCCTTTTATTCCCCCCAACCACCAAGCACATGCTTGCCCTTTGCCTCACTTAGGTCTTACCTCTAGTGTCATCTTCTCTATGAGCCCTTCCCTGGCCACCCTAACTTCCTGTCCCATATCCTGTGTTATTTTTCCCCATCACATTTCTCAAGACCAGATATACTATATACTCCCCCAATTTGAAGATACACCTGTTAGAACAAGGAATATTGTCTATTTTGTTTGCTTATTTTTTTCTGTTGCTGGTACCTAGAACAGTGCCTGGCACATTGTGGATGCTCAAATATTTTTTGGATAAATGATAATGGTTTGTTTTTGCACAGTGTTTTGTGTCTTCTTCGCATGAAAATGACACATTAATTTAAAAATTGAATGTAAAAATATTTTCAAATTTTTCAACAATTGGATGTGGAAATGCAGAAGGAAAGAAGAGGATAAAAATTATTACTAAGGGGAAATGGTGACTTGACTCAGAGTCAGCGATAAAATATTATTGCTCTAGAAAGACACGCTAGAAACCACGAGGGATGAAGGAATGTTTTGAAAGTGTTTGTGTTTTTTCTTAGAATGCTGATTTTTATGCCATCCAAGCGTTCAATAGATGTAGCTTGAAGGAATCAACTGCAGAGCTCAGTAAACCCATAATGAGTACTTAAACCGTTTCAATTTAGTTTTATCAGAAAGGGCATTCAGTGAACGAGGCATTCTGATCACAGCAATTCTCTTCACAGAAATGGTATTTGGGAAGCTGGTTACCTTCTATTTGATAATTCAAAGATACATTTGGAATGCAGAGAACATTTGACAAAACCTATCTTTAAACTCAATTGCTTAAAGAAGAAACAAAAGCTACAAACACACTATGGGATAGAAATAGTCAGAAGAATCCATTCAGCAACTTTTTTAGTAGAGTCACCCTAGAATGTAGGGTACAGATCATGGCATTATAGAAGTATAGACTCAGAAAGGAACTTTGGGTGAGGAAAATAGGGTCTGGAGATAGGGGCACAAATATTTATCAAGGGTACCCTCTGTTGGGCACTCTAGAAAGCACTTCATTCGAAATGGGCGTTACTATCTTTATCTGGCACTTCATACTCAAAGTGGTTAACTTTTATACTCTCATATAGCAGGTGTGTCACAGAGCTGGGCTCACACTGAGATCTGTCTCACTCAGAGTCCTTATTATTTCTAGTCTGCCTTTTGAGATCTAAAGATTACCCTCAAAAGTTGCTCAATTATTAAATAATATATCCAGAATAATGACTCAAGTATTTTGATTTTTTAGTCTGTGCTCTGTCCACCAGAGTTAACTTTTTGGGTGGGGACACAAGGATAAATTTTTGCAATGGAACCTAGTTACTAAAAATCTCTTTAATCTGGCCAGGTGTGGTGGCTTACACTTGTAATCCCAGCACTTTGGGGGAATGAGGTGGGCGGATCACTCGAGGTCAGGAGTTCAAAACCAGCCTGGCCAACATGGTGAAAACCCATCTCTACTAAAAATACAAAAAAATTAGCTAGGCGTGGTGGTGGGTGCCTGTATTTCCAGCTACTCAGGAAGCAGAGGCAGGAGAATTGCTTGAACCCAGGAGGCGGAGGTTGCAGTGAGCTGAGGTCGCACCACTGTACTCCAGCCTGGGCTACAGAGCAGGACTATGACTCAAAAAAAAAAAAAAAACAAAAAACAAAAAACAAAAACAAAAAAAAACTTGAATCAATGTTCTATCCTCTCATATTTCCTCTCAATTTTTTTATTTTAAAGACTTTGTCTAAGAATGATACATGAATTCATATTTTACCTTTAGTGTATTTTTAATATTTGTGATTATATTATCTATATTTGAATATTAGCCATGTTTGTATATCCATAATAATGGTATTTTGTCTCTCACAAGACATGCATTAGCTTTCTTCACTGTGTGGAAATATCTTGATGGTCTAATGTTTCTATTAAGTTGCTTACTTACCTGCCCGGTGCGAATGGTGTTAGAATTTAGAAATACATTTGTATATTCTGTTTAAGTCGTCTCATAAATTGGAAATAAGAACATGAAGTATTCAGTATTAAGAATAATAATAACTAACACTCACATAACGGATATTTTAAATTGTGGCATTCTCATCAATAAATAAGTCATACAAGATAGACTAATATATAAAACAAAATTCAGGCAAAACTGGGTTAAAAAAGAGGGATATGTAGATAGGACAACACATAAATTTTCTCTACCATGAAATGAAGCTGATATTCAGTAGTGCATTTTAGTGGTTAGCAGCTTAGATCTTGGGTGTCATGTAAATTTGGATTTGGATCCCATTTTGATTCCAGTTTTGTGTTTCTTGGTTATCTGTCCTTAGGTAAACCTTTCTAAGCTTTATTTCTTCAGCCATGAAATAGGGATAATTATAATTACCTCAAAAAAATTTCTGAGTGTGTGATTTTATTTAAATATAAATATATATTTGTAAAAATGTGTTTATGTAATTATACACATATATACTTATATGTACAAATATATGTGTATACACACATCCAATTGCATATGGAGCTAGTTGTTTGGTGAGTACTTTTTTGATATCAAATTGTTTTGCTGATGAGGAGAGGGTCCCTAAATACTTGATTCCTGTAAGTGTCAGACTTCTCCAGAGAAACAGAACCAATATGGGGTGTGTATATACATATACATATATAGACATATACATATATAGATATATACATAAAGAGATTTATTATAATGAATTGGAATTCATGATTAAAGAGAGGCTGTCAAGTCTAAAATCTACAGAATCAATGTCTCAGTTCCAGTCCAAAGACCAGAAGCTGCTGTAGTAGTAACAAGAGCTGATGTTCCAGTTCGAAGGCTATTAGATAGGAGAATTCTCTTTTACTTTGAGAAGAGTCAGTTGTTTGTTCTATTCAGGTCTTTAACTGATTGGATGAGAGTCACCCATATTGTGGAGGGCAATCTGCTTTACTCAGTCTACTGATTTAATTTCAATGTTAATCTCATCCCCAAACACCCTTACAGAAACACCCAGGATAATGCTTGACCAAAAATCTGGCTGAGCAGCAAATAAATGTGAAAGGGAAGAAATGGATTTGGAGACCTATGTGTTAGCCGAATTCCTAGTGATGCCTATAGGGGAGGGGAGGGCAACACATGCTAGAGAAATTGTTCTACAGGTGAAGGCGATGTAATGTGCTAACTCCCTATTTTATAGTTTATAATGTGAACTCAGTTACAAAATAAAACTGTAGACTAAGAGAATGCTTACCTATTCCCACATCTTCTTTTACTTGGGTTTAAGGAACAAATTGAATGGGTCACTAGAACTCTAATAGTCACTCATCACACTTTTTCTGATCATTGACTAGGTATCAAGCACATTGACTCTAGAAATTTAAAAATAAGTGAAATATTTTCCTCACCCTGGAAGAGTTCAACATCTAGAAAGGAAGACAAGCACAACAGAAAGTAATAACACTGTTACAACAAAACTATAAAATGTTATGCCCTTATAGAAGAAAGAAGCAACCGTCTTCAAGAAGTGGGGTGGGGTGAATGAGAAGCAATTAGACTCACAGAAATTGACTCTCTGAGATGGGTCATGGAGGATGAATAGGAGTTTTCTAAGTGAGAAAGGACTGAAGGGGAATTCCAGAAGGATTAGCATGTGGAAAGGCATGGAGATATGAAAGAGATTTGAATATATGAATATTTGGAAATACTACTGATAGATAGATAGGTGGTATAGCGTAAGATCTTAGCCTCTGAAGCCAGAGTCTAAGTTCCAAATCTGGCTTGGCTGCTGACTATGTAATATTGTGCAAATTATTTGACTTTCTTTGCTTCCATTCCCTCATCTGTAAAATGGGATTAAATAATTTAACACATATATAGCACTTAAGACAGTGTGTGACACATTGTAAAGCTCCATCAATACTATTATATATCATCATTATCAATGTGTTGGTCAGCTGTGATAACAAACATACTTAAAATTTCAGCACTTACAAATCTTTATTTTTTTGCTCATGTTACTTACAGGTTTGTGTTACCACTATAGCTTGTCTCTAGGTAAGGGCCAGCTCTGCTTCCTTGCCTTCCCATTCTATAGAAGAATCTCCAGCTAAGATTCTCATGGCAGCACATAAAAGCAAGATTAGTGGCAGAAACTCATGGTACTTCTCCTACTTTCACGAAAAAAAAAATATGTCATACCTACTCATATTCCACTGACCAAAGCATATACCGTGGCCAAACTCCAAATCAATGAGGCAGGAATGTATAATTTCCTAAGGGAAAGGACAATGGAGGGGTGTTAACAATCATAAACAGAAATACAATCTACCACAATCATCAGATATCAGCATCTTCATATTATTTTGTACAGGGTGCTGGTAAGGAAAGGAGAGAAGTATGATAGAAAATAAAGCTGGCTAGGGGAACACACAGCCAGAGCATCTCTGAAAATCAATACAATTTTTTGAATATATTTGAAGCTTTTTGGCCCACAGTGCCCTACTTCCCATCTGTCCTGCTTGGTTTTCTGCTTTTTCCTTCTATGAGACAATTACCTGACCTCCAGGCATAAGTTTGAAAAGCTGGGGCTTTTGCCACATGTTACAATATGTGGTAATTTGGATTTGAATTATAAATAGGAAAAATGAGTTTATGTTACCTCTGTAATTGATGTCCTGACCTCCTGTTTCAAAGCACTATAAACATTTGTCAAAGTCTTCTGTTAATTATAAGTGTAGTTACTAACTTAGAGTCAGTTGTCATTTTCATTATATTCCATGACTTTGTAATTAAGTCATTTGAAATATAATTTGTAATTTTAGTGGACAAATTATTTCAGGCTTTTTGTTTTGTTTTGTTTTGTTTTGTTTTTTGAGAGCCAAGGAGGAGGCTTAGAATTTGAAACTTTTTAAAAAGGGAACGATATGTACACAAATGTCATTCACAGCTAATATTTAACATTGAATTATGATTATTTTTCATTAGTTTATCCATAGAGCAAAAAAGATCATTTGAAAAATGTTAAGACTATATTTCATGGAAATGTGCCTGCCACTTTGCTTCATTCAGAAGGAAGCCTCTTAAGGTATAAAATAGTCGTTGTTGTTCTGCCTGTAACTTTACTTTGAGATTAAAAAGCTGAATTTTGGTTGTCAGGAATTCTAGTCCAAAGAGGCCTAGGATTTCAAAACAGGTGTCCTTTAGTCATGGCTTGCCTGCCTGGGCACCAGATCTGGAGACAAGACATTTGCAAGGCCCTTTGAATTGAGTAGGGGAAGAGAGGGAAAATAGCAGGAGTGGAATTGGCTGAAGTAAAAGATCGTCGTCCAGTGTCAGCCCATGATTAAGAATTAGATATGGGAACTTGGATATAAGGATGACAGAACCTCAGGGTCCAGATATAAGGGGCCTACAAACAGGTTCAGGTATGAATAGTGTTGGACTATATAATTTGTCATCCAAACCCATTTATTTTTTGAAAGTGAAAGGTAATATATAAGTGTGCCAAGTAAATAGTCATAAATTAAGACAGTCCTAAAGAAACTAGAGTCACTCTAGGGATAGAAAGAATAAGAGATACAGTAAATAAATATCCTGTGTTCCTGCCCTATTCATTCATGCATTTTTCAACAAATATTTGCTGTGCTCTGTGTCTACTCTGGAGACGCACAGATTCATAAGAAAAGGTACCTGCCTTTTAGGATATCCTGTCAATAGACTGTTAGAATAGATTCTAATTTGTTTGAGATAACCACCAGAGTTCACTCTTGGAGCCCAGGACAGCAATCTTTGATCCAGCCTTGGGTCAGGGAAGGGAGGGAGAAAGAGATGGTGGTGAGTGCCCTCAAGCCAAGAGTCTATCTCACAACATTGCTAGACCATGCAGAATATATGAAAAAAAAATATATATATATATATATATAACCTGTAAAGGCATAATTACAAATAAGCATTATATCTTGGTATGTTTTTCTGTATGGAGAAAATGTAATACAGAATAAGTTGAATAGTTAATATCTGAGGTGATCTTCAAAATGGTGAAGAAGGTAAAGAATGGGAGAAGGACATACTAAGGAAAATGTATTTTCCGGTAATAAACAGAGGAAAGTATTTATGTCTTAAAGTGGTCTTGTTGGCTAGGAAATTGGAAGAGGGTGATGTTACCCTGTAACCTGGTAGGGCTTTTCCTCTCAGGGCTTAATTATAACTGAGTAGGCTGGCTCAGAAAATGCCCCAATTTGTTAACAATAAAACTAGACTTATAGCTCCACCTTTTCTCAGTTCTCCGGTTTAATCCCTGACTGGAAGGATCTAATCAGGACCTTCAAACTCAGAAGTGACTGCCTTTTTTTTTTTTTTTTTTTTTGTGACAGAGTCTTGCTCTATTGACCAGGCTGGAGTGCAGTGGCTTAATCTCAGTTCACCACAACCTCCGCCTCCCAGGTTCAAGCGATTCTCCTGTCTCAGCCTCCCTAGTAGCTGGGATTACAGGTGCATGCCACCATGCCTGACTGATTTTTCTATTTTTAGTAGAGACAGAGTTTCACCATGTTGGCTGGACTGGTCTCGAACTCCCAACCTCAGGTGGGGATCTGCCCTCCTTGGCCTCCCAAAGTTCTGGGATTATAGGCATGAGCCACCATGTCTGGGCCATGACTGCTTTTAAAAAGAGATTTATGGCCAGGCACAGTGGTTCATGACTGTAATCCCAGGACTTTAGGAGGCTGAGGTGGGCCGATCACCTGAGGTCGGGAGTTCGAGACCAGCCTGACCAACATGGAGAAATCCATCTCTAGTAAAAATACAACATTAGCTGGGCATGGTGGCATGTGCCTATAATCCCAGCTACTTGGGAGGCTGAGGCAGGAGAATCATTTGAACCTGGGAGGCAGAGATTGTACCATTGCACTCCAGCCTGGGCAACAAGAGTGAAACTCCATCTCAAAAAAAAAAAAAAAAAAAAGATTTACAAAGAAACTGACTCTAAGTACTGATGATCTGATACTGACATCTGAATGAATGGTTATGGAAACCAGGATGATGTGAGAGGAGCTGGCCCTCTACTTCCATATTATCATGTCACATGTGTTTCCATTTGTGGTTCCCTAGTACAAGCTGACCCTTTCTAAACTAGAGAAATTACAGAGAAAAAAATTAAAGCTAAAACATGCATGGGGGAGGGGCAGATGCATTTTGTCCAGGTGAGATTTTACTCCCTGTCTTGTTACCGTTAATTCAGTATGTCTTGTGCTTCTTTAAGGAAACTTGAGATGAGTTGTCTCTGGATCTGCATTACGTGGTCAATATATAAACATTTATATTGAACATCTTTAATGATCAAGGACTTTGCTAAGTCCTGCCAAGTTATTTCTATATTCTGGAAAGTGAATGAGGGACATCTCTCTCAGTCTCTCTGAATCTCTGAATCTCCCTCCCTCAACACCATTTCCCCCACCTGACTTACAGACACAAATATACTGAATTGTGAGGAACTCAAAGAGACAGATCATGTCTTAGTTGCTCTTATATCCCTGGCTTGTACTTCAGCTCTTGGTCCATAGTGAATTATTAAGTGATGATAAATTTTCACTGAAAAGTACACATAATAGCAATTAACATTCTCATGTCACTCTATAGTTTTAAGATGCACTTTACAAACATATCATATTTATAATCCCTGAAGATGTGAGCATTAGGTCTATTTCAACTTTATAATTGAGGAAGCTGTTGTTCAGAGGATAAAATGGGTCCCCACGATGATATACAGAGATAGAACCCAGATAGATAACCTGGTTCTCAGCTACATTATATTGCTACATTTGAGACTTTGTAATCCATTCTACAAGGCAAATACTTCTGATGCTTTCAGCCTTCATTTTTATTCAAGTGCCCTTAAGCCAAGAAACCATCTCACAACATCTCTAGACCATGCAGTTAAAACAAAACAAAACAAAACAAAACTACCTGCAAAGGCATGATTACAAATAAGCATTATGCCTTGGCATTTTTTTCTGTATGAAGAAATTGCAGGTGACTTTACCTGGAGAGAGGGGGCGTATATGGTAACAAAGTCATAAAATTTTATTTTATATCTGTAGATCATAAACAAATTTTGCACACTAACTTTAATTAATCATCACTGCTTGAATTGAATTAGATCCTCCCACTCCCACATTAAACTGTAATGTATTCTTTATAAAAATGTACAACTTGAAGTTGAGTCCTTCAGGCCAGAGAGTTTATTTATAACATGCGATGAAACATTTTGTGGCATCAATTTCATTTAAATCATAGATTCAGGAAGTCACAGAAAGAAATAGGCCCACTTAGTCACCTTGCCTTTGTCAGAAGGAGTGAGATCTGCATTTGCAGTGTACTTCCTATTGCTTGGGTCAATGTGTATATTTATATATCTCTTCATATTCAACACTGCTGATGAAATGGCTTTCATATGAAAATGCGTAAATCAAAGGCTGGTGTGGGATGTAGATTTTCCTTCTTTTACAGCATGTTCCATCATAGTCTAGTTCAAACTGAGGGTTATTTTCTTTAGGCCTGGACAAAAGCATCTCTCTACTGCCCTGCCTCAGATTCTAGCATTTCTACTCTGGGTCAGGTTGGTCTGCCCATCATATTTACTTCCTTAAAAGAGGTATCAGACCAGTCCTCAGAAGGTTATAGAGATAAGACACACCATTATGGTGATGCAGATACCAAAAATAGCACAAACCATAGTACAGCACATGTTTTGCCAGAGCAAATGAAGTGTCAGGGTACCCAGTGAAATATCGGAATTGTCAATGTCAAATCCAGGATCCTGGGAGTTAAGAGGAATGCTGTGTAATGAAGAATTTAACATTATCCTAACAGAAGTCTGACCTTTACACTCAGTTCCTGGGAGGTAATCTTTGGATTCTTAGAATATGATGCCTGGTAGGAATGCCTTTGTTTGCCTGGGGTTTTTGCCATTGGATCGTCTAACACTGTGATTTTTAATGGGGGTTTTGGATCATGTGGTATCAATTCTGTCTCCAGATGGACTGGAGACTAAATTTCAGCCTTATGAACAGTATGTGATGGAGCCCCAGTAAAAACTCTGAGCACTAAGGCTCAAGTGAGCTTTCCTGGTTGGTAATATTTTGTGCATGTTGTCAGACATCAATGCCAGGAGAGTAATGTGCTCATGACTCCATGAGTAGAAGACAGAAGCCCCATGTTTGGCACCTCTTCTGGACCTTGCCCAATGGACACCTTTCTTTGGCTGATTTTAATGTCTATTTTTTTCCTTTAATAAACTGTAGTCGTGAATATAACAGCTTTCACTGAGTTCTGTGAGTCTTTCTAGTGAATGATAAAAGTTGAAGGTAACCTTGGGAATCCCCCAAACTTGCAATTGATATCAGAAAGGAGGGTGGTCTTATATGAACTGTGGGCCCTCATATACCTCATAGTTGGTTTAGCATCTTATAGAGACATTATTGAAAATCAACATCCAAATGATAATTCCCAGGGTGAGAAATTTGGAAAAAGAGTGAAGGATAGTCATTCAGTAACTTACTTGATTTCACCCTTTTTATTCTTAGGATCTGTGATATCTGCATGTAAGTTTTGTTTCTTGCTCCAGATAATCATAAAAGCACTGTCATGCCCCAAAGAGATAGTAGAGCTTCTAGCATCTCTAGATATCTGGAAAACATCAAGAGATTTTGGATCCAGAAGTTTATTGGTAGTCAAGAGATATATTAAGAGGATGACATTCCAGTCTAGACCTAGAGCAAACTGAAAGGAGTCTTGAAAAGGCATTATAGCAGACCTAGTGGGAATTGAGGGGCAGAATAGAGAGCCCACACTTTAGAGAGAGGGTCCAGGGACAGACAGGACTTCAAATTTTAAAAAGTGTTGAAAAAAAATACAAAGCTCCACCCAGAAGATACACAATTAGATTGAGGCTACCTACAAGTTGGACTTGATATTTTTGTCAGTTAGAATTAAATTTGTCTGTGAGTGACAGAATACTTGAAGTAAAAAGAAAGAAGTTCCTTTCTCATTGTCTTAGCTTATTCAGGCTGTGATAACAGAATACTATAGACTAAGTGGCTTATAAACCACAGAAATTTATTTCTCACAGTTATGGGAGCTTGGAATTCCAAGATCAAGGCGCCAACAGATTTGATGTTTAGTGAGGGCTCAGTTCCTGATTCATAGATGGCCATCTTCTTGATGTAATCTCACATGCTGGAAGAGGTTAGGGAGCTGTGTTAGTCCAGTGTGCATTGCTATAAAGGAATATCTGAGGCTGGATAATTTATAAATAAAAGAGGGTTACTTGGCTTATAGTTCAGCAGGCTGTACAAACATGGCACCAGCATGTGCTGGCCTATGGTGAGGGCTTAGAAAGCTTTTAATCGTGGTGGAAGGCAAAAGAGGAGTGGGTGTGTCACATGGCCAGAGAGAGAGCAAGAGAGAGGTGAGGAAGTGCCGACTCTTTTAAACAACCAACTCTTGTATGAACTAATAGAGTGAGAACTAACTCATTACCATGGGGAGATCACCAAATCATTCATGAGGAATCTGCCTCCATGACTGTAACACCTCCCACCAGACCCTACCTTTAGCATTGGGGATCACATTTCAACATGAGATTTAGAGGGGACAAGCATTCAAACCATATCAGGAGCCCTCTACAGTTTCTTTTATAAGGGCATAAATCCCATTCACGAGAATTCCAGCCTCATGACCTAATCACTGCTCAAACGCCCCACCTTCTAACGCCATCACACTAGGGGTTAGATTTCAACATATGAAATTTGGCAGGGATACAAACATTTCATCTATATCACTCACTTAAATGAACCTAGAAAGAAGGATTCTGATCAAGGTTGGTAGTTCCATGATAATCAGGGACCCACGATCCTTCTATCTGGTCACTCAAATTACCCTCAACATAAATAGTTCATCTCCCATCCAAGATGGCATTTCAAAATTAAATCATCGTGTATACATTTTATCCTATAGAAAGTAAGAAGGAAGGAAGAAGGGAGAAAGAAGCAGCAGTAAATAAGCCACCCACTGTATTCCCCATTTTGGAATTGTTCCTACACAGCACATGTTTACTTAAATTACATTGTCCAGAAATAAGTCAGATTGCTATACCAAAGCTTCCAAGAAGGCAGAGAAATGTCATCTTTATTATATATGGTTATATGCCCAACTAAAAAGGTCGAGAGGAGGGTGTGGGGCAGTCCTCTAAGGAAAAAGGAATGACCGTTTATTGGAGGTTAATTAGCAGCCTTTGCTGCAATGCTAGACAATAAACAACTATATTAAATTTTGACTGCGAGCAGTATTGGAAGCAGATCCTGCAGTTGAGTGTGGCCTAATGGTACTGGCCTGTAGCCTGTTAAGAATTAAGACACACAGCAGGAGGAGAGCAGCAGGTGACTGAGTATTACTGCCTGAGCTCTACTTCCTGTCAGATTAACAACGGCATTAGATTCTCATAGGAGCAGGAAACCTATTGTGAACTGTGCATGTGAGGGATCTAGGTTGTGTACTTCTTATGAGAATCTAATGCCTGATGATCTGAGGTGGAACAGTTTCATCCTGAATCTGTCTCCCCACCCTTCTCATTCGTGAAAAAAATATGTCTTCCACAAAACTGTTTCCTGGTGTCAAAAGGGTTGAGGACTTCTGGTCCAATGTGTAGGCCATAGAGCTGGTCTCATAAAAAGAATGTTCTAGGGGCAGGGAGGCAGGCTTGCCAGTCCCATGGCTATGGCTCTTTGCTCTTTTCTATGGCTCCTTACAGCATTTCTGTCTGTAGTCATTCCATCAAAGCCCCTGTTTGCCATTGCTTGATTATCTCACACATTTTTAGTTGAGTTCAGTAAGCTGCAGTGCTCTAAAGGATCACTGTTGTGAACTTTTTGGCCATTAGATTAAAATAGGTTTATTTTTATTATTACTATGATTATCATTGTTATTACAGGTCTGTTGGGAGATGGATTAGCACATTAAAACAGTCATATCAGGTTTTAATATCTGCTTTAGGCTTTACTAGCTGTGTGATCCTAGGAAAGATTCTTAATCCTTCTGGCCTTCAGTTTTGTCATATGGTAAATGGGGACAATAATGACTACTTAAAGAATCGTTGTTAAGGTTAAGGATAAAGATAACACCTGGCACAGAGTTGGTGCTCAATAAATAGCAATTATTACAAACAAAACTATTAGTTTGAACTGATCCTAACACAATAAACAGAAATATAAACTTGTTGGGGGGTAGAGAATTAAAATAGTTCAAATACCTACTGTGCTCCAGGTATTTTAAATGCATTTTTTTCCACTCCCTATTACAATTTTTTGAGAGAGATAATCTTATGTCCCTTTAACAGATGAAGATACCAGGGTTCTAATTATTTAGAGATTTTTTCCTAAGGTGACTTCGTTAGTGAGTGCTAGGATGGAGATTTGAACTGTGATCTCTCTGTTTCCATTATGGTCCAGATTGTTTAAATTCAACTATACTCTTTCACAATTAAGGAAATGGGACAGAGTAGAGTCAAGAGACTTTTCATGATCCCAAACATAGTTGCAGAATATTAGATTTATGACATCTAGCCCAGAGTATTTTTCTTTCCTCCCTGCTACTATATTTAACTTATATTTCTCTTCCACTACATTTGGCTATACTCTTCGTATGATAAAGTTTTTCTAAAATTTCAGTGTATTATATTGTTTTGCTGATTCACATTTTTAATATACTGAGTAGCCTTTTTAGCAAGCAGACCTATGTTTTATATGGTGATTTTTGTTTCCATGGCTCAAGTGAATCGAATGGATGTCTTTTCAGAGAAGTGAACAGATGTTGGATATATTTCTGAATACTTCAGAAAGATTGGACTGGTTATACACATGGAAGAGTTTATTTGCTACTGATGATAAATTGGAACTGAATGCATCATGATTCCAACCTGTCGATGCATGCCATGTGAAACAACAGTCCTCTCTCTAGCAGGACTGGGTTTCTTTCCATGCAGAGGTTTTGTGCTGTGAGGTTTGTTGTTAATGGTGTCTGTACGGTTCCTTTGTCTTTCTTGTACATAATGAAAATTGACCTAAGGTAACACATCTTTTCTTTGTCTCTGTTACTAAGTCATGAATAAATTAGTCTTGCTTTCTACTCTGAGGCCCAGATCAATATTCTACTGGAATGTTGATTGTTTTAGTGAATGGAAATGAACTGGCAGAATGCCATTCAGAATACTTGAGCACAGGCTAATGAAACATTTGCATGGGTGGATGAAAAGGCCCCCTGATAGAAATTAAGAGTAACATTTGCATAGTTTCCTGCTATTTACAAGCACTTGCACATATGTTTAATTCTCACAACCACTCCATGAAAAAAAAAAAAAACAAACAAAAAAAAACAAAGTACAGTTTGGTCATCATTTTACAGATGAGGATAAAGAGGTTTAGAGAGATTTTGAATTGCTCATGGTCACAGAATGACAAGACAAAGCCAAGAGTCACACCCAGATCTTCTGGCTTTCATTCCTGATGTTCTTTCTTCTGGTGAGCTCCATCTCTCCAGATCTGGGCCCTTTCTTCTGAATATTTCTTTTCTCTGTGACTTAGTATTTTTTTTGCTTAAGAAATAGATGGTGTAGCCCATTACGTTTATTTTCTGCTCTGTTCTCTAGTAAATCACTCAGGATAAGAGAAACATTTAACTCTTGGCTCGAAGGAGATTAAGGATTATTTGTGCCATTGGACAACCCCAAGCAGGCTGCTCAACATTAAAGCATATGGAGTCAAAGTATGTTTGCATTCTCTTGAGGCTTTTGCCGCTCTGTAGAAATTGAGTAGCTGGATTATAGGTCAATGTTCTGCTTATGTTTCCAGTTTTTGTGAAATATGAAATGAAAGGAGATTGGAATGGGACGGGAGGAAATAGAATGGTTAAATTGCCCTGCAAACCTATTGATGATGGGTACAATACACAGGGCAGATCAGAGCCTTTCATATATCAAAGATTCACAGCTGGTCAGCATTTTCATTTTTCTAGGGAAAAAATGTTTATCTACACATTACACATGGAACTTCAATTAAGAGAAACAGAAATTCAGAAATGCTATAAAACATTTAGATACGTTTTTGTCTCAAGGAGGCTTCTGTTTAAATAAATCAGGATAGAAAAAAGTGAGTTTCCCAAAGCTCTGGTCTTTAATGAGACAGGTGGTCTGCTGAGGACAAAAGATGGAGAGGAAGAGAGTGGTAAGAAGTCTGCTGAAACCAGAGCTACATCGGGGTCCCAGCAGAGGAGTGTCAGCAAACTCTTGCCTCTGAACTTCATGCCAGCACACACTACTAAAGTAAGGGAATGAATGTGATGAAGCAAAGGCTTGGTGTGAGGTAGCTTTGCATCCAACAAACATTTGTGCCATGTTCAAAAGTAAGTAAGATCCAGGCCCCGATATTGAACATACCAGCCAGCTAGAGAGAGAAGTGAATAAATATTACAATTCAGAACAGCACGTCCTTTAATACAGTTGGAAAAATGGTATAAATGACAGGACTTACTAAATGGTGACTATAGGCAAGATTTATTATGTACCATTCATTATTTGATTATATCCTACTAATGATCCTGTGAAGAAGCTACTATTTTATTCCCAATTACAGATAAGAAAGTAGGGATCAAAGACTGGCATAGTTAGCAGGTGAAAAATAGTCCCTCCCCCCAGGAAAGTGATCAATGGTAGACTGCAATTCTTTAAGAAAACATTTATGAATGCTTTAGATGATGTAGGGCATTTAAAGGTAAGTTATCCATAGCCCCTGCCCTCACAGAGTTTATAATAAGTGAGAAGAAATTAGACAAATCTGATAATCTTCAAGATTCAGTGAGAGATGGGATGAGGTGAGTGTCACAAAAATCTTCACTTCAAGGAGGATATGGGGGTTACAAAGAAGTTCCATGGGTGAATTGCTTGTGGTGGCAATGGAGAAGAAAGCTTTTGGATCTTCAGAAAAGAGGGTCCTCAGGTTCATGGTGTGGCTTGTGAGTACTATATAATGTAATATTAATGTTATAAGACACCACTTCATATTCTATTAAGAAAGCATTCAGTCTTATACACTTGGTCATCTACAAACAGAAAAGCTGAGTTATAACCAACACTGAATTTGCATGAGGTACCTAAGGCTAAAGATCTTTTCTGCAGGAATGCCTTAGAATTCTGGAGTGATGGAGATGCCAAATGCCTCTCCCAAGAAAGGCTAGAAGAGACAATAAGCTACTAATTCCTCTGTCCTCTTCCTCACTATGCCCCATCCTGTTATTGCATGAAAGAGCCAAGAGAATGCCTGACACTGAGAGGAGCAGGAGACATTTTCCTGAGACCCAGGTGGAAATATTTGCTGTAATATCCCATAAGTTAGGAGGACTTGAACATATACTGGTGGAATTATCACTTAGGGAGCAGGATCATCACTCTTGATGCATAATGTGTCTGCTTCTGTCATGATAGTGCAAGATAAATACTCAAACAGGAGCTGGCACATGTGAGGGCAGTTCAAGGTGACCATGTAAGAGACTATCTGAAGAAGTGAGGATGTTTAAATAAAGGATAGACGATGCTGAGGTAACAGGGGAGTCATTACTGGAGGCAGGAATATGGAAACTCATTACTTACTGGTTTCAAATAACTGACTATGTAAGGAGACTTTGGTCTTGCTCTGTTGATTGCAGGGATTTCAAGGTAGGCATTGGGTGGAAGTTACCAGGAAAATCATTTCAGTTTAATGTAAGTTAGATCTTTTTGAAAGAGCCTTCAGTTAGAATTGAAACTGCTCTGAATTTCTTTCTACATCTGTCAAGTCTGGAATCACATCTACTTTAATTATTAAAAATCTAATATTGGGCAAGGTGCAGTGGCTCACGCTTGTAATTCCAGCCCTTTGGGAGGCCCAGGCAGGAAGATCACTTGAGGTCAGGAGTGGGAGACCAGTCTGGCCAACATGGTGAAATCCTGTCTCTACTAAAAATACAAAAATTATCCGGGCGTGATGACGCATGCCTGTAATCCCAGCTACTCAGGAGGCTGAGGCAGGAATCACTTGGACCCGGGAGGTAGAGGTTGCAGTGAGTTGAGATCACGCCACTGCACTCTAGCCTGGGCAACAGAGCCAGACTCCATCTAAAAAAAAAAAAAAAAAACCTCCAATATTGGATTCTATTGTACCTCACCATTGTCCTGCACTATCTTGTGAAACACACTGACTTTAGATTTGGAGTGCCTAGATTTATATCCAGGTTCTTCCTCTTGCTAACTCTGTGCATTGGGTAAGTCACTTAATAACTTAAGGTTTAATTTTCTCATCTGTAAGATGGGTCTAACAATAATAGTTAAAAGGTTTAAATGAAATAATACCTATAGCAGTTGAGCCTGGTCCCTGGTATTCAGTAAGTATTAAACATGATAATTAATTTTATTTTTCTTGGCATGTCTATTTTTATATGCTAATGTCCAAATCAATAAACTTAGCCCAGACCTATCTTCTTGACTTTAGATCTTATCCCAAAGCTATTGAAAAAAATCTTTCCTTACACATTCCATAAACAGTTTGATTTCAAATGTCAAAAGCTGATTTCATTGCCTTCTTCTTTAAACATGATCCTGCTCCTGTTTGGTCTGTGACAGTGAATGCCACAATGATCCAACCAATCTCTCAAGACAGAAGGGTGTGCGTTACCCTAAATTTCCTCCCATAGCCCATACACCTAATCAATAACCAATCATTGATATAAATCTATCTCTTAAATAACTCTTGTATATCTTCCATTCCTCTACTATTATTTCTCATTAGACTATTACAAAACTCGAGAAAAAGAAACACACACACACAAACAGGCACACACACAAATGTCTAACTTAGTTTTGCATCAAAGTTATGACAAACTTTGGAAAGAAGTGACACGTTTACAATATTTACTCTTCCAGGAACACAGAACATTCTTCATGTATTCAAATATTTCATGCTTCTTGCTTAGGTTTTATAGCTTCTTTCATAATCATCTGGCTATCATTCTTCCAGACAAGCCTATTTTTTTCCTCTCTTCCCTCTAAAACTCTCCTGCTATATTATCTAGTCTTTCCTCATATATTTACAGTGATATTCTTCATCTCCCAATGTACCTCCTCCGCCTTCCAATAATTCTGACCACTTCATTATTACTGGCATTAAAATCTGTATATTGGTACTCATGACTCTTTGGGGTCTTAGAATATATGAAAAAGTTTGATGCTGAACTGGATCACAGAGTTTTCACCTTTCATGGTGCCTACTGGTGTTATGGAAGCAAAGTTATAGATGTCTCTAGTCCAGTCTCCAAGGTTACATTTTCCCATAGATTATACAAGTCACAAAAATCCCTTTTCCCATTAACACATTTCCCAATGCCTCATTAGTTACAAATGCCATCATATCAACATAATAATTCAAAAGCCATAGTCTGTTTTCCAATACCAATGGCTTCACCTGATTTTGGATTCCAACAACCTGTGACCATCTCAAGCAGTGTGAAATTCACCCGGAGACAGAAGAGGAGTGACCTTTGCTCTCTTTATGGCTTTGAAAGCTTCTATTTTTATTTGTCTCAAGACACATAGCATCTTCCTGTGAACTCTGAAAAGTTTTCTGGATCTGGATCTGAACATCTTAGTATGAAGAGTATCACTGAGTTCTCCCCCATTAACATAATTAATTGGTCCAAAAGTACAAAAATACTACATAACAACAGGAAAAGGCTAAGATTTTCTAAGACGATATGGAGTGCAGTTTAACTCTTATAGTTGGAACAATAAGTATGATGAAATCACTTGGGAAGAACTTATAGATGAAAAGAAAAGGAGTGAGCCTGAGAAAACCCAGTGTTTAAAGGGGAGATGAAGGGAGAGGATGCTCTAAAGAAGATGGAGAAAGATCAGGCAGAGTTAGATATCAACTGGAAGGTAACGGTATCATGAAAATGAATAGATTGATGAATGAAGGAGTCAACAAAGTCAAATAGCTCAGAAAGGTCAAGTAAGATAATGTTTGCTTTCAGAAAAAAAAAGGTACAGCATCTCTGGAGGGCATTTTGAAAGTATCCATCACTTTTTAAAAAGCACAGATCCTTGAGACTTAGCAATTCCATTTCCAGAAATTTTACCATGCAAACGGTACTTCAACAAATGCACAAAAATTTTATATATATATATATATATATATATATACACACACACACACACACACACACATACAGGAAAGTTTATTATAACTTTTCTGTTATGGTAAAATCCATTACAGCATATTAACACAATAAAATATAGTTCATCTCTTAAATACTGTGATCAGTATATACTTATTGGGAGAGCCTCTGAAGCATATTATTGAAAAAGTAACATCATAAGAGACTATGAATAGCAATTTAATGAGAGGTTAAGCAAGAAGGAGCATAGCTCTCTGACTTCAAAGTCAAGATCTGCTACTTACCTGATATAGGATATTGGGAAATTTCTTAATCCCTCTGTGTCTGTCACTTCATCAGTGTAAACAAAATAAACAAGATTCTCCTACCTTCTCACTATTCTTGGCTTTGTATGACTACTCCAGTTGGCTCAAGTTTTTTGAGCCTTTTAACTGTAAATAATGATCTCAATTCAGTAATTAAGATGTCCAATTTCTCCATAATAGTCTCAAGTCAGTAATGAAAATGTCTAGTCTCAGGCCAAAACTCCCACATCTCTAATACCTACAACGAAAGAGAGAGAAGGTTCTTTTCATTTGGTAATTAGGAAGTCATTGGTGACTTCCACATGGGTGGTTTCAGTGGAGTAATGAGGGAGGAGAGTTCAATTGTAGTGGGAGAAAGAAAGAATGAAAGGTAAAGAATGGATTAAACAAATGTAGGCAGACTTTTGGAGCAGCTTCAGAGGAAAAAGTTAAAATAGAGGAAAGAGGTATATTTCTGAGGAGATGGAATGAATAGATGTAATTTTCAGCTCATGGGGTACATTAGTTTTGGAATAGAGGCTACTAGAGTACACATCAACTGGAAGCTGAAAGGGTTCTTTCTTGGTACCTTGTATTTACTCTCTGAAAGAGAGAGATTATATTATGGACTCAAAGAAGGTGGTGGAATTTGGAATAGTTTCTGAAGGAACATGAGACAAGGGAACTTCCTAGAGTCATCTCTAGGATTTCTGAGCAGCTTTAAGAGCAGGTCTGAGTTTGGAGATGTGTTGATGGAAGGGTAGAATTAGTGTGGCTCTGTGATTTTCCCTGGAATCCTTCCTTAGAACCAGGATTGCAGGCATAAAGCATGCCTTCAGGGCCATGCCACAGGCAGTCTCAGAGGAATCAAAGCACAAAATGGGCCAAAGACAAGATCTGACCACCTCACTATTTTGCTGCAGGCCAGTTCCAGTAGACAGCAAACCTATCAAATAAAGAGTTACAGAAAATACATTTTTGCATAACTTCCCCTTTGAAAATGCAGTACCTTGATTTTCCTGTTTAAAAACATGTTACAAAACACACAAATCATAGCCACTATGAGTAGCTTTATGCATTAACACCTAATTCATCAACACACTGAAATCAAACCTTTGGGTTTCTTTGTTTAATTCATGAGTTTCTCTCCATCCTATTCATTACACAGCCTTTCTCCTTCACTAATAATATCTACCTCATGGGGCTTTATTCTGTAGGATGCTGAGTTGGTCCCATTATATAAAAACAAATATTTTCTGCTGAGTATCATAGTTCATTTTAATGGTCTATTACCACCTTTTTGAAAATGGGATATTTGTACATGGTGACACTCTATAAAGAAACTGTTACTAGGGAATTAGTCGTATGTTCCTTTCATCAGAGAATCCTTAATGGTCATATTCAAGAGCTCTAAGGTTTGTGGAACTTCTGAGTGCATGGCAGTACTCAAGATCCAGGAAGAAAACAAAGAACAAACCTGCAAAGAAAAATGGCCCCAATTCAAAGCTTATATAGCTTAAGTACTTGGAAGCTTTATACCTGAATCATTGGAGGAGAAATCGAGGAAAACCCTATATGTCATTTGTAAAAATTCACATTTTATTCATTTTGTTGCTTTAGAAAAAAAATAATAAATCATAATTACTCAGAAATGAGGCACTGTGGCACTGTCTTTGTGTTGTTATAAGGGAATACTTGAGGCTGAATGATTTATAAAGAAAAAAATTTTTATTTGGCTCATGGTTCTGCAGGCTGTACAAGAAGCATGACAGGAGCATCTGCTTCTGGTGAGGGCTTGACATTGTGTGTCTGTGTGTGTGAGATATATATATATATACACACACATGTATATATAGAGAGAGAGAGAAGGAGAGAGAGAGAAAGCCAGAGTGAGCGAGACAGGGCGGGGGTTGAGGGAGGTATGCCAAGCTCTTTTCAATAACCAGTTCTAGCAAGAACTAAGAATGAGAACTCACTAATTACCAAAAGGAAGGCACCCAGCAGTGCATGAGCGATCCAACCTAATGCTCCAAACACTTCCCACCAGCCCCCACCTCCAACATTGGGTATCAAATTTCAACATGAGATGCGGAGGAGACAAACATCCAAACTATAACGGATACAATAGAGAAAAATGAAATAAAATGAAAGTCAAGAAGCTACAGTCTTCCCCTTAGATTTCAATTTCTCGCACAAATTTTATCTACTTGCATCTCTGTATTAGACTGGGAAGCACTAGCATTCATTCTGAATCCATTTAACTATGATACAAACACCCTAGAATGCAGGTGCCCTTTGCACTAGTGGTAAAATCAGCCTTTGGTAATCAAGGTATCAGAACCAGCCTGTTTCTTCTTCTATGAAGGGGGTTTCTTCTTCTATGCATCTCCAAGTTCCTTTTTAGTATTAATACGCATTAGCATTCTAAATGACCTCTATTCTCAAGTGCTTATAATCAAAAGTGCCAAATAAGATGACTTGGGTATAAGAGCATAGGTTTTGTAGGCAGTAAGATCTTGTTCATAATCTAGTTCCTGTTTTTACTAGCTATGTTACCTTGGGTAAGTTACCTAAGGTTTCTAGGCCTCATTTTCTTCATCTGTAAAAGGGGCTAATAATTCCTACTTTATGGCATTATTGTGAGAATGAATTGAAGTATGCTAAGTACTAAGCACCATAACTATCACATGGTAAGTGCCCAGTAAATGGTAGATGTAATTAATATTAATGAATACTCATACAACTAAAGAGGTGCATGTAGTATTTTCTGCATATGGAAATCATTTCACTGTACATTCACACCAATTTGGGTAATAAATGCTAGAAAGCCTAGTAGGATCCGCTTTAGCCCCCAAATACTGTTCACATCTCTATGACAGAGGTTACTGAACCAACTGTGTCACAGACTAGATGTGAGCTCTCATCTGCAAGTCATCTACGAACATTTAATGAGTACATAATGCATCCTCAAGGAATTTATGATCTAATGGCTACCTGACTATCTATAGGTGTTTAATAAAGATGTTTTAAATAAACGCAGAAATGAGTGAATAGGCTAATGGAATTAATCTTGGAAAATTTACACAGGACAAAATTTTGATCATCAAACTTAATTTTGAAAACATTTCTACCGCACTGATCTATTGAAATACCTAGATAATCGTAGTCTGATGTGCCTAGGATTTGATGCATGCTTGCCTTTGTTGTTTATATTTCATTGAATACATTATGGCCCAATATTAATTATCAGTTGTTTTATAAGAAATATTAATTTGGTGATGATTGTAACGATAGGTCTAGAGAAGGCATCATTATCATCCTTTATTTATATATATGTACACAAAGATGTCTGAGCAAAACCTTCTCTCCCACTGTTTCTTCAACTGGCATAATTGTACGTACCTTTCTAAGTGCAGTTAAAATGTACCTCCTATATGAAGTTTTTCTTAATTCATTCTTTGTGCTTTCATAGCTCTTATTATGCCATTAGTACCTGAAATATTTATTATATATGTTATCCCCAATAGATTTAGATAATATATTATGTATTATATATGTTATAAATGCTTCTAGCATTTATAAATTTGTATTATGTTTGTTTCATATTTACCTGTCTTACTCTCTCAATACCTACACACACAAGTCACATATAAAGACATACACTTTAAGCCCTTTGATGACAGAGAATATGCCTGGGTTATAACTTGTACTACTAATGTGTGAAGAGAGGATGTCCCATCATTAGACATCCGCTGGATAACATTTTTCATTTCAGGGTCCAGCACAGCGCTTATCATATGTGCATGCAGTAAAGGTTTGATGATTCTAATGAAGTGAAACCCACAGTATAATTCAGCAGGAACTGACTATAACCTTTATATTAATATTTGCTTTTTTTCCTTTTTTTTTTTTAAGTGTAAAATCTTGTGCTCTGAGGTTGTTATTTTTTGAACCAAAGTTGACCTTCCAGGCCATTGGTTTCTAGAATAGAGTTTTTTTTTTCTTTTTACATTATGAAGCTTTGGATTCTGGTTATTTCTGTCAGACTGAAACATCCAAGTAATTCATACTGCGCCTGTCTTCTGGGTGATGAGAAGTCTGCAGAAGTTATGCTGGCCCCCTGCCTGGCTCTGACAAAGATAAAGTAAATGCCAAAGAATTAAAGTCCAAGGAAGTTGTCAAGAAGTTACTTTCTTCTGTTTACCCTCATACATTTTCTTAATTGCCAGCTTCTATAAACAACTGGCATCTTTTATTTTGTACCTGATTCAAATTCTTCGAAAAGTCCTTCTTTTCATTTACAGCCACGGAGGTGGTCAAACCCTGTGGTGTCAAGTACTCCATACTGATTCATTTGAATTTAAATAACCTGTTTTTTATGGGAAAGGGATTATTTTCTTCCATCTACTGTGTGCATAGATTACTTGAAGCCACATAGTTACTTATTAACCACTGCAAACCAGTGCTAGAGAATACAGCCGCACCCCCACCTTGAAAATTTTTAAGAGCCCACAGCTTTGCTTTTTATGGAAAACTAAAAACAGACAAACAGAAAATTCCAAAACAAAGCTTTAGATATTTCAGAGCTGGCCCCCTTCTCAGAAGTTTTCGGGAAGATATCTCACACCATCATCATTGTGGAAGAAATGTGACAAATTATTGTGTAGTTCTTTTCACTGAGTTAGCCTGAATGTTGTGAACCAGGTTTCCTATGTCCATCCAGTTGTGGAGATGCCCCACTGGAAATATGTTCTACTGGAGTGCGTGCAATTAATAAAATCAAGCACGGGAAATATTCACCTGTGGTGCTAGCCACTCTATGCAAAAACATTATTAAATATAACTATGGGCCTGGCGCGGTGGCTCACGCCTGTAATCCCAGCACTTTGAGAGGCTGAGGCTGGCGGATCACGAGGTCAGGAGATCGAGACCATCCTGGCTAACACAGTGAAACCCCATCTCTACTAAAAATACAAAAAATTAGCCGGGCATGGTGGTGGGCGCCTGTAGTCCCAGCTACTCAGGAGGCTGAGGCAGGAAAATGGCGTGAACCCAGGAGGCGGAGCTTGCAGTGAGCCGAGATCGTGCGACTGCACTCTGGCCTGGGTGACAGAGCGAGACTCTGTCTCAAAAAATAAATAAATAAATAAAGATAATTATGGATGGTCACTTAATAGCTTATCCTTGTGTTCGATGAGAACCTTTCCCAAACTTTCAGGACAAGTGATCTACAATCTGCTCCTCAGGCTTTGGGTAAAAATAACTAACCTTATTTTAGGCCCCTTTATATATCAGATATTGATAGTTACTTGACATATTTTATTTAACCCTTAGAAAAGGTACCTATTATAACGCCCATTTTACTGATAATAATTTGAGGTTCAGAGACGTTCAATAGTTTGCCCAAGAGCACATAGCTAGTAGTTGGAATATGAAGGGTGTGAACAAAGCCTGTCTCCCTTCATAACCAGTTCCCTCTCTCTTATCCCTGACTGCTTCCTCTTTATCCAATTTTGAAAGTAGGAGTGCCTGTAGGGTAAGGTCATGGTTTTGAAACTCTTCGGTAAATTTTCCATGCTAAGCTGTTAACTTTCTTAATGCAACTCTGCAGGGGTACAGATAATCGAGAATGTGCTGCAGTATGAATTTTCTATAAATGAGAGATATGTGTTTCTTTAGCACTGCAGGTTCCAAATTCAAGAGAATTTGTGTGTCTTGAAACAATGGCAGAGGATGAGGGAGAGGCCTTTGACTTATCCTATGTCAGCCACACAGCGCTCAGGCACCCACAGAACCCTCATTATTTTCTACATACAGGAATTATTAGTTTCCCACACTCCCCATTTTCTTTTCTTGGTCTGCTTAAAAAATTACTTCATTCCCATAAGACATCTTTTTTTTTTTTTTTTGAAATGGAGTCTCGTTCTGTTGCCCAGGCTGGAGTGCAGTGGCACGATCTCAGCTCACTGCAAGCTGCGCCTCCAGAGTTCATGCCATTCTCCTACCTCAGCCTCCCAAGCAGCTGGGATTACAGGTGCCCGCCACCACGCCCGGCTAATTTTTTGTATTTTTAGTAGAGACGGGGTTTCACTGTGTTAGCCAGGATGGTCTCGATCTCCTGACCTAGTGACTCGCCCGCCTCTGTCCCCTAAAGTGCTGGGATTACAGGTGTGAGCCACCGCGCCCGGCCTCCAATAAGACATCTTACATGTATGTATAGTGCCTTGCACACTATAATTTCCAGATGCTCTTTTGAAAGGAAACTTTACCAGGTGGCGAAATAAGATAATCTCTTATTGCTGGAGGAAGTGAAGAAATATTTTTCACACTAGGAGATGCTCAGACAGATATGAGCCTCTCATTCTTCTGAATTGGGTTGAGGATCATTCCATGTGAAGCAGTGGGATAGGCTTAGAATACATAGATGGACCTTTGAAAAGACCCATCTCAGCCCCCGGGAAAACTCAGGAATGATTTCTGGATTCTTAATATACTGCATCTTCATGTATAGACGGCCACGTATTGGGGAAGCAAAAAATAAACATTTAGAAACAGGCAGGTTTGGGTTTAAATTCCCCATCTACCACTTACCAGCTCTGTATCTCTGGGCAAGATACTGACTGTTTGAACTTCTTTACTCATCAGTAAAATGAGAATGACATAGAAATACTTAAGTGGGTGATTATAAGGATCAGAGGTAACATATATAAACTACCTGGCACAATGATTCAACACATGGTAGGGCTTTAACACCTGCTTGCTTCTATGGTTATTTTCCTTGTCATATTTCAAAAACATCAGACATTGCTTTATAAGAAGCAGGCTTGTATGCCCATTGGCTGCAGGGGCATTTTTGCTGTTCTGCCAACTAGTGAAAGAAAAGTTAAAAGCCCTATACACCTATTCTTCTGTAGAGAAGTCTTGGCCTTAAAAAACAAACAGAAAACCCAAAGCAATTAGTGGTCTAAATTGTTCTCAAGTTATGGGTGAAATCTCTGCTTTGTAAGAGATAAGATTCCCCTATTTTAAGAGAACCATCCTTCCAGATTTGAGGGAATAATAATTATATAGAACATTTTACAGTGTACAGGATGATTTTACTAACCTGCATTATGATTTTTCTGCAAAGGAAATCTATGTGGTCCCTTAGTATTGCAGGTGAGGAAACTGGGGTAACACCTGGGAAATAAAGAGCTGGGTCATCAGATTCTACATCCCATGCTCTGAAGCTGCTTATGTAATGGTTATAACTGCTCTCTCTGTTTCTAAGGAAAGAAGTTACAAAAACTGCATTACTTGTTTCTGGTCCACAGAGATTTCCTTTAGAAAGTTACATCTTCATCAAATTCACTAAAAGGGCCCAATTCCTGAGTAGGCCTTCCTGGACAGACTGATTTGGCAGTCTAATCACCTCGCATCCTGCCCCCCAACCCAAGTAACTAGCACAGCCTCAAAAGTGCCTACTGTATACCCAGAGACACACAGAGCATCTACCTTAAAATGTATTAACAGGTGTCTACATAGTGATGGAAAATAAATTGATTTAACTGTGGCCAGAGCTTGAATAGAGTAGAATTAAGTTTAGAATGAAAGATATCTCTTTAATCACCAGCTTAGACTAGAGAAGAAAAAAAATACTGGTAAGGAAAAAATTACTGTAGCATTATTTTAAGGACTCTTTTTTATGCAGGTAATTTTTCTTGATTCTTTTAAAATAGCTAAATCAATTTGCAGGTGCTCTCTGGGGTTTCTTGATAGAAAAATAAAAGACTTTGTCTTTTCTTTGTGTCATTTCTCAGGGCTACTACAAAATTGGGCACCTTGACTGTTCAATGCACATTATATTGAAAAAGGAAAGCACTTAGTCTCCCTCTCTACTTCATTCCAGCTAGGAGGTAAAACTGTCCATGTAGAGTGGGGAACCTCTAGCTGTGGTTTACAGGTAGCACAGCAGGCAGGTACATGTCTTCTCTTCTGCTTCATTTATGGTGGATTCTATCTTACTTAATTCCTATCTCCTTGTCACCTTGATTGTAAGCAACAGGAAGGCAGGCACTCTTATTGTTTCCCATTATATACCCAGAACTTCATATGGTGCTTGGTACATAGGAGCTATTTGATTTAAAATTTCTTTGATCTATGAGTGATTGCAGAAATTTAAAGTGTATCTCTTTCCGTCACTTTAAAATTTCTCATTATAGCAAAATATGTATCTGGATTTGATTTATACTCCATACAAATTTATTCCTATGCAATTTAGGTAGGAAAAGCTTTGTATATACAAAGCTGCAGGAGTTGGCTTTAGTTTACTATAAGTATTATTTTTCAGGACTTTGCTGTGTTACTTGGATGAATTGGTTACTCTAAGTTTGAAAGTCATTGAGGAAATTTTAGTGGTAATTTAGGAGTAAGGTTTGGTAATTCAAGCTCCTGTAGAAACTTATAAAGAAATCAACCTGTCTTTTTTTAATACACACACACACACACACACACACACTCTACATATACACACACACACACACTCTACATATACACACACACACACACACGCGTGCGTATATATACATATATACGTATGCATGTGTGTGTGTGTGTATATATATATATAAAACATATCCACACACACATACACACATGCATACATATATATACATATATACGTATGGATGTGTGTATGTGTGTGTGTGTATATATAACATATCCACACATGTACAGTTTCATTCTTTGACAAAAATGGACATTTTTACTTCCTCTAATAGGAACTGGCATTTATTCAACAAACTCGTATAGAATTTATTGTATGCAGGTAATGTTCTAAGCATTTTACAAATATTGAACTAATATATAATCTTCATAATCTGATGAGTTAGGTACTGTTATTATGCACAGCAAGATTAAGCTCTTGCCCAAGGTAATCCAAGCTTGAAAGTAGAATTGAGCCAGAGTTTTTAACTGGGTAGTCTGGCCTTGGAGCCACTTAAACTACGCTGCCTCACTGAAGCGAAGCATATAGGGAGAGATAGGTCAAATCCAGGCTACTATACAGAAAAACACCAGGTTTGGAGCACCCCAGAGTTGCTGACTCTCCCGGAAACATGCAGTTTTTCTCATCATTAGGCTTTGAGCTTGTTTTAAGGATGGATTCAGAAGGAAGGGGAATCTTTGAGAAGCCCATCTCCGGAAATCAAAGTGAAGGGCAACTGAGAAGGACATCTCTGAAGGAAGTCAATAGTAGCTAATAATAGCTAACATTTATTGAGCGCTTACTATGGGTTAGGCAATTTCCTAAAGACTTTATGTGAATTAACTTATGTCATCTTCAACATAACCCTTTTAAAAGAGGTATTATTGTTATCTTCACTTTATATATAGTGAAGCTGAGACAGAGAGAGTTTGAATAATTTGCTGAAGGATATGCAGCTGTGTGGCAGAAGCTGGGATTAAAATTCAGAAAGCATGGATTCAAGGTCTGTTCTCTTAACTACTGTACTGTTAACAGTGTTAAGGAAAAGAGACCATGGACTGTGTGTGACTCTAACACCTGGTTCCCCAGATCAGTTTCCCCAGAGGGAAAAGTGATCAGAAGTAAAAATTTTGTTTATTTTTTAAATGTAAAAAAATTTTCCAAATCAATAGTTGTTTTTTTTTTGTTTTTTTTTTTTGTTTGTTTGTTTTGAGACAGAGTCTTACTCTGTCACCCAGGCTGGAGTGCAGTGGCCTGATCGCAGCTCACTGCAACCTCCACCTCCTGGGTTCAAGCAATTCTCCTGCCTCAGCCTCCTGAGTAGCTGGAATTACATGCGTGCACCACCACGCTTGGCTAATTTTTGCATTTTTAGTAGAGATGGGGTTTCACCACGTTGGTCAGGCTGGTCTTGAACTCCTGACCTCATGATCGTCACGCCTTGGCCTCCCAAAGTGCTTTGATTCCAGGTGTGAGCTACCATGCCTGGCCATCAATAGGTCTTTTATTGTATTGTTTATATATCACAAATAGGTCTTAGGAATCATCCAGCATCTTGTTTCTGTAGCTGGGCAACTCTTAGACCTTATTCATCATCCTGCAGAACTGTTCCTTTTTCAGACACATAGATACCATCCAAAAGTTTTCTGATATCTTTGTTTTTAACTGTTGTGGCTTGCTGAATCAAAGCAGCTGAATTTGAAATAAGCTCAATGTTGTTTCCTTCAAAGATTAATTCATCGTTCTGGGCTTGAGATACCAAACAAGCAACATTTGGCCTTATCCAAACCCTGAGGATTTATTTTTCATCCAAGAAATTTCGGATGTCAACAAGAGACCCATTCTCCTAGATAACGACATTGATAGGGAAGTGAGCATGTGCAGACCTCGTCTTGTAATGGAAGCCCACTGTTAACACCCTTGATCATGTTCTGTGCATGACTACAAAGAGTACAGACAGTAGCCAGGTCTTTTCTGTTTCTCCATTTGTCAACCGGAGCCTCTTTTTCTTTCCAAGGAGACTGAGTTCTACATTGATATGACAGAAGTCCCTTCACAGGGTTCCTCTGGGGCCCTTCACAATAACTGTGTGTCCCTTCAGAGTAACGTTGACATTTTCTGGAGTGCCGACAGTCTGATTGCTGAGAATAGTCTTCATTCTTGCCATAGATGTGGCAAAGAGTGAAGCAAAAATTTTAGAATTGAAATAGTTCATAGGCTTATTATCTTCAGGAAATTAATAGAATGGGGATGATGAGGAAATTCTATTGTCAGTCTGGAGGGATGAGGAAGCCTACTCAGACAGGTGTGCTGAGCAGCCTGAGAGTGGGAGGTACACTGAGCATAGGAAGGAATTGGATATATCAAGAAGAGAGGGAACTGAGAAAGCAGATATGACCCTGGGAGGGAGCATTGGCATTGAGCAACCCAGGGCCCATGTGTGATTGTCTTTGCTCATTTGGGAAGAGCCACTAATAATGTTTGAAATTAGGACTCCAGAGGTAGTACCAAGTAGCAGGCAGATGTAAGTTGAGAAGTTGAGGAGCATTGGGTTTTAGTCTTAGTAATTAGCCTTATGACCTCACCAATGCCCTGGAAGTAAATGGTCTAGTGTTCCTTCATACAATTTACAAGGCTTGAGGTCAAGCAAACCTTTATAATAAGTATTAGAACTGTCAATGTTATAAGATGGCAACAGCTATTATTTGTTTATGCTTTATTTGTAGAAGCCTTAATGATTCTTTGGTTTTACAAAAAGAAAATAATCAAAAGGTCACTTTCAGACAAAAAAAAAAAAAAAAACACAGATATCTGCAATATGCTGCAGTTGTATTGCCATTTCAGAACATGAAAAATATGTTCAGTATAAAACATCCAATAAAATAAAAAGTATGGCTAGTTGAACAATTTCAAAAAATAACACTCAGATTATATTAGACCAAAATGTCAAAAATAAGCAACTCTTTCCAAATGCTAGAGTCTGGGATCCTATTATCATAATATTGGTTTACTGAATGAGGAAACTTAAATAAATGAGAAGGAACTCATAACATACTTGATAAAATAACTAAATTTAAAAGTTAAAGAGAGCTAAAGACCTAAGTTGAGTATTTTCATGCAGACGTGATGTGAAATTACACTGAGTGCTCTCAGATTTTATCAGTGGTCCTCAGATTGGGTATCCCAGAAGTGCCAATAGAGGTTCTTGAATTATATTCAGTGTTTCAATGTAAATATGCTGGTGATGATAGCCAACAAGCTAATGAAGGTATGAATTGTTACACTGGAATTCTATGAATGCAGTATCAACGGCATGTTGACCAACACTCTAATTTGCTGAACACACACACATACACACACACACAAATATGAAATCAAACTAATAATTTCTGAAGATAATACAGAGTTCTGTGTTAAGTCCCATGGTGAGTTATGGAGTCTCTGGAATATTTGATTTCCTCTGTTCCTTCTACTTCATACTATGGTTCTATTATTAAATTTATAATGAAACAAAAAGTATGGCTAGTTGAGCAATTTCAAAAAATAACACTCATTTAACCTTATAATGGATAAAGTATGTACATTAAAGCCAGACAGACAAAGAAGTTCACATTATAGCTTCATCATTTTGTTGCTTTTAATCTTAAATGATTATTCATCTTAACTTCTTTTGGTCTTAACTTCTTCCCTTCCAAAAATGGGACTGTCACCTATTTTGTTAGGTTGCCATGGGATGTAAATGAGATAACATAGGACAGTGCTTGGCACATAGTAAACCCACACTAAATGCTGATATCATTTCTCTTTCCCATCTTGTCTGTGGTATTATTACTGAATTTTAATGAAAGTTAAATTATCTATTTATATTTCCTCTTCACCTTCCATTTGGTGCCAAGGACACATTTGGACCATGCAGGAGGTTAAGCAAGGATTACAATTGATGTTCTTCCTTATATTCTGTCCATTTTTATTACTCTTGTTGAAATTGCTTATTTGCAATCTGGCAAGATTTCAAGACAATGAATTGAACAACACATCTAATATTGGATCAAAATGAAAGTAGAGGTTGGAACTGCTAAATCAAAGATGAAATCAGCCAAACAAGCAAACACGTTTTCATTCCAGCTCTCTAAGGCAAACATAAGGTAGAGAAACCAGACAGAAAGTAACATAGTTAAGAAAGCCACTGAAGTCATTAGCAGAGGCTAAATGAGCTTCATATTGGCATGTTGTAAATGTTTAACTTTTTTTAAGCCTCACAAAAACTTAAGAGTTCTGCTAGAAAATCTTGTAAGAATCAGATTTTACCTCTTACTTGGCCAGGGTGTCATGTTTTGAAGAGACTGCATCGCACTGTAAACCAAAAGCTCCACACTAAGAGCCATCTCAGGCCATAGACATCAGATCTAAACCAGAGTTCAATCACAGACCACAAAACAAAATGAGCTGCGATGTCTAGAGAGTAGTGCCTGGCACTTTTGCCTTTGGCATTGCTTTGCTCTGAATCTGAACTTCCCCAGACAAGAACAAATGAAGTAATCTTTCTCCCTCTCTTGTCTCCCTTAGATCCCAAGCAGCTGCAGTTTTGGGTTATAGTTTGTCCTGCTACTTAACCACCTGCCTTTTCAGAGGTCCATGACAATTCAATTCAGTTCTTTCAGGCATTTATCAGGCTGCTTCTCTAGGTTAGAACCTATGGGGGATGCTGAAAATTCATCTTAGTCAAAGTCATGACCACTGCTTTCAAGTTGTTCACTGTCTAGCAGCAGAGCTAGGTAATTAAACATTCAGTTCAATATAAACAATGCTGTGATAGAGATACACATCGTGTGGTGGGTTCACAGAAAAGAGTGATCACAGCCTGGGGCTGTTGGGAAACTTTTCATAATCATTGCTATAATCTTTGTAAGGGAAACTCTTTGTAAACTTCTCGAGGTGGCCTTATCTGACTCTCCTTGTAGCCTGTCCTCTGGCCTGCAAAGCCCACTGGACATCGCTTTCTTTGGACACTTACCACACTTCACATAATGGTCTGTTAACCTGTCCATTAAAGAGGACATCCCAGCCGGGCACAGTGGCTCACACCTATAATCCCAGCACTCTGGGAGGCCGACATGGGCAGATCATCTGAGGTCAGGAGTTCAAGACCAGCCTGGCCAACATGGCGAAGACCCGTCTCTACTAAAACGGAAAAAAAAAAAAATTAGCAGGTGTGGTGGTGGGCACCTGTAATCCCAGCTACTCAGGAGGTTGAAGCAGGAGAATTGCTTGAACCTTGGAGTGGGAGGTTGTGGTGTGCCAAAATCGTGCCACTGCACTCCAGTCTGGATGACAAGAGCAAAACGCCCTCTAAAAAAAAAAAAAAATGTGCATCCCTTGAGATCAGAGATCTTAAGTTTATAACTTTTTTCTCCAAGTACCTTATAATAGCAAAGAGCATTATATTAGTTTCTTAAGAAATGTTAATAGAATAAATAAATATAACATTTGAATTAAGACTTACATAATGAGTAGAAGTTTGTCAGGTGTGCATTCCAGAATAGGAAAATGATGTTTCCTCTGCCTAGCATAATAAAAACCGTCATTTTTATGTGTCTGTTTTGTACCCAAAATGACAGTAAGAATTTTACAAAAACTATCTCCAAACATCATAATAATCCTGCAAGGTAGATTTTACTCTCCACAACTCACAGAAATGGAAACCCAGACCACTAGTAGTTGAATAACTTGGCCAAGGAGGCACAGCTGGTAGGTAGCAGAATCAAAATTTGAATCCTAGTCTCCTTAACTTCAATGTCACAGTTATACTACTTTTCAATACTTCTTAATCTGTGTAAATAGCATATAAATCCTAGGCATTAGAATTTTAGGGAGGACTGTGGCTATTTCTCGGCCAAATGAATCTCTGAAGGCTCAGAAGATATATTTCAAACTTTGATTTTTACACACACACATGTGCATATACATACTTCTGTGACTATACATTTGTTTCACTCATATTCTGTAAGCAAAAGAAAAACTTAATCTGCATTGTCCAGATTAGCAAAGGGAAGAAAGGGAAATTTATACATGCACCCTAACTTAGTCAGAAACACCAACATGGTTCCTCCCAAACAATGTCTCATTGGTTTTCTCAAACCATGGTAAACTACCAAGTTCTACATTTTGTCCTTGGCTTTTCACTGTTTCTCATTTATCCTTTAATTAACGATTAAACTGTTTATTGTTAAATGTCATGGTACACATTTTTGTGTGAAGAATGTATGAAGAAGAATTTGGCAGTATGGTGTTGTGGCTAAGAGCACAGATGTTAGAGGTGGACTTCAAATCCTGGCCATACCACTTTCTTAGTATGTGATCTTGGTGGGAGGAGGTTTCTTAACTTCTCTCAGCTTTACTTTCCTCATCTGTAAAATGAGGAAGATGACAGAGTCCTTGAGGGAATTAAGTGAAATAATGTGTATGAAGGCTTAGTATAGTGCCTAGAAATATAGGTGCTTTGTTTTTTGTATTTGTTACTATCTTCATAGTTAAGGTCCTAAACAAAATAATGAGAGAAATGCATAGCTGAATGGAAAGAAAATATATATACAAGTATTAAATAATAATAATTATACTTGTATTTTTATAGTTCAAATAAACTATTTAACACATATGTATTAGGTATTTATTACAAGGAAGATGCTCAAAGTTCTAAATGCTTTAGCTTTCCGTGCACGCCTGTATATTTTTCACGTTCCTTTTAAAGCATCTACTGGGCAATAAATTAAGACCACAGTAGACATTGGGCTTTTAGGTTAAAAGCCAAGAGTGGTAATGGGCATCAGTATTGGCCCCAAGGAAGGGTGGGTAAGGAATATAGAAGGGCTGTCCATCAAGCCTTTATCAGAAAGGCAGCATTGGACTTCCTGCCAACAGATGCCCAGTGGAGCTGGTCACATGGGCACACCCAAGCTGTGGCTTTTGAGGGCAAATATGCTGATCTTCTGTCTGAAATTCCCGCTGCCTGGGAAGAGCTAAAGGAAAGTTTGTTGTTATTGTTTTGCTTTTCTCTGAAGAACTTCTTGAGGAAACTGAAGCTTTGTTTTCTTCAAAGGATCACTTGCTCTTTGCAGAGGCCCCTGTTGTCATCCTCTCCTCCAGCGGATTGAATTATTGTGCTTTTCTGAGGAACTTCTGGATTGACCCTGTAGTCTTCATCTATTGCCTCTCCATTTCCTTGTTGACCTTGAGGATGTCCGGTATTTCCCACTTTGTGCTCCAGTGCTACTTTTTTAAAAGGCTTGTTGAAGCAGATTGAGAGGAAAGTGGGAGCTGCTGAAGCTCTTAATGCTTGTAGGACACAGCCTCCTTCAAGTTTGTTACTGTGGCTCATTCTGCAAAACCCCAAAAGCAGACAGGGAAGGAGAGTGACATTTATTCATTCATTTAGTCAGAAGGATAACTTTGGATAAATTAAATTTAACAAAGTTTAATTGAGCAAAGAACAATTCATAAATCAAACAGTCCCTCGAACCAGAATAGGTTCAGAGAGACTCTGGGTAGCTCTATAGTTAGAGATTTATGGACAGAAAAATGAAGGTGACATACAGAAAATGAAAGTAAGGTGCAGAAACAGCTGGATTGTTTACAGCTTGGCATTTGCCTTATTTGAACACAGTTTGAATAGTTGTCCGCCTGTGACTGGCTGAAACTGGTTGATAAAGAGTAGGTTGTAGTCTGTTTACACATCCAGTTAAGTTACAGTCCACTATAAATGAAGAAATCTTTAGCATGAACTTAAATAAGTAGACAGTTTAGGCTAAACTTAATTTTACTATTTGTTATGTATTTTTGAATACTTTATGTGTGTCAGGGGCTCTACCAACTCAGAATGTCAAAATGAATGAGACTTTTGAACTAAAAAGGAGATCAAAGATCACGTAAGAGGAAAAGACTGAGAATCAGGGAGATGAAGGGGCTGATTGAAGACAATACAGATGGTTAGAAACAAAGATCTCAAATCCAGATTTCTCAACCCAAATCGCCTGACATACTCTTCACATATGTTTTAATGCCCAAGCTGCAGATGCCTCAAGTGCAAATAGAGCAGCTGTACAGAGCATTTTTGGTAGTATGTATGTATGTATGTATGCTTTTTTTCTTTAAAGAATATGGCTAAATGTGCCAATAATTCTGGTCTCCCCATTATCCTGTTCCAGTTATTGCAGTGAGGCAGGAAGTTGCCCGTGATTACTTGCTTATTCTTATTATTATAATGATTTTCTTGTTACAGCTGCCTTTGTTATTTCACTCAGTCCAAATTTTACTAAGAACCCAACAACGAGAGCAGGCCAGTGTGTGTGATTGGTTCAGTCCCTGCATCATAAGGATGGCCCTGAACTTGTATGTTTCTAGGAAACAAGCCTGGCCCATAGTCTGCATTCATCAATAACAATGACAGTGTATTGAGCAACTACCGTGTGACAGGCTCTGTATCAATATATAATGAAGAATGAGACACAGAGCCTACCTTCAAGGAACTTTTTTTTTTTTTAAATAGTCATAATACACGGTGAGAAATGCTGTGATAAAAATAAACAATGTTGTGGGAGACCAGAGGACAGATTCCTATCATCCAGGGATAGGGGAAGAGGAGGCAGTCAAGAAATGTTTCTTGGAGTAAGTGGTGCACGAGTTGATTCTCAATGAATGAGTAGGATATATTTAGGCCCCAGAAACCTGTGTTGCAGTAGGTAGGGGGTGGGTGAGAAGAGGAGGCATATCACAGTAAGAGGAAACAGGTTAGAAAAAAGCACAGAGAAGTCATGGTAATGGCTGGTAGTTAAGTGTGGCTGAAATGAAATGTCCAGGAAAAAAAGTGAGAGTTTCAGATTTTGTTGGGAAAGGTAGGAAAGGACCAGATCAAGAAAAGCTTTGTATAATATGCTGAGAAGTCTGAACTTTGTTCTAAAAATAAGAGCAACCAAAGAGTTTCAAACAGGGAAATAATTGATTGGAGAAAGTCCAGAATGATTATAAATAGCCCTGACTTTCTCTAAATGGCTACATTAATATACATGGATCATAAACATCATTTTATTTGAATTATTCTGGGTAGCCAGTCTTTCTTCTTTTCATCTCAGGAGCAGAGTCCTATTTGATGCTGAGGAGTTTACTCAAGAAAGAAAAGCTATGGAATTGCTCAAAGTCATTCATAGCTACTGACTTATGAAGAAGGTATACATTTAATGTGTCCTTTTATTGTGAATAGGAAAGACCCTTATTACCCAAAGACAGGAGCTTGCGTGCAGTAAAACTAAAGGATGTAAAAATTCTGGAGTGTTGCTTTTTCTGATAGAAGAAACTTTAAAATATAATCTTATTTCCAGTAGCAACCAAAAAGTCTAAGGGCAAAGCCCAAGCCACAAATTCTGAAGCTTCAGGTATTAAATAGTTTTAACATTTACCTTCAGGGATGGCTTAAGCGTATTAGAAGAATGGTCTGAAATTTGCTTGAATCATCTGTCTCCACTGCTAGACATGATTCACTTAGTGGAAGTTGGAACTCTTCAAACTTAAACCTGACTTTACTAAAGGCTGTCAGCTTACTATGGTAAATGCTCCTTTTAGCTCCATTTGTAAAATGGGATCAAATTTACATGTTGCAGTGTGCCTCTTCCTTTTCAGTCAGAGTTTCACTCTACTCTCAAACGGAGCACTCTTCTTTTTCTGGGTCAACTGACCTTAAAACTAAAAGAGTCAATAAAGATTCTTATTTCCAGTAATTTTTTTTTCTTCAAACATGATAAAATAACCTGTGATTTTAAATATATTATTTTGGAGGGTTGGAGCTACCTCGGTAGAATGATCAATGAGGATTTGTCTGCTTCTGTCTTGGAAAAAAAAAAAGCAAGACTGAAAAGAGTTCTGGAGTCTCTGCTGTTCTTGTTGACAAGTGCTAAGCTTTTGATAGAATAACCTCTGAGTTCTATGTTTGAAGTCTGGTATAAGTATTTCAACACAGCAAACTTCCATTTGGCAGTTTGGTATTCAGGTCTGATGGTGGGCAAGGCCTTAGGCAAAACTGTTTAGTATAAATAACATCTTCCTCTCACTGGTTCAGGCAAAGCCTGGGGTGTGGCAGTGAGGAAAAGCAAGTGAAATGACATTTATTGAATATATATTATGTTAGGGACTTCTCATCCTTTTATTTAGTTCTCATAATAATCCCAGGAAGCATCAGTTGTTATAAAAATTTTACCAAAGAAAAAACTATGCCAGAGAAGTTAAACAACTTGTCCAAAGTTATACAGCTAAGAAGAGGCAGAACCAAAATTTGTGCCTAGGTCTGTCTCCTAAATCCATCATTTTTTCTACTATTTCATGTTACCTGAAATAGCACCAGCTGGTACCCGTATTCCTTGCCACCCATTTTAAAACTTTCTTTTCAGTGAAGATATTTATTTTGTTGTATTGTTACTGTTGTCTTTTTATGTGTATGTATTGGGCAGGGGAGTGGTAGTGAAGTATGGCCTATTGTAATATCGTCTTGGTGCTGAGATCCTAGGACATTTTGAAGTTCCAAGTTTCCCTGGTTCCCTACACTGTCATCTCATTTGATCACTGCAACATCTCTATAAGGACACTTTATTGTTGTGACAATTTGACAGAAAACAGAGGATTTAGTGACATTGTATTGCTATTGTGTGTTTTAAGATGAATTTTCTTGTCTAAATCTTAAATCATTTTCTCTATAGCACAGTTCATTTTTCCCAAAATAATGTGATAGGGTCAGAAAATTTTATTATCTTATGACCAGTCTTCTTAATTATGGTTTATGTCCATTCTCTCAGTTATTCATTCATTCATTAGATAAACATTTCTTAATGGATTAGATTTTTTTTTATGGGCTAATTACTGGTCTAAGCCTGAGAGAAATAAAAATGGAAAAGATAGAGTCTCTGCTCCATAAGGAGCACACATAATCTAGTGAATTATTTGCAATGTACTCCCTGCCATTACTTTTGGTAGCCTTGTTTACCATTCAACAGCATTTTTCTACACTGATACTCTGTGGGGATGGCTCACAGTAGAAACAAAACGTGGTTTCTGTGTGTGTGTGTGTGTGTGTGTGTGTGTGTGTGTGTGTGAGAGAGAGAGAGAGAGAGAGAGAGAGAGAGAGAGAGAGAAATGCATTTAAGAATCACCCAGACCAAGTTCATAGAATTGGCGTCATATTTCCTGAAACAGACAAACCAAACAAATGCTCAGGTGATACTTCTGACTGGCTGCTATGCTATGCTAGGAAAAACAGGAACAGTGAGTGCAGGCTGAAGTGAACAGTGAGGCTGACTGCTAGAGTTCCAGAGCTTTCTTCACTCCCTGTTTCCTTACAAGGAATTGCTGGAACATAAAGAGTTATGCCATCAGAATAATATTGAGGTGAATTTTTAATGAAAGAAAATTGTTATAATGTGTTATTCAGATAGAAAAAGCAGATTAGAAACTATGTACAGTATCATCTTATTCTTAAGACAACAAATATATGTGTCAATGCACATTAAAGACTAACATACTATCAGTGGCTCTATTTAATAGATAAGATCATGCATTTATTTTTAAATTTTTTATAGTTAAGTTCCTACAATCAAGAGTTACTGTTTTTGTCACATAACAAATTACATTTAAATTCTCATGATGTTTAAAAATGTTGAGAAAATGAAGGACTTGCAGTTAAGAGCACAGCAAATTCTAAAGCAAAAGAGAGTTGGATTGAAAATTAGATCAAAGGAGGAGTCATAGTAGCAAAAAAGAGCTACCCCAAACCTAACCTCAGGATGAAAACAGGGGTGGAGAAATGTCCCAAATGGTTTCTACAAGATTCTGTTGCCCCTTCTGAGTTATTTACTCAGACATAGGCTCCTGCAGTCTTTCCCCTACCCTAGAGGCTATTAGGAAACCACTGGATCTGCTGAGGCTAAATAGATGATGGTCTTGGGTGGCGTTAAGGATTTCTTGATGGGTCAGTAAGGGAAAGGGTTGAAGAATATCACTCATTACTTGAGCCTGAAATCCTTCTTAGGTAGACCAAGGCAAGAGGCAGGTAAAGCAAACATGATACATCTGGAATGTGTCTCTATTGTACCTCAGTGGCTCTAAGAGTCAACAACTGCCTGGAGAGGGGCTTTGCTCTCACAGTAACTATGAATATTTTGGAGGTGTTTTATATTTATTTTAAGATGCTGTCTCTTGTAAAAATTATGAGAAAAAAGTAGAGGAACTTATTCTCCATTTTCCCTTTCTCTTGTTCTTCTTTCCTCCCTCTTTTCCTCCACTTTTCCTTTTCTCCCCTTTCACAGCTATCTCTGTAACTTTCTCTCCCTCTCTCCGTTCGTCTGCCTTTTCCTTCTTCCCTTTCTCAGTCATATCCCCTTGCCTGAGCTTTTGAGTATGTATGTGAACACTTAATTTGTCAAGTTCTGTTAGGTACTGGGGACACAAATGAATAAGATGGGCCAGGTATCTCTTCTGAAAAAATAGAGAATGACAGAGGGATTGTTAGAATACTTGCTAAATATTATAACCTAAGGAAGAACTTGAACTCTTCAAAGTTTTCACATGAAGAGCAGAAACATTTCCTAGGCATTTCTGCCGGTGTGATCAAATGAACTCTTCAGCTGAATCTCTCAGTTGGCTTCTAGGAGCTGTCAGCTTCAAGAGCTTGGAGATGCTGCTAATCTCCAGTGACAGCTCCCCAGCATTTCCACAGCTACTCTCTAAAGCAGGTTGGTTTTTACAATTACATGTGAATAAAAACAACAAAAAAAGGAACAAAGGGGAGTATTTTTTCAGTCTCAAATAATTTTGTATTGATCTTATATTTCCCTTTACTTTTGAACTCTGAACAGACGTTTCTTGTTTTCTTTGTTGTTTTTACAAGAAGATGTATGTGGGGAGGGGTTGCAGAATTTGTTTATAAAGCTCAGAAAATCCTAAGTAAATCAGCTATTATATCTCAGAGATTAGGAGATTGAGACAAAGACAGAGCAAAAGTGGCACTATAATTAACAGGCAGTTGCAGGAAAGGAAGGATTCATGCTGTGCAATATGTAATTTGGAAACCAAATGTTCTTGTCAGAGAGACCTGGCCGTGTGCAGAAAGCTATGGGGGCTGTTCTAGACAAATGAACTGACAAAACCTGCTTAGTGTGCTGGAGAATACTGGTCATCTGTTCTCTTTTTCAATCTCGGTCACAGCCAGACTATTCATCATTTCACTCAATTATGCATTTTACAATTATTGATCACCAACTATTCATTGAACACTTTGCTAAGCATAGAAACACAAAGATGAATAATTTAAAAATCCTTGCCCTCAGGTTGGTTTCTGTTTTATAAAGAAGTTAAACATAAAACTGACATCTTTGTCTCCAACCCACCAAGTGACTTCTGAGACAAAAAATCACATAGATTGTCATGAAAGTAGAGAGGCTCTTCAAAATTCATGCAAGTTTCAAGAAAGCTTCTGAGAAAGACTTGAAGTATATCCAGGTGGAGGTCATTTCTGAGCAGAAGACGTAACATGTGCAAAGATGTGAAGATAAGCAAAAATGCATCAAATTCAGGAAACTATGTAGTTCTTATAATAAAAGTGCGTGGTAGAGTCAAGATTGGTATGTAAAGAACAAGAAATATTCTAGGATAATTTGGAATATAGCTATTTGATTAAGGAACATACAATCAATTTACACAAACATCAAATATCTCAAGGGCAGAGATTGTAAACCTTTTGATTTTTGCATTGCCAGTATGCAGTGTAGTGCTTGACATATAGTAGGTGCTCAACAAATGTAGAGCTTGGACTAACCAGAGAATAGTTCCTTGGCAATGTTGAATAATAGATTTTAAAGGAGGAGGATAGAGAGAAAGAAGGAATATTGGGCTCCTAATCTGTGCCAGGTGCTGTGTTAAGTGTTTTACAGGTGCTATGCTAATTAATAGTCACAATAACCTCCTCGGGGGTATATATATATCTATATGTGTGTATATATATATATATATGTGTGTATATATGTGTGTACATATATATATAGTCATTTTTCAGAAGAGACATTTGAACTTTTGGGAGGTCTAGTAATTTACCATTGTCACTGATAGAGTTTGGATCATATATGTCCCTGACAAAACTCATGTTGAATTGTAATCCCCTATGTTGGAGGTGGGGCCTGTGGGAGGTGGTTGGGTCATGGTGTTGCATTCTCATGGCTTGGTGCTGCCCTTGAGATAGTGAGTGAGTTCTCATGAGATCTGGTTGTTTGAGTCTGTGGCACCTCCTCCCACCGCTTTCTCTTGCTGTTATTTTCACCATGTGAAGTACCTGCTCCTGTTTCACATTCTGCCATGAGTAAAAGCTCCCTGAGGACTCCCCAGAAGCTGAGCAAATGCTGGCTTTTGCAGCCTGAAGAACTTTAAGCCAATTAAACTTCTTTTCTTTATAAATTACCCAGTCTCAGGTATTTATGGCAATGCAAGAATAGCCTAATACAGTTACATAGCTAATGTCTGTTGAGAGACAAGATTCAAACTCAGGTTTATCTTTCTCCACAGCCTGTGCTTCTACTTTTGGGTACAAGCCTTTGCTGAAATTTCCGCTGCAGTACTCTGGGGGAGAATGCTACAAAATTTGTTCGTTTATAGTAACAGAATAATATGGGGTTTTACAATTAGGTACTAATTTAATTTTTGTAGTATATGTGTAAATTCTGTAAGAGTTCAGAAATGGAATTGGAAATTAGAGATTTTTCTGTATTTTGTGGGTTCAAGAAACCTTACGTTCAATTTACTAACAGCAAATGATATAGGATACAAAATATATAAATAACAACTGAGAATGTTGAATAAGTGATTGTGCATAGGCTTGTGTTTAAAGTGAATGTCTCTGACATTGCCAATGTTAGGTTGCTAATATACTGTGTTCGGATATTTTGAATGTGTAATTGGGCCGGGAGTGGTGGCTTATGCTGTAATCCCAGCACTTTAGGAGGCTGAGGCAGGCAGATGACCTGATGTCAGGACTTCAAGACCAGCCTGGCCAACATGGCAAAACCCTGTCTCTACCAAAAATACGAAAATTAGCGGGCGTGGTGGCGGGCATCTGTAATCCCAGCTACTAGGGAGACTGGGGCAGGAGAATCACTTGAACCTGGGAGGCAGAGGTTGCAGTGAGCTGAGATTGTGCCTCTGCACTCCAGCCTGGGTGACAGAGTGAGACTCCATCTCAAAAATAAAATAAAATAAAATAAAATAAAATAAAATAAAATATGTAATTGATGAGCCACTTGGCTTCCAAAAAGAGCATATAAATATAGCAGGTGTGGAGGAGAAAATGCTTCTAGAGCACTGCTTAGAAAACCTTGGGCCGTAGTTGGGTCTTGCTGCTCCTGTACATGTTCCTCTTGCATAGCTCTTCCCTGCTAGTGCAGAGCTAACTTTGTGTTTCCCTACCTTCAGCCTTGTTGCTGATTTTATAAGCAGTGCCTTTTTCATTTTAATTAATAAGGACTGGATCTTTTCTTTCTTTTTTTCCCTCTGAGTTTCAGGCCAAAATATATTTTAGCCTCACATATCAAGAAGCTCTGCCACCTTCAGACCTCTGAGTCATGGGCAGTGACTGGCTCCACCAACTTTCCTCCCTAAGTCCCACATGCTTCCCAATGTGCACATTTGCTAGATGAATCAATGATGTGGAGGAGGATTCCAGATACATAGACCTTCCCACTTCCTGTGCAAGCTACCCATGGCTTCCCTCCCACCCCAGCTTTCAAGAGTTAGGAGTGTTGTGTCTTGAAGTAAAGAGGAATCATGCTCAGGACCTTGTTGCCAGGGGTACCAGAGATAAGGGCTCCTCACAGAAAATGGTGTGCTTCTTACTCCACCTAATGTAAATTTAGAAACCACTGATAAGTTATACATATGTTCTTTTAAGATCTCCTAGTACTGTTGAAAGAGGACCATATTATTTAATGCAGGGGCAACACGCCTGCCTCATATTGTTTTCATAATAAAAGATAATAGATCTGAATCACCCGAACTAGTCTCAAAAGAGTCGGTCCTCAATAAGCAATAGCAGTTACTATCATAATTATTATGATAAAAATGATAAAGACAATGGTGACAAAGACAAAGAAAAATACATTCTATGCTTGGCACCTAATTGTTAATTCCTGACCTAAGGATCCCACTAAATTTCACATTTAAAATTTAAGAGAAAAGAGAAAATATTGATATGATTAGAAGACTGCACTTGTGGTTATTCTCTTATAATCTAAATGACTAGTGTTTCCAAATAACATGATTTTCTTTCACATGTTAAACTATAGTCTGGCCCATCATGAGAAAGATACAAGGTTCATGAATCAAAAAAATAGTCAAAATTTCAGATAACCTCAGACTTCAAATTTTCATCATACCGATATTTTTAGGGAAGTGTCTGTCACTTGGATCTTGAATAAGGGTAATGCAGGCCAACTTTGTTTCCATCTGAAGTTTCAATATTTTTATCATTTTCCTCCAACAGAAATGAGGTCTGGCTTTTAGTTAGGGAATCTATTTCATGGATCATAAGATTGTGTTCTCAGAGTACCTGGAAGTTACAAGCAGATGCTCCCAGAAGAAACTTCAGACTTGATTTGATTTCTAGGTGACACATATAGAGTAACCTTGAGTAGAGAAATAACATAATTATCCCAGTCTTGATGGGAACTAGTCATAAGTAATGCGGAAGCAGCTTGTTCAGGAGAAATGGAGCGGCCACTTGGTAATCCAGCCCAATTATGGTTTCCAGTTTCTAGTGCAGTTGCCAGTAACAGGTAGTCTGTGGTAAAGAGTCATCTGTGATGAATAGTGTCCTAGGAACATGCATTGGCTTCAGGGGGAGTAATGTGAAATTTTAGATGTTTCATTCTTCAAATTTTTAAGGACTTTTGACTTGAATAAAAGGTTGACTCTCGGGCCGGGCGCGGTGGCTCACGCCTGTAATCCCAGCACTTTGGGAGGCCGAGGCGGGCGGATCACGAGGTCAGGAGATCGAGACCATCCCGGCTAAAACGGTGAAACCCCGTCTCTACTAAAAATACAAAAAATTAGCCGGGCGTAGTGGCGGGCGCCTGTAGTCCCAGCTACTTGGGAGGAGGCTGAGGCAGGAGAATGGCGTGAACCCGGGAGGCGGAGCTTGCAGTGAGCTGAGATCCCGCCACTGCACTCCAGCCTGGGCGACAGAGCGAGACTCCGTCTCAAAAAAAAAAAAAAAAAAGGTTGACTCTCTTCTGAGAGGTAACTCTCAGAAGAGAGTCAACTGTATTATTTGATAATTTTATCATGCTAGTCTTAAGATGAGGGAGTGGTGTGGGTTAAAGTGGGGAGTGCTTGCACTATTTGACCTGTGATGTTCACTGAAAATGCTGAGGACCAATAAAAGGAGGAATGTCATGGGGAAGAGCTTGATGAGTAAATCTTTAGTCCCTAGTTTCTGTCTCTATTAAATGGGAATGATAGTGAAGCTCTTGGAGGATTTTATTAAGGTTAATAATAATGATTTGATAGACCTCATACAGTACCTGAGCAATAAATGCTTAATGTATGAGAACTCCTAGTAGGAGTTATAACTACAGTAGTCATTCTGACCATTGTTCTAATAGTGATAATAAAAATAATATAAATAATCATGACAGCAATCAATTGTAAGATGTTTACAAGGTTTTAGTGTGTTAAAGTTTTATATGTATCAATTTAGTTATTGAAATAAAGTGTTATTATCCCATTTTAGAATTACTTGTAAATATAGTGGTGGCGTTAGTGATCGTGGGAGTAATAACATTAGGTATTATGATGGTACTAATGCCTCAGATCCTCTGTAGAAATAGGCATGGTATAAAAGAAAAACAGGAAAATACACTGCTGAAGTTTCTCAAGTTCTTTGAAAAAACAAAAACAAAACAAAACAGGAAAGTTTTTAGAACCTAGATGTCACCTCCCGATTTCTTCCCCCTATCTTTACTCAAGTTGAAGAATCCAACACATGGATGTCTGACCATATCCTACATTATTCAAAGATTTTCTGTTATGGTTCATTATTCTAGTAAGCATCTCAGTAAATAATCCCTGAGTACATATTATGTGTGAGCACTTAGTAAGGCATTGAAGATACAAAAATAAATGTACTGCAATCACTGGACTACTTTAGGACCTAGCAGAGAAGAATATTAGGATAATAAATGAATTACAGTATAATAGTTGTTGCAATACTGAGGTAATTGTGTAACACATGAAGAGAAAAAATATTCTCATTGTGGTGGGAAGGACGTATGTATACTATGGTGGTAGGGAAGAAGCCAGTGTCTATTTTAGATTGGAATCATTTGAATTGGGTACATTAACATTGCATTTGTTTATTAAATACTATGTGTATGCATTGTATTAAAAACAAGTAATTGAGGTAGTAACTATTAAAATGTGTGTAGTTAATATTTCTCAAAAATTCAAATGCAGAAGAATGATGTACAGAGTTTAGACCATGAGATCTGGAGTAAGAAGATCCATAATTAACACTAAGTCACTGAACCTCTCTAATCATTCCTTCATCTGTAAAACTGTGATAATATTATAATAATATTTCTCTGCCATACTTTCAATGATATAAGTGATCCATAAGCTATAAAGTGTTATACAAGCTAGAAAGTGCTACATAAGCACTGATTATTATTTTACATAGCTGGAAAGGTCTGGGAAGGTTTCATGGAAAGAATTTTCCTTGAGTGGAGTTTAATGAGTAGAATTTTGATAGGGAGGGAGCAAGTTTGTGTCGGGGAGATCAGAAGGTCTGCCGTTTCCCTCTTGAAAAAAGGTGGGGTCATTACGTTGATTATCCTCCACATGGTGGAGGGAATGGCATAAGTAAATACATGTAGGTAGGAAAACTCAGGATGAAGTTATTAATAGTTGGGATATATCCAGTCATCAGTAGGGAGTCATGTAATGATAAACAGAAGAGCAGCATAATCAAAAGGGTGGTGTTTGGGATAGTACTCTTCAAACAACTGATAGGATCCACTGGAAAGCAGAGAGACTGAATGCAAAGTTAAGAGGCTAGAGTTAATAAGGGCCTGCACTAGATTGGAGGCTATGAAACTAAAAAGGAGGAAGTTGATGTAAGGGATAGCACAATGATAAAATTTCCAGAGATTGGTTTATCTCTCAAATCTCCAGCATAGATTTGAAAGAGCTTTGAGGAAGTATCACAGTGGTCGATATCCTCCATCTCCGGCAAAACAGAGCTAGAACATACATGGCATTCAAAGCTTTCCATGTTTAGGTCTTGATCTACCATTTTGATCCTTCAATTCTAAGCTATAGCCATAGTAAATTTTTCCTCATTCTTTGACCATGTCTAATGTTTTCTTTATGCCATTTCTTCTGCATGGAATATTAGTTCCAACCCACATAGAATGCTCTCATCCTTCAATCACAAGCTAAATAGTCACCTTTGCTATGAAGTCTCCCTGGCAATGTTCTCCCCTCCACTTCTGTGAAACACCTAACACGTGTTGCTGGTCCCATTGATTCTCAAAATCAGTGTGTGCTAAAGTTGATACTATTCAGTAAGCAGGACTGATGTATGAAGTTTTCAGTCCACTGTGGGATCAGACTCTTATGAAGGAATCTGACTTTTGGATTTCATATCCAAGAATGTTTGTAGTTGGTCTGATTACACTCGTAATACCCAATATCAGTAAATCTCTGCTGCTGTCAGAGCATGTTGTATAGCATTCTATACAGTCATATGCTCCTATCAAGAAAGACTCTTTCTGGTGGTGAACTGGAAGTATACCAATTTATCTCTGATAGTTATGAGGAAAAAAGTTATTCAGGATAAAGGTACTTCCAAAATATAAATATTTTTTTCTCTGACACAAAGGAAGACACTTTCTATTCCCTTAATCATGCTAGGTTTCCCAAAGATTGCTTTTGTAGCAAAATCTAAATACAAAGCAGCCCATTCTCTGTGGACAAACTATTAAGTCAAAATTATATCAAACAATGCCCCCTTTGATGTGTAAAGTGGGAAAGTGCGGTCCGCAACTTTTTACTTACTTACTGACCCTTAAGGAGTCCAGTAACAGCTTCAAAATGTTGTACTACTAATGTACAATTTCAACAAGCAACTTTCTATTTATAGGTTACCTGTGCTTTGTCCTGGGTAGGTAGAATTGTTTTCCAGCCCAATGTGCTGACAATTTTCAGCTTGGCGGTGTTCTGAGCAAATAAATCCCTCCTGCCACCCTTCCCCCAAGCATCTTACAGCCACACACTCTTACCCTTGCGCTATTCCTATGACACAGTTACTACTGATGCTGATCTTAAAATCCCCAGCAGCCCACTTGGATGCTTTGCCCAGGTAATTGCAAATACCCATTAGTAGGAACTGACCAACCAATTAGTGAGTCAGCCAGCAGCCCCTGCTTTTAGTTCTCTTCCAAATAGCTTGTACATTTATTTCTCTCCAAAATCTTATTGGTGACCTCTTAGCAAGTTTCTCTATGTGCCTAAATTAATTCTGACTTCCTATAAATATTTTATTCAATTAGCGAGTGAACAAATGAGGCGTACATGGGAGGCTCATTTATTTTTCAGGCCAAAACATGAATCTATAATATGGTGATCCCACTCATTGAGGAAATCCATCTATTCCTTCTCCATACTCACAGCTAGTGCTTATCTTTTTAAAAACACCATAATCTTCAGCATGAAAATAATCTCCTAATTAACCCCCAGCTTCCAGACTTCCTCTACTCCAGTTCATTCTTCTCACAGTAGCCAGAGTAATTTTTCTACATTGAATTTTTTTATAAAGAAACTTCCATAGTTTTTACTCTGTTATATTTAATAACTAAAATATATGAGTGGAAATGATATAGTATAATAATAAAACCAACACCATAAGCCCCTCCTCCAAGTTAAGAATTAGAATAATGCTGTTACCTTTGAGGGTACCTTTTCCCATTCCCTAATTCTATTTATGTGCTTTCACCTTCTGCAATTTGCTTTTCTCATTTATTAATGCTTTTAAAAGTCATCCCCATTGTTGCATGTAGTAGTATATTGTTCGTTTCTACTCTGTGCAATATTTCTGGGATAATATTTATTCATTTTTCCATGCTCTTGCTAACAGATACTTTGATTCTGTCCAATTTTTGCTACTGCAAACAATGCAGCAACATTTATTTTTGCACAATTTTATTGGTATCAGTACACAAGTTTCCTTAGGATTGAAATTACTAAGTCATATGGTTTTCACCTATTCAACTTGACAAGATCATGTCAAATTGTTTTCTAAAGTAGTTGTGCCGATTCATCTGCCTACTAGAAGCGTTTAAGAGTTTGCATTGTTCACATCATCAACACAAAATTTTATCAGACTTATGAAGTACAAAAATATCGTTGAGTTCTTTCTTTATATTTTCAGAATGAGGAATACTATTGAGGTTTTAAAAATATCTTTATTCAGCATTCATGTGTCTGCTTCTGTAAAATAATGGTTTATTGCTGTGTGCTTACACCTATATTGTATTATCTTTTTCTTATTGATTTTTAAGAGTTCTTTATATCTTCTGGATACTATCCACTATTCATCATAGATGTCTTCTCCCACTTTGTAGATTAAGTTATTCATTTTAATATGATCAAAATTATTCTTTCTTTATAGTTGACACATTTTCTGTCTTATTTAAGCAATATTTTCCTATCCCAAGATCATAAAGATATAAAACTGTAAAATTTTTATATTTAAGTATTTAATGAGTCTGGTGTTGATTATTTTGTATTCTTATTTTCCAAATAACTAAATATTTCTCATAGCAACATGTGTTGAATAACACTTCTTTCTTCTCCCCTTACTTATCTGCAATGCTCACTTTGTCCTATATCATATTTCTATACTATGTGAGCCTGTTTCTATGTTCTGTATTCTGTTTCATGGTCATCTTGTTTATCTCTGTGCCAAATCAATACTATATTAATTAAAAATTCTTTATAATAAATTACTACATTAACTAAAAATTTAAATTATTATTAAAATGGGTCTACTAGATCAAATTCTTCCATTTTATTTTTCTTCAGGTGTGTCTTTGTTTAGGTTTTATTCTTTCATGTGCATTTTAGATGAACTTGGAAACTTGTGAAAATTCTTATTGGGGTTATTTTTGGAATTTCTTTGAACCTATAAGTTAATTTGGGAAGATTGATTTCTTATGATACTGAATTTTTCTATTTATAAATATAGACTATTTTTGCATTTATTTAGATCTTTAATGTCTTTCAATACAATTTTATAATTTCTTCCTTAAATATTTTACATTTAAAAAAAGCATTAATTTTGAAAAACTTTCGAGAATTTTTTTATCAGTTCTCTTCATTTTTGTTGTTGTTATTGTTGATAATGAATAGTATCTTTTTTCCTTCTATATTTGTTGAGATGATCATGATTTTTCTCCCCTATTGTGTTAATGTGATTATATTGATTGGGGTGTGCTAGTTCAAGCAACTTTGTATCCCTAGTGTTGTCATTTTCTCTTTTTTTCTTTCTTCTTTTATTCTTACTATTTTTGTTTTAATTTTATTATTCTGGTATTATTATTAACTCTACTTTTGGGGCTTTAACCTGCTTTAACATAAATGTTTCAGAGGGATGTAACATTGACTTCTGCCATTTTCTTTTAATTAACAATTTAAATTACAATACATTTATACATTTATTTCAATATATTTTAGGTGCTTTGGTATTATATAATATATGATATGCAGTATTTTAAATTAACATTCCAACCCACCTATTTACAAATATTTATTTGTTTGAGCCAGGTTATTTAAAATTTTTTTAAATTTCCCTAAGAATTCTTTCTTGTGTTATTAATTTCTGATTTAATAATATCTAGAAAACTTTTTATGGTAACTATTCTCTGAAATTCATTTTAATCTAGAATGTGGTGAATATTTTGTCAATGTTTTTTGTTTGCCTAAGAAAAATGTGTGTTCTGTAATTATTGGATGCAAGTTTATAATTATATTCATTAGGTAAGTTTATTAATTGTTTACATTTTTCAAATTTTCTATACCTTTACTAAATTTGTACCTACATCATCTATCAATGAGTCAAAGAGGTCTGTTTACAATCGCCTTCTTGGGTAGTGGATTTGTTGATATTTTTAAATATTTTCTTCATTATTTATTTAAATATTACTCATGGCTATTTTAAATTATGTGTCTGATAATCTTAATATCTAAAGTCCTTGTAAGTCTACATCTGTTGTTTCTACACTTTGTCACTCATAGTAGTCTGTTTCATCCTATCTCCTTGATGGTGGTCTCATATTTTTGCTGGACTTAAATAGTGGGAATTTTCAGGGTCAATATGGAGACGTTTTCTTCCAGAGAAGATTAGACTTGGTTTTTGATTGGAGCCAAAAGACTCTTCTGAGTTTGAGCCACTTTGGTCCCTTTTGAGAGTCTTGCTTAACTTTAGATTCTCAAATTTTCTGATCTCAGACCTGAAAGAACTATTTTTCCTCTGGGCATGCTGGCTTTCATTTTGCTACAGCCCACTTTTCTGGTTTTAGTTGATAGGATTTTGTGTGTCATTTGGTTTGGTCTTGCTTATTTTTCTCATATTCTTACATGGCTGAGATTCATTAAAAGGATGATGGTTAGAATGTATTAAAACCATTGACGTATTATAGCAGGACGGCTCACCAGAGTGAGGGCCTTGTGTGCTGTAATGACGGAAGTGGGAACTTTTTAATATAGATTTTGATCATGTTGCTTCCCTGCTTCAAAATCCTCCTTTAGCCCCCAGGATTAAGTACAATCCCTTTAGTAAAAGCATCAAGACCCCAGGTTCAACCTCTTTGGACTTCTCCAAGCTCCTTTCCTTCTACTTACTCATATGAACCTATATGCTCCTCCCCAAATAGTTACAATTCCCTGAATATGACACACTTTTTAAAGACTCTTTCTGCTGCTTCAGATGCTTTTTACTATTTACCTACCAGGATACTTCAGCGTTTAAGTTTCAGTGCACAGATCACTTCCTTTTTTAAGTGTTCTTTAAGCCCCCAAGACTGGTTTAAGTGCCCTTCTTTCAAATTCCCATAACTACCTACACATACCTGTTTTACCCTTTACAACACTGCATTACTTTCTTTGACTGTTTTTACCTATTTTTTAAATCAGACTCTTAGGGCAAAGGCTGCTTTTGTTTATTCCTTGATTTCCAGTGCATATTACTTAGGGTGACCATATGAATTAGGTTTCCAGAAGAGTCCTGGTGTTTACCTCCCTTCTTCGTAGTGTACCCATTAGTAGTGCTCACTTTTATTTTCAAAAGTGCCCATTGTTAATGATGAATTATATGGCCATCCTAATAGTCTAATGTTTGTTGAATGAATGAAAACATAAAAAAAAGGGAAGCAACAGATGCTGGAGAGGATGTGGAGAAATTGGAGTGCGTTTACATTTTTGGTGGGCGTGTAAATTAGTTCAACCATTGTGGAAGACAGTGTGGCCATTCCTCAAGGATTTAGAACCAGAAATACCATTTGAACCAGCAATCCCATTACTGGGTATGTACTCAAGGGATTATAAATCAATCTACTATAAAGACACATGCAAACATATGTTTATTCTGGCACTGTTTATAATAGCAAAGACTTGGAACCAACCCAAATGCCCATCAGTGATAGACTGGATAAAGAAAATGTGGTACATATTCACCGTGGAATACTATGTGGCCATATAAAAGGATGAGTTCATGTCTTTTGCAGGGACATGGATGAAGCTGGAAACCATCATTCTCAGCAAACTAACACAGGAACAGAAAACCAAATACTGCATGTCCTCACTCATAAGTTGGAGTTGAACAATAAGAACACATGGACACAGGGAGGGGAACATCACATACCAGGGCCTGTTGAGGGGTGGGGGGCTAAGGGAGGAATGGCATTAGGAGAAATACCTAATCTGGTTGACGGGTTGATGGGTGCATCAAACCACCATGGCACGTGTATACCTATGTAACAAACCTGCACATTCTGCACTTGTACCCCAGAACTTAAAGTATAATTAAAAAAAAAAAAAGAAAGGGAAGAGAGGAGGAAGAACTGGATGATGATATCTGATTCACATTTCTAGCAATGCTTCTTTGCAAAAATTATTTACCTTTCCTGTGCTTTAGTTTACCCATTGGAAAAATGAGGGAAATGTTATCTGTCCACTTTAAAATGAGACTAACAATAATAAAACTTCAGATACCTTAAATTTATATTACATTTTAAGATTTGTTAAGCACCTTCTCAAAAGTGATTTCATTTGTCTTCATAATGACAGTGCAAGGGTAGGCAATTTTGGTGTTATTATCATCAATTCATTTTTCATTAGATGAGGTGCTAATTCTGAGCCTAAGTGGTTTACCAAAGACTGTACAGCCAACAAGTAGTAGTAAACTATATTGTGGGTTTTCTGATTTAAAATTTAGGACTCTTTTCATTTTATCACATCATCACTGTGAGATTTTATGAGAGGCTTCAATTAAATTATTCTACTGGACAGTGCTTTGTGAATTATAGAAAGCCACCAAACTGTACGGTCATGCAACTATTAGTGCTAAAATGTACCCTCATCATTATTTTAAAATCATCATCCTAACAATACTTCAGACAGTTCCCCTGCCTATTCAATTATTTCATTTCAAGTACTTTGTTTACTGAAATAATATTTCATTGTACATAAAACAAATATCAAAATTCAGTCCCACAAACTTTATAGTTTATTAAATTGGAAAGTAAATGCTCAAACCCATTAGGTTATCTGTAACTACAAAGACCAGATTTTGTCAACTGAAAACTGAAACACAAGCTCTTCCTTCCTACAACTGCCCCACCTTTTTACCTTGCTGATTCTTTCTTGTGCTTCTTATCTCAACCCATGTAACCTTCTTAGATTAGCCTTCTCTGACCCCCCTTTGCCATTCCAGTCTGAAATAGATCAATCCTGTTTTTACTTTTCATAGTACTTTTTTGTCATTTGTAATAAGATATTCCTTTGCTTACTAATGTCTGTCTTGATCACTGAATGGTAAATTCCATAAGAACATGAACCTCGTCACTATATATATTTTTCTTTACCATTTATACCCAGAATTGAAGTCTGACATATGTTGAATGGATATTGTTGAATGATAAATGACTGAATGGAAATATTACATGGGGTACTGGAATGAAGTTTTTTTTTTTTTTTTTTTTTTACCGTTTTTGTCCTGAAATTTTCTCTGAGTAGGGATTTTAAAAATTTAATAATTTCAGATAATTTGGAGACAAAATATCATAGGGCCCTTTTTAATCAGGTCACCAGCCTCTATTTTGTGGTATTTTGATAGATAGCAATATTTTAGATGGAAACAGAGGGCAACTCTGTCCCTTTATGACCCCTAAAAAAAATGATACTAGAAGAGTATATGCTGTAATGACAGCCAGCCTGGATACAACACTTATATAGCTAAGGACTGTGTCCAATCATTGTTAACTTACTATTCTGAATGACAAATTTGGTTAACAAATAATGCCTTAATGAAAGGCTGTATTGTGTACCTAAAATTAAGAAGAATTATTAGCTACCTGGAGAAATAAAAACCTTTTCCAGCAAACATTTCCATACCTTTAACATTTCAGGTGACCAAGAGCAGTAATTAGTAGTTAGTGTTAGATGGTTCTGGTAACTCTGTTTGCGTCCATGTCTGTATTTATTGAGGGTATACTATGTGTGCGATGCTTGTGTTAGGTATTGATCAATGTTACTTTTGCAAATCAAATTTATGTCATGTTTAATGTGGCTATTAGACTCATCCAATAAAAATAAAGCTACATTTATTTTTCATTGGTTCCTCTACCCCAGAATTACAATTATGACACATAATACTTTTCATGATTTTCACATAACTGTCATACACAACCATTTGTAGTGACAGAATAAATCAAGGGGGTAATATTCCATTGAATTTGTATCATCCTTATGAATTGGGTGCCTGCTTGAATGCTTGGCTGAGGAATTAAGTGTGGCTTTCACTTAAGAGTTCTATCAGTTATGTTTATTTCTTTCTTACTGGATTAATTCATGAAAAATGAAGAACCATGGCAGGGCTCATATAGCTACTTTGAAAGTCCTGTAACAGCAGATGTAGATTATAGCACAATTGATGTAACTGCTTTAGTAGCTATAGCTGAATTGATTGTCCAGATGGTCAAAATGGCAAGACAAAATAACGGTAATCATGACACATCTTGTGTTATATAGCATTCTTCATCTTATAAAACTCTTCCACTCCCATAATCTCAAGATGACTTTGTTTATCATAACAGCTTTGTTAAATAGACAGGGAAATATTTTAAAGATCAACAAACAGGTAAAAAATGTATATATATTTGTCATTCACTATTTAGCACCTACTTGTCTGACTCCAAGACAACTGGTCTCCCTGACTACAGTTCACTTTACTGACAGAAAGATTGTTCTAAATGCAGATTTAATCTGCTTTCTCTATTATGTAAAACCTATTTCTCTCTGTTGGTATTAGTTAAAATTCAGACACTATAATATTTGCCTATAGGCAAGTCATGGTCTAGCTTCTCCTTGTCTGTCTGACCTTGACTTTAATTGCCCCTTCCACAAGTGTGTCAGGCTTTTACATGTCTTCTTTTGCCCACACGGTTTCTTCTGTTGGCTTATGCTGCAGTGTCAGCTCAGACGTTACCTCTTTCATAAAGCTGCCACTGACATTCTCCACCTCTCCCTAAAGATACTCATTTTCCCAATCTTCCCAGCCTCTATTATTTTATATCAACACAGCACTTATTGGTTTATAGTTTGCTTCTACTTACTGGACTTACTGTCCATTTATTTTCCTATCACCTGGCAGGGTTCAAGGCACATACTATGCAATCAAAAGATATTTGTTGAAAAAATTAATAAATGATTGAATAATACACAGTGCTAGTTATCTTACTTCACTGAAACTGTTGTTACATATTCACAGTTGTTTACTATTGGTCAAATGTGTTCATATCTCTTTTTCCATCTGATTACAGAAATAACATAAGATCCATAGGCAAGGTCCCACTTTACAAATATGAAAGAGAGGATCTATAAAAGTATTATCAGTGACTGCCTCCAACTTGGTGACCATATGATGTCACTTCAACCTAAGAATGTACTTTCTGATGTGAGTTCTCTAAGTGTGATCATTAGCTGCTCTTAGGCAAGGAATCTCCATTGTAAGGTTTAATGACTTGAGATAGCAAGTTTTAGAGTAGTAGGTTCTGAAAGAGATTGAAGCATTCTAAAGAAGGATAAAAAACTTTTAATTTGTATCCTTCTCATCTCATCCTTTTGTCTTGACAATTAGGCATTGTATCTGTGGTATTTAGTAAAAGCAACAAAACAACTATGGCAATAACAAGAGTAGTTGATAATTAGTGAGTGGTCACTATGTGCAGGGCACCATGATAACTGTTACCTGTGTTTTGTCAATTAACCAGCAAAATAAATTATTTTAATAGATACTATTTTCTTCACCTTACAGTTGAAGAAACCAAATCTCAGAGAGGTTCCAATACCTTGTCCAAGCTGAGTAGGTAGGGCATAGAAGAGTCAGCAATTCTCTCCTCTGAAGGGAACTGGCTGTATCTGCTAACCTAGTCTGAAATTTTTGTGGGAACTTGCCATTAATGGAGTGTCTCCTTGATGACTTAGATCACAGAGACTCTTTTCCTAATATAGTTATGATAAACTGTTATCTGGTGTTTTTAAACTATCTCATGGTATTATTTAATATAAAATACCGATATTTCCTTCCTGATTTGGTTTTCCTGAACATTCTGTGAAGTCTTAGTTCCTCAAGAGAGAGCCGTTGTCCTGATAGTGTTGCTAGGAGGATTCCAAATTAGATCAAGCCAGTCCCCAGCGTCTTGCAGTGTTCTCGATCAGCCCAACTGCCTCACGGAGCAATGCAGGACAGAGTTGTTCAACAGAAGCTTGATCATTTATATTTGCATTTAGAAATTCGTGAGGTTCCAACTGTGTACCCCATTTTATAAAGACATATGAGCTGCTATCCATGATTAAGAATTTACATATTGGAATGAACAAAATCTTTTTTGTGAGGTGGACCTGGACTCAAATCACAGCCACACCACTTACTAGCTCTGGTGTATTGGACAAATGACGTAATCATTCTGAGTCCAGATTGAGTCATCTGTGAAAATTGAACCAATAAAAATTATCTTATGAAGCTGTAAAGACAAAAAGGAATGTGTGTATGTGTATATACATAGTAGTTGCTTAACAAATATTATTACTTCTTTTTAATTTAAAAAAGTTAAAAATAATATAACCATATTATAAAATATTTATGAACTAAGAAAAGAAAAAACATTACCTTTAGTCTTACCACACAAATTAAACTACCACTCTAGCTTTAATGTATTTTCTTATTTTCATTTTCATATGGCTATGTTTAAATCTTACATTTATATAATACTTAGTGTTAACCATAAGCACTTTCCACATTGCTAGCCATCATGAACGTTATCTACTAAACAACTTAGTCATTCCACTCCTAGGTATTTACTGAAGAGAAATGAATGCGTATGTCTACATAAGTCAATGACGACTTCTCCCTAAATGTTCATAGTATTTTATTTGTAATAGAAAAATGGTGGAAATACCCAAATATATATCAACAGGTTCTACTGAAAAAAAAAATTGTGACACTTCCATACATTGAAATACTATTCAGCAACAGAAAGAAATAAACTATTGACACATGCAACATAGAAATCAATCTCAAAATAGGTATATCAAATGAAAAAAGCCAGGCTAAAAAAGAGTACATACCCTATACTTCCCTCTATATGAAATTCTAGAAAACTCAATCTGTAGTGACAGAAAGCTTGCTTGAGGATGAGAAAAGTTGTAAAGGGAAAGAGTACAAAGGAAACTTTTGAGAGCAATGGATATGTTCATTATCTTGATTAAACTAATGGTTTCATAGATGTTGGCATGGCTCAAAACTTCTAAATTGTACACTTTAAATAGGTTGTTGTTAGTCAATTATACTTCAAAATAGTTGTAAAAAATGATGTATCTTTTTGAAAAGAAATCTCACTATAATGGTTCCATTGCATCATTATTTTTACAACTCTTCCCATTGCTGTATGTTTAGATGCTTCAGATATTTTGCTAGCATAAACAACATTGCAGTGAACATCTTTGGCATAAAGGTATTGTATAGTCTTTGATTTCTCTTTGGAGTCTACTAATGGTGAAAGTATCTTTCTTTGGGCAAGAATGGCACAGAAAAATCTTTGTAGTCACTCCTCATTTAAGTTTCTTAAGAGGTGGAGTTATGTGTATAGCTGACTTACCAGCTATTTAAAAAAATGATTTTAATTACTGGTTTCCTGGCATCACCACTTGGGCCACTGATAAAAATAGTAGCATAGAGGCACTTGGGTGACAATTAGAGTGGTAAAGTCAAGAGTCTCAGGCAGGAGACTAATAATGATAGAATTTTAAGCTTCTTCAAGCATCTGACCCCATCAGGCTTCCAGGGACCTCATGAACTGTCTCTGTTCATCTGTATATACTGTTAACCATATTGTTCAATAGTTGACAACACTGGTCACACAGTCACTACTCAGCACTTCCTTTTCTTCTTAGTAAATGGCGTTTTCTCTACTGTCAATGTAGAAACTGGCATATGGACCTTTGTCTGTTGCCTTTAACACTCATCATTTATTTATTCATACAATAAAATAAATGTTTGCTGACCTCAAACTATATGCCAAAACTTTGATTGGTACTAAGGACAAAACTATTAATAACACATGGTCCTTGGCCTCAAAAATTTGACAGTATTATTTGAGAAGCCGGTAAGTAAATAGTAGATTTGAATAGGGAGTGTTTAGCTCAGTTAGAGGCATAAACCATTGGGAAACATATAGTGTGTGTGTGTGTGTGTGTGTGTGTGTGTGTGTGTGTGTGTATGTCATCTAACAGACAGTGGTACACATATCCCAGACTAATGTGTTAAGGTAGACTTTCTAGAGTAAGAGGCATCTGAGTTGATAAATAAAGAAGAAAGATCCAGGTGAAGAAACTTGGCAGGAGAGGGAGGAGAATATTTCAGGCAGAGGAAACAGCGTGTATGAATTCCAGAGGGAGAAAAGGTGGAACAGTAATCTGTGGCTATGTATGACTGGGATGCTGGTCTGGGAATGAATGGCCTGTGCTACACCCTCAAGCTGTTACCCTTGGGTTGGGTCACCTCTCCCAGAAAAGATGAATAGGCTGAAGCTATAAAGTCAGGATTGGCAAGGCCAGGGAAGGAAAAGTGAGGAGGGCAAGGACACTGTCAACAGGTCCTGGAGGCCAGGCCAGGGGAGGGGCTTGCCATTGACCTGGTGGTTCAGGCTTCCACCATTGGCTTACCCCTTGTTCCCTTTATTCATCAGTAGTGGAGTAGATTTTGTGTCTTTCAGTGGATAGGACCTACCAATCCACCTGACTTCTCTTCCAAGATAATTCTGGTTTAGGTCACTATCTGGAACCTTTTATGACCTGGTGATATGACTATATTGATGAAGTTGTCATGTTTTTTAAAAAATTTTTCTTTATTTAAGGAACTCATAGGAAGTATTAAGGGCAAAAAAAATCTTGCAAAAAATTTTTAAAAAATATTTGTTACCTGGTTGCAAAAGTAATATATGCTCACTACAGAATAATAATTAGTATTAATTTTATGATATTAATATGTTTATTATAGAAAAGTTATAAAATACAAAAATATAAGGAATAAAACAAATATTACTGGCAATATTCAGAGGTGGCATCATGAAAAGCTTTTTCCTTCAGTATCATCCACATATCTCATTTTATGTATTTCATCAGTGCCCCACTGATAAATATTGGATTACTTCCAGCTGTTTGCTATTATTAATATTGCTACAATTATTATCCCTACATATGTATCTTAGCATACAAGTAGTAGTATGCCATAAGATAAATTTATAAATGTGGAATTGTTGGGTTAAAGGCAAAAAAGCATAAAGGATTTCATAGAATAACCTATTCCCCAACATATATTTAATTATCATACCCCCTATTACTGGACATTTAGATTGTTTCCAAATTATATTCTTATAGATAATTTAAAATATTCTTAAATACTGAGATTGCTTTGGGCCTAACCATTAAATGCTGCCAGTCCATGTGTCATTTTATGTTGGCAAAAGATGCTGGAGTTTGGCTAATTCACTCAACATCCTCTACTAGTATATCCAATCATAAAAAAGGGAAGGCAGGGAATCTGATAATCCTATTTGATTACCAAATTATCAGTAATCAAAGGTTTCATTTTCCAATTTTTATACATATTAACTCATAATTTTCATCCCATCTATGGCAGAGGTGTGTTAATCATCGGCAGTTGGAGAAACTGAGGCCTAGTGTAATTAAGTGCCTTTCCCAAGGTTTCCATTGGCTTGGGTTGACCTTAACTGGAGTTCATCAGATAGCACAGTTTATATTTTTCCAACTACTATGTCTTCTCACCAAAAACTGCGAGAATTACGGTGCTTCTTTTGTAACTCTGAGACAAGATAGTATCTCTCTTTTTAACAAACAATAACACTTAACAACTATTGACTATTATTACTACTTCTCAAGTAATGTTTTTAGTACTTTATAGGTATTAACTCATTTAGTCCTCCAAAGCCACTGAGATAGGGTCTATTATTGCACCCAATATATAGATAAGAAAACCGAAGCACAGAGAGGTTAACTAACTTACCCATGAACACTTAGCTCTCGAGATCAGAATGCAGGATTGAAGCCAAGCAGTTTGCTCTTGAGTCAGCATTCTAAACCACTCCAATGCATTGCCTCCCAGAGACACTTTGTGCCAGAAACCAAATGGTAGGTGTTGTCTTACTATATGTAGTAACATCACGTAGCATTAAGAGGCAGCGTAGGGATCAAGAACAGAGATTCTGGAGCCAAACTGCCTCTGTTTCAATTCAGGTTCTGCCACTTACTAAATCTATGGCCCTGTGCCACTTACTAGATGTGTGACCCTCTTTCTATTTGAATTTACTTATTTAAAAAGTGGAGCAGATAATAGTAAGTGCCTCATAAGATTATTATGGGAATAAACATTTACATAGCACTTGAAACAGTGCTTGGCATATACTTATCAGTATTTAAGTTTTTGTTTAATTGTTTGTAGTTTGATTTGTCCTCTGATTTCTGTCTCACAAAGCATACTCTAGAAAACGGTTATCTCAGTGGCAACCTGAAGTGACCAGACACATCCACAGTGTCTGACTTTGTCAAGTGGCCCTACTCACTATGGATGCCACGGCAAAAAACTGGGCCCTGAGGCTTCATAGTATCTTATATTTCTGTGAGATCTGTTTTCAAGGGAAGAATCAGCCTTGCCAACTTTCCAAATTTAGCCATAACTGGGTCACCTAAAAAAGTAGTGCAGTGTTCCCTCAAGTAACCTTTTGCTTATGTTAATTTGATATGAAGTGTTTCTCACCGAATCTTAGCACGTTGTGAATTTCATGAGTCACTGCTTCAGCAGATAAGTGTGTGAAGAGTGCCTTTTCAGAACCATTGCTGGAGGTGGTGCAGCTTGTTTCTACCCTAGGTCAAGTCTGTATCTCTAGGGACTGTGGTAAAAACAAACACACAAACAAAGAAGAAATAGGATCAGATATGATTGTGTTTATTTTTGTCTTTTGTGTTATAAAATGTTCAAGAAGGAATTTTGCCTTGAATGAGTTGGGCCACATGTCTAATACTGCTCACTGGCCAGTGCCAGGGCCTTTGCTAGGTGCTCTGTGTATGAGAGGAATTGGATCCTGGTGCTGCCTTTAAAGTCAAAAGTCGCACAGTCTCCTGTTGCTCACTGCCTCTAGAGAGATGCTTATAAGGAATTGTCTTCAATTTGTGGTTAGAGGTTGCTTTTCTCAAGCCTATCTTGACACAGGAATTGTTATCTGACACAAGACCTTCTCCTTAGGTCACCAAACCAAAGAAAAGCTGTTCAGAGAGACTGGTTGTTAGAGTCATGTGTTATGTCTGCAGTAAAGAACTATTCTTATCTCAGAGGACAAAGGATGTTGGGATGAGGGGAGACCACTAACATTTTTAGAGTGCTTACCAGAGGCCAGGTACCATATTAGAGATTAGGTTACCTTACTTCAACCTTGAATCAACTCTGTGGGGTGATTGTCTCTTTCATTAGATATGGGGATCAATACTTACTAGATAAATGAGAATAACCTGATTAAAGTCAGAGATAGGAGGAGGTAAAGCCCAGAATTTGAACTTAGGTCTGTCTTGCTCTAGAGTCCATGCACTTCCCACTGTAGGAATTATATTCATTAAAAAAAGGAGTAAACTGAATTTAGAATATTAGAAATCTTTACCTGACTCTTTATTTAATAAGTTCAGGAGACAGAGTATGAAATTTTAAAAGTCCACTGACTTCACTTTCCTGCAGAAATGACATTTACTGGTCTGCTCTCCCTGCCCCCCCAAAAATCTTACATCTTTCCTTATGAGGACATCATTATAGCCTGCTCTAGTTTAGCTCAAGCAAGGCTATGCATCAAGAAGTGGAAGGTTTTATGTGGCTTTCTCAACTTTACAGGGTAGAAGAAAGGACTTTGGAGCCTCGTGGAAATAAGTTCTATCTGTATACTTGCTTCTGACTCTCAAGTGGAGAGAATACCTTGTTTAAGAGTTAGCATAAAATATATAATAGTTATCGTAAATCACTTGAATTATAGTTGTGGCTCAATAAATTTTAGATCCCTTTCTCTTTTACAGTAAGACATTCCAGTGACTCACTATCTCATTGAAAAGGGCTCATCTGAAGATACTTACTAAGCATGTAGTGTGTCTGGCTGTTTTAGATGCTTGAATAACACTAAAAAAAATTAAGCTCTATGGCCCCCTGCTCTTGATGACCTTGGATCCTGGATATGGAGAAAGAATTAAAAAGTAGAAATGATTTAGAAACATATAAAATGCTTTCAAATATGACACTTGTAGTAAATAAAACACAATTCAGAGAAAGTAGAGACTGGTACATGCGAGGGTCCAGGGAAGATTTTCCAGGGGGGAAGGGATTGAACTGGTCTTGGGGCAGAATTGATACTACACCACCAGGTAGAAAGAGGAGCTTAACGCATCAATGTCTCCTATGACCTTTTTCTTCCCCTTTTTATTTTCTTGTTTCTGTAGCAAGAACATAAAGATCATTTTCCTTTTCCTTCCCACTCCCCTTTCATAATGCGAGTGCACTTGTTTTTACTTGAATATAGAAACAGAGGCATTTATCTTCTTGTCAGCTGTCCAAAAGGAATTTAGACAGTTTCACTTATGTGTCACAATTGCCATTTAATCCATCAATTAATTTTTAAAAATTTTATCTTGCAGTTTTGCAATTGTACTTATTTTAAAGAAAGATGGAAATAAAGCTATTTAAAGTAATACCATGCATGCTTAATATAGAAAATTTAGAAAGCATAGGAAAGTTTATAGAAAAAATATTTAGAAGAGGTCCACCATACAAAGACAATTATAATTTATATTTTGGAGTATTTCCATGTGTGTGTGTGTTGTTTATTTTGCATAACAGTGACACACATTATATACATTTCTGTACTCTCTGTTTACAAATTGTTATCATGTACGCATAAAATTCCATGAATATGCTGCGGTTTATCCACTTCCCTAATATTGTGCATTTAAATTATGTATACTTTCCACTGTTAAAATTAAAATCCTGTTGAAAATGTTAAATGTTTTCATTTTTTTAATGCACTCTGAGGTGTGGAATACATAGAATTAATTTTTTGTAAAATCAATTATTTCTTTTAGAAGTATTTGAGTAGCTACTGTCTTCCAGCTACCATGCTAAAGGTGGCTTTTGTATAGCTAACAATCTACTAGGAAAACAAAGAAAAGTAGAATGTGATCAGTGCCTTAAGAGGAGAAAAAGAAATGCACTGAAGACATTCAAAAAAGAGGTCAGTTATGACTAGAATAATAGGAATGGTTTCCTGGAGAGAAGCAGAATTTGATCTAAGGCTTGAATGATGGGGTTGTAAATTCCACAGCATGATCACAGGTGCAGATGTGGGAAAGAAAAGTATAATGAAAGATCAGTGAGCAAACCTATTTGAAGAGAACTTAGGAGCCATGTAAGGAAATTTCAGACCAGAGGCCTAGAAAGGTAAATTTTAGGCAGAGAGTCATGAATGTCAAATTAAGAAGTCCAAACACCTTTCTAATAGACAGGAGTTCTGGGATTTTTTGCAGAGGATTACATGGTATTACAGATTTTTCCTTATAAATGGGTGCAATTGACAGTGAAGAGTTCTAGGATTTTTTTTTTTTTTTTGCAGAGGATTACGTAGCATTACAGATTGTCCCTCATAAATGGATGCTTATATGCAAAGATGTTGAATAGTGTTAGCAATGGAATGTGAATTAAAGTAATGTGGCATTTTCACCTATTAGATTAATAAGTATTTTAAAAGATTAATAATAATTAGTACTGACGAAGATATAGAAAAGTAACTATTATCATTGATGTAAATTGTGCATAATTATGAGACTATAACTTGGTATAGACTTCCTGGGAAATAATATGACAGAATACTTCAGTATTTAATATGTGCATACCCTTGTATTTGGCAATTCTTCTAAAAATGCATGCTAAGGTAACAATTGAGAAATACTCAAGAATGATCATACATAACAATCTGTAGTAGTATATTGCCTAGTACTGTTACATTGGCATCAAAGGAAATGCCCATTAATTGGAATATTTTAAATAATTTATGGCATTAACCTTGAACAAAATGCTTATAATTATGGTTTTCCAAAATGATGAATTATATTTTTATGTACTAGCCTTGAATAATATTTATCATATGTTAAAAAACAAACCAAAACAAATACCAAACAGTAACTTCTATCTCATTTATGTGAAAACAAATATTTATATTATTAATTTAGGTAAAAACTATCAAGAAGAATATATACCAAATAGTTAAAAATAATTATCACTTGGGAGTAGAAATTTTTTAAAAGTTCCCTTTTACTTTAAATCTATCGACCTTTCTTAAAGGAACATATTATTTGTTAAAATATATTTTGAAAAACTATTTAGAAGAGATTATCACAAACATTATTTTGGCTACAGCTTTGAGTGTAAACCATCATGACTACAAAGACAAAGATGAAAATCAGTGTCCTCTGAGAGACCTTTTAATATCATCTGGTGTTGACCTTGTCATTTCCCGTCACATCCTATTTTCAGTCCATTGTAGCACTTAGCAATACATTTTACTTTCTGGTTTATTTTTTAAATTATCTTCCTGAGATTAAGGACCTTGCTTATTTTGTTCCATGCCATCTCTAGCACTTAGAACACTGCCTGAATGACAGTAGCCTCACATAAATCAGGAAGATGAAATGAATGCCAGTAGGATACCTATTGCAGTAGTTGCCTTTAACATAAAGTTTAAATACCTTAATTTGACTTATAAAGCCCTACATAATTTAATTTCTGCTAACATCTCTAGCTTCATTATCTTATCATTACTTTCCCTACCCTACTCCCCACTGCCCCAGGATTTGTACACGCTGAACTTTCTTCAATTATCTTAATATATTCTTCTCTCTCATCTCCTGAGTTTTGTACATGTTATTCTTACTTCTGGAAAATTAACTGAGCTCTTCTTTTTCTTATTCCTGTTGATTCCTCTGGTATCAGAATATCTTAAGCAGTGTTACTGCTCAAGGTCACAGACTCAGGAGTTAAATGTTAAATTAGTTATGCAATCTTAGTCAAGTTATTTTTGCTTAGATACACTATCCTTATTTGTAAAGTAGGACTAATAGTACCTATCTTATAACAATTTAAGGATAAATTAGTAGCAGCTTATTACATATTAGGATGATGATGATGATGATCCCTTGTGTAGTCATTGTGGTGGTAGTGATATCATTTCTTTAAGAAAATTTCCTTATTCCAGCATGTGATAGGTGCCATTTTTCCATGTCAAAAACTAATCATTGTGTATTATTGAATATTTGTTTGTTTTTAGATCCTACTAGAATATAAGCTCCATGGGAGCAGAGGCTGAAGCCACTGAGTTCATCAGAGTACCCACAATACCTAGCACAGTGTCTGGCAGATAGTAGGTGTTCAATAAATGTTTATAAAATGACTGAATTGGATAATCTTGTCATAAACCAATACATGAGATAAGATATATTGTGAGAACTAAGAAGATAGATCTTGGTAACAAAGAAGAATGAGAAAGAGTGAGAGTCAAAGATGACTCAGGTTCAGAGATTGAGAACTAGGAAAATGAAGCCATTAAGAGGATGAGTGACTAGTTTTGAACCTATTGTTGACCCCTAAGAATTGTCTTTTATCTTTTTTCTTCCACAGTTATCCTAAATGGCTCTTAGATTGATTGCATCCTTTCACATCTAAAACTTTATGTTAGAGGTGATGCAGATGCATACCTGCTTCTACAGATGAGCAAATTGAGATCTAGAGGTAAATGGCTTGCTCTAGGTCATATTCAAGTAGAGGAAAAGTCACATTTCAATAGAAAAATGTAATTTTATTTGAATTATTCATTTTTTCATTTAGAAATATATATGGAATGTCTGCTATGTTCAGACCATCATGATCCGGGTGCATAGAGATATAAATAACCTGGCCACAGCCCTTTAATAGCTCAATATTTATTGGTAGAGACAGTTACATAAACGAGTTCAGGACAGACTAATAAGCCTTCTAAAGCATTTATAATGTCCTCTAGGAGAACCATGAACAGAGCAATTAATTCTCAGTAGAAGACTAAAAGAAGATGCTCGATTGATGTTACATTTGACCTAGGCTTTTATGCTAGCTATTCATTTTTCAGTATTTTATTCTATTCTATTTCCTTCAAAGATAAGCTGGACTTTGATTCTAAATTAGAATTTTCTAATTTCACCAATGCAATCAGAGAAGAACATTATCTAATTCATGTCTATCATTTAGTTTGAGTTTTAGTTTCTTTTAAATTGTTTTACACTTTTTCTTTTTTTCATTTAATTTAACTCAGCAACAGTAATTCTCTGTTGTGAAGAAACACTGAATGAATTAATGTTTGAGGTGACAATTGTCAGCAGACTTTTAAGATCTTCTGCAGAGCTGATAACATATTGAGGAAGCTGACTTTTTGCAAAATCAAAAGTAGACTCCAAATGAGAATATTCCAGAGCCCCAAGGTGATCACTCTATTTCTCCCACTGCATCCTTAAAGGGACATAAAAGCAAAATCAAATTACACTTGCTTTTTGGTGATAATAGGAAAATAGGTTGTTTTAATATATGTAGATGGGATCACTGGTATATGGTTTACAGAGCTAAATTTAGATTGAAAATAGAATCATAGTGTTTATGAATTGAAAGGAAAGCTTAATGGAAATCTACTCAAGCTTTTGTCTCTTTCTTATTTAGAAACTGATAGAAAGATTGAGTGAATTGTTTAATATCACAAAGTTTTCATTATTTAATATAATTACTTTATGTCTTTCTGTTACTTAATACCTTTATGAAATTGGGCAAGTCAGTTAAATTCCCTATTTTTTTTTTCACCAGTAGAATGGAGAAATGGAGAAAATAATAGGTATTTCTTAGAGTTGTTTAGAGAATAAACTGAGACACTGCATGCAAAGTATTGATTTTATTGCAGCTATTTTACTGTGTCCTACCCTACTTCTCCATCTCTAGGAAAATATTAAGATTTGATCACAATATAAGCAGCTAGCCACCTCTATTTCTCCCACTACTGTATTCCCAGTGTCCAGCACAGAGCCTGACATCTAATAAGCAGTCAATATTTCTTCATTGAATGAATGTCTGAATCTGAGTTTCCTGATGCTTTTATATTATCTGATGGACCTCTGAAAATATTTGAATTCTAGACCTCTGGAATTTATGCTACTCTTTTAACAAAAGGGTAAACTGAGACCCCAAATGTTAAATAATTGGCTTGTGATCACAAAGATGAACCCTCAAGTGTATTCATTTGGGGCTCAGGTTTTCTAACCACGAATTCAGTCTATTTTCTACCACAGACCTTTAGCAATATTAATAAATAATATGTTCTCCCAATATTCTATCTATAGTCATGATTATTCAAGAAAATTTGTAAACTACAATTGTGTAAAAACTGAAATATATTTTTTAAATTTACTTACATAAACATTGTCAAAATGTAGGCATATTTTCTTTGGATCTTTCATTTAACATCATCACGTGTAATTATTTTGTCACTATATATTCTTTAAAAACATTTTAGTAGGTGATTAAGATTCAATTCTACCGAGATACCAAATCCTGTCATTTTGTATTGTTGGATATTTAGGTAATTTCCAGTTTCTCACTGTCATAAGTCATGCTCTCTTCAACATATTTATGCAAAATTGCCTGTCTTGTCTTTTGATTACTTAGAATAAATTACTGGAGATGAAATGATTGTTGGATTAAAGCTCTTAGATGATACATGGAAGCACTGCATTTCTTTCCAGAAAATGTACTAATTTTTCTCACAATTGTAGTTTCCACGGGTATTTTTCCTAATGCTTCTTAATTACATGTTGATGCCTATCTTTATTATTGGAAAAAATGTGTCAATAATGAAGAGCAATATTCTCTGTATGTGCATGAGTGCGTGTGTGTGTGTGTGTTTCAAAACAATTCTTTCAGTGGCAAATGTATCACTACAGCTTCCAGAATAACCTGTCAACACCAAATATAATTTCTCCTTATTCTTGCTTGATAATATATGCGGGTTACCTGTGTACAATCTTCTACATAAAAATAACAGAGTAGAGATAGCTTCAGCATAGCTAGATCACTACCTTTATACATATAATCCAAACACAATGAAGTGAGCAAAGTTCATATTTTAATTAGTCAAATATAATTATTCTCTACTGTAAGCTTTTATTTTTACCTTGTGTTAAGCCATTTATCCTTTGAGCATTTGAACTTCTATAGCAATTATCTAAACATTCCTTGGACACCTACCATGTACCAGTTTTGAGGGATAAGTTGTAAAAGGCAATTATTTCCTTCTTTTTCTCATTTTTTAATTAATAGTGATAATTCATAGTTTCATTTCGCAGATTTCTTTGGTATACAAAGTTTACTGTTGTTATCCAAGAAATACCCAAAAATGCTATCCTATAAGAGGAATAAAGTTCTGGTTTTGTTAAGCAGTGAGGTCTTGACACTAAATACTGCAGTTATATTTATACATGATAAATTCCCTTTTTAAATTCCTGAAGAATGAATTTGAAAAAATAAACAAGGTATGTTAAAAGAGCATTATATTTGAAGGCAGATAGATTCTAGTCATATCCTCATAACCAGCTTGTGTTACAGAACAAGTTACTTAGCCTCAATAATCCTGGATTTAATAATCTGTCGAATATTTCTGCTGTCCCCACAGTATTGTGGAGAGAATAGGGGAAGGGTGGAATCTGTCATGTAAGTGATTAAAAAACTACCAATACAAGTTAATAATAATAAATGTTTAGGGTTTAGGTTGAAATTTATTTTCTTCATTGATGGTATGATGGCTAGGGACTCAGAAATGCCCTATTTTTGCCCTGACATTCATACTCCTCCCTGTGTCCGGCCTGCCGCCTGCCTGCCTGCTTGCTTGCTTGCTTTTCTGTCTTTCTTTCTCTTTCTTTCTTTCTTTCTTTCTTTCTTTCTTTCTTTCTTTCTTTCTTTCTTTCTTTCTTTCTTTCCTTCTTTCTTTCTTTCCTTCTTTCTTTCTTTCTCTTTCTTTCCTTCCTTCCTTCCTTCTTACTTTTTTTTTTTCAAGGTGTCACTCTGTGGCCCAGGCTGGAATGCAGTGGCTCCATCAGGATTCACTGCAGCCTCAGCCTCGCAGGGCTCAGGTGATCTTCCTACCTCAGCCATCAGGATTCACTGCAGCCTCAGCCTCGCAGGGCTCAGGTGATCTTCCTACCTCAGCCTCCCAAGTAGCTGGGACTACAAGTGTGCACCACTATACCTGGCTAATTTTTGTACCATTTGTAGAGATGGGGTTTTGCCATGTTACCCTGGCTGATCTTGAACTCCTGGGCTCAAGCGATCTGCCTGCCTCTGCCTCCTAAAGTGTTGGGATTACAGATGTGAGCCCCACTGCTGGCTTCCCTTGGAATTTCTAATTACGGAATGTATACATAAGGCATAGAAGCTAAATTGGCCTCAGAGTACCACTTTATACCTGAATACTAAATGCTCCCAAAACACAGCTCTGGTAAAAGCTGAGAAATCCATATGGCTTAAGCCTGTAGGTGTAAAATAGGCATCCTATTTCCTTCTTCATGAACTAAGATGTATGAATACACCATTCAAATTTAGACACAAAGCATTTAAAATAGAAAGAGTAAGTCCTAGATGAGTCTACCCAGAGGGGCAGTTTCTGCTCAGCTCTTCACAAAAACAAGGCACTAAAGCAAGAAAGAAGAGAATGACCCAACATGCCTGGAGAAAGCTGATTCTGCCTAGATGGGTCTGTACTGTGAAAGCAGAAGTAGAAGAGGGAGCACCGCTTATGGATGCTGACATATGACACAGTTTTCATAGTCCCTCGTAAAACAAGGCTCAGTTAATGTCCTGAGATCTGATTTATCATATTATTATTATTATCATTTGAGATGGAGTCTTGCTTTGTCACCCCAGCTGCTGTGCAATGGCATGATCTTGGCTCACTGCAACCTCTGCCTCCCGGGCTCGAATGATTCTCCTGCCTCAGCCTCCTGAGTAGCTGGAATTACAGGCATGCACCATCATGCCCGGCTAAATTTTGTATTTTTAGTAGAGATGGGGTTTCACCATGTTGTCCAGGCTGGTCTCGAACTCCTGACCTCAGGTGATCTACCCACCTTTGCCTCCCAAAGTGCTGCAATTACAGGCATGTGACACTGTGCCTGGCCAAGATTTGTTTTATTTTTAGAGGCAGGGTCTCACTCTGCCACCCAGGCTGAAGTGCAGTGATGTGATCGTGGCTTAATGCAGCCTCCAGGGCCTCCAAAGCCCAAGCAATCCTTCCCCTTCAGCCTCCCAGGTAGTTGGGACCACATGTATGTGACACCATGCCCGGCTAAATTTTTTTTTTTTTAATGTTTTTCTTTTTTCATAGATGGGTCTCCCTGTGTTTTCCAGGCTGGTATCAAACTTACTGGGCTCAAGCAATCCTTCTGCCCTGGCCTCCTAGAGTGCTGGGATTACAGGCATGAGTCACTGTGCCTGGCCTGTTATATGATTTTAACAAACATAGTAACTAAAATATTATCAGAGGAGGTGGAATTCCTTTCATACACTGATATTTTCAATATAGTTTAGATAAGCGTGGTACCTGGGAAGAAATTCTCAGAATTTAGTGATGAATAGGATTAGATAAAATGTAAAATAGCTGAGTTGGATTAGGGAAATAAGCATCATAACACCAGTGTTTCAACCTTAGCTGCAAAGTGGAGCCACCTTGGGTACTTTAGAAAATAGTGGTTTCTTAATCCAACCCTCAAAGAATCTGATTTAACTGATCCATATTGCAGCTTGGGCATCAAGGGTTGCCCAAATTTATAATTTGTAGGGACAGAGGAGCACTGAATTTGGAATTAAGGAACCTGTAATCTACACCTAGATCCTGCAAGTACTAGTTGGTGGTTTCTGAGCAAAGGGCTTAGTCCTTCTGTGCTGCAGTAAAATGAGAGTGGATGAAATAATCTCTCTTGGGGCAGTGAGGCCCAGTGCAAAACACATCCTGTGAATTTAGGTACAGTACTCCCCAAACCTTATCTTAGCTTGTTACTCTGCAACTTTGGATATCTTAATAAAGCCTTCTGAGCTTTGGTCTCATTATTTGTGAAAATGCACAGTAATAGTTACCTTATTGGAGTTTTAATAATATGAAAAGAAAAACATAGATTGATTAAGCACTATTCTCATGGTATCATTTAATTTGTTCTCTTTTCACCTGTCCTTGTTCCTGTAATTTGCTAATTAGGAGTACAGGCCTGATTACATTAAATGGATTTTGTTGTTGTTATGGTTTCAAATGGCAAGAATACTTCATAGATGGTGCTCCATACTTCCTACTGAAGGCAAATGATGCCTTCTTGTCCTACTTTTACTGATGCTGTAATTGATCAATGGATTCAGATGATATCAGTGCAATCCACCCATTATAAAGTTCAAAGCAAGCTTTTGGAGATAGATTTTTCTTTATTTACATCTAGTAACTCTAACTGCTGCTTTAATGGTTCATGGTTGCCACTGCCATATCATCTTAGCCTTTCTCTTGAAAAGCATCCATGCCTTACAAATAATATGAAAACCAGAGACTGGAAGAATATATGTATGCTTTCATCTTCCTCTACTCATTATCATTTCACCCATCATTGACATCATTGTTCTCATGTTAAAAAGACATTTTGACATAATTTTTGGATTCTAGCATTTGTAGAAACAGAGTGCTTTTGAGAACAGTATCAACTTTTTGGAAAAAAAATAGTCTGTCTAATAATAATAGTGGTCATAAGGAGGAGAAATACAAGTACTTCCTCTATCATTATCCCTCCTTGTAATTAATGCTTACTTTGCTGTCTTCGCAGTTAGACTCTAAAGCTCCATAAGCGTAAGAGATTCATTCATTTTTTTTTCTTTTTTCTTTTTTTGAGACAGAGTCTCGATCTGTCATCCAGGCTGGAGTGCAGTGGCGCAATCTCGGCTTACTGCAACCTCTGCCTCCTAGGTTCAAGCAATTCTCCTGCCTCAGCCTCCCAAGTAGCTAGGATTACAGGCATGAGAAACCACACCTGACTAATTTTGTATTTTTAGTAGAGATGGGGTTTCCCCATTTTGGCCAGGCTAGTCTTGAACTCCTGACCTCAGGTGATCCGCCCGCCTTAGCTTCCCAAATTGCTGGGATTACAGGTGTGAGTCACTGAGTCTGGCCACAGTAGATTCATTCTGTCATTATCATTGCTGAATCCCCTATGCCTAGCATAGTGCCTGATGCATAACATAGTAAGTCTTTTAGAAATAGTATTTTGATATAAGGATTTGGAAAGTGATATATTTCGTACAATTAAGTTAACAGTTCAACCTCAGTTTCGTTTTCATTGATAATATGTAATTCCAAAATCAAAAGTAATTTAGAGGTCATCTAGTTCACCCATATGCTTCCTGTGGCAAACGCATGATGGTCTCTTAGCTTCTGCCAGAGTACCACCCACAAATGACTACATACACCCTCTCAAATGCTGCATAGTCCATCTAGAGATAGTGCTAATTGTTAGAAATGCCTTCATTACCTTGAGCTGGTATTTGCCACTGAAATTCCATTCTTCCTCTAGAAATTTCAACAGAGTAGGCTGGGTGCAATAGCTCAAGCCTATAATCCCAGCACTTTGGGAGACCGAGGTGAGCAGATCACCTGAGGTCAGAAGTTCGAGAGGAGCCTGGCCAACGTGTCGAAACCCCGTCTCTACTACTAAAAAAAAAAAAAAAAAAAAGAAAATTATCTGGGCATGGTGACACACACCTGTAATCCCAACTACTTAGGAGGCTGAGGCAGGAGAATTGCTTGTACCTGGGAGGCAGAGGTTGCAGTGAGCCAAGATTGCACCACTGCACTCCAACCTGGGTGATAAGAGCAAAGCTCCGTCAAGAGAAAGAGAGAGAGAGAGAGAGAGAGAGAGAGACAGAGAAAAGAAGGAAAGAAATTTCAACAGAGTAAGTCTGATAATTCTTTCAGCTGATGAGAGAAGTTTGTAAGTTGCCTAATAAATGTTTTCTTTTTTCCTTAAAATTAGCTAATGCTAGGTGTTAATGTGGAAAAAATATTTTTTCTCCTATGTGATTTAAGTCAGATTCTTCAGAGTGGCTCCTATTTTTTCCACATTAATATTCCTTTAGCTCTTACCTTTAAGATGCAATATTTTTATTAGGTTGGTTTTGTTGGTTTCTCTATGCTGTAGAGTTCAAGTCTTCTAAAACTCCAATTATTTCTTTAAAGTAAAAAATAATCAGAGCATCAAATGCTTATACCTCCTGCTTTAAAACCAGTTTTCAATCTGTGACTTTAAAACCAAGAAAGCATCTGCAGTATTTGGATGATTTTGTGATATTTCTTCTTTTATGCTTTATTTATGGTTAAAGGAATCATAGTAAGCTTTTTTCAGCCAATCTTAAATAAAGCTTGAAACAACTTCCGGAAGAAATGAAACAGTAATAACCTATGAAAGCTTCACTACCTTGAGAGCAAGATTGTGTTTTCTCCGCAAAATCTGTCTGTGCAGAGCCAGGAAGTTCCTGGTGTCTGTAGACTCTCCCACTGGATCTCATACAAGGTTCAGTTGCTTGAATGCTTATTTCAATATGCAACAAATAAGCTTTTTTTTTTTTTTAGAAAAAGGAAATTTACCTTTTTATGAGGTAGCTCTGACAATGACTAAGTCTTTCATTAAGGTACTATTGCCAGGCCAGGTGCAGTGGCTCATGCCTGTAATCTCAGCACTTTGGGAGGCAGAGGTGGGTGGATCACTTGAGCCCAAGAGTTTGAGACAATCCTGGGCAACATAGCAAAACCCTATCTCTCCAAATCTCAAAATAATACAAAAATTAGCCCAGCATGGTGGCACGCACCTTTAGTCCCAGTTAGTCTGGAGGCAAAGGTAGGAGGATCGCTTGAGCCTGGGAGGTGGAGGTTACAATGAACAGAGATCACACCACTGTGCTTCAGAAATAGAACTTTTTCTACCATAACTATATATTCAAGATAGGTATGAGACCCCCAAAATAAATATAAAATGAGTATCTTCTCAAATCTCCATTTTACAAAGTGCTGCTGTAATTTTTTCAACGACCTACATTTTGTGATCTACTTTTTGCATGAAAGGTCATCTACATGATCCCAAATAACTTTCATAGCAGCAGTTGATATAAATGCTGAGTTTATATTTTGGAAAGGTGCCCAAATCCTGAGGTAGGAGGTTTGCTTTAAACCAGTAATGATCACATGATGTTTCAGGCTCTGTTACTAAATAATACTTTATACCCAGTTGTATCCATGGAAACCTGCAACAGTTCCATAATTGCAGTAGGCTCTAAACTAGTCCCTCTGTGGCAGGTCTCCAGTTTATCACTCACACTGCTGTCAAAGTGATTTTTCTGTAAGACAAATATAGCATGTCTTTTCCTATTTTATACCTCATAAATCCCAAACTGTTTGTTTTGCATGCCATTTAAAGTTTTTGTATATGTGTGGCCTAGTCTAATTTTCCAGCCTCATGTTCTACCAGTCCCATCCGTATTTCAGTCACAATTTTTTGGACTGCTACTTTGTTCTTTCATTGTTGTTTTCTCATGCTTTCTTCTGTCTTTCATATTCTTCTTTTTCTTCCTAGTGAATTATCCACTCACTTTTGAAAAACCAATTTAAGTTTCATTTTTTGGGTGAGGCTTTTGTTGGCATTCCAAATGGAATAGTCACCTCTATTGTCTAGACGAGACACATAGAAGATGCTCAATAAATGTTGAGGCATGAATGAATGTTACATTAGAATGCCAGTCCATGTTCCCTTGTCTTCTGGACTCTGTGAGGTCATCAATGGAGAAGAGAGGCTTGAGAAAAGAAAATCCACCCACAGTTTAACTGTGCATTTCTTACCAGGGCTAAAGAAATCAGATCATTGCTTGTTACAGCATCTTCAATTCCTCCCTCCCCTATGTTTCATTCTTTTCATTCTACAAATGTGACCAATTATTTCCTATTCTAAGGATATAAAGTCTTCTCTCAACCATTCTTTCCTTCCTCTAAGATACATCATTATTTGCACTGCCATTCTCATGTAATTTCTTGAAATTAAAAAAAATGTATTGGCATTTCTTGGGAAAATTAATAGGTGTTAGATGGGAAAAGTAGTGTTCTGAAGACAAATAAATTTAGAAAATATTCAATTAGGTAATGTTAAACAGGTTTCTTTGTTGAATAATTGCTCAGTCTTCAATATGCTAATGCTATCAAAGATGGGGCATGTTTCCTAACATAATTGGCTATAGAGAGAATCTCTTTTTTCTTTTTCTTTTTTTAAATTATAATACTTTAAGTTCTGGGATACATGTGCAGAACCTGCACGTTTATTACATAGATATACTCGTGCCATGGTGGTTTGCTGCAGCCATCAACCCGTCGTCTACATTAGGTATTTCTGCTAATGCTATCACTTCCCTAGCCTCCCAACCCCTGACAGGCCCTGATGTGTGATGTTCCCCTCCCTGTGTCCATGTGTTCTCATTGTTCAGCTCCCACTTATGAATGAGAACATGTGGTGTTTGGTTTTCTAGTCCTGTGTTAGTTTGCTGAGAATGATGGTTTCCAGTTTCATCCATGTCCCTGCACACAAAGGACATAAACTCATCCTTTTTTATGGCTGCATAGTATTCCATGGTGTATATGTGCACATTTTCTTTTTCTAGTCTATCATTGATGGGCATTTGGGTTGGTCCCAAGTCTTTGCTGTTGTGAACAGTGCTGCAATATACATACGTGTGCCTGTGTCTTCATAGTAGAATGATTTATAATCCTTTGGGTATATATCCAGTAATGGGATTGGCGGTCAAATGGTATTTCTGGTTCTAGATCCTTGAAGAATCACCACTCTATCTTCCACAATGTTTGAACTAATTTACACTGCCACCAACAGTGTAAAAGTGTCCCTATTTCTCCACATCCTCTCCAGCATCTGTTGTTTCCTGACTTTTTTTTTTTTTTGGAGATGGAGTCTCGCTCTGTTGCCCAGGCTGGAGTGCAGTGGCACGATCTTGGCTCACTGCAACCTCCATCTCCTGGGTTCAAGTGATTCTCCTGCCTCACCCTCCCGAGGAGCTGGGACTACAGGTGCCCACCACCATGCCCAACTTTTTTTTTTTTTTTTTTTTTTTTTTTTTTTTTTTTTTTAGTAGAGACAGGGTTTCACCGTGTTAGCCAGAATGGTCTTGCTCTCCTGACCTTGTGATCCACTCGCCTTGGCCTCCCAAAGTGCTGGGATTACAGGCCTGTAATCCTGTTACTGGCCTGTTTCCTGACTTTTTAATGATCACTATTCTAACTGGCATGAGATGGTATCTCATTGGGGTTTTGATTTGCCTTTCTCTCATGACCAGTGATGATGAGCTTTTTTTCATGTTTGTCGGCCACATAAATGTCTTCTTTCAAGAAGTGTCTGTTCATATACTTTGCCCACTTTCTGATGGGGTTATTTCTTTTTTTCTTGTAAATTTGTTTAAGTTCCTTGTAGATTCTGGATATTAGCCCTTTGTCAGATGGATAGATTGCAAAAAATTTCTCCCATTCTGTAGTTTGCCTGTTCACTCTGATGATAGTTTCTTTTGCTGTGTAGAAGCTCTTTGGTTTAATTAGATCCCATTTGTCAATTTCGGTTTTTGTTGCCATTGCTTTTGGTGTTTTAGTCATGAAGTCTTTGCCCATGCCTGTGTCCTAAATGGTATTACCTAGACTCTCAAGAGACTAGCATACTACTGGTCTAACACTTGTTTCTTTTTGCTTTCTCATTGCTCATACTTTAATTCAGTGAGTTCTGGCTTATTGCCCACATCATATACTTTCAACAATACTCACAAATGTCCCCATAAGTAATTGAACCCTTAAATTAATGGATCTCAGTCTTGATTACACTTAGCAACCAACCGGTGAGCTCTAAAATTCCTGCCGACTTGGCTGGGTGCCGTGGTTCACTCCTGTAATCTCAGCACTTTGGGAGGCAGAGGTAGGGGCAGATTGTTTGAGCTCAGGAGTTCAAGACCAGCCTGGGCAACATGGCAAGAACCCATCTCTACAAAAAATACAAAAATCAGCCTGGCGTGATGGCTCATGCCTATGGTCCCAGCTACTCAGGAGGCTGAGGTGAGAGGATGGCTTAAACCCAGGAAGCAGAGGTTGCAATTAGCCAAGATCATGCCACTGCACTCTAGCCTGGGTGACAGAGCAAGACTGTCTCCAAAAAAATAAATTTTAAAAATAATAAAATCCCTGCTCCTTGGGTCCTACCCCCACAGAGATTCTGATTTGATTGCGGATGCAAACTGGGTATCAGGAGTTGTAAATGCTTCCCAGGTAATTCTAAGTGTAGCAAAGTTGGGAATCATCACCCAGTACCTCAAGCTGTTAGTTCTTTCTTTTTTATTATTATTTTTATTTTTTTAATTTTTTTGAGATGGAGTCTTGCTCTGTTGCCTAGGCTGGAGTGCAGTGGCATGATCTTAACTCACTGCAACCTCCACCTCCCGGGTTCAAGTGATTATCCTTCCTCAACCTCCCCAGTAGCTGAGATTACAGGCATTTGCCATCAGCAAATTTTTGTATTTTTAGTAGAAACAGGGTTTTCTCATGTTGACCAGGTTGGTCTCAAACTCCTGACCCCAAGTGATCCTCTCACCTCTGCCTCCCAAAGTCCTGGGATTACAGGCATGAGCCACTGCACCTGACTGTTAGTTCTTTCTTTCTTCTAAGTGCTGAGGGAAACAAACAAACAAACAAACAAAACAAAAAAAAAAAAACAAGGCATGGTCTTTTGTATTTTCCCTGATCAATATTATGTAGTGGAGAAAGACGCGCACACACACACACACACACACACACACACACACAGAGAGACACATATATAGCAGTGTTTATAACAAAACTTTAGGGTGGGGGCAGGAGTATGAACATGACAACAGCATGGAGTATGACAGTATGGTCGTTAAGGTAATTGCAGCAATACATCAGAGCTACTAATAGGAGGGAGCAGAGGATGAAAGATAACATTGGAGCAGGACCTTCATACTAGAAACTTTTGTGTGGCACTAAGTAAGGTGGACTCTATTGTGAGAGAAATAAGGAAGTATAGCAGTCTTTGAATCAGAGAGCTGCATAATCCAGTTTGCATTTTTGATTTGTCCCATCATTTTCTTCCCAATTTGCACCTCTTAGGAACAGGCCCAGATCTCATAGATGTGCCCCATCACCCATCGTAGGCTTTAAATTTCTGTTATTATTTGGTTAATCAGTATATCAATATCCTCCTTCAAAAGTTTGCGTGCTCTATGAGAGGTGAACTTCTGCATTATTCACAGCTATATAGTCCAGAGCATCTGTTGGGTAGGGAGAGATGCAGCATCTATTGAGTAAATGCAACAGCAATATGAAGGTAAGGAACACCTTCATATGTTAGACTATAGCACTTTACCATTGACTTAAATCATAGTGTTTGGAATTAGATCTTTATTTTCTATTTTCCCCTACGAGCCATTATCTCTCACCCCTAGAAGATAGAAAGTAAATATTTACAAGATGTAATTTACAGTTTTGTTACTCTAGATACTGTCAGATTAATTAACAATTGTGTGTTTATTGAGTGCCTGCCTATTACAAAGCATGAAGGCGCTGTCAGGAATTTTAAAAGCTAAAGTTATGTCTCCTAATCTCAGAGCTTATTTACTTGGGAGAAAAAACGTGCCAAGCATAGCCAACAGTTTAAGAACACTAAGAAAGAAATGTGCTAAATATCCTAAGACTTTGGAGAAGAATGGGATCTCTTGGGGCTTGCTGAGCAGCAATAATTGTGGCAAGTTTTCTGCCATTACCACATTTAAATGGTAATTCAGGAGCTGATCCCATTTGGACACTGTTCATTACACACTAATTACTATTTGCCCTACAGTGATTGTTATGTGTGACAGCAAGTGTAAATGCAAACCTAGATGCTTACTATTGCCCTTCCAACAGGGTAGGACATTGATTATACAAGTTGACATGTCATGTTATTTCCCGTTTTCTCAGATAATATTTAAAGATGAACATTTCCAAAGTGCATATCCATGCTTAGTAGAACTTTGACTCTATACAAATATTAAACATAGGTGGTACACTCCAGTTAGAAAAGACTGCAGTATTTGCCTTGCACATGTGTATGGAAGTATGAGGAAACACTTCAAGGGAAATGTATTGTAAGAAATGAGTTTTAAAATAAATTCCGTCTTGGTAGTTTATTTCCATGTATATTTGGTGATTTGGGACAATTGTCTCATAAACATTGAGTTCTTTCAGTATGAAAAATCTTGTGCCATAGCCGGAGGTGACAGAGATGATTAAGACATGACCCCTGTCCTCAAAACTTCTGGCAAACAGAGGGACAGGTAAATATATAATTATAGAACATATTGATGCATGTTATAATAGAAGAATGTGTAATTGATAAGACTCAAGACAAAAGATTAGGTTTGCATTAAGTATAACATTTTTTAAAATTTCTTTTTTTTAATGTTTAACCCTCAATATTCTCTAGGAGAATTCTAGACTTCTAGTTATAAGGGATTTGTTCTCCTCCTCCCACCCCTAGTACTGTGAAAAGTTGTGAGCATTTTTCACATTAATGACTTTTCACAGGATTGAGCTTCTAGAGTGACTGACTGATCAATACCTTACACTGATTTTCATGGAGACAGAAGTGCATTGCTTAAAACTCTATGGTCTCATGCCTTCTTGCTTTTCTGATACACTTAGGGTGTAGAAATCATTAGCAAAGCTGAGAATCCCATTCTCTAGGTGTTGACTTCTCCACAGGCAACTCTCAAATATTTCTCCAGATTTGCTATCTCTCCAGACTCACAGACATTTATTTTCATCTCAAGCTCCTGCAGCCTCCCCTACTCACTTTCCAGCATCTCAAAGACATTCTCTCTTTCTTCTTTACCTTCAACCCTTCAGCCACAACCTCTCCACTCCCTCTCCAAAGTCAGGATACCTAGAATAGTACTTTGAAAGTGTTACCAGACCCCACCACTTACCTGGAGTTAGTCTTTGGGTCAGGGGTTTCCTCACTATTGTCCCTTCTGTGGTCACCAGAAAGATGTTACCAGAAAGGGGTCCCAATCCAGACCCCAAGAGAGGGTTCTTTGATCTCAGGCAAGAAAGAATTCAGGGCGAGTCCATAGAGTAAAGTAAAAGCAAGTTTATTAAGAAAGTAGAGGAATAAAAGAATGGCTGCTTCATAGACAAAGCAGCCCCAAAGGCTGCTGCTTGCCCATATTTTGTTTTTTTTTTTTTTTCACATATGCTAGAAAAAGTTTACCATCTTGGTTTTGATGGGTTTTGGCCGGCTTCTTTATTGCAACCTGTCTTATCAGCAAGGTCTTTATGACCTGTATCTTGTGCCAACCTCCTATCTTATCCTGTGACTTAGAATGCTTTAACTTACTGGGAATGCAGCGCAGCAGGTCTTAGCCTCATTTTAGCCAGCCTGTATTCAAAATGGAGCTGCTCTGGTTCAAATGCCTCTGACAAAAGGGCTTCAGAGTCCGTAAACTTAGGTTGAGTGTGTCCTGAGCCTTGTCAGAATCCAGAGACAAGGGATAAATCATAGCTATCTGTTTGGAATTGGGGAGTAAGAAAAAATTTAGTAATGCAAACCCAAATTCTAATTATCTTGCCACCATCATAGAAACACTAAGAATACAAAAGAATGATGATTCATTGTGCAAATGAGGTGTTTGGGGGTGGGGCTGAAAAGAAGATGATGTGTGAGTAGTTTTTGGAAGATTAGTAGGAGTTGCTAGAGGGTTATTCTAAACCTGGGAGACAGCATGGATTGCGGAGTCAAACTGCATCTTCTTATTCTCTGTATCTCCAGTGTTTGGCACATAGTAGGAGCTCAGCAAATGTTAGTTGAATGGAGAGGCAGAATAGTGAGGCATATTTAGGGAATGTCAATAAATTTGGTGAGCCTAGAACAGTGTGTGTGGCAGGAATGAAGAGGAATGATGCTGGGGCCATGGCATTCACAAAGCACACAGCTATGTAGGTCATCCTAAAATGTTTGGGCTTGTTAAGCAGAGGAGTGATGCTATCGTAATAGGAAGTGCACTGAAAAGAGGAGTGATTGAAAGCCAAATCCAGTTATGATCACCATGGTTCAGGTGAGCTGTAAGGAGGCATGAAGTAGTGGGGCTCCTGAGAAAAATAATACCAATTTCTTTACAAAAATGCAATTGATTATTTTTTTAAAACCAGTAAGAATAGAGCTAAATAGCATGGACTGCATAATATAATGAGCAAGGTTTTCATGGAGTTCTTTAGATTCATAGGAGTGAAAGCTAAATTCTAGGAGTATTTTGCCGATCACTGCAGGAGTGAATCTGACCAAGGAATAAACCTGCCCACTAAGTGATGTTAGGAGCTTGGAGCAAGTCTGCCATCAGATGCACTGGGGACTTTTAAATGCCAGAACCGCCTTTTTAAAAACCAGAAAAACACATCTAAATATTGTCAAGAATAAATATATTATTTCATTTGTGAAAATAAACGTTCATGAGAAAAAAATTAAAGTCATGACAGAAAAACATTTATATAGTAGGCTACATACATCATGAAGCTTGATTTACTGTTTTAATAGTAAAAAATGATAATAAATAAATTTTGGCTCAGGGGTCATGGGAATGTGTAACAGAGATGTCAGATATAATGATGGAATGAGAGCAGTCTTGGGTACCTTCTTTTCATCAGAAGTTCTCCCACAAAATACCTATGAGGGAGAGAAATGAACATAATCAGTGGCAAAAAGACTCAGATCCTTTCTCAGTTAAAGCCAGACACATAAGCCAAAGAAAATAAATTTGGGATTTTCTGGCTCTGTAACTCAAGTTCCTTCTGCTACTTTCTAATCACAATAGCTGAAAGGGATTTTTCCTCTCAAATTGCACAGACAAAAAGTTGTCACCTGGATATGTACTTCTCACACTCTCCCATAAAACCAGTGACCTGAACTAGACTAGGGAGCAGTGAACAATAAGATATTAGGAGGTTAAAGTTCCCTTTAAGAAAATGATTCAAGTGTCTGCAAAAAAGTGATTGAGTTTTCTGACTTTACTGATGAGCTTTGAAAACCCATCAAGGTGGGAAACCCAATATAAGATTACTGTATTATCACAGAAGTAATCAGATTTCAAGTCTTTGTACTTTTTTGGAGGATGGGGATGGCAAAGCATTGGTTAAGATAGTAATAAACTTTACATTTTATTAAGATATGAATGTATGACAAAATTTAAGAAGTAACCATTAAAAGATTAGAAATAGTGTATAAATGTCAAATTAGTAGAGGAATAAAATGTAATATATAAAAAATTCTAATCAATCAAAAAAGTCAATAACAAATATAAAGCAAAAGTGTATGACAAAAACAAAAAATAATATAGAAAAATAGTTTCAAATATAACAATATTCATACAAATATAAATAGATTAAACTTGCCAGTTAAAAGACAAAAATTGACATTTAAATGATTTTTAAAGTCCACCTAATATGCCATTTGATGAGACAGAAGCCTACACTTGATCTTAGCCAACAGGCTGAGAAATGATGATACATGAGCCTAAAATATAAAGACTCAAAAATTTGAAAGTTAACAAATGGAACAAATATGTACTAGGCAAATGCTAAATAAAATAAAGTTGAGGTACTTTATAAATGTCAGGCAAAATCAACTTCAAGACAAAATAGACTATTAGAGTTAAAGAAGATCATGATATAATCATAACATGCTTATTTCATAAATATACATTGTAAATTTATGCATATTTAATAAAATATCCTTAGTGTATATAAACAGAAACAGAACACATAGAGAAAGTAATAAATCCACCATCACAATGAACAATTAATTACAAACCCTTTTTTTTTTTTTTTGAGTCAGAATCTCACTCTGTCACCCCGGCTGCAGTGCAGTGGCACGATCTTGGCTCACTGCAACCTCCACCTCCCAGGTTCAAGCGATTCTCCTGCCTCAGCCACCCAAGTAGCTGGGATTACAGGCATGCACCATCATGCCCGGCTAGTTTTTGTATTTTTAGTAGAGACAGGGTTTCACCATGTTGCCCGGCTGGTCTCAAACTCTTGGCCTCAAGTGATTCACCCACCTCAGCCTCCCAAAGTGTTAGGATTACAGGTGTAAGCCCACAGCGTTAACGCTATAAGATACGTTTTAATGTCAAGAGTTAAAAAATTACTAAAGTTACAGAAGATTTAAACAAGGCACTGCTATTTCTAGTAGTATGGAGGACCATCTCCATGTAAAATACAAATAAAACAACAGCAACAAAATAAGTTACATAGGAGTTAATCAAACTAAATATATGCAAAAAAGGATGTATAAACATTTATTGAAATTTACCAAAGAAGACTTAAATACAATGGCCTGCTATGGTCATGGATATAAATATTCAGTATAATAAAGATATTCCTTCCAAATTGATCTGTAGATTCAATGCAATTCCTGCAAAAATCTTAACAGGACTTTTTGAGGAGCTGGACAACCTGATGGAAATGTACATGAGGAGAGCAAAGGGTAAGGAATACCTATGATAATCCCAAGAAGAAGAGTCAGGTGAGGGTACATGGCCTAACAGACATCAGTTATACTAAAACAATTCTGATGACAGTGTGGTTTCAGGATTAGATAAGCATATCGGCTAAACAAACAAAAGGACCTTGAAACAGAAGGTAAGTTCACCAGTTCTAGAGCCAATTTACTAACCTATTCATGCCTCAATTTCCTTATTATTAAAAAAGTAATCCTAATAGTACCTACCTCATATATGAGGACTTAATGAGTTAATTAAATAGTGCTGGGACAATTATATATAATACGAAAAATTAAATTAATTCCTATCTCACATACATAAAAATGAACAAACTTTTGATTAAATACATAAAAAAGGCAAAATATTAAACATTTTAGAAAAAATATAGCATAATATTATTATGACTTTGTCATTAGGAAGCGTATCTTAAAAAAATCATGAACCAATAATTGAAAGATGTTGAACTCAACTACATTAAAGGAATGCTGGGGCCGGGCGCGGTGGCTCACGCCTGTAATCCCAGCACTTTGGGAGGCCGAGGCGGGCGGATCACGAGGTCAGGAGATCGAGACCATCCCGACTAAAACGGTGAAACCCCGTCTCTACTAAAAATACAAAAAATTAGCCGGGTGTAGTGGCGGGCGCCTGTAGTCCCAGCTACTTGGGAGGCTGAGGCAGGAGAATGGCGTGAACCCGGGAGGCAGAGCTTGCAGTGAGCCCAGATCCCGCCACTGCACTCCAGCCTGGGCGACAGAGCGAGACTCCGTCTCAAAAAAAAAAAAAAAAAAAAAAAAAAAAAAAAGGAATGCTGGGCCAGGTACAGCAGCTCAGGCTTATAATCCCAGCACTTTGGGAGGCTGAGGCAGGAAGATTGCTTGAGGCCAGGAGTTTGAGACTAACCTGGACAACATAGCAACATAGCAGGAACCCATCTCTATAAAATAATAATAATATTAAAAAAAAATAGCCAGGCATGGTGACACCCACCTGTAGTCCCAGTTACTTGGGAGCCTGAGGCTGGAGGATCACTTGATCCAAGATATCTGAGATTATATTGAGCTATGAATATATGAAGAACTCTTGCAGGTCAATAAAAATAAAAATAAATATAAATAATACAACAGAAAAATGTTCAATAGACATCATCAAAACATTTCAAAAGAAAAGGTAAACAAATAGTGAATACTTATATAGTATAACAAAATGCCAGACCTCACGTATAAGAAAGGAATCCAAATTAAGCCCGATACCATTTTATACTCAATTATATAGGTATAAAATTAGGAAGCCTGATACTGTGAAATGTTATTGAGGTTGTTTCTTCTATACTACTGGTGGGTATAACCATTTTAGAAAACAAACTGACATTATTTTATAAAGCTGAACATTATGACTTAGCAATTTTACTCTTAGATATATATACCATAGAGAAATTATTGTAAATGTCCATTGCCCATAGTAGCTTTGTTTCTAAAAGGAAAAAGTAAAACATGATGTGAGCACAATACAAATTTATATCAACAGGAGAATAAAAATATAATTTATGGAATATTCACATAATAGAATAATATATAGCATTAAAAATAAACATGAATGAATCTTTGAAACATAAAATCAAATGGAATCATGATGTTGAGCAAGTCAAGGAAAATGATATATGGTATGATAACACTTTTATGAAGGTCAAAAAGAAGCACATTTAAACAATATATTAATATTTTGGGGTAGATTTGTATATATACACTAAAACCATACAATGAAAAAAGGAGTGCTAAAAAATTTAGGAGAGTTGTTAAATCATAAGAGATACAGAGATACAAGAATGAAGCAGAACCCATACAAGAATATTTATCATTCAGGTTTTAAAGTTGATGTTAATTTCATTACTGTGCTTCAAGACTTTCCCTTACATTACATGTATTCTTTTGCATACATCAAACATATAGTCAAAAAACATAACATTAGGGTTTGTTAAGATAGCAAGTTTTTCTTTCAGGCTTAACCCTTAAAACAAAAATGGACCTTGTAAGAATTCCTCTCTTCATTTCACTGGAGTTACCTGAAAGTGGACTTGAGTTTTACTTTAAAGAGATGACAGACATGAAATGCAGCTCTTTCAAACAAAGCAGTTGTTCATAGTGACATATCTTCTGCATCTGTGACAGCAGATGCTTTTAAAAGCAACAGGGAGAGGGAGCAGTGGTGGGTGGAATTAGAAGAAAATGCTTATATTCATATGCTGCCATGTGAATTAGATCGGCCATGCTACTTTCAGATACACTTAAGAACAATCTTATCTTAGCTGGAATTGAAAGATCTGGGACCACTGAACTGTCATTGATAGGATCTGCCACCATTGTGAGTATTTCAATGATGAAATGAAGCATAAAAATGACAAAATCATCAGGTTAGAATAGACCTCAAAAGGAAGCTTGAAGTTCTTATTACTTTCTTTTATTGGGTCAGCATAAGCAAAACCATGAAATTGACATTTCTTACTCTTGACAGCATCTGATATTAGGAAGCTCCTTTAGGAAAGATTAAATAGAATCAGGAAGACACCTGACCCTTAGCTGAACTACTTACTGCAACACCTGTACTAACCTGCAAGGATAAGATTGTGTCCAGTCTAAATCCCACTTTCTGCCATTCTCATTCAAGACTCTTTTTGTTCATCTTGACCTTATTTGAACAGGACATCTAGTCTCATAATTTATGAAATAGTCTTTTCTATAGTAGGAAGATTGTAAAGTCACTCCTCAGTTTTTTGCTGCTGTGATTCATTGATAGACATATAGATAGAGCTATAGATGTTAATATATACAAATATACACAATTTTATGTCTATAACTGTCCCATAATTTATTGTCAACATGTAATTATGGTTATACTTCCTTAATTATAGTATTATTATTATTATTTTGGAAAACATTGACTCTTTTAACTTAAAATACATGTATATATGTATTTTATATATATGTATGTATGTTTATTATATATGTATTTATATGTATATATACGCATATACATAATATATATGTATTTTAACTTAATATATATGTATTTTAACTTAAAAGAGTTTTCCCTAAATATATATATAGTCCTAATGCTGTAGTAGTTAGGACTTTTTAGTAGTAAAATACATATATATTTTAAGTTAAAATATATATATATATTCGCCACCTTCAAGATTTGTATAATTTTGATCCCTGCAATTCAAGTCCCTGATAAACTTAATGAATCTTTCTAAAGTATAATTTTTATTACCTTGCCTTTCTACTCAAGAACTTATCCTGGTTTTCAAGTATTTATTCATTCAAATTCAGCTTGTCAGATAGAATTGAAAGCTATAGTTCGTCTCACCTAACTTTATCTTGCTAGCCTTTCTTTCTTATCTGACAGGCCTGAGTTTAAATCATAGTCCTGCCGCTTTCTAGTAGGTTCCAGTTACTTTAACTGAGAGCTCTAATTTCTTTATTTGTGAATATGAACACTAAATCAATGTTGATATTTTTAAAACAGTTTTCCCTTTTTTCTTTCCTTTCTTTTTTTTTTTTTTTTTTTGGTTTTTGAGACCAAGTCTCACTGTGTCGCCAGGCTAGAGTGCAATGAGGCAATCTCGGCTGACTGCAACCTCCGCCTCCCGGGTTCAAGCGATTCTCCTGCTTCAGCCTCCCAAGTAGCTGGGAGTACAGGCACATGCCACCATGCCCGGCTAATTTTTGTATTTTTAGTACAGATGGGTTTTCACCATGTTGGCCAGGATGGTCTTGATCTCTTGATCTTGTGATCCGCCCACCTCGGCCTCCCAAAGTGCTGGAATTACAGGTGTTAAATTAACTTTTAAAAATAATTAATACTCAGATTTTTCTTGAAATTCAGCATAGATTTTGCATGAGAGACATTATAAAGTTGGAATAGTAATGTCTATCATATGTTTAAAATTAAATTAAATTTGAGAAATAGCTTAGCAGAGTTGTCCCATAGTTTGTGCCCAACAATTTCTTTAAAATGACTCTTATCCTCTTTCCATGTTCCTTTAGGGAAAATGAACATCTGTATATATAGTCGTAATGCTGGAGGAATAATCACAAGAATGTTTTATAGAGGAAATAAATATAGTATATAGTGATAAGATTTTCCTTTACTAAGAAAGGCCTGGCTGGAATGAGGAAAATGAGAGACAGAAAAACCGACTCCACTAGACTTCCAAAGATGGAATGTCTTTTGTGTTCATGTCATAATTTATATCATAGGTCAATAAAGGAAAATTCCTAACTGAAAAAAGACTACTGAACTTCTCATAATTATTGTTTGCCTATGTGGTTCTTCAATTCGTCAAATATTTGTAAAAGGAAATAAAATAATGAGTTCCACCATAAAAAAAGGGAGAGCAGCTGTTTAACCACAAATACTGGAGTCATTTTGTGTAAAGACAGAATGGCTTTTTCGTGCTTCTCTCAACAGAAGATCTTTCATTAACTGGTGTTAGCACTTCTGAAAATACCCTCTCTACTACTGAAACTCTATTAGTTGAACACAGTATTCTGAGTATTCTTTACATTTAGACTACCTGATGGTAAAAGGAATTTTTTATACTTTATCGTGTGTATTTTCCAGGCAGCAGGTAACAACTGAATATAAAAGAAGCGTCTGACCCCTTAGCAGGCAACTCCTAAAGTGAATTGAAGTGAATGATTTATCTTGCGTAGGGTAAGGATGAAATTGAAACCAAAATACTATATTCATGCCAAAGGAACTATAATGTCCAAATAGCTTGCTGTTCCTTTCCACGTTTTAGTGTTTCAATGGGGATTCTTTCAGTCTTTCAAAATACGAGGAGACAGAGCTGAATTAGAGTACAGCAGCTGCTTGCTGCCTTTTACTCGCAGCTAGGAGGTGTGTTGAATTCTTATAGGTTGACCTCTTGAATGGGCTGCTCACTGGGACCCAAATCACACAGAGCCTGTGAACTGCTTTAGTGCAGTCTTGTTTAAATGTTTCCACCAGAGGACCAAAGACAGAGGAGGGCAAACACACGTCTCAAGAGTTAATGTAGTGTGTGTAAGAGGTAATGTAGTTTGAGACTAAGACTGTAAGTACAAGTCAAAGAGTTAGCAATTTGTTTGGAGACTGGTTTTATCTTAAAAATCCATGCAAATTTTACAGGCCAGGCCTTAGATTATTTATATTTGTTTTAATATACATTTTCTCCATATCTTAATCATTATTTATGATCCAGGAAAATGTCTGAGGCTTGATGAAACCCACAGCATATTACTGCAAACCCTTGGTATATTCCATTAGGTAATACACACTTTAATCGATTACTGAGGATTGAAAGTGCTCATACTATTTCCTCATTTAAATCAGTAGCCCAGTTCCTCCCCCTGATTTCTAGAAGTCTGCCAACAAGACATATTCTACAGGATCTCAAACTTCACATGCACAAAACTTGCTCATCATCTTTTCTCTCCTTCCCTTATACTCACTTTCATGGTGAGTGGCACCTTCCAGGCACTCAGCTGCTCCAACCAGAAGTTTGGGAGTTATCCCAGACATCTCATTCTCCATCAGCCCCCACATTCCACCAGCCACCAAGTACTGTCAAGTATGCCTCCATCTGTTATTCTCTCTCTGCATTAACATTGCTTTAATTTAGCCCTTTATCATTCCTGCCTAAATTATTCTTATAGGAATCCACTTAACTGGTCTGTTCTTCTACCTACTTCCTGCATACTTCCCTAGTTTATGGCTGTCCAATACTTTATGATGTACTCTAAACTCCTCAGCATATCATAACCTTCATTACTTAAGCAAGTTAAGCATCATATCCATATCCCACAGATTCACCTTGCCAACCTCCCCATATTCTTACCATATTATAGCAACATATACTTAACATCCTCACACGGGTCATTCTTTCTCATGCTTCTGGGTCCTTGCACATATATTCTGTTCTTGAAATGTTCTCCCTCTCCTCTTTTCACTGCATGATTAATTACTACTAATCTTTCATTATAGTTTAGCAATGGAACTATTGAAAGTTTTTCTTTCCTCTTCAGCAAAAACCACAGTAGTTTTTTTACTGCTTCTCACAGGAAACCATAAACTTTTGGCACTGTGTATTATTGAGTTTTAAATAAAAGTGCAATTGGCTAAGGTCTTATTGAAAAACTATATTTTTACAAAAGAAAAATCATGAACCCTTTTTGTACTACCAAAGGTTAGGATTAGTTGTGTAGAAAAGAAAGACACACACACACACACACACACACACACACACACGTGAATAATGCAAGGTGTATTAGTTCATTTTTCATGCTGCTGATAAAGATATACCCAAAACTTTGAACAAAAAGAGGTTTAATTGGACTTATAGTTCCACATGGCTGAGGAGGCCTCAGAATCATGGCGGGAGGCAAAAGGCACTTCTTAAATGGCAGTGGCAAGAGAAAAATGGGAAAGAAGTAAAAGTGGAAATCCCTTATAAACCCATCAGATTTCATGAGACTTATTCACTATCACAAGAATACCTTGGGAAAGACCGGCCACCATGATTCAATTACCTCCCCCTGGGTGCCTCCCACAACATGTGGGAATTCTGGGAGATAAAATTCAAGTTGAGATTTCGGTAGGGTCACAGCCAAGCCATATCATTCTACCCCTGGCCCCTCAAAATCTCATGTCTTCGCATTCCAAAACCAGTCATGGCTTCCCAGCAGTCCCCCAAAGTCTTAATTTATTTCAGTGTTAACCCAAAAGTCCACGGTCCAAAGTCTCATCTGAGACAAGGCAAGTCCCTTCTGCCTATGAGCCTGTAAAGTCAAAAGCAAGCTAGTTAGTTCCTAGACACAATGGCAGTGCAGGTATTGGGTAAATACAGCCATTCCAAATGGGATAAATTGGCCAAAACAAAGGGGTTACAGGGCCCATGCAAATCCAAAATCCAGTGGGGCAGTCAAATTTTAAAACTCCAAAATGATCTCCTTTGACTCCAGGTCTCACATCCAGGTCACACTAATGCAAGAGATGGGTTCCCATGCTCTTGGGCAGCTCTGCCTCTGTGGCTTTGCAGGGTACAACCTCCATCCTGGCTGCTTTCATGGCTGGCATTGAGTGTCTGAGGCTTTTTCAGGTACACAGTGCAAGCTGTCGGTGGATCTACCATTCTGGGGTCTGGAGCACAGTGGCCCTCTTTGCACAGCTCCACTAGGCAGTGCCCCAGTAGGGACTTTGTATGGGGTGGGGGGTCTGATCCCACATTTCCCTTTCATACCACCCTAGCAGTGGTTCTCTATGAGGGCCCCGTCCATGCAGCAAAATTTTGCCCAGGCATCCAGTCATTTCCATACATCTTCTGAAATCTAGGTTGAGGTTCTGAAACTTCAATTCTTGACATCTGTGCACCCACAGGCTCAACACCACATGGAAATTTCCAAGACTTGGGGCTGCCACCCTCTGAAGCCACAGCCTGTGTACTACATTGGTCCCTTTCAACCACAGCTGGAGTGGAAGGGACACAGGGCACCAAATCCCTAGGCTGCACACAGCACAGGGACCCTGGGCCTGGCCCCCAAACCACTTTTTCCTCCTGGGCCTCTGGGCCTGTGATGGGAGGGGGTGCCATGAAGGTCTCTGACATGGCCAGGAGACACTTTCCTTGTGGTCTTGGGGATTAACATTAGGGTCCTGCATAGTTATGCAAATTTCTGCAGCCAGCTTGAATTTTTCCTCAAAAAATGGATTTTTCTTTTCTACTGTATCATCAGGCTGCAAATTTTCTGAACTTTTATGCTCCGTTTCACATGGAATGCTTTTAACAGCACCCAAATCAACTTTTGAATGCTTTGCTGCTTAAAATTTTTTTCCGTCAGATACCCTAAATCATCTCTCTCAAGTTCAAAGTTCCACAAATCTCTAGGGCAGGAGCAAAATGCTGCCAGTCTCTGCTAAAACATAGCAACAGTTACCTTTACTCCAGTTCCAAACAGGTTCCTCATCTCCATTGGGACCACCTCAGCCTGGACCTTATTGTCCATATATCTATCAGCATTTTGGGCAAAGCCAGTCAACAAGTCTCCAGGAAGTTCCAAACTTTCCCACATTTTCCTGTCTTCTTCTGAGCCCTCCAAACTGTTCCAACCTCTGCCTGTTAGCCAGCTCCAAAGTGGCTTACACATTTTTGGGTATCTTTTCAGCAACATCCCACTTCTGTTACCAATTTACCATATTAGTTCATTTTCACACTTTTGATAAAGACATACCCCAAACTGGGAACAAAAAGAGGTTTAATTGGACGTACCATTCCACATGGCTGGGAAGTCCTCAGAATCATGGCGGGAGGCAAAAGGCATTTCTTACATGTCAGCAGCAAGAGAAAAATGAGAAAGAAGCAAAAGCCAAAACCCCTGATAAACCCGTCAGATTTCTTGAGACTTTACTCACTATCACAGAATAGCATGGGAAAGACTGGCCCCATGATTCAATTACCTCCCCGAGTCCCTCCCACAACACACGGGAATTCTGGGAGATAAAATTCAAGTTAAGATTTGGATGGAGACACAGCCAAACCATATCACAAAGTATATATGAAAACTAATAAGAAAATATGGGCCATAAGTATATCAGTGATAGTAAGCAGCTATAACAGTTTTTAATATTGTAGGGAAATCTACAAGAATTAAGATACTAAAAATCCACATAGATTCTTTGTGTCATTTGCAGAAATAAACTACCTAATAAATAAATTATCTAATTTAGCCAAAAATTATCAATTCAAACTTTATCCTCATTACTTGCACACCTCACCCATCCCAAAGAGTTTATGCCTTCTCTCATTTTTGTGCACTTGCTGTTGCCTCTGCCTGAATTGTCTTTTGGTGTTAACAGGACCTTATTAAGTGACTGCAATATGTTGTACTCTGAGCTTGGTGCTTACCTAGACACTTTATTTCAAAAACTTACCCTCTTTCTCTGTCTAGAAAATCCTTCAAGGCTCAGCTTGATCATCATCTCCTCAGTGAAGCATTTTCTGATTCCTAGAAGCATAATTAATCAGCTTCACTTCTGCAGGCTTTCAGGACTTCCTAAACATCTGTTTCTGCTAAAAACAGATTATAAATATAATTCATTCATTCTTTATAGAGAAAGATTGATAAATAGATACAGATAGGTAGAAAGGTAGATAAACACATATTATGTGGCAGGCATTAATGCTATATTAGCAAACAAAATAGATTATTTCTGCATGTAGGGAGGCAAACAGTAAACGATAACCATATTGAAAAAGTGAATTGTATTATATGGCAGAATGATATATGATGTTAATTAAAGGATTGGAAAGCTTGCAGGAAAAGTGCTAATAAGTTTAAATAGAGTGACTAGAGTAGACCTTTTTGAAAAAGCGACATCTCAAACAAAGACTTAAAGAAAGGCGAGTGAGCCATATAGAAAAGAGATTTTCAGGAAGAGGAAACAGCCAGGTTCAAAGTCTTAGGCAAGGAACATGTCTTGCTCTACCTCTGAGATTCTAGTTAGATTAGAGTGAAGCTTGAGCACTGGGATGTAGTTTTTTAATTTCCCAGTGATTCCACTCTTTAGCTAGAGTTGAGAAATACTATACCAGATGTGGATTGACAGAAATAATCTCAAGTCTGAAGAAGCCTACAGTTTGTGAGAAAGAGGCACATAAACACTGATGAGTATATAGTATTTGATAGGACAACAAAGTGACAATAGTCAATAATAATAATTATACATTTTAAAATAATGAAAAGAGTATAAGTGGATTGTTTGTAACACAAAGGATACATACTTGAGATGTTAGATACCCCACTTACTATGATGTGATTATTATGCATTGCATGCCTGTATCAAAAATATCACATGTACCCCATAAATATATATACTATGTACACACAAAATTTTCTTAAAAGATACATTTAACATGAAAAGTGCTACAAGGGAACTTTGTACAGAATCAAATGAGAGGACTCATTCCACTTTACCCAGCCTGGAAATGGAAGGATAATACCAAGCTGCCTAGAAGGATCCATGTTGGAACTAAGTTTGATAAATAGGAGGTAACTAAGAAAAGAACAGTTGAGGGAGGGGTGGAGAATGTGTGAATGCTCCATGGGGGGTGTGGGGGAGGCATGCACAATCAGGAGGAACTATAAGTAATTTAATATTAGGAAAATGGAGAGTTACAGAAGATTAAGCTAGAAATGTGGAGAGGTAAGATCTCAGAGAGGTTTGTAAGGACTGCTTAGGAGCTCAGATTTTTATCCTGAATGTATGGGACACTGAAGGTGTTTACAAAGCCGGTGATAAGATCTGGTTAGCTCAATTAGCTAATTTTAGTGGCAGTGAGATAAAATGGATTTTAAAGGAATCCAGCTTAGAGCACGGCAGCCAATCATAGGAGTATATCAGTACATTAGCAGAGAGCTGACGATGCTTCTAGCCAGGGAAGTTTTATAGACAGAGTCATTGTGAGGAGGGATGATCTCAAAGACATATTGACAGGGTGTAGTTGGATAAACTTGCATCTACCCAGTTGGCTGGGTAGATGCTGGTTAATGGCAGAAAAACAAGCAATGGGAAAAGTCAGATAATGCCCAGGTCTCTGGCTTGGGCAAGTGTGGAGATGGTGGTTCCAGTCACTGAGATAGGCAACAAAGGAGCAAGAGCACCTTTTAAGAAAGAATGGTAGGATATTCTATAATTGAGGTGCCAAGAGCACACGGAGATGATGATCAATGGTCAGAAAATGTGGAATGCTATGGACCTCTGAAACTTTCACTGTGATAGCAGGCATAGTAAAGTATGTGCTAACCTGAATTTTCTTCTGGATGGATTTATGAGTGTTAACATGTGTCTAAGATCATTATAGACAACATTCAAAGCACAGGCAAAGATTTTAAGGAGCTTTAGCTTGGTTCTTTAATTTTCTACAAAATGTAAAACTCTAATTGATATCAAGATCCCAAATAGTGAAATTTAGAACATGTATAGCTAAAGCCTTGTCCAAAAAGGAAGAGAGTAAACAGGTAAACATTGACATTAATGTGTTGGTTTAGCATTACTGTTTAAGAGGTTTTTTTTTTTTTCTGTTTAAGAGAAATATTAGTTTAGGGGAATAATACGTGCCCTGTAACATCTTGTATATAACATCCTGTAATATCTTATTTTCAAGATATAAACTCTGTAACAGTAAGAGTATAGAGACCTTTCTCTTCTCTTTGCTGAGGAAAAGCAGTTTTGGGAATGATATCTGCCTTTTCGTGAATCCCAGTTTGTGTCTCTGTCAGATACTCTGTTTCACCCAGTGAACCACCCAGAGGAGTGGGAACACTGAGTCATGGAAGAAAGCTGAATGGAAAGATAGGACATCTGGAGTCTCAGTTCTGTCACTACTGATTTGCTGTGTGATTCTGAACAAGTTTTGCCCCTCCCTAGTCCTTACTTCCTTTCTGTGAAATAAAGGAGTTGGTTGAATAGTTAAGTACCTTTCAGGCTAACATATTCTATGAATCTCTCAACACATCTGTCTTTAAGAAGTCTTCATAGTTCTTCTCAGTTATTCATAAGTTTTGTGCATGACTCAGAGTTTGCCAGTCTGGAGCATGAAGATGAATGATTGTTATGGACTAACATTTTTACTATGAAGAAATGCTAGGAGAAATGGGCAGTGTCATAATAACACCTAGAGTCATGGACAGCTTTTCCTCCCCATGACATCTGGTTTTCCTCTGATTTAATAGAAACTGAATATTTGCTTCTATTTTAAACATATTTTTCCTATTCCAAGAGAATGCTTGTATTTCCAATAGCATTTAGTTCTTTACCTGAATGGTGGTATTTGAGAAAGACTATCATAAATGTATGTGGTTTAAGGTAGGATAACTTTTTTTTCTCAGCAGTATCTGAAGTATAGCATCATTCAGGATCTGTCAGCCTACCTTAATGTTAACCTTGCATCCTTTTTGGTATCCTATTTATTTCAATAAGAAGCAATATTGATGTATACAGTGATTCCTAATAATCGGTCATTTATGTTTTGTCATCATAGTCTTTGCATTATAAAAATAATACTTTGAATTATCATTAATGCTTTCCTTTAGATTAATTCACTTTTTAGTTTAATTTTGTAAGTGTTATAAATGGAAAATTGATATCACTTGCTACTTAATAGATAACTAAAAATAGTTAACATTTTAGTAATAGTAAAAATTAAATGAAAAAAATTTACTTAGCTACTAAAATTATCTCACACATTTGTAAATCACTTACCACATGTTGAATACCACTAGCAGAGAGGTTAGACTGCAGGCATTTTTATCAGTTGTCTATTGCTACCCACTAAAAATCCAGTGGCTTATTAACAACAACCATTTGTTTACTCACAAATATATGTCAAGTAGATTTTATTGTATTTGTAAGCTAAAGAGTTAGCTTGTACTATTTCTTAGATTTTTGGCAGGAGACACAAGACTCCTGGGTCAGAAACAAAGAACTTCATTAATTATGACATGGAAAGCAGCATGAACATTAGTATGTTGGTGTAGGTTTCTCTTGGTTCCCAAATCCCATGGAGGAAACACAGAGGAACCCAGATGGATGCTGCACATGTAGTAGTTTTGCATGACAGTGATGGAACACTGAGATTGGGGAATTTATTTTTACAAAGCAAGCCTGTTTTTTTTTTCTTGTCCTGGAGGGGAATAATATTACCTCATTCCTCAAGGTTGCTTACTACAAATATAACCTTGAGAAACGGCTCAGGCAAAGTATGGTCAGGGTGTCACCTTGTTTGCATATTCCAGAAGAACATGCAGAATCTTTTAGGGCCCCTAGTGAATTTGCCTCTCCCTGTGTTCTAAAAGGCAGGATTTAGGTCAGGCTTAACTGGGTGGGTTCTGCTTACCTAGGCCAGGCTTGGTTGATCTCAGTTTAAAGCCTGTGGGCCTAAAGTATCTCAGTAAGATAGCTCATCTCTGCTCCACATATTCTCTTGTTCTTCAGGAGTCTAGCCCAGACTTCTTTACATGTCTCTGTCCCAAGAAGGAGAGAAGAAGCAAGGCTTCTTGAAGTGTAGGCTGAAGCTACTACAACATCACTTTTGCTGCATTCCATTGGCCAAAGCAAGTCATTAGCCAGGCCATTTTCAAGAGATAGATAATAGACACCACCTCTTAATAGAAAGTACTATAAAGAATTGTAATCATTTTTGTAATCTACAACATCAGATTTTAAAATATGTGGATTTAAATCTAGATGTACCTAATGCTAAATGACAAGTTAATGGGTGCAGCAGACCAACATGGCACATGTATACATATGTAACAAACCTGCACTTTGTGCACATGTACCCTAAAACTTAAAGTATAATAATAATAAAATTTACAAAAATAAAAAAAAAAAATCTAGAATCCACTTAAGGACTCAGAGCCTCAGTTCTCTCCATGTAAAATGAGAATGGAAGTATTTACCTCAAAGAGTTGTTATAAGTACCTAATCAAACTGACAAGAAGCAAAAGAAGTATCCAGAGTTGTGCCTGATACATAAACAGTATGCAGTAAGTGAAACTGGTTATTATTAAACCCCAAATGTTCTCATTTTAAAAACTCAGCTGTGGTTTGCCATGTCTTTCATGCTTGTTTTCTATCTGTTCCCTAAAGTTATGAGCATGTTTGAAAATCAAACTTTCCATCCATCTCATATCCACACCACTCACTCTGTTGTTCCAGATCTATACTATTAACTATAACTAGAATTTGGCAACTTTTTACATCTACATGTCACCACTCTTGAAACTGTGTAGAAAAAAAGTGTGCTGCTTGTTCATAGGGAAAAGGCACTAAGAATGTACAGAAAGGAGACTGTACACATTGGCATTTGATATCTGGTGAGCAGGAGGAGGGGAGGGTGCCATGTCAAAACACCAAGAAGAAGACATAGTAGAGACCAAGCATGGCATTAGTCTCTTCATAAATAGCAGTTCATTTTAAGAGTTCTGTTGGGATGCTGCACTGTGAAATGAATGTACTTAGGTGTCTTCTGAATACAAGAGAAGGAAAAGATAAAGGAGGAGGAGGAGGAAGAAGAGGCAAAGATGTGGAAGGAGAAAGAAAAGAAAGAGAAGTGAAAGGAGATAGGGATGGAGAAAGAGATGGAAATGAAGAGGAAGAAAAACAAGAAAAGGAAAAAGAGGAGATGGGAAAAAAGAAGAGAAAGAAAAGAGGAAGAAAAGGAGGTAGGGGAGTGAGAGGCAGAAAACAACTGTTCAAAATAAGAAACAGCATACCTCTTAGCTTAAACTCTGTATTTATGAAAAAACAGGGTACCTCCTTTCTTTTTATTTACTCCCTTTTATAGTATAGGTATGTGTGGTCAGTAGGAACACAGAGCTAGGGTATTTTGGATGTTCATAAATGTGTGTAGACTCATCTCACTATTAAACAGAAGTGCTAACTGTTCTCTAATTTTAGCAAATACTTTTAAATGTCAAAAGACAGATTTTCCTCCAACCCCCTTTCCTAGGCCTCAAGCTTTGAGTCACAAAGATAACTTCGCTCTCTGAAGAAATTGGCAGAAATGAATAGAATAAAATGCAGAGGAAATTTTTTTGACAAATTAATTTTAAGACACAGTTTTAGTCCAGCATCTATGTAGCCAAGTAGGCACCAAAATATATTTTCTAAACTGAGATGATGAAGGGAAGGGAGAAAGGAAGATGTCCTTAGAGAAAAGAGTAATGGAAATCAAGGAACTGTCTTCTGTGATGGGCTTCAGGGCAGATCTAGGCTCTAGAAGTTGACAAGGGGTGGATTTTAGGTCTTTCATAAAGTGGAAGGCAAAATCAGTGATGGTACATGATTCCAAGTATGTCGTTCTTATGTGCTATGGACTCTATACCAGATGGTACTTACTATGCAACACCTACTATGTGCCAGGCATTGAAAATAATAGCTGATGAATGCACACTATCCTATCTTTCAGGCAGCTCACAATTTAGAGAGGAGAGACACATACCATAACAAAAAATTATAATTAAGTGAGATCAGATATAAGTCAAAAGTGTGCACTGAGTGCCGTAGGTGAACAAGAGTGAGATACCTAACCTGTGAAAGGAAGACAGGAGGACCTTCCTGTAGGAGATTACACCTGAACTGATTCTTGAACAAGAATAAGCCAGATAAAGAATTGGGCAGAGGACAACACAATCAATGGCAAGGAAATGTGAAACTGCAAGTTGATAGGGGAGGGTCTTATGAGTAACTGAATATATTTAGAGACTGAGAGTTATGTAGGGACTAGTTCTGGAAGGCCTATATGCCAAATCATAGAATCCATCTTTGTTCTACAAATATAGATTAACAGGTCCCTAGTTATTTTTTTGGTTATTAGTTATTTGAAACTTCATCCTTTCCAACATTCAGAATTGCACCCAGCTATTCACCACCCCACCTCACCCATAACTGAGAACACAAATGTCAACACAGGTAATTAGTTAGAATTAGGCATTGCTACTAACTGTCAGGAAATCAAAATAGAGGTAGCTTAAGTAAAGTGGATGTTCATTTATCTCTCACAGCAAAGCCCAGGTGTCCAGTCAAGGGCTAAAATGCTTCACAGTGTTAATGACCCAGTCTTCTCCTTTCTTTTTGTTCTCCCATAATTGGCCTCAATCTTAAGTGAGTATGGTAGGACAAAAAGAAATTGGGTAAAGGACACGTGAGTAACAACACTTAAGATTTGTTTTAAATACTAACTGAGCAATATAACCTCTCTTCTCAGAACCATCATTCTATATTGTACACTGACCTTTTCTTCCTCTTGATCAAGTCTGCTGTTGAGACTTTATAATGAATTTTTCAGTTTAGTCATTATATTCTTCATCTCTAGGATTTCTATCTGGTTCTTTTTTATTATTTTATTTTTTTTCAAACTTCTCACTTTTTATGTATTGTTTTCCAAATTTTATTAAATTTTCTATCCATATAATCTTATTGTTCACTGAACTTTGAGTATTAATCTGAATTCTTTGTCAGTCATTTATATATCTCCATTTATTTTGGTTCTGATCCTGGAACTGTATTAGTTTCTTTTTGAGGTGTCATGATTCCCTGATTTTTCCTAATCCTTTTGTTCTTGTATGTTGTCCGTGCATTTGAGGATACAGCCCCTGCTATGGCCTTTCCAGGGGTTCTTTGGCAGGGCTAGATCTTCACTATTTAGTCTAGCTTGTGATTCTGGAAGGACCAGCTGGTGATTACCCCAGACAGTTAGAGTTTATTGTGAGTTTTCCTGTTGACTGGGTGGCTGCCTTTGCTCTGACACTGGTAGGGCTGCTGGCTGAACTCTGTTGTTCAGTGAGACCACTGGCTGGGCACTACAAAGCTGATGACTGGGTACTGCTATTACTTCTGGTCAGGCTGGTAATAGGATGTGTTCTCTGGCTGGGCAATTTTGCTCTTTGTGATTTGCAGTTGAGCAGGGCTGCAGGCTAGGCTATAAAGTTAGGGGGAGATACCGTTCAAGATAGGTGAAATACGTTATGCTCCTTAGAATTTTACAATTAAAGATTGCCTCCCAGTCAGGTGGAGCCACGAGGTAGGCTTTTGGCTGAGTTGAGTAGCTATTTGACCTTCTGGGCCAAGCTTGTCTAGCTCTTCTCTTCTTTGAATTGCATAGAAATGGAAATCTCCCTGCCTGGGTAAGGTTGTTGGCTGAGTGACTTCCCAGGTTAAGCCAATCTAGCACCTTTGCTTCTCTGGAATGCACAACTATGGGAGTCTCTTTGCCTGGGCAGGTTTGTTGGGGTAGGATCTAAGGCTGGGCATAGATACTAGCCATCTAGATGGCTAGTACAGAAGTTAGGTTGAGCCTCCCAACATGCTTCTGAAGGTGACCAGCTCAGCTTTACAGGTTGGCTGCCTCTTATTATTTATTTATTTATTTTGAGATGGTGTCTTGCTCTGTCTCCCAGGCTACAGTGCAGTGGCACGATCTTGGCTCACTGCAACCTCCACCTCCAGGGTTCAAGTAGTTCTCATGCCTCAGCCTCCCAAGTAGCTGGGATTACAGGCACGCCTCTATGTCTGGCTAATTTTTGTATTTTTAGTAGAGACGGGGTTTCGCCACCTAGCACAGGATAGTCTCGAACTCCTGTCCTCAAGTGATCCATCCGCCTTGGCCTCCCAAAATGCTGGGATTACAGGCGTGAGCCAACGTACTCAGCCAGAGGTTGGTTGGCGTTTCTGATCTGGTGTCACAGGAACACAGAAGTACCACCAAGATCCATGCACTGGTTACTTATCACGTATGGTTCCTTTCTTTGTTTCTACCTGACTCCAGGTGGTCTAGCCATGCCATTTCCTCTAGTGTTTCCTGTGAGGTAAAACCAAAGTGGCCTTCCTGAGAAGCATCTTGGAATGCTAGGGATGCTATATGACTGCCTCCAGTTCTCATTTGCCCATGTGGAAACTGGGCCCAGGAAGATATTCTCACTCTGAATTTGTGCTGACTTGGGGGAGTGGGAGGAGCAGCACAGTTAGATTAAGGCCAGTCTTCTTACCCTTTTTAGATTTTCATTCAGTTGTGTAGAGCCACACAGGTGTTTCAGGCTTGTTTTCATGTATTGGGGTTTTCAAAAGGATGTTCTTGTCTGTGGATAGTTGCTTGTTGAACTTTCCGTAAGGAGGAATAGAGCCTAAAACTTCCTATTCTGGCATCTTTCTGACATAATTATTGACCTTTTCCTAAGGACCTGTGTGATACCAATTGTTGGGGAATTAAAAAGTGATTAAGTAACAGCCGCTACTTTCAAAGAGTTTGTACTTTAACAGTATGGCAGATATGCATACAACTAATTTTAATAGTTTGTCAAGTGCTATTCAAAGCTGAGGAAGTGAAAAGAAGATGTGTTATTTCAGCCTAATTGTTGGAAAAGGTATTAAAGAGGATGTTATACTTGAACTCAGCCTGAAACGATGATTGAGGATCCATCAAGGGATCATCAAATATGTGAGTAATTTCTTTATTGTCACACAGAACTTAATATTTGTTCCAAATTCTGGTTAAGCAATATAACTTCTTCTTCCCTAGACACAATTGATTCGTCATCCAGTAGCATACTTTTCAGCTTGCTTTCTTACTGCCTACAGTAATTTGAATTTTCAGATATACAGAAGAAATCCTTTGTCACCCTTTAGGCATTATAATAATAACCATCCATAAACCAGACATTCAATACCTTCCTTTTATGCATTTTTTCCATTCTTCCTTTCTATTCTTTCAATAACGCTTGTGTGGCTAAGTTAAAGGCTAGCATTTATACCCCATAGCAAGACTTTCACCCTGTTTATTTTTCGAGGTGAAGTTGGTTTTTCAGCTGTAGTAAGCATACCACTGGAAATGTGTCACTGCTGCTCTCCCCTCACCAGCAAGTATTTTCTATGTTTTTCATCACAAAGTCGTTATGTGTTTCAAGCTTTGAGCAACATCTGAGTTTCCACCAGCTGTGTTTTGCATTGTCCTCATTTTGTATAATTAAGAAAAACAGGAAGCCAATCACTTAAGGAAAGCTGACCCTCTTCATTCTGCAGACTCGAGAAAGGACTGCATCAGGGTTTTTTATAGTACAGTTTTTAAAAAATTTATCCTGCAATCCACTTCAAAGTGGAACAAGGTTAGAGGAACTGTAGCTGTATGATGGCCTTCCTCTTGACTACAAACAGCTGTGCTTTTCTGAAACCACACAGTCCAGTTTAAACACACTTCTCTTATATAATCAGTTATCAATTCAGTTAGTCACATTGTGACAGAGGATTTCCTCTGATATTTTTTACAGTAACTCAAATCTTGGGAAGTCAGGGAGCCTTTTAACCTTAGTGCTTAAATCTTCTATATATTCAACTTTTTACCTATAGGTCCTGCCCATACAGTTAGACAAACAAAGCTGTGTTGCAAGTCACCAGGTAGACAGATGAGAGAGAGGGACATTTGTATTCACTGGGCATTATCCACTCTTCTAAGGAAATGCAAACTTTTTTTACCCTGATTTATGTAGATACTTGTGAATGAGTTTCTGCTATTTGATTTTACTAAAAGTTAAAACCAATAGTATGTATCTGGGAAAGAGCTTCTGACTCTACTTGACTAGAGTTTCATTTTTCTAAGACATAAGATAAAAATAATTACTTCAGACCAGACACGGTGTCTCATGCCTGTAATCTCAGCACTTTGGGATGCCGAGGAGGGTGGATCAATTGAGGTCAGGAGTTCAAAACCAGCCTGGCCAACATGGTGAAACCCCATCTCTAGTAAAAATACAAAAAAAAATTAGCTGGGCGTGGTTGAGTGCTGCTTTAGTCCCAGCTACTCCAGAGGCTGAGGCAGGAGAATTTCTTTAACCCAGGAGGCGGAGGTTGCAGTGAGCAGAGATAATGCCACTGCACTACAGCCTGGGCAACAGAGCAAGACTCTGTCTCAAAAAAAAAAAAAAAACTTCATCATATGAAATTTAACGTGGAAATAGTAGTTATGTTGGTGTCAATAATACTTTATCGAATGATATATTTATTGCATATGTCACATTTGATGATCATTCTAGTGATCATCAAATCACTAGAGATATAGAGATATTTAAAATATAGCTCCTGCCTTCAAGGATTTAATAGGCTTGTAGGGGAAGCTCACGTGAATACAACTAAATATAATCCATAGCAATGTGTTACATGATCTGGGTCCTATTCTCATAAGCACCAATTTTGTTATCAGACCCATCTCCAATATAAATTTGAGGTAGAGCATCAAAGCCTGTCCTGGAAGCCTTATAATCTGACATTTGAACATGAGTAATAATCAATCATTTATCAACAATTATGTATTGAGCACATACTATGTTCTAGGTATTGTGCTGTTTTTCTAAGGGTTGGAAACCTTCATTCAGGGGCATCTATAGTGCTCTGTATGACTCACAGAGTTTTCTAACATTTATTAGACACTATTATGTTCTAGTTACTTTAACTTTGAAAGTTCCATGAGGTGGAAATTGTTGTACCTATGTGCAAATGGAAACTGACTCAGTAAAATTAAGTAATCTTTACAGTATTATACAGCAAATAACTGACATATTTAGACCCAAATCCCTATAGTCATGATGCCCTATTCTACTACTTTTGACATCCCATGCTTCCAGCTAATAGAGACATTTTACAGGTAATTTGAGTGCGCAGTACTGACTGAGACCTATTTTCTTTGTCAGAAGCCTCTATTTACACCTGTGTATATGGACAAGCTGGTCACTTACATGTTCTTTTAATTCCACTAAAATATAAATGAAAATATTTTATTTTTATTTTTGAGTTTGAAGGGAATGCTTTATAGTATAATGATGAATATATCAGGAAGGAGTAATATCAGGAAGAATTTAAAATGTAGTGATACACAGAAATGGTGACAAAAGAATTTAGAGAATCTACCTGTAGGTGTCTTTAAAAGTAGAATGTAATTTTTATGTATCACACAGTCATATAGACTAGATTATCTGTTGAGACCATTTCACCTTATAAAGTCATCATGTTGCACTGTCATATTATTACTAAATTGGACAGAATGTGCAAACACAGGAAAGAATTAACTTCTTTGGTAACTGTAGTTCAGGTAGCTGACACCAGGTGGCAGCAGCCAGGCACTCACATCTTTTTGAGAAAATCACTGAATCATACTCTTAGGAGACACCTTAGGTAATATTTAACCCAAACCATTTTACAGTTATGGCAACTTGAGACCCAGAGCCATGATTCAGCATAGTTCTGTAAGAATAGCTTTTTGTTAAAGAAAAACCATATATAAATATTAGTTAGACGACATTATGTGCAGAATAAAAAAGAAATGGAGGTGCTATTTTGGGCAGTATTTAAAAACAAGCGATATTTTATGCTTATTCAAGAGTTATCTTTCTTATTCTTTCCCAAGCAACCCCCCTGCCTTGCAGTCTCACCCAATAAGGGAATAGTACATTCTCGGATGGGATCTTTCAAGGGTTTAAAGCCTTGCTTCAGGGATATGTGTAGTGTCTCCAAGGATACTGTAAAGTCAGTTCCCTGAGGTTGACTCTGATCCAAATCTCCACAGTTCAGTGCTGACAGGGACTTTAGACAGCTTCTTGCTCACTCTTCTCAGTATTTTTTCCTCTGTAACAGGCATAAGAGGCAACTCATGCCTATAAGCATACCCAAGCTTTTATAAAAACCCCCAATAATACTGCATAGACGAGCCTTTGCAACCACCTGTTATTGTCACAGCTTCAGTTAGGGTCACTTGCAATAGGCTTACCCTGGATAAAATAGGCTGTGCTTTATTGAAGTTGCATTAACTGACATCTGACTTCTTTCTTTTCCTCTAAAGCAAACACACAGAATATAAGCGAGTGAGACTGGAGTTGTCTCCTTTTAAATCTTTTATCCTTTATTTTTTTGAGTAAATGATTTCCAATCACTATATAATTAATATCAGTATCTGAAATGTTTTTCACGATGAACATGACCTTTCAGTGTGTCTCCACAGCACAAAAGAGAGCCACTTTTCTAGCCTAGTTCTCTAAACATGTTTCAGATGAGAAATTTGTCTACCAGAGGAGGTCACATAACTAATAAGATGTCACATAGCTGCTAAGATGTCACACAGCTACTTCAGAGCCTCACAGAGCCAGGACCAAGATCTGAGTGTTATTGTAATGATTCTGGTGTACATTTAACTGCTTTACTTAAACTTTCTTGAACTCAAAGCCAGCTACGCATGAGTGTAAGAACAAGACCGATTTTAGAGTCTGCCTTTTCACTGCTTCAACCTAAAACACAGACAGCATCTGAACCTCACCTGGCAGCTGTGCCATTTTGCCCTGTGCTCTGACACATTTTGGCTCTTTCAGTGAGCTCCCAGTGCTGCTGCTTGCAGCCAAAATGCCAGGTTCTGAAAAAAAGCATGATTCCTTCCAGCCCTGGGGATTGTTGTCAAAAGGTCACTCAGTCATTACTTCTCACTAATTATGTTAGAAGGAGGCCTCAAAAATGCCAGGGTTTTTGAAAAAAAGAAATATCAACATTTATGGTAAACATAAACAACATAAATCACAATAGTACTATGCATAGTGTTCCTTGCAAATGTGGATGTGTTGTGGGTGTAGCATCACTCATTCATTTACTCACCATCATGTTTTGAGATAGCTCAATATCAGACGTGGTTGAAAAGTCCGCAGGTGCCAACTGGATTCTTCCTTCATTTTTATATTCAACATATATGTATTTATAGCCTATTATATGCTAGCGACAGTGCTAGGCACAAGGAATGCAGCCCAATATGAATGGATTTTAGTAGAAACGTTACTCAAGATAAACTTACGTAAATGGAGTTGAAATGTGGTTTTATAAAAGTTGGTAATCACAGCATTTTGGGAGGCTGAGGCGAGAGGATCACTTGAGCCCAGCAGTTTGAGAACAGCCTGAACAACATGCCAAGACCCCATGTCTATGAAAAATAAAAAATTAGCCAGGTACAGTGGCATATGCCTGTAGTCCCAACTATTTTGGAGGTTGATGCAGGAGGGTCACTTGAGCACAGTTGGTTGAGGCTGCAGCAGGGAGCCATGTTCGTACCACTGCACTCCAGCCTGGGCGACAGAGCAAGAACCTGTCTCAAAAGAAAAAAAAAAAAAGAAAGAAAGAAAGAAAAAGAGGTAAAGAGTTGGATATTTATTTATTCTAAGAAATATATTTTAAAGATTTTTTGCATTGTTACTGTAACACAAGACACATCTACTATAGCAGTTGCTTGGAGGAATCAGAAAATATAAGACGAAACTGCTGTTAAAAATTTAGTTTTAAGAAGGGACTCATAGATCTCATAGACTGTTATTTAAACAAATGACACAAACAATTCCAAAATACAGGGTATAATTTTCAAGCTAACTATTATAAGCATTTAGAGATAAAATGTCAAGGGAGAGAGCACTTGCAGATGAGGCAAACCCAGAAGCCTTCATGTAGGGGCTGGAAATTTGAATTGGACTCCTCCTTTGAATCCACATGCAAAGAAGGAAATGAGTGCTCCCAATTTTTTTTCTTTTTAAAAAAATTTTACATTTTATATTATCTTAGAAGCTAGTATTGGGTAGAGACATAGGCAGTCATAGAAAATGCTGCCTTTATCCTGGGAGTTAGTAACTTAAATGGTAGTCATTATTTAGTCTATGACAGCCATCAGTTCTGAATAGTGTTTCTCATAGACAGGGGACTGAACCAAAGGATATCTTGGAGTTCCTTCTAGATCAAGGGTCATTGATTCTATTATACATTGCTTGATATTGTAAACATGTAACTTTATAAAAGTATATTCTGTCACATTACTTTTTTTTTAACTTTTAAAAATTCTTATGGTTACATAAGGGGTATGTATTTATGGATTACATGAAATTTTGTCACATTTTGATAAGTATAAATCAAGATTGAGAAAGCAGTGCAAGGCTAAATTATCTAGGTGAATTCTGTTTGGTTGAAACCCAGTTGCAATTTCGTTTGACATATATAGTGTTCATCAGTACTTAGGAAGTTAAAAAAAGAAGTCAATTTTAAATCTTCAAATTAATATGTATTGTGTACAAGGTTCATGGTCTATTCTAGATACTTATTAACTAACAATTTGCCTTTCAAATATTTTCTTAGCATTTCAAATGAAATGCTATCCTTATTTTCCCATTTGTGTTGCATTCTTGCTATAGATTATAAGAACAAATTTCTTTCACTCAACAATGATTTAATAAATATTTATTGAGGAATTATAAATGTCAAGCACTGAGCTTGCTGGGTGCAGGAGGTATGAAAGTAAATGAAATACAATTAAAACATAGTCTCCTCCTTAAGAAGATGACTGTCTGGTGGGCAAGTCAGACTTATAAGTAGATTAATTACACTTCTAAATATTAGAGTTTAAAGCAAGAGCTTTGGAAAGCACAGAAGAGAGAACATTGGCTGCTAGAAGGGAGGTTTCACAGAAAGGTAACATTTAATATGAGTCTTAAAAGAGAGGTAACATTTAATCTGAGTCTTAGAAGATGAGATGGCAAAAGGGTGTAACAGGCTATGGCTTGATGGCATCTGCCATCATGAAATCTATAGGATCAGGAGTTCTCATCTGTGACAGAAGTGTATTTTATTTTTGTAGGATAATTATAAAAATTGGAAATAATGCAAAAGAGTTAGCATAATGACCAGAAGAATATAGATGCTCAGTAAAGCACATCTATCATTTGCATTATCACCTAAACCTATTGAACTATATGTCCTACTCACTGCACATACTCCAAATGCCCAATATACTGTTTCACAGCTAATATTATGGCTATAATTAAGTAGTCAGTAGTCACTTATGCATTTAACATTTGCCTCCCCATACCAGACCAAACACCATGAGAAAAGGGAATGAAATTATTTCATTGATTATTGTATTCCTAGTATCTACCAAAGTGCCTAGCTGATGACAGATGCCCAATAAATCTGTGTTGAAGGAGTTATTTAAAAATGCAGTATCAAGTCACATTGTAAAAGCGTGAGTACTCTAACTCCAAAATATCAATTTATTAGTTTTCCTTCATGGCAAAGGGTGGCACTCAGACCTCTTGAAGTAATACCTACTCCATCTTCAGCATACCCCTCATTTTCTTGCCTCAACTCTCCATTATGCTCATACATAAATTAACTTAAAAGCTCATAGTAGTCTATGGATGGCCAGATAAAATAATTTTATGATTTTCTGTTGATTTTAACCCAAAATGTACATTTGTTTTATTTTACCTTTCCACAGCCCAGAATATTTTATAAGAAGACCCCTCTCCTCTCTCAACAAATCTGCCATGTCTTATAGAAAGTTTATTAGAGGCGCACATTCAGATCCCCTGAGAATTCATTACTTTCCAAAGCCATGATGAAGCATTATTCTGAATAAAATTAAGTTCTTCTACTTCCAATTAACAGCAGATGATAAAAGTGCCTGCCAGTTCTGTTGCCTTTCAGCTGGGTGTTTTTCTCTTGCTTGGTCATTTGTAAAATGTGAGCCCTCCTAATGGGGACTGAGTTATTCACTTGAATTAATGAGTTTCAGCTGAATTGATAGTGCCTAGCACACTGTAGGTATTCAATAATAGTCAACAGCAATTTTTAAGCTGACTTAAGTTGCTTCATTTGAGAACATTGGCTAAAATCAATACAATGTGGCTTTCCTACTAAATTTGACTTAAAGGGAAGATCAGATTCCCAAATTTGGTATCCAGACTATATACAGTCCTGTAGCTAGTATTATATAAAAGAATCTAAAAAGATTATGCAAAACCTGTTAGGCTGAATTTATTCCTGTGATTTCCCAACAAGTACACAAGATACTCCAGCATACCTATATACATTTTTGAGCCTTAGATTCTTCCTCCTAGAGGAATATCTGGCACAGAGTAGGTCTTCATCAAAATAATAGCTAAAAACAAATGGGATAACATGTCATGTGCCATATGTTAGAGCATAGCCCATTTTCTTGTATCTCATAGTCACTCAGTAACTATTGATTTAATCAATTTAAAATTAAAATAGAATTAAGATCTAGCATAAACTAACTTAGGAAACCTTTTAGATCTAAACCCAAGAAGATAAAATGCAAAAAATGTATTGATCAGGAAATAGTTATATTCAGAGGACCGAAGAGACACAGTTAGCAAGTTCAGATTATAGTGCAGCATATGGTGCCTAATGCCTAATAGCACATATTTGCATGTTGAAGCTTTTAATTAGAAGGGATTACAATTCCTCTGAGATTCTCGTAGCTCTGGATGGAGAGCTTTTAAAAGAAATCAATATTATATGCTTATTATATTATAACCTTTGTGGAAAATCAATAATATGTTTGCTGAAAAAAATATTTTATGTGTCAACTGAATTATGGAAACTTCTCGTGCCAACAGTGAAACCTAATGATTTATTTAATTACATTAAGTGAATTACTTTATTATATCAGTATATTATACTAATTTACATATGCACACATTGTCTGTGTCTCTAATTGTTCCCTAAGTTATGCCATCTCCCTAGGTCCCCTTGGCTTACCTCTTCATGGCAGAAGCTGTATCTTCTGTGTCTGGTTAACAACCAACTCAGTGTTTGTTTACTTTTAAATGATTTTTGTTATAATGACAACAGTAATAATAGATAAAAGTTCAGGCAATATAAGCACTTTGTTGGGTACTCTACATACTGATAGGAAACATACATCACTCAAAATTAAATATTTGCCTTCATACAATATCTATTTATTCATTCATTTATTCAGCAAGCTACTCAACATCCATTGAGCTGCCAGGCGTGGAATGGTCACTGACAGAGTCAAAGAAAAATCTGTCATGACTCTCTGTTGGTAACAAGCTTTTGGGGAGAAAAAAGATAAAAATGTTATAATAAAATGTGACAGCTCTAATGATGGTATAAAAAATGTTTTGAGGGGCTTAGGAGAATCATAGCTAACTGCTGGAGGAGACCCTGAAGTCTTTGGAAGAGTACTCTTGAAGCTGAGACTCAAATTTGCATTTCAATTGAATAGATGCAAAAAAATAAAGAAGATAAGGAATCAATAGCCTTCACCAAGTCATGGAAATGTGAACTATGAGTTATACACATCTGAACGGAATTTGGCGTAGGTGGACTATGCCCTGAGAGCTGGAATGTTTAGGCAGAGGAATAAAAAGTGGTGTGTGTATAGGGAGCTGGGGAGCGGTAGGTATTTGAAGTATAAAGAAAGTAAAGGAAGGTGAAGTTAGAAGCGAAGATTTAAGGCAGTTTGTAGAGGGTCTTGGATGGCAGGATTAGGAGTCTAGAATGTGTGCTGTGATTAAAGGGAGCCAAAAGGATGCTAGCAGAGCCCTGATTGGTTTAGAGTTTTATTTAAGAAAAAAAGGTTTCTGCTTGTTTCCTTATACAAGGAGACATACATTGCAAAGATGCCACAATTTTTAGGAAAGAAGCATGTGTGCTATACCCATAAGAATTCACTACTGGGGAATAAGTTCTTGCTTTATAAACTTTCTAAGAATAGTCAAGTTCACCCAGACCAGAGTTGAGCTTTAGATTTAAGGATGCTTAGCTTGCCACCTTGTGGCTGACAGTGAATGCTGCACACAAGGGATGTAATCTGGGAAATAAACCAACTCCAAACCACTTAGTGAAGTTTTTTTATTTGTTCAAGTTCATCACAAGCGTTAGAGATAATAATAAGAATAATAACACTTAGAATAAATATTAATGAATACTAGAGTTAAAAATCTTTGAATGATCCTTGACTCCTTTATCTTTCTCACCCCTTACATATAATGTATCTATAAATCCTGTCGATGAGATTTTCCAAATCTGATATATAGTCACGTTATAAGTGTTTTTCTTGATAATTCCAGGTTTTACTGAGAGTATGGAAAAATCATAGTTCTCATATGTTGCTGATAGTTTGTAAATTGGTATATTTCTGACAAAAATACAACTACTTTGTAGTAAGATCATTGGAGAAAGCACGGAACAGATATCTAGAAAAATTGAAGATGCATATAGTCTAAGACCCAGAACTCCTCTACTCTCCTAGGTATATATGTTCTAACAAGAGTTTTACATATGTGCACCAAAAAACACATGCAAGGATTTTTAGCAGTATTGTTAGTTTTGTTATTCCGGAAAGGAAAATAATAGAAAAAGCCCAAATATCTCTCTCAGAAAAAAAAAAATGGTACATTGTGATATACTAATAATAACATACTGTAAAAAATTAAAAAGAAATGATCTAGTTTTGCACACATCAACATAAATAAATTTCTCAATGAAATGTTGTAGAAAAATAGCCACAATATGATACTGCTTACATAAAGTTCCAAAATAGATATAAACTAAGCATTTTTAAGGAATACTGTATCAGTAAAGATCATATCAGAGAAATGGAACCAGTATGTGTATATATATTAATATGTGTATATAAACAAATTTATTTTAAGGAATTTGCTTTTGTCATTGTGGGAGCTAAAATCAATAGGGCAGGGCAGCAGGCTGGAAACTCTTCAATAGGCACTAAGCAAGAAATCCACAGATGAAATCTATTCTTTCTCATGGAAACCCTAGTTTTGCTTCTAAGACCTTTCAAATGGTCAGATGAGGCCCACCCAGAATATCAATGATAATTTCCTTTACTTAAAGTCAACTGATTGTAGATGTTAACCACAACTACAAAATTCCTTCATAGCAACACCTAAATTAAGTAATTGAATACTATAATTTAGCCAAGTTGACACATAAAACTAACCATTACAATTACCTGTCTATGTAGTAAGACTATTGGGGAAAACAGGGAATTATACAGATAAAATTCCACAATTACCTCAGGGGAGAGGCAGACAGATATGACCCGGGATGGATACCCAGGGGCCTCCATTCTGCTGGTAATACTTTTTAAAGATGGATGGCAGTTATGAGGAAGTTTGTTACATTATTCCTTATAGATTGTATAGCTGATGTAAATTACTTTGTTATGTAGGGCCATTATCCTTAGCAAACTAACATAGGAACAGAAAACGCAATACTACATGTTCTCAATTATAAGTGGGAGCTAAATGATAAGAACACATGAATGATTCCATAATGAGTTTGAAATATAATTTTTAATCACAATACAAAATAATTGTTTGGTAAGAGTGTGGGAGTACTACATGTGTAATCTGGGGAACAGAGGCTCTTCACCCTCTAACCCAGCTTGTCCAACCTGCGGCCTGTGGGTCACATGTGGCCCAGGACAGCTTCGAATGTGGGCCAACACAAATGCAAAAACATTTGAATAACATCGTGGGACTGTTTTGCAATTTATTTATTTATTTTTAGCTCATCAGCTATCAGTGTGTTTTATGTGTGGCCCAAGACAATTCTTCTCCCATTGTGGCCTAGGGAAGCCAAAAGATCGGAGACTGGATACTCTTGCTCTAACCATTTAGGGTTGTTGCTATGAGCCAAAACAGAAATACGAGTCAGGAAGAAAGACTAAACACATGTTAGGTCAGATGCTCAAGTTTACAAAAAATAACTGGGGGTGCATTTTTGATGAGAGGCTAACACAGAGTATCTTTATACCCACTGTCCACTAGGCCCCAATCTCAAAGCTGGATATGGTTGCTTAAAGTCCACCTGCTACCTGACCATGTCCTGTCTCCTATCAGGCAAAAGATGGGCCCAGATGGGAGTGAACTTAGTCACCAAGTGTTACAAAATTCATTTTTTTTGTTACTTCTTATCTCCTCTGAGAAAAGATGTTGGAGGGTTGAAAGAATAAAAGACATGGACATTTGGAATGTTGTGTGGGTGGGCAAAAGAAAACTTGGAGTTTGTGGCCCCTAGATGCTTCCTACTGTAGGAAATGCAGATGGGCAGGGGCTGAGCTCATTGGCCTGCAGGCTCTGCCACTTGCCTGTCTCAGGCACCAGCACAGGTTCTCTAAATGCCTCCCAACTGGTCTCCCCAACTTTTGCCCTCTCCCTTTGAATCCATTCTCCTTTGGCAGCTAGAGTAAGCTTTTAAAAAATTGTAGTAAAAAATTCATAAAATTTTAGTCTATGTTAACCATTTTAAACTGTACAGTTCAGTAGTGTTAATTATGTTCACTTTGTTGTACAACAGATCCCCCGAACTTCTTCCTCTTGTAAATCTGAAACTTTATATCCTTTAAACAGCTCCCTATTTCTTCCTCTCTCTAGTCCCTGATAACTACCATTTTACTTTCTGTTTCTGTGAATATCACCACTGTAGGCACTTCATATAAATGGAATCATACACCATTTGTCTTTTTATTACCAACCTATTTCACTTAGCATAATGTCCTTAAGATATGTCCATATTGTAGCTTGTGACAAAATGTCCTTTCTTTTTTAAAGCTGAATAACATTTTATTGTGTGTGTGTGTGTATATATGGATATTTCTAACCACATTTTGTTTATTTATTCATCAACAAACATTTGGGTTGCTTCTACCTCTTAGCTATCATGAATAGTACTACTATGAACATGGGTGTGTAAATATCTTTTCAAGACCTTGCTTTCAATTCTTTGGGATATATACCCAGAAGTGGGTTTGCTAGATAATATTGTAGTTCTATTTTCATATTTTTGAAGAACCTCCATACTGCTTTTTATTGCAGTTACATCCTCTTACAGGCTCACTAAGAGTTCAAGAGTGAGCTTTTGAAAATATATATCAGGTCATATCACTCTCCTGCTGAAATTCTTTGTTGACTTCCCATTTTTCTTAGGATGGGGACCCAAATCCTTCCCAAGGCTAACAAGGCCGTATGTAATCTTATTCCAGGTTACCTCTCCTTCCTCATGTTTGCTTCACTCACCCCTCTTCAGAAAGCCGTGTCAATTCCTTGAACCTACCACACTCTTTTCCAACACAAAGATTCTCATGGTTGTTCTTCCTTTCATTTGAAAGGCAGCTTACCCACCTCTTCACATGGGAGATATTCTCATTCCTCTGACTTCAGTTAATATGTCATTGTTTCAGAAAGCATCCTTGACATTCTCTAATGAATATGGTTCCTTCTTGTGCTCTCTTGGAGCATCTTATTTCCTTGACTTTATTTCCTTCATTATTATTATTATTATTGAGACAGAGTTTCACTCTCGTTGCCCAGGCTGGAGTGCAGTGACTCAGTCTCAGCTCACCGCAACCTCCCCATCCTGTGTTCAAGTGATTCTCCTGCCTCAGCTTCCCGAGTGGCTGAGATTACAGGCATGCGCCACCATGCCCGGCTAATTTTGTATATTTAGAAGAGACGGGATTTCTCCATGTTGGTCAGGCTGGTCTTGAACTCCCGACCTCAGGTGATCTGCCCACCTCGGCCTCCCAAAGTGCTGGGATTACAGGCATGAGCTACCGCACCCGGCCCATTTTCTTTATTTTTAAATTATGTTAGTCACCACCACTAGAAGGAAAGCTCCACAAGAGAAATAATACTGCCTATCTTGCTTGTACACTGTTGAATCCCTGCAGCTAGTGCACCTAATAAAACTGGTAGTCGTTCTGCCCTCAAGATTGAGCAAGTCCTATCCACATTAAGGAAAGAGTAATGATTTTTAGGGTTAAAAACTGCCCCATTTGGGAAGCTTCACTGTGATTGTTAATTTTGCATATCCAGGTAAAACTTAATAGTTTAGATAAAAGGATGAATTGATACAAGGATGAAGAAGAAAATAAAACACACAGAACTACAAATGAAGCCATGAACTGAATGGACGAAGATATGCCCAAGCAGAGACTAGAAGTTGCTCATGGGTTTTAGAGAATTTGAATTGAATTCAATTTAGAATTGGACTTTCTGTGATGAATAGAGAATGTGCACTAACTCTTCTTTATCAGCCTGGCCAAGTCTCTAGAAGTGAAAGTCTAAACTTTATGGCAGTGCAGTCATTCAAATCATATCCTCATGGATGATACTTTATCATTTATCTTTCAAATTTTAATTGAATATTCCCCCCAAGCACTCATTCTTCAAGGTTTCCTGACACCTTAGTTTCATGTTGCCAATTTTAAGAAGAAATTATCAAACTTATCTATATTGTAACATGTGAATGGTCCACAATACATTTTAATTTTAATCTAACACAACCGTTTAAGACTGTACCAACCTTCTCAAGGAAAGAATTGTAAGAAACTGCCTTTAAGCATCTTAAATCTCAAGAGAGGAAGTTAACCTTTATGGTTCCTCCTCCGTGAGTTCTAGTCTGCTGTTCCTTTGACAGTATTGTTGCTGTCTCTTGGATTCATACCTTTCCGTTCTTTAAGAGTAGACTGTGATATCTTATTCTCCAAGAAACTGCTCCTTTATACGGCCAAAGCTAGGTTAAATGACCTCTGGGGGAGCATGTGAATATGATATTTTATTTGATATTGTATTGATTCTAACATGCACTTTTTAAATATTTGTATCTCTGAAATCAGCATGCATCTTAACTATGACATTTTAGGTTGATAACATTTATCAGTCTTATCAACTGAAAACAGAGCTCACTGGTCATTGCGTTTTCTCTAAATATTACCAGGGTCTATTACAGTGCATCAGTGACTCATTTTAAGTGCTCAGTGAAATGAGGGATGAATAAAAAGATTACAAACTCAAGGACAATTTTATTGTAAGAACAATACAAAGTGACAAAGGTAAACCACATTTTGGGGGGAATAAGATAGATTAGGAGAGACTGTGGAAAAGGTGACATGAAAAGAATCTTAAAAAGAGCAAGGTATTTCTCACCTGTGATTTGGGAAGCATCATTTCAAGACAGAAGGAAAAGCATGAGACAGGAAGGTGAGAAAAGATTAGAAAGATAAAATGGCTCCAGGAAAGAGCTGCTGAGCTAGTTTGAAAGGAATGCAAATGAGTGAAAAAAATCAGTAAGAGATAGTACTTTAGCAAGAGATTGAGAATGTTGTGAATTTCACATCAAAGTGCGTGCGTTTTATTCTGGAGCAGGAGGAAACTACTGAAGGGTTTTAAAGGGGTGAGTGATATAGCCAAACTTGTGTTTAAGGAAGATGTATCTGAGGGTGATTAGTTAAAAGAATTGGTTGATGGAGAGTATATAGATAAGGAAACCAGTTACTAGGTGGCTAATATTCACTTAACAAACATTTATTAGGACCCACTGAATACCTGGCACAGGTCCTACAGCCATAAACAAGACTCAATCCTTGCATTCAAAGATCTTATAGTGTATAAAAAGTAAACAATTAAATAAACAGACAAAAATGATAGATTAAGTAAATGTCCTGTGAGTGCACAGGTAACTATGAGTTCTGACCGCAGTCTGGGGGTGAGGTGTAGATGACTGATGGAGGCAGTGAATAAATTATGGAGGCTCCTGGAAAGATTGTCATCTTAACTGAACTTTGACGTTAAAGACATGGCAAAAGGCATGTGGAAGGTAACAAGTGCAAAACATTGGAGGTGATCCATTCCTCTTACTCTGAGTTGCAAATAATTCAGATTGGTGAAATTCTAGATTTTGGGGAATGTGGTGGGAAAAGATGAAGAAGCAGAGAAAGGAAAGTTGGTGTGTTGGGGTAGAAAGAAGCAAGAGATATGTTTGGAAAGAGAAATTGAAGGCAAGTGGAATATTCTAGGGAGAAGAAACAAGGGTGTGATGGGGGAGTGGACAATGGAGATAAACAAAAACAAATATATCTGCTGATTTAGAGTCCATTAAACTTGTATTAGATCCATTCACTTGGTAAAATGTACTAAACCTCTTCTATGTGCCAGGGGGTTACTGAGATAGCTACAGCTGTAGTATCACTGCTTTCATCAGGGAGCTCTCAGTCTAATGTAAACCATCTTGGCCTTCACTCTGATATTAGGAGTCATGTTCTGGCAATTTAGTTAGATGGACCCCACTCTGGAAGACATGAGAGAGGAAAGATGCTGAGGGATCATCTTCATCTGTGTAATTTTGTATTTGGGTGACCAGAGAAATGGCAGTGTCATTAACTAGGTTATTTCTATTTATACTTTCTCCCAATTGCATTCTATGGCCCAGCAAGGATAAAGGGAAGCTTACAGACCTTAGCTTTTAAACCAAAGGACCAAAGTATCTACCATACTCAGAAGAAACATCTGAGTCAGAGAGTAAGAAATGCATAATACTTGAGAGACAATATAGTGTGTGAATTAAAGGTGGAATTACAAGGATAATGAGGTATAAATCTCATTCTATCCACTAGTTGTGTGAACAAGTTACTTATTTAATTTCTTTCTCCCTGTATTTTCTCATCTGTTAAATGAGGGAAATAAAACAGTAACTACTCCATAAGTTTGTTTAAGGATTAAATAAATTAAGGCTTGTAAAGCATTAATACATATGCACGTCATGTCACAGGCAGTAATCTGAAAGATGACACTGTCAGTTCCCAGCAGGGCAGCAGGACAAGAAAATTAGAAAACTTTCTGGGTTTTCTTGATTTGGGGCTTACATCTTAAGAGTATAGTAAGCACAAAATAACATTCTACAATTGCACATTAAGTTGCATATTAAGCATCTAGATCAAGTATAAATATGCTTTTATTATTTCCAAAAGGCATTTTATTAGACACTATTGTATTTGGAGAATATTTAAACCACCATAAGCAAGCATGGATTATAAAGCAACCTTATTTGAGGAAACATTAATATTTTTATTAAAGTGTCTGATTGTGAAATAAACCTCTTTGATTGGAACACACTAGTAATAGGGCCACACTTTCTGCCTTATTTTTCAACTTTCCCATGTTCCAATGCCATTGACACCAGCTCATTATGAGGTGCTCTAAAACAAAGGCAGCTGGATAGATCAAGCCCATTTGCACCACCACCAGAGACAATTCACAGTGGTTGCCTACCTGGACCCCTGAGTGTCTTCCCATAGAAAGGACAGCTGTTCATAACTGCTTCTTGGTACAGGAAGTATGTTGAGGAAAAAGGGAGCTCAAAGAGCTGGATTACCTAACGCAACTAGAATTTAATTTCGACAGAGTCACAGATTTTTGCTTTTTTTAAACTACTGTATTTCTAGCACTTAAAATTTAGTGATTAGCATATAACACGCTAGATAAACATTCTGTTGGATGAATGAATAATGGTGCTTCCCACTAGGAAGGAACTTTAGTCTTTATAGTGTCACAGAGGATATATATGCCAATCGACCACCCAGGAAGTCCCAGGACCAGGAACAAAGTCTGCTGGAGATCATCCAGGAGATATTCTAGGTTCAGGTGGGTAACTGATCTCATCCTTGGAAGTCAAATATAATGGGAAGGCTAGGCAAGTGCCAATTTCACAGGTAGGTTCTGAAGTCCAAAAACTCACATGGTTAGGAAGAGTAGCTTGAATGAGCAGTGAAGGCAATTTCAGCACCTGTGTCTGAGACTTTTTTTTTCTCTGCCTGCTGGACAGAGATGATCATCATAAGTGGAAGATACCAAGAGTAGGAGTGTTGACCTAGCTAGAGGTGTGAGTAGAATTTGGGTAAGATGGCCTCACATACAGAAAAGGCACTGGATCAAGAGAAGTGGCAGCAAGGCCTTAGCAGCTCATTTTACCACCTTCAGAAAGTTTGTGCTGTTCTGTAGGGATGCTACAATACTCTACAATACTGGTAATAGCATGGTGGAAGCCTGTTCCCTGTAATGGTGATAAGGCTGAATTGAGCATATACATGCATGTGTGTGTATGTGTGTGTGTGTGTGTGTGTGTGTGTGTGTGTGTATAGGCTCGTTTTACAATACTTGGAAAGATGACTGCATGACACTGGTAGAGAAATAGGAATGCTGGGTGTGGTGACTCATGCCTGTAATCCCAGCACTTTGGGAATTTGAAGCAGACAGATCACTTGAGGCCAGGAGTTCGAGGCCAGCCTGGCCTACATGGAGAAACACTGTCTCTACTTAAAAATACAAAAAATTATCCAGGCGTGGTGGTGCAAGCCTGTAATCTCAGCTACTTAGGAGTCTGAGGTGGGAGAATCTCGTGAGCCCAGGAGGCGGAGGTTGCAGTGAGCTGAGATTGCGCCACTGCACTCCAGCCTAGGTGACAGAGCGAGACTCCATCTCAAAAACAAACAAACAAAAAAAGAGAAATAGGAAGAATCTTATATTTCCTAAGCACCTGTTAGGAGGCGGGTCCTGGCCCAAAGAGTTTGGGCATATTATCTCATCAATTTCCTATAGTGACACTGTCATACATTATTAGTCCAATTTTAAAATGAGGAGTCTGAGTTTCAGAGAGCCTTCATACTTCCCTAAAGTCGCACTGCTGGTTGGTGCAGGAACAGGATTTAAACCCAGGAACTGAGCTGCAGGGAATTTGCATCGCTTGAGGAAGCATTTTGCTGAAATGAACATTTCCTCTTTTCTGGGCACCAGGTGCACTGAGCAAAACATGTTTCTAGCTTTTAGTAGTGAATGATTCTCACTCACAGATGCTGTAGCAGTTGCACAGCTGGTGGATTAGTCAGACAGGGACTGCCCACAAGATCGTACAGTGCTCAATAGAATCCAGTGGCAGTTATCCCTGGAAAATTACTCAGACCATGTTTGAAGTTTTGCTTCAAATGGATGAACTACTGTTGAGTTTGCTCCCAAATCATTGCTTTGATTTCTTGGTACCAAAGCAATTTGACTTAAAGCCTGGTCCTCTCCAGCAAATTTATTCCCGGCACATCCCTCTTTCATTTGTCAGCTGGAAACCCCTTCCTTTGCATCCTTCAGCCAGTTCTCAAAATTAACTCAACTGAACATGGATAAACCCTTTCCAGGACTAGAGAATTTTTCCTTATCACAAAACTTATACCACACTGAACCTTCTCCAGTACAACAAAGCAAATACTTGATCATGTTTTACATATTCTAATTCTTTTTATTCCTCAAAGAAATATATGTAGCTCCAAAAAATGAAAGTAATAGTCATCCAGAAATAACCATGGTCAACATATTAGTATATTCTTCCAGACCTCTTCCCTGCCTTGCATACACTTTAATCTATTTTATTGGGCTTATTTGAGGTTGGTACACTCAAATGTGAGTCAAGCTGCTGACCTGGGGTTTAGATGGGCTCGTGTAAGAATACTTAGTGTGGTCTCCGTATGTTTATTGTGGCACTATTCACAATAGCAAAGACTTGGAACCAACCCAAATGTCCAATAATGATAGACGGGATTAAGAAAATGTGGCACATATACACCATGGAATACTATGCAGCCATAAAAATGTTGAGTTCATGTCCTTTGTAGGGACATGGATGAAGCTGGAAACCATCATTCTCAGCAAACTATCGCAAGGACAAAAAACCAAACACCGCATGTTCTTACTCATAGGTGGGAATTGATCAATGAGAACACATGGACACAGGAAGGGGAACATCACACACCGGGGCCTGTTGTGGGGTGGGGGGCGGGTGGGGATGGATAGCATTGGGAGATATACCTAACGTTAAATGATGAGTTACTGGGTGCAGCACACCAACATGGCACATGCATATATGTAACAAACCTGCACGTTGTGCACATGTACCCTAAAACTTAAAGTATAATAAAAATAAAAATTAAAAAAAAAAGAATACTTAGCGTTGTCTCATTTGTGTGTTATGCTTCCGTAGCTGCTCTGACTCAGTGCTGGCAGTGGAGAAGGAAGAAGGGAACTCAGTTCTTCTCTGCATGTTACTGTTTTTCTTTCTGTCAACTCTTTTACTCCAGGAAGCCACCAGCTAATACACTTTGTCAGGGATGTCATACCCAAAGCTGGAACAATTCTCCCTGCTAAATGAAAACTTTCAAAGGAACTCACTTTATTACCTGTGCTACACAACATAAACCAATTTTTGATTTTATTGTTGAAAATCTTACAGGGTACTACTGTTCAATAACCAGCTCTACTGTAGAATAGTGACAGGCTTCTTGACTATGCACTACTTCTAGGATGTGCTAGTCATGGTGGAGTACACAGGAGTCTAAGGAGCTTACATCTCTACCAGGGGTAGTTCCATTTAGTAGCATTTATTAAGCACCTACTGGGTCCCAAGCAGAATATTTGCCCCTGGTACAATAATGAATTGTGAACTCTTCCCATTCCAGTGAGAATGGCAGAGACATACATGCTTTGAGAAAAAAGAGGGATTCTCAGGGAGTCAGACATGGGAGCACAGAATAAGAATGCTTAGCCAAATTTGGATGTCTAGGGAAAGCATCTGGAAAGATATCATTTATCAACTAAGTTTTGAAGGTTGAGCAGTATGTGAAAAAGAGTTGGGAAAGTTATGAGAGGTAGAGAAGACATCAAGAGCAAAGGGCAAGGATGAGCTGTATCTTCTTTATTCACTATTACATCTCTAGCACATGGTACAATATCTGGCATAGAAGTGGTGCTCAGTAAATTCTTTTTGCATACAAAAGTGCAAAGAGAAGGTTTTCAAGCATTTAAGATGGCGTAAAGAAAGGCTAAAGTGTACTTTGTGAGACTAGGAGGGCTGTGAGATTTGATAAACTGTCTATGTGTTATGGAGTAGTGGGAGAAGTTGCAGTTAGAGAATTTGAAAAATTCAAAACAGTAAAAGGCAAAAATTTTTCCTTTAGTTTTTTCTATTCTTCCAATTTTTTATAATCAAATAACATATCTAATGTTCCAGTAAAACAATCATAACTTCTACTAAGTGACTACTTACTAGATCACAGACACTCACTCTTCTAAGTGCCTTCCATGCATCATCTCACTTGGCTTTCTAAAAAATCTTGTGAGGTAGTTGCTATTCCAGTTTTGCAGATAAGATTACCATGTCTCAGAGGGTTTAATAAGTTGCCCAAGGTCATGTGGTTATCAAAGTAGGAATTGATGCAGGCCGTCTCTCCAGAATCTGCGCTTTTAGGCGCTGTTCTGAAACTGAGGTTCTAGAAACTTATTCTACTGAGATACATTTGTCACCTTACTCCTTTTGGCCCTGGGATGCCACAGAGGAATCATCACTAAAGTCTATCTTCCTACTGCCATCATGTCTAAGTCGGAGTCTCTGAAAGAGCCCGAATAACTGGAAGGTCTTCATTGGAGGGTTGAGGTTTGAAACAACCCATGAGAGTCTGAAGAGCCATTGTGAGCAATTGGGAGCACTCATGGACTGTGTGGTAATGAGATATCCAAACACCAATTGCTCCAGGGCCTTTGGGTTTGTCACATATGCCACTGTGGAGGAGGTGGATGCAGCCCTAAATGCCATGCTACATGAGGTATGAGAGAGTCGTGGAACCAAAGACAGTTGTCTCAAGAGGAGATTCTCAAAGACTAGTTGCCTACTTAACTGTGAAAAAGATATTTGTTGATGGCTGTATCAGCTCATGGTTGCACTGCTATCAAGAAATACCCAAGACTGGGTAATTTATAAGGAAAAGAGGAAAAGAGGTTTAATTGGCTCATGGTTCTTTCAGTCTGTGCCAGAAGCATGATGCTGGCCTCTGTTGGGCTTCCGGGGAGGCCTCAGGAAACTTTCAATCATGGCAGAAGGCAAACAGGAAGCAGACTGACATGGCCAGAGCAGGAGGAAGAGAGAGGGCAGGGGAGATGCTTCACACTTCCAAACAATCAGATCTCGTGAGAACTCTGTCATGAGACAGCACCAGGGAGATGATGCTAAACCATTAGAAACCACCCCTATGATCCAATCACCTCCCACCAGGCCCCACCTCCAGCAGTAGGGACTACATTTCAACTTGAGATTTGGGTGGGAACACAGATCCAAACCATATGAGTGGCACTAAAGAAGACACTGAAGAACATCACCTAAGAGCCAGGCATGGTGGGTCACTCTCACAATCCCAGCACTTCGGGAGGCCGAGGCGGATGGATCACTTGAGATCAGAAGTTCAAGACCAGCCTGGCCAACATGGCGAAACCCCATCTCTACTAAAAATAAGAAAATTATATGGGCTTGGTAGTGGGCACCTGTAATCCCAGCTACTTAGGGGGCTGAGGTGGAAGAATCACTTAAACTCAGGAGGCAGAGGTTGCAGTGAGCAGAGATTGCACCACTTCACTCCAGCCTGGGCTACAGAGCAAGACTCCTTCTCAAAAAAAAAAAAAAAAAAAAAAGAACATCACCTAAGACATTACTTTGAAGAATGTGGGAAAATTGAAGTGACTGAAATCATGAATGACCGAGGCAGTGGCAAGCAAAGGGATTTTGCCTTTGTAACTCTTAAGGACCATGACTCTATGAATAAGATTGAAGTACCATATTGTGAATGGCCACAACTGTGAAGTTAGGAAACTTCAAAGAGTGTTCAGTAAATTCATCCCTGTCAAAGCAAGAGAAGGCTAGTGCTTCATTGAGCCAAAGAAGCCAAAGTAGTTCTGGATGCTTTGGTGGTGGTTGTGGAGGTGGTTTTGGTATGAACTATGATTGTGGAGGAATCTTCAGTGGTCGTAGTAGCTTTGGTGGCAGCCGTGGTGGTTGTGGATATGGTGGCAGTGGGATGGCTATAATGGATTTGTAAATGATGGAAGCAGTTTTAGAGGTGAAGGAAGCTACAGTGATTTTGGCAGCTACAACAATCAGTCTTCAAATTTTGGACCCATGAGGAGAGAAACCTTAGGAGGCAGAAGCTCCAGCCCCTCTGGTGATGAAGGACAATCCTTTGCCAAACCATGAAACCAAGGAGGCTCTCGTGGTTCCAGTAGCAGCATTAGCCATGGCAGTGGCAAAAATTCTAATTACTGCAAAGAAACAAAGCTTAGCGTGAGAGAGAGAAGTGACAGGGAAGCTACAGGTTACAACAGATTTGTGAACTCAGCCATGCACAGTGGTGGCAGCACCTAGCTGCTACAAAGAAAACATGTTTTAGACAATACTCATGTGTATGGACAAAAAATTCAAGGACTGTATTTGTGACTAATTGTATAACAGGTTATTATTGTTTCTGTTCTGTGGAAGTGAAGAGCATTCCACCAAAGACTTTTTGCTGTGTGAAAAATTCACTTTTAGCGACCACTTTTTTTGGTTGTGGCTGTTGTTGTTACGACAAATCTGCAGAGTACCAAGTTCTTGAGACTCCAAGCCAAAGGGAGCATTACATTTGCCAAGCAGCCACTGTATGCCAGGAGTACAGCATCTCATTCAATCTTTGTATTTCTATGAGATATATATTGTAATTCCTGGTTCATAACTTCAGTCAACCAAAGCTCAGTTGTATCCAGCAATGTGATAGATGTCTCCCAGATAGCAAGTAGTATAACCAAGATTTGAGATCATGTGTCTAATGCCAGAATTCATGCACTTTCCACTATGTGAGGCTGCCTCTTGGAATCAGAGGACTATTTTGGTTTGAAACACAGCTTTACTATTTATTTAGCACTTTAGAAACTCTCTGACCCTCTGTTTTCTCATTTGGAAATGAGAATGATGATACCTGTTTAATCTATCCAATTCTTGAGAGAATTACTCAAGACAGTGTTGCTGAAAGTGCTTTGTAAATTATAAAGAGCATCCTCAATGTGTGGCATCTTACAAAATTTCATTTTGCAATTCCATACTCGTTATTTTCCCAGTTCATAGGTCTGTGGTTCCATTCTGACTTAGAGAGCTTGAGGTCTGTTTAGAATTAAACAGTTAACTTTAGAATTACAGTTACCTCTCCTGTGTGAGTCTAGCCTTCCCTAGATCCTGAGCCTAGCTCATTTTAGGGGAGAAATGGCATTTCTACCAGGCTACATTTCCAATATCTTCAGTTAACAGATGGAGGGTGGCACTGAGCTAGAGTAAGTTCTCCCATAGTTATTTAAATCATCAGTTCCTTAAAAAGGATCTTAGAATTCATTAAATATTCATGAAGCATCCTTCCTGGCAGCTAGTCCATAGTAGGTAATTACATAGAGTTTAAAATATCTGACGTTGCTTGGAAGCACACAAAGCTCTGTCAGCTGCAAGCAGACAGCTGATTTGTAATTTAATTAACATCCTGGCTTGTCCTGTTCTTTGTGGAAAAAAAGCAGGAAAGTATTTCCTTTCACTTTTGAGTTTTGTTTAAAAAAAATTCAAATGGAGCACCTGGGAGAGCTTTTTATTTCTCCCATCAGTGCTGTTACTTACATTCTTCTCCAAACTGGAAAAATTCCTCTTTCAAGGGTTCTTTGGGCAAGCCATATTGCTAATTGTGGGTCATTGTTTTTTTAAAGGGTGATTATTTTGAAGATAGATCTGGCTGCAAAGTACTTACTTATTCAACAAACATTTATCAAGTAACTCCTATGTGGCAGGCACTAGAGGTCAGCAGTAAACCAAGCAGGTGGGGCCCTTGACCCCATGGGGAGAGGGGCGGGGACGGTTAGTTCAGTGGAGGAGACAAACATCCAGCGAATCATCACAGAAATAAATGTAAAATAAAAATGTGCCAAGGTTTATGAAGAATAAGGACAGGGTGCCCTGAAAGCCTATGAAGCAGGGAGCAGTGTGCGGTGTGCAGAGGCAGGGAGAGAACTTCCTAATCTGGGAAGTCAGGAGGTCACCTTGAGGAAGTGAAGGGGAAAATTATGTAGTCTCTCTTGCCTTTCCTCCTCCCATTTTTCTCCTATCTGAAACTACCTACCTCCACCCCCAGATTTGCAACCTATATGTAACCATTCTGAAAGAATGGATTGGAATAACAGAAATAAAACTGTGCTCCAGTCAGGATATCATTCAGAGAATTCATTTCAAATTAAAGAAATGAATATAAATATTGATCTGATCATTGCACTGAACATTCCTTTATCTTCTCTTGTTTTCTTTTTTACCCATGTTTTCCCTCCAGAGAGGAAGGCAGTGAGTAGGAGTGAGGATGCAGTAGGTATATAAAAGTGATGAGACACAGGTCATAGATAGGCTGAGGCATCATGGAAAAAGGAAGAAGCTGGAGAAAAGGATTTGCTGGGTACAGACTGCAGAAATCCCTAAAAGTAAATGTCAAAGTGTTTAAACAAATCATTGTTCTCAAAATAAGAAGGTGGCTGGCAGGGCCTAGATGGGAATACTCAATTATGGAACTTAAATTTCTACAGCCTTGAGATGAAATGGAAATTTTTTGTTTTCACGTGGTTCATCATTGAGCTCGTTTTCTTTGTCCTTTTGGTTTTCTGTTTTTTTCTGAGATTCACTTACCTCTTCCTTAGGGATCCCTTTGAAATTCTGTTATTATTATTATTTTGTTTTTACCAACTTCTTGCTTCTAGAATATGTGCTTCCTTTCAGCCCAAGCACATTTTTTAAATTAAGAGGCTTTCTTCCAGAAGCAGCACTCAATCAGTCAACACAGGCCTATTGGACACACACTATGTATGTAGCATTCTAGCCTGACCACTCTGCAGGATACAAAGATACATGTCAGGGTTCTTACCCTCAAAGAACTTGGATTACAGAGGGACAGATAAAACTTGACACAGAGAACATGGTTTGTCAGTATAGTTAACAGAGACAGTGAAACTAACAAGTTTTTTAATGTCAGGCTTTGTGTAAGGAACTGTAATTATTACTTAATTTTATACCTGCTTCATAATGCTACTATCAGCCTTAAGTGGGATAATTTCTGTGACATTCTTAGCAAAGCGTTCATGGATAGTATTCACTATTAGGTATGATAATATGCCACCTATTCATGTGCACACAAACATGTTCTAGCTCTCCAGCTTTTGATTTGTTCCTTCCCCCTCTCTCTCTTTCTCTCTCTCTCTCTCTCTCTCTCATCAGTACTGTGCCAACTCCTGCTACAAGGGGGAAGTAGAGCACTTTTTATGAAGCAACAGAGGTAAACTCAGATTTTTGTTTATGAAACCTTGAAATATTTCCAATTTCTGGATCAGTTATCATGCACTGTGCCAGCAAAATGCCATCTTCCAAATTGCACCAGAGAACCTCCAGTGACAGATCAGGCACATGTAAGATTCCGTTTTTAAATTCTGGGAAACTCAGGATGGTTTGTTCTGACTCACACAAGCATCAGCAGAATGTACTGAGCAGAGCCTGGTCAGACTTCCTTAGCCTTTTTCTGTCTGTGTAGGGGGGACTGTGGTAGAAAATGAGTATGAGTATAACTGCGTGCAAGCTCAGCTGGGAGGGCTTTCTGATTATGCGGATCATGTTATTGCTCAGATAATTACAGTTTAATTCAGTTAAACTTACATTTACTGATCTCTTTTTATGTGTCATTTGTCGGTTGGGCATTGGAGATTCAGAGATGAACATGACTCTACCTCTGCTCTTGAGGCATTTGTGGGCTACTAGGGGAGATAGGCACATGGAGAGGTCATTACAGTATAAAGTTCTTATTCATTGACAAAATCCTGTGCAGAACACTATGGGAGCATAAAAGAGATACAGATTTCCAACCTTTGAAGTCAGAGAATGCTTCTGAGGAGGCAACACTAAATCTGATAATCAAGGACCTAAAAAAGTTTGCTTGATGAAGGAATCTGGGGTTGGGGGCAGGGTTAAGCTTCAGAACGGGGACGGGGATAGAATTCCAGAAGTCAGGGGCAAAATGAACTAAGATAGGGAGACATAAGTAGTATACCAGGCATCCCTGTCTTGAGCACCTATCCTGCCTCTACTCCCCTTAGAGCTGAAACAGGAAATATAATCTGTTTACAAAGTTTCTTTATTATTATTATTATTATTATTATTATAATACTTCAAGTTCTAGGGTACATGTGCACAACATGCAGGTTTGTTACATATGTATACATGTGCCATGTTGGTGTGCTACACCCATTAACTCGTCATTTACATTAGGTATATCTCCTAATGCTATCCCTCCCCTCTCCCTCCACCACATGACAGGTCCCGGTGTGTGATGTTCCCCACCCTGTGTCCAAGTGTTCTCATTGTTCAATTCCCACCTATGAGTGAGAACATGCAGTGTTTGGTTTTCTGTCCTTGTGATAGTTTGCTCAGAATGATGGTTTCCAGCTTCATCCATGTCCCTACAAAGTACATGAACTCATCCTTTTTTATGGCTGCATAGTATTCCATGGTGTATATGTGCCACATTTTCTTAATCCAGTCTATCATTGATGGATGTTTGGGTTGGTTCCAAGTCTTTGGTATTGTGAATAGTGCCTCAATAAACATACGTGTGCATGTGTCTTTATAGCAGCATGATTTATAATCCTTTGGGTATGTACCCAGTAATGGGATGGCTGGGTCAAATGGTATTTCTAGTTCTAGATCCTTGAGGAATCGCCACACTGACTTCCACAATGGTGGAAGTAGTTTACGGTCCCACCAACAGTGTAAAAGTGTTCCTATTTCTCCACATCGTCTCCAGCACCTGTTGTTTCCTGACTTTTAATGATCGCCATTCTAACTGAGTGAGATGGTATCTCATTGTGGTTCTGATTTGCATTTCTCTGATGGCCAGTGATGATGAGCATTTTTTCATGTGTCTGTTGGCTGCATAAATGTCTTCTTTTGAGAAGTGTCTGTTCATATCCTTTGCCCACTTTTTGATGGGGTTTTTTTTTTTTTTTCTTGTAAATTTGTTTAAGTTCTTTGTGGATTCTGGATATTAGCCCTTTGTCAGATGGGTAGATTGTAAAAATTTTCTCCCATTCTGTAGGTTGCCTGTTCACTCTGATGGTAGTTTCTTTTGCTGTGCAGGAGCTGTTTAGTTTAATTAGATCCCATTTGTCAATTTTGGCTTTTGTTGCCATTGCTTATGGTGTTTTAGACATGAAGTTCTTGCCCATGCCTATGTCCTGAGTGGTATTGCCTAAGTTTTCTTCTAGGGTTTTTATGGTTTTAGGTCTAACATTTAAGTCTTTAATCCATCTTGAATTAATTTTGGTATAAGATGTAAGGAAGGATTCCCGTTTCAGCTTTCTATATATGGCTAGCCAGTTTTCCCAGCACCATTTATTAAATAGGGCATCCTTTCCCCATTTCTTGTTTTTGTCAGATTTGTCAAAGATCAGATGGTTGTAGATGTGTGGTATTATTTCTGAGGGCTCTGTTCTGTTCCATTGGTCTATACCTACCATGCTGTTTTGGTTACTGTAGCCTTGTAGTATAGTTTGAAGTTAGGTAGCATGATGCCTCCAGCTTTGTTCTTTTGGCTTAGGATTGTCTTGGCAATGTGGGCTCCTCTTTGGTTCCAAATGAACTTTAACGTACCTTCCATGCTCATGGTTAGGAAGAATCAATATCGTGAAAATGGCCATACTGCCCAAGGTAATTTATAGATTCAGTGCCATCCCCATCAAGCTACCGATGACTTTCCTCACAGAATTACAAAGTTTCTTTTACTCAAGTCCCCTTCAACAGACCAAGCTGAGGAGAGAAAAAGAAGAAAGCACAGACTGCAATACAGAGGCCTTCTGCCAATGGCCCTCATTTTGTAGGCAATAGAGAAATCCTCAAAGGTGCCCAGAATGACATTAGTACCTACCAGACAAGCCTTGGAATGAAAAGTTTGACTCAGAATTACCCAGAATGTTAGGGTTGATTCTTAGTCAGGGTGTAAGAATATTTCCTAAAAATTTTATTTCCTGAAGATAAAGTTGTCCTCTAAAGACCTTTGAGTCCTAACTAACTTAGAAGACTAAGTGCTCTTTCTCTAGAGTGAAATTAACATGTATTTGAAACCTGGTTTGCCACTTTCCAGGTATGTAAGCTTAGAAAAATACCTAATTATCTGAGTCTAAGATAAAGAGAATAACACCTATGTCTCATATGGTGATGATGGATATAAAGCATTTAATATGGCTCCAGGTACATTAACTGTAGCTGGTATTATTATTGGTTGTAATATTGCATTAGTGTTAGGATTAGCATTAATGTTGGTGTTAATATTAATCCTAGTGTTATAAATCAGTACCTTTGTTCAGCCAAAGGAAATAAAGATTTGAATACAAGCAGAGAAATTCTGCTATATCATATCAGGGTGATTCCTTTGGAAGCTTGAGTTTGAGTTAAAGATGTGACTTTCTCATCAGTTCTTGTCATTTCTTGCTTAGTCATAGGCTGAAGACTCAAAGAAAAAAAAACACGGGAATGTCTGGTTGGCACTGGGCAGAGTATTATTTAGGTCCACGGTCTCTTGGATGACTCCCTATTGTCTACAGTGGACACCAATCTGCCTTCCAGTCTCCTCCTGCCACACTGTACCTTACATCCCAAGCTTCATCCAAGTCTTACATCAGCTCACTAGAAGCAGACCTAAGATGAGATTTCATGTGTGCATGATTTATGGAGGGCAGTTCCAAGAAAAAAAAAAAACATAGGGAGTAAGGGAAGCACAAAGGAACTGTGCAGAAATATAGGTTCAGGTACAGTCTAAATTTAAGCTAATCTCGCTGGATACTTTGTAGTGTAATTCACATCACGGGATTTGTCTCACCGTGAGGTATGAGAGTTGGGGTTCAAATATGACTCCTGTGGACATCCAAGAGAGGAGGCTTCAATCACCTAAGGGTAATGTTCCTGAAAAGTATGCAGATATGAGCCTTCAATGGGTAAAAAAGATTTCCATGAATTTGGATGGGGACACAATAGCATCTGCTACAATCCACTTTAAGACCTCACTGTTCCCTCAAACATCATCCCCTCTTACCACATGTCTCTTCACATGTTGTGCCTTTGGCTGGAATATCTTTTACCTCTTTATGGTATTCCAGACCCTGTTTCAAACTGAGAAGCTGCAGCCAGCCAGCCACAAATGCTTGCCCATTTCTGCTCCCACAGAACTGAGTTTATCACGAGGTATGGTAGCTTATCTGTGCACAAGTATAACTCAGTAATTTATGGTCTTCTTGAAGTCAAGGGTTGTTCTTTTCAGTTCATATTCTTAGCATATACTGAAATGAATGATGAGGAGAAAGATATGTAGTACTTAATAGCCTGATGTCCTTTTAGATTGTGTCAAGCAAATGATGTGATTGTCCTTTTTACTTGAACCTGAGTTCACAGCATTTTATAGTGAAAAAGTTTTCATCCAGTAGCCAAAATAGTATTGTGGCTTAAGCAAGTGATATCTATTTCATCCATTTGTGTAATGGTAGCTCATGGCTATATTCAACAAACACTTATTGAGCATATGTGTTGTGCATATGACTAAAGACTGGAGATGTGAGAATAAACAATACCAATGTGGTCCCAGTCCTTACAAGATTTTACAGTTCCGTGGAAAAACACAGAAAATACACAACCATATAGCATGACAAGAGTTGTAATTGGAGACTCTAGGGAGTTATGGGAACATGCACATGAAGAAGTTCTGGAGATCTGTTGCACAACAAAGTGAATATAAGTAACACTACTGAACCGTATACTTAAAAATGGTTAAAATGGTCAAAATTTTATGTGTATTTTACCACAAATTTTAAAAGAAGCTTAAAAATGAGACTCAATAGTTTGTTTATATTTATTTTATAATTATTGGAGTGAGAATGTTGAGAACAAAAGTAATTCAGGGCTGGGTGCGGTGGCTCACGCCTGTAATCCTAGCACTTTGGGAGGCTGAGGTGGACGGATCACCTGCGGTAAGAGTTCGAGACCAGCCTGGCTAAGATGGTGAAACCCCGGCTCTACTAAAAATAAAAAAAATAGCCAGGCGTGGTGGTGCCCGCCTGTAGTCCCAGCTACTCGGGAGGCTGAGGCAGGAGAATTGCTCGAACTCGGGAAGCAGAGGTTGCAGTGAGCTGAGATCGTGCCACTGCACTCCAGCCTGGGGTGACAAGAGCTGGAGTCCGTCTCATAAAAAAAAAAGTAATTCAGAAGTAATGGGGGTTCAGCATATATAGTAGTAGGGTTATGGCAGTGTAAGAAAGCTTGTATTCTGTCCTGTGGGCAGTGTGAGCCATTGGAAGTTTTCAAGGAGGACTTTATCAGCATGTGATTCACAAAGTCCCCTGGATCAGTGTAGAGAATTTATGGGAAACGGGCAACCCCACAGACAGGCTAGCCAGCTCAGAGGCTGTTTCTATAGCCCAGCTGAGAACTTATGGGATCCTGAACATGGACAGTGTTGGTGGGGGTATGGGAAGAATAAGGAGAGTGTGGACTCAAGTATTATTTAGGATATAAATCAAGCAGACTCATCAACTTATTAAATTGGCAGATGGCAGCAGGCAAAAGACAGGATGGAGTCTGATTGACTCCTACTTTTCTGGCTCAGATGACAACATAGATGGTAGTGCCTTTATGAGAGAATCAAAAATGTGGAGCAGACGTGGGAGTTAATGGGTTGAAAGCCAGAGAAACTAAAATGGGCGCAAGTGTGACACTATTCCACTCATAATGGGCGTAACTGATCAAAAGTGAATGTTAAATTTGATCCATGTTTCTGAGGCAGATTACATTCCCAAATTATTCATAAGGTTAGATAAACAAAAGCATGGTATTTGCAGTTCACAGAAATGTTCTAACCTCATTGTGTCGTGTATTCTCAGTGATTTTTTTTTTTCTACTAAGCAGCCAATTCAGTTTTCAGACTTGGACTTCATCTCTTTATGGGGTAGAGGAGAGGCTGATGATAACTGAAAGAGGATTCAGACTGCAATGATCTGGATAGGGTCTTGGCGCTTATGCCCGTCAGTTAAGGTGACTCTTGACAAGTACCTTAACTTCTTGGAGTGTTAGTTTTCTCATAGGTAAAATGGCCAAGAATGATTGCAATGGAACAAGTTTGTGAGAGTTCTTTGGAAACTGCAGTTATGGCATTGTTATTTTTGTTGAGAGAGATATTACTTGGGACATTGAAGAAAGCCTACCTTGCCCCAGAAAGTATAAGTGTAAGTATTGATAATCTGCTTCTGAGGAAGAGTGAACAACAGATTGAATTACCATCCCTGGAGTGGTTCTTGTTACTTTTCCACTATGAGTCAGTCTGAGAGCTGATGTCCTAGAAGTTTTATATATATATGTATATGAAAAAATTAACCATTGATGATAACAATAATGGGACACTGGGAAGAAGTTAGACATCACAATTAAGCCTGTGATGGTGTTATGACAATGTTTAGATCCCTGTTCCCAATATCCCTGTGTTATGCACAAGGAACATAGGCAAAGTAAAGCAAACTAACACTTTATTATCTGATTAAGAGGTCAGATGTAGAGGGTTCCCTTTCTTCTTTCCCAGGTAGGACAACAGCCTTGAACAATGGAACTCTAAAGGGACAGATCCAAGGGAAAAGGGGTACAAACTAGAAAAAGACACAGAAATAGGATGGAGACCCAGGCTGAGGCCAAAAATGGAGATAGACCCCAAGAAGAGGGCTGAGTTCCCTCAGAGCATTCCTAACCCTGAACCTTTTTTTTTCTCTGCCAACTTCCTTATATCTGTTTGGAAGACTCAAACAATAATCTTTACTGGTACAGTCATGTGTAAGCAAGATGGTTAAGAAAAGAGGAAAAGGGAACAAGAGAGAAGAAGTATTTACCTCTGTCCCCTCAGGGAGCCATACAATATAGGCAGATAACTTGCCTTGATTTTTAAAGTTCTTTAAAAGAGCTAGCTCTGCTTCTAAAAATTGTGATCTTTTGTCCTGGAATCTGACTAACCCAAATCAATACTCCTTCTCCTAGCGGGTGAAGTAAAGAAAGATAAGCTTGTCTTCTCTTTGAGTCTAATACAAATAATGTGGGTGACAAAATTTTTTCCTCATTTCAAAAGGAACTTAAATCACTCACAAATTCTGAAGGAAAATTAAGTTTTCTAAATGGGATATATTGGAATTCTGTTTTCTTCTTGCTCAGTACTTTTTTTCTTCTCCATCCATAACCTAGAATTTTTAACACATACTTAGCTACTCTGGTCAGGAGGGTTACCTCCTCACTTACTTGAATAAAGTAAATGTTCTGTCTCATTTGTTATCACCTTTCTGTAGCTCATAAACAAAGAGAGTATATTATCAGGCAGAAACAAGTCTGGACATTGGTCAATATTCGTGGTTAACTCAGTTCTGCTTGCATTTGACCTGGTCTATGGTGACCGCCAGAAGAGTCTGCAGCAAAGCCCATTTGGTGAAGTCAACAGTAGGTGCACACTGTGTCCTATTGATGAAGTTAGAATATGAAGTTCAGTCTATATCCTTTACAAACACTGATATATACATACTTGTCCTTTCTTTTCTTTTCTCCTAGAAGTATCGATATCAAGATGAGGACGCTCCACATGATCATTCCTTACCTCGACTAACCCACGAAGTAAGAGGCCCAGAACTCGTGCATGTATCAGAAAAGAACCTCTCTCAAATAGAAAATGTCCATGGATATGTCTTGCAGTCTCATATTTCTCCTCTGAAGGTCAGTTATATTGCTCTTCCGACTTTATAGTTGGTGACAGTAGTTGGTCTTAATTGCTAATGGAGATGTTTGCTGGCCCGATTAAATGAGGCTCTTTTAAAACATGATAGAGGACACGGGTTGCCAAAGGGTCTTTCTTGTGCATTGGAGGCCCACCTTGTATTTTTGGGACATATTTTTATTGCAATTGTTTGAATATCTGGAAAAATCATTTTAGTTGCTGAGAATGGAGTAAAGAAAGCGCCAAGAGTGAAACACTGAAAGGGAAAATAAGCTAACCACATATTTTTAAACCCCAAGTACATCAAGGTTTTGCTCAGATGCTCTCTGTTTGTCAGTACTCGTGGTCCAACAAAGGGAACAAATATAACATGATCACATCTAATGATTGCTTTACTGTCTAAACTATAAAGGAAAATGTGTGAATTGTCTAATCAATTCCTCTATTTTATCCTAGAGAAAATTGTTTACTAGATTTATTTCAATTCATTGTCATACTTTTCCCAACACTTTCTACTTTTTAAAATTTAATTTTAAACAATTGCTTGATAAATTATATTTCGACAAGAAGAAGGTATAATTAAATGAGAAAAATACTTTTCTATGCCCCTTGGCTGTGCAAATTACTCTGATTTTTTTTTTTTTTTTTTTTTTTTTTTTTTTTGGCTGAACTGGCGCTACTGGATTTTGTGTTTGGGATAAAAAGCTTATAAAGGTTGATTAAAGTTTAAAAAGAAAAAATCAGAATATGGCTGAAATAACAGAATTGAAATGGAAAAAATAAAAGCACCTACCAATTAACTCCTTAGTAATTATTGCTAAACAAAAATTTCTTTCATCACCGAGAACATTCATTTTGCCAGCACTTCTACACAGCTGTGCTACAATAAAAAATAAAGACATAAAAGTGTCTCCCGTGTTCTCTGGATCTTATTATACCTGCAAAAACATCTAAGAGAGGTTAACTTATGCTTAACCTTACGTTTCAAATTTTGGAACATTTCAAACATATTGGTATGCTAAAAATGTATTAGCAAATAAATTAGCTATAGCTACTACCAATACATAAAAATATTAGACCAATTATCAAATTCCAGTAAATATTATATAGTAACTAAAAATATGTAAATATTAATATTATGCTTCTGGGATTCATTGTGCAAATCTCCGCAATTTCTTTGCAAGTATTTGGATGACTGGTGGAAATGAGTATGTTTAACCTGGAGAAGAAAAGATTAAGAATTGGGGGACATGGGACTAAACCTTTTTTACCTCCAGAGCTGTCATCTGAAAAACACGACATCGATGTCATGCGGAAGGCAGAAGCAGATCCACTGTGCATAACTGACAGGAATGTATATTATATTTGGGAACATTTTAACACCACAGCTCCTGACATTTATAGCTACTCAGAAAAATTATAGACTACTTCATGAGACAGAAGTTCCCTATCCCTAGAAATCTTTCAGCAATGGATAATGACTCGTCAGAGGTTTTGTAGAAAAGACTCCTTCTTCCGCAGAAGGGTAAACAAAATTGTCTTTAAGGTCCTGTTTAGGAATCAGAATTCTGTGTTCAGTATAGAATCTTGCTGATTCCTAGAGTTAGACAGTACTCTTTAATATTTTCTAACAATTGCTGATCCTTACTCTGTTTACAAACCACTGAAAATTGAGAAAGGGCAGGGCCGAGAGACTGAACTGCATTGAAGGTACTTACATTTCAGTTTTATTCTTTCAAACTGGTTGAAAAACTCCCTATAAGAACCTCCATAGATCAAGCACAGTGGCCCGCACCTGTAGTCTCAGCATTTTGGGAAGCTGAGGTGGGAGGACCGCTGATCCCAGGACTTCAAGACCAGCCTGGGTAACAAGGCAAGACCTTGTCTCTGCAAAAAATTTAACAAATTAGCCAAGCGAGGTGGCATGCAAGTGTAGTTGCAGGTATGGAGGAGTCTGAGGTGAGAGGATCATTTGAGCCCAGGAAGTTGAGGCTGGAGTAAGCCATGATCACGCCACTGCACTACAGCCTGGGCAACAAAGTGAGACCCTGTCCATGCCACAACCCCCAACACACAGATACACAAAATTCGCCACCTTTCTCCCTTCCCAACCTTTCCTCCTTAATCACCTCTAGAGCATACCTCCCAAAGAACTTTAGGCTAAGTAGGTAGGATAATCAAGGCTAGCATTTTATATCCTTCTACTAGAATTGATAATATGGTGATTATTAGTATTATATTTAAGTCAACTAATAATGATAGATGAAATATTTGAAATAAGTGCATCTTTTGTCTTATGAGTAGGATCATGCCTGAAAGTAGTGAGATTCCTTGTGTTACTTCTGGGATTCAAAAATGGAATAGGGAGAGTCCAAATTTTATAATTAGTGCTATTATAATTATGAGGGATGCTAGCCCGGTTACAGTAAAAAAAAAAAAAAAAAAAAAAAATGAACAGAACAATGAAAGCACCATGGGAGCTTTGTTTTGTATATTAAGTCTTCAGCATATACATGATAATATAATTATCTGAACATCTGCTGTTTTGGTGATTGCACCATCATTTATTATGCTACTCACTGTCTCATTTGGAAAATGTATATCAGAGTTGAGGGGAAAGTATGCTTTTTCTAAAGCTCAGATCTCATATAAACAAAGGAATTTTTCCTATTTTTCCTTTATCCTTTGCCTTCCAGGAATCTTAAAATTAACTGTATTCAACTTCAATGGGTTTCTCTTAGCCTAGATTTTCTGTTATATTTATGTCACTTCTAACTAATTTCCTAGCCTTTTATTGAGGGCACCTCATGTCAGTTTTAAGAACAGCCAACTATGAATAGCAGGCCCCTGGGATAAAACACCATGGTCCTAATAGATTTTTCTCCTTTTTGGAACCACCAGTTCTGTGGTATGGCCCCAAGGTATTGTGAAGAGGAGGGAAAGGGAAGCTCATCAAGGATTTCTACACTGGGGCTGTGAGGTAGCTATTTTGGGACCAGGATTTTTTTCATCATGACCTTCTCGAGGTGTTGTTTATGCTAAACAAGATGTGTTTGAGTTTTTATTTATTTATTTATTTATCTTAAACTTGTATTATAGGTACAGTGGTACATGTGCAGGTTTGTTATATAGGTAAACTGCATATCATGGAGGTTTGGTGTGCAGATTATTTCATCACTAGGTAATAAGCATAGTATCAAATAGGTAGTTTTTCAATCCTCACCCTCCTTCCACCCATCATTTTCAAGTAGGTCTCAGTGTCTGTTGTTCCCTTGTTTGTATCCATATGTACTCATTGTTTAGGTCCCACCTGTAAGTGAGAATATGCAGTATTTGGTTTTCTGTTCCTGTGTTAGTATGCTTAGGATAATGGCCTTCGGCTCCATCTATGTTACTGCAAAGAATATGATCTCATTCTTTATCCTTTACTTTCTTTTTTTTCTTTTCTTTTTTGAAACGAAGTTTCCCTCTGTCACCCAGGCTGGAGTGCAGTGGCACAATCTTGGCTCCCTGCAACCTCTACCTCCCAGGTTCAAGTGATTCTCCTGCCTCAGCCTCCTGAGTAGCTGGGACTACAGATCTCCTGACCTCGTGATCCTCCCGCCTTGGCCTCCCGAAGTTTTTATGGCTGTGCAGTATTTTGTAGTGTATATGTACCACATTTTCCTGAACCCAGCTACTGTTGATGGGCATTTAGGTTGATTCCTTGCCTTTGCTATTGTGAATAGTGCTGCAAGGAACATACCTTTGCGTGTGTCTTAACGGCAGAACAATTTATATTCCTTTGAGTATATGTCCAATAATGAGATTGCTTGGTCGAATGACAGTTCTGTTTTAAGTTATTTGAGAAATTGTCAAACTGCTTTCCACAATAGCTGAAATAATGGTATTCCTACCAGCACTGTATAAGCATTCCCTTTTCACTGCAACCTCACCAACATCTGTTATTTTTTGACGTTTTATAAAAGCCATTCTAACTGGTGTAAGACGGTATCTCTTTGTGGTTTTGATTTGCATTACTCAAATGATTAGTGATGTTGAACATTTTTTCATATGCTTCTTGGCTGCATATATATCTTCTTTTGAAAAGTGTCTGCTCATGTCCTTTTCCCACTTTTTTTAAAGGATTGTTTTTTGGCTTGTTAATGGATTCTGAATATTAGACCCTTATTGGATGCATAGTTTGCAAAAATTTTCTCCAATTCTGTAGGTTGTCTATTTACTCTGTTGATAGTTTCTTTTGTTGTGTAGAAGCTCTTAAGTTTAATTAGGTCCCGTTTGTCAAATTTTGTTTTTGTCAGAATTGTGTTTGACATCTTCATCATGAAATCTTTACCAGGTTCTTTCCAGAATAGTATTTCCTAAGTTATCTTTCTGGGTGTTTATAGTTTTAGGTTTTGTATTTAAGTCTTTAATCCATCTTGAGTTGATTTTTTTGTACGTGGTATAAGGAAGGGGTTCAGTTTCAATCTTCTGTATGTGACTAGCCAGTTGTCCCAGCACCATTTATTGACTAGGGAGTCCTTTCCCCATTGCCGGTTTTTTTCCACTTTATTGAAGATCAGATAATCGTCGGTGTGCAGCATTATTGCTGGGCTCTCTGTTCTGTTCCCTTGGTCTTTGTGTCTGTTTTTCTACCAGTATTAGGCTGTTTTGGTTACTATAGCCCTGTAGTACAGTTTGAAGTCCAAGAATGTGATACTCACAGCTTTGATATTTTTGCTTAGGATTGCCTTGGCTCTTTGGGCTCTGTTTTGGTTCTATGTGAATTTTAATTGTTCTTCTCTAATTCTTTGAAGAATGTCATTGGCAGTTTGATAGGAATAGCACTGACTGTGTAAATTGCTTTAGGGAGTATGGCCATTTTAACAATGTTGATTCTTCCTATCCATGAGCACAGAATGTTTTCAATTTGTTTGAATCATCTTGGATTTCCTTGAGCAATTTTTTTGTCATCCGTGTTGTAGAGATCTTTTACCTCCATGGTTAGCTGTATTCATAGGTATTTTATTCTTTTTGTGGCTATTGTAAATGAGATTGAGTTCTCGATTTTGCTCTCAGCTTGGATGTTGTTGGTAGATAGGAATACTTCTGCTTTTGGACACTGGTTTTGTATCCTGAAACTTTGCTGAAGTTGTTTATCAGATCATGGAGCTTTTGGGTAGAGACTAAGGGGTTTTCTAGGTATAGCATCATATCATCTGCAAGCAGGAATAGTTTGATCCCTTCTCTTCCTATTTGGATGCCTTTTACCTCTTTCTCTTGCCTGATTGCTTTGTCTAGGATTTCCAGGACTGTGTTGAAAAGGAATGGTGATAGAGGGCATCCTTGTCTTGTTCTGGTTTTCAAGGGGAATGCTTCCAACTTTTGTCCATTCAGTATGATCTGGGATTTTATAGCTCAAGATATGCTTTTAGATTGTCTTAGTAAAGACACTCTGTGTATCTCTCCTTCAACACCAATAGTAATAGGAATAAATGTGTACCATTTTTCTAGGGGAAAAAAAAAGTCCGTTTTAAGGTTGGCCAATTTTGTGATGTAAATATTCCCAGCCTGGCTGATTTCAGGCTACCAACCTAAAGCTACTTTTTAAATATGTGGAAATGGAGGCACATGAGGCTCTCATGAGCTAGTACGAGTGAGCTCCAGCACAGTACTGTGATATCAGATTCAAGCACTAGCATTTTTATAGCAATAGGATACATTTCCTAATCAAGTTGTTATTATCACAGTTCAACTGTTGAAAAACTTGCAATGATTAAAATCTAATGGGTTATTTTCTCATAAAGGAAGCCTGTTAGAATCAGGGAACTGCTAAAAAGGTACAAGGTCTCCATTAGAACTGTCATATTTTCAACTTCTTTGCCTTCTTTTATCTGTCTGGTATTCTTGGGTCAAACACTAAAAGGAAGAAAAGGAGGCAAAACACATAATCAGATGCTTCCCCCAGAATCCTACTGAGAAAACAATGTGACTCTAGTATTAATGGAGAATTTACATATGGCATGCCTAAACAGAGTGTGAGATTGCTGGATAACAGTTTAAATGTCACATTGAGTGGGCTCTGAATCATTAGCTGAATAATCTCACTGTCACAGGTTTGAGTATCATTTTCTCCATCGTCGTGTATTACTTGAAGCCTTGGTTCTAAGATTCATCTGTCTTTGGTGCACACCAGCTGCCTAAGTGATAGGATGGGCTTTCTTAGCCTGTTTTCATTAGAGTGCTTTGGCCAGTGTGAAGTGTGGGATTGGAAAGAGAAATGCAATTTAGTGGTGAATTCAAGGGAATTTGTTTTCCTTTCCTCAAGGTGGGGATGCATTCTCTTCAGATGCTACCTAGAATCTTTCATAAAAGAAATTGGCCTATAATAAACCACAAGAATTTTCTTTTCAGTTTAGGTCTTCTCACTTTAGGTCAGTTCAATAAATATTAACTGAGTGCCTACTATAGCACTAAGTAATGGGGAAACAAAGAGCAGTGAAATGATTTTCAGTACCTAGATTATTCTCTTGATTCATAATTAATTATTTGTTACTTATTATTATTCCGAAACTGAAATTTGAACTCCTCAAACTTAAAACTATGGGGCCCAAGCACCTACCAGAGTGCCCTGTAGGAGTATTTATTAGCGAGAGAGAGAGAGAGAGAGAGAGAGAGAGAGAGAGAGAGAGAAAGGGAGGGAGTTAACTGCTGTCCTCTTCTTCCTTACCTAATCATCACTTATACAAAATTTCATAAATTCTAAACTTCATATTTTATCACATATTAACATATCTGAAATCTGGATGTGTCTTAAGATCAATGGCATCTTGCAGTTAAAATTGGCAGTATTTCCTAGGGTGTATTAAAAAAGAAATGTGTCTTGCAGTCAAAACCGGCTTAGATTCTTAGGTTCAGTAACTAATTACAAGGAAGATTAAAGCCTCCTTTTATAAATTGGTGTGAATTACTTTAATCAGATAAATATTATTGTGTGTCTTCGAATTTTCACAGGGACTGGAATAAACAGTTCTGGGAAGCTTTGCTGGAAATTAGGAGTATGTGAGGTTTGGGTAAACTTCAATACCCTGAGACAACTGGGCACTTGTTGAGTATATATAGAAGACATTTGAGAATCTGTAGGCAATGCACATTTGAGAAATTATAGGAGGAGAGCTGAAGCATGAAGAAGCCAATAAAAAAACTATAGACAAAGGATAACAATGTGTATTTTTATACTATTTTCTTACTAGAGTTGCCAGAGCACAATCATAGGAAAGTATGTTTTAGCCAAAAGTACAATAAAAACCCTCTTCCTACATAAAGCCTTTCCTGTTAACTCTTGGCCAACCCCGACTGGTCATAAGATCCTATGGCACAAGGAGTTAGTGCATCCCACATAGTCATCATTTTAAAATATGCCTTATTCTATTGTTCTAAAAATTATTTGTTGAACTATACAGTAGTCCCCACTTATCTGTGGGGGATGCATTTTAAGACCCCCAGTGGGGCCGGGAGCGGTGGCTCACGCCTGTAATCCCAGCACTTTGGGAGGCCGAGGCGGGTGGATCATGAGGTCAGGAGATCGAGATCATCCCGGCTAAAACGGTGAAACCCCGTCTCTACTAAAAATACAAAAAATTAGCCGGGCGTGGTGGCGGATGCCTGTAGTCCCAGCTACTCGGGAGGCTGAGGCAGGAGAATGGCGTGAACCCGGGAGGCGGAGCTTGCAGTGAGCCGAGATTGCGCCACTGCACTCCAGCCTGGGCGACAGAGCAAGACTCCGTCTCAAAAAAAAAAAAAAAAAAAAACACCCCCAGTGGATGCATGAAACTGCAGATAGTACCAAATCCTATTTATACTATGTTTTTTCTTATGTTTTCATAAGTATGTTATCACATAATTAAATTTATAAATTAGGCTCAGTAAGGGATTAACCACAATAACTAATAAAATATAATTATAACAATATACTTTAATAAAAGTTATGTGAATGTGCTCTCTCTCTGTCTCTCAAAATATCTTGTAGTGTACTCACCTGTTTTCAGGTCATAGTTGACCTCTGGTAGCTGAAACTGCATGAAAAGTGCAACCTAAGATCAGGAAGGACTGCTATATAATGTTCTTTCCTCTAGGTTTGCTGTTTTTCTTGCTCTTAGTAAATGTGTAAGCTCCCAAGACCTGGACTGCATCTTATTTTTGTTTTGTTTTGCTTTTCATTTTACTCCCTTATTGGAATCTAAAATGAAACTAGACTAGCATCTCCCAAAGTATGTTTGGTGGAATTTTGTCAGCATTATTAAAATAAAGGTATGAATGAGTGCTTAAACACATTTGAGGAGTTAAATCCATTAACTTATTGAAGGATTTCTCAGAGCCTTTACTATAATAATATGAAATATAAACATCTAAGATGGAAATATGATTAGTACAAAGTATTTCCCAGACATATTTTGTCATAGAATTATTTCTTTAATATAAAATTATATTTTGGTTGGGCACATATACTTTTGGAGCGTACAATAAAGAAAGTGTGAAAGAAGAGGTCTCTCAAGACGTAGAAAAACTGTTTAATTTTTTGGAGCTGGAGAGGTTAGGATGGGTGTTGTCAGAGAAAAAAAATTATACACGAGATCATTTTTTACTTGAAGGAAGTATGAAATAAGGGAGAAAAGTCAAGGTTGCCCTATACTCTAGCAGTTGTGTAACAGTATGGAAAAGTTCTGAGAATTGCCAAGTAGTTGGCTAGGATACTGACGCATAATGTAAGAATTAAGGAAAGGGGCATAGAGTGGGCCCAAACATCCCATAAAGCAAGAGAGATGGGCATGAACAGGTAATGAAGGACCTTATGTAGAGACTGGACTTCACCTTGTAGGTAATGAGGGGTGACTACAGAATTTTTAAAAAGGAGAATGACATGACCTGATATGCAAATTAGACCGTTATTCATGTCATGTGGTACAGTGGAAGGAATAATTGGAAAGGTATGACATCAGATTCAAGAGCATCAGGTGAAATGTAAAAGATAGATAAGCTTTGATGTAAAGCAGAGGTATTGGGGTTGAAGGGAAGGATAGATTAGAAGGCTTATTTAAAAAGAGATATCATCAGGACATTGAGACATATTACATATAGAAGGTAGAAAAGAGAGAGAAATAGAAGATAATTTACAATTTTTAAAATTTGACCCCAGAGTAGAGGATGTATCATGAAATGAAACCAAGAATGCCAGAGGAAGAGCAGATTTTAGAATGGCAGGGGAGGGAGTGGGATAATTTCTGAGTTTATGTTGGAGTAACTGATTTTGAAGTATTTATGTTATACCCAGGTAGAAGTGTTTAACAGTCAGTTTGAAATAAAGATCTGATCTAGAAAATGGAAACTTTGACGTTTTCAGTGTAGTTGGAGTTGTGAAAATGGATGGGATTGCTCAGGAGAGGGGAGAAGAACACAGAGGACTGAAACACAGGTCCACCACCACCATATATGGGCTTTGGGGAGAGAGAGGTACCTACCGAGGATAACATGAAGCAGTGAGAAATTTACCACAACATTTAGCCCTTAGTAGCTTGGAGCTTCTATTTTCATAACTAAGTTATGAACTTCTACTAAAAGGGAGTCATGTCTTTTAAATACAGAAATTTGTAGTTCCTCTACAATGCCTAAGATGGTGTTGACCAAATAGCAGATGTTTTAAAATACGTATTTGATTAATTTAAAAAAAAAAAAAAAAGAAATACCCTATGAGTTACATTTGACCCCAACAGTCATGAGGCCCTGACCAGCAACTGAAAATAATGTGTTTATTTTTCCTTTCTAGACATAATGTTTTTAATAATACCACTGATTAGAAAACTATTCTGATTCTTGATATTTTAGGCAATAATCTTTAAAAGTGTAAAATCCTTTCATTTCTATCTCTTGCCACTAGATGGTGGAAGTAGCTGAGATGATCATCCTGGAAGCATCTAGTCTTGAGGAAGAAACAGATTTGTGAAGCTAAATTAGAAGCTCTTAGTTAATAAAAACATAAAGGTTTGGCAGAGATTTGTGACTTGTGCACAGCACATTGTGTTCCAGGACTAGTCCCTGGTGAGAGGAAATGGTTGAAATATGGCCTTGACAGACGCATTCTGAATGTAGGCACAAAATCTCCTGATCGAAATTCCATGCAAATAAAGCATTCCTTTCCTCAATTATCTTTAACTGGAAAGGGTACAAACAGCATACCCCCAATAATTCTGGCTATTTAGGCCAGATATTGAAAAGCGGGAAGAAAGGAATGTTAGGCATAGGACTGAACCAGCATCTCAAAATATAAGAATTCTTTTTAGAACCAAAGTCATCAAGGGTTAAGGCAAGCTTGTCTAACCTGCAGTGATGGGCCACCTGTGACTCAGGACAGCTTTGAATGGACCCAGCACAGATTCGTAAACTTTCTTAAAGCATTATGATATTTTTTGCAGTTTTTTTTTAAGCTCCTCAGCTATCATTAGAGTTAGTGTATTTTATGTGTGGCCCAAGACAATTCTTCTTCTTCCAATGTGGCCCAAGGAAGCCAAAAGACTGGACACCCATGGAAGGGGTTCTCTCTATGGGTTTTGAAAGATGAGTTTGTGTGATGAAATTCAAATTTTCTACTTCTTTTATGTACATAGTATTAATAACAATAATGATGATGAATTTTTTCTAAGAAATATTAGGTTATTAAAATCATAATAAGTTTTAAAAATAAGTGTTTATAGAAAATTCTAGATAAGTGTTAATAGTGATTATATGTAGCTGCAGATATTTCTAGAGTTAACCCAGTTACACAGAAATTTTTCTCAAAACTAAGATTTCACTATTGCCAAAACTTTCTGTAACAATTAGAAATAATGTACTAACACTCACAGAGGCTGCTCATCAATATAAGGCACTTATTGTTACTGTGGTTAAAGATGATATTGTTAGTGGTACCCTAAAATGATACGTAACTTCTACATCCCTCCCATATTTCTAAACAGTCTGGAATTGTAACCTTTTGGTGAGCATGTTTTCAATTCTTTTTTCTTAGCAAAGATAATCGGAAATTTTTCCAAACTCTGCAAAAATTAATTCTGAGACTGTTAGTGCTGTTGAATTTTTAACTCTTTCCCAGCTAATCCAGAAAAGTAATAGCATATAGTGGAAAGCAGATGGGCTTTAGAATCAGACTTACTTGTGTTTACAATGTAGCTTAGTTGCTTTCTAGCTGTGTCTATTAGTAAATCTATTAACTTCTAACCTCTTGGAAATAATAGTATGGAATTCACATTCCATGCTGTAAAGATTACTTGAGATAATACGTGGAAAGTCTGTAGTACTTGGCGCCTAGTAGTTGCTCAGTAAATGGTAATTATTTCACATTAAAAAAATAGAAAGTGTGTATGTATCTAAGAACAAATCTAAATTTAAGATTAGTTAACTCTTTGAGCTCTCAGTAATGATTGGAAATTGTTAAATCCTCATCCTTGATGTCCTTCAGAGAATAGTTTTACACTGTAGAACATTCCTATCTCAGCTAAGTAAGGGTGTGTTATTCAAATTATTATCTCTTCTGCAAAAGTGAATGTCATGTTGGTTAGCTCAAATTGTAGCAAATGAGTTGGGGACATTTTGAGTGGTCCAAACAAGAATTTACTAAAGCATAAAGAAATGGCTTTCTTTTGAGGCTAGTGATGGAAGATATTGGAACATATGCATAACCTTTAAAGATAATCAGGATGTGCAAGGATCATTTAGTGGACAGAAGCTATACAGCAAAACACTTATTTCATCTTGTTTAATAAGTATAAAAATAGTCCAGAAGGCAATTTTTAAATGCGTCTATTGGTATATACAAAGGAAACTTATGTAATCTTATATAAGACAGAATGTTGTACAAGAAAACATGGTAGAGAAGGTTGAATTGATTTTCTCCAACTCAGAGAGGAATTGCCAGTGTCTAGCAATCAGATTTAATCCTAATGCAGCTCCCAGGATACATTCTTCCAGTCCAGCTGACTCACCAAAGTCACTCTGAAGGCAGATGATTTGTTCCTTCTGAATTGGCAGAACACTGAGTATGTTAGAGTTTGTGGCCAATTTTGGGTCACAGGTAAGTTCATTTAAAATGCATTCAAGAGACAGTTACTGAAGTTCCTTTACATAGAACAGAACAACTCCCCACCTCCCACCTTGACCTTAAGGCCCATTAAGCAATAGGGCACATACAGAAGTAATGAGACAAAGTTAACTTGAAATTACAGTAATTGAAGTTACTCTAGACTGGTGTTCCAGAGATTTTCTGGTTTCAGGACTGGTGCTTTAGAGATTTTCTAGTTTCACTGCTTCATATTACATGTGAATAAATTTTTTCTTTTCTTTTCTTTTTTTTTTTTTGTTTGTTCGTTTTTGAGACAGAGTCTCGCTCTGTCGCCCAGGCTGGAGTGCAGTGGCATGATCTCTGCTCACTGCAGTCTCTGCCTCCTGGATTCAAGTGATTCGCCTGCTTCAGCTTCCCAAGTAGCTGGGACTACAGGCATGTGCCACCACGCCCAACTCATTTTTGTATTTTTAGTAGAGACTAGAGACGGGGTTTCATCATGTTGGCCAGGCTGGTCTTGAACTCCTGACCTCAGGTGATCTGCCCACCTTGGCCTCCCAAAGTGCTGGGATTGCAGGCTTGAGCCACCATGCCCAGCCCAAAGAAATTTAATTTAAAAACTTGTTTCTGATGGTAGTTTATTTTCTCAGTGGACTATAAGACATATTACCTGCTTTTAATTATAAACAAGCAATTTAAAACTATTTGAAATATCATTTCCAAAAGTAGGTTTTACTTCTCTTATAAACAATTAAAGCTGAGCTGCCGCTACTCATTCAACATATTTATATGAATTAGAAAATGGAGCCCCTTCTCATACAAGATGATACCTTGCTTTAGTTTAGATAATGCGCTGCACAGACCCAGGCAAGAGGCTTTTAAGTTCAGCAATAAATTCCTTAAATAATCAGATAACGCAATATCCAATAGGAAGCCTCATAGAATCACTAGACTTACATCTCAGCAGAGGCATTAGGAATAACATATTGTAATTACTTAATTTTACAAATAAAGCAACTAAGAATCACAGCTGTTATGAGACTTTCCCAAGGCAGCCACCTAGCTAACACTATAGCTGAGACAGGAATCCGGGTCTTGGATTCCTAGACCTGAGTTTATGTCTCTGTTTCCCAAGAAAAGTAAACAACAGGTGTTCTCAACTCAGCAGATCACAGAGGTTCACTTATTTCAATTTCTAGGGGATGTTATTGAAAATTGTTATCACTGAGTTATTATTTGTTTATGCCAATTTTCAGCTTTAGTAAAGGGCCAAATCTAGGTTGTTGACGCTAGACCAACCTCTCTCTTCATCCCAAATCTCTCCAACTAAACTGTGTGCATCAGATTGATTCAGTAAAAATAAGTCTCATCATTATTTAACTCTTCTGTCCATTTGTGTACTTGTGTAAATTCTGATGAGATAGTTTTGTAAAAAGAAAATGTAAATGATTTACATCTCAAAGACTAATGTACATCGTAGCAATGCTATTATTTCTCTATGGGATGCTTTCCCAGAGCTGCAGGGCAGTGTGTGGGATAAGAGCTAGGCATGGCATCAGAAATGTGCCATTTGAGAATTCACTGAATGCTCCTAAACCTAATTTCCACATTTATATACTGATGATAATAGAAGCACATTGTGGGAAGTAATTAAGATTAAGGAGGTTATCCTTTGTTGGCTTGAATTTTACCATCTACGCTTAAAGAACCCCTTCTTCCACACTCAAATTCCTGTGTGGCTACCTCCACCTCAACTTCTATTTCCCTAGTCCCTATTTTCCATTCCACCCTCTTTTTCTCATTCCCACTTTCTAGAATGGTCAATGGAAAAGTAAGAGAAACACATGATAAAGAAAAAGGAGCTGGGCAGTGAGGGTTGGGTGGTGGGTGGGGGCGCAGAGGGGAATGTCAGCACACATTTAGTTCAAGGAGTTGTCAGTATGTGGGACTTCCAAACAACCAATGTAATTTTAGGCTACATTAATGGAGTTGCATGCCAAGAACAAAGAGATGACAATTCTACACTATGCTAGAATGTATCATTAGGATCTGAGGACCATATTTCAGAGAGAATGGCAGCAGATTGGGGTGCTTCCAGAGAGGGGTAAATAGGCTGGCAAGGCTATTAAAACCATGTCAAATGGGAACATCAAAGGCTATGAGTGATGTGGTCCTTGGAGAATAGACTCAGCTCACAATGACATGGTAGTTCATCTTTAAATTGTTTAAAACAAAGAACTTGTCCATACAATTTTTGTAGACATCAAGACCTTTAGAGTAAACAATGAAAGAAAAACAGAGTTTATGTAAGTTAAAAAATTTTTGTTTTAAATAACTTGGTCCAAAGAGAGAATGACCTGCCTCATAAGGTAGTGAGCTTCCTGTCATTGGAGGTATTCAAGCAAAAGGTAGAAAATCTTCAATGAGATATTGTAGAGATGATTCAGGAAAGAGAATGTTGAATAGTATTTTCAACCTTTTTCCACACATAAATTACTTTGAGAAATTGATTTGAAAAACTATGACCCCTTTCCCTAGATAAAAACTATACCCACAAAACTATACCCACAAAAATATTGCATAAAACTTCAGAAATGATATGAATTACTTGAAGGGCATCTATGGACTTCCTATGGAACATAGACTTAAGGTTAGGAATTTCTGGATGGAATGAATTTCAAGTTTTCTTTCATTTCTGAGAAACTATGATTCCTATTTTTCTGTCCCACAGTTACTGGCTGGTTAAGGAATGCTTGTCCTTGAGAATAAATCTTTTGTAAATTTTGGAAAAAATAGGAGGAGGCCTCCCAATCTATTGTGTCTGTGAGGCCTGCCCAATTCCACAGCAGCCCTCAGCAGGAAAGATCAACAGGTTCCCCTAGATGAGAAGGATTTTAGGGTACATTTGCTTCAGGAGGGTTCTCTAAATGCAGAACTGCTTCTGATTCCATTCTCCTCAGTATTTTTGATGTATTCTTACAAGGCAGTTTTCTGTTTATTAGTTAGTGCCATAAGCTTTCACCATCTATTCAAGCCAAGAGCAATAATATCTTGTCTCTTTGAATTTGGGTTTTAACTGTCATAAGGCTGTTTTCTTTATGCTTGATGGAAGTTGCATTCTAGCAAAGAACTGATTTCAAATTGCCCCATCAACTTGCTAAAATGATGATACACTTTCCATAGAATTCTATCACAGGGAGTTTCCAATATGTGGCTAGACTCTTCATAGAAATATCAGTCATAAAATGTGCACTGGGTATTTATTTTTTCATCAGGGTCACAGAAATGCACCTGAACTGAATTCTTCTTCTTGTCTCTGTACCGTTAAGGTATTGACAGGTTCAGAATTGCTGGGTTTGAAATTTTAAGAGTAGCTAACTCATAACATTTCACTTTCTGCTCCAGGGCAGGGTGAGTTGCTTATAAATCAGCCTGCAAATATGATGAATTGGATGTCTCCAACTCAATTAGCTTAATGTGGGTAGGAGGATTTCCAGGCTTTATGGTCTCTGTTTTACTAATCTACTGAGCAGACTGTTATATAAAATGTGTCTGAGTATTAATGTCTGAACCTCAGAGAAATGTGGTTGGTATTTTTCACTTCAGCATCCAATGTCATTCTGTATTTCATAGCTTTGATTTGGATCCAGAGCTACTGAGTGATGGTTCTTAACATGATTTATATTGTTGCACGCCTTAGCTTGTTATCTTTCTGCCTTCTGACCAAGTTTAAAAAGTAGCCTAATAAAATTGCTGCTGTCACTGGGTGATTTAATTGGGGGGAAAAATCTCAGCAATTTAAGGAAAACTGCAAAACTGGAGCTATTCCTCTGTCAAATAAATGATCAAATGAAATGGGCCTCAGCAAAGCAGATGCTGACAGTTTTGAGAGCTTCCGAGGCACGCATCATACTTCAGTTGTGAGATCTGTTAGAGGAATTGATGAGGAAGTTTGTTTGCTTTTTGTTTTCTTAAGGTGAATATATTGGGGCCCTGGGAAATGTTTATATTGAAGAGAACATTTTGGATGTAAATATATTTTGTGTCTAGGTATATCATTCGGCATTTTCTTTATATTAACTGTCTATGAACACTCATTAGCTAAATTATTTTCTATGTATTTTCTTCTTCCCTCTTCTCTTTTTTAGTTTCTCTGTCAATCCCAGCTCTGTCTTGCACGTTGTTAAAAATTTGGTAAAACTCAAAAATCATTCTTCATTGCAAAAAGATCAGTGTGTGATATCTGTAGTAGCCTATTAAACTCTTTGTAGGTTCTGAAACCTTTCCTTAAAAGACTGGGACCAGTTGTTACGTTGGCCACTAATAGTTTTGCTCAGCTGAAGTCTAACTGAAGTTAGACATGTTATTGAATTTTTGTATTTTCAACCCTCGTGAGTGATGATGTCTCTTGAAATTATTTATTCTGAGTAAAATTTTGTATCCTTTGACAACATCTCCACAACTCCTCCTCCCACCAACCACCCCAACTCCTGGTAAACACCTTTCTACTCTCTACTTCTATGAGATCAAATTTTTAGATTTCACATAGGAGTAAGATCATGCTATATTTGTCTTTCTGTGACTGGCTTATTTCACTTAACCAAATGTCTTTCAGGTTCATCCATGTTGTGGCAAATGACAGTATTTCCTTTTTCTTTGTGGCTAAATAGCATTTCGTTATGTACATATACCACATTTTCTTTATCCGTTCATCCATTGATGAACATTTAGGTTGATTCCATATTTTGGCTATTTTGAATAAGGCTGCAACATACATGGGAGTGCAGCTATATCTTCAACATACTGACTTTATTTACTCTGGCTATATACCCAATAGTTGAATTACTGAATTATATGATATAGTTCTATTTTCAGTTTTTTGAAGAAGCTCTATATACTCTTTTTCATAATGGTTGCATTAATTTATATTCCCATCAACAGTGTGTAAGTGCTCCCTTTTTTCCACATCCTTGCCAGCGTTTATTATCTTTGTCTTTTTGATGATAGCCATTCTAATAAGTGTGAGATGATATCTCATTGTTTTTTTACTTGCATTTCCCTGATGATTAGTGATATTGAAAATATTTTCATATTCTTCTTGGCCATTTGTATGTCTTCTCTTCAGAAATGTCTGTTCAGATCCTCTGCCCATTTTTTAATTTGGTGGTTTTCTTTCCGTTGAGTTATTTGAGTTTCTTATATATTTTGAATATTAATTCCTTAACAGATATATAGTTTGAAAATATTTTCTCTCATTCATGTAGGTTGCCTCTTCCTTGATTATTTCCTTTGCTGTGCTGAAGCTTTTTAGTTTGATGCAGTCCCATTTTTCTATTTTTGCTTTTTTTTCCTGTGCTTTTAGGGCCATATCCCCAAATTATTGCTCAAACCAATGTTGCGAATCTTTTTTTTTTTTTTTAGGATAGAATATTTATTTATTTATTTATTTATTTATTTTTTATTTTTTTACTTTTATCCTTTTTTTTTTTATACTTTAAGTTTTAGGGTACATGCGAATCTTTTCCCCTAGGTTTTCTTCTAGTAGTTTCATAGTTTTAAGTCATGATCACAGTAATAAGTACATGATCAAGACCAGTTGATCATAGCAAATAAACTTTTTAATGTACTGCTGAATTTACATTGCTAATATTATGTTGAGGATTATTGCATCTACGTTCATCAGGAATATTGTTCTGTAGTTTCTTTTTTTCTTTTTTTTATATATCATGTTCTTGTTTGGCTTTGGTATCAGGGTGATGCTGTCCTCATGAAATGAATTTGGAAGTATTATCTCCTCTTCAATTTTTTGGAAGTGTTTGAGAAGAATTGGCATTAATTCTTCAATAAATATATAATAGAATTAGACACTAAAGGCATCAGATTCTGGGCTTTCTTTAATGGAAGACTTTATACTGATTCAATCTCCTTGTTTTTGATCTATTCAGGTTTTCTCTTTCTTCATGGTTTAGTCTTGGTAGGTTGTATGTAGGTAAGAATTTATCCATTCCTTCTAGGTTATCCAATTTGTCCATATATAATAGTTCATAATAGTCTCCTATGATCCTTTGTATTTATATCAGTTATAATATCTTCTTTTTCATGTTTGACTTTATCTGAGTCTTCTGTGTTTTTATTATACTTAGTCTAGCTAAAAGTTTGTCAATTTTATATATTTTTTTCAAAAAACAACTTAGTTTTACTGCTCATTTCCAGTGTTTCTCTAGACTCTATTTTATTTATTTCTACTCTAATCTTTCTATTTCCGTCCTTTTATTAACTTTGGGCTTAGTTTTTTCTTCTTTTCTTGTTCATTGAGGTGTATTAGGTTATTTATTTGAGATCTTTTTTTTTGATGTAGACATTTATTGCTATAAACTTGCCTCTTAAAACCAATTTTGCAGTATTCTGTCGGTTTTTGTATATTGTGCTCTCATTTTCATTTGTCTCAACAGATATTTTAATTTTTATTTTAATTTTTTAATTAACTCATTGTTCAAGAACACGTTTGTTTAATTTTCATGTTTATTTGTGAATTTTCCAAAGTTTCTCCCATTATTGATTTCTAGTTTCATTCCATTGTTGTTGGAAAAGACACTTGATATGATTTTAGTCTTTTAAAATCTTTTATGATTTGTTCTGTACCCTCACACATGATCTATTTTGGAAAATGCTCTATGTGCACTTAAAAAAGATGTATATCCTGCAGCTGTTAGAGAAAATATTCTGTATATGTCTTTTAGGTCCATTTGATCTAGAGTATAGTTTGAGTTCAATGTTCCCGTGCTGATTTTCTGTCTGAATAATCTCTCCATTGTTAAAAGTGGGGTGATAAAGTCTCCTACTATTATTAATTTTAGTCTGGCTCTCCATTCAGATCTATCCATATTTATGTTATATGTTTAGGTGCTTGGATGTCAGATGAATATGTATTTATAATTGTTGTATGTTCTTGCTGAATTGAACCCCTTATCATTATATAATAACCTTTATCTCTTTTTATGATTTTTTTACTTAAAGTCTATTTTATCTGATATATGTGTAATTCTTCCTTTCTTTTGATTTTCATATGCATAAAATATCTTTTTCCATTCCTTCACTTTTAGTCTATGTGTGTTCTTACAATTACTTAAAGTGGGGTTTCGTAGGCTGCATATATTTGGGGTGTGTGTGTGTGTGTGTGTGTGTGTGTGTGTGTGTGTGTATTTAAGTTCATTCAGCCAATCTACGTAATTTGGTTGGATAATTTAATCTATTTATATTTAAGTAATAACTGGTAGATAAGGACTCCTCACTGCCATTGTATGAATTATTTTCTTGTTGTTTTGTAGGTATTTGGTTCCTTTCTTCCTCTCTCGTTGTCTTGCTTTGTGGCTAAGTGATTTCTGCTAGTGGTATGTTTTGATTCCTTATTTTTTAATTTTTTTGTGTGTCTATCATGTTTTTGCTTTCTAATTACCATGAGACTTATTTTAAAATGTTACAGTTATAACAGATCTTTAATTAATTTTTTTATTTTTAGTTTTTCTGGGTACACAGTAGGTGTATATATTTATAAGGTACATGAAATATTTTGGTACAGGCATGCAATGTGTAATAATCACATCATGGAAAATTCAGTATTCATCCCTTCAAGGATTTATCCTTTGTGTTACAAACAGTTAAGCTCTTTTTGTTATTTAGAAATGTACAATTAAATGATCGTTAATTCTAGTACCCCTGATGTGCTGTCAAACAGTATTCTTATTCACTCTAACTATACAACTTTGGCATACTTTAAACATCCCCACCTCTCCTCCTCACCCCCACCCCTGCCCCAACTACCTTTCTCAGGCTTTGGTAATCATTCTCCTACTCCCTAAATCCATGAGTTCAATTGTTATGATTTTTAGATCCCAAAATAAGTGAGAACATGTGATGTTTATCTTTCTGTGCCTGGCTTGAGATTTCAGTTAACATAATGACCTCCAGTTCCAGAATGACCTCTATTGTATATAAGTACTACATTTTCTTTATCCATCCATGTGTTGATGGACACTTAGGTTGCTTCCAAATCTTAGCTATTGTAAACAGTGCTGCAACAATATGGGAGTGCAGATGTTCCTTTGATATACTGATTTCCTTTCTTTTAGGTATATACCCAGGAGTGGGATTGCTAGATCGTGTGGTAGCTGTATTTTTAGTTTTTAAAGGAACTTCCAAACTGCTCTCCATAGTGGTTGTACTAATTTACATTCCCAACAGCAGTTTACAACAGTTTCCTTTTCTCCACATCCCCACCAGCATTCGTTATTACCTGACTTTTGGATAAAAGCCATTTTAACTTGAGTGAGATAATATCTCTTTGTAGTTTTGACTTGCATTTCTCTGATGATCGGTGATGTTGAGCACGTTTCCATAGGCCTGTTTGTCATGTGCATGGCTTCTTTTGAGAAATGTCTATTCGTATATTTTGCCAATTTTTAAATAAGATTATTAGATTTTTTTTCTATAGAGTTGTTTGAGCTCCCTATATATTATGGCTATAATCCCTTGTCAGACAGGTAACTGGCAAATGATTTCTCCCATTTTGTGGTTTATCTCTTCACTTTTTTGATTGTTTCCTTTGCTGTGTTGCTTTTTAACTAGATGTGATTCCCATTTGTGCATTTTTGCTTTGGTTGCTTGTGCTTGAGGGGTATTATTCAAGATTTTTTTTTTTGGGGGGCCTGGACCAATGTCCTGGATGGTTTTTTTCAATGTTTTCTTGTGATGCTTTCATAGTATCAGGTCTTAGATTTAAGTCTTTAGTTCATTTTCATTTGATTTTTGTATGAAGCAAGAGATGGGTCAAGTTTCATTCTTCTGCATATGGATATCCAGTTTTCCCAACACCTTTATTGAAGAAATCCTTTTCCTCAATGTATGTTCTTGGCACCTTTGTCAAAAATGAGTTTACTGTATATGTGTGGATTTGTTTCTGGGTTCTCTGTACTGTTCCATTGGTCTATTTCTCTGTTTTTATGCCAATACCATGCTTTTTTGGTTACAATAGCCCTGTAGTATAATTTGAAGTCGGGTAATGTGATTCCTCCAGTTATTTTTCTTTATACTCAGGATAGTTTTGGCTATTCTGGGTCTTTTGTGATTCTGTTTAAATTTTAGGATTGTCTTTTTTCTATTTCTGTGAAGAATGTCATTGGTATTTTTATAGGAATTTCACTGAATTTGTAGATTGCTTTGGGTAGTATGGACATTTTAACAATATTGGTTCTTCTAATCCATACACATGGAATATTTTTCATTTTTTGTGTCCTCTTCAATTTCTTTTAATTTATTTATTTTATTATTATTTTACTTTAAGTTCTGGGATACATGTGCAGAATGTGCAGGTTTGTGCAGGTATACATGTGCCATGGTGATTTGCTGCACCTGTTAACCTGTAATCTAGGTTTTAAGCCCCGCATGAGTTAGGTATTTGTCCTAATCCTCTCCCTCCCCTAGTCCCCCAACCCCAACAGGCCCCAGTGTGTATTGTTCCCCTCCCTGTGTCCATGTGTTCTCATCATTCAACTCCCACTTATGAGTAGGAACATGAGGTGTTTGGTTTTCTGTTCCTGTGTCAGTTTGCTGAGAATGATGGCTTCCAGCTTTATCCATGTCCCTGCAAAGGACGTGATCTCATTCTTTTTTATGGCTGTGTAGTATTCCATGGTGTATACGTGCCACATTTTCTTTACCCATTATTCTTGGTTGTCTTTTTTTTTTACTCAGCACTTTGCTATATTATCTGATTTTCTCTTGGCCTATAAAGTTTCTACTAAGAAGTCTGCTGGTAGCTGTATTGAAACTCCTTTATATGTTATTTGTGTATTTTCTCTTTTGCTTTCAGGATCCTGTCTTTTTTATGTTTTATAGTTTGATTATAATATATCTTGTGGTAGTCATTTGAATTTTTCAAAGTCCTAGAAATCCAAAGATGGTTGAGAAACAACTCTTGTTCAAAAGGAGCTTCAAGTCAGTTGCAGAATAAATACAAATAAGTAAGATAAGAAAGTGGAAACACACAGGACAGAGTTATAGTAGCCTTTAATTTCCTCAGATTCTTTCAAATCTGATTTTTTTAAAGGTACTGTCAGTTCTATTTTGCCTGAAGTGCTCTCTATGTTCCTAGAAGTTCTTGGTAAATATTTACATTGTTTACTCAGAAATCTGTGGACAGGCAGAGACTTGCATGCAGAAAAGCTGAAGAAAGCTCAGCATGCCACAAAAGGTGCTCAGGTGTCCTTATTGGGAGGGGACAAGTTGTTATATTTTCATGGCTTTACTGAGAAATGCCTATTGCTTTTGGAAATGCCATGTGGTCTGTTGCTTATATGTAAAAAGGAGGAGAAATAATCCTAAACTTTGCTCGCCTTGGCTGAGCAAAAACAAAATAGGGTAGTAGACTTGTAGCCTTTGAGGAATTCAAAACTAAGTTTAAGTCCCAGCTCTGTTGTTTGCTAGGTATGTGACCTCGAGCGTGTTACCTAATTGTTCTTAGTCTCAACAAATTCACCCTACCTCAAAGGGTTGTTGTGAGGATTAATACAGTTTGTACCAAATTTTACCAAATCAGATATATTGTTTTAAATCTACATTCTAAGGCCCTTTTAGTTGTATTGAATCAGAAGCTCCAAGCAGGGCCCTGAGAACCAGCATTTTAACATATATGCCAAATGAGTTTTATCATCAAGCAAGTCTTGAAAGCACTGAGGCAGAGTATATAAAGAACCAGCCAGTTATCCAGCACTCAGGAGCACCATTAGACTCCTCAGTGGTTACTTTATCATTTAAGATTGTTTTTGATGTTAGCATTCAAATAAGCAGTGGATTATTTAGGCCCTAATATTGTTGACAATTAGTATAGTACTCAGCACTTAAGTGGTTATTAATATATTAAGTTGAATCACTTAATGGAAATTTTTGTGGAACCTAAGTATAGGCATTATTTCAGATGCTGTAGAAGAGTCAAAATATATATGAACTCTGATATAACCTGAAGTATAAATATTATCATTAATTTTCAGTAGTGCCTGAAGAAGATATTCATTCAATTTGTGGTCCAAAGAAAAGTTGCCATTTCAACTGAATTAAGAGTAAGTGGGGTTATCAAATATTGTGTTCATTTTTATTATTCATACATGCATTCATATTTGATTAGTCCTATATTAAATTGAAGTAAGAATAGAATAACATTTTACTGTACCTTAAGAATAAAATATTATGAAAGACAAAATTAGAAAAAAAAATTCCACACTTGGTGTCAAGAAACTTGATGTAAGCTGAGCACTATAATCCTCTCTTTATGCATTATCATTTTCCCAGCACTCTCATCAAACTCATTTTATATATTATTATTATCTATTTTTCTCATCCAGAGGAAACCTTCTCAGGAACAGATATATTTTCTCCTTCTGGAGTCTAGTTGATATTTCCTTATCCCTAAAATTCCAAACATTAGGGAAGGATATGTTCCATGTAAGAAGTTATCCTGGTAGGGGTCTCCTCTTTCGGCTTTGGAGCCCTCCTCCCTCTGTCCCTGTATGGGGGAGTTTCTTCCTTCTCCCTTCTCCCTTCATTTGAGCCTATTAAACTCTCTGCTCCTCCACTCCTAAAACAAACAAACAAACAAACAAACAAACAAAAAACAGTTATCCTGGTAACTTAATAATAATTTACTCAATACAATTCCCATTATGTAAGGCCATAGAGAATAAAAGATGAATAAAACATTGTCTTCCTTCAACGAATGACTGTTAAATATCATAATTAATTGTAAATAACACAACCAATTAGCATTTAAAAAATACTAAATATGTTCCAAGTTGTATTATATATTACATACATTTGGATACTATTCCTCACAACAATTCTATGAGGTTAGTACTATTGTTATTCTCATTTTACAAATGAAAAAAATAAACTATATTACTTATTTAAAATCATACAAGGTTAGTAGTACAACTATGTTGTTCTGTTCTGTCTTGTTTTGAGTTCTTATATCTATTTAGTGTAATTTGGAGCCAAACCCTTAGGAATTTCTGGCGCTTTCATTTATTGATAGCATGATTGGGCAAGATTATTGTTTCTAAACTCACTTTTACTTGTATAAAATGTGGTGAATATGATCTTGAGAATTCTTGGGTAATAAATGACATATGTTAGGAATAAAAATTTAAAATCATCTAGCTCAGTAACTGGCACATAGTTACTCATCAAATGTTATATTTTCCTTTCCAATTTTGATAATATAATAACTAATACTTCTTTTGACTTCCAGAATGGCAACTTTACCTTATTCTAATTTACTGTTTTTAATTATTTTCTGATTAACATAATAATAATAATAATAATAATAATAATAAGTGAACTCTTACTACTTTCTGATTGTTTTTAAGATTTCATTTTTATTTTTGGCTGTCTGCAGTTTTGCTAAAAGGCACCTAGGAGTGAATTTATTTTTGTTTTTGTTGCTTTGAATTTGGTGTGCTTCTTCATATATAAGGTTTAATTTATTTTCTTAATTTTTAAATTTTTCAACCATTGAAGTTTTTAATAATATCTCTTTCCCTTTCTCAATTATCTCCTTCTGATTAGATATAAATTGGGCTTCTTATTCTGTCTTGGAAATCACAATATTTTTCATATATTAGATCACATTTTGTTTGTATTTTGTATTCTGCACAATTTTTAATTTACCAATTCTCTTTCAGATGTGAAAAAAATTGCTTCTCAATTCACCCACTATTTTGTCATTTTAAACATATAGATTTTGTACTTAGTGTCAAATTATTCCATTTTTATTTTCAAATTCTTTGTAATTTAGTCTTTCTATTTGTTGGGTGGGCTGACTCTTCCTCCTGGTGGAGCACTTTATCATGTAGTTTATGACTTCTTATTGTGAGTTCAACTTTGATAGAAACTGTTTTATCAGTGGTAATTTCACTTGCCATGGGTTGGAGAAATATCACTAGGGAATAATTGCATAATTGCTTCAGCTGAACATTCCAAAGGTTTCACTTGTCCAGAAAAGTAGTTTTTTACATTAATTTATCAATATAAGAGATCTCATACTAAATGGGAACAGTAAGTTTGGAATACATATTCACAGGAGAAATTTGCTTGAGGATTGTAATTTCCTTGAAAGACTTTTTAAATTTAAAGTAGAGGCCATCTTATTTGTTGCTTCTTAGGACAAGGTCACAGGTTTTCTAATTCCCTTTATCTAAAGGAGACATTTTCCAGAATTCAGACTTTATGCAAGGTCACAGTTTCAAATGTATGATATATCTCTTATCCTCAGGTGAGCATTAAAACTCCAGTTTTGAGTTATTACGGTTTATTTAGTTCATATATATTAGCACTAGCTTATAAGTTGATTGATCTGCCTTCAGGTGTCTGCTACATTTCTTTCACCCAGAGATTTCCAATTCTTGTGTTTGCGCTCAGCTATGTATTTAAAATATTTATTTCCACATTTTGTGCCTAATTTTTATACATTGGTAGTAAGACGGTCAGTCATTTATAGAAGTCCATATAGTCCATATTCCTGTGTTCAGTCAACAATAACCATTTACTGAGCATCTACTTCACAAAGGTACTGAAGGTACAATGATGAATAAAACAGAACAATTTCCTGTCTTAACAAAGTTTACATTCAAGTGAGAGTAGACAGACAATAAACAAATAAAGAAATAATATAAATGTCAGATGATGGTAAGTGCTATTAAATAAGTAAATAAATAAAAAAGCAATATAATGGCCAGGCACGGTGTCTCATGCTTGTAATCCCAGCACTTTGGGAGGCCGAGGCGAGTGGATCACCTGAGGTCAGGAGTCCGAGACCAGCCTGGCCAACACGGTGAAACCCTGTCTCTACTAATACAAAAATTAGCCAGGCATGGTGGGGGGCACCTGTAGTCCCAGCTACTTGGGAGGCTGAGGCAGGAGAATGGCTTGAACCCGGGAGACGGAGGTTGCAGTGAGCTGAGATTGCGCCACTGCACTCCAGCCTGGCAACAGCGAGACTCTGTCTAAAAAAGAGAAAAAAAAAAAAAAAGGTAAAGAAAGAAAAGATAGCATTTGAGCAAAGGCTTAAAAATGTGTTAATCATGCACAATATATTGGAGAGAGAATATACCAATGAAAGACAACAGGTAATAAAAACGCCTTGAGGCCAAACTATGCTTATTATGTTCAAGAAACAGCAAAAAAGATCAGTGTGGCATATGAAGAAGACAAAGTAGTAGGAAGTGAGGTTATAAAGGTACTGTGGAAGTTAAAATAGGTAGAGCAGGCAGCACATGTGTGTATCATAAGACAAAGTAAGAACTGGTGGTTTCATTCAGAATGAGATGAGAACCCAGTGGAAAACTTTGATCAGGGGAGGAAAATGATGTGATTTATATTTTGAAAAGGATTATTTTGACTGCTATATAAAAAGTACACTGTGTCTCTATCAAAGAAATCAAATATTGTCACCTTGTTTGCTAAGCATAAACTAGAGCAGAAAAAGAATCACTTAATAAAGTTTCACATTTTTAGATCTGAGATTATTTTAAAGGATGCAACAATCCTCAACAAACTAGCAAACTGAATCCAGCAGCACATCAAAAAGTTAATACACCGTGATAAAGCAGGCTTTATTCCTGGGATTCAAGGCTGGTTCAACATATGCAAGTCAATAAATGTATTCACCACATAAACGGAATTAAATGCAAAAAGCTTATGATCATCTCAATAGACATAGAAAAAACTTTGAATAAAATCCAGCATCCCTTCGTGATGAAAAACTCTCAACGGACTAGGCATCAAAGGAATATAACTCAAAATAATAAGGTTCATATATGATAAACCTGCAGCCAACATCATACTGAATGGGCAAAAGCTGAAAGCATTCCCCTTGTGAATTGGAACAAGACAAGGATGCCCAGTTTTTATTTATCAGCATCTAGTACTCAGTTTTACAAAAGTAAGGGCTCAATTTTATCTGTATATCCAGAAGTCATCATGTTTAAAGTAGCACTTCATGTTAAACTGTTTAATAAGTTTTTAAATCTCAGTAAATCTCATCACTTCTCTTCAAAGCCTTCCCAGATTCCCACAAATATTAGTTAGCTACTCTCCTGGCACTTTGGTCACACATTATTTATTTATATTTTAGCATTTACCATGCTGAACTGTGACTGCTAATTTATGACTCTTTTAACTGTTTCTCCCTTAAACTGTGAACTCCTTGAAGGTAGGAATTATATTTGATTTATTTCTGTATCTGTAATAGCACTGTACCTGACAGTGCTCTATGAATATTCATTGACGATATGAGTGAATGAGTATATAGAAACTTGATGCCAACTAATTAATCTGCAGTGAGAAATAGAGGTGCTAAGCTGGAAGAAAATTTTATTGGCAAATTTATCTTTTCAGTAGAAATGTCTACTTTGGAAACTAAGCTATAATAAAAGGATTATACAATGAGCAGAAAATTAGAGCAAGGGAAGTAGAATGACCTTAGCCAACTAATACCTTTAAGCCATGGTTGCCCCATGGTTGTCTGTCCCCACTGAAGATAGACTGGCTGAGGAAGCAGAGTCATTGCCAGTAGTCTGCTGACTTATCATCTCTTCTGGGCAGTTCTTGAGGTTCCAACAAATTCTTACATTTTCCTCTTCTTTTTTTCAGATACTACACATATAAATATTATTCGCTCTATAATACCCACCACTCCTTTATTGGTTTTGTATTGTTACTTTAAAAAGTTACCACAAGCTTCATGGTATAAAGCAACACAAATTTATTATCTTACAGTTTGGGATGTCAGAGTCCAAAATGGCCCTTACTGGACTAAAATCAAGGTATCTGAAGGGCTATGTTCTGAAGCCTTGAGGGAAGAATCAGTTTCCTTGCCTTTTCCAGCTTTTAGATGAAGTTTCTAGAATGTTCCTTGGCTTATGGCCTCTTTGTCCATCTTTAAAACCAGAAGCATAGCATCTTTAAATTTCTCTCCGAAGCATAGCATCCTTAAATTTCTCTCCGACTGTGCTTCCGTCCTCACATATCTTTTACTGACTCTTTTAAGAACTGAGGGCCGGGCGCGGTGGCTCACGCCTGTAATCCCAGCACTTTGGGAGGCCGAGGCGGGCGGATCACGAGGTCAGGAGATCGAGACCATCCCGGCTAAAACGGTGAAACCCCGTCTCTACTAAAAATACAAAAAATTAGCCGGGCGCAGTGGCGGGCGCCTGTAGTCCCAGCTACTTGGGAGGCTGAGGCAGGAGAATGGCTTGAACCCGGGAGGCGGAGCTTGCAGTGAGCCGAGATCCCGCCACTGCACTCCAGCCTGGGCGACAGAGCTAGACTCCGTCTCAAAAAAAAAAAAAAGAACTGAGCCTCTGTCATAACATTAGAGCAAACTGTGTAACCCAGCGTAAACTCGCCATCTCAAGGTCCTTAATTTAATCACATCTGCAAAGCCACTTCTGTCATATAAGGTAACACAGTTACAGGTTTCAGGAATTTATAACCTTCAGGAATGTGGACATTTTTAGGGGAACTTTCTTCGGCCTACTACAACCCAGAAAGTTAAGCTAAGATGTATGAGATTGAACTATAAAATACATCTTACATTTTTTTGTTTTTCATTCTAATCTTGAAAATATACCCAAGAGATTTCTTGTTCCCCATATGTCCTTGATAAATGCAAGCTGTATTCTAAGGTGTATGAAGATGTCACATTTCTTTTTACTATTGCTACTATTAAATAATGGTAATAATGATTACCATTTTTATTGCTGAACATATTAATTCTAGCCTAGAAACATCTTATCACATTTAATTCCTTCAATAATTCTATAAGGCAGATGTTGGCATCCTTATTTTGCAAATTAGGAACCTGATGTTGTTGAGAGACATTTAAACACTTGCTCAAAGCCATTTAACTAGTAAATTATAGAACTGGAATTAAAATTAAGTGTCTCTCATTCAATACTTGCAGTGATTTTTACTAGGTCTGTAGTCCCAAATATATTACTTAACCTTGTTAAGTCTCAGATTGCCTAACTACAAAAATGGAGAAAGCACTTATCTCTTAGGATTCTTGTGAAGACAAATGAGATGTTACATATAATATATGTAAGTACTTGATGCAATAGCTAGTATACAGTATACGCTCATAGAATGCTACTTTTAATTTAAAAGCTAAAATTTACATTTCACTTATTATATTATGATACCTTATACCAAATTTGTGGGAAGGGTCGCCTACCATTGTTGCATTGCTACAGAACTACTGATTGTTTGAAATAAATAGGATACATTTTAATACTACTATATCACCAGGGTCATAACTGAGGTATAGAAAGATTAAGTATCATTTAGAAAGGCACCAACGAAGCTAGTTCTCATGAATCCAAGTCCAGTGCTCCTATCCATTGGCAATTTGAACTAATTTGACGTAAAAGAATATAAAAGAGTGAATGGAAAACACACTATTCATAATATTACATAGCAATACGAGCAAATATTTGTGTTATATATAGTTGTATGCAAGTTTCTGTTGGGGGAAGGGTATATTTGAACTTATTTGCAAATAGATGATTCAGTCAAAGAGCCATCAAGTTTTAGAGTCAATTATAGATGTTGCTGCTAAAACATGGAGTCAACACATTGACTTTTTATCAGCTAAAGGTCAAACTGTCAGCTTCCATTGTCTATATATAATCCTCTGGGTCATTACTTGTATTTCTAACAAGCACTGGTGCCACATGAAGGTTTCAATGTTAAAAATGGCTTTTTAAGAAGGTTAGTTTAAATGCCTAGAAAAAAAAATTACACAATTTCTTACTTTACTTATTAATCAACTTTAGGTTTTAGGGAAAAAACTCTGAAGATGAAAAAGAATGTTGGCAATTAGGTCAGCACAATCTCAGGTTTTATCTTTGAAGTAGGGCTTAAATTGTATCTTTGATAAATAAGTAATAAGGTTTTACATGCTGAACTAAAATATCTAGTGGTAACAGCGTTTGATAATAAAAGGGATGCCATTAATAATTGAGAATTAGTAATACCCAGAATGGGTTCTAATAAGCCAAACACTTAGTAGTTAGGTAGGATTTGGCATTATTAATACAAATAATCATGTATGTGATTTATCTGATGGAAGTTAATGTTTAAGTAAGTTGTTGAAACATTTCACCCCTTTGTAGAAGAGGATAGTAGAAAGACAGGGGCTTAAATGTCAAAAAAAATGAGTTTAAAACTTGGGCTTTGGTGTACATCTCTGAGCTTTAGTTTTCTTAGGTGTAAAATTAGAGTAATATTACTTCTTCATAGTTCCTAAATGAGATAACACATGTACAGTTTGGTCTATAGTAATTGCTCAGCAAATGGTAACAGCTATTTTTGTTATTATTTTCAACAATAATATTAAAGCTGTGTTGGGAAAAATATCTACATCCGTATTTCAGTGATGGACATGACAGATTTTCAAAGTCACACTCCAATTCATCAGAGTGCAGTGTAGGGAAAAGAACATAGAAATCTCTGTACACAGTGCTTGTGAAGCTAAGAAGGAATAAACATTGAGAAGCCACAAAATGTAAAGTCGTCATTCAAATCTGTTATGAAGTTAAGAATGATGCAGTGATGCTTACAGGGTAATATTTCACTTTCTTCACTGAGGTCTAGTTTTTGAGTAGGTCTGGGTTTTTATTAAAATTCTAAGACAAATGCATATACTGTTGAACTTGCTGACTCAGACTTTTCTTAAGGACCATCTATCATTTTAACTTACCAGGCAATCTAGCCCTGGAGCTGGAACATGTGGCAAGAACAGATTGCCTTGTTGGAAATGAGGGTAGCTTGGCCACAGAGGTCTCTCAACTCACCTGTTCCTATGAAAATGTCTGTGGCACACTCTATGGAAAGCCAAGAAGCTTGGTCCTAAGAAACATGCAGCAGACTACCCTTCCACTGGAGGACTGAGGGGTCCTGGTTAGCAGGCTGTGTTAGAAACAGTTTAATTTTGACATTGAATTCACCTGCTTCAAATCATCTTCACTCATTTGTTCTGATCTTTATGCATCAACCTTTCCCCAAAATGTAATCTAGGGACATTTATTATGTGTCTACTCTGCCAAGCTCACTATTAGGTCTTTCACACATAGTAACTAATTTGACCCCCAGACAACCCTATGAAATAGTATTGGGTATTCAGACATGAATAAAGCAGTTTTCTTATCTTCGAGCGTTTTCTTAGTCTACCAAAAGAGACCAATGCAAAGGTTTATTCCATAAGAAATTGTATTACCTCTTGCTCTCACTTTTCCAACAGATTACACCTCTGTTCTATACCACTAACATTTACTGCTATCCTTCAAATCATTATTAGAAACACCACTTCCAGGAAGATTTTTAGAATGTATTACAAGAGAATCTCTTCAGTCCCACTTAGCATAGTCAGTTTTTGTTAGTTCTCTATTTTTCTTTTCCTTTCTGTCTATTCTAATTAGGCACTTATCCCTGACCTTCTTCTCCATGTAGCATTTCCTCTGGAAATATGAGTGATGATGCATTTACTTTATTGTCCAGATTTTTATTAGTTTTGATTTTTGTTTTCTTTTTCTCCCCTTGCATATTTGCCTACTTCTATGCCTTCCATTTTAAAAAGTAAGATCCTTAAAGGGCTGGATAATCTGTAGACCTACATAGTGAAATAAGTAAACACTCACTAGAAAGTGTTCAGAGAATTTTAAGAAAATAACCTGGGCTGTCGTGAAATGGTTCTCCTGTAATGCCAGCACTTTGGGAGGCTGAGGCAGGTGGATCATGTCAGGCCAGGAGTTCGAAATTAGCCTGGTCAACATGGTGAAACACCATCTCTACTAAAAAATACAAAAAATTAGCCAGGTATGGTGGCGGGACCCTGTAGTCCCAGCTACTTGGGAAGCTGAATAACGAGAATCGCTTGTACCTGGGAGATGGAGGCTGCAGTGAGCCGAGATTGAGACACTGCACTTAGCCTGGGTGACAGCATGAGACTCTGTATAGAAAGAAAGAAAGAAAGAAAGAAAGAAAGAAAGAAAGAAAGAAAGAAAGAAAGAAAGAAAGAAAGAAAGAAAGAAAGAAAGAAAGAAAGAAAGAAAGAAAGAAAGAAAGAAAGAAAGAAAGAAAGAAAGAAAGAAGGAAGGAAGGAAGGAAGGAAGGAAGGAAGGAAGGAAGGAAGGAAGGAAGGAAGGAAGGAAGGAAGGAAGGAAGGAAGGAGAGAGAGAGAGAGAAAGAGAGAGAAAGAGAGAGAGAGAGAAAGGAAGGAAGGAAGGAAAGAAAGGAGAAAGAGAGAAAGAGAGAAAGACAGAGAGAGTGAGAAAGAAAGGAAGGAAGGAAGGAAGGAAAAAGAAAAGAAAAAAAGAAAAGAAAAGAAAGGCAAAGAAAAGGAATCTGAAATGGAGTAATTGTATGTCCTCATTTTACAGATGAAACTGCAAAGTGGGGTGTACAGCCCAAGGTTCACAGCATTGCTTGGGGGAAAAAGCAGGATGTGAAACTAGAAGTCTTCTGGGCATCAGTATATTTAAAGCTTAAAAAAAAATCCTCTACCCTTATTCACATGGTTTTTCTACTATATCATTTATTTTCCTTTAACAAATTACTCTTTTGGTGGCTTGATCAGATAATTATATCATACCATTGAAGATAATTTTGGAACTAAAATGTAATTTAGAGAACATTAATCCATTTTTTTTCATTATAGAGAATAATCTACTTTATATTTGCATTGTACTGGAAAGTTTACAGTAAGCTGCATATACCTGACTGTTTCTCACAAAATCTCAACGATGTAAGCAAAGTATTTGTATTCTAATTCCATAATGGGTAATAAATTTTTTCTTCTTTTTTTTAGACGGAGTCTCGGCTCTGTCACCCAGGCTGGAGTGCATTAGCACGATCTCAGCTCACTCCACCGTCCATCTTCCCGGGTTCAAGCAATTTTCCTGCCTCAGCCTCTGGAGTATCTAGGACTACAGGCATGCACCACTATGCCTGGCTAATATTTGTATTTTTAGTCAAGACGGGTTTTCGCCATGTTGGCCAGGCTGGTCTCGAACTACTGACCTCAGGTGATCCACCTGCCTTGGCCTCCCAAAGTGCTGGGATTACAGGCATGAGCCACTGAGCCTGGCCTACTATTTCTTATGTAAACATTTCAGAATCTACTTAGGAAATAAGTGACCGTTTGTATAATTTGAAGTTCTTCATAATTAAAAGCTTAAAATATAAGTTTTATATTTGGAAGCTTATATTCCCCATATTGGAGTAGTTGGGTGGGAAGAAGTATAAGAGTAGAAAAATCCACATCCTTCTATTACTACCTTCTGTTTGACAACCTATTATGAGTCAAACAACAAAGGAAACTGAGTTCAGGGGATGGGGTATGTGCACTTGTCAAAAACCATATTGTTTAAAGTCAGGTGAGCCAAATTCAACATATAATCAACTTTTTTTCATATAAGTGAGAATTATTGTAGGGTCCTTGACAATATATTTGTGAATTGCCATATAAAATATCACCTGGATAAGGAAATAAGAATTTTTGAACTGTTTTAGGGTGAGTTTCTCTCTGCATAGAAAAATTGGTTAGCATGAGACATGATCTCAATATTTATACTACACTGTGTTGGGATCCATTACTTTTTAAATTATCTATCTGGTTTCTGATCCCAGTGTACCTTGGACCTTGAGATTTGAGGGCATTGATGCCTTCACATATCTTCTACTTTTTTGTCTCCAATTCAAAACAGGGACACTTCCTAGATGCTCTGGAGCTCTGAAATGCTGGTGTCCTATCCTGCCTTAGGCAAAGTGAATTTAGGTGACGAAAGCTAGATTACACTTCCTAGCCAGATTATAGAGAATGCAAGGATGAGAAAATGCTCTGAATAGATAGATGTTAGGCAGTTTCTTCTATCAAGACCCCAGGTGATTTACTTGCCTGTGGTTGAACCTAGTTTTATAATGTTTTCATTGATTCTTTAAGCTATCAAATTCTCCAGCAGTAGATTTATTTTTTCCTTAATTTAGTCAAAGCCATTTGTTGTTTGCTTTTTTTTTTTTTTTCTTGCAACCAAATAACCTTGGCTGAGACATCATCTGTGTGTAAATAGAGTCTGTAGCATGCCTGGGTGACAACTGTCATTTATCCCTTCCAGCTATCTAATCAGGAGAGAATTGAGCTCACAGGAGAATGTTCTTCCTCCAACATGTTTTTTATAACCACCCTGTCTAATGGTACCTTTCCAACTCGCTCTATCATACGACCATGTTTATTTTATTTTCTTTATCACAACCTGATATTGCTTTGTTTGTTTATTTTTACTTGTGTCTTTCCTTCCTGAATGTATTCTCCTTGAGAGCATGGATCTTGTCTATTTTTTTCATCTCCGTATCTCCAGAAAAATAATACAATTCTTGACATGTAGATCATCAGTAATTATTTTAAATAAATGAATAGATAAATGAATGAGTGAATGGATAATCTTGCCCATGATCAGACAACTTCTCAGGGGCATAGAATGGATTTAGACGGAAGTAACCTGACTCTAGTGTCTACAATCTTACCTCCTATGCCAGACAAGCAGATATAATTTAAAATTAAGTGCTTAATCTATGTGTGAGCATATATGCATGTGTGTGCATGTGAGAGAGAGAGAGAGAGAGGAAGGAATATATAGAGAGAGAAACAGAGAGAGACAGAAAGAGAGAACAGTGAAAAAAATGTAAGTATCTGCTTTGATCTGCTAACCTGGCAAATATTTATATTTAGTGTCAAGCTAAGACTTTTAAGTAAAGTAAAAACTGTTAATCTTTGCATTATATTTGAGCCAGTAAAGCATTTTCATCCAAGATATCCATTAAGATGGCAAGTATCTTTTAGTTTAGTATAGCAGTTTTGGCATTGTTATGAATCTGTAGATTATGCAGAGCTTCCCACTTGTAATATATATAGCACAATACTTATGTGTTAGCACCTCTTTAGAGTAAAGGTCATGGGATAGGGTTGTAAAAAGTGTGAAGTTTCTGAGTCCTGTGCAAATTTGAGCTACTAAATTGTTACTACCATGTTGTTTATTAAATAGCTCTTCAATCTGAAATCTGCCATTATCAGGGATTATGTTAGGCACTTAATATCTCATCTAATCCTTGTAACAGCCCTATGAAGCAGACATTACAATTCAGTTTTATAGAGGAGAAAAGTGAGTTTCAAAAAGTTTAAGTAAATTATCTAGGTAGTGTCTCAGAGCTGGAATTTCACATCAGATTTGATATTCCCTACTTCAGCTCTTAACCACTTAATTATGTTTGGAAGATGTTAAAATTATTGCAAAAGAACATCCTTTATGTTTAAACAAGTTACTAAGAATTAAACAATAGGTAAGAATCCAGCAGCCTGGGGCTAAGAAGCATAAACTGTAGGTTCTAGGTGCAGCTTTGACCCTATGTGTCTAAGCAACTCATCCTTCAGTGTATTGGACAAAAGCACTGTACCTGGCCCTCACACCTCACATACCTGCATCCAACCCCAGTCTCAGTATTTACTTTCTCTGTTACCTTGTACAAATCAGTTTATTTGTAATTGATTTTGTTACAAATAAGTTTTTTGATATTGTAAAGAAAATAATACCTGACATGTGGGGATTAAGAAAGATAATATATAAGAGAGTGTTTTGAAAACTCTGTAATGCTCTAAGAATGCTAGGAAGTAAGATTTGTAGGCAATGGCTGCCTCAGCACTTCATAGATATCATTTTTTTAAAGTAGGGTTTCTTTTGGCACAAGATTACTGCTTTGCTGTTTCAGCCAAAACTTCTATTTACACCCAGTGTTTTTGTTTTGTTTTTATTTTTTGGTTTTGAGTTGTAGTTTTAGCATATTATTTAGGTGATTATAATTGATGATATTTGTATCTGTGGCTGTTTTCTTAAGAGAACCTTAGAATGTGGTAAGAATTTTGTTGTTGGTGGTGGGGGTGGTGGTGACATCTCAGTTAGAAGATGGGTTCCATTAGGACGGTGATTGTGACTTATTCATCTGCTTCCCCTGAACCCACATGCTTCGCCTGGCATCCAGTCAGCTCCCTGTCATTGGATTGACTGAATAAGTAAGTACTTATTACATAGTGTCTTTGCATCTCAGTTTCTTACTCATCATGGATTAAAATAGAAACACAATGTAGGCATTTCTGAGAATTTAGCCCAAACCTAGGAAATGTTGACTATCATGCCAAAATACTTTATAAACTACTCATTGTTGCCTATCACTAGTTATCTCTTTTCGTTTTTGTGCCAGAAAACACACTACATGGATAGATAGGCGGTGACTATCCCAGTTTCCACTCCAATGAGCAAGTCTCCCTTTGGAAACAATCTGTGGAAAGCTGTCATGTAGAAAATTATTGCCCTTTCATGTGTACTTGGTAGTCATTTGCTTTCTTACCATGAGTGCCTGGGTTCTGTCCTCTAGTGTATCGTGTATCTTGATTGCCAGTTGGTTACAAGCCATAGCTCAATCAGTGGATACCTTTTAATGTCTCCTTCCTTGAAACCTATGTGGCTGCCTACTGTCAGATCAAGGTAATGCGGATCTGTGCCAGGCATGAAAAGAACTGACATTCAGTGGAGGTATAACGGCATGTGAATGTCATTGATAAGAGATGATTAGTTATTTTAATTTCCATGGAGGTTGACATACTTCATTATGCAAAATAATAAACATGTTTTATATGAATTCCATGGTTCCCAAACTCATGACATGAGAATTCTAATTTGTATTATGTGAGCCATGCAGAGGACAAATAAGCTTATAATTTTGCTTGAATTAATATTTCAGAGGTTTCCGCAGGGATCTCCTTTGGAGGTAACAGTATGTTCCCAGGAGAGTCTAATGGCCTTATGAATCTCTAATCCTCATCCCCTATCTCTCTTAGAAAAAAGATTGTCTTTCTGATTGGATAGTGGGATATATACTCACATTTAGGATGCTTCAAGTAGAGTCCCAACTCTGGGACTATAGGGTCCATAGGGTACAGTTGTAGTAGCAATAATCTAATATTGGGAGAGCTCAGAACAAGCTCCAGCTCTCCTACTTACTTAGCTAAGTGACTTCAGGCAAATTATTTAATGTCTTAACAACCTCAGATTTCATATAATAAAATTGAATATCTAAATTCCTCTGAAATCCCATAACAATTTATTTGTATCTCTCCTATGGGAAGAGGGAGGAAGGGACACTAATATTAATTGAACATCTTATATGTGCAAACCTTGTGCTAAACATTTTCCATGTTTGTTAATCTACATGACAGAGTTAAACGCCATTATCTATTTGTTTAATTAGTGAGGCCAGTGGGAGTCAGAGTTTAAGTTCTTATGCGAGACCAGAGAATTGGTCAGATAATGAAGGGAAAAGGCAAACCTAAATTCCTGGCTACCTCTTAACCTATTATTCTCTGTAATTTCCTGATTATGGCATATTTCACTTCCTACTTCATATTAAGTAAATAGAATGAAGTATATTCCTTCATTCAAAAATTGTCAGTTTTTTACCATGTCCAGATACTGCTCTGAAAATTTAAAATACAGTATGAGGCTAATTAAAGTCACATTTCACATGGGGCTTCCTTTTTATTCCAGTGAACCGTGAACCGTGAGGAAACAAAATAAGATAACATAAATAAAAATGCTTTGGAAATCATGTAATACTAAATAAATTTTAAGGATTATTTTTTATATATATAAAAGTTTTCCCCTGGATGGGCTTTGGACATTTTTCAATAAAAAGTCTTTTACTTTCTCCTTATATTACAATAATGCAGTTGCTGAATAAAAATGTTCTTGTTGGAAAAAGCAACAATCAGTTCAACAATCTTGCCTCCATTAATCAGATTCTAAGGAATTTAGTACAGTGCCTGGCATGACATATGCACACCATAAAAGTTATGATCATTGATTTCTAAGGTTAAAGCCATCTATCTGTAGTCCATTCATGTAGCAGGCACAAAATATAACAACCAGTAGCAGTGGTTGGGAACTAAGCACTCTAACTCAGATGCTTTGTCTCTCTGAAAACACACAGAGCTCACCCCAAGCTATATGATAACACATTTCTCAGAATGCAGTAGTCATTGTTCATCAGCGAGTTCTGAACCTCATTCAAAGCAGGTTTCTTTCCTGGCAATTAAGTAAACATGAAACTGGATGAAAAGATAATTAACTTTGAGGTTCACGATGGTGGTACATTCTGAACTTTGATGCCTTCATCCACCCAGGAACTTTTAGTGAACTTATTGCCTATGATGAACCAGAATATTCTCTCCACCTACACACAGCTGCTCAGTTCAGCTTAGCTCACTCCAGCTTAGATGCCTGGTGGTACTCAAGAAGACAGGATATAATGACCTTCTTGGTCCCATCTTTTACCTGAGTCCCACGTGGAAACTCAGCCCTGCTCTGGACCTGAAAGCCACCACAAGTGGGGAGAAATTGAGAAGCATTCATTCTGTGGTTCAGTGGAATCAACATGTTCCTCTGACATTGTGCCCGTTTACCGCCCTTCATTTATTCTTCAAACATACGTGGATCACCTATTGTGTACCACATTTGCTTCAGTGAGCAAAGCTGAATCCATGACTTCACAGAGCTTGGAGAATAGTAGGGAGGCCACATAATTAGAGGTCATTTCTGCCCAGTGTTCATATGGTTAGTGTTAATGCAGGGATAAGCATAAGTTATTATGGAAGCACAGAGAAGAGAATGATATACAGTTTGAGGGCAACCAGAGTTTTCCCAAAATAGATGATAACTGAGGTGACATCATTTATTCTTTTGTTTATTCAACAAATATTTATTGAAGGCATAGCAGTGGCTGTTCAGGTAACTAATGACCTGGTGATAAAATGAATAAGACCCAGTCCTTTTTCTTATGAAGAGGAGACATACATGTAAAATGTTATAAATTTGAAGGTAGTTTTGAATGTCTTGAAGGAAAATAAGGCAAAAAAAGGGGAAATGATGGTTTATACTTGTGCTCTGAATAGTATGACACATTTATGTCAGAGCAGTCAGATCGTGCTTCCCTAACTCTTAGGTGATATGTTGAGCTGAGACTTGAGGAAAATGAGAGAGCAGGTTAATCAAATATCTAGGCACAGGAACCCCAAAGCACAAGGACTTTGAGGCAGTAGTAGTTCCTGTGTCAGAGAAATAGCAAGAATGACCAAGATGAGAGCAAGTAGTAGGAAATGAGGTCACAGATGGTTTTAGGGACAGATTATATAAGTACGATGGTAATTCAAATGAAAAATGTTAGAAATTTTGAGCAAATGAGCGACACAACTGGTTTATGTTTAAATGGGTGTGTGTATGTGGGTGAGCTTGTGTGTAGGTGTGAGCATGTGTGTATGCTTCTGTCTCTATGTCATTTCCCATGGTGTTTGAAGCACAGGAAAGTGATAAGAGAAAAATGTGAAAAGCTAAATAATTTGAGAATGATTCTTGGGACAATGCAAAGTCACTGATGGGTTTTAAAACGAGAAACTGAAAATTGGTAAAATTGGGGCAGGGAGGCTCCTTTTGGAAGATGTTGCAGCAAGTCAACTTGGCTCCCAGGTATTTTCAGGGATTCCTCTGTACACCTCATCCAACACTTAGATCCTGTGGCTTTGCATAGCTCTTGCTTCTTCTAGTCATGCTTTAGGGTCTGCTACTCACTGCCTAGTACAGCTGAAGCTCACCCCTGGCTATAATAAATGCTTTCCTCTGGTCCTCTTTCCTGAAACCATGTTTATCTATCAGTCATTACTACTTCCGGACCCCTTGGAATTTTGCTCACACAGATCACCAGCCCAGGCTACAGCCCACTACCTGACATAGTCCTGACTCTATCTTCTCCATCTGCCTGGGTCAGTTTTCATGAACATGCTCCTCTCTGCTGGGAGTGGCCCAAGGCCCTGGGTCTCTGGCCAGTCTCTAAGCAGCTACTCTCAGGGGAAGAAAGTCTTAGATTTTAACATTCTACTTTCAGGTAAAAAGTATGTCCTAGACAAAAGTAGTATTTGTTTTCACCCTCATGTTGAGAGCACTTTTCACCTCCTTTCTTTCTCTTCCCCCAGTCAGCAGGTGCACAGTGGTTCAAGCCAAAGGCATGGGCAGCATATTCTTTCCGATTAAGAGCTAAGAAGCACATGTATTATCTTTGCTTTTTCTTGACCACACACAAGAAATGTTTGCCTTTTGTAAAGGGATCCTGCAAAGAGATTGAAGGGAGAATATACAGATAAGTTGTCAGTCTTTAATGATGGGTATTGAAACATATAAGAGGCAGATAATTTTGAGCATATAAGTCTTCTCTGTCTTTTATGTGCCATGACACTTGTCCCTACTGCCTACCCTGTCTGCTTTTAAACCACCTCACTTACATCAACTGAATCCATTCATGGATCTATCTATGTTACACTATGACAAAGCTCTTAAAAATTCCTCATTAATTCTACCTGGGGCCAAGATACTTACCTCAGCAAAAATGAACCTTTCAGATGGCATGTTCCTGATAAAATTATTGAAGAGATGTGAAGTATCACTAGTTTTTTTAACATCCTTTTTTTGAGTGCCTATTATATGCCAGCCATTGTTCTAAGCACTTTGTATACATTATCAGGGACCTATAAAAGTAGAGATTATTATCCTCATTTTACAGTTGAAAGCCCCATCACATCCTAAATGAGCCTGTGTAATCTTGCTCACCAGGCCATCTCAGAGCTATGTGAGTGGTGGAGTTGGGATTTGAATCAAGTTTGAGTGACTCCAGTGCCTGCTCACTGTTTATGTAGAGATGAACACCTTGAGGGGTCATTTTTCTGACTACTACAGTATCCAAGGACCTGAGCAATGTGTGATGCATAAAAATGCTCCCAAAATAGGAGCTATTATTATGATTCAGGCAGGGGCTGGTTGGAGAGGATGGGAAGGGGGTGGAATGGGTGGAGAGAGTTTATGGGTGACTAGGAGGAGAGTTGCCAAACACACCAATTACAAAACCCACCACTACTTATATTTAGATAAGCAGAGACTGATCATTGTCTTTGTTCTGCTTAGCAAAACTAATTTCACTGCTTGGTGATGGCAAATTATTTTCAAGCAGGTGGTAAAATTTATCAAGAATCTGAGCCTCTGCCAAAAGTAAAACTACCCAATGAGTCAGTAGTAATCAGCTGGATGATATTTGAATCTGACCTGATAAATCCACCATCACACCATGTCCCCAAGCTGATGGACATACACCATGTCCCCAAGCTGATGGACACTTCAGGTAGAAAAGGAAACGTGACTGTAAATCATGTCTTGTCATCCCATCTTATCTCATATTGTCCACCATTATTCTACACTCTTCTTTCCCATACCCAATGGCCATTTCATTTTAAGATCATAGAAAAACTGTTCCTTTTATCAAAACATCAGGAACCTGACCATTAGAAATATGATATTATTATATAAGCATGCCTTTAAAAAGTTGGTATCCCCTGGGAATTATATATAATTCCTTTGGTCTGATGGTTAAAACTGTCTATTGGAACTTAAGTGCAAAATCACAAGACACTCCATTTAAAACAGTACTTCTCAACCTAAAGTTTCCAAGCCTGCTACACTTCTTGAATCCAGTAATCATAAAGATGACATAATAATAATGATGGTGATTGTGGTTAGGATGATGATGAGGATGACAAAAACAGCAACTAACACTTACTAAATATGCTAGGTGTTGCACTACGCATTTTACATTCATTATTCTACTCTTCACATTACTTCTGTGAGTTATATGTGATTATTTTCTTTATTATACAGCTGAGGAACCTGAGGTTTAGAGAAGCTAAATATATTGTGTAAGGTCTCACAGACATTAGATGATAGAATCAGTATTCAAACTCTAATTTACCTGCTACAAAGCCTCAGTCCTTAATTGTGCTACTTTAAATATATCAGAAAGCCTAATCCAGTAGAACATTGGCTCTACAAAAGCCTGTGCATTCTAAAGAAAGAAAGCTGGAGTTATATCACCCACTCTACTGACAATGATTTGCTTGGACTGATTAGAAGCTTGTCTTGATTATTCCACATATACTTGAATGTAGTTAAACAAATCAAATCATCACTGATTATATGCAGTTAGCTTGGCAGAAAAATTCTTCAGAACATAGATTCTATGGGGTAAAATAATTTTAAAAACCCTTTTATTCATACTAGAACAGTTGGTGCCTCTCTTCTTAAGTGTAACATATTTCAGCCTGAAAAGTCTTAAATTTATATCTCTCATGTATAAAATTAAATCAACACTCTATTTTATAAATTCTGTTCGGTCATAATTTTTTACCTCATGTTTACTTAAAATGTCTTTTTAAAAGCCTCTAGAATGTAACAATCCTTGTTATTTTTAGCAACAATCTCTACAATGCAATGGGAAAGTAACACACTTTCCTTTTATAGGAGATAAAGTCAAAAGATTGAAATGTGAATGTGGATCTTGGGAAAGGAGCTTAATCAATGACCGGGCCACACCACCAGGGAAAGTGTATTAGGTAAAACACATGTTTAACATTCACAGTGTGAGCATTTTAGAGAGGAATGTAGCAAGAAAAAAGATTTCTGTAATTTTTAAAAACCATGGAACTTGACTGCAAGTGGAAGTTGGAAATGTGTTTAGAACTTTGAGGTAGGCACTATCAGCTATGAGCAGAACTGCCACTTGCTTTGACCATCTAAAATGGTCTATAGAATACTTCTTAAAATTGGTTTCTTAATGGCAGCTGTGTTCACCATATTAGAAACCCAGTTAGAACAAACAAGGATGTGGTCATACAATTATCTTCCTTCTCTGTCCTAGAAAATGCGTCCATCTTGGTAACTGTATGTATTAGTCTGTTTGCACGTTGCTGATAAAGACATACCCAAGACTGGGCAATTTACAGAAGGAAGAGGTTTAATTTGACTTACAGTTCTACCTGGCTGGCGAGGCCCCACAATCATGGCAGAAGGCAAGGAGGAGCAAGTCACATCTTACGTGGATGGCGGCAGGCAAATAGAGTTTGTGCAGGAAAACTCCCCCTTATAATAACCATCAGATCTTATGAGACTTACTCACTGTCAAGAGAACAGCACGAGAAAGACCTGCCCCTGATTCACTTATCTCCCACCAGGTCCGTCCCACAATACGTGGGAATTCAAGATGAAATTTGGGTGGGGACACAGCCAAACCATATCACCATACCTGGCTTCCGATTTCCCCTGACTTTGGCAATGTGCTCTGACATTCTACCTCTTCCTATTATTTAGATTTTATGTTGGGGAGTGGTTCTGGCATCCTTCTTGATTTCATACTCTAGCTCTACCACTAACTCTGAGATGACCTAGGTAAATGTCTTAACCTCTTTATCCTCAATTTCACAATATCCCATATGAAGATAATGCACTGGAGAGCTAGTGAGAATTAAATATGGTAACACACATATGCACACACACACACACACACACACGCAACCATTCAGATCTGTTAGAATGGGATTTTTTAGTTGTCATTATTCCTACTCTCCAGAACTCTAGAAAATAGAGGATGTCAAAACAAGAAAACTGGGCACCATTTGGTTCCATTGGGTTTTGATGTACTCATAGGTTCATATGTTTCTTATCCTTCTCAGGCAATTCTCATTGCTTTTACCAAAACACATTTAGATCTAATTATTAAATCTGTCGGGTTTTTTTTTTTTTTTTTTGCTCATATATGTGTGTGTGTGTATTCCTGTTGACCAACAGCTAGTTGTTATTCTGCTTGTTTCTGTCAAGACATCAATAGCCTATTTCCAGGGACCAAAAATTAAATCTCCGCTGAGAGTCATCAAGACCTATGATTAAACAGAGGCCAGTAAGTTATTAAACCAGGGCTCAGTTTTCCTGAGCTTTTCACATAAGGATATTGTTCAATCAGCCCTGCCAGCTGTCCAGACCTTGGTACTTTTACAATAATGGAATTTAGAAGCTGGGAATTTCATCTTTTCTACTGAATCCAAGCTAAAACCTTTCTGGTTTAAAGGAACTTGTAAAAGCATACCTCCAACTGTATTAAAGCATTTCCATTTGTGGAACTTGAAACTATTAACCAGATGTCTTAGGCACTTTAGTAATACAATCTTACTTAATCCTCACAACAGTGCTGTAAGATAGCTGCTATTATTTCCATTTTACAGATGAGAAAGCTGAGGGCTAAGGAACTTTCCTTTCCCAGCATCAAAGATCTGTTAAATCATAGAGCTGGGAATGAGCTTGTGTTCTTGCTAACCACTGAATGTCCTGATTTCTCGATATTTGTTAATGATTACCTTTTAAATAATCATTCTTAATAGCATTCATTCAAACACTTCTGAAAATATCTTCTTTTTTTCTATTTTTCTTTTGGTACTTCCTCTTCCTCCTCTTCCTCTCTTTTTAACTTTTTCTGCCTCTTTTTTCTCCTTTTTCTTCCCTATTTCTCCTCTACCATATCATCTTCTTTCTTATAGTCCTCCGGCAAAAATAATTCCAAGACATGATAGAATATATGAAATTTTACATAGAAAAGATACTTTGAATATGGATGATTAGGAAGGGTTTCATGGAGGAATTAAATTTTGAGGTGAACATTAAAGGTCATGTTGCATTTGGATGCATGGAAAAGTCCATGTAAATCAATCTAGAAAGAAGGAATAATACGAATACAAGCATCATAAAGGCATATAATGTGAGATCCTGGAGCCAGCGTTTTGCTTTGGTTGAAATGAAGGCCAACTGACATAAATTATTAGGAGCTAGGTTTGTATAATAAAATGGGGACAGGTTGAGGAGAACATGGTATATCAATGGGAAGGGTATAACCTTTACTTTGTAGACTATGGAGAGCTATAGGATATTTTTGAGTCCTAAGGGACTGTGTGTTCCTTTCACTGGAAGCAGGGAATGGAGTGTTTAGTGGGATATATTTCAGAAACACATTTTTAAATAGGAATAGTAGATGGTTTAGGAAGAAAAATAAGTGATAATGGTCAAAAAGCAGTTAGTGTACAAATAAAGTTGCCTATACTAAAATGTAGAAGAAAGATGAACCACCATTATCCTTCGGAACATAAATAATCAGTGCTGAGACTAAAGACAGATAATACCTAATAAAAGGAAAAATACTGCAGTGCCGTTTGTTTTATACTATCATAAACTTTGAAGTGACTTTATCCCTTAAGTCCCAAACATAAAGCCATGCAGGGGATGAATCTGTATTATAGAAAGAAAAAAAAGAGAGACAGAACAACTAATTTGAGTCCTCTCTATTATCTATTAGGTTTACAATATTATGTGAAATTATTCAGTATTTCTGAGCCTTAAGCACTGATACTATTATGAACACTTGAGCAGTTGTGGTGAGTTAGATCTCATCTTTGAATATTCCAGTGAATATACCTTACCTGAATACTCTTGAAGAGAGGCAGCACATCTTTATGCCCCAGGTGACATTTAGTTTATTGGATCAATTCTACAAATATTTAACATTTATTTAGGTGTACAGTCACAGACCTTTAAAAGTTACAGATAAACTACAGTATTTATTAGTTTTACCAGGTCTTTTGAAAATCTGCAGTCATCTTTCTTCACCTCGTATAGGAATCTAGTCCCTTTAAGCTTACTTGGTGTGAAAGGCATCTTTTACATAGCCACCACTCCTTTGGATTCTAGCCCATTTTCTGGCTCAGAAGCAGTGAGGTGGTGATGGGGAAGCAGAGTAAGCTGTCTTGCAAGTGTCCTTAACTATGGAAAATGCAGGGTGCTGGTCACACATAAGAGAGCAGTTTAAATAGGAATACATACAAATCTCAGGGCTAAGGAAGGGGATCCTTCTGTTGGATGAGTCACAGCTTGGAAAACCTATACCCAACAGCAAAGAGGCTAACTTGGCTCAGTTGGCAAAGCTCCCATGCAGCAAGATGACTTTGACCATGGCCATCAACTAAGGCCTTCCCCAATTCCAACAAGATCTGGAGGTCATCTTACCATCCTTACCCGAACTTTATTCTCCTACCACCTCCCAGGATTCCTTTCCAGTGAAGTCACTGGGCACTTGGGGCCTCCTGTTTCTCTATTGTCTTTCCACGTCTATTGGTATGATACAACTCTTTTTTCTCTGATCTTCTCTTTGACTTTCAACAGGTTGTTTTCTAATTCTAAAAACTAAACTGCCTCTTTCTCCCAATTTGAGTTTCCTTTGGTTGTTATCAACACCTAAAGCAGGATTCTGAGGGGCAATGCTGGAAGTTTCTTTCAGTAAAGTGAGAGAAAGAGAACACAAAGATTAAAGATAGTATGTCTTGAGCTTTACAATTATTTTTTACTCTGTCATTCAAATTCATCTCTAATTTGATCCAATTCTACCTCTGATCCATGAATACTTTGTCTCCAATAAAATGGGATTATCTTCCTGAAATACATTAGGTGCTTTTTCCTTCCGTATTTGTTCACATGGAATGTACTCCCACTTTCGCCCCAACTGGTTCTTCACCTTTTTCTTCACCTGTTGAAATCCTCCTGTTTTTCAATGCCATTTTAGTGGTACTTCCTTGGTGAAGCCTTCCTCATTTTTCCCAGCTGTGTCCTTTACACAATCCCCATGGTTTTTCTTAATTATCTTCTGGCTGAACCTCAGTATAGTTATCTCTGTATTTCTCTTAACATTCTTACTAGCTTTTGAGCATCCTAAAGGCTGGAGTAGTATGTTACTGTATCTTACAGAACTTACAGTATCTTTCACAATACCTTTATTTAGAAAGGATTGAATTAAAAAGTTTTCATAAAATACCTAAGTTATTAGGACATTCTGAAGTGAGTAAACTTTATATTATTTTAGAACTTTGGCAACAAAAATACATCTGACTCTTTCCCCTTGATGACCATCAGCTATATACCCAGAGAGATTTTTCTGTTACTCTATTCTTTTTGAGATTTTTATGCCAATAAATATTAATTCTTATGAAACAATATTTATAGTGGCTAAATTTTATCAAGCATTTTATTTAAGCTAGGCACTGTGTTAAGTATTTTTACATTAATGATAATTTTATAAACACTGAGTTTATGGTTTATCTTGAATTACAAGATGAGTTTGTCATCGGTACTCATATATTTAGAACCAAGTAAACAAATTATAACTTTCAGATAAACACAGACTCTGAAAAAAAGACTAATAATTGTTGATTAATCATTCTGTACCTTTTCCCATAGTTTTTCTTTTGGTTTTTGGTTGCCTAAGCAACTAGGTAAAATAAGTTAACTATGACCGCTAGACATTTCTCCTGAAAACAAAGTTTCTATGTAAGTTTTCCTATTACACTCACTTCCAATTTTGGGTAGTAGATGTCTTACCATTATTTTTGTTGGCCTTCTCAGGTCAGAGTAAGAAGAATCTATATCCTCCTTCTAGAATGTCTTATACATGCATTATATCTTCAATTTATCAAGAGGCACATTTTTTTGCTAGCAACATACTCAGAGCCAGGGTCTTGAATATCTTTATATGTTCAATGTTTGATACAGGAGTATCAAATAACTATTGAGCTATTGAATGCATGTATAATTAGAAAGATATTTCACTCCCTTGTCTTGGGGTAGCTGATTTTTTAAGCCAATGATGAGGAAATTTATTAGTGGCTGATACATACATTACTCCAAGAACATTCATAGGACTTTTTCCTGCATTTGCTCGAAAGACTTTTCACCTTCTTTTCTGTTTCTGAGAGTAAAAAGTGTCATTTGAGGCAGATTTTCACACCTATTTCCAATAGAAGGAAATCATCTTGTCACTCGCATAAACATGTAAATAATTAATATGTGGTTCACATCACCCTGCAACTTTGGGACTTAAACTTGTACTACTAGGAAGAACCTAAAGAAAAAGCAGAATCAGTAACTTCATTTGGCCTAGGTGGTCAGCTCAAAGAGGGCTCCAACTTTGGATAATTTAATCAGAGGAGAAAAATGATGATTTATTCCAACCAAGTCTAACCAAAACCTAACCCACTCTGTGTTAAATCTGTTTGGGACAGATGAACTTATGGATCATAATCTTCAAAAATTTAAGGTGCTTGAGCCTTGCTAAAGGTCTCTTAGAGGGCCTACTCACAGATAATACTTTTGTCACTCAACCCTTTATTGAGATCTACCTCATTTATAGAGATAGGGAAGGCATGACAAAGACAATGAGGCTATCCCCATCTGCCACTCCACATTACTAGGTCCCCTTATAGGTGACAGGGGTATATAATTAGTTCTGACCAATAGATTGTGGAAAAAGGCATATGTGTCTCTCCCAGATCGAAGCACAGAAATGTCAGGTTGCCTTCCCTCTACCATTCTCTTTCCTGACACCGGGATCAAGGAGACCTCATGTTTTAGATGGTATAGCTACAAAATGTGGTGTGTTAGTCTAGATCCTTGAATGACTATATAGATCAGAGTGCCCTAACCTGCAATGAGTGAGAACTAGCCTTTGTATTATTAAGCTACTGAGATTTCAGGTTTACTGCATTCTTACAACAAACCTAACCTAACCAGATTAACACAAAATAATAAAAGAAACAGGAAGAGAATTAACATTTAATGAGTACCCAATTATATGCCTACACTACAGTAGGACCTTCATATGGTCTGCTGTTTCTGCTGTTGATGTATTTACTTCTCACAAAACCTTTATCAAGTTTGGAGGAACCAGATGGCACCGAAAAACACAGGCAAATGATGTGGAATCTATATTCACAATTGCTTTGATCCTGTCTCTTCTGTAGTGCCATATCTGTCTTAAAGCAGAAATATTATAGACCTGTCTTCTGAGAGCCATACATATTGACTACTTATTTAAGCAAGATTATATTGATTAGTTCAATGACCACAGAGTCAGGGAAAACCATTTTGGAATGAGTTCAGTAAATTTGTGTCAAATGCTTATTCAATTATCATCCTTTAGAGTTATTTGGGGGTTTCTTATAAATTGTTACACATGACTCACTTTGGCTCTGTAGGAATTATGTTATTTAGTCTCATTATTGGGTATTGTTTGTTATTGCTAATGAATAAAATCAAAAATAGAAATATTATATATTCAAAGTATATCAAACTAAGTACCATAGAGAAGGGGTAAATAGGGACATTTTTACCAAATCATTGCATACAGGAGGCTCTTTTAGCTGATTTAGGAACATCCAATTAAATTCTTTACTGTGTAAAGACCTCTGGACCTAGAATACCTGAATTGAAATTCTGGCTCCATGTTAGCTGTGCAATCAATTACTTAAGCAAGCCACAGGTGTATCATCTCTAAATTGAGGATGGATTAAATTTACCTTACATGGCTTTTATGAAAATTATGAAGTTGTATTTGTATAAAAGCATTTGTGGTCTGGTGTATAGTAGATGTACAATAAAGTGTTAGAGACTCAGTTTGCCATTTAAAATGCATAGAATATTAAGACCCCAGTAGGTTATTCAAATTTAAAACATCAGTGACTACTGTTAACTCTTCTAATAAACAGATGTGGACATGGGTTAGATGTGGTCAGAAAGAGCCACGTGACTTGAAAGATTATTCAAATGGGAGAGTTTCCTTTTTGAACTTATCAAGCTCCAGGATCAAGCTTTTTATTTTGCAAGTTCAAAAACTCTTAATTTGCCAACATCCCAGAGCCAGTCGAAATTGGGGATATTGCTTCATAATAGTAAAGCTTACAAGATACTGCTGGAGATGAATAGATACTTACTAGAGTTTATTAATTTTAATGCAAAAAAGTTTCTAAGCTGACTAAATGTCCATATACTCTAACCAGTTCATTATCCCTTAGTACAGAAATTATAAAGGGAGCCAAATGATAACCCTCAGCTTACCTGTGTCTGAGTAGGCTAGCTTAATCCAGTTCAGATAACCACAAAATCTCAGTATCCTTAAATTCTAAGATGGATTTATCTCTCAAACGTTGTGTCCACAGTGAGTGGTGAGTATCTGGCTCTAAGACATCTTCACTTAGGAGCTCAAGATGATAGAGGGTGTACTTCATGAAATTGTTTCAGCAAGGGGAAAGGAATAATGAAGGATCTTACACTAGCTTTTACAATCATCCACCAAGAAGTGACATATGTTGCTTAAACTCACATTCATTGGCTAAAGTAAATATCTATTTACTTGCTATACCTAAATTGCTATACCTAAGTTTAAGGAGGTGAGGTGCAACCATCTCTTGTACCCCACAGTAGAGAGGAAGTGGATATTGGTGAATATACCTGGTGACCATACTTGGTCTGAAGTCTAATGACCTCATGGTCTGACTCCTGCTGTCCCTCTAGCAACATAAAGAATGTAATTGCCAGATGCCTATACTCTCATAAAGATCTATTGGTAAGGCCAATAGAATAGAGGGAATAGAGCTATGACATGCACTGCCAGACACTGTCTCAGAGACTCCTTGCCTCTGGCAAGAGTTGGTTGCCTCACTGGCCAACGAACTCTCCATTGCATAGGTATATTCTTTCCTTAGATCCATTAATGAACTCAATTAGGCGGCATTCAGGTCTTGTTGACCTGGAAACCCTTCTACCTCTTTCAGATGATTTACATAATTCTGAAGGTAATATTATTTTCTTCATTTTGCAATTCAAAAGTACCTAACTGCTTTTCCTCCCCTCCATCCACCCTCTTCCTACAGATTTAAAAAGGTTTTTGGATAAACTCGTAACGATACCTTATTTCAATTAAGAGTGTTTGGAGGAGCTCAGGTCCTCTTCTTACTTAATGTGTGGTTTTTTATGCTATTAATTGTATCAGAACGACAGTGCAAAAAGTAGTTTCAGCTTCCTCATTTGTCCAGCATTAAGTTTCTTTCTGCTTACAGAGACTAATGTAAGCAGGGTTTAATTTTTTTTTTTTTTTTTTTTGAGGCGGAGTCTGGCTCTGTTGCACAGGCTGGAGTGCAATGGCATGATCCAGGCTCACTGCAACCCCATCTCCCGGGCTCAAGGGATTCTTCTGCCTTAGCCTCCCAAGTAGCTGGGATTACAGGCACCCGCCATCATGCCTGCCTAATTTTTGTATTTTTGTAGAGACGGGGTTTCACTAGGTTGGCCAGGCTGGTCTTGAACTCCTGACCTCAGGTGATGAGCCCGCCTCGGCCTCCCAAAGTGCTGGGATTACAGGTGTGAGCCACCGTGCCCAGGCAGTTTAATTGTAATTTAATCATCACATGCAGATGTCGTTCTTTATGTATTCCTTAATGAATAATGACCATTTGTTTCCAGGTTATATGAGTCCAAAGAATTGAGTGAGTTTTACATTGAATGCTTTTGTCTCTATAAGTTTATTATATATTCTCTGGCCTAATGTTTGAACAGTTCTCTATTTGACAACCATAGTCAACATTTTTCTCCTCCACTAAAATATTTTGGCAAATATTTTCCCCAAATCAGAGAAGGAATTTACTCATTTAATTTTTTGTTACCCATTGTTCATTCATTCCATTCATCTTCATTTATTCAGACATTCAGCAGTCTTAAAACACCTATTATTTTCACTTACTAAGTCATAAACTTTGGGAAGCAAACTAGGAATAAGATAATATTTGGGCTCTCAAAGGACTTCATCTTTGGGGAAAAATAGAAAGACATGGGCCCAAATAATATGAAGCAGTGTGCTGTTGTTTGGAACTACCAAAATTCAGGGTTTTACCATGCTTAGGCATTATATTAGATTTATTCTTCAACATTTACAAAGTACTTTCTCATTAATGATCTTGTGTAACCTCTCAACAGTTCTGTGGGAGATCGTGTTACCACCCTTTTACAGATGAGGCAATACAAAGTTAAGGAGCTTGCTCAAGGTTTTATTATTATTAACTGACATAATCAATGTTTTCAAAAATGTTCTCATACTATAGGCCCTTTTTAAGTCCTGCACCTGCAACATTTTTGATCATGGATTTCTAACTAGTTGTTTTGCCTGGATCCTTTGACACTAACAAGTTATGAGAATACCAAGACATTCTTGGTGAAAGATTACTTCCATGAGGCTATATTATAGAAATAAAGAACCAATGTTTGCTTGGCAAGCAGCTGCTTTAAAGAATTCTTATCTGGGTTACCTATGCATTTATTCTTTTTTGCTTATTTAGCTTTTTAAAAAGAAGATTCTTGTTTTGTTTTGTTTTGTTGCAATTCTCTTTTCAGGAGAATAGATAGCTTGCATTACCTGCAGAAATGTATTTATCTATATTTTGTTGCTCAGCTTAAAGAGAAAATATTAGAAGTATGCTGGAAATAGATATCTTTTATAAATAAAGGTAAAGAAAAATAGATAATTTAATGCAATGTAATAGAAAAGTTTGCTGAAGTAAAGATATCGGAGAAAGGGACTGCTGAATATGCACATAAAACTTTGAGGACAGACCTAGATGAGTTTGTTGAAGTCCCTGTCTGATCCTGAGTTTTGTAAAAACAATTCAATGCATTTGGGTGGAGCATTCATGTTACTACACACTGAGGCAAGGAAGTTGCAGTACGACATTTTACTGGCTCTCAAAGTTGTTGCAGTTTCATGGGGGAAAGAGAAACATAAGCAATTTTGATAGAATGCAGAAAATGCTATATTTGACTTATTGGGTGTTTTGGGAGCAGAGGGCACAGAGCTAGAAACAAAGCCAGAGTTGGAAGGGTGGACTGAGGTTTAGGGATAGTTTGGAGAAAAATGAGAGAAGGCTTTTTAGTAGAAGCCACTTCTGAAGACATTGTGGGTAAAAATGATGTTGACTACCATCCACTGGGTAATTATATGTGTGATACTACGTATGGCCCTTCACATGAATTACCTCATATAATTCTCTTCAGTGTTCTGTGAGATAAGTACTACTATTTTCTCATTTTACAGGTGATAAGGCCAAGCAAGACAAGAGAGGAAATAGCAACATTTACCTCAGATGGCCTCTGATAGAACTCTGGGCAAGAGGCCTCTGGGTAAAAGAAGACTCAGCAGAAGAGATCTAATGATGCAGAGTTGAAAGATAATCAGGGATAAAGCAAAAAATAGGGCAAGATAAACATGATATGGTGTTTGAAAATAATCTGTTAAGGAATAAAATACCAAATAAAAAAAGACAACTAGAAACCACAGGAATAGTAAACATCCATATGATAGACAAAATATTAATAATAGCAGGTACTGTTCATTGAGCGCTAACAGTATCCTAGGCCTTGTTCTATGTATTTTCCTATATTATCTCTTTTGAGTCTCAATTCTAGAGGGAGTTATTATTATCCTTATTTATAAATGAGATTACTGGGCCAGGCACAGTGGCTCACACCTGTAATCCCAGCACTTTGGGAGGCCGAGGTGGGCAGACCACCTGAGGTAAGGAGTTCCAGATCAGCCTGGCCAACATCGTGAAATCCCGTCTCTACTAAAAATACAAAAATCAACCAGGCATAGTGGCGTATGCCTGTAGTCCCAGCTACTCAGGAGGCTGAGACAGGAGAATCGCTTGAACCCGGGAGGTGAGATCATGCGATTGCACTCCAGCCTGAGCAGCAGAGTGAGACCCCATCTCAAAAAAAAAAAAAAAAAGAAAACCCCCAAGAAACAAAAACCAAACAAGCAAACAAACAAACAAAAAACGAATACTGATGGGCCAAAGAGACTAGATAAATATTTCAGTCTCACAGTAAGAAGAAGAGCTGGATTTTGAGCCCAGAAATTCTGACTCCAAAACCCAGGCATTTCTTCATACCAATAATGGGATTAGCACAGTGTATACCATTTTTTTCTTTCTTTTTTTCTTTTTTTGTAAAACTTATGTTTTAGTTATATCTTTCTGAAACTAGATTCCATATTCTGTGAAGGAATTATCTACAGGGCCAGCTCTTCTTATCTGATTTGGGAAGTATATTTTCTTCTACATAAAGATGGCTAATCTCATTCACTGCCTGTTTCGCTGATGCAACTCTCAAGGATTAAACAGTCTTATCCCTAAAACGTGGGGGATTACTGCAGCTCCATACATACTGACACCTCTCATGAGCCTCAGAAAGTCACTCACTCGTTTGCCTTTTTAGATAAGGCAAAACAGTATAATGATGGCTAACGACTCATGGGTAAAGGAAACAACTTAAAGATTTTGGGGTTCTCAAGATTAAAAGAAATTAAAATAATAGATTTCCATATTGTTTTCAGGTTGCTAAGGAGTGTAATGAAGGCCTATTTAAAATCACTGTCATTCTGCACAGCATGACCATGAAATAATATGACGAGAAGAATGTAAGCAAAACATTTCTTAAGAGTCTGAGTTTTTATGAAATATACATATTTAAGAAACAAGGGAAATAAAGTTCTAAGATACTAGTAAAGGAATGAGAAAAGGAGGATACATTTTAACAGCAAACTAATGTTTGCTATTTTTGTCCCTTAAGTGCCAATATCTTGCTTCTCCCTGAGATAAATAATTGCTTCTCTTTATGGCAATTATGGAACAACATTTCAGTTTATTATATTTTTTAGTAGGTTGAATGGTCATAATGTAGTTTCCTTTAAACTAAGTCTTCCTACCTATTATACTGAAGCTCCAAATAATTGTAAATTTTAAATTTTTCATGGCATCAATTAAAAATATATTTTTTTCTAATGCCTGTCTTTGGTTAACATATGTTCCTACTGTTCCTTTTGCATGTGTTCTACTTTTCCATTATAATATATGGCTATCTACTTAAGCCTAGTTTAAATTTGTAAGGGATTATATTTCAAAAATAATTTAAGGACAAATCATCTGTTGGATTAAGAATTTCTTGCAGGAAGGAAACATATTGTCTTAAAGTTTTATTTTTAGGCCTTGGTAGGCCCTCAGAATATATATTAGAGGAATAAGAAAATTAATTGATTAGAAATAATATGATTTTATTGAATTATATCTGAACAAGAGTAAGATGGAATAAAGGAAAGAAGAAATCCAACTCAGAAAAGGTATATTAGACAGAGCCTTCACGTCACCATCTGAGGACTCATTTTGGCTTCTCTTGACTCAAACCTAAGAGAAATAGTTTGTACCAGTTAAGGGTATTTATCTAATTTTACTGGTAGTGAAACAAATTACTGCAAAAATGAAAGAATTATTTCCAAGAACAATCCAAGTTTTATAGTGTTCCTAAAATATTGATGAAGGGCAAAGAGTAATGGGTGTTTAAATGATGTATGAGGCTTAGAAATATATGTCATCATTATTAAAGAAGTCACTTTTCCTCTGTTATGAGCAAACAGTACAGTGAAGATTTTCCAGCAAGATTGTCATTTTATGTACCATGGTTCTTATTTCTTAGAATTATAATGGACTAAAGGAGTAGTATTTTACCAGGTCACAAATAATGTAACACCTATGCCTATTAAAACTCTTCATTTATGTGGCAAAGCACCTAAGCCAGTTATTCTGATTTTATTGTTATGCAAAGAAGATGCCTTACACAAATCATCTTTTATACGTCAAAGATTCTAGTTTTGGGATTCAGGAAATCTGGGTTCAGCTTAAGCCTAGATTTTTACTAGCTGACAGGCCTTAATCTCTTTTGACACTTTGTGTTGAAAAAAATATACATAGTTATATAACTGTGTTTTAAAGACCATTCTTTCTAGTCCCGGCATTAACTCTGGTTCTGTAAGATTTTGAGTAGATCATTTACTCTACAGGGTTTCCTTCTGTTATCAAAATTAGATTATTATCTTCTCATCCAGAAGTTCTACTCTCAGGGATTTATCCAAAGGTAAACTATGAAGAGATTTATGCATAAGGATGTTCATATGTAGTATTATTTACACTAGAAAAAATGTAAACAACCTGCATCCCTACAAATAGGGATTGGTTTAATTATAGTATAATCATGCATTAGAATTATATGCTGCCGATGAAATTGATGGATACATTTTAATTAACATGGATTATCATAGGGCATAAAAGAAGGCTACAAAGAAAATGTATAGTATGATTTTATTTTTTAAAACTATATTTGAGCAATGTGGATAGAAAAATAATTGTTTATTGTGTACTGTGTTTCAAACACTACTGTAAACACATTATAAGTATCATCTCATTTATATAAGACTCTAACAGGCATTGCTATTAAGCTTTTTTATATTAAACAAATTGAGCCACTGTGACATGCTGCCTCCTAAGAAATTTGTAATAATGAACAATGCACTGTTAACAGTGTGCATCTATTAACCTCTTTTATTAAGTACATAGAGGTTTAGAGAGGCTAAGAGCATGAGCTCTTGTCTTATCTTTGCATTTACTAGCTGTGTGACTTTGGAGTTTCTTGACCTCTCTGTGCCTCGGATTCCTCATTTATAATATAGGGCTAATAATGGTTTATACAATTTCTGTGAGAACTAAAGTAGTGAATACATGTAATACACATAAAATTGTACCTGAAACATGATAAAATATATTTTTTAATGTTAACTGCCACTAATACTGCCACCTGGCTAAAAAGGGATAGAATCAGAATGTGAAACTTGTTTAACTTCAGCACATACTCTCATCTATCCTCTGATTCTCGTATGTCTCTATTTAACATGACAATGTTCATATTCTCCCAAGATTACAAATGAGTTAATTCACTTTTAAGTTCTCTTCACTGAAGGGTTAGAAAATATTATTTGAATAGGCTCTCATGTGGAATAAAACAAGCAAAACAAAATAGGCGTATGCATTTGCACTCTAATCCGTGGAGATTTTTCAGTACTTTACTCTGAGTTATTTGCAGGGCTTTCTCATTCTGGGATTGTTTTCTTAATGGTTTTGGAGAGGAAGTTGCCATCATTATTTATTTATTTATTTTTCTTGAGACAGATTTTCTCTCTTGTTGCCCAGGTTGGAGTACAATGACACAAAATTGGCTCACTGCAACCTCTGCCTCCTGGGTTCAAGCAATTCTCCTGCCTCAGCCTCCTGAGTAGCTGGGATTACAGGCATGTACCACCATGCCTGGCCAATTTTTGTATTTTTAGTAGAGACAGGGCTTCTCCATGTTGTCCAGGCTGGTCTCGAACTCCAGGCCTCAGGTTATCCACCCACTTCAGCCTCCCAAAGAGCTGGGATTACAGGCACGAGTCACTCCCTCCAGCCCAAAGTTGCCATTATTTAAAAGGAAAAGACAAAAAGAGATATTGGTCAGTAAAAGTTGTGGTTCTACTCAGACTATAGAAGCCTACATTATTTTTATATTGGGCTTCTTTTATTCATTCAACAATTATTTGTTCAGTGTCCACTATATTTCAGGCACGATTTTAGTGTGTCTGCTAGTGTTTCCTGCGGTCTGTCTAAAGATTACTGTATTTGTTATCTATTCTGCATGGTGTATTAGTGTATTTCCCCAAATCTTAGTGTATTAAAACAAACATTTATTATCTCTCATGCTTCTGTGGCCAGGCATTCAGATAAGACACAGCAGGGATGATATGTCTGCACTCTGAATGTCTAAGCCCTCAGTGGGAAGACACAAAGAGGCTGGAATCATCTGCTGGTTCATTCATTCAAATGTTTGGCAGTTGGTGCTGGCTCTCTGCTGATTTCTTTACTAGGACTATAGTCTGGAACAGCTACACATGGCTTCTCCATGTGGCCTGGACTTCTCACAACATAAAGGTTGAATTCCAAAGGCAAGCCTCCTGGGAGACAGCCAAACAGAATTCATATCCATCTTATGACCTAGCTTCAGAAATCACATAGCATCACTCTTGCTTTATTTTTTCTTGAACAATTAACATTTGTAAACTGTAAAATTCTGCACAAGTGTTGCTTGTTATTGGTGTTTGATTGGTTGAATGTCATAGCTTTTCAGTATTAATGAACTCTAATTTTCTGAGCTTGGATTTCTTAATCTCTAATTTTTCTGAGCTTGGATTTTGTTCTCCATAAATAAGTAAAGAATGCAGTTGAAATGATTAAAAGAGGAAAATTATGAAATATTTGTTTTGAAAAAATGCAGTCTATTTTGTAAGTATTTGTTTGTTTATTATAGATTTAAAACCTTTTCCTGTAACTTGTACTCTAAAGAAATAATTTCCAGTCATGTCAAGTGAAGGTCAGCACACAAGCCATTTGGGGAGATGTTAGAGTCAGATAGATGTGAGTTGAACTGCTGCTCTTTTATTAGTTATGTGATTTTGAACAAGTTTCCTAACTTCTCTGAACAACAGGGTACTCATGTATAAAATAAATACATATGTTCTTAGAGAGTAGATAATAACTAGAATTTTATTATCTTATTATTTCTTGTTATTTGAAGTACAGGGTGCATAAAGAATTATATACCTCATGTAATCAGCAGTTGTTACACTGCAGATGGTGGCCTGGGGAGCATCAGTGTAGGGATGTATACAATCGGACTTAAACAGAACCATCGATAACTCACAAGGCACATTTTTGCAAAATGGAAAAATATAACCTCCCCTAGGAGGTCACAGTACCATGCCACAGCACACAGCTTGGGCACCAGAGTGTGAATTGCATTTCTGTTTTCACTTATCCCCAGGTGGGTTTCTTTGGGCACACAACAGCTTGCACAACCAGACATTGTGCCCCAGTGCATTCCTATCTCTTTATAATTTTACACTAGTTGTTTGTATACAATTTACCAGAGTTAAATGCAGTGATGCTCTCTAAACAGGCTCTCAAAAAATTGGGGGTCCCTGATTTGTAGCATGATATCTATGGTGTGAATACTCCCACAAGCTACCAACATGTTAACAACTAGGTTGCAAAACAATTGTCTCTCACTTGTCTATAGGAGACTGCTTCAACACACCCACTGGCAAAGAGTAAAATTTGAACAAGTGCCAGAAAACAGCCCTGGGACCACTTTATTCCCCTGAGACACAAATCACCCTTAGAGGAGTCCCCATAATAAAATAGAAAGCCTTCCAGAGATATGGCCAGTGTCACAGTAGGTAATTTGCTTTTTTTCTTTCTAAACTACGTCTATTTGACCGCAAAAAATGTTAGTATTTCTCCCCAAATGCTTATTGATACCCTTTGGAAGACAGAAACATTTTAGAACATCACATATCAGAAAAGAAAAATGTGTTGTAATATTTTTTTTAATGAGATACACTGCTACAACATGGTTTTGGAGAAGGAAAGACAGACGTCACATGTCTTATCTTGGACACAGAAGCCAGGCTGTGCCAGCCAAGAACAAAATAACCTATTGGTTACAACTCGTTGGAGCTCAACATGTGCTATCAGCTCATGCTTCTATATTTTTGGTAACATCTAGCAGATTTTATGGTCATAGCAAATGTCATTTTTAAATTACAGAAATGAAGAGTGAATTATAACAAGAGACCTGGCTGATGGATTGTTTTTCATTTCACTTCAGTTTTGGTTTTGATAGTCTGTATCTTATCACAAAGGAGGTAAGAGTTAGACAAAAGCATTTTTCAATAAGGGCAAGTGTTTGGTTAGAAGTTAATATGACCTCCCTTTGATTCTATTATATTCACTTGAATTTGACAAATATAAAAAGGCCATGGCCCCACTCTTCAAGAAGATTATGATTTAAAAATTGGACTTAAACAATTTACTGTGGCATAAGATCATAGTTGTAAAATAATAGTGCTACTACTACTGGTAGTAGTAGCAGCAGTAACAGCAACTAAGAGAAAACCCATATTTGTATTCAGAATCTGCTACCAATTGGCTGTGTTAATTTGGACAAATTTATTTATCTGAGCCTGTTGCCTCATGTATAGAATGGGAATCCTATCTCACATGATAAAGAGAATATATTGTCTATAGGAGTTGGCTTCAACACACTCATTGGCAAAAAGTGAAATTCAAGCAAGTGCCAGAAAACAGCCCTGGGGCCTCTTAATTCTCCTTACACACAAATCATCCTTAGAGGAGTCACAATAATAAAACAGAAAGGCTTCCAGAGAAATGCGAAGTGTCATAGTATGTACAGTTTTTAATAATATCATCAAATCATTGTTGTGAGGATTAAATTAGATAGCATTAAAATTATTTAATGAAAATTAATCTTTTGTTGGGTGCATCTGTAAACTGGGTCACATACTGCTTGCAGCAATGAAGGAACACATACATGTTTGTCCCTTTCTTCCCCATCCTGGCACTGTTTATAATAAGGAGAGGGCTGTGGATATTCAGAGTCAGAGGAGATCCCACTTGATACAAGGGATCAGAAATGGGATTGTGAGAAAGGTGATGTTGAGAGAAACAAATAAGTATGAAAGAGGAGGTTTTCAGAGTCATACCCCACATGGAAGGTATGAATTGAACAACTGCATGCTCATTGTGGCAGGATGACATAAATAGGAGAATGAACTACTTTTACCACCTCTCTGAGAAACACAGCTGAAAATCCATAGCTCACCAATAGTGAATAACATAAATGAGTTTTACCTAGATATAAAGATTAATACTCTGATTAACCTTTGGAGAAATAATTGCTTTTAAGGCATAAATATTGAGGATGCTTAGAATAACAATGAATTTAAAAACTTATGTTAATTCCGTGTTTCCAGGTATCAGCAGATTCCTTCTTTTACTCTGACTTAAAGTATTTAGTGCCATTTCTACAACATATAAAGGAAACAGGGAAATCACTTACTTTTCAGAGAGTTTCTTTTGAAAGTGTTTTCAAAAGCAAATCTGGCTGGATATGCTAGCTAGCTAGATTTTTTTTCAATTACCTCTGGAGAAAATGGCTTTAGAATACTTCTAATAGAGCTAATTCTTACTATTTTCTGCTCACATGACATTACCAAGTAAGAGTGATGGCATTCTTCCATGCAATACCCATTTATTGTATAGTTTCTGTCAATGACATCAAGATAGTAGTTTAGAGCATACACTTAGTCTCTGTTAGGATAATCTGCCTTCTCCAGGAACAATGTCTTAAGAAGAGACACCTGCACACTTCCCTCCAAGAAGCTTCATGTCATTCTGCAGAACCATCTTTTTGTATCAGGAGGTAAAAATGCTGTTAGATTCACCTAGGCAATTTGTGTGAGAGCTAGGCTTTAGTGGCCTCAAAATGAGGGGACTGCAATGCAATCCTAGTGGACAAGGATTCACCAGAGCCACATTCTTAGAGAAACCCCCCCTTCATTGAATGGTGTCAGTCAACTGTTGCAGAACAAGCATTGAATCAGGAGTCAGAAAAGAAAATTTAAAGCTTTGGTACTACCAAATACGAGGTGAATGAACTTTAGACAAGTCATATGACAACTCTCCATATCTATCTCCCATTTGTAAATTAAGGAGATTAGACTAGACACACTCTAAGTTCCTTCTAGCTTTGGCATTACTGCCACTCTATGTTGGGCAATTTTTCTGGCTTACTTGAAGTATTTTACATGTTGTAACGTTTATTCTTGTGTTGCAAGAATGAGGTTTAGTGATAATTCATTGTGTAACTATAATGATAAATATTTTATTTGTGAAAAAATTAAGTGATAATCTCTCGAATTAGCAAGATTTGAGGATAAATATTTATCAGAAGTATATATATCTATAAATATTTATCAGAAATATATTTTCAGTTGCTGGTATGGTCATATTCTCACAACCTGCCCTTGATTAAGTATACCCCAAATATGTTGTCAACACCTAGTTTTTGACCCTCAATAAATAGAAGTAGACCAAGAGTTTGAGATGGGCTTAAGTATGAACATTAGGTGAACATCTAAATAAGATCCTTGAAGTTAAATACATTTTGCCAATAATTCAGATTTAATTGTTTTTATTGAACTACAAATTTTAAATTAGTCTTATTTGTTAAAAGGATTACACAAACAAAAATTACCCTGTTTTGGCTGGGTTTATAGTCTTATAAAGTCTGTGCCAAAATCTGACATATTAAACATTTAGCAGAGGCAAATATTAAACTTATCGAGACACAACTGTATGCTGATATTTCTGAAAACATTTTAATATTTATCTCACCAAAGATTTTTAAAACCAGTTTTATATCCTAAAGATTCATGTGAACTTGAAAAGCATTTTGACTTAATTTTTGAGTGCTGGTTTATGTATGAGCCAATAGGTAGCATGCTAGACACAATACATATTATATGTATATACACATAAACATATTTAAACATGTATACAGGCACACTGAGATCCAATCGCTTTTATGTTGGGATTGTAGCCATAAGATAGCAATACGAACTAATCATTTTAGGAAAGATAGCTTATTCTAAATATTTCTGACGAAACTGGGACCTTTTCACATGGCTACACTTGATTTGCTCCAATAGGTAATTCAAGGAAATTTGGGGACCGGAATTTGGGTAATGTCATTTTCATGACAGTTGTGATTTTTAAAACCTCTTTTATCTTTCTTTTTTTTTCCTTAATTTTAAATCAGTTTCTAATGCTACTATTTTAGCCAGAACTGGCTGAACTGTATAAGAAAAACAAAATCTTTTAAGTAACTTTGCAACAGTGAGTTTTATCTTAACACCAGTAGCTTGGTAACAGCAGATTCAAAGCAGGAGGAGAAAGGAGGAAGATAGAGAGTTTTACAAGAAAGTAGGGGGTAAGGATAGAAAGAGTGAGGGAGTTGAGGAAGGGAGGACAGACCAGAACAAAAAGAAACCAATTTCCAAAACAAAGTCATCAGCAGATGAAGGAATTCCTTACTGTGACAACCTAATTGAGAGCTCAGATTTCAAATTGGCTGTTCACCCCTTCCCTTTCCTCCTCATTTAAAATTGCTGCTACGGAATCCCCTTTCACTCCTTTTCCCCTTTTCCTTTCCTCAAACAACTCTTGCTCTCCAAATAGGAGAGTATTCCAGAGCTAAAGGCTGTCAGATTTCAGCCATAACTGACCAGACCAGAACAGAAAGAACCCAGGAGCCAATGGCTATTAAATTTCAGCCAAATAAGTAGAAAGTAAAAGAGAAAGGGTTGTTGGAGAAGGACAGAGGGGGCTACAGGAGAAGGAAAGGAAAAGGGGAAAAGTAGAGTAAGGAGATATCAGAGCAGCAATTACAAATAAGGAGGAAAGGGAAGGGGTGAACAGCATTGCTCAAGGGGTGCCCTTGTAATCTCTGAGCTGTCAGAGAACTCACTAGGTAGCAGAGACACCACAGAAAGTGCTCAGGGGGCTTCTTGTCTACTACTATGGAGAATTGTCCATTAAGTCAGGGGTCTGGGAACCCCAGTTCCATCTGGGTTGCCAGAATGTTACTAGCTGATGGGTTCTTGGCCCTCAGTGAAGAGAAATAGACCAAGAGTTTGAGATGGTCTTGAGAAAGGCAGTTTATTGGGGATTTTAGCTCAAGCAAAAAGGGAAACACAGTGTATAAGTCAGCACAGTGTATAAGAAAAATAGGGAGGGCTCCCTGTCCTGATTTCCCTGTCTGTCTTAGTGCCAGGAATGCCCATCTTTGTCCTGAAAATACATATATTAATACATTCTACATTGTTTGTCTAATTGTCTGTTCTTAGAAACTTTGCCCAGTACTTACAGAATAAAATACAAAATCACCAACATACCACAAAATGTTCTTTCCAATTTGCCCTCCATAAAGTTACTCATCTACCTTTTTTTATCACTTCTTTGTACACACTCGAGCCATCTCAAACTTCCTTTATCATTCAGTCTGCAAGCATTTATTTGTGCATATATTTACCTCTGCCAGGGAGAATGGTCCTTACCATTTATGCAATTGTATCTCTTACATAGGTACGTTGCATACTTACTTTTACTGGAATGATGTTCTTTGATTTCTTGCTTTCCAACTTTTACTCAGCCTCAAATATATATTTATTGAAGTCTTCCCTGACTGCAAACTCCTCCCCAAGCACTTATCTCAGTAAATGACAATTGTTAGTTGACATGCCATTCTTCCCCATTATACTACGAACCCCTAGACAACAGGAACAATGACTTATTTATTTCTAGATCTTTAGTACCTAACATGGCTGAAATAGGAAAAAGTTCTTATGAACATCTGGTAAATTAAATGAGCAGATGAAAGCAACTTAAATGAAATCCATTCTATCCTCACCTCTTCTTTGAAATCCATCTTGGCTTATCCTTACCAATTCTATCACCTTCTTTTCTAGTATTTCCATTTTCCTCTTATCTTTCCTGATTTAGATTCAACTATGTTTACCAACACTTGTGCTTTATACAGTCATGTACCACATAACAACATTTCAGTCAACAATGATTGATCACATATATGACAATTGTCCTATAAGATTATATCACACTTTTACTATACCTTGTCTATGTTTAGATATGTTTAGACACACAAATACTTACCATTGTGTTATAATTGCCTACAGTATTCAGTACAGTAACATGCTGTACAGGTTTACAGCCTAGAAACAATAGGCTATATTACATAGTCTCAATGTGTATTGGGCTATACCATCTAGGTTTATGTAATTACATTCCGATGTTCGTACAACACCGAAATCACCTAACACACATTTCTTAGAATGTATCTCTGTTGTTCAGCAACCCATGACTCTATTTCATTTGATTTTTATGAGGCTGTATTTCCTATATTTTTTGTCTTTCCATAGAGTTCTACCCATGTGACTATTTAATAAGGCTGCAAATATTTCAATATTAATGTTATTTGTTGTGTGTTCATGCCTCTTTATATTCATATTATCTATTTTGTCTATAATTAGATAGGAAGATAAGTTAGAAAATCATTTTGCTACAGCAATCTAGCAGAAGTACTGGATAAATATTTAATGATAGTAATGTTGATTTACTACAATATACAGAATGAGAACAAAGAAGTTGCCACCAATATGTGATGCAAATGTCTACTGCAAGGATTTGTTGCTACTGAAATAGCTCTCCTACCATGTCTTACTTTTTGCTGAGGCTTTAAAGGTTTAAATGATTTCCTGAATTTTAACTTTAATTCCAAGGCCATACAAATAAGACTCTGGGCTTTCCTGTGCCATCAGCCTAATGTTTTATGGATAGGTATAGATTGTTTCTGATCTTTGATTTGGTCCCTAGGTCTAAAGGAATTTTCTGTGGCATTTCATATAGTGACTTATAGTCAACTTTCTCTATTCCTTCAGTGTGTTCTTCCTCAAACTCATTCCTCTTCCTAATCCTTGCCAGATTAATCTTCCTAAACCTATTCATCATTTAACTATACCAGAATAAAACCTTCCAATTTTAGGTCCATTGAAGATAGACTGATATTAGAAATAGTTATACCATGATATGATAAATATTATTAGAGATTAGTCATTATTTAATGAGTCCTTGACTGTTGTCTAGTAATATGCTAAGTACTGGGATAGACTGGTTTGGTCCCTGTCTGAGTGTTTGGGAAGATTCACAAAGGAAATGTCACTTCACTTGGTGCTTGGAGGTGAACTAGGAATTTACTACCTGATTCTAATTTCCTACTAATTCCTTACATTAGTCAATGAGTCTCCCTGCTCTAGAGCAAAATGGAATAGTTATGAAAGGCTAAATAGCAAGGATTAAAACATTTAAAGCAAAATGGAATAACAAAGGAGAAACTGGAACTTGGTTTGTATATTAAACTCTAAAATTTTGTGTATTTTACAAATATTCTAGTACCTACTTGGTAAATTTGATTTTTTTTACCTAAGTAAGTTTGAGAAACATGGTGCTTTAAAGAAAGAGCTAAGATCTAAAGCATGTCTTGGTTAAATCCCATGATAAGGACCCAGTTATGGACAAAATTGAAAGTGTTAAAAGGCACTCATCTCAAACACTAACAGCAGTTCTGGCTGCAGGGGAGTAAGGGAGTTAAAGGCAAAGATATAAGAATGTGGTATTTGGAGTCCTCAACTGGTGTGTTAAATCATTGCAGCATGGGTATACATGTGGGAGGTTTGGTGTGTGGAGGGAACATGCACAGGGAGGATTACTGTTGTTTCTCACTTGGCTGAGTTTGAATGGAAGGACTAGAACAGAGAGTGGGAAAATTTGCATTCCTTTCTTCCTCTGGGAAATTCAGAACTAGCCAACAAGATCCAATTAACACACATGGAAGTCAAGGGACCATTTTATGGTAATCCAACATACTTAATCACATGTGCACTAAACCCAAAGTTATCCACTCAACCCAATAAGGCATACCCAATCTCCTCCTTATATTAATTGATTTCTGTGTTATAAAATGTAGTATGAAAGATGAAAAGAGTAAAATAACATTTATGGAGAATCTGCTCACCATCAGGTATTGTGCACTTTGTTTTTTAGGTTATTCATGTTTAATTCCATTATAAAACTGCAAAGTAGGTATTGTTTTTAATTTGTATTTTTCCAGCAATTTATTATGGTAATTTTCAAACTGAATGGAATGTTGAAAGAATAATACAATAAATGTTCATATTTCCTGGATTCAATAATTGTTAGCAGTATGCCAAATATGTGTTATCTATCTACCTATTGAATTATCAGTCTTTTGATGTATCTTTCCCTAAGTAGATAGCCAGATTATCTTCACAGAACAATTTGAAAGTAAGTTGCAGACATAGTAATTTTAATACTCATCTTCTATAAAACTATAATGGTGTTACCACACAAGAGATGATTAACAGTTACTTTCTAACATTATTTAATAGCTAGTCCCTATTCAAATTCCCCTACTATTCACCCAAATTATTTATCCCAATTTTTTTCATAAAGCAAAATTCAATTATGGTTCATGCATTCATTTGGTTCTTATTTGTTTGGTGTGTTTTAATGTAAAAGGGTCTCCCCAACTTTCTCCTATGCCACTGGCCTTTTCTCCCAACTTTTATTTTGAATAATTAAAAACGTATAGAAAAGTTTAAAAAAAAGTAAACAAATCCCTTTACACGCTTCACCTTATTCACCAATTATTAGCGTTTTGCCACGTTTACTCTCTCTAGCTTGCTTCTTCTAATTCTGTCATTTCTTCTACATGGCATTTTTTCTATAAATAAGTTTTCTTTCATTATCTTAAAATGTTATTTCTATGACTTACTGCTTTTCTCTTAACTAGCAACTTTTAGAATAAGAAGTTGGTGTAAAAATCAATTCTAATAATGACAAATGATTCTCAATTTTTAAAAAAGCGTTATCATTCTTTTTGATACTCAAATTGTTATCAGATTTTCCTAGGGGAATCCCTTCAAATTGACTTTCTTGTTCTGGAACTTTTGCTGCCCAAGATACAGAGTCAGCCATTTCACAAGATGTCCTAGCTCCTTTTAGTAGAAAATGATAAATAGACACCAAGATCTTTGTGCTAGATACGGTCGTTGCTATTGGGGTATCACTGATTCCTAGGCCTTTTAGTGAGCAAAGATAGGAAATTTATATATATTTTAAAAGTCATAAGTAGATATTGATATTTCTAATTCAAATCTAATATTGCATAATGTTCCCTTAAAATTTCTTGCTTTTATATTTGTGACTCCTTTCTGTTACACTAAAATTTTTGTTTTCTTAGTATTTTTACTTATTCACTTTATCCTAACAAATACTGTCACAAATAACATTGTGGATACGCTGTTTTGTATTTACAGAGGTATGGCTATAGAGTAGAATCCTGTAAACGGGATTTCTGAATTATAGGAAAGAGTCATATGTACTTTTGTTAGATATTGCTAAAAGTACTCTCATAGGTATTCTAATACTTAGTACCCCCACTAGAAATATGTGAGAATTCCTGCTGCTTCTTGCCAACAGAGCGTGTTATCAAATTAGAATTTTTACCAACCTGTAGCATGAAAGAGTATCTCAGTGGAATTTTGTTTCTCTTATCAGTGATGCCGAACATCTTTTCATATGTTTGGGAGCCATTTGTCTTTCTGTTTTTCTATATGTAGTCGTTTGTGTCTTCTGCTCATTGTTCTCTTGGGCTTTTAGCGGTTTTCTTGCAGACTTCTGGAGGCTCTTTCTATATTAAAGTGATCAGATCTTTGTGTTTGTGATATAAGCTGCAAATACATTTTAGTTTGTTATTCATCTTTAGGGGAAAAATGTCCTTAATATTGAGCACATATGTTTGCATCATAGTTACAAAAGCTTTCTTTTCTCTTAGGTTATTAGAAAATTATTCATAATCATGTTTTCCTCTTTTCTTCTAATACTTGTACATTTTCCTTTATTTAACATCCAATTCTATGATGCATTTGGAGATTATTTTAGGGTATGGTGTGAGGTACTGATCTAGTTTTGTCCTTTTTGAAATAGCTATACAGTTGTCTCAATATTATTTATTTAAAAATTCCTTTTTTTATAACTGATTTGAGATGTCAACTTTATCATACACTAAATTCCATATATATCTGGGTCTTTTTCTCAACCTTATTTCTGTATTCAATCTGAGTAGTATGGCAACATCAAATTATTTTAATTATAGATAATAATAGCCTCCCCTTAAAAAAGTGAAGAGTCAAAAGCTTTATGAGATAAATGGTTTGCTAAAACTCAATTTATTAATAAAATATCAGAGCTAGGATTTGATCTATGGCCACCCTGTCTTGGTAGGATTTAAGTATACATTTAGGCAAAATATTTATCTCAGTCAAATAAGTCTATCTGCTATTTATGTCAGAGAGGTACTCTGAATAAGTGGTGGTTTGGGGTAGCTTAAACTATAAATATTAAGAACACAGAGTAGTTTTGTACCATAAAAATGATTATTTTGTTAAAAGTGTTATTTCCTAATACATGAATTTTCCTATGTACTATAATTCCAAAAATTCTTGAATAACCCTTTATAGAAGCGAGATTTCACATGCATAAATATTATTAGAGTATAAATGGCAAACTTTAAACTGATTTAAGCCATAATGAAGCTTGAGGATGGGGAAAGTCTCTATCATTGTCTCTATGGCCCACTCTCATTGTCTCTCATGGTGCACGTAACATGAGAATCTCTATGATGAATGTGCATTCTTTTACAAATATGAAGAAGATCCACTAGTAAGTAGATATGAGGCAAATAAATGCCACTTGCCTAATGTTAAGCAGTTTAAAATAAAAACAAAAACCCACTGGCAGAAGCCATCTGGTCCTGGCAACTTTCCCGGTTAAACACTTTTAATTGCTTCTGTGATCTTGGTGGGTTGGCATGCCATGGTTTCCAGGGATTTAAGAGAATTGACCTTTATGAAGTAATCACAGTTCGTTGCACAAAAGAACTCTGAGTTACCAAAGCAGGCAGCATGTCCTGCTGTGGAGCCATGATAATGGAAGTGAATCAAGTGTGTGACGGTTTATTATTTGAATTAAATTTACTGTGATAGTCTACATAGTACGACTTAATGTTCTACATACTATGACTTTCCAAGGGCCAACAGTGTTCAACCTGGAATATTCTGTCAGTTTTGGCAATGAATCATAAATATGTCATGACCTATAACGGATTTTTTTGTTTATATTTAGGGTCATTCATGTGATTCCGAGGTCCCTTTCCTATGCATTGTCTTGAGATTTTTGCTTAAGAGTTGGGAGAAAGTATTCCCAACATAACATTAATTACTACATATTTGTATGTAGATATGTGTATATCTATATACATGTGTACATTTTTCTCTTATTCATATCTATTTATGTTGAATTTCATTCAGAAGAAGCTTATTCAAGTCCACTATAAGCTTTTTATCTTAATTTAATATTAATAATTATAGTTAACATTTATTGAGCAATTATTATGTGCTAAGAACTATGATCAGTACATTTCACCTCTTGATGCAGGCAAACTCATAATTTTTGCTCTGAAAAGATAAAAAAGCTAAACTCTACACTACTGAAAAAAATTACCTAAAGTCAAAACAGATAGTTAAATCATAGAACCATTTAAGCCAGGTCTTAAATGTGATGCCAAAGTCCAAACTCTGAAGAGATTGAGATATAGGGATATTAATTCTCTGTGCTCTATCACATAACTAGATTCTTACAAAGCTAGGGTTAGTACTCATGTTTACTGTCTGGCAAACCACCACACTGAGAAGCTTAAGTCTGAAGCTGAATGTACCCAGCATCATTTGTTGCCTCCTCTTTATCCCTGTAGTTGTTTGTTCATACCTCTGTTGTAGCAGCTGCCATTATACATATTATTCTCTGTTGATATGCTTGTGTACCTGATGCCAATATGCAAAACTTGAGACTAGGATCTTGTAATATTCATATATGCTCCCAGAGCACAGAGCACAGCCCTTAATATATAGTAGCTTCTCAGTAATGTCTGTCGAATCGGTCAATTTAGTTCCCAATACAAATTATCTCTGTATGACCAACTCATTGCAAGGGTAACCATTTTTGAATATTTTAGAGTAAAATTAGATTGAAATTTTGCATATTTGATGTATGTTGCTGTATACATAATTGCTAATTCATTCACTAAAGGTGAACTTCAGTTTATGCCCGAAGTGGAGGGCAAGAGGACATGGATTACATTCCCCCTTCTCCCTTTCTCTCTTAGTCTACTAAAGAAAAGAGTATAATAGGTCGATCAAGTCTGGTATTGTATGCCTCTTATTTTCAGGGACACAGATAATATTGAAAACCCACGGGTGTGTTCAAGATTAGGGATTTTCTTCCAGGTACAACATGCATCATTCACACATTCCTTGTTTCATCCAGCATTCATTGTACATCAAACACGATAGACCCTGAGGATACAGAGATGAGTTGGGCATAGTCCCTTCCCTCAGTGAATGCATAGTTAATTTGGGTATCATAATCAGGTAATTAAAGTACAATGCACCCAGATAGTGGGGGCAGTTTCATCTACAAAGAAATAATAGTCCATCAATACTACCTCATCCTCCCCTTCTCTTGTCTCAAGCGGTGTTGAGCTCAGGCACTGTCTGCCAATTGTGGTTTCCAGACAACAAGAGTATTAGGAGTGCAGTCCTTAGCACAGAGGGCTCAGATATGACCAACCTACAAGAGGCCTTTTCTTGAGATAGCATCACTTTCTCTCTTCTCCTTTCTCCCACTCTTCAAACTTCTCTGATATTCCTGAGGAGGATGGGCCCTACTCTGACCCTCTCATTTCTGACTTATTTTTATTCAGAGCAGCTGGCTTCTCAGAGGATACATCCCATGAGGAATACTGTAGTAAACAAGCCTCTGTCTGAGGAAAAGACACTGCCTGGTAAGAGAAAAGAATTAAGCACTGGAAAGTAGGAAAGCAAATTCTGTGAACTGGCTCTACTCCTTGGCGTGACATTGAGCAAGGGGCTGAACCTCTCTCAGATCCAGATTGTTTTTTTCCCTAAGTCAAAGGTGCTGGCTCAGAGATTTCTTTTCTGCTCTAATATTGCATCTCTTTGAAGACTGCCTTGTAACAAATAGAATTGGATTTTATATAATAAATACCTACTCCCATTTATGCACTTGACACTTCCGAAAGCTAGCTCTTACGTTGTTAAAAATTTGGTAAAACTCAAAAATCATTCTTCATTGCAAAAAGATCAGTGTGTGATATCTGTAGTAGCCTATTAAACTCTTTGTAGGTTCTGAAACCTTTCCTTAAAAGACTGGGACCAGTTGTTACGTTGGCCACTAATAGTTTTGCTCAGCTGAAGTCTAACTGAAGTTAGACATGTTATTGAATTTTTGTATTTTCAACCCTCGTGAGTGATGATGTAGTCATTTCCTGTTCACCATTAAAAAACAGAGAGAGTAATAAGCCACTCCTATTGTCTTTTCATTTCTTTGGAACTAAACTGGCATCCCTCTTAATACTTATATTTTACTCTGAGTGTGAAAATGTGATAAATTGTGACTTTACAGCCCTGTGAAACATGAAGGGTTTGTTTCTTAACATAGGTTCATTTCTTAGTTTTTGGACAAGTATTTTAGTAGTAGAGGCTGGGCAATGTTTCTTCTACCAAGAAAACTAGATTTATGTACATGCTTAAAAGCACAGTGGTCACTGTGTTTATCAATTAATTTCAGTTATTTTATATGTTTATTTGCATTATTAGGTAGTTGTTGGAAAAAAGGTTTTTAAAAAAATGTTAGTATATATAGTCATCAAATAGAATGTCTAAGGATAAAAGAGATATAGGACCTCTTGCATGAACTTCCAGGAAGATTGTAAATTGTTTAATTTGTGGTTAAAGTCCCTGACTGCTTGGGAACCATTTTGATAAATGGGACCTTTTCCTCTTTGATGGGTAAGAAGGCTTAGTAAGAAACTGAAATTATTAATTATAAATTATAGAATTATAATAGTTATATACTTAATAAGGACTCGTGGGATCATTTAGTTCAGTCTTTTCATTTCACAGATGACAAAAGTGAGTCATAGAGAAGTCAAGAATCTACTTAACGTTGATGACATTTCGCCAAGGATCTTGATCTCCTGTCTTTCTGATGTCTTTTCCTATCATCTGAACTGATTTTTTTTTAGGACTACAGAGACTCATTCACCCATTCATTTATCCAGGCATTTACTGAATGGCTACTATGTGGCAAGTGTTGTGCCAGGTGTTAGAAACACAATACATAAAATGTAGTTGCTGCCCTCCCAGAACTAATTGCTCTATCTACCACAGGAAAAAAACTATAAACTGGCACCTTTCTCCATTCTGAAAAAAAAAATTCAGTATACATTGATTCAATACAGTTGTGCTGAAGCCCTGCCAGTTAACTTTTAATTTTGTGTTCTTCACTCTTTATATTACTTCTAAATTCTCACCCAAAGCCTATCTTGAACATTTATCAAGTCTTCAATGAAGTCCTGAAAATATTGATCCAATTATTTTATATCAATTTTTAAAAACATTTTTGTATTACTGCCTATACATGATTGATTGACAGGTTAATTAACTTTTCCCTATTTCTGGTCATTTATTTAAAATTATCGGAAAGCATAATTTAAAATAAATTTTTAAAAAGAACATATTTTTCACACTACACTCTTACAACTAATCTAATCATAAGACATGCATATAGAAAAGACATAGCAGAGAGGCAAAAATAATACCTATAGAAACAGACTAACCTGGATTTGTGTTCTGTGTTAATTGTTCCATGTGTGGCATTCATTGGCCATCTTATCTTAAATTCTAAGCCTCCATTTTCTTATGTATAAAATAGTGATAACATCTTCCTTGAAAAGTTTGTACAATGCTAAAATGAGATAGTGGCACATGGTATAGGCTTGGAAGAAGGTGAGCTTGACAAGTAATAGCAATAACTCCTACTTAACCTTTAGGGATTAAAATTCATATTGTTATAATTTTCTTATTTTTTTCATAGTCTTCCTAATGCAGTTTCACTAAATTAAGAGAGTTTGTGAACTACCAGAAATATAGCTGAAGAAATTTTCAGGGGCCATTTCATGTATTTTCCTGCCCTTAGGTCGAACTGATTAAAGTATGTTACACATATGCAAAAGCTGCTTCTTAAAAAATGTTTCAATGAGTCTCTTATAGGGTAGTTCAGTGCAGTAATTTATTCACTTAGAATGTGGATTTAGGCAAACTGCTTTACTTGATCAGCTTCACATTTTTTATTTATATGGGCTAAGAAAGAGCTCCACAAGGGCAAGAACCTCACCTGTCTTATTCCTCATCAGCACTAGAGAAATGGTTAGCATATAATATATACTTCATAAAATTTATTGAATAAGTGAATTAGGCTACTCTGAGACTTAAATAAAATTACCACACACATGCATGCACATGCACTCATATTTAATAATTGACTGACCCAAATTCATTTATTAATGTTTGAAGTAATAGTGTTAAAAAGGTTGTAATTCATGGATGTATTAATCAACTGATTATAATGATAATTTTTCTAATAGAAAAGCTAAGAACAGGGCACCACCAAGAAAGTGAATTTGAACATGAGAGAGATGTGTGATACCTGAGCTAACTCTGTGTATAGTACAAATTTTAGATCTTCATTCTTGGAATGCTGTATCTAGAACATCCTTCAAATATGATTGGTTCTTTGTTCATTTGTTTGCTTGATGAAGCAATATTAACTTCACTTGATGAAGTAATATTACCCAGATGTCAAAAATGATAAGAACAAAAATAATTCTATGGCCTACCCTCGTTCATAAAGATGAATAGATCCTAAATAAAATGCATCCTACACAACGCAATAGTCAATTGATGAATCATCTATTAGAATAAATAGAGTTTACTCCCTGGAAGGCAAAGATGTTTTAATTAGAAATCTATTACCATAAAACATAGAATCTGAAGATCAAAAAAATAAAAAAGTATCATTCTAAAACATATTAATCCTATTTGATAAAATTTAAAACTCATTCCTGACAAAATTTCTCAGAAAACCTAAAATAGAAGGACACTATTTGACATAGTGTAGAAAAGCTACTCCAAGCTAACAATCTCTGTCATACTTATTGTTGAAAGACTAAAAGAATCTCCATTGAAGTTGGAAAAAGTAAGGACAGTTGTCATACCTATTATGCTTTAACATTATTTGAAATTTCTGACAACTTAATTATAACATGAAATAGAATAAGGTACATCTCAGGGAGAAGGTTAAATTGCTGTATTTTTGTCAAAAACTCAAGATATGGGCCAAATAGAAGTATTAAAAGATGTATACTTCTAACTACTTCAAAAAATGGAAAATATAATTTTAAATTAGATTTATAACACTAACAGAAAACACAACCTACCTAGAAATAACTCTAATATAGCTATGCAGGATATAGATGAATAAAACTACAAAATCTTACCAACTCTTGTCAAATGTCGTTCAACTTAATGGCAAAATTATGGGGCAGCCCATATTCCAGAATATAAAATATAAAAGTTGAAAAAAAGTTAAATTTTCTAGTATTAATTTTTTCAGAAACAACCTATTATGTACCCCATAAGTACATACACCTAAAAATTTCTAATACTTAATACAATTTATTGATGGCCAAATAATAAATTATTTTAACTAATGAAAGGATTATAATGTTTACTTGGGATAATAAATAGAGAAGTGATATTATTTGTCAAAAGGTATAACAGTAAGTGGGCTATTTGTCCTATTATATATTAATTAACATTACAAAGATACAACAATTAAAATGGTATACTGCTGGTGCAAGAACTGGCTGACAGACCAATAGAATGGCTACGTGTGGAATAGAGCTTAGTATGTATGGTAATGTCATATATGATGAAGGAAGAAATGCGAATCAAAGAGGAAACTGATAGATTATTCAAAACATAGTGTTCATAAAATTGACAATGTGCTGAAAAATTGTTAGATCCATGTCATATTAGCAAAAAAAAAGAGTAGTTAAGAGTGCAGGCTTAGGGACTGCTGGAGTTCAAACTCTGACTCCATCATTTACTAGGTGTATAACCTTGGATATGTAATTCTATCTCTCTGAACTTTAGTTTCTTCACATGAAAAATGGGGATTGTTATTACCTCATAAGGTGTTTATGAGGACTAAGTAGGAGATAATTCATGTAAAGAATTTCGTGTACTGCTTGACAAAGTATTCACTCAATAAATATTACCAGTAATTTTTATAATTAAATACCAACTTAATTACAAAGATATTGATAGGCTAATGTAAAAATAAAATCATGAAAACTTCATACTTAACTGATCTTGGCTTTGAAGGACATTCTAATCGTAAATGCAACAGAAGAATTCACAAAGAATGAATAGATTTGACTACATAAGAACTTCAAAATACTATGTTTAAAATAGAAAAAGTAGAAAAGCCACAAATAAAAAAAGTTATTATATTTAAACTCTAAAGAGCTCTTAACAGATCAATTCAAAAATCACCAACATCCTAAACAATTCACAAAAATTACAACAAATTCAAATAAATTAATAACATTCTAACAGCATTTAAGATAATATAAATAAAATACCAATGGGTACTGATTTTAAGCTATCAATTTGGCAAAGATTAGGAAAAGAATATGACAATATTCCAGGTGACAAGACTGGAGGACGATGATCACTTGGATACTTCTGAACAGGATTTACTTCATTTTAATGTTTTGGAAGGCAATTTGGCAACACTTAGCAGAAGTCTCAAAAATATTTTTACCATTTTAGTCATTAATTCTTATTCCAGGAATAATAATCAGGAAACCAAATCAGCATTTTGTATACTTATTTTATCACAGTATTGTTTGTAATAGTTGACACATTCATGAGATGGAATATTATTCAGCCACAGGAAATCATAGCTCTGAAGCACATTAGATGGTGTACAATTTCTTACACTAATAGATTAGGAAAATTATAATTAGTAGCTATGCCAGTCTCTACATTTATATCTACATCTGCGTCTATATCTGTACCTGTATACAGAAAGCAATATACCAATTTACTATCATTTACGTAGATAACAGGCTTGCAGATGAATTTTATTTTTATGTTGTATGTGTTCAGATTTTCTATAATAATCAGCAACAGTTAAAAAATTAGAAAAAATAAGACAAATATTAAAATATAGATGTATTCTATGTATTGCTTCATTTTTAGAAGATAATAGTTTACATGCAATGTAAAAATTGGTATTTATGAGATTTGTTGTATTTAATCAATTTTGCACGAATTTAATTATAAATATAACTTTGGAAAATTAACAATAGGCTTTCTCTTTAGTTCGTTTGAAAAAACGTGAGAGAGAAGAATAAAACTGAGGTTATGAAATTGCTCTCAGAAACAGCTGGAAACATCATTCAGGGTCGCACTCTGTTTAATGTTCAATGCCTTTTCACAGGGAAATAAGAGAAATATGAGTCTTGGCATATGTTATTTTCTGCATGAAAGCTTACTAAAATCCCTGGTGTATTTCAATTGCAGGAGTAACAGGCAATAGCATTTTAGTGTCTCTGCCATACAGTTTGGCATTTGATTATATTTAGTTTAGCACTTTGTAATATACTGTCTTTGTAATTTCTCCCTCTATGAATTCTCAAAACATTTTGTATTTTTACTGAATTTTAGCACATTTTATTCCATTTATCGAGTTGTTATTCCACTAAACAAGTTTTATTTTGTAGTATATCCAATCTCTTACCAGACTGTCAACTCCCTGAAGTCAGGAACTATGTCTTATTCATTTCTACACCTCCTGCATCTAGCCCAGAATTCCTTGCATATGGAGATAGTACTTTTTATATGAATGAATAAATGATAACTATTTGATATATTGTCTTTGAATTATTTCAGGTTTTATGTTTTCTGTTCTCAACAAGATTAGAAACTTTAGGAGGTCACATATGGTTTTTGTACCTAATACCTGTTAATAAACTCAGAATTATTGCCCACTTAGTTAAATTGCTTAACCTGTTGTTTTGCAAAGTAAGTTTGGATAAAATTGTCTGAATATGGCTTATTAGCATAACTCTTGGCTAACCTTAAACTAAAAACAATAATTTATTTTAAAATGTTGCTGTACCTTTTTTTTAAATACTAACTTATAACAAGTGGTTGTTACTTAAAACCACATCACTTCCTTTTACCACTTCCAAATATTTGATGAGCATCTACAATACATCAAGCATCCTTCTATCTAATGAGCAAAAAAGGCTAAAATTTCTCCCTTCACAGAACTTGCATTCTAGTGAGGATGGGAAGAGAAGAAACAAAATAAATAAGTGAAATACGCTGTTAGAAGCTGATAAGTGCAATGTTTAAAAATAAGAGCACATCCAAAGGAACAGATTCATTGAAAATGTGTCACTTTAGTGAAGACTTGAAGGAGTGACCATATGAATATTTGGGAAAGAGAATTTCAGGAATAGGTTAGAGCAAAGAATGAGACCTGAGAAGATAATGTATGTGGTGTTTTTAAAGCCCAAGGACCAAAGCAGTGACCAGTTAGGAGATCTGTAGCAAAAGGATAAAGTTAGTTCATGACTTCACAAAGTTGTGATGAGGTATGAACTTCCTGTAAAGCACTTAGCACAATGCCTTGCACATATCAAATAATTAATTAATGTTATTTATCATCATTATGGGAATTATATGAGATAGGCTCCTAGAACATTTGTAGAAAAAGAAACACAAGTCTATTTAGGGTGAAAACTAGGGCATTCTTCCACCATATGTCTGGGCCAAACGTATCTGATTCTAAGGCATTACTTCCTTGCATAGCTACTTGTCATGATTCATATCATGGGTAACTACTTATCCATGCTTCTAAATACATTTATTAAAAATTTGGTCCATGCAGCTTCAGTGAATGAGCTGAGGGAATGTAAGTTGCCTTATCAAAATGCCTGAATATAGTCACCATAAGATTGTCAACAGGCTTTTCATGCAAAGCGACATGAAGGCCCTCCTGCTCAGAATCCAGTGTTCCATACTTGCTTGATGAGGGTTATGCTCATTTTCATGGATGTTAGGTCTTACACACAACCTTAATGTGAGCCAAATTCCTTTAATGGATGTGCTGGAAAGATCTCAGTGCTGTGAAGTCAAGAATGCAATTTGAGCTGTGCCGACAGGAAACAAATTGATCTTTTTGGCCTGTATTCCTGAATCTGAAGCAGCCCTTCCCCATCAGAAAAGACTTTCTTAGATGATACAGTTGAATTCCCAAATGTTCCTGGATGTGGAGTCCTAATTTGGATTTGCTGTTAAGCCCTTGAATATATTTTCAAATAGCGGCTATGCCTTTTTAAATGCCCAATGAAAAGTAGAATAAAAGTCTAGTATGTGTTGTATGTATGATCCTTAGTGATACTTTCTTTCTATTTTTTTTTAACCACTTGGCTTCTTTTTCACTTCCACATTTTTCCTTTGATTTCTAACTTTTTTTAAAAATGCATTTGGGCAAAGAGAGGGAGCATAACACAGTCCCAGGGTCTCTTAGAATAGTTTGCTTGCCAAAGGTTGCTGAGGTTAATCATTTAGGAGATAGACTTGGTAAATTTTGTTTCCTAAGCAAGCAGCAGAAAATAGAGTAGAAAATCAATTTTGGAAATTAAAATTAGGTACACTGCTTAAGTCTTTTTCTACACCAAAACCAAACTGAATAAAATGGAAAAGAAAAATAGAATTGGGATTTCTGAAATTCTTTATGAATCTACTTGCAATGCAGGCCACACAGAAACATATACCCAAAATACATTGTTAACACTTGCATTATTACTAAACGTTAAATGGTGTCAGAAATGGACAGGTGTGAAATTTCATTAGGAAAATTGCTGTAGGTGAGGAATAGAAGAACAGAAGTTAGGCTGAAATAGAATAAAAAAGGAAATAGAAATGTTTGACAAATTATTTTAGTTTCCCCCTGTTTTCTTTATTATTTTATATTTCTTTATTATGAAGTCATTTTTTATTCCACCTTTTTAAGAAAGCAAAACGTTTTCAAGTTTTAGATGCTAAGTGTCCTTATTGAAGAATAATTGGCATAAAATTGCACATATTTCAAGTGCAATCTGATAGATCTTGACATATATCTACACCTGTAAAATCATCACCACAAACAAGAGAATGAATACATCCATCATCCCCTAAAGTTCCCTTTTGCTCTTGTGTAAAGCCTTCCTTCTCTCATCCTATCATTGATCAACCACTTATAAGCTTTCTGTCACTATAAATTTGTTTGCATCTTCCAGTACTTTATATAAATGGAATCATGCAAAATGTGCTTTTTTATTTGGCTTATTTTCTCAGCTGGATTATTTGGAGATTTGTCCATGCTTTTGCTCATGTAAATAATATGGTTCTTTTTATTGCTGAGCAGTATTTCATTTTATAAATACAATACAATATATTTATTCCCTCTTAAGGAACATTGGTTTTTTATTCCAGTTTTGGGATATTGAAAATACAGCTATTATAAAATTTGGGTATAATTTTGAATGAACATATGCTTTTATTTCTCTTGCTTAAATGCTTTGGAGTGGACTTGCTGGCTCATATTTTAGGCATATGTTTAGCTTTTTCAGAAACTCCCAAACATTTCTGAAGTGGTTGCAGTATTTAACATTCCCAAAGCGATTGTTCTATTCTACATTTACATTTTTGAAAGTATCAGAGGCTAGACAATTTCCTGAGTTCCATGGGTAGTAAGAATATATCTATTTCTTCTCAGAGGACAGTCATTCCTTCCATGAGAATAGCTCCTAAATTTTTGCCTTCTTCTTCCTCCTTCCTTTGTACCTTATCATCTTCCTCTGGAGATTCAGCTTTTCAATTCATACTGCTAATTGGCTAATTATCTTCTTTAGTCATCTTTTTATGAGACTGTGCAGATGGGACACTGGATAAAAGTACCCTAACTCAGTCCTCCTGAATTATTTTTTCCCTGAGGCAACCTCAGGTAGAACTATCTCCTTATATGATCTAGCCTGTCATGAATAAAGCCTTTATTTGACTTTCTTCAACTCCTCTGTGGCAGAATAGAATTTTGCAAAGACTGCACCAAATACCAAAGAAAACAACAAAGGAAATGAGTACAGAAAATAAGAAGAACGGCTTCTGATCCTCAACATAGCTAACAGGTTCACAGAGGCTACAGACCCTCCTCCAAGGAAAACAGAGACCATATGATAGGCATTCTGCCCCTACTTGTGGTTAAGAGCAGAGATTCTGAGTTAGATTTTGGCTTGCATGCGGAATGTGCCATTGTTGGTTGAGTGTCAACCCCCAACAAGGTACTTCATTTCTTTTAGTTTACTTACGTGTAAAATGGGAACAAAAATAGGAGTTACCACACTGAATTCTTTGAAAATTAAATAAGATAAGTAGTTAAGTACTTGATTCATATTTTAAAACTTGATAAATGTTAGATTTGGTAGTCATCTTAACCACACGAAGCAAAATATCTACAATATAAACCTGAAATACTTGTTGGAACCTTAACTCCAACAAACTTTTGGGCCTTACCTGGTCTTATAATTATTGATCCTATCATCTTTTATCTGGTTCCCATTTCTCTTCTAGCCTTACTACCTTTTCTACCAAGCTTAAACTCTAGGAAAATTCTTTATAACCAGTTCCATTACATAGAACCTCAACTTTCTTATCCCTCTTTCAGTATATTGATTTCATAGGATTTACAGTTCAGTAAGAAAATCATGTATTAAATAGATAATTGTAAACAATGAAATGCTCAAGGACTTGATCTTTAAGCTTTTTCTCTACTTCAGCCAGTGATCAAGGCTTTACATACCATTTCTATTTTGATATCTTCCTCAAACTCTGGACTTATATATCCAGTGGCTTACTTGATGTCTTCAGTCAGATGTCTAAAAGATATCTCCAAGTTAACATGTCCAGAACCTAACTTCTTTTTTTAAATTTATTTTTTTTTGAAAATTTATACATAGTAGATATACATATTTTTGGGGTACGTGTGATAATCTGATACGTTCATATAATCAAATCAGGGTGATTGGAATACCTATAATCTTAAATATTTATCTTTTCTGTATTTTTTAAATATATTTTTCTGAGTATACGATCCATTTGTAATTCTTTTTTAAACTTTTATTTATTTATTTGGAGATGGGGTCTTGCTACATTGTAGAGGCTGAACTCAAACTCCTGAGCTCATGCCCCAACCTGAGTAGCTGGAATTACAGGTGCACACCACCATACCAGGTTGTCAGAACCTAACTTCTTATGTTTCTTACAAAACCTGCTCCATCCACAGCTTTCCTTTGAGCTGGTGATGAGATGACCTTTCTGGTTTATCAGGTCAAAATGTTTGGAGTCATCTGTGCCACTCCTCTTTTTCTCACAGGCTACATTCAGTGTAGCATACAATCTGTTGGATCTACCTTCAAACTATGTCCAGAACCCAACCACTTTTTAAAAATTTTCATATTAATTAGTTTTTCCAAGTTACTATTCCTTTTGAATTTGATAACTGTAATAATTCTTAACTGTTCTCCCTGCTCCAAGCCTTGATCCCCTAGAGTCAAAATTTTTAAGACAGCAGGAGTAATCCTATTAAAACATTAGTCATATCATGGTATTGCTCTTAGATTGCTTCCTGTCTCATTCATAGCAAAAGCCAGATTGCCCACAGTAGCTTATGAGGCTTACAAGATCTGCTTTCCACACTTCTTCCTTCACCTACCTGTCTAGCTCTCCAATCTTATTTTGTACCATTTTCCTCCTCATTCTGTTTTAGCCATGCTGTTCTCCTTACTGTTGTCAAATGGTAGCCCTAGTCTTCATCGTCGTCCTCCTCCTCCTCTTCCTCTTCCTTTTCTCCTCCTCCTCTTCCTCATCTCCTCCTCCTCCTTCTTCCTTCTTTTTTTTTTTGTTAACCTTTCAGTTTATTTAATACAGGAACAATTACAATTTTACTTGAAGATGAAAATGACCATTCACCATATTTCACATGAATATACCTCTATTCATTCATCTAGATTCATCTACTTTTTCAAAAAACCATATCTAGAATGTGATAGATCTGTGAGTTCAAACAGTCCCTTCTTAAGGCCTTCACATACTCTTTCCCCAGATATCTTCCTGGCTTGCTGTCACTTCCTTAATCTTACTGAGCTTTACCTTAATCAACTTATCAGAAAAATTTAACCATTCCCAACACCTTTTATTCCATTTATCTGCTTTATTTTTCTCTTTAGCTTGTATCACTATTGAAGAGACTACATTTTTCTATTTATCTTTTGTACTATCTCTTTTCTGCAATACAATGTAAGCTCCATGAGGTAGGGATTGTTGTCTGTTTTGTTCATTGTTACGACCCCATTGCTTATAAACAGGTTGGTGCATCGTAACATTCAAATTAGGATTTGTTGAATAAATAAATAAGTGGAGGAGGGATTACTTTATCACATTGCTTATTAGACATATATACTCCCGAGTTTTCCAGGGGCATTAAAATCTGAATATATCTAAAACTTAGCATATCATGAACGCTTTCATTTTTTACATGAATGTGGATGTCCCCCTAGGCACAGCATAAGCTCCCAAGGGCAAACAATGAATTAGAAAAAATAAAATAATTGACAACACTTCTCCATTTCAAAAACAAGAAAAAATAATTATCTGCTTTAGAAGAGTTTACAAAGAAAATATAGAAGCCTTAAATGGAAATTGTGGACCATGAGAAATTTAATGAGATAATTAAATTTCTAAGACATTAATTTAACGAAAGTTTAGATGCAGCCTATAATATTAGAAGGTAAAAGGATTGAAGAGACAAGGGAAGAAATACAAACATTTATAATGAAAGAAGAGGCCATGCAAATGAAAATTTTTCCTTCGTCTTACAGATAACTTGAAGTCCCCTGGGCTCAACTCTTTAGCTGCTTGACTTTTTTTTCTCAGCCTATAAAGCAGCAGTCAAATTTTACAGATTTTTAAAAAATAATTTCAAATTTTATTTAGATTAAAGGGTACATGTGCAGGTTTGTTACATGGGTATATTGCGTGATGCTGAGGTTTGGATTACAGATCAGTTATACACATTCTGTTCCCTATGTTATTTCTTCTTTCAAGCATGAATTAAATAACTCTTTTTTTTTTTTGGAACACTTATTATGCACCAGGCATGTTGTTAGGCACGGAGGCTACAATGATGAATAAACAGGCATGGCCTCTGCTTTCATGGAATGCCCTACAAGGAAACCATGAAAAATAGATGTATTAAATAGATTATTGTCAACATGATAAACATTGTGAAAAGGAGTGTATTTTACTAAGAGAATGGGCCAGGGATTTGAACTCAGTCTAGGACATTAAGAAATAATGTTTCTTTTATTGGTCTTTGCCTTTATTTCTACCATCATCCCCCTAATTAAGGCCCCCATTATTTCTACCACCTTCATCATTCTCCCTGATCTCTAAATCTGACCATGTTTGTCATGATTAAACATTTATTGACATTGTCTAATTATGGGTACAGTGTTTTCTGCCTTATTTTTCTCCTCAAACACATCTCATGTTTTCCAACCTTCTTGCTTTTGCTCCTGCTGTTTCTTCTGGAAAAAAAAAAAAAAAAGTACTTCTTGTTCTGATCTGTTTTCTAAGTACTAAATCAAATTTTCTTTCTCACAGTAAGCCTGTCTTCACCAATCCAACTCATGGGCTAATGTTCTCTGAACTCATAGAACTTGCTGCTTTTATTTATTTTTTTTGTCATAAGCTACCACATGACATTTCTTGTACTGTTACGCCATGGCTTAAAGATAAGGATGTTGAGAGTCAGACAGGGTTTGAAAATCTGGAAGCAAGTGAGAAGCAAACCAGGATTCAAAGCTTAATTCCTCTAGGCAAATGACCTTGAATAAGTTAATCAATTCCTCTGAAATTTAGTTTCCTAAATTTGTGAAAGGAATTTGATATTATCTGACTCAGGTATTTTTTGTGAGGATTAAATTAGTTGAGAGTATTTCTTGAAGTATGATATACATAAGATGGTAGATGGAAAACATCTTTAAAAACATACTTATACTTTAATTTTAATGTAATTACTTAAAAATTGTAACTTCAGTATCAACCATCATCTTTTCAATTAGACTTTAAAATTACTTGTTTTTATTTTACTTCTTAATGTGATTAGTATTTTATTTTTATTGTGTTATTTATATGGTTATTTATTTATGAAAACAAACCCTTGTGTTTATTCGGATGGCAATAAGTTCCCTTTTAAAATAAATTTATTTAAATAAAAAGTGAGTCAAATTAAATTTTAAAATAACATAAGTAAACAACAATAAAGATAGTATGTAAACATTTTAAAAATGGCTGATGTTAGACCAATACTAAGGAAATGCATGTTAAGTACTTTAGTGGACAAAATACTTTGTGCATCTTAAAGTCAAGGCACTTTTAACTTCATATAAAGATGCTTAACATAAAAATAGCTGACATATAGAATACAACTAACAATTCAGTCTCCCCTTTTCTATCTAGTTAGCCATGAAGTATATAACAAGATGATGCTATTACACCTTTTTTAAAACTTTGTATATTTTTTAAGCTGGAGAGAGGTTGCAGTTAATATCAGGAATATTTTCAGCAACACTATCTGTAATTGATATTGGCATTGAAGATTTCAGCAGCTGCTCTTTCTGTTTTATGTAGGTGGCAGGATGGAAAATGAAATGATTTGTATGTTTTCATTAGTGGATCTCATTTTTAAGGAAATAAAAAGGGATTTTATTTATTACTGTATAAATTGGTTTTATTTATTGTATTTTGCAAAAGATCACTTGTTACTGTGAAAGAGTAGGAATTACAAAGTAAAAAAAATGTGACAGCTTATAGGTCCATGTATCAATAAGTGTCAGTGATTTACCTTTAGAAATGGTGTTTTCTGAAGCACTTTGAACACTTGTTACAATGACTTGTCTCTTATGGTATGAAGATGAGTATAAGGTAAAAATGCAAATAGAGGGTAATAACAAATGCTAGATAGGTCTCTGTATAGTGCCTTCCTTTCTTCTCATAGGAGTGTGAAGCTGTTGTATTCAAGTGATATGCTTCATTCATTTGTTCATTCATTAAGCAAACAACTATTAAATTATTCAAAAGATAGTTATTATTACCTACCACGTGTGGAGGACTATGTAGGTCTCCGAGGATACGAAAATAAATAAGGTATGTTACTTTTCTTGAGTGTTTCATAGGCGTTCGGAGGGAAACATAAGCTCAAAGTAATTACAAGTAAATATAATAAGAACTAAATCTGAGTTATGTACAAAGTACAATAAGGGACATAGAAGAGAGTTACTGGCTCTGTCTGGTGGTTATCTGGAAAAATTTTCATAGACATTTATTTAGCCACATCTCAGAAAATTTGTCAAGATTTGTCACATATAAAATGACAAGGAGCAGAAAGTAAGGTGGATAGGGCTGCAGACAGCAGAAACAGCATGTTCAAAGGTACAAATTTATAGAGCACATTGGGGAAACAGAAAATAATTTTGTGAAGATCCAAAGGGATGGTATGGCAAAAATACAACTTCATCAAAAATGGCCACCGGATTTAAGAGATTATTGTATTACTCATTAATTATTGCTCATAAATGTCATGGACTAATACATTATTTGAGCTCATAAGGAATTGATTATGTAGTTCAATACCCAGAGATGTGACAACTGATGGAAATGAAATTAAAACTAAGACTATTGCTTCCAAAACTAGCACTTCACCTCCATGAATTATGAAAATAATTCTGTTGTTGAGATAGCTAGAATACCAGGCTAACTGAATTTTACTTAAAAGAAAGTTCCCATTCCAAAGCAGTCAGGTTAGGTGAGTGGTGTTTAAATGTCTGTGTTTTTTGCATGCTTTGGAAGAGCATGTGAATTTAAAGATATTGAATTGCATTCTCAGTTACTAAATTATTAAATTAGGCATCTTTAGCACTGTGTAGCTGTTTCAAAAAAATGGCCTTATTTATGCATTGTTGTTTGTGCTCACAAGTCAAAGTTCTAATGTTCCATTAGATATTCCTTCTTGACTGCTGGCTTGATATTTTTCTACATTGCTCGTGAGGAGCTATGTCTTCCCAGCTCTACGTTCCTTTTGATAGTTACTGCCATTATCAGTCTATTTTTCTGCTGTAAGAAAATTTAATTTTGAACACATGAACACATGGGTGGTAAATCACAGCATATTAATTCAGATCTACTATATAAGTTTAGGACCCATTTGAGTTTTTGTTCTTACAAGAGGTCCTGCAAGCCTTCTTTTGAGGCTCTGGAAAGATTCTCTAAATAAATAAATAAATAAATAAAACTTAGAAAAGAAAAAGAAAGAAAAAACTACTCATAAGGCTCAAGAAGATATTTATTTGTCTCAGAAAAGAGACACATGGGAACCTGGAAGACTTTAAATTTATGAAATATTTTTACAAGTTTGCAACTGATTTGTTTTCTTTGCTAATGGCATAAAAGGGGAGAAAACACTGAAGCAGAAAGAAGGTAGACTTTCCTCACAGGATGATTAAACAGAATTATAAAGAGCTTTTAGAAATCATTCTTTTCGGCTTCTTTTCATAATATTGAGCATGTACTGTCTGTCTAGACTATTGTGATTTTGTCTTCCTTAAAGATTGGAATATGAATAAAAATAAAAGCAGTATTTTTATTGCACTCAGGCTATGTGCCAGAACTACTCCAAATAGTGTATATGTATTATCTCATTTGCTCCTATTATCAATACTGTTACATAGTTTCCGTTATTACCCCCATTTTATAAAGTTAGCATAACTTTTCCAAGGTCACAATAATGATGGTGGTGGTCTGTCTTACAGCGTAGTTTAGCTAATTAACTATTATAATATGGTGACTTTTGACTAACATTTTAATTAGTTGATTTCCCCAAATCTCTTGCAGGAAACACTTAACAATAAATCTTATACATGTTGTTACCACACATACTTATTAAACTCTAAAGCCTCATTTGCAGGCTAGTTAAATGATCTAGTTTGATTTTGGGTTAATTTAGAGGGATGCCACGTGGACTTGTTTGTGTTTGTGTATAATGATGGCCACAGCAGTGAGATCCTGAACTGACTATGGTATCCCAGGGGTGTATGGGACTCAATAAAGGCATTTAGGGTGAGAGTGTAGGGTTTTGATGGACATTCAGGGCAGGACACTTGACGTTAGGATCACCAAAGGAAGGGAAATGAAACTGAGACTGTTGCATAAAACTGAAAACATAAAAGGATTCTCATTTGTGAAAGGACTTTTTAAAAACTTTATTCACCAGCCCAGGGTAGCAACAAGGATGCATGTTTCTATTAGGAGTGGAAAAAGAAAAAAAAAGAGTAAATTTAAACCCAACCCTATTTTGTGGGGAGAGTATAGCTCCAAGTCAAAAAAAAAAAAAATTGATATGAAACTGCTCTTGGGCTAGTGAAATCTCTGGACAACTAGAAGAGGGATGTGCAAAATTATTCTGTAGCAACAGTTGCACAACTGAAGGTCGCAGGGACTCCCACAGAAACTATAATCTTTCTAAAGATAATCTCAGAATAAAAATGTACAATACGATGCAGAAAATACTCACCATGAGTGAAACCAGTGAGATTAGACGTTCAGGAAAATTAGGGAATAAAAATATCAGATAAAGACTACAAACTAAGTATGTGTTAAATTAAAATCATGATAAAGGAAGAAAAATCATAATAAAAACAGAACATGATAGATTTAAAAATATATATAGAATGTCTAAAAATAAAAATGGTATAAACAATTGATTAAAAATGGATACTCTGTAGGTAGGTAAAAAACAATAAATTGAAATTTAAGGTAAAAATAGAAATTAGAAAATAGTAATTAGATCTGAGGATATACCCTGAAAGCAGCACAGAGGAGGAAGGAGAAAAAAATATGAGCTCTATGAAGCAATAGTACGGGTAGAATAAAATGGTCCAGAAAAAACATAACAGAATTTAAGAGAATAATGAGAGTGAGGGAAAATAAATATTTGAAGAGTTAATGACTGAGACGTATTTTTTTTTTTTTTTTTTTTTTTTGAGGCGAAGTCTCACTCTGTCGCCCAGCCTGGAGTGCAGTGACACCATCTCGGCTCACTGCAAGCTCCGCCTCCCGGGTTCACGCCATTCTCCTGCCTCAGCCTCCCGAGCAGCTGGGACTACAGGCGCCCGCTACCACACCCGGCTAATTTTTTGTATTTTTAGTAGAGACGGGGTTTCACCATGTTAGCCAGGATGGTCTCGATCTCCTGAGCTAGTGATCCACCCGCCTCGGCCTCCCAAAGTGCTGGGATTACAGGCGTGAGCCACCGCGCCCGGCCATGACTGAGACTTATTTTATAAATAATCAGATTAAAGAAACAGAATGAGTTCCATGTACATTTTTTAAAAAAGAAAATATTATAGTAAAACCGAAGTTCAAGAAAGGCAAAAAAAAGTATTTATGCAAACCATATTAAGAAAGACATATTTCTTGTAACAGGCAGCAAATAGGCAGCAGGTTAATATCTTCAAAGCTCTGAGGGAAAATCATTGTCGATTTACAAATCTGTTTCTATACTCTCATTCAAAGTCTAGTCTACTATCATTCAGTTCAGGGAAAATATAAATGATTGGGTATGTTTAAACATCATTGATTTTTGCAGAAAGACTATTAAAATGTATTTATCTGTAAGAAGAAAATTTAATCCAGAAAGAGGGGTTAGGATTCTAAAAATAAAGAAGTTAACTGATAGTTATTGTGAGTAAACTATAACAAAAAATGATAATGGTGATAATAATAATGACTGATTTGGTGGGGAATGTAACTACTATAGCAAGATAAAATTAAAATAGCGTACAATAGGCTAAGTGCAGTGGCTCACGCCTGTAATCCCAGTACTTTGGGAAGCCGAGGCAGGCGGATTACCTGGTCTGCCTGAGGTCAGGAGTTTGAGATCAGCCTGGCCAACATAATGGAACCCTGTCTCTACTAAAAATACAAAAATTAGCTCGGCGTGGTGGCACGTGCCTGTAATCCCAGCTATTCGGGAGGCGGAGGCAGGAGAATCGCTTCAACCTGGGAAGCGGAGGTTGCAGTGAGCCGAGATTGCCATTGCATTCCAATCTGGACGACAAGAGTGAAACTCTGTCTCAAAGAAAAAAAAAAAAAAAAGTATACAATAATAACATGACATTTTGCAGATACTATAAAAGTGCTCTATTGTACAAATTTATGAAAATTAACTTGAAAAGTTAGATCAAGTGAAAAGGATGAATCACCCTTCAAGTAACAGTATTTACTATAAAGCATACATAATGTAGTACTGGCACAGGTAAATAAAAATAGGATAATTGTTAAAAAGCCAGGAAACAATTATATGCACATACATATTATCTAGATATATAACTCAGGGACATTAGAAATCAGTAAGGAAAAGGAAAAGCATTATTATATATCAGCTAATGAAGTAAGCAAGTAAATAAATAAGTAAATAAATAAATAAAACTGGCCATACATATGGGAAAAATATAGATTCCTACCTTCCACCATAAATTACTATTTTTAATTGTTATTTTAATATTTTATTTTATCACCTTTTAAGTTATTGGGTACATGTGCAGGATGTGCAGGTTTGTTACATAGGGAAACATGAGCCATGGTGTTTTGCTGCGCAGATCACCAACCCATCACCTAGATATAAGCCCAGCACCAATGAGCTGTTCTTCCTGATGCTCCCCCTTTCCCTGCCCACACCCGATAGGCCCCAGTGTATGTTGTTTACCCTGCCCCAACCATGTGTCCATGTGTTCTCATCATTCAGCTCCCACTTATAAGTGAGAACATGCAGTGTTGGGTTTTCTGTTCCTGCATTAATTGGCTGATGATAAAGGCTTTCAGCTCCATTCATGTCCCTGAAAAGGACAAGATCTTGTTCCTTTCACTGTAAATTAAAAAAAAAAAAAACTTTGGAGACTTATTGATGAAAAGCAAAACATTTAAATTGCTTAGAAAGAAAATAAAATATTTATAAACTTAGAAGAGAGAAAAAAATGATAAAAATGTAAACATAAAACACTGAAAAACTTCAGTCCTTTTAATTTTTATGAAGGCTCTGTATGACAAAACATGAATAAAACTAAGACAAGTCAGAGATTGGAAACAGATATTTTCAAAACCCATAATAAAAGATTAGTGTTCAGTATACATCAAGTACTTCACAAGTCAATAAGAAAAATATAACCCTATTTAAAAATGGGCAAGGGGTATGAACAGAAGGAAGTTCAAATAACCAATAAATGTATGAAAACATCTTAAGTCTCACCAGTAATCAAGAAAATGCATATCAAGACTACAAAGAGTTAACATTATATATTATGTTTCGGAAACATGAATGTCTGATTACACTGTGTTATATAGAATACTGATCTCTTATAAACTACTAATATATACTACTCATTTAAATTACTAATAATGGCAACTGGAGAACAATTTGTAATGAATAGCATTAAAGCTGGACATATTCTGTGATCCACCAATTACATTTTGAAGGACCTGCTCTAAAGAAACTTGTATGTACTTAAAGAGAGAGCTACAAGAGTGTTTATTGAAAATTATTTTGAAATGAATTTGAGGAGGTAGGGTGGAGATTTTACCTATATTATGAAGAACTTATTTCTTAAAAAATTAATCTGAATCAAATATGACAAAATATTAACATTTATTAAATCTGGATGGAAGGTAAATGTTACATTAGGTTCTTTACATTTCTGATGCCAAGTATGTTATGATTAAACATATGAAAGAAGAGGCACATTATACATTCAACTGTTGAAGAATGAGTTTTGATGATTTTAAGAGGAGAAAAAGATATAGGCTTTGTTCATTTATAATTAGAGTTAGTGGGTTTATTATTTGGAATCTTTTTTTCACACTTATCTATAACTGGGTATTTCTTCGGTGCAGAAATATATCCATCTGCAGCCGGGCCAGTTTGTAGCATTGACTGTGATATACATATAAATTCATAGTGACAATTTTTTCCTATTGTCCATAGTGATAAAACATGCAAAGACATGTAGCTATTCCTTTGCTTTGCTTTTTAATATACATTAGCACTAATTATTGCACTTTTTCCAGCTAATATTTATTAGTGAGTTTATATCATATAAATACCGAAAATCAGTAATTTTATCCCTGAGCATCATACATTTGTAACAAGGCCATTCTTCACTGAAATTTCTTTCTTTCTTTCTTTCTTTCTTTCTTTTTTTTTAATTATACTTAAGTTCTGGGATACATGTGCAGAATGTGCAAGTTTGTTAGATAGGTGTGCAAGTTTGTTAGATAGGTATACATGTGCCGTGGTGGTTTGCTGCACCCATCAACTTGTCATCTACATTAGGTATTTTTCCTAATGCTATCCCTCCCCTAGCCTCCCGCACCCACTGACAGGCCTCAGTGTGTGATGTTCCCCTCCCTGGGTCCATGTGTTCTCATTGTTCAACTCCCACTTATGAGTGAGAACATGTGGTATTTGGTTTTCTGTTCCTGTGTTACTTTGCTAAGAATGATGGTTTCCACCTTCATCCATGTCCCTGCATGAATTCATCCTTTTTATGGATGTATAGTATTCTATGGTGTATAAAGGACCCCTTCAAGGAGAAAAACAAACCACTGCTCAAGGAAATAAGAGAACACAAACAAATGGAAAAACATTCCATGGTCATGGACAGGAAGAATCAATATCGTGAAAATGGCCATACTGCCCAAAGTAATTTATAGATTCAATGCTATCCCCATCAAGCTATCATTGACTTTCTTCACAGAATCAGAAAAAAACTACTTTAAATTTCATATAGAATGAAAAAAGAGCCTGTATAGCCGAGAAAATCCCAGCCAAAAAGAACAAAGCTGGAGGCATCACATTACCTGATTTCAAACTATACTATAAGACTACAGTAACCAAAACAGCATGGTACTGGTACCAAAACAGATATATAGACCAATGGGACAGAACACAGGCCTCAGAAATAACACCACACATCTACAACCTTCTGATCTTTGACAAACCTGACAAAAACAAGCAATGGGGAAAGGATCCCCTATTTAATAAATGGTGTTGGGAAAACTGGCTAGCCATATACAGAAAACTGAAACTGGACCCCTTTCTTACACCTGAGATTTATTTATTCATAGATATGTGTCCCCAGCTATATAGGGCTCTTTGAGAAAAAGATTGTACTTTATTCATTTATAGGCCCTTAAGGTTTGACATGTAGTAATACTCAATACATTTTTGTGGAAAAGCATTGTTTACATTTTCAGTCACACAAGTACTAATGAGAATATGTTATGTAGATGAGTCACATGATACATATATACTTAGAGCAAAATATAACTGTTTTAATCTTCCCCTTTCTACTAGTTTGTATAGAAGTAACTAATATCAAGATCTTGGCATTCCTCTGAATTGAAGTTAAATATTATGTACATATTCTTTACCAAAATATTCTACGTACTATATATTCCACCCTTTTGTTTAATAATCAGCTAATCGCTTGGAGAACCCAAGGTACGAGGATCACTTGAGGCCAGGAGTTCAAGACCAGCCTGGGCAATATAGCAAGACCTCATCTCTAGAAAGAGAAAAAATTTAAAAATTAGCCAAGCATGATGGTATGTGCCTACTGTCCTACCTACCCTGGAGGCTGAGGGAGGAAGATTACTTGAGCCCAGGAGTTCAAGGCTGCAGTGAGCTATGATCGTAACACTGCACTCCATCCTGGGTGACAGAACAAGGTCTTGTCTCAAAATAGTAATAATAATAATAATAATAATAATTTACTAACATCAGACATTAGCCAAAGGACTATCAAATATACATATCAAATATGCAAACAAACCAATCAAAATCTTTGTACAATTAATTTTTTACATTAACTTACTTATGTCTCAATAGTTATTTTGTTTGGTCTATATTCAACACTGAAATTACATAGCTTTTCAGGCCACCAGATATTAATTCCTTGGATTGAATTTTGGCTCTGTTTTTAAAAATAATTATCTCTGATATAAATAGATTATTTTTAAACAAAAATCATTCATGTGCTAGGCAGAAAATGTATGATAGTTAATGGCTTGATTTAAACATTGTATTTACCTTGAGAATTCAGAGGAGGCTCACATAGTGTGTGTGTTGAGGCATGAACCCAAAGCTGCTTAAATGGATTACTGTTGCATCTCAAACTCAGCTGCACTGGTAGGTTTCCGTCATAGGAGAGGCTTTAAAAATAAAATTATAAAGGAAAAGGTCTGTCCAGGTACTGATTATATACAGATGGAAAATGTCTGAAAAATTTGTTTTACTTATACAGCAGAGCTGCAAATGTTATTTATCTCAATCAGCAGAGCAATGGTTAGAGACTAGTAGGATTAACTGTAGGAAGCTGCCACCTTTACAGCAGACACATCTGCCCACAGAGAGCCAGGGAAGATGGTTGTATAAATATGGCAATGACTTCATTCAGTTGACATTATATCCATCTTTCAAGCAACTTTTGCTACTGAGAATTTTATGGCCATTCTTCTATTGAGTCTTCTGGTCTTTCTCAGTTTGTGGATTTTTCTATTTTGTCATAGATGCATTTGACAAATATATTTTGAGTATCTACTGTTTACTGAGCATTTGCATAACATGAACACGAGTCCTAACTGCACTGTGTTTTCTACCTCCAACTGCCTATTTAAGAAACAATAGTTATTACTGTCATAAGTTAAATCTTAGCTGGCAGGGCCAATTTATTTTATAAGGATCTTGTACTATAAAAAAATTTATAAAGCCTCTTGGTCAGGTGTGTAAAAAAGGTCACTAAAGGTTCAACATAAAGGCAAAACCAGTAAACAAATTGATCAAACATCAAAGATCTCTCCAAGCCTTAGTTTTAGTGATCCATGAAGTTTTAACTCATGAAGAGAATGCAAAAATTATAGAAAGATATAAAAAATTATAATGTCAGTCCCATCAGAGTAAATTAACATCCTTTGATTCTCTCTATGATATCAGTGGTTTGAAAGTTCAAGGCATTTTGTCTCACCTCTTTATTGTCTGATTCTGTCTAAGGTGTTAAAAACAAAATTTTCTAATCATTAACTTAGGGATGATTGTTTATCCCCGTTCTTTTTATCTACTTTAGTCTTTTAGTTGAATACACTTTTAACTACAACATGGCTTGGAACAACTTGTGTGCAGAAATAATAAATACCTTTACATCACAGCAATATTAGAGTAAGCTACGGTCCTGCTGAGTAGCTCTTTGAAAACTAAGCAGGAGTTACCATGTATATTTATTCGTTGGATTTCTGTGGCACTTTTCCTCCAGAGAGTACAGGGTATAATATGGATAAATTTGCACAGGGGTTGCCTTAGAGTGTCAAAAGGAAATTAAAGGAAAGGAGTGCTTGTAGGAGCATAGAGCAAAAGAAATAGCTAATGGAAAAACCAAACCCTGGTTGGCAGCAAGGCATGTCAAAGGAGGTAGAAGAAGCTGGGCTACCCCAGGGGTACCACTGTTGACTTTTTGGGACACTGAATCATTTCACCACAGCCTATGTATCCGGTGAGCACTCGAGATTTCTGTTCAATATCATTTGAAGACCCACAATAATGATCATAGACTCATAGGGCAGGAAAGGAACTTTAAAAATATCTGCCCAATTCTCTTAATTTACAGATGAGGCACATCGAACCCAGAGAAAACAAATAAATAAATTAGAAGCAAAGTCAGGGTCAGAAACAAGATCATTCATTCCTTGAATAAACGTAGATTAAATGTGTTGTGCTAAGCACTGTTCTAGGCACAGGAGTTACCTTAGTGTGAGTAACATGAACATGGGTTCTGACTACCAATGTCCTGTCTTACACTGTCTTGTTCTACCTCCAATTGCCTATGAGGGTATTCAACATCCTTTACAATATACTTTTGTTGTTGTTGTTGTTGTTGATTCCACAGATGAAACTCTCTTAAGGGATAGACCTCAAGTGACTTTGTTAAGAGAAGGAAGTTCTTTTCCAAGTGTCTGCAAGTGTGTTGACATTCTTTGATTCTTCATTGCTCATAGGGCACTTCTGTCAGATCAGCTGGAAAACATTTACTATATTGAGTCTAGTTTGTGTGCCACTGGAAGGCAGGCTTTCCTTGCCATCATGAGCAGTTTATTTTTGTCCTCTGGTAGGACTGGCAAAGGGCTAAAACCTTATCTCTCATTGGAAGAAACAGTTGTCTCTTAGCATTGACCTTATCTTAAAGGTGCCTCACATAATAGTCTAAACTCTAATAAGATAATGGAAGTAGTTAATGTTAGAATCAAATGTGAAAATTCTTCAAAGGAGCATGATTTAAAAGCTGCCATAAATCTACCTCCCCAAAGGTGATATTTCAGTCATCCACTGAACACTGGATGTCACTACAAGAAAACCTGGGTTTTTTTATTTTTTATTTTTTATTTTTTTTAAAAAGAGTAGTTTGCTCTTTTTAGTTTAACACTCGATTTGAACCCCTGTCCATCCTCCAGTAACTATGTCAAAAAATCGTCCTGTAATAGAGGCCTCAGTTCTTTTACAGGTACAACTAATGACTTCTAAAACTACGGACCTTCACTCAGGCATTTGGGAGGAGACTTCATCCTGCTCACTTTGCCCTTGGTCCCAGGCCATTCTCTAAAGAAATAAAGTGTTTACCTTGTAAGTTGTGGATAAGGCTGGCTGGTGGGCAGAGAAGTGATATTCCTTGGACCAAATGGAGCTGGGGAGGAGAAAAGAGAAGGATGCTTGTGTTTCCAGTCACCCTAACAGCCCTGATAGTCCTCTTAGTCCTCTTGGAGGATATGAGTGGGATTGGGTTCCAGGGACACCTGTTTGTGCCTGCAGGGGCAGATTCATGGTGGTTCTGCCTCTCCCCTTGCCTGGCAGCTCTCTTCCCCATGCCTGGCAATTCCTGTATTGGCTGATTTACCTGCGAGGCTGTATGTGGATCTGTCTTTATGTGGCCACTGCCGCCAGCACGTACTGTCAAGATAGAGGGAAGCCAAAGCGAGGATTGTAACTGCCCAAGCCTAGAGAGGGAGGTGAGCTGCCTCCGGACTTGACTGCAGCTTCCCTTCCTCCTGACACACATGGAGTTTGGTGGCGACGGTGCCGGTGCCGAAGAACTGCAGACAAATACTTAGCCAACTGGATGTGTGTGAGCTGGCTACAAAGGCAGCGCCTGCCTCACCCGGACCTCCTGCTGGCAGGATGTAAATATACCTGCAGACTGGCCAAACAGGACTGCCTTTTCTCCCCCAACCCCTCCCTCCTCCCACCCTCTCCCTCAGCTAACCAGCATGAGAGGAACTGAGAAAGCAACAGCCTGCAAGTGACAGCTCCAGCCTGATTCTGTTCGTCTCTGAGCCGAGGTGGGAAGTTGATTGTGCGGCAGCTTCATTGTGAATTCCTTCCATTGGCATCGCTATGTTTGCCTCTATCTGGTATGCTAAGAAGCTGGGTCGCAGGTTCGTGCACAATGCCAGGAAGGCGAAATCAGAGAAGGTATGGAATGAGTGGGGTTGAAAATTACCTTTCCGGTTTGCCAACTGCCTGCTCTGGACCATTGGTCTGAGTACAGACGCAGTCTTTATTTGCTTGGAGTGAGAACCTGCCTCTCACTGTGAATGTGGTCCTTGCCACTATGAAAAGGGGTAACACTTAGAGCCTAGCTTGCTTGGGAGGGGAGCATTAAGGGTTAAGCAAGATCATTGGCTATTCAAAATGCGTGGTGAAATCATCAACTGATACAGTGTCTTCACAGAGACTTAAGATTCCTTTAAATTACATAGGATGAAAGCAATTGAGCAGCTGCAGTTTATGCTTGTTCAGAGAGCTCTCTAGTAAACTTGTTGCTGTACTGCATTATTTTTATTATTGTGATCTTTGGTTCTGAAGTGGGCGTTATAAATACCTGAGCCTTTCTCTAGTACATGTGTTACAGTGTGTGTCCTAGGAACATATATCTGGGACTCTCAGTAACGTTGACCAGACTCTACAGGGGTGCTTGGTATCTTATCACTAAGCCATCGTTTCAAAAGTGTTCACAATGAGCAAGAATTATATTTATAATCAGGTAGTTGTGGCCATTTAAAGAATAGATTTGCATTTCTTGTATTCAGCATGACCAGTCATTTCCAGAGAATCTCTGTGTAGACTTACCTAATTAGTTATATTTCCCTGAGAAATTAAAATGGCCTGTAAGTCCTAAGGTATATTACATGCTTGGAGATAACAGAAGATGATAGCTTACATCTCTAATTCTCCAGTGCTTTCTGGGGCACTGTCCAAACTGTCATATTTAGGGAATCAATATCCAATGCGGTAGGCATTGGGGAAACTTCCAAAGGTAACAAAATCTTGTGAAACAGATTTTTCATATTCCTCTGAGGATATGATCTTCAGCCCAGTATCTTTACTGCTTTATGTAAACTCATGAGATTGACCCAGAGATGGCTCTCCTGGCCTGTGGCACAGTGTTTTCTCTCACCTAGAAAGATGCCTTCACTATAACTTGCTATTCATTCCTTCAGAGTGGAAATGATAAAATGAACAAGAATCCAGTGATGAACCAAGATACGAATTTTTTTAGCTTTAGAAGAGAAAATATCACTGGGGTTCTGACTTTAGAGCCTCTTATAATGTCCAGATCTGACAATTTTAGAACGTAACTGACTTGTTATTTAATAACACTTTTGGTGGATGAGGGAGGGGAGGATTGGGCTGGAATTGGTCTCTTCTCCACTCTATATAGCCCAGATAAAAAGATTACAAGCCTAACTATTATGTGTCAACTAGTATCATATATATTGAACAGTTGGCTTTTGAGGTTGTGTTTTGTTTTGACTTTCAAGTAATTTTGCAGGAAAGAGACTTGTAAGTGGGTCTTTTATTGGAACAAATGTTTTAGAAAAGTCCTTTCTTCCTATAAAAATTATAAGTTGTATGGATGAGAGAACTGTCAGAGACCATAAATGGCTCTGACAGCCACTGGGAGATAATGTCTTATGCCAAATTAGTATGCAAAGAAAGTTGAATCTCCCAGAAGCACTTATTTCAAGCCTGGACCCAAATGTAGGAAATAGCAGCTCTATAAAATTCAGTGTATAGAACCTAAAAAGACATTGATACAACAAAGTAATCTGAGCTTCTGCTTCTTAAGGAGCTAGTAAGGGGCTTTCAATCTGTCCCATCCATTTCTGTGATGGCTAATGTTTAAAACAAGCCAGAAGAAACCAAGTTTGATTTTAAGGGTTCAAATTATTTAATTACCTTACTCAGAGAGTAAGATACATTTACATCAGGAAATCTACATTAGAGAACTGAAGGTTTGCTCTCTGAGTGACAAAGACCAAAGGAAATAACAACTCTACTGCCTTTGTGCTAGGAAGAGAGCTAGGAGGAGTTAATTTTGAACATTAGGTCATGATAAGCAACATGAAATAACATCTTGGTATTTTTTAATGGAATTTGTATTCACAGAGTTCCTGAAATAAATTAAAAGGTGTGTTGCCTCAAAAAATGTAGGCACTCAGTCGATGCCTGGTGAATGGAAATAGTTCATTTATTTTGTATACCTAATTTTATAACATAGCTTATTTAAAACTATAATTTTAAATTAATTTTTTTCTAAGGGTTCAGTATGTACTTTAGCTGAGAAGACAGTTAACAAATAATACAACAAGCTGAATTAATTTACATAATGTATTCCTATAATATCAAAGATCATATAGTTGCAAAACAGTGGGGCATGTAAAGTGCTACTAACGATATGTTGCCATGGTTTATCAACAGATGGAAGAAGATGTATAAAATAAGATTATTATTGAATTTTGTTTAGAAAATGACCAGTATACTTAATTGTGAAAGATCATATTTTAGCATTTGGGGAGATATATCTTTACAATGGACAATGATTGTGATTTTTAGTACCCTCTATAAATTCTGGGCTTTTCTTTTTTTTTTTTTTTTTTTCAGTAGGTGACAGTTTATTTCTTCACACTCTAATAAAACAACCTGAACTCACCATAGCCCTTCACTTCTATTTTAACACTGAAAAGTATTTTCCTCAAGGTTGGGGTTAATTGAAAAGCTCTTAATAATTAGGAACATGCAAGACTAAATGCCATCCTAAACACTCAGTGTGACTTATTACTAGTTGTCTTGTCTACTGTTTTGCCTCAGCTAATGTCACTAGAACTCAGTAGCATCACAAAATGACCATCATAATGCTCACAACAATAATAATATTAATGATAGTAATCTCCATACAGCTTATACATTAGCTTCTTTATACATAAAATTTAATCTAATTATCACAACAGCCCTATTAAATAGAAATTATTTTTCCTGAATCCTAGAGAGAAGAGTAGCTAGCCCAAGGTCACAGGATTAGTGGTAAGTCTCAGTGTTGGGATTTGCACCAAGTCAGCCCAAGGTATTCCAAAACTGACTCCTTGTGTCTCTAGCGCCTTCTTCCTTCCACTCATCATTCTTCTAGATCCACTAATCTGTCTTGTCTGAATAAGGTTACTCATCTTTTCTTATCTTGTCCCTCTCTTTTATATTAGAATTTCAAAGTGATAATGTTTACAGAATCAAAGTTACTGATTGTGTAACTCAACCTCTTTATTTCAGATAAGACTATACATAAACTATATTGAATAAACAGTTTTCTTTCATGTTGTTAAAGATTTTACATTCTTTGTCCTCTATCATTGGTTAAGTGTAGCAAACTTGTTTTGTCACCTATTATTCTTTTTTTTTTTTTTTTTGAGATGGAGTCTCACTGTAGCTCAGACTGGAGTACAGTGGCACAATCACTGCTTAAACTGCAGTCTCAACCTCTCCAGACTCAGGTGATCCTCCCACCGCAGCCTTCCGAGTAGCTGGGAACACATGTGTGTGTCAATATGCCCGGCTAATTTTTGTATTTTTTTGTAGAGATGAGGTTTCCCCATGTTCCCCAAAGTGGTCTCGAACTCCTGAGCTCAAGTGATCTGCCCACCTTGGCCTCCCAAAGTGCTGGGATTACAGGCATGAGCCACCATGCTGGGACACCTATTATTCTATTTGAATAGCTTTTAATTGTCATATCATTTTAACCTTAACGTTGGCATTTGTACTCATTGCTTATTCCTATAGAATCCAAAAATGTCTTTAATCAAAAAGGACCTAAATGCCTGGCAATTGTACATGTGCTCTCTTTTTGAAAAAAGTCAAAGATGTTAGGTGATTCACATTGACATTTTTCTAAATAAGCTACATAAGAGATTCTTTGTTATTCTTTCATTTAAAAGTTCATTTGTACCAACAAATTCTCTGAATAAAATTATTTTAAAAGTGATAATGTGAAATCCAGATTGCCTGGCTGGGATAGAATACCTCCATTCAAATAATTATTCCTTTCTTCTTTGTTTTGACCCTGTGTAAGTAATTCAGAAGTTAGTATCTTACTTGTATGCCTGTTGTCACGTTTCAACTTAAATCTCTTAATTAGACAATCTCCAGATTGTCTTACTCTAAAAGGCCAGTTGAAGAATCTTTAAGATAAATTGAAAGTGCAATTTCTGGTTACGTAGTAATATACAAGAGTATTAAAATACCAAAACTTGTGAACCTTCACTTCCCCGTCAGCAATATATTGCTTATTTCATTTGTTTTGTTTTAATTTTTATATTTATCTTTTTAGTGCACATTATGAAAAGTACTTTCATGATGCATTTAGGAAAGACTAGTATCAATATTCATAATCTAACAGACACACCTGTAGATGAGCTTGGCAGTTTATAACCTATGAGTGATGTAACCAACCCCACATATCCTGACATTAGGCCATACTCACCTTGGAAAACTTTTTTTGAATTTTTTTGACAGGGCCTCACTCTGTGGCCCAGACTAGAGTACAGTGATGTGATCTCAGCTCACTGAAACCTCTGCCTCTTGGGTTCAAGCAATTCTCGTGTCTCAGCTTCCTGAGTAGCTGGGACTGCAGACATGTGCCACCACAGCTGACTAATTTTTTGCGTTTTTAGTAGAGATGGGCTTTCACCATGTTGCCCAGGCTGGTCTCGAACTCCTGGACTCAAGCAATCCATTTCAGCCTCCCATAGTGCTGGGATTATAGGTGTGAGCCCCCATGCCTGGCCCACCTTGGAAAACTTTTTAAAAACCAGCACACTAGTTCTACTCTCCCCCTTGTCTAAACCAAACACATTAATTCAACAAAAACTAAAATGGAGGATAAACTAGTAATACATTTGCTGGCAGTAGGACCAAGGAAAGAGAATTATGTCCTGGTGATCTTAGTAGAATATAAGGGGCACCAGGTTTCAGGCAAGGATTTAGAGGGAGGGGATTAAATTAGCCTTGCTCTTTGCTATCCAGCCTGAAGTCAGTCACTTGGTTTCTCTGGCCTCAGTTTTCTCATCTGTCAAATAGAAGTAACATTTATGCTTCAGTAGATCTCCAATGTCCTCAAGACAGTGTTCAAACCATTAATATAATCTACAAAACCCATCATGATATGGCCTCTGCTTTCCTCTCTGTCATCATACCTTGTACCTCTTCTATCAGCACTTTAAATCCAGAATTCTGAACTACTTTCAAATCCCTAAATGGCCCATGCTCTCTCTAGCTTCCAGGATTTTGCTTAATCTGTTTGGCTAACCAGCTAATCACAGCCTGGCTGTATCCATCACTTATTCCACTCTAGCCTTAGGTGACATCACCATCACTAGGAAACTTTTCTTGGCCTCTAAAGCCCAGGATGGATCTATCATCAGCTCCCACAGCAACTTGTGCATTTGTTGTAATTATCTTCATTTTTCTACAATCCTCAGTAGATTTGAAATGAATGATTTCTCAATCTTATTCAACATATTTCTAGGGTCTAAAAGAATGCTTGACACATAGTTGTCTTTCGTATGATATTTAATTGATTTGAAGTTGTCATCAATTTTGAGATGTGTCATTATTTCATCTATTACTAAAAAAAAGATTGCCAATGAAACCATAACACATCATGAATTGCAAGATGCATCTTGATTTCACAGGTGTTAAAAAGTGAAAAATATTTATTCTTAGAATTAATAATATATGACATAATGGTGAAGAATGAATGATTTACTTTGAGGATAAAATGAGTTAATATAAATAAAGTGTTTAAAATATTATACTTGCTATCAAATTATTTTTATTTATCTGGTAATATTAATAATAGTTTTCATACAGAGTATTATATGGAACACTGAGATATATCATATATTTTGACTTGTGCCAGTCAGACTCAACAAATATTATGTGTCCTATTCTGAATTTAGGAAGGTAAATGATAAAGGAAAAAAATGAAAATTAACATTATGAAATGAATTAAAAGATATAATCAAACTGGAACCATTTAGATTGCAGAAGAGAAAACTTAAGAAGCCTTCCAGACTCCCACTATATATTTATATGTCTAAACAACAATGGTTAATATTTATTGAATTTGTTCTATGAGCTGAGAACTGTGAATATAAAGACCCAGTGAGATTATTACTACTAGTTTTTAGAGAGAAAACATATCACCAGTAGGTGACTATGATTAGACATCCTGTATGATTCTAGACCTTGATCTCCTCACTGGTAGATAATACTCTGCTTCTGTATGTTTGCGTATACTATATATTGTGTGTGTATATATATGTTATGTGTAATACATATTATACTATGTTTATAAAATCATGTAGGTTTATGATGAGTTAGATACTAAGTTTATTTTTCCTGTGAAAAATAAATTTTAAAAATTAAATGCAAAATCTGAAATTTATCTCAGGCATAAGTAGTGTCCTGATATTGAAGATTCACCAGTCCTCAGTGATCATTTTATTTCTATTTTTGCCTCATAGTAGATTGAAGAGTGGTCTGACCTGGAGAGAAGGATGAACAGATTGTCCTCTTAGATCCCTTTCTTAGAGGCTTGTGAGTCTCTCAAAGCTCCTCAGTTGTGAGCAGCAGCATGACTCAGCGCCAGTGTCTGCCTAGCTGTGGTGACAGAGAGGACAGGTGTTTGTCCATGCTGAACGCAGCCCTGCTGCAGTTCTCCTCTGTCACCTGGAAGGTGAATCAAGCAGCAAAATGGACAGTAGCACCTGTTCTGAGGTCCCAGAACTGCTGCCCACCCTGGCAGAGCAAAAAGCACAACTGTTATAAGGTCAGGGAAAGTAGACAAAGGGCAGGATCAGAGAAATGGCCAAAGTGAAGGAAGGCAGGAGTAGGCTGGAGGGCAAGATAGTTGGTCACAAAACCACTGTAAAATTGTGACTAGTTGTAGGAATGACTATTAAGCAGTTTACTCGAGCATTATTACATGTATTTTACACATACCATCTCATTTAATTCTTACTACAGCCTTCTGAGGTACTCTTATTAGCTGCATTTCCTTCTCTTTTTTTTTTCTTTTCTTTTTTTTTTTTGAGATGGAGTCTCCCTCTGTTGCCAGGCTGGAGTGAAGTGGCACGATCTCGGCTCACTACAACCTCCGACTCCCTGGTTCAAGCAATTCTACTGCCTCAGCCTCCTGAGTAGCTGGGATTACAGGCACCCACCACCAAGCTCAGCTAATTTTTTTTGTATTTCTAGTAGAGATGGGGTTTCACCATGTTGGCCAGGATGGTCTCGATCTCCTGACCTTGTGATCTACCTGCCTTGGACTCCCAAAGTACTGGGATTACAGGTGTGAACCACTGTGCCTGGCTATTAGCTGCATTTCATAGATGAACTAAGGTATAAGATGTTATGGGATTTTGCCATAGGTCACAAGTGGTGGAGCCAGCATTCAGGAACAGGTTTACTGAATCTACAGCCTGTGACCCTAGCCCCAACTCATATTTTATGTTCTTCTTTAAACCTACCTTCAGTTGGATGGACCTCTGATATGGAGAAGAGATAAGCTGGAAATGAGACCTGACTTCTCAGTTATGGTCCTTCAGAAACCAGGTATCCAGATAGCCTTGTTTCAGTCTAGTTTACAAAACTTTAATTGCATTTTTTTCTTAATATAACTTTAGAATGATATTCCTCTACCTGATATTGTTGAGTGATATTACGTTGGAAAATGAAGATGAAAGGAGACATTCTCCAACACAGCAAGATTAATTTAAGCATGATTATCATTGTAAAGATAAATTTGATAATCAGATAATCTGCATGTTTTATTTGCACATGTATTGCAGGAATGAGGCTATTAGAGAAGCCATCCCGCTTTAAAAAATGCCTCGTAGTATTTGCTTATATCTGAGGTAGTCTTATTTCCTCAAATATCTTATTAAATCTTTAATTATTAAACCATTATAAATTCTGTCCTATTTGGTCTGGACACCTAGCATCTATAAGGTCCTAAATGAACCCTGGTTGGATGATTCACTTGGATGGGACACTCTCAGCTGTATTAAGTATAGGAATTAAGACCAGATTAGAGGTCAGTAGGCCTGGGTGTTAACTGGCTCTGCCCCACAACCTGTGCCACCTTGGTTAAGTGTCCAAGCTTTCATGGGCCTGAGTTCATCTGCAAGCAGATTCCTCCCCACTCAAACATTTTTTGATTCTAATTCTGATTTTCTATAAGACTGCAGAATCCTTAAAGGGAAAGATTTGTACTCATTTGTCTTTGTATTCTCAGCACCTAGCAAAACGCCTAGCACTAGATGAAACAGAACATTTATGCCAAATGACTATACACAAAAGGTCTGGAACTTCCTTGACCATTAGTAAGAAGAATGTAAAGGAGACTCTGTCCACCTTCAAAGTGAGAGCAAGATGAAAAATGCTCAGGGGCTCTTCTTTTTCAAATGCCTTTTTTCTTTGGAGAAAGAGGAATTATGAGGCATTTTATAGCATTGCGTTTGAGGCTTTGGTTCTCTTCCTTTCTCACCCTCCATGCCACTAACACTGAAGTAAAACAAACAGTAACTAGCATAAAGCCAGAGTCTTCTTCAGCCACCAACAATGACATCAAACTAAAATTTTCCAGCTGCCTTATCCCACATGCCATATCATTACAAGCTTATAGTTGAGGATGAAATGTTTATTGTTTGAACACTCTCAATCCTAAAATTCCAGTTATTTAGAGAATCTCCATCCCACCTGCTACAGACTGAATTGTGACCTCCCCAAATTCATATGTTGAAGCTCTTGTCCTCAGTGTGACTGTATTTGGAGATAGGACTTCTAGGTGGTAATTAAGGTTAAATGAGGCCATAATGGTGGGGTCTGAATCTGATAGGCTTGGTGGCATTGTAAGAAGCGGAAGAGACAGATTTCTTCATCTTTGTCTCCACTGTGTGAGGACACAGAGAAAAGGCAGCTGTCTGCAAACCAGGGAAAGAGAGCTCACTGGAAACCATACCCTGATAGAACCTTGATCTTATACTTCCCAGTCTCCAGAACTGTGATAAAATAAATTTCTTTTGTTTAAGCCACCTAATACCTGGTATTTTGTTATGGCAGCCCAAGCTAAGGGCTTGTTATACCACCTCCCACCATTGTAGATATATATGATGATGTCTAATAAGGAGTGGTTTTTAGTGCCCAAGGCCAGCCTATCAACACCGGGTAGAAATAGTGTTCTTTTTTATTCAAAATATGTAAGTTCTGATAAACACATGGATTCAGCAGAGTTAACACCACTCAATCTTTTGAAGGAGCTATGAGAGGTTATTTAAAATGGTAATATATTTTTTAAAAAGGAGAAGTAGAGGGTAAGGGGAATGAATGAAATGCTTTTGGAGGATAGCTTTGGTTGTCTTTATAGTTGTCTAAGCTACAGAGGAGGCAAAATGAATGCAAACTATTCACCCAACAAACTTGATAAAACAAAAAATACATATAACTCACAAAATACTTTTCTTCTCTTCCACACCTACTTGTTACATTAGGTCACACTGATTTACAAACAATTGATTGATTTTCCCTATCATACCATTCACTGTTCCTCACAAGCTAGTCTTGGAGAAAGTTCCTACTATCAGAAGGGCTGGTAACTTTTCACCAGGGTTTGCAGCAAGAAATGACAAAACAAGTACTGTTAGAGGTATTGAGGTCCGTGGTATTCCTGTGCTTGTTAGCAGTGCAGATCTATGTGATTTGACAGACATTTTGGTGATTCCCTAGCATGGGAGGGGTAAAAATGTATTTTCTGTGGAAAGGAAAAAAAGTATATTGGGGTTAGGGGAGTTGAAGGAGGGACAGTGCTTGGGAAAGTTTAAGAAGATTGAGAAAAATAAGTCTTTTTCTTGTTCCTTTCCTATTTGGACATTATCCTGGCATAGGACTGACTTTCCTATATATTTTTTTCCCCAAGATTCCTGTAAAAGTTCTTTGTCATCTTCGTTGACTTCTGTCCTTTACCCATTTTGTGAATCCTCTTATTGGCACACCACCCAAGAACAGTAAGGCAGTGAAAGACTGTAGACCTGGCTTCAAGACTGGTTGGGTGACCTTGAGCAAATGACTGCACCTCTTTGATTATTAGTGCTCTCATGTATTAAAAATGGTGATAACCACCTTTTCATGGGTTTATGATTCAATTAAAACTGCATGTGAAGAATCTACCTATTGTAAAAACTTTTTCTTCCGTACCTCCTTTCTTTCCTCCCTCCCTCTCTTCTTTCCTTCCTTCATTCCCTTTTTCCTTTCTTCCTACCATTCATTTAAATATTCTGCCTAGTTCTAGAAAGAATGAAAAATAGTTCTGCTTTACCTCTTCACCAATGATGCCTCTTACTCTACTATCCCCCTGGGCTTCCGAATGAACTTTCTCTGTCACCCTGGTTTTATAAAATGAGGAGGTGTGTAATTATATCTCTGTCTTTGGCTAGAGGCAGAAAATGACTAAGAAGAACATCTTTCTTTAACTAGTTGGAATTGTTAGTATAATGACTCTGAGAGAGTTCTAGGTTTTTATTTCCTTTTAAATAATTTTCTAGATCCTCCTTATAAAATATTGTCCCCCTGCTCCCAGCCTTTCCCATACATTCTCTCTTTCAAAATATACCACCCAACTTTTAAGAGAGGGATTCCCTGTTTCGTGAGTGCCAGTTAAGACATATCACTTCTCCTTTGAAAGGAAGTATTATGTGCTGAATGACTCAAGATGCTTATCTTCCAGCTGATAAATGTATCACTTGACGTTTGTTGCTTTATTTCAAGTCTTGGGAAAAAAGAGAAAAGAGTCCCATGCAATGTTACATTGAAGTTCAAAACTAGAAAGGACCTTCCTTTCGTAGATAATAATAATAACATTAATGAACATTTATTGTGTCTTTACTATGGGCCAGTCACTACTCTATGATTTTATGTGTTCTAATTTAGCAATATTCACAATGGCCCTATATGCAAAGTACTATTATATCCACATTTTTACAGATGAGGCAAAGAAAGGTCAATTAATATGTCCAAAGATGCACAGTTAGCATGTCCTAATGCCAGGATTTCAACCCAAGCTATCTGGACCTGAGTCCAAATTCTTAACCATGATGCTACAGTAACTTCTCATGCCTTTCAAATGAGTAAGCTGAGTCCCCAGGTAATATGAGGTTTAGGAATTTTTTTGGTCCAATATCTCCCCAATATTGATGGCCAAGTTTTGGGGATTTGAACCTAGATATTCGCAATTCCAAACTTCGGCCTCATTGGCTTCATGCGCCACTAAGATGTACGCCCCTACATTTATTTCTCATGATCAAATATTGAGGAGTTTCAAGCACTACCATTAATGTCTTTGGTAAACAGTACCTGCTAAGTTCCTCTTTCATTTAACCAAAAGTATTATTGGTTATATTCATATTTTTGAGTGGTGGTATTGATAATCTTTCATGAAATTTTCAGTTATATAATTGATGTGACTTTACCATGTCTTCAGTGCCCTGCTTCCATTAAAAAACAACAACAACAACAAAAAAGTCACCCAACAGGATGGCATTTGGAAAACAATTCCACACCAGTGGTTGCATTAATTGCTACTTTGAATGTTCCTGCTGTGAATTGAATGGAGTCACTTTGGATCTATTTCTTAGAAATAACAATTTTTATTACCTCTGCTCTAGGATGCACAGTTTTGAGATCTTCAGAGGCAAATATCTTCACTAACCACTTTCTCTTTTCTGTTTTCTTTCCATAAGTAATCCTTTTCATTGTTATGACTGTTTTTAATGTTCTCAGATTTAATTTATGAAGGATAGGGGATGTTGTAGGATGATTTTGTCTCTTGTTATCTCAGCATATAGCATTCCGTTAACTTCCCAAGTATAACATTTTGAATATCATGTTTAGTTCAAATATCCATTATTTTATTAAAGTTGATGTTTTTCTTTATGTATATGTAGAATTTACAAAGGCTTTATGAAAATGGCTTTTGTAATACACAAGTAAGAATTTCCTTTAGCAGTAGTCATTTCTTTAGTGAGTGTTTTGAAAAAAGCAGGATAAAATGTAGTATGATGAATAATGCTTGTTAGCAGTTATCAGCTACACTATGCCTTTTAGAAAGCAAATTCCAATACAATCCAGATTAAATAATGCTTTCCATTCTCCAGTTTCTTAAAATCACCTATGTAGTTGTCCTGAACAATTTGAAAGTCATATCTTCTCTATCTTTCCAGGTTGACTGTAGACTGACCCCAGGAAAATAAAATTCAGGTAAATAAATCATCTGCAGCCTTTGAAGTCAATTAACAATTCAACAAATACTCATTTGCCCCTTGGTATTAAAAAATACTTATTTGCACAGTAATATTAATAATACTGTGCTGGGACTTACAATGATGCATGGATACAGAAATGATCCAGCTATGGTCCCTATCCTAGGGAAGTTTAGGTATAGATTGGAAAAATCTAAAAAGAAGCATACACAATTAAGGCAAACACTTAGCAAACTCTATACTGCTTAAACAGTGTAAACAATATGCCAGTTTTTCCCTCTTATTTATTCTGTCTTGCCCAGACCCTCTTTGCTTATTTGCTGAATCTTAACATTCTTGAGCTCTGTGATCATGCCTGATTGCACACCACCTGGTATATCATTCATTCACTGAGCCCTGTTCTCCAAGATTAGAATAAAACACACGTGCTTTGATTACATTCTTAGGAAGCACATGTGAATGTCCATAATGTCCTTCTACCCACCCCAAAAAATGCCTTAAAGAAACTGTTCTTATTTTTAATACTTCTATTAAAATATATTGATACATAAAAGTAGAGTATTTAAGAACATGGTTTCTAGATCCAGGTTTCCTTGTTTCAAATCCCAGCACTGCCATTTACTAGCTGTGGAACTTTGAGCAAGTTACTTAAACCTCGTGTGCTTCCTCATCTATAAAATGAGAATAATAGTGCCTGTCTCATAGGCACTATTATAAGAATTGAGTAAATATTTTTGAATAACAGGTATTACCTAAGTTTTTTTTTAAATGAATATAATGTGACAAGTCATTAAGAAAGATATTATGGGGTGCATACAATTCTTTGGAGCTTCTCAGCTAATTGGCCAACTATTTCATGTCATTCTCTGCCTCTGATTTTGACCTGTAGTAGGACTATTTTGAACAACTTTGTAATCACATGCTCCACAATATCAGCATGGATGGGCAAGCACATTTCTGCCCTAATATAGCAACCTTGAGTTTCACTGTCACTGAGCAGTACTTTTGGAAGGTGACTCTGATTTAAGCAGTTGATCTTACCAGAGATACTAGGATTACTGTCATTTGATTGTTGAGTCATTAACTTGAAAAGCATCTATTCAAGAGTGTCTGCTTTGATATCTACCCAAGAGAGCATCATCTGTGGAGGTAGGGCAATGGCCTCTAATTAGTATAATAGACTTCTGTCTCCCTAAAGCACCAGTTCTGCTTTTGAAAATAAGTCAGTGTCCAGCATCACTATTTGTTGCTCAATTATATAGATACTTCAATGTGTTTTTCTGCATTTATGGACTGTTTAATGTTTAATGGAGGTAAGTACATTCAAATAGCAGAAGATGGCTTACTGTTGCATTTATGATTAACATTGTATGTTCTTGAATGTGTATTGCCTATGTATGTTTTCATGTCACACCTATTTATAATTTATGTAATTGAATCACTAGTTGAGCAAAGAACATGTCTTTCTGAACTATTTTTTTAAAGAAACTGGACACTAACTTTGAGTAATTAAAAGATAATCTAAACAATCTATAAATGAATTCATTTAAGAGCTACCTCACAGTATGCTGAGAAGCTGGGATGTGATGGTGAACATGGCCTATTCAGTACTCAACATTCAACAGTGTATGAGGAAGACAACAATAAAGGAGCAATTGCAACATAGTGTGATGAATATGATGTGTTTAGGGATTTTATACATTTCCATTATTGATTGAGTAAATACTTCATAAGTCTGTGAAGTAGTCCATCTTAGATGATAAAAAGATAAAGTAGGTTGGTTGGGATTTTATTTTTTAACACATCAGTTACAGTAGACAAGTGCCAGGCATGACATGGACACAGTTGAATTTAAGTCGAACTATTAAGTATCTTAGTGTACTAAGTGAGACAAAATATCATTTAGTTATCAAACCTGAATGTATTATTTTTATTGCGATAAAATATAAACATAATATAAAATTTGCCATTTTAATCATGTTTAAGTGAAGAATTATGGGCATTAAATACATTTGCAATGTTGTACAACCATCACCACTATCCATTTCTAGAATTTTCATCATACCAAATGAAAACTCTGTACCCTTCTGAATATTAACATTAATGAAAAAATGTTCAGACCTTCCCCATTTGACCTTGCCATAAAATGTGCTGACTAATTTACAATAGTTCCATCTACCCTTTACAGTTATTCTGAGAATGTTTCAGAAATACTTATAAATCTTTCAACTTCCATTACTACTTTGATAAGATTTTGTAACAAGAAAGCAGGAGAAGTGACTTTGGGTAGGTCTAGAGTCATGATGTTTAAGCATTTTGTTGCAAGTAATACAATTTAATTTCAACTAAGTACCTTTAGCTTTACTAAGATTAGTAATTAAATATTTAGTTGTATACTAAATTAGCTATGCCATGTGGTCACTGGAAAGTAGGTACTCCATTTACTGGAACATAAATGTTTTACAAGGTATTGTAATATAACTAGTAAATTAATAATGACAATTTAGGTTTCAGCTAATTAAATTCTTCCTTAGTATATATTAATTTGAGGGTCTAAACTAAAACAACTTCAACTATGATAACTGCTGTAATGATTTAGCTGTGCCCAATCATGAATAAAATTGGGAAAATTGAATGTGCGTAATGAGTTATAAAGATAAGTTAGTTTCCAACTGTCTTTATAAATTTTGATTGGCAAATCTAAACCAGAATTAAATATGCATTAAGGAGAGAGACTTTATGGTCAACTTCATACCCTTATTCAGACAGAAAATTTTTCAAGAGGATTGACACCATTGCTATAGCTTACAATCAAATAAATTTTAAAGAGCATGACCAATGTGCCCAGAACTGCGGTAGGCTATTAAAACATCATAATTAAGATCTCTGAGGCTCAGTTTTGTTGCTATTGTTCTTTTTCTAATCTGTAAAATAGGGATACTAGAGGTAAATCACGAGCATAACAGTGCTGCATACAGTAAGTGCTCCAGAGTCAATTCATTTATTCATTCACTATAATAAGTAGTAATTAGAATGAATGATAGATGCATAATGTATTCTCATTTAAGTATCTAAAAATAAAAGAGACATAATTTGCCCAAGTACCTTCCTCAACTCTGAAGAGTTCAAGCGCCTAGTGAGGGAGAGATATGTTTGAGTGGACGACCATATAGCATGACAATTCAAGTGTATTTTTCAAAGTTGTGCGTTATAGAGGTCTCTAGACTCAACACAATTTGTAGGCACAACAGGAGAAGTAGACAGAAAGGAGTGGAGCCACAGGAGGCCTCGGAGAGGGGATGATGCTCGAAAATACTTAACATAAGAAGTTTGACAGGCAGAAGCGGTGAGGGATTCATTCCGAGCAGAGAAAAAGAGCAAAGCACAGATTCCTCAAAGAGCATGGCTTTTTCATGAAGCTGCAGGAAATTCATCTTGGCCTGAGCAGAGCAGGTACACAAGGGAATGGGAAGATGTGACTTTGCTTAGGTCAGCTGGGGCCAGATGGTAAAAGGTTTGGTTTGTTATCTAAATAGTACGAATTATTTGATGGAGGATGGAATAACAGTGTCACTGATGGGTTTTAAGGTGAGAGAGAGGTTGATAAGATCAGATTCAGATTTTAGAAAAACTTATCTGGTAGCAGAATGTGGAGAGTGTATTAGAAATGAGCAAGAGTACAGACAAGGAGACGCTTTAGGAGACGTTTACAGTATTCTCAAACTTTAGTGTGCATGGAAATCACCTGGAAGTCTTGATAAAACACACATTGTTGCACTCTACCCAGAGAGTTTCAAATTCAGAAGGTCTGCAATGGGGAAGAATTTGCATTCTTAACAAGTTTACTGGCCCCGCTTGCTGCTCTGGGATCCTGTTTTGACAATTGCAGACATAAATATACCATAAAAGCCTGTCTTAATCAGTTTGGGCTGCTGTAACAAAATACCATAAACTGGGTAGCTTCAACAATATTTATTTCTTCACAATTCTAGAAACTGGAAAGTCTGACATCAAGGTACAAGCAGATTCCATATCTGGTGAGAGCTCACTTCCTGGTTCATAGACAGCTGTCTTCTCACTATAACCTTACAAGGTTGAAGGGGAAGGGAGTGTTCTGGGAACTAACTTATAAGAGTACCAATCCCATTCATGAGGCTCCACCCTAAGGACTTCAAGAGCTCCACCTCCTAATACCACTGCATTGAGGATTAGGTTTCTACGGATGAGTAACAGAAAACAAGCATTGGGGCCGGGCGCGGTGGCTCACGCCTGTAATCCCAGCACTTTGGGAGGCCGAGGCGGGCAGATCACGAGGTCAGGAGATCGAGACCATCCTGGCTAAAACGGTGAAACCCCGTCTCTACTAAAAATACAAAAAATTAGCCGGGCGTGGTGGCGCACGCCTGTAGTCCCAGCTACTTGGGAGGCTGAGGCAGGAGAATGGCGTGAACCCGGGAGGCGGAGCTTGCAGTGAGCCGAGATCCCGCCACTGCACTCCAGCCTGGGCGACAGAGCAAGACTCCGTCTCAAAAAAAAAAAAAAAAAAAAAAAAAAAAAAAAAAAAGAAAACAAGCATTGGTCACTGTGCTGAGGCAGTGAAATACAAGCGGCAAATTAAATCTCATTCTAAAGGCCTGATTGGTTGGAAGCACCCTCGTGATACATTTTTTCCTCCTGAAATTTTGCTTGAATAACACAATGCCTTAGGCATTTGATGATGCTGGTGGGTGTTGGGGGAAATAAAGTGAACCAGCTGTTTTCTACTAGGGTCAGAGTGAGTAAAAGTGACCTGTGGTTCTCAGTGACTGTTAATGCAGTAAATATCCTTAGGAATATCGTATTTCAAATTCCACTGTTTTCCATTCAGAGTGGGGGAAGAAAGGGACTTGTCTCTTCACAGAGTTGGTTATCTAAGCAGGTTGCTGTCTAACATAAAGTGCGGCTCTTGCAGTCTTGCATATTTCCTCCGTTTTCAGCTATATTATGGTCAAAGGAGAACCTGGCTGAGTTTTACTTGTTTCACCATTTCAGATTTTTTATTTTTAAAGTAACCGTATACTTTACTAAGAAGGTTTACGTGATAATTTTCTTTTGGTTGAACAAGATTTTTCTCCTGTTTCTGTTTATTCTGTGTGTTTGTTTTTAAGGCAAACATGATCTCTCTAATTACCTTTCATTGTAACGAAGGTTTCTCTTTCCTGTAGCCCCAGTGTTGTTCTAGTGAAATGAGTTTCATCTGCTGAGTGTAGGAAAAGGTTTTAATTGACATAATTAACACTGGTGTGGTTATCTCCAATTTAAAAAGAGGTAGTTGATTCTTCCAGAATGTGAAGGTATTGCCTGATAGAGCCAAGCACGCAGTGTGTAATAATGAAGGTAGTTTGGGAAGAATTTTCTGCTCTTAATTAGGAGCAAAATGGGTAGCCTTTTGTCAGCAGGAGGCTCAGGACACAGGCTAATTGCGATGAATATAATGGGATTACCTCACACTTGAGATGGTACTCGCACTAAAGGGGCACAGAGCCTTCCCTGCAAATCTGCACTGGTCTGGGGGTGGGGATCTTATAGAGGGATGTTTTGAAGATATAATTTATTGTCTAGTTCGGAGGACTTTTTTCCCTTCTTTCTGTGTGTCTGTCTTGAAAGAGAAATGATCATAAAATTATCGGCATTTCTCAAACGTGTTTTTAATGGAAGGGCTTTTCAGGGTTGTTTTGTATATGAGACAGTATGTTCAGGATGTTCTAAATGATGTCCAGAATAAATAGATTTTACTTCTGTAAGCACTTGGTGTGATTGCCTAATATTGCAGCTCATAAATGTTTATGAAGGTAAAATGCTATTATATTAGTTTGTGTAATTTCTCCCAGGCATAAGGATAGATATTGGGGAGATATTATTGAATACAAAACGTGTTTTGAAAACATGTATAGAACTTTAAATGGATTTTAATTTCAAAGTAAGCACAAGTTTGAGTTAATTAAGCACCAGTGATCTTACACAAGCCCACCAAATTGAGTAATATATAATATCTCTCTCTCTCTCTGCCTGTCTCCCTATTCCTCCCCTCTTTTTTCTCCCTCTCGCCTTCTCTTTTCTGTATTTTTTCATATATTCACAAAACTTTGAGTTGTGTCTACCAAGCAATGTGTAGAGCATTAAGTATACCAGGACAGATAAGAGAGAACATTTGCCCTTAAGGAGTTTACATTTTAATGTAAGAGGCAGGCAAGCAATTTGTGTCTCCAAGTCAAACCAAAAGTTTTGCATATACTAAAGAGGGAATACATCATTCCAGTCTAAAAATAGAGAATATTCCAAGGAAAATATGGAAAATTAACTGATTATAAAGAAGAAAAAGGATTTTGATAGGCAGAAGAGGGTAGGACAGCATTCCAGGGTGAGAAAACAGGGAAAGCAACGGGATAAGAGCATTTTAGGGAACCTAAGCGTATTTATTCTAGGTTGAGAATAGGGTATAGAGGAGGGAACTAACAGTTGCATCTGGGAAGGAAGGATAGGACCAGATTGGGGAAAGCCTTGCATGCTGTAGTAAGGAGGTAGCAGCACCTAATTGCATGAACAGAAGGTAGACATGGTATAACTAATTCAAAAACCATTTGGACAAGAAAATACAGTGCAATAATGGTTAAAAGCATGGACTCCACCAGGATTTCAAACTCAGGACTTTGTTTATTATTTAATTTTGAGTAAGTTATTTCATGACTCTGTACTTCATTTCTTTCATCTCTAAAAATAATGATACCTCCTTCATGGTTTTGGTATAAGGACGAAATTAAATGGTGTATATAAAGTCCTTCATATATCATCCAACTATTATTCTGGACTAGTATTGTTGCTCTTCTTTTTATCATCTTTTCCACTGTCACTTCACATTGGGACTTTTCAGCCCCTATGTGTTCATAGAACTAAACTAGAAAATAACGTTGTATTCTGGATCTTGTAAGTCTTACTATGTGCCAGGATGTATGGAAAGTATTAGCAACACAGAGATGAATAAGAGCCCAACATACAAATAAGGAATTGTGCTGCCGTATGGTAGCACCATATGCAAACTCCTTTTAAAGTGCTTTTGAAATATGAACCAATCACTACGCTCTAAATGGTTATGGTCAAAGAGCAAACTCATATTATCTTAAGATTAGTTATAAGAAACTTGGACATTGAGTTTGGCTCTTAACTCAGTATATTAATAGACAGCAAGGAATTTATTTATATTACATGTAAAGTGTATAATTTAGCGTTGAGAGATACTGTAAGAGTATAATCGGGTTAAGGGATAGGGAGATAGGAAGTCCATTCCCAGGTGTTACAGTGTACAAAAAGAAGTTCAGTTTTATAAGTTTCATCCAGAAAGGCTTCCTGAATAAAGTGAGATTCTAATGCTGTTTAAAAGCCAGGAAAATAATACATAAAATGGTGGGGAAAAAAAACACGTCTTCATGAATTCTGTCATTGTTTTGAAGAAGGCAGAGGCATCCAGTGAGAAATGAAGAGCTGAGGATAGGCTGTGAGATGACATCTTAAAGAACTAAAGGGGCAAGGTGGGCAGAGAAGATGGGCATGGGTCAGGGTTGGGTATGTGTTTGTGGCACCCTAGCAAATGGCTGTAGACTCAGACGAAGTCATCAAGAGCCTTGGATTTTCAAACTGACCTGGAAGGCAAATAGATGATTGTACTGGGGAGAAAGGAAAGTACCGATGAGGGACTATGTATGATTTAAAGAAGGCTGTGATAGTTTGGGAAAGAGATGGACTTTAGTACAAGGAGAAAAGGGAAGGAAATTCGCATGTATTGAGCACTTAATATGTACCAGGCATAATGCTAGATACTTTCCATGTCTTGTTGCATTTCAACCTCACATTAATTCTGTGGACAGATACTATTATCACTGTTTTATAGGAGGGGAAGTTGAATTTCATTTAAAATGACTTTCATAGATCATATAATAAGTGTGAATTAAGAAATCCAAGCAAAGTGTTCACAATCAGAAAGTCTAAATTCAGTGTTTCCGCTAAACCACAGCATATCTCCATCCATCCATTTATTCAGTAACTAATCACAGAGCCCTTACTGTGTGCTGGACACTATGTTGCTGTCTTCACATTCTTGCTGTTCACCAACTAGCTGCCTAATCATGGAATCTGCATTTCTGTGACTGTTTTCTCAAATATTAAATAGGCTTTTGTGTGGCTACTTTATCAGTATTCGTCGAATCCAAATTCATATTTCAATAATTATAAACTAATTGCAATCCATTCTTTTCAATTCCCCAAGAAAACACAAAATTCAATATTTGGCATTATTTTATTAGTTTCATTCCATTATTTCTGTTATTTACTGTAATGGTTATGAAGTTGATATTGGTATAATAATGTTGATAATAACAATCTTTTAATTGAGCACATATACTGTGTGAGATCTTGTGTTAATGTAATGCTTTATATTATCTCATTTAATCTTTAGCAGAAGTGCATGAGTTGGAACAATTTGACTGTTTTATGTATATGGAAACTCAAGCTTCAGGAGCTTCAATGACTTTGCTAAGATCACACAGTTAAGTGATAGACCAGGATCTTAAATCTCAAAATGTCTTATCCCAAACCACATGTTTTTAATCGTTAGGTGATATTGCCTTCTTATCTAGCAGAATATGTTATTTTGTCAGAGTAGTCAGTTATTCAGAGCATCCTTGCTCCCAGTGAACTTTCATTCTAATTCATGCTCTTTGGAGTTGGTTACTGTTGTTTTAAATTACTGTGCTTGAAGAAGACAGTTTCATTTTGCTTAAGTGGGAAACAAGGAAAAAAAATCAGTTTTGCTGTACATCCATAGACATCTCAGCACACATCTCTGGAAACACTGATTTTTCTTGGATGGAAAATGTGACATTCAGTTTCTTTTTGGTTGGGGAAATTCTTAAGAAGCATTGAATGTTAGTCTCTTTCTCTCTCTCTAAGTTACTCAGAAGTAATATTGTGGACTTTATTTTTGACAGATCTTGTGAAGAAACTAAATAGAACAAAAAATTATGAATATAGGGTCATGAAAGGATATTGGTATCAAGGCTGGAGCACAAAATGGAGAAGGGAGTTTTATTAATCTTTTGATGTTTTAGGTTCTACACATTTAGAATTTGAGATTAAGATGAAAGGAGAAAGAACTGGAAAGAAGCCAATGATTAGTTTGCAAAAACCCAAAATAGTAATTAAAATTATTAGAGAAGGAGGAAAAAAATAACAGCAATAACAGCTAATATTTATTGATGGCTTATGATACGTGGCACCCTAGGCAAAGCACTCAACATGTGATTAACTTATTTAATCCTCTCAATGCATATATGAAGTAGGTACTATTATCAGTGCTGTATAGATGAGAAAGTGAGTTTTGGAGCAACAAAATGACCTGTAAAAGGTCACACAACCAGTGGAGCCAGAAGTCCATTTCTGTCTGGCCCAAGTGTTTTGCCCACTGATTACCATCTTGACTATCAAAAAAGTGAGTCAAGCCTGAGGGTCTGGGAAGAAGCCCCATGTGTTTCACTGGCGCTGGCCACACCTATGACAAATCTCCACTTTGGAATCACGAATCCTAATTCTTAGAATTATGACAATATGCATTCATTGATAATGAAAAAACTTGGCCTTTGTAGTCTGGCAGTTGTTTCATCTAGCGGCATAATCTTCAGAAAAATGCTTTACTGAGGCATACTTCTATAAAATTGGGGAAAAATGAAGATTATATAAGATGAATAGAAAACTTCTATATTAGTGCTTTGTACATAATGTTCATAATGGTTCACTCAATATGATAATAATATCATGTGTTTAATGCAATAGTTTGTTCCCAGAAAGAATGCTTAATAAATGGTGTCTGTGGATTTTGCATTGTGATTCTTAACACCCTGTGATTCTAGGAAAATTAGCAGGTGCATGCAATGACATCCATAGTTCTTCTACCCATAGAGAAAGGTCATCTGTTCTTACTAATAAGAATCACATTTCCAGAACAAGTTCTGATATGTGACAATACCACAGTAAATCTTCTTAGAATAACATCTTTATTAAATAAAAGCTGTTTGCCTTTAGGGGAATAATAGTGCACATTGCATAATCCTCTGCTTTGCATATTGAAATTTGGCTGCCAGACCTTGCTAGAGGAATTCAGGAAGTGTCTTAAAGTGGAGAACGACCTTCACATTTTTATAAAATAAATGATTAATGTGGGGACAATTAATTCCACCCATACTCTGTTCCCCAAACAGCTTTATCCATCTTGAAAAAGGTCTTTCACTTTCAAGGATAAAGGATACATATTTTTAATACAATTGTGAACAATCAGGTATGTAATTTATATTTGCTATGCATAATAAAATACATAATTAAACATCATTCCATAATTAATTAAGGCATTAAAACCTGGAAGTGGCAAGAAGCTACTTTGCAGCAGCATCCTGAGTTGGGAGATTGTTTGTAAATAGTCGCATAATATTAGGACTGCTTTTATATCTGTTTTATTTTCTCCAAGTGTCATTAGATAGATCAGTCTTGATTATATACTGCATTTGAATATGTGCTTTAAACAGAGTGACCAAAGGATACTCATGTAAGCCGTTCAGATAAAATCTAGGGAGGAAAACGTTCAGTCCGAATATAATACCCATTTCAAAACAAACCGGAATGGAATTTACTATGTATATTATTAAGATGGTCCAAGTTCGTCCCTCAGGCAGTTTGTGGATTGAATCCCTACAGCACAAAAATAGGAGATAAGCCATTTCTTTTATGGTTATGCAGCAATAGTAAAAATAGAAAGTTCAGATTCACCTACCTGCCTGTAAATCTTGTCTTCTGTGACAAGCAAGTAGTTTATCACAGTTCAGTGTAGTCAGACTATCCTGAATACTTTATTGATAATAATGATTATAATAAAATGATAACAGTAAACATTTGCCAGATACTATGTTAATTAATTTAGATATGCTCACTTATTTAATCTTCACAATAGTCTTAAAAGGTTAATATTGTTATTCTTGTGTTACAGACGAGGAAACTGAACAGTTAAGTGACCTAGAATGTATACAATAGCATGATCTATCTTATAGATTAAAAGATGAGAAATTGAAGAACATAGTACAAATTGCATATAATTGTTTTCTGCATATATAAGAGATGGGTGTTTTGTCGAATTGGCTTGGGTTTTGCCTTTGAAGTTTGTGTTGCTATTATGATAAAAAGAACTCAGCACATAATAGTTGTTCTATACCCTTGAATGAAATTGAAGGTTCCCAGCCAGCTCTCAGCTAGTTTCCTCCTGGAGGAGTCAGAATGTCTGAATTGATAATTATACTGAAGAAAAAAAAATCTGCATTACCATATCTGTCAGGGAGAAGGATGGATAAGTGCAGAGGAAAGGTTCACTGAGCTGCCCTCATCAGGGATAATCATATTCCTTATTTTCAAGTAATGTCCCATTTGATAGCTGATGTCAGCAGGTGATTGAGTGTGTTCTGAGAACCTGTGACTGAACCCTGCAGGGATTTTACTAAGTATGAAAGGCCCTCAAAACAAAAAGCAGTCTGGGAACAGGTAGGTTGGAGATTTGACTGTATTTATTTCATATTCCCATGAATGCTTCATGTGTCTTGCAGGTGAGTTTACAGTGAGGACACATCACATTTCTGGATCTCTTTGGTATCTACCCTTGTGCTACCACAAAAGTGTTGTCTCTGTATTTTAACCTCTCAAGGCTGCCTGGCATTCTTCAAATGCAACAGCAACTCAAATATCTTCTGCCTTTGTTTATGCCTCCTCTTTCCTTGGGAAGATCATTAATTATTTCTTAAAACCCAATTGAAATACCACTTCTAAACTAGTAGTTCATTTGACTCCGTGCTTTCTGCTGTTCTTTCATATCAGCAGATTCAGGTGGAGACATGATGGTTTTATCATGAGACATATAGATAAGGAGAGATAGAGGACTGGAATAGACCTAGGTGGGCTCTGGATGTGAGAATGGATCCAGGCTGAGACATCTGACAGCAAGAAATAGATCCAGTGAATGAGACAGTGACTTCTGAGTCTATGAGCCTAACTAGGTCATTCATTCATCATTATTCAGTGTCAGGCATTGTGTCAGTAGGATTGAAAGACTTATTTCTAGCTTTCAAATTGTCTGTACCAGAAGGCATGCATACTAAGAAATATATTATAATTCAGATAATAATAGGTGTCATTGTTACCAAGATGAATAAAAGAATTTTCCATTGGGTTTTCAGATAATAACTGGAGGAATCTTAGAGAAGTATACATTCCAGGAAGTTATCTTGGAGGTTTCCGGTAAATCCCAGATGCTGGGCCTGCAGTCCTCAGAACAGAGGCCACTAGAGTCAGCCAAGGCAAAACTCTATTCTGGGAACTGGAATGTAGCAGAATGAGGAAAACTTAAAGCTCAAAACCATGGAGCCTTAAGGCAGGTGCTTAGCTTGCCACCAGAGCAAACTGGGAACAGCCAGTAAGGAAGGGTGGCTGGTGCTCAGCTCCCTCACCTAGGGCATGTGGCAGTTTACAATACTGTTTGTCTTATGTCCATATTGGTTGGATCTATCTTTTTGTACCCTAACTCTGTCACTTAGTAGTTGTATTACTTTGGGCAAATCTCTTAACCTTACCAAGCCTAGGTTGCTTTGTCTAAAGTGGAGATTAATATTAATTGCTTCTTCAGGTTGTTCTGAGTAAGTGAACAAACATTTAACTTGGGTTCGCACACTCCTCCATTATGGCATTTCCATCTATATGTCAATAGTGTAGAACTTGCACTCCTCTGTCACACTGTAAAATCAAGTACATAGTATTTGGCACAATCAGGGTATGTTGAACAAAAGAATAACTCAGCTAGAAAATAAATGTAGAATGTCCCCAAAATCTATAGCAAGGAATAAAGTCAGTCTATGGTTTGTTCATTTTTATGAACATTTTTATGAACTATAACATGCATAGTAGAGTTTCAATTTTTGCTGATATCATCATCACATTCTCATAATCATCATCACCATCACTATTGCCATTATCAGTATTACCATCTGTTATGGGGCAGACTTTAGCTAAGCCCAGCTATAGGGTGCTAAAGATTGCAGATGTAGGAGCTTGGGTTCGCACACTCCTCCATTATGGCATTTCCATCTGTATGTCAATAGTGTAGAACTTGCACTCCTCTGTCAGACTGTAAAATCCAGTACATAGTATTTGGCACAATCAGGGTATGTTGAACAAAAGAATAACTCAGCTAGAAAATAAATGTAGAATGTCCCCAAAATCTATAGCAAGGAATAAAGTCAGTCTATGGTTTGTTCATTTTTATTTTCTAGGATTTGTAAGCTTAAGTAAAGGAAATAGTAAGCAATAACTGTGGCATGATAATGATACTTGAAATGCAATACTATGTGTTGTGTAATACTATGATACTATAGTTGCTTTGTTTAGGACTACTGGACATGATCTTATGTTCTCTGCACCTTACAAAATGAAAATGTGTTTCATTCTATTAACAATTGAACCCTAGCTTACTACCATCCACCTCTTACTTATTTCTCCTACGTTAATCCAAGTGTGAATTGAGGCAAAAAAAAAAAGTACCACAGATGTCTTCTAAATAGTCTTAAATAGTAACAGAGTCATTGCCCACTTTCTCATTATAGTTAATTAAATCAGTGTACAACTAAGATTTATGTGGTCCATTGATTTCAATTTTACTTGTCATAAATGTTGCTGCCCATTTGTGGTAGTTTTTTAGCTCTAGTAACCAGAAGTAGGAAGGCACCTGCCTACCTTGTTATTTTCTGAAAAGATAATATATGTCCACAGTGCCAGCAAATTTGTATTCATAAACATCAGCATATAAGGAGCTGTTGTGTCAGGAACACTGAAAATGTGGTAAATATTAATTTCTAGACTGCTGTTTTGTCAAGGATTTTTGGAATCAGCATTTCATGTATTTTTCTTGCCCTTGGAGTCTTCTAAATGATAGAAGTAAAATTCTGCAGTCTTTAGCAGGGTGTATGTTTTTCCACATGGTGAAATTCTACCTCTGTTTACTGAAAAGCTGTGTTCTGCCTTTTCACTGCATAGCTCTGGTTTGTTTAGATGTATGGAGCAGGGTATGTGGTTTTTATTTGATTTTATTTTTAGAAATTAGCAGTCACTGTTTTTAAAGCACAATGAACAGGAAAATGATATTCTACATAAAAGACAATAAGTAACAATATTTTAATAACATTAACATAAGATCCATAAGCTCTTAAAAATTTATTAACTTGGCTGGGTGCGGTGGCTCATGCCTGTAATTCCAGCAGTTTGGGAGGCTGAAGCAGGTGGATCACCTGAGATCAGCAGATCGAGACCAGGCTGGCCAACATGGTGAAAGCCCATCTCTACTAAAAATACAAAAATTAGCCGGGCATGGTGGTGGGCACCTGTAATTCCAGCTACTCGGGAGGCTGAAGTAGAAGAATCGCTTGAACCTAGGAGGCAGAGGTTGCAGTGAGCTCAGATCACACCATTGCACTCCAGCTGGGCGACAAAAGCGAAACTTCATCTCAAAAAAAAAAAAAAAAAAAAAAAGTTTATGTGGTTTTTAAAAAATGATTGTTTATATAGTAGAGTCATTGATAGGTGTTTTCTATACACTTTTTCTTTTTTTTGGAATAAGCCACCAAAGAAGCTGTCTAAATTGACTGATGACTTTCCAGTCACAAGGCCTTCACTTCTCATACAAGCCCCTCTATTGGTCCTGGAAGGAATTGTGCTATATTTCAAATATCTGTGGATATTTGAAAATGAAGATTGAAATGCTCATGGGGAGTGGGGTTGAAGCCATCAGCTTGACAGTGTGAGTCCTGAGTTTTAATCCTTGATCTATCATGCCTAACCAGGTATGTGACTTGGAGTGTCATTTAATCACTCTGAGCCACTTGGCATGAGTCATTTAACCTCTCTGAGCCTCACTTTCTCCATTGTAATGTAGAGATAACAATACCCACTTCACATGTTTGTTGTTAAGATTACCAGAAGCAACATATGAGAATGCTCAGCCATCAGGGTTCAGTCAGTAATTAGCTCTTCTTGCCTAGGAGTTACCTTCCAGTCCTAGCTTTGTCATTCATGTACTGTATGATATTTCTATTTATTTTTTCTCTAAAAGGATGACATTACATTGAATAGCCTCTTGAGTCAATATGAGTTCTAAAAGTCACAATTCTAATCTCCATATCAAGAAGGGAGAGATTAGAAGCTGCTTGTATGGTCTGTGCTCTGTCTTTGCCTCTCTGGCCTTCCCGGTGAAGGGAGGGAGGAATTGTGCTACGTTTATAACATACAAATGAACCATTTTCAGATAATCAGAAAAAAATAGATAATTGCACTAAAACTAAATTAAACATATTGATCTGGAATGATTCAGAAAGAAATTTGGAGACATGGTTACAATGCTTGCCCTGATAAGGTGGTAGGAAGAAAAAAATACTTAGAATGAGATCCTTTCCTCCCTAGTCACTAACTAAGTAATGGAGAAACAATCAGTTTACATAAAGCTTATTGTCTTTATCTTTAAAATGGAACAAAGATTTTTAACTTGTTGTAAGTATTAAGTGTGGTACATGTAGAAAGTATTGTATTGAATGTGTGCAACATGTTGTATGTATTTAAGGAATGTTAATTTTCTTTTTTATTATCATGTTACCTTCCCTATAACCGGCTTTCATCATTTCCCTGCTGACAATACCACTCCTACTTGACAAAAGCCTTCAAACAAAGAGCCACACAAAAGTTTAGGATTCCACTCTTGCTGCTGATTAGGGTTGCATGCTGTTGGTAGGAGATCCTGTGGAGGAGAGAGAACCTCTGGTATAAAGGGCCCTTCTAAGTCCTGAAGTGCATGTGATTCATCCTAATTGCTAAATGGCTGGTCTGTTAATCATGCACTCTGCTTAGTACTCTGGTTTGCAGAGCAGAATAGAGAAGCACTCAGAGCAGAATCATGGTGATATAAAAGAGGAGCGCTTTCTTGGGGGGAAGTGCAAGGAATTCAATATTGCTAGAACATAATGTGCAAGGAAAGGAAGAGCAGGAGATGAGACTTGAGCAGTAAACAGTGGCCAGATCATTGAAGGCCTTTGTAAATGGTGAGTCATCGGAGGATTTTAAACTTTAGAGTGATGTGATCAGATTAGCAGCAGGATCGTTCTGTCAGCAGTGTGGAGGATGAATGGAAGGAAGGTGAGACTGTAGATGCAAGATGAGCAAGGGCCTTGCTGTAGACATCTACAGAGAAAGAGGCGGCCCTGAACTAAGACAGCAGCACAAGGGAAAATGCTGAGTTGTAAAATGTTTTAGGTCTTGAAATTGAAATGGTGACTGCCTGGATATAAGTGGTCAAAGAGCAGTGGCCTACAGGGTGACCCTCAAGATTTTATCATGGCTCATTAGGTCAGGGCTACCTGTGCAATCACAGATGTGCTTGCTTCCATGAAGCTCTTGCTAGTCCAACTTGGTAGGAAGAAGTCACTTCTGCAATAATTTCATTGCATTTTTATCTATATAATTTCTACCTTGAATTATAATTATTTGTGCACATAGCCATAACCCCCGATTGACTTTAAGCTCATCAAGATGAAGACGTTGTTTAATGCAACCCTGAGTCCCAAGCAAGTGGCTGGTTAATTGTCTTAAATAACATGTGCAATGATGAGTTAATGGGTGCAGCACACCAACATGGCACATGTATACATATGTAACAAATCTGCACGTTGTGCACATGTACCCTAGAACTTAAAGTATAATAATATATATATATATATATAACATGTGCAAGTTGTCATTTCACTAGACAAAAATATTGGGCATATATTTCATTTCTTCTTCTTGGCCACAGATTACATTATTTTTTATAAAGACATTGGTCTCAGGTATGTCTCCTTTGGAATACCACTTCTGCCCCCGTTGGTTGATTCATTAATAACTAATGTCTGATTTATTTCCTTCTTTTAATTGGTTAATTTCTCTGAATCTCCAGGTCATCTTTTCCGAGCTCATTGGCACCCTGAATAAAAATTTTAAAATATTGTTCTATCTGGGATAAATTAAAGCTGTTGTCTCCTCCTAGTTCTTCACATACATCTAGGTCCTTGAAAAAGGATAATCTAGTAGGATCTGTTTAACTTGTAAAGGTGCTGGCTATAGGTTAATACCCTCATTTCTTCAAGATAGCTACAAGTGATTCTATGATCCTTGTTTTGCAATACACTCTAATTTGTAAAAAGTAGGTCTACAGTGATGATTGAATATGGGGAAAGGACAGTTCTTGACTGTGACACAGGAAGCCTGGGCTCTAGATGTCATTCTACCACAGGCTATCGGTGCAACCTTGAAAAAGTCACTTTACCTTTTGAGTTTCAGTGCCTTATCTGTGAAATCAGAGTGTTACACTAGCACTGCAAATAAATATCCCATGTATCCAAATGCTATAAGATATGTTAAAGTCAACTGGACAAATCCAGTGATTTGTCAAGGCCCTCTTTTTTTCATTAAAGTGTCACCAGTCCTATCAGAGCAGGGTTGGAAGGAAGGTAGGTCTAGGAACTAAAAATAGAAAGAAACAGTAACAACAACATAACCTGACCTAGGTCCAGAGGTTTTTGGGAAGCAGGCCAGGGGAACAGGCAAAGAATGAAATCCAAAATGTATGGCCTTAGAGAGCAGGTGGTCATCCAAACAGTCAGATGGCATGGAGGATGGGAGAGATAGTGGCCACAGTAGGAAGGCCGTGAAAGGCAACAAAAGAACCCAGGAGCATGTAATGCTCAGAAGTCAGAATCATGGAAGTCTGTCAGGGATTAGCAGGGCCCTGGCCACCTGCCTGGGTTCATAGGCGGGGCAGAGATTAAAAAGGGAGAAATGGGAGGGGTGGGGGAAACAAAAGCGAGACAGACTTCCAGGTTTGGGGAGCCTGACATATTAGGCATGTCTCCAAAAGAGAGATTCAGGCAGAGAAGAGCAAGACAGAAGGTGAGTTATCAGAACTGGGGCACCAGGTGGGGACTGAGGTGCGGAAGCCCAGTTATGATAACTGGGACAAAAGGTCAGGGCTTGAATAATAGGTTAATGATGAGGCCTAAAGTTTTAGAATTTGGGCCACTTTAAGGTTTCTTCTAATTCACAGCTTTTAGGAAGCAATGATTTCTCCTATCTGTGAGCTGCCCATCTTTGAAAACTGACTGACAGTCTCCTTTTCCCTCTCTCACCTTCCACCTCTTCTCTTTCTCTCTGTCCCTGTCCATTTCATTGAGGGTTTACCAAGTTCAAAGTATGAATGAATAAGGAATGTACTCTGGAAGGATATTGAAAAACAGGGAAATTGATAATCACAATACAACGGAATAAATGTGGCAGAGAGGTATGTGAAAAATACAGAGAGAATGGAGGAGCAAGAATTCTGCTCCCTCCAGAATTGAAAAAGGCAGGCCAAGAGGAATTCTTTGAACAGCCTTAAAAGGAAGGTAGGTTGGATGTGGTGGCTCATGCCTGTAATCCCAGCACTTTGGGAAGCCAAGGTGAGTGGATTCCTTTAGCCCAAGAGTTCAAAACCAGCCTGGCCAATATGGTGAAACCCCATCTCTACAAACAAAGTGAAATAAAATACACAAAATACAAAAATTAACATCGTATGGTGGTGTACACCTGTACTTGCAGGTACTTGGCAGGCTGATGCAAGAGGACCATTTGAGCCCAGGAGGTCAAGGCTGCAGTGAGCCCTGTTTATGCCACTGCACTCCAGCCTGGCCAACAGAAGGAGACCCTGTCTCAAACAAATGAACAAACAAACAAAAACAAGAAAAACAACAACAAAAAAAGGTCAGGTATTAGTTTGCTGGGTAGATAGGCAGGGCAAGGGCAGACAGAGAAGAGAGACCTGTGTTTGTGGGTAGGTATGAAGTTAAGGAATGGGCATATTCAGGTAATCAGGGGTTAAGTGTGGTGACAGCTAGGGCAGTAGGGGGAGTTTTCAGAGATCAATGGACAAAATAAATGGGGAGTTTTCAGACTTCAGGTAGCACTAGAGTTGCTTGTAAAGAAAATGACTCTTGGCAGAAAAGAAGGGAAGATGGGAGTATAGAGTGAATAACAAAACTGTGACCAAGAAGGGGGCTATTGCTCATGATCTTGGCAAGAGATGGCAGAGATGGAACCAAGGTTATGGCGATAGAGATGAGCAGAGACAGTTAGATTTAAGGCAAAGAAGTAAGGGATCCTCAAATATGTAACTGAACTAAGTTACAAGCAATTCACAGGAGACAAGGGCAGACAACTAGAAAATTGTGAATTGAGTTTTTATATATCACCTTCTTAGTGAGGCCTTCCTGCGTACTTGTTCAGTAACATTCCCACCACATTCCTAGTCCCCTTCTTTAGCTTTTTTTCCCCCTTAGTACTTTCTAGTCTCTATTATTTCACATATTTCATTCATCTTTTTATTGTCTGTCTCTTTCCACTAGAATGTACCTCTGAGGGGCAAAGATTTTGTCTTTAAGATCATTGTTTTATCCTTTAATGCCTTGCACTTTGAACATTTCTGGCTTTCAATAGGTTAGATATTAAATATGGAATGTATGAAATCAAAGCACCAGCAGTCATGGACCAAAACTTATAGGAAGGCAAGACTTCCAATCATACAATATTCTACATGAAAGGAATTGTAGACACAAGACTATGTCTCCTTCATGGTACGGAAGACAGAAGTGACTTGCCCAAGACATAGAGCATGTCAGGCAGAGATAATAGGAAGTAAAGAGTATGTGAATGTATGGTGCTTGGTCTTCCAGGGGCTCATTGACATTGAGGAAAGGAAATAAGGATGGAGATACTAAGGTTGGCTGTGGAAAGAATACTACAGCTGCAAGGCAGTCCTTGTATTACTAAATTGAAAATTGCTAACATAAAACAGATAAATATTTTGATCTCTTTTTGTAATTGAAAGATATTGAAACAATTGTTTCTTTTTTCCTGCAAGGACTGTTTTCATTCATTTTGTCCTTTGCCTGTCCCTATTTATGAATTATTCTCCCCCCTCTTCCTTATTACAAGAATAAAGAGGATATTCATTTCCTTTGAACCTGGGTGTTACATATCAACATTGTCCCTTTTCCCTATTATAATAGTGTTTGTTTCCTTCCTTCCTTTGTCCCTCAATAAACATCAACAGTCAATAAACACTAGGCTATTGGTCTATAAAAAGTAAGTGACATTAGGTTATTTTTCCTATCTAGAAATGTTAAAATATCCTAAAAGGCATGAGGATTTGGAAATTATATGAAAAGTTAGACTATTACCTTGCATTTTACTAGTCTGTTTATTTCTACATTCTTTCCTTCCTTCATTTTTCTGTTGTTCAACACATATTTCCTTTGCACATATTAATTATAGCTGGTTGAGTTGTTTCAGGTACAAAAGTAAATCAGGGAGTTTACAGCATGGTGAGAAAGATAGGAAATAAGACAAACACAAAACTTTCAATCATCCTGTACATAGATATCTAGTATATATTCTACTTATATTTAAATTACTAGACACGTATTTACCTAATAGCTACTATAGGTGTAGGCACTGTGTTAGGCAATGTGGGTCCAATAGGAAATAAGACAAACAGAGTTTCCATCCTTCCATACTAGTTGAGAAAACAAACATATGACTGTGGCACGTACTGCAATGAAAAGGTAGGTGAGGGTGCTAACTTTGTCTAGGGATTGAGGAAAGCCTTCTCAAAGAGGTAGTATTTGAGTCGAGTTTTGAAGGCTGAGTAGAAATGAACTAGGTAGGAAAAGGTGGAGATGGGAAGGAGGTGTCTAGACAGAGGAAACAGCATGTATAAAGGCCCTAAGACAAAAAAGGACATGTCTTATTAAAAGATGAATACATGAGAAGATGAGAGCAGCAAGGAGAATGTTAGATGAGAGCGGCATACCAAGATATATCATGTAGAATACTATAGGCCAGCAAGGATAGACATCAAGGTTTTTGCTCTTCCTCAGAGCAGTGGGAAGTCAATAAGGCTTATAAACACGGTAAAGCAATAATACAATTTGAAATTTGGAGACTGGATTGGAGTATGGCAAAAGTAGATGGAGTGAAAAAAGAAAGGATAAGAGTGATATAAAAATATTAGATAAAAATGCAGAAGAGGGATTATCTTCTGTTAAAAATGTTGGAAAAGGATGAATGGAAGAGGTGGCTTTGGACTTGGCTTTGAAAAGAAGGTAGGATTCCAGTATGCAGGAATAGGAACTGTGAGTTATCAAGGTTATTTTCAACAGAAGACCAATATTTAGGAGGTCAGGGAGATGTGAAAGCAAAGGTGATGTATGGGAAACAGCAAGTCAATAATTCTGGCTAAAGTATGGGACAGACACCCGAATCAAATGAGTGAGAAATAGATTGAAGAGTAGAAGTTAGAGTTGAAGAGTTTGGACATTTAACTATGTGAATTTTATTGGGTAAGCTAGTAGGCGTCATTGAAGGATTTTGAGCCCACAAGTGCATGCTTATAGCTGTTTTTTTTAGGGAGGTTAATCAGGAAGGAACATATAACAGTGATAGAAAATAATAGAGGTTGGAGGGAATGAGAACAGTTGGTAGTCTAGCACAAAAGATTTGGCTGGAGCCAATCATGGCTTGAATGAGGGTGGTGGCAGTGGGAATGTAAAGGATACAAAAGACATGGAGATAAAATAAACAGTAATGGCAATTGATTGGCTGTCAGGGAAACTGGGGACCGTTTAAAGACTTCACAGCATTGTCAATACTTCATTTTATTTGGTCTTTGGTACAAATCTTTGAGGCAGGGTATGAATTTGGTGCTCTGGAATACAGAGTGATAACCACATGATATCTTGCCTACATGCCATGAATAGCTTTGTCACTACCACAGCAGTTTTTGAGTGACTCCCAAATGGACTGTATTTTAAATGTTAACCTACTAACAATTATCTCCATGTTCTATTAGCAATCAACTGAACCATCTGTTCCTACTGATAGAGGATATCTTCTGGAAATGAACTTGAGAATGGTGAAATATCAGATATTAAAAAAAAACACAGTCTGAGAACACTTTATACCACTCCATCCTCTAGCCAGAGAGAGAGAGAGAGAGAATTGGAGTGGGGGAATGGAATTCTTCCTTTTCTGTTATATAAAGCTTATGCTATTAATACAACATGTAAGATACATAATGAATTCTGAGTTAATTTTTTTTTTTTTTTTTTTTGAGACGGAGTTTCGCTCTGTCGCCCAGGCTGGAGTGCAGTGGCACGACCTTGGCTCACTGCAAGCTCCGCCTCCCGGCTTCACGCCATTCTCCTGCCTCAGCCTCCCGAGTAGCTGAGACTACAGGCGCCCGCCACCTCACTGGGCTAATTTCTTGTATTTTTAGTAGAGACGGGGTTTCACCGTGTGAGCCGGGGTGGTCTTTATCTCCTGAGCTCGTGGTCCGCCCGCCTCGGCCTCTCAAAGTGCTGGGTAAAATTACAGGCGTGAGCCCCGCACCTGGCCGAGTTAATTTTTTTTTATTGCCAACCTTTTTACATTTTTTTTTTTTGACATGAAGGACTAATCATGAAATGATGTGAATGGAAAGGCAGTGCCAGTAGTGGAAAAAGCCCTGGATTTGTACCACAAAGAGCAAAATTTGAATTTATCTCTGTTATTTATCAGCAATATAATCTATGTTGCCACTTAATATCAATCAGCCTTAAATTTCCCATCAAACCTAGAGACAAATCTTGACTCCAGATCTTAACCATTCAATGACCTTGAACTTGTTCTTTAACAATAACTGCCCTCACTGTGGTAGAGGATTGAGAGGGATAAATAATATAGATACATTTTATTCCTCTTAAAATACTAGCCTACTGGTTAGGCTAACATAATGCCTCTTAGTTATTCTGCCTACATAAAGCTTTTCTTTCATTATTCCTTCTTTCCTACAGTTTCAAAATTTCTCTTGATGGAAAACATTTTCAGGTATTTAATTTTTGATTAAGCCATTGGATTAGAGAGAGGCATGGCTTATCTGAAAACTCCAATGAACTGAGAAAAAACAAGGCTGCATTTCATTTTTGACATTAAAAACATAATTTTCAAAATGTATAGGTTACTCCTTAGAAAAGTACAATTTATGTTCTTGAAATTCATATCAGTTTCTATACTTTATGGAAGTTCATCTGCTTCAAACATGTCAAACGTGCAAATAAAATATGCTAAAAAGTGACGTGAAACCCTGTCTCTACTAAAAATACAATTAGCCTGGTGTGGTGGCAGGCGCCTGTAGTCCCAGCTACTCGGGAGGCTGAGGCAAGAGAATGGCATGAAGCCAGGAGGCGGAGCTTTCGGTGAGCCAAGATGACATCGCTGCTAAAAAGATGACTCAGTTCTCTTCAAAAGTGTATCTGTAGCTAGAGTGTAGTAAAGTTATTTAGGGTCACCACCCAGAATAACTCTTTTGCTGGGTCCAGTGTACTTTTGTCTTCTGCCAGAAGTGAGCTCCATAGATATTTACATTGAGTACTAAAATATTAATTAAATGTACTAAAGAAATCCTCAATGAAGCTGCTTTGACAATAGGGCCAAAGGAGAGTTATTTATTTAATGGGTATTTATAGAGTGCCTACCACGTTAGGCACTCTGCTAACCCCTGGGCAAACAGAAGTAAGCAATATAGAAACAGCCCTTGTCCGCATTGAAGAGACAGTCCAGGGGTTGGGGGTGGAGGAAAGACATTAAACAAATGATTACAAAAATAAGTATAATAAGTTGTGAAAAGTGTATAATAATACTTTTCCATGCAGGAAAAGTACAGGGGGTTTTGAGGGCATGTGGTAAGAGAGTCTGCAAGGTTCTGCCCTTGAAGAACTTACAGTCTTCTTTAATATACTATGCATCTTCTATGGGGGAAGCTGGTCTATGCAGGTCTTTGCAGTTTTACCTGATAAATAACTTGCCTGCTGTCTGACACTAGGAAAGCTGTTTAATCTCTCCAGAGTTCAGTTTTCTCAACCATAAAATGAAACAGAAATACTAACCCGATAGGGCTATTATGAAGATTAAATGAAGGAATCAACCATGTGTTTGATACATGTTATGTGCTCAATGAATGTTAACTATGTTGGCAGAAAGGGGGAGGAGGAGGAGGAGGAGGAAGTTGGTGATGGTGATGATGACGATGATGCTGCTGATGTTATTGCAGTAGACAGGGTAGAGGGAAAGTTAGTAATTCAGAATGAGAATTCTATAGTCTTGATACTCAGACTAATATCTGTTATTTAGAAAAAAATACACAACTATAATCAAAATATTAGGGAAAAATCCTTAAACATACAAAAAAAGCAATGTCTAAATCTGCTGTCTAGTCTGTATTTTTTTTTACTGTGTGCTAATGGAAACCAATAATTTGAACAAGAAAGGGAAAGGGTGAGGTATCATTTGAGAAAAGGAAACTTAGTTTCCAATTCTGGTCTGCACTTTTGGTGATAAAGCAATTGTGATATTTAAGCGTTTGGATAACTGTCAATAAAGAATTTGGTAAGGAGGGTTTTCCTGTTAGAGTGGGCATAGGAGCCTAAGAAGACGTGTTGGAGAGACAAACAAATTAGCATTGAAGCCCTAAAATGAGCAGGAAATTGACAAAGTGAAAAGAGAACTAGATTTGAGCCAGCAGTCTTTACTTCCAGTCTTAGGTTTACTTCACCAGTGAGCTATATGGTCTAGTTAATCTTAATGCACCTCTGTTTCTTCTTTTGTAAGACAGGAATGACACCTAACTTATTTAGCCGATAAATAACATGTTTACTTTATGAAATATGCCTACTTTGGGTAGATGTAATATATCAAGGGATAGTTAATACTGAATGAGAATATACATATGAATGCTCTTTTGAAATTATAAAGCACTAGACAAACCTAAAATTATTGGTCATAATCTTACTCTCCTAACTGGGGGCTTATATTTTTACATTTAAATTTCCTGCCTTCCCAAGCCATTTATAAGCTCCTTGAGTGTGGGAAAGATGCCGTATTTGTTTTAGTGTCCCCCCAGTAGGTAAACACAGCAGAATTTTCAAACATGTATTAACTGAGCTGTTGAGGATCTACCATAGTTGAAGAAATCAGACTTGCCTTCACAGGCAAGGAACAAAATATTTCTAGCAGTCGATATATTGACAAACAGGTTAGGTAGCATCAGTAGACATACGTACAGCCAAACGTAGTGGGCCAGACGTGCTGAACAAAGGTTTTGGGTTTATCGATCAGACCCAAATTCAAGCATAGGCAAGCCCCTTGGATTTTTGTAGAACCAAAAAACAAACAAACAAAAATAGTCCAATGTCTTATGTTCATGGAGCAAACTTTTAATGAGTGTCAAAATGCTATCATGGGTCAGGCACAGTGGCTCACACCTGTAATCCCAATACTTTGGGAGGCTGAGATGGGTGGATAACCCGAGGTAAGGGGTTTGAGACTAGCCTGGCCAACCCAGTGAAACCCCATCTCTACTAAAAAATACAAAAATTAGCCAGATGTGGTGGTAGTCCCAGCTACTCGTGAGGCTGAGGCAGGATAATCGCTTGAACTCAGGAGGCAGAGGTTGCAGTGAGCCAAGATCACACCACTGCACTCCAGCCTGGGTGACAGAGCGAGACTCTTTCTCACATAAATAAATGAATAAATAAATATTTTTTAGTGCCATCATGGCTCCTATCCTGTAGGAGTCCACCATTTAGTGGAGGAGGAGAGAAACAAGCATATAATGCAATTTGAGACACTGTGAATGAAAGTGTCTACAAAGGGCTATGAGATTAAAAAGGAGACCCCTGAAGAGGCCAGAGATAGCTTCTCAGGAGGGTTAAAGGTGACATATAGAAGAAGGAACACTAGCAGGGTAGTGAAGAGGATACAGAGGGAAAGGCATTCCCGGCATTTTCAGTCCCTATTTTTGTATGATGATCTGTCTTAAGAAGTTTCTGATATTTGTTTAGACTAAGAGATGTGTGTACCTCATGAAAGACACAATTAAGATAATTAATTGTTAATGATTCCTTCATTTTTTGAACACCAACCCTAAAATTTTCTTATATATACTATGCATACTAAAAAGTGAAAATATAAAGCTATAACTGAGAAAGTGTCATAGAGTTCTGAAAATGAATTCACAGTCGAAGCCCAAATAGAAAATTAAAATCTGCTCTTTAAGCTGCTCCTTTACTGAGAGTGTTTTGAGTCCACAGTAATTCCGGGTATAGAATACATCTTGTGCTTCATAAATTGGGCTGAGCCAGAATACTGCAACTGATGTTACAACACAGATCATATGATAGTTTATTTTACACAGTAAGAATTGTGTAAACCCATCACCAACTCTTTTTTTCACTGAATGGTTTATTTTGTTTCACACTGGAGTGTGTGGTTTATTTTGGTTTATTTACCTTTGCTGTCCATCTAAAATACTTGGGGATATCACCTACACTACTGGATTGTTTAACACCTTCTTAACATGAACAGAGGTTTTAATAAGGAAATGAATATTGCAAATGCATTTATTGCAAATCCTATATTAAGGCTGAGATGTGGGTCTTAAAAAATACTCATTCTTATAAGGTACCCAGTTTTCAGGGTACAAGTGGATGAAGAACAGTAGTCCTTTCTGCCTTCCTGGTCACCATTAATTTTGATGATTACTTCCAAAACCTTAGATACCAGTATGAGCTCTACTTTATTCTTTATAGTACTACTAATATCGTCTTCTCTTTCTCCTGTTTCTTGACAATTTTGCTTTCTGGTTTCCTCCTTGTTCTTGCACTACCTCTGATGCTGTCCACACACTCCCTTTTTAAGAGCTTTCAGACATAACACTTGGCCAGCACTCCCTCTGCAGGTGATCTGATGAATCCATTACAGTCATCTTGTCACAATCATATTTGTTTTTCGAATATTGTTATATGTTGCCAAAGCGCTGTATATCAACTTGTTAAAAGAATTGTAGCAAAAGTACAAGGAAGCCTTTCAGAACTAAGCTGCTTTAAATAACAGTATCACTTAGATTCCCACAGTCCAATCTGTCCTTAGACAGAATCCACTATTATAAAAATAAAGCATTATGAAGAAAGAGTTCATGTATAATTGATTTTTGCATCAAAACAAATTATGGTTCATGTGTTCCTGATGAAAATATTGTTAATTTCCACAGACTGACAAAAGCCTTTTCTCCTAAACTAGACCAGTAGTTATTACAACTTACACAATCTAGGAATAAGCTTGAATCCTTAAAAGTAGAGAAGAAACTGGAAATGTCAGCATGACATTAGTGGCTTTTATGAATGTACTTTCTCATGGTTAAAAAGCAGTATGTGAGGTGATGCAAGCTAACTGTGGTAACACAACAAACATCAGTGACAGTGCAATAAAGACTTATAGCTCTCACGTCAATGTTCAACTGAGTTGGCGATAGGGCTGTTGACCACATAGTCATGCAGAAACCTCTGCTCCTTCCATTTTTGTCACTACCACTTTCATCAGTTGACTTCTAAGATTGCCAAAAAATAGAGAGAGAGCATGGAGAATTGCACAAGTGGTTTCATGAGGAGGCCTGGACATGGCCCGCGTCATCTCTACTGGCATTCCATTGGCCGGAACGCAATGAATGGTGCCAAAATAACTGCAAACAAGGCTAAGAGAATTCATCATCTGTGGGTCCAGGAAGACAATAAAACAATTTGGTGAGCACATAGCATTGTCTCAGATAGAAGTTTATAATTTAGAATGAAGTGATAATTGTATTAGTCAGTATAATTCCCATTTCCTTTTTCTGATTTTTAAAAAATTTCTCCCTTAAGAAGTTTAAAGAGAGGCAGAGTGTATAATACTTGGAAGCAAGGGCTTTGTAGTCGTATCAGTCTTAGTTCAAATTTCCCTTTACTCTTGCTAGCCATTTATCCTCCTTGAGGTCTTTTTCCTGTTTTCCTTATCTTTAAATTTTTTCATTCATTCGTTAAGAATCAAGGTACTTAACAGGAAAGACACTGTAATGATAGAAGTGAGATAATGCATACTGCATAGGGAGTATTCAATAAATGATAACTATTATTATTTTATGAATAAATACAGGATAAAGGACATTCATGCACGTGACATTTACTATTAAACCTTTTCCACCCCCTTAAATTTAGGACCTTTGGGTCCCAAACCTTAAGCTATTCTCAGAAAAGATGTTGCACCGTCACAAAATAAAAGAGTTGAATGAGAAGAGGAATATCTCTGGTTGTGGGAATCAAAAGAACTTTACAGATTTTCCATTTTGTGGGGGTGAGGGTTGTTAGCTGCCCAGTCCACTGGAATGCGATGCCTATTTTCCCAATGGTATTAAGGATGACTCACAAGAAAGCTTGTTTTCACCAAGTCTCTCATCTCATCTGCACCAGGAAAGAGGCCTAGTTGTACCTCTTAGGCAGGAGAGCTTAGTGAAGTTTTTCTGTCCCTAATTTCTGTGAAGTGTGCTTTCTCTTTGACGTATGCACATAAATCACAGACACTTGCAAAACATCTAAAAGATTGAGGCTTGAGCTTGAATGAATTTGTCACAATTGAGTAGAAGGGTTCTCATTCAGTGCCCATGCACGAAACAAAAGAAAATTATGTTGTGCTGTCTGGTACATGATGTTTCTTATGGAAAAACAAAAACAAAAACAATTGCACCATATATTTTTTTTTAAAGTATCTTTTATGAAAACTTCCTCTGAAGATATGGTTAAGGACTTTTGCTGGTAACGTCTCTCATTTTTGCAATGAAAATTAACTATAAAACTATGTAGCCCGTATAAACCTAGTACAGTACTTTGAATATATAGAGTAGCTTCAAAGTCCTTCCTGGAAACTCTTCATTTAGCTGAGATTTGATTTATGGGAAAAGTGGAGCTATAAGTAAAGGATTTTTTTAAATTTTAAATTACAAATGGGAAAAGCAATAAGTAAATAAGTTCTAACATCACATAGTAGAATGTCAGTGGCCTAAAAGAACACTCAAAACTCCTAATTTCCAGGTCAAAATCTAAGAGCAGGCTACCTTTTATTAGACTTCTTATTGTTTGATGCCTCGTAATGTTTCTATAAACATAATAGGGGAAAATATGTGAAAGATTAGTTTAGCCCATTGCCCTTGGGCAGCTGAATTATTAAACCTTTCAAAACAAGGACTTCTGTTTCTGACAAATAGTGGACTATGTTTCTTGGACCAACCATCCCTTTGACTACAACTACAAATGTTGGATACAATATATTTTTAAACGAACAAAACTTTTATTTATTTATTTGAAATTGACAACATTGTATGCTTTTATCATGTACAACATGGTATTTTGAGGTACATATACACTGCGGAATGATTAAATCTAGTTAACTAAAAAATTAATTCCTTCAAAGTACCAGACAACTAACAAGATAGTTAAGCATTGTCAGGCAGAAACCTCTAGCCTGGGCAACATGGCAAAACCCTGCCTTTAGAAAACATACAAAAATTAGAAAGGTGTGGTGGTGTGCATCTGTAGTCCCAGCTACTCAAGAGGCTGGAGGTGGGAGGATTGTTTAAGCTTTGGAAGTCAAGACTGCAGTGAGCCGAGATCACAACACTGCACTCCAGCCTGGGTGACAGAATGAGACCCTGTCTCCAAAAAGGAAAAAAGCAAAAGAAGAAAGAAACCTAAGTGAAGACAGGATTCCAGAGGGTTGGTGTCGCACTAAGGCCCCTTCTGCCCTGACAGCATTTGCAACCAAATGAATTTAAGCTTTGAAATCAACCCACAAAGACTTCATATTGGAATTGTGGGATATGGATTATAAAATACTTATTGTTTAAAATAATTAAAGACGAACTTGAATAAACAGTACAGGAAATTGTAAAAACCGCCCAGCTGACTTGAAAAAAAAATAAAGAGAACTTTAATAAAATAAACAAATTGAAATTAAAAACAAGTTGAGAAGTGTAACAGCAAATTAGTCAAAGCTGAAGAAACAATGAATCAACTAGTCCAGAAAATTTATCCAGAATTCACAGAGGCAAAAAGATGGGAAATATGAGAAGTGAGAGGACATTGAGCTAGGTGAGGACTGGTGAGTATCCAACAGGCATTACAGAAGGAGGGGATAAACAGCATGTGGCAGAGGCAACATTTGAAAAGAGAAGGGCTAGGTGCTGTGACTCACGCCTGTAATCTCAGCACTTTGGGAGGCCAAAGTGGATGGATCACGAGGTCAGGAGTTTGAGACCAGCCTAACCAACTGGGTGAAACCCCATCTCTACTGAAAATACAAAAATTAGCTGGGCGTGCTGGTGCACACCTGTAATCCCAGCTACTTAGGAGGCTGAGGCAGGAGAATCGCTTGAACCCAGGAGGCAGAGGTAGCTGAGATCACGCCATTGCACTCCAGCCTGGGTGACAGAGCAAGACTCCATCTCAATAAAATAAAAAAAAGAAAAAGTAAGTAGGCAAGAGGTTTCTAGAATTGATAAAATGCGCAAATACAGAGATTCAAGGAGAAACAAGAATTGTAAACAGATTTTTTTAAAAGTCTGCACCCAGACATAGCATGGTGAAAATGAGAAAGAGCCATCTTAATAGAAGAGTGGTAAGGTGGCTGAGAGGGAGGGATGCAGAGAGGGCAGTGTATATCTCAATATATATTGAGAAAATAACTGTCATGCTATAACTTTTGTCTTTAAAAATGAAGGCTAAATAAAGATATTTTCAGGGAAAAAAAAAAAAACTGAAAGACTTTGGCACCAGCAGAACTTCTCTAAAGAATGTTCTAAAAAAATGCCCCATAGGCAGAAGGAAAGTGATCCTAGAGTGCCATGTATCTGAATTAATCTAAATGAACATATATTTTATAAAAGAAAAACATTGCTTTGTGTGGTTAAAAAATTGAGACCAGGTGCAGTGGCTCATGCCTATAATCCCAGCACTTTGGGAGGCTGAGGCGGGTGGATCGCTTGAGATCAGGAGTTCGAGACCAGCCTGGCCAACATAGTGAAACCCTGTCTCTACTAAAAATAGCTGGGCGTGTTGATGCATGCCTGTAATCACAGCTACTCGGGAGGCTGAGGCAGGAGAATTGCTTGAACCCAGGAGGTGGAGGTTGCAGTTAGCCAAGATCACGCCTCTGCACTCCAGCCTGAGTGACAAAGTGAGACTCTGTCTAAACAAACAACAAAAAAAATTGAACAGAGTAAAAATATGATGACAATAATGTATTAATGATGTGTATACATTAATAAGAAGTAGGAGAGTAAAATTGACTAAGTTTAGAATTTGATAAGTAAACGTTATAATTTCAAGGGTGACCACTTTTAAAAAGGGAAACAAAAATAAACTATATAATTTTAAAAAGTCATCTAAAAGAAAGAAAAAAATAAACACAAAACAGTTTGGGCAAATTAAGAGCAAAAATAAGGTAGCTAGAAAGCCAAATATGTAGCTTCCTGTATTAAACATTATTGAAACTACTGCTACACAAAACTAGATAGCTGCATCTCACAATGTAATGGTAAGAGAAATAGGCAAGTCACATTTTGTGTGATTCTGTTTCTATATAGTTCAAAATAGGTAAACTGTACTATATTGTCAAAGAATGAAGGATGGCAAAATCTATAAAGAAAAACAAGAACATAACTATTACAAAAGTTAGAGTAGTGCTTAGCTGTAGACAGACAGAAAGGATTTAGAGTGATACTTCATAACTACTTTTTAAACTGCACATATTTTATATACTCTTCTATATATGTTTTATATACATATATCTTCTAATAAGAATGTTTCCAAAAGATAAGTTTATATATAAATAAATGATACCATATGCATCTTTGCTATACAAGTTTTTCTTCATGTTTTGTGTTATTTCTTTAAAGTAAATGCTCAGAATGGAGATCAATGGTGAAAGATATTTATATATTTAGCCTCCTTAACTACAGTGATTCAAAGGCGATCCCGTCTGATTTCTAGGCCATTTTCTTAGTGAATACACATTATAGCTCACACGTTATTAAGTTATTTACCAAAAATTTAATGTCACCTTATGCCACCAGAAATGCATGAGTACCAATGTCTTTTTATTTGCATCCATACTTTTTTTAAAATGTTCATTTTGAAGCAAATTTAATAGGCAATTCTATTATATATTTTCAACTATATTTATGCTATGTTAAAAAAGTTTATCATTACAAAGAAGCCCAGCCGAAGGGTGAAGAACATGGCTCCTGAACCCAAACTGCCCAAATTAGAATCCTAGCTCTGTCTATAGTAACTAAGTTTAGAATTTGATAAGTAAACGTTATAATTTCAAAGGTGTAACTACAAAAACTTGGACAAGATGTTTTACCTAAGATATTTTACCTGTCTCTATTTTCTTCTCTGTAAAATGAGAACAATAATAGAATCTACCCAATGGAGTTGTTGCAAGAATTACATGTAAACTGCCAAAAACAACGTCTGATACATAGTAAGTGTTCAATACATGCTTGCAAATACTTTATTATTACAAGAATAGACCAAAATGGATTTGACCTCAGTGAAAATCACATTCCTTGAACATCGTAAGTATGATCAGTAAAATATAATATGGCCAACCTACAAGACAAATACTAACCTACACCTCTAAGACCATTGGCATATGAATGTCATGGATGTCATTTTTGCTTTGAGGGGTTCTAGTATTTAATGCTGACCTTGTGAATAGAGTATGAATCAAAGAGAGGGATGGAGAATGTTTGCAATCATCAGTTTAATTCAAAACTGAAATATTGCACTACGTCTCTGGCTTTGTAGTAGGCATTTAGAACATAGTAGTGTGCGAGGCTCTGCACGCTAGCGGGGAAAACAAAAAGCGAACAACTAAGTATTGGAAGAAGAAGTACAGGGGCACAATGGGAGCAAAAGAACAGGAGATCCAGGTCTCATTTAAGGTGTAAAGGAAAGCTTCCCTGGAAAAAGTCATATTTAGCACTTACTAGTGTACAAATCTGTGACAGATACATTGTGTCATAATTGATTCTTCACAAAGACTCCATTAGGTAGATACCAAATCCCTATTGTATAGATAAGAAAGCTGAGATTCAGAGAGGATGACTGGATAAGTGAAGCTGTTTCTTCATTTCCAGTGACCCACTCAGATTCCCATGGAATGGAAAACTAACGCTGGTGGCACTTATGGTTCTCTTTGTACCCCCTTAGCTGGCAAAATTTAAAATCCACTGTGAGCCAAATTCTAGCATACTAAACTGCAAACAGCTGCTTTGGCTTTTTTTTTTTTTTAACATTAACAGAAAATCCCAAGCTAAATTTAAATTTGGTTTTTAGGAAGAAACAATTCGAGGGAAAATAATCAGCATCTAGTTTTGTTTGCTTTCCATTAAGAAGTCTCGGAATACAATCAGCTGTAGTGATACTATTAAATGCTCAGGAAGTATTCAGACAAATTCACATCTCTACTAGCATGCCACCCTTGTCTTGTCTTGGAGTTCATTAACTTTCAGTTATGCTTGAATTCATTGTTCATTAGGTTATGGTAAAATATCGATTGTTTGATACTTAATATTGAAATGTAATATAAAGACTGGTTGTTGGAAAGATGAAATATCAAAACCATTTGTTTGGGTTGGGTTATTGGTAAAAATAGAACTAAGCTGTCTCAAAGGATGGTCTACCTCATCCAACCTCTTCCCCAAATGAGTAAACATTGTCATTGGTTTCTTATGTATCCTTTCAGACATTCTTTATCATCCAATCAAATATTTCATATTTTTTATATAAAGGATAACGTACATACTTGTCTGCATTTTAATTTTTTGTCACTTAATAATATATCGTCAAGATCTTCCCATATCAGCACTTGTTTTTAGAGCTTTCCCTGTATGAATGTAGCATAACTTATTAAGTAGTTTCCTACTGATGAGTATTTGGGTTTCTAATAATGTCCTCTTACAACTAAACCTAGTGACATTAACATTCACTGAATATAGGTGTATCCCTCAACTTTCAACCTTGTGTGTAGGTAGGATGGGGACACGTGTCTCAGTTAATCAATGAGATAGGAAGAGAATTAGCATAAGCAGTTTCAGGCCTGACTCTTAAAACTGTTGTCTGCAACTCTCCAACATTCTCTCCACCTGCCAGACCCCTTAGAAATCACCTTTCAGATGGTATCATTACAAGAGGAAGGAGCGCTGCTGCCCTGCTGCCGCACCAGCATCTGACTTCTATGAGTGACAGATAAACTGTCCACATGGTAAGCCGCTGAGATTTTATGGTTACCATGGTATCACCTATTGTTTTCTGACTAATACAAACCCACTACTTCATATGTGCACAAATGTATTTATGAAATAAATTCCCCACAGTGGAATTTTAGCTTTAACTTCTCTTTCTCACAGCCTCTAAGACCAGGTGATCACCAGACTCTATAATTTATCCAAGTGCTCCCCCTTTGGGCCCAGGCTTCACATTCCATAGATGCTGCTCAGGTTTAGGTCATTCCTGTTTACCACCTGCGGTCTCCTTGCCATTCGAAACTCATACAGTTTTTCCTGACCTCTCCCCTACAAACCCTTTAAAGGTTGCCAACAGTTTACAGGATTAACTCTAGATTTTTCTAACCTGGCATTCAAGCCTAACCACACTAACATATAAAAGAAGATAGTACAGTAAAGTGTCTGGCATGGAGTCGGTACTCAACAAATGGTGGTAGTCATTACATTTTATAGCCCCTTCCTACAACAAAATAGTGCCTTTTGTGCAGTTGACATTTAATAAATAATTACCAGTGGACTCTATTATCAGGGGAACTCATAATTCACTAAGTTATGTTACCGTAGTATTCCTTGATATTTTTGTTTCACAGCTTAGTTTTAAGGTTTAATCTTCTTAGAGTGTTGATTAATTAGAGAATTGGATGTAAAGGCTGTAGAAAAGTAGCTCATAAAATTTTTGGTAAAACATTTAGGGAAGCATTCCTTTGTAACTGGGATGGATTATGCAATAGTACATATGGCATCCAAAGATGATTATACCACTTAAGGCAATATTAAAAACAGTGTATCAAACTGAATATTCATATTGAACATATATACCTAAATGATACTGCTAAGTCATAATCAAGTTGGAATAACTGTTGTTAGCATTTTTGAACCATCACATTCCAAGAGATAATTATTTGCATATTGTTACCTCATGAATTTGAAGTAAGCCCATAGATAATCTGAAGTGTTTAAAAATGTTCATGAGTTGAGTTTGATGTTCCTGCCAGAGCTAGCTGCATTTCTTACTGTAGGAATTATGAAATAGAATTTTATTTCTGTTGACAAAGGCTAGATGCTTACCAGTTCAAAAGAGACAAATATTAATATAATCTTGGTTATGTTTCACATTGATTTAATTGATTTAAATAAAAAAGTGTGAAATTATTCTGGAGGATAAATCCAGTTGTCTTGGAAACTTTGAAGCAATAAAATGAAAACAAGATATTGTCATGCTTCAAATGCAAAGGCTATGAATATAAATCAACTCTAAATTTATTTCAATTTTATTCCAGTGTAAACAAAATTATTGTTAAGGCCCAAAAAGAAAATTAAGCATACAATTAATACAAAACAATATATACCATGTAATATATTTTTATTTATATTACAGGTACAAAAATATCTGAATTCAGCATTTTGGTATTGACTTGGGACAGGTTTTTATGGAGTTTTAACTGAAGAACAGAAGTTTAAAAACATCAGAGTCCTCCCCTCTTCCCTTGATCACTAGTAATTTCACATTTATATGTACTTTACAAGGCTGTGCAAAGTACCCAAGTCTGGAAATCTCATTTACTCTGGTTACAAACTTTAAGTAATACAACAACATAATAAATACAATGAAATACCCTTTATATTGGACTTTGCTGAGGAAACCTCAGAAATGTTAGCGAGTTCTTTTCAAATTAATCCTCCTAGCAACATTAGCTGTAGAGATTAGCTATAGATATGGTGCTCTCTAATACTTTGCAGAAAATAAAATGCAGGGAGTTGACATAAAGGCTTTTAGAAGCAACAACCCAGTCTATATGAAAGCCTGCAAATTAAAGTATATCCTTTAGTGGAGGAAAGCAAACTCAATCTCTAAGCTAAATATTCAGGGAGAAAACTGGATACTCTGAGAGTCTCAGAGTGACATCCAAGAATTTCAATGTAGTCAGTGAACAAAGGAATACAAATTTAAGCAGAGCAAGAGTTACATGATTTTTTATGATTATAAATAATTATTTCTTTAGTAGCAGAGATAAATGGCTTCTGCATGTTTCTACTTCCAATTCCTGACATCCACTTTTTCTTCTTTATTCTCTTCTTCCTCGTTTCCTTTTTTATCACATTTATCACATGCTCCTCTCTTTTGAGGTTTTCTCCCATTTGCTGCTTCATCTCGTAGCCAGAGATGGGCTTCTCTAAAACATGACATTTCTAGAAACACAGGGTACTGAAATAATTGTAATCTAAAATGTTTAAATTTGTGAAATTTGAATAAATTAGGAATCTATAAATTAAAATGAAATAGCTGCCCTCTTTTCTACTACCCAATTCCAGAAAACAGCCCATCCAGCCCACCTCATTACATCATCACAAAACATACACAATAAAAAATGGCAAACCAAAGACTAGTGGGAGGTTCTTGTTATTAGACCACCCTTTTAATTTTCCCCCTGTAGGCAATTTGGAAAATTATTAGAGATGGAATAGATGTGGGTTTTTTTTTGATAGATTCTTTGAGATTGACAATATGAAAGATTTAGTTTAGATCACGCAATAGGATCTGTAGCCTCTTGGTAATTAATGACACGGCCATCCGCCCTCTACTTATGGTACTTCCCTCCAGTAATAACTTCTCTGCTGTTATTATTGGAATTCTGTGTATCTGTAGGATAAGTCGAATATATGTTTGTCAGTGAGGCTGTTTGTTATTATACGTCCCCAGTGTATGGTTGCACCTATAATGGTGCAGTGTAGAACAACAAGAAGATAGAAAACTGATAGAAAAGGGGGAGCATTAACTCTAAGAAACACATGAGACATTTTTGCTGGAAGAAATCATCTCCACACTAAAGTTTTCCCTCCCTACAATTGGCTTTGGAGAGTATGTGCATGGTCTTTGACAAGGCAACAAGGTTCCAGTCATAGATATTAGCCAGCCCTTCTCATAACATTGACACTTCATCAGAATGTAGAAGTAGAAAAATCTGAAGAACTGTTTTTGTAGCTTTATTTACTTTCAGGTAATCCATATCCCGTGGTCTTCTGAGTAAACCTGAAAAGATACTTGAAGTATACGTAAGGCAAAGGGATATTATAGATATAAAGCCATAATATAACATACAAATTATGTTGATAAAGTTAGATTGATAAATGTAACTCTAACATTTGATCTTTGTGGCATTTGGGTACTGTACACTTCTTGGAACAGGAGTATTGTCTCTCATTTAGCTTTTGCATGCCCAACCACACCTAGCAAAAGGCCTACTATTGAGCAGTTATGTTTAGACATGTTTCTATATTAAAGATGCCTCAGGGGCTAGGCAACAAAGCTGAACACTGACCATAGTTGGCTATTTATTTTTTTGTGAGGAGATTGTAATATTTTTCTGTATAACTAATTTCTTAATAATTATAATGATTATAATTATAAATTCTATATAACCAATTTCTTAAAAATTTTATACTTTTGGGTACAAATGAGAACTATTCCAGGAGAGAGGTAATTTATGTACAACTTTAATGTAACCTAATAAAAAGGGTGACATCCATCACCTTTGCTGTATTATATTATTTAGATGTCAATCACCACTTCAACTCAAGGGGAAGGTACTAGGTAAATGCATGGACTCTAGCGCCCACCTGGGAGCTACTGGAAGCCTGGGGACGCTGCCCCAGTGTGGTGATGGGGGATGACCTGGGACTCAACTGCTTCCACCACTTCTTACTCAGAAGAGCAAGGAAGAGGTGGTGGGGAGTTCCAAAACGACATGAGTACAAATGGCCTGGAGAGTAATCAATTTAAATAAAAGAGGTTCAGAATCTTCTAAAGGAAGCTTACAAAAGCAGTGACTTCACAGAATAAATGATATAATCAAGAGTCTGTAAATAACTAAAAATATGACAATAAAGGCAATAAAGGCAAATAGCGTAGGAAAAACTCTAGGAAGGCTGGTGAAGTACTATATTTTTCAGGCCTACAAAGCAAACTATGCAAGACGATACAAATATAAAACAAATTTTGATGCATTTTAAAATGCATGGTTTGTGAAGGAAAAAAATCTATTTGACCTCGATGTGAGAAACATTCTCTCATGAGTGATCCAAGGTTCGTGACATTGGATTTGCAAAGAAAAAAATGCATCAACATATTACCTGACCTGGCACTAACAGTATTTACAAAACAATTATAATATGATGGCCATTTATTGATTTTCAACTTTTAGCAATATTGTGTAACAAAATGTAGAAAATATTGTTATGGTTGTATGACAAAATATAAATATCAACAATCTTAAAATTATAGAAGTAAATATTTAGCTGACAGAAGAGGGGATGTGGAAGGAAGAATGATGACTAATATTGACATTTTACAGATTGTGGAGTTGAGGAAGACTGTCAAATATTGAAATAAGAGAGAGATTTTTAAGAAATTAGTTACAGAGTTAACAGGACTCAAATAATATTATAAATATCAAACATACCAAAAGGATATAGTAGGAGAGTAGTGTGAGTAACTAAATCTTCATTTTTCATGTATAGAAATCAATAGATACTAAAGTTGACAAATAAAAAATTAGAGGTATACTCATATAAGGGTAAAGAGACACCCTAAAAAATAAAGTAAGGACAATTCCCAGAGGAGTGTTAAGAGTTAAAAAAATTGGCTGGGCTGGGAGAGTCTAAGCTTTTCTAGACAGCTTGCATGGAAATACAAATACATATATTCACATGCATTACTTTAAAAGTAATAAAAATAGATGTAAAAAATCCCTAAATTGGTTAAAGAAACGTGCTATTCTGAGTCCTTCGCTTATTACCTCTTGTGATTTGTCTCCTCCACAGTTAACTCCTTAGGGGTACGCATTGGTTACCTTTGAGGTAACTTACAGAATTAAAATGTTATTCAGTAGTAACAAATAACTGTGTCTTGATTGATTGAGCTTCTATAGCAATTTCCCTTCTAAATAGGAAACACAAAATTATGCGTGCATACAGGTCTCTTTATTGTTCATTTAAGATTTATCGAGCAATTACTATTTGCAAGTCTTAATTGTAGGCTCCCATTGGACTCAAGGTATATACAATCTTTTCAGTTTAATAAGTAGGCAGGTTAGGTTGATTATTTGATCAGTATCACTCAAATGTCTATTATGAGCTAGGCACTATTCCAGGCCCTGGAGATACAATGTTTACTACAACAGGGTCCTGGTTCTCTAGAATTGGAATCTACTATTAATAATTCCCCAAAGGAGGCACCACCTTATGCATACTATTTATTTGGCTGATTATGATGTGACAGTACTCTAAATATCTGTGGAAAGAAAAATAACCTTGTAGTATGTTTCAATTCAAATACTATCAAAGAGATCATGAGCTCTGGAGAAAACTACATTTCAGAGGAAGATGAATGAGTTTAATGGAAGTATGTTACATATTAGAAATCTCTAAAGCCTGAGGTCAAAGCATGAGAACAAGTTCTTTACCCTGTTCATAGAACTGAAATAATATTCATTTGGGGCTGTGACTTGTAGCAATGTATGGAAATAAAGACAAGAGTATGCCTCTTTGATTTTTTTTAAAACTCTTTAAAGAGATTAAAAAAATTTTACTGCTTTAGATGATTTAGAGATCTAAATGGGAGTGTTAGATTCGCGAATTTGTACCAGTTTAAGTGTGGAAGGGTAAATGTTACAGAAATGATTGGAGAAGTCAGTGATCAGGTTGAGCTGTGATAATTTTGAGGTCAGAGGCAAATTGGGAGTTATGCCAACAAAGAGTTTTTCTTTAAATACACATGATTTTATATCTTGTCATCTCCTTTTTCAAGAGCCTCCAAATATACATCTCAGTTTCTCCATCCAACCCCTGCACCTGGCACATGGAAACAGATGGAAGAATTCAAAATCTCAGTTAAAGTTGCCTTTGAATGTATCATGAACTCCTGTTGTGAAGTCTTGTGAATTAGAAACACAGTACCAACACTCTGCCACCTTGTGGCTTCTGGAGTCATTGCAGCACATATAGAGGAAAATCAGCACCCAGTTCCAGTTTTACTGGAACAACATGTCTTAGGTTTTTTGGGCAGATACTTTATTTAAAGGAATATGTAGGGTTCGTGAGAATGCATTTCGGAGTTATCTTTCTAATATATATATATTTAATATAGTTATCATGTCATTGGCTATAATTCATTAGCCTGCCACAAAATAATGTTTTCCAAATTGCAGTTTTAAGGATCATGAAATCTTTGAACTAAAAGGGACCTCAAAGGTTACGCAGTTCAGTATTTGAATTCCTTTTATTATCATTCTAATAGGAGGGACTGAAGTGTGAGCTTAAACATCTCTAGGGCAGCTTAATTTTGCAAAGCTTACTATCCCAACTATCTTCGACAACATTTATTTGAAGATTTATACATTTAACTAATGTTGCTTGGATAAAGCTCAAATTTTTCCATATGAACCATGAGAAATTATGTAAGAGTCTTTTAAAGTTGCATTTTCCATATTTATTAGTTCAGCACCAAGTATATAATAGGCCCTCATTAAATAATAGCCCTGTTTGGTTTTCCTATATTTAAATTTTTAAGATGTAGGCTTATAGATTATTAACGTTGAAATAGCTCTATGTTCAATGATAAAATGCTTTCAATAAATACACTTCCAGCTTTCCACATTTACTTTTGTTCTTTTTAAAAATTATTTTCTCATTGCAAAAAAAAAAAAAGCGTCATCGAGAGCTTCCTATACTAGATGCTAGAAAAAAAGACACAGTAACTGCTCTTGAAATTTTTTATCTGTTGGGAAACAATTTATTTGAGTATAAAAGTTTCAGCTGCTTGATGGAGGTATGTGAAAAGTGCAGTAGGAGCCCAATGAAAAGCATCTTGGGCTGTTAATGCATTCATTTTCTATGCTGCGTAACACATTTCCACGAACAGTCCCTTGAAACAAACCATGTTTATTATTTCACAGTTTCCTTTGGTCAAGCCCAAGCACAGCATAGCAGGACTCTCTGCTTCATTGTCTCACTGGCTGGAATCCAGGGCTGCAGTCTTACAAGAGGCTAAGCCAAGGACAGATCTAATTCCAGCTTACTTGGATTGTTAACAGAATGTATTTCCTTGTGGGGGTATGGCTGAGAGCCTCAGCTTCTTATTGGCTGTTGGCTGGAAGATGCCTTAGCTACTAGAGTCTGCCCACAGTACCCTGCCATGCAGCCCTCTCCATAGGCAGTTCACAACATGGCTGTTGCTTCTTTAAGGCCAACATGAGAGTCTCTCTCCAATCTTCTAAGAAGTGTGTCTTATATAATGTAAGGTAATCATGGGCATGATATCCCATCTTTTTTGCCATTTAATGTAACCTAATAAAGAGGGTGACATCCCATCACCTTTGCTATATTATATTATTTAGATGCCAATCACCACTTCAACTCAAGGAGAAGGTACTAGGTAAATGCATGGACAGCAGGGAACAGAGAAATAAATATTAGGCGTCATCTTAGCTTGGGGTGTGTCAGAGCTGAAGAAAACCTAACCATATAATCCAGAAAATCTTCTCGGGGGAATGGACGCCGTGCTAACACATGATATTTATGAGTAGATAATAGGAAAATGAACCATGCTAAGACAACAGCTTTGCTGAAATGTAGACAAGTGAAAGAGTATTGAGAAGGTAAGTCGGGGTCAGATCACAAAGGGCCTTCTTTTGTGAATTAAGGAGTATGCCAAAAGCCAAGGGAAAAATGGATGAATACCAGGCAGGAAGCACCATGGTCAGAGTTTCATGGTACAAATGCTATTCTGGCAGCAATGTGGAGGACAGATGGAAGGAGGTTAAGATGAGAGGAAGGGAAATAAATGAGATGCTATCTATAGTCCTAGAGTCATATGGAAGACTGAATTCAAGCAGTAGAGTAGCATCTGGATATGGGAACTTTTTTTTTTTTGTGACGGAGTCTCGCTCTGTCGCCTAGACTGGAGAGGAGGTGCAACTAATATGGTATCAATTATATAGCATTAGTGGTAGGAGAGAGATTGAGTATTTTTTGTGTATTTAAAGCCAGTAGACTTCTTTCAGGTGATATATGAGTTTTAATTTTTAATGATGCCATAACTAAAGAGCACTGAGATTTCTGTAAATGTGCTAAATTCCTTATAGAAAGCCAAATTGGTATTTAAGGACAAATGGTTATGATAAAACAAAACTTCTGAGACAAATACTCTCATCTACAGCCTGGCATAGGCTTGCAATGGATAACTGATCACTACCTTGAATGAGTAGACAAAGGCCAGGAGCCCCAACATATTTTATCATTTAACGTCTCATTCGACAGGAGCCTCTTGATTGTTTTCTACTTCAGTCCAATTTTAAAATGATAGTATAATCTTGGGTAATTTTTTTCATCAGCAATAAGTAAAGATTTTATGCTGGAATAAGACTGGGGAGGTAGTTGGAAAGGTGTTCCCATTAGCAGAAACTGGCCTGATACCTATTTGATCATCTGTACAAAGAAGGTACTAGTTTGATGACAGCTGTCTGGTGGTTTTACCTATTTCTCTAAACACTGAGAAAAAAAAACTGGTTTGAGGAGAAAGAACTGGCACCACTGTAGACATTAATCCAGTGACGAAGAACTAGATTAGGGAGGGTTAAACTGATTTCTAGCAGGAAAGCTGATTTGTGGGAGCTTGTTTATTTCCTTCCATGTCAGGACTGCTTCTAGCCAAACATGTTAGGGTGGATATTTATTGTCTTTCTGTCTGCCCAACATTCATTTTTCTTTTCCTCATTGTACTCCATTTTCCTCTTGGGAATCACCTGTCTCCCACTGATGGTAATTTTGATATGACTGTAAATCCAGACAGGTGTCCCCATGCTCCAGAAGCTGAAGGAATCCCAGAGGCTGAAACCTATGCCTTCAGGCAGATGCTTCCCCCTTACAGGAGGCAGATAGACAATCTAAGTTCAGTTGGAATTTAATCATTCTAGCAGCAGCTGCTTTTTCCATATCTGGTTATTTTATCTAAAGCTTTCCCACATTCCTTCTGATAAAGACTCTTTCTGATTTAGTTAATCAGAGTTCGTTGTTTATAACCACAGAAAATGATACACTGGTTCATTAGCATTTTAGGAGGGAGGAGGAAATAGTTTATTGAACTTCTATCAGCTGTCATTCAGTTAGATGTTTTACATATTTTATCACTACTAAATTGAAACAAAGTATAAATTTGTCTTCATATTAATGAACTGAATTATTAATACATTTTCTAATATTAAACCCAGTTTACATTCTGAAATAAAGTCAACTTGCTTGTGATGAATTTATATTATAAAATGAAGAACATGTATATAGCTAGATTTAGTATGGTAAAATTTAGTAAGTGTTTTTGCATCTATGAGTACAATGAGATTGCCTAATTTTAGTATTGACATTATACTATTCTGAAATTGAACTGGTGAGTGTACCTCTTTTCCTCATTCTACAGAAATGTTTAAGTGTGAAATTTTTCACCTCTTGGTTAAATGGAAGAACTTGTCTGTAAAACTATCTGGGTCTAGTATTTCCTTGTAAGAATATTTTAAAACTTTTTATTCACTGTTTTAATATTTATATGATTATTCAGGTTTTCTCTTTATTCTTGAGCAAAGTTTAATAAGTTATGATTGTCAGGAAATTTGTCATTTTTTTTAATTTTCAAATTTGGTAGAGAAAAGCTTTGTAAAGTATTATCTTATTATCGTTTCAAATTTTCTGTTACCTATCTTGATATGTCTCCCTTTTCATTCCTAATATTATTTTTACATTCCCCAATTCCTTCCTTTCGCATAACTTTAAGGGACACTGTTAACAATGTATTATTCTATATGAATCAGATTCCATGGATCACAGTCCATTAATATATTCATAAATACACCATTTATGTAGCATATGATATGAAATGTAGCTCTTGGAATTATGCAAAATGATGTTCCTGGTACTCTTCTTTTTCTTGAGAGATCTTTCCAGAATTTTTAAAATTTTATTTGTTATGAAAACACTAAATTGGGCCTTGCTGATTTTCTCTATTGTATTTATTTTCTACTTTTGAAATATTTGTTCTGTTTTTTACAGTCTTCTTCCCAACTTTCTTTTATTTTTTTCCCCCTAACATCTTACTTTGGAGACTTTGCTTATTGGTTTTCATACTTTTTCTTCCTTTTCTAATGTAAATACTTAAGGCTATAAGTTTTCTTCTTTCAATCATTTTAGCAGCATTCCACATATTGTAATATTCAGTATTATTGCTGTTTAGTTTTCTTCTTTAACTCCTGTGTTATTTAGAAATGGACTTTTAAAATTTAAAAATATATATGTTTTCAAAGCTATTTCTTTATTCCTGATTTCTCATTATTTTGTGGTCAACAACATTGTTTCTATGGCATAGACTCTTTGACATTTGTTGAGGCTTGAACTATGGCCTAGTATAGGGTAAATTTTTGTAAATGTTCCATGTATATTTGAAAAGAAAGTGCATTCTCTAGCTGATTAGTAGGGATTTATGTCAATTAGATCAAGACTCCCACTTATGCTACTCAGAATTGTACTTTCTGTTTCTTCTAGTATCTCCAACCTTTCCTCTTTTATTACTTACAGGTTTCCATGAGCATCTATTTTGAAATTTCAGTAATGGTCATAAAATGTGCATTGTTTGTCCAAAAATGTTTTTATTTTATTCTTTTTTTCTGAAGAAATACTTATTTTTTCATGGCAACAAAATTCTAGTTTTGTTTTTTTGGTGTTCCTTGAAAATGTAACTCTACTCTCTTATAGATTCCATCTTACTCCATATTTAGTTGTGTTACTTTAGGTAATCTACCTTTCCTTTTGGGTTGATTTTAAAGTCTGTTCTGTATGTTTGGTGTTCTGCAGCTTTACTATAGTAAGTCTAGGTTTGATTTCTTATGATAAATGCTGTTGGGGCTTATTGTGCTACCTAAATCAATGGACTTGTATATTTAAGTTATAGAAAATTCTTAGCAAACTTGTTTTTTTTTTTAGTAATACCTCTTTTCCTATTTTCCATTACTGAAACTCTCATTAAAAGTGTACTGGCAAGATACTTTCAATAATGTTACGGTTTATACTCAGATGAAGAGGGAAATAGTGCCTGAGCCTCAGACCGTATTGTCCTTGTCTCTGTGTGCATTTGTTTAATAATACCATTTCTTTTCTAATTATCTCAAAAGTATTTTTTTGAGCTACCTATGTTTCTACATCTTGAATCACTTTGTTCCATCCTCCACTTTTCTTAACTTCATCTCATTTCTCATCTTCTTATCCTCTGTGGTGTCTTCCAGAGAAATTTCCTGAGATCTAGTTTTCACTCCCTGGTGCTCTATTCAGGTGTGTCTAACCTGCTGTTTAATTCCTTAAAGGCTATTTTCAATAGCTACTTTTTTTTAATTTCTGGAAATTTTATTTGGTTCTTTGTTCACATCAGCTCTCTGTTTTTAGTAGTCTTTTGTCCTTAATTATGCCTTTCATTTTCTCCTTTACGTCTTGAACATATTAGAACATATTGTATATTATTTATCCTACACTTTGAATTGTTTGAGCTTTTTACTTTGTTATTTTCTTTTGCTGATTCTCAATCATGATGATTCACTTTCTTGAAAATTTTGTGGCTGGATTTATTGTTTCCCCATTTATTTAGAGTTTATGTCTTCTGGGTATTTATCTATGGGAATTCTTTGAGACTTGGGTTGAAGGTGAGTTTCAAAAGAAATAATGTGTATTTGTTTCTTCCAGACACCTGGGGACAACTTTACACTCTTTTTTTTTTTGTTATTGTTTGTTTATGTTTGTTTTTGTTTTTGTTTTTGAGATGTTTTTGAGATGGAGTCTTCCTCTGTTGCCAGGCTGGAGTGAAGTGGCGCGATCTTGGTTCACTGCAACTTCCGTCTCCCGGGTTCAAACGATTTTTTCTTCCTCAGCCTCCTGAGTATCTGTGAATACCAGTGTGCGCCACCACGCCCAACTAATTTTTTTTTTTTGTATTTTTTGTATTTTTAGTACAGACAGGGTTTCACCATGTTGGGCAGGATGGACTTGATCTCTTGACCTCGTAATCCGCCCACCTCAGCCACCCAAACTGCTGAGATTACAGGTGTGAGCCACCGCGCCTGGCCTGAACTCTTATATTGGTGGTTTTTAGAACACACAGTGTGAATTTGAGTTCCAAATCTTAAAAAAGGGCCAAGTTGTGATTACAAATTCTCAGGCGAGATTTTTCCCCCCATTGAGTGTCAGACCCAAGATTGATAAATATCCTCATCATCTTTTTTCTGGTTATATTAGTCTGCTCAGGCTGCTATGACTAAATATTACAGACTGAATGGCTTAAATAATAGAAATTTATTTTCTCACAATTCTGGAGAATGGGAAATTCAAGATCAAGGTGCCAGCAAATTAGGTTGCTGGTGAGGAACCTTTTCTTGGCTTGTATATGGCTGCCTTCTCACTGTGTCCTCATATGACCTTTCCTTGATGTGTGTATGCAGTGCATCCAGAGAAGGAAAGACAGAGAGCAAGAGAAAGAGCAAACCAGCCCCCTGATGTCTCTTCTTTTAGGGACACTAATCCTAATAAATCACAGCCCTACCCTTATGACCTCATTTAATCCTAATTACTTTCTTAGGGGCCCCATCTCCAAATACAGCCACAGTCAGTGTTACGGCTTCAATATATGAATTTGGAGGCAGAAGAACATAAACATTCAGTCTATAGCCAGTGGAATAGGTATTTTCCTAGTAGGCCCTTTCAGTGATAGAATGAGGATTTGGGCTTTCAGCTCTCTGTAGGAATCTTTATTCTGACTCTTCAACTTGTGTGAGCCCTAGGCTAAGTCTCTTGTTCCTATAAGGTCATTTAGATTAACTGTTTAGGTGATTGTGAATGGCAGATGTCCCCAGTGAAGCTGGTGGCTTCAGTATTTAGTTCCACCTCTGGATTTATTTTTGGCTTCACAAGATTTCCCATACTTTCTGTTCAAATTAGTTAAACATTAAAATATATATGTTTTAAATATTTCACCTTGTATTTTGAACCTTTTTATCATAAACATTCTCAGACTTTTGTGATATAGAAGTCAATACAATAGTAGATACGATGTAATGTACCCTCAGATTCTATAATCGTCATTTTGTCAAACTTGCTTAAACTTGTTCTTCTTCTTTCTTTTTATGTTTTTATTTTAATATTTTAGAGTTCTAATATCAATTACTACATTTTATAATACTAATGTATATAACCATACAAATAGATATTTTCTATATAATCACCTAGAAAGTTACCAATTTGTCTTTACTATTATCTAATACATTTGAATATAAGTCAAATTCCCCTTATTATTTCAAAAATGTCATTTTATGGTTGGTTTGTTTAAATTTGGGCCCAAACAGGGTCAACATTTTGCCTTTCATGGTGGTGGTGCTTTCTTTTAAATTCCCTTTAATCTAGAATAGGTCCTTCCTTTTTTTAAAATTTAATGATACCAATGACTCTTGAAAACTAAGACAGTTGCCTTATAGAATTGTTTTCTTTTGGTGTATAAAATGTTTTTCTATTCTTCATATTTTCTATAAACTAAAAAATAAGTATAAAGCCTGGATTATATTTGGATTCAACTTCTTTAGCATGGATACTTCACAGATGGTGCATGTAATTTGTATTACATTAAATCAGAAAATATGTATATCTGGTAATCATAATTTTAGTGATGTTGAAATTTATCATTGGTACAGGTTTTGTCAGCCTGACCCTTACATTACAAATTTCCCCATTAGTCTTTTCACATAATATCTTTTACAATCTATTGATGATTGTTGCCTTTTAACATTTTTTCAACATAATTTGCCATTTGGTGATTTTCTAATTCTGTCATTAATCTACATTTATCAGATGAAAATTTTCTGAAAAAATTTTCCTCACAGACGAAGATTTTAGATGACTCTGATGCTCAGTTTGTGTAGGAGAAGATGTTTAATTCTTTTTAATTGCCAATTTTCATAGTAAATGGTTGCCACTCTAGCTACCTCCTGTGCTGAAATGAGTTGTTTTTTTTTTAATTTTCCATTAGGTTTTTGGCTTTTATAATGTGAAGCTTCAAGGTGTTTTTATAAAGAGAAGGATTATAAATCAAAAATAAAAATCAAGAATACTAACCACATCACTATACTTGGGTTTCGTATTTCTTGGGTTCATGAAAAGTTTTTAGACTTGGCTTTTTCTAGAATATAAGTACCTTCCATATGGACACAAGAGTAGATCTTAATTTAGTAAGGATTCAAAATTGAATTTCTCAGTCCTTTAAACCCTAGTCTATCTTTAGTGATGTCATTATTTTTAAGTTCCTGTTTATCCTTTAAGGTCAATGTGATCCTACATTTCTAGAATGATTTTCCTAAAATTTATTTTTAATATTTCATCCCTTCACCTCCCTGCCTTCATCCATAGAATCTGAGTTGGGATAAATAACAAGCCTATCCTCAATCTCCTTTACATAGCAAAAACTAATATGGGTAATAAGACATTTGTCAAATAGTGATTTGTGTTTTTAAGTCATGCTAATAATAAAAATTAAGAATTAAAAAGAGAGAGAGAGAGATAATTAAAGCTCTATGGAAGTGAATTTCTTAGCTGCCAAAGAAAAGATTGATGATAATTTAAGCAAACTTAGAGTGAATACTTTGTGAACACATTAACATGGCTATTTCTCTTCCTGACCTTATATTTTATCAACATCTTATTACGTGGAAAAAAATGAAGACATCAACATAGTACAATAAGCTTATTTAAGAGGCAAATGGGTCAAGTTTGTATGAAATGGAAATTATGAAAATAATCACAAACAAGTCATTGAACAGGATTTAATTAATAAGTTATACAAAAGAAAGGCTCTGCAATAATGTGTTCAACAACCAAAGAAGGCATATTCTGCTTACAAAGTATGTATGATAATCTAAGATAAATGTGTGTAACATAATGGAAAAGCAAATGTATAAATGACAAAGCAGAGGTAGAGATGTTGTTTTAGGTAGCAAGGATCTAGCCTCAATAACAATCAGTATTAAAATATGGCCAGCTAACACTGTAATTAAAAAAAAAAATATTCCAGTTGCTCTTCCAAAGGCAACCTTTAGGTTAATACTAAAACGGATAAAGTCAGATGATCAAAATTTTAATATTCAGTCTATCTGTAGACAAAAAGATAGATATCCACATTTTAAAAACCCTGATTTTTAATGTTTTATTAAATAAGTTTTATTGCACATTTATAGAAGATAAATTAAGGTATAAAAAACTAAATGTAAAGTCTGTATTATAAAATGACATTAACATGGTGTGCCATGTTATCAGACTCAGCAGCATTGTCAGTTGGTAAGTTTTATATATATTGTTTTCAAAGAACCAGTTGGTGAACAAAAACAGCGCAATAATTATAGCAGTTAATTCATGCATTCATTCACTCAGAAATCATATGTCTTGTATCATGTGCTAGATATAGTTCCAAGCACTAATTAAACAAAGATTAATAAGACAAGAACCCTTCTTTTAAAGAACTCAGTCTCTTTGGAGAATTATTCACATAATCAGTTAATAACAGTCCACTATGAAAAGTGTTATAATGAGAATATGGAAGATGTGCTGTGGGTAATTTGAAAATAATGGGTATTCTTGCTTTGGAGACAGCTTTTTAAAGACAGAGTTTCTCGAGGTAGTAACTTTAAATTTGGGTATTGAATATAAGTCTACCAGCTGGAGAAACTGGGCAATAGTCCATTAAAATCTGAGACTCAAGCACATTTGTAGAGACAGGAAATTATAAAATACATATTGTATTTAGGGGTTAATACACAGTTCTCTGTGATTGGAGTAGGGGGTGCATGAGAGAGGACAGTAGATGAGAATCCATATGATGTTTGGTGAAGATGGGAAAGACTAAGTGTCATGAGAAGAAGCTTGGGCTTTTAGACTCTAGTGTTTATGTGTCCAGCAAAGGTTTTGATATAGTTGTATGTAGTTACAAGTTACTTAGTTTGAGGGGGAAAAATGAAGCTGGGAAGGGACTGTAGGCAGAGAGATAAGTTTGGAAGGTGTTGCCAGAGTTGATGAGATATGAATCAAGCTAGTGGTAGTAAGAATGCCCAACAAGGTGACAATTTCAGGTATTCTTTAGAACAAGGGTGTCCAATCTTTTGGTCTCCCTGGGCCACACTGGAAGAAGAAGAATTGTCTTGGGCCACACATAAAATACACTAACATTAATGACAGCTGATGGGCTAAAAAAAATCACAGATTAAAAAATCTCATTATATTTTAAGAAAGTTTACAAATTCATGTTGGACTGCATTCAAAGCCATCCTGGACTGCATGCAGCCTGTGGGCTGCGAGTTGAACAAGCTTGCTTTAGAACATAAAATCAATTAAAGCAGAGAGACAGTTGAACATTATGGGTTATGGTGAGAAATAATCAATAATTATCCTGAAGTGTTCAAATTGGGTGGATTACTGTGGCATTGAGTTAGGAGAATAGTTGGAGAAACTGGTTTGGGGAAAAAGTTCCCTGAGCTTGATTTCAGGCATGTGGAGGCTTAAAACCCAGGAAGGACTATAAGGAATGGGTCCTAGAGATATCCTTTTCCCCATGAAACAAATAATTTTGGAAGGAACATATCAAGCAAGCTATTTGGGATTTGACTCAGTTTGGTGGGTTTTCATTAAAGCAAATAATTTTTCTGCCTGTGAAAAAAGCAGGAGGAACCTCTCAACGCAGAGCAAATGTGTTCATGTAAAGTATCAAGAAGCTCAAAATAACTTTTCATATACATTTTTACAAAGCAGAAATGAGAAAATTATCATCCTTATGTTTATATTTTAGATCTATTTTGTGAGATTAGATCCAGTGTTACCTTTGATCTTCATTATTAGAAATTTAGTGAAAGTATACATATTTTGTTCAAACTTTAGAGAAAAACAGAAGTTGAAAGGAATTTGGGGGATTTTAAGAACATCTTAAAAATAATCAACAACTCCTAGAAACTAAAAGTTAAAAATAAGGATCTTTGATGTTTCAACAATGTGATAATTCAACGATTATTTACTTTCTGACAGTATTTGATAAGCAAGTTTCCTCCTTCACTAGTCATTATTTCAGTTTTTCCCCACAAGCACCCTAACTGGTATTTCTTTTCTTTTTTTTTTCTTTTTAGACAGAGTCTTGCTCTGTCACCCAGGCTGGAGTGCAATGGCACAATCTTGGCTCACTGCAACCTCTGCTTCCCAGGTTCAAGCGATTCTCCTGCGTCAGCCTCCTGAGTAGCTGGGATTCCAGGCACGTGCCATCATGCCCGGCTAATTTTTCTATTTTTAGTAGAGACGGGGTTTCATCTTGTTGGCCAGGCTGGTCTCGAACTCCTGAGCTTAGGTGATCTACCTGCCTTGGCCTCCCAAAGTGCTGGGATTACAGGCGTGAGCCACCGTGCCGGGCCTGGTGGGTTTTTTTTTTGTTTTGTTTTTTTTTTTTTTTGACTGTTTCTTAATTGGAAAAAACAAAGTTTAGAGAAATTAAGTAACATTGTTGAGATCATCCAGATAGTCGTCTGGAGTTTGAACGTTGGCCTTGCATTTGTTTCCTCCACAAACTGAAAAAAGTTCACATTTAGGACTCAGTTGCTTCCATCTCATTCCTCTCTTCTCTTGCCTCTCTCTGTCTCTCTTTCCTTCAGTTATTTTTCTAAAGTATCCACCCAAGTACAGTCTGTAGTTATTAGTTAAGTTCATTATTCACATATGCCAGTAACTCTCGTGGTTTCATCTCTTGCTATATTTTTAGGTATTTGGTAAGGTGATTGTCTCTCTCAATGAGCATTTGATAAATTAATGTGAATGTCTCAGTGCTACCAAGCTACTGAATCACAAACTTAGATGGGAACTAGTGGACTAAATCTTGGGAATAAATGACAGTAATAACATTCAACATTGTTTACCTTTAGTTAAGCTAATGGAAGCTGAACACAGAAAATACTTTTTCCATGTTAAGAAGGAATAGATTCCCGAGATGCACTACTAACAGAACTTGATTTGTCATTTGTGACTTTTTAGAGAAATGTATATTTATAACACTATTAAACAGAATAGCCTTAAATCAAAAACAGAAAATGTGGTTTGACTAGTAGCATCTGGAAAGAATCAATTCCTTTGCCTATAATGTTTCTAAGCAACCACAAATTGAAGCAATGCACAGATAGTTCATGGGAAGTTAAAGCTATAATTTTTATATTTCCATAATTTTGGATTTGCTGTAGGGCAAAGACACTGAAAGCTAATTTACACATTCTGTCTTTATTTATTAAATACAAATTTCGTGTGATGGCAAATCATCACAGCTTTTTATAAGCAAATGGGCCTTTTCAGGAGGTCCAATTTAAGTCTTTCTTTGTTGTGTATAATTAGAATCTGCATATGCGGTCCAGCATAATTATTTTGTGAAATAAAAAGCAACACTGAAATTGTGATGTTAATATTATAAAGCTGTGAATTTATTAACACACTTCAGATGCTTTCTGAATTTTAAAAATTCTAATTGGATTGGATTCCATCATTACCAAACAATACTTTAATGCACCTATGTACAATATGAATCTAAATGTAAGTCGTAAGTTTTATACTGTTTGGTATGTCTTCATTTGCATTTTTCAGATTAATTTAAATGTAAATATACTTTACACAAATTACCGCTTAAAATCCTTGAAAGTAAATGCCAAAGGTCTGACACCTAACAAGAAGATCTGAACATGCAATTTTTTAAAATCACATACTAAAATACAGCCATTTCAGAATATTATGATTTTTCAAAATGACTGCCCTTTTCCGTGAAGTGGGTTATCTTTTTAATAAAGTAAAATTAGAGACTAGCTGAGAGGAAATGAAATAAATCTTCCTTATATACCATGCAGGAGATATTATTTTCTCATAGAAATTTAAAGTACGTTTACAAAAGTTTTCTAAAAGTAGAAAATTTTCATAGATTATATCAGGACTTTTTTGTTAACTAACCAGTTGAGCTCACCATGAGAAGTATAGGAATAATGTTTAATCTTTTTTGGGAGGGAAGAGGTTTGGTAGGCCATGTTTAATCTTACATTTTAAAATGTTAATTGATCTTAGTAGTATGTCGATTCTGACCAATAGAATAAGCAAGTTTGCTGTGCTGGTAGAAAAGATTTTGTGGCCAGGCGTGGTGGCTCACAGCTGTAACTCCAGCAGTTTGGGAGGCTGAAGTGAGTAGATCTTTTGAGCCCAGGAGTTTGAGACCAGCCTGGGCAAAAGGGCAAAACCCCGTCTATACAAAAAATTAGCCAGGCTTGGTGGTGCACACCTGTAACTTCAGCTACTTGGGAGGTTGAGGTGGGAGGAGGATCCCCTGAGCCTGGGTGGTTGAGGCTGCAGTAAACCATGGTTGTGCCACTGTTGTACCCTAGCCTGGGTGACAGAGGCTATCAAAAAAAAAAAAAAAAGATTTTGTATACTACATGTATTTTTTTTCTTTTGGTTTATAAAGAGATTTGTGTTATCTGACTTCTTATTTATAAATAGTGAAATAGTGCCATATTAAAATCGCAGCTTGTCTTTTCTTTTTAGTAAAGTAAACCAAAGGCTGAAAAAGAACCAGTAGAAACATTATTCACATCTCACTGACCTCTTTAGATCTAAAGCGACAAAAAGACTTTGGTCCTTTGGACATAAGTAGGCAACTGGATTTATAAAAAAGCCAGAATGGAAAGTGTGAAGAGTGACTGAGAATGTGGTGGGCACATTTCTCCAACATATAACCTTTGATAAAATAGACCCCTAGATGCCCTCCTCCCACCACCTGCCCACACATGTACGATTATAGTGGTCTTTATTAGTATGTGCTAACTATCAGCATTCAGTATTTTGCTTTGAACTTTGGTTCCTTTCAGTCTGGCTCAGGAACCTACTCCCTATACTTTCAGTTCACCAATAATTTCTTGAACGCCTATAACGAACCTATAACGCAGAGACCTAATAGGTGGTAAAGAGTCAGACACTGCTTTCCAGAAATAGTACTCTTGTGGGAGAGAATACACACATATGTTATTAATGCTAATAAAAGAAGAAACCTGTCTTGTGTTTCTCATAGTGGTAAAAAGGATTTGATGCTTTCTGAGGCCCTACTGTACACCACACACTGTGGTAGGCACCTCACTTTCAGCATCAGTCAACTCTCCCCAAAATCCTATGTGGATAAGTGATTTCTAAAATCATTTAATTAGTTGCTAGTGTGCTAGAACTTAGACCTAGTCTACCTATCTGTCTGACCCCAAACTTCCTACTATTACCATGCCACTTCCTTTATTTCAAATTGGGGAAAACTAGGAGATTCCTTGGAAATGGTGGATTTTAAAGGTGTAATTACATAGTTTATTTTTCCACTTTTAAATGAATAATATTTCAAATTTTCATAAGGATTTTAAGTACCTAATAAAGTTGAAAAAAAATACAACTTCCCCCTATACCACTTTTAGGTGAGAGGCAGCTCAGATCTGTGAAACGGTTATATATTCGAGTCTATGAATGGATTGTATATGTCAAACAGTTGTAATATGCATATGAGGAAGTGCATAATTGCCAAGAAAGAGGGGATATCCTCTTCCTTGTAAGATATAACATTCTCATCTCAGGAAGAAGAGGTAAATACCCTCTCTCTTCAGCATTATAATTATTTATGTTGTTCATTTGTGGTGTTTTAGTGGAAACAGATTCAAAAGCTGGTTTTATTGTTTAGCAGCAGAGGGACCTAGAACAAGTGAAATAGCTTCTGTGAATGTCAGTTTCCCCATTAGTAAGGTGAAGGGATAAAGTTTACCCCATATATTGTTGTGAATATCAAATGTATCTGCATGCTCCTGGCACATGGTCAGCACTCAATACATATTTCATATCCTTTCTTATGATCCTCAAACTGTGTTCCCTGTTAGCGTATCTGACCCTGGGGTTTCTCAGTGAAGGGTTTTATACAGCAGTTCCAACCAGCAATCTTTATGTCACATTACAAAATTTCAGAAGGGCATATTTTTAATGCTCCAACCATGTCTGTGGCATGAAGCCTTTTATTGAATAGAGAGCCAAGTGCCAAGTTACTTCAGGGGCCAACTTTCAACAAAACAGTTAAAGTAAATGAAGCTATTCCTTGTGTGTATGTCTGCCCGCCCCATCTCCCCCCAAGAAAAGCTTTGTATGACATTGAACAAGTTAGCCTCTCTAAGCCTCAGTTGCCTCATCTGAAAAGTAGAAATGATCACATCTGTCTCAAACTGTTGTCATGAGATCTAATAAATTAAGTATTTTAATGCATGAGAAATATTAACATTTTCTTCCCATTCTTGTTGAAGTCATGAATAACTTACAGGAACTTATACTTTTTTTTGAAGAGACAGAGTAGCACAGTGGTTTAAAAAATGAGTTCCAAAGCATAACAAACCTAAGTTCCAAACCAACTGTGGTGGCTGGGATAAGGAGTCTGGAGCTCTCTATTTTTTTTTCATTTCTAAGTTAATAATACCTAAACTCACAGATTTGTGTATTTAAATAAACTTATCTAAGTTATATAAGGTAATGTATAAAACACGGCCATATTGCAGTATAAAAATGTAAATTTTGGAGCAATCAAATTGAAAATTTCAAATTATACTCTTGGCTAATGGGATGGATACGTGATTTAACAAGGCAAAGCCATTACATTGTGAATACGTTACCTCATGTGGAGAAGTAATTAACTTCAATTTCAAAAAAAATATTTTGAGTAGCTACTAGTTATTATGCAGTATACTGGACTCTGGAAATAAAAATAATTGGTAAGACACTAGTTCTAGACTATATACAAATATACTTTTTCTGTCTGTTACTTGATGAATATTTATTGGGTTTCAAACACATAAAATTAAAAATTAACACAATATTTATTGAGTACTTATTATAAAGCAGAACTCTACTAAACTTTCATGCATTATCTCATTTGATCTCACATCATCTTTAATGAGGTATACCTTGTGTTCACATTTAATAGATAATAAGACAGAATCATAAAAGATAAATAACTCACTTAGTGTTACATTGCCACTAATAAATACAACCAGGATGCATCTAAAGCCTGAACTCCTAATATCTAACTTAGACCACATGTTAACACCAAATACGTGATCTTCCTTTATAATTGTACCCTTTTCTCTGAATGAGCAATTTGCTTTAAATAGAGGACATGTTTACTTGATCTAGTAGATGGTTTGAGCACATGCTATTTTTAGTGACCGTTTATCTTGAAATCTCAAATCCTTACCTTGGGAGAATATTTATATAGAAAGCCATGAAGAATAGGCAAACATAGAATACATTGTTTTTATTAGTAATTTTAAGAAGATGAGAGAATTATAAGAATGTGAGGTAGAAAGTTGTGATATGCTGGGAAAAAAAAGCTAAAATAAGATATTTTGAAAAAGTAGATTGAGCATATAAAAAGAACATATATTACATGTTGTGAATAAATACAATTGACCAAACCTTCTGTCCCATTGAAAAATGAGAAGAGCTGATAGTGGTAACATCAGGCACTTTTATAGTTTAGAATTGTTTTCAAAGTCACTGGCTGCATAGACTGTGACAATACAATAAAAGCACAAAACAGCATTGGAGATCTTAGATATAGAAAGTAAATTACCTGTCAGTGTCTGAGATCTTGCCTTTTCTATTTGCATTAACTAGAAAATGTAGGTACAGGGTAAGTATAAATAAAGAGATGTGTGCATCTATTACGGGCTCTGATCAAAGCTTTCTAGAGTGGTGATAAATGTATCATTTACGGAATAGATAACACAGTGTCTTAGTCCATTTTCTGTCACTATAACTGAATATCTGAGACTGGATAATTGATAAAGAAAATAAATTTATTCGTTAAGGTCCTGGAGGATGAGAAATCCAACATCAGGTGGCTGCATCTGGTCAGCTTCTGGTGAGGTCCACTTGCTGTGTCATAGCATAGAGGAAGGCATCACATGGCAAGAGGGGTACACTGAGAGCCAAACTCACTTTTTTAACAGACTCATCTTGTGATAAATAATCCATTCCCATGATAACCCATTACTTCACTAACCCATTAATCCATTAATCTATGTATGATCCAATCATCTCTCAAAGGCCTCAGCTCTTAATATTGTTATATTAGGGATTAAGTTCCAATATGAATTTCAGATGAAACAAATATTCAAACCCTAGCACACAGCCGTCGAGACTTCAAACAATCATCCTGCTTGAATGGGACTTGACAACTACAGTTCATGGGCCAAGTCTGTCCCAGTGCTGGTTTTTGTAAATAAAGTTTCACTGGAACACAGCCATGCCATTCATTTCTGTATCATCTGTGGCTGCTTTCGTGCTACAGTGGCAGAATTGAGTAGTTACTGCAAAGATCACATGGCTTGCAAAGCCTGAAATATTTACTATTTTGTCCTCCTCTGTTGAAAAACTTTGCTGGTCCTCGACTTAGAAGATTATTTGAGCAGGTTGTTTAGTTTCCATGTAGTTGAGCAGTTTTGAGTGAGTTTCTTAATCCTGAGTTCTAGTTTGATTGCACTGTGGTCTGAGAGATAGTTTGTTATAATTTCTATTCTTTTACATTTGCTGAGGAGAGCTTTACTTCCAACTATGTGGTCAATTTTGGAATAGGTGTGGTGTGGTGCTGAAAAAAATGTATATTCTGTTGATCTGGGGTGGAGAGTTCTGTAGAGATGCCTATTAGGTCCACTTGGTGCAGAGATGAGTTCAATTCCTGGGTATCCTTGTTGACTTTCTGTCTCGTTGATCTGTCTAATGTTGACAGTGGGGTGTTAAAGTCTCCCATTATTAATGTGTGGGAGTCTAAGTCTCTTTGTAGGGCGCTCAGGACTTGCTTTATGAATCTGGGTGCTCCTGTATTGGGTGCATATATATTTAGGATAGTTAGCTCTTCTTGTTGAATTGATCCCTTTACCATTATGTAATGGCCTTCTTTATCTCTTTTGATCTTTGTTGGTTTAAAGTCTGTTTTATCAGAGACTAGGATTGCAACCTCTGCCTTTTTTTGTTTTCCATTTGCTTGGTAGATCTTCCTCCATCCTTTTATTTTGAGCCTATGTGTGTCTCTGCATGTGAGATGGGTTTCCTGAATACAACACACTGATGGGTCTTGACTCTATCCAATTTGCCAGTCTGTGTCTTTTAATTGGAGCATTTAGTCCATTTACATTTTAAGTTAATATTGTTATGTGTGAATTTGATCCTGTCATTATGATGTTAGCTGGTGATTTTGCTCGTTAGTTGATGCAGTTTCTTCCTAGTCTCGATGGTCTTTACATTTTGGCATGATTTTGCAGCGGCTGGTACCAGTTGTTCCTTTCCATGTTTAGTGCTTCCTTCAGGAGCTCTTGTAGGGCAGGCCTGGTGGTGACAAAATCTCTCAGCATTTGCTTGTCCGTAAAGTATTTTATTTCTCCTTCACTTATGAAGCTTAGTTTGGCTGGATATGAAATTCTGGGTTGAAAATTCTTTTCTTTAAGAATGTTGAATATTGGCCCCCACTCTCTTCTGGCTTGTAGAGTTTCTGCCGAGAGATCCGCTGTTAGTCTGATGGGCTTCCCCTTGTGGATAACCCAACCTTTCTCTCTGGCTGCTCTTCACATTTTTTCCTTCATTTCAACTTTGGTGAATCTGACAGTTATGTGTCTTGGAGTTGCTCTTCTCGAGGAGTATCTCTGTGGCATTCTCTGTATTTCCTGAATCTGAATGTTGGCCTGCCTTGCTAGATTGGGGAAGTTCTCCTGGATAATATCCTGCAGAGTGTTTTCCAACTTGGTTCCATTCTCCCCGTCACTTTCAAGTACACCAATCAGACATAGATTTGGTCTTTTCAACTACATGGAAACTGAACAACCTGCTCCTGAATGACTACTGGGTACATAACGAAAGGAAGGCAGAAATAAAGATGTTCTTTGAAACCAAAGAGAACAAAGACACAACATACCAGAATCTCTGGGACACACTCAAAGCAGTGTGTAGAGGGAAATTTATAGCACTCAATGCCCACAAGAGAAAGCAGGAAAGATCCAAAATTGACACCCTAACATCACAATTAAAAGAACTAGAAAAGCAAGAGCAAACACATTCAAAAGCTAGCAGAAGGCAAGAAATAACTGAAATCAGAGCAGAACTGAAGGAAATAGAGACATAAAAAACCCTTCAAAAAATTAATGAATCCAGGAGCTGGTTTTTTGAAAAGATCAACAAAATTGATAGACCGCTAGCAAGACTAATTAAAAAAAAAGAGAGAAGAATCAAATAGATGCAATAAAAAATAATAAAGGGGATATCACCACCGATCCCACAGAAATACAAACTACCATCAGAGAATACTACAAACACCTCTACGCAAATAAACTAGAAAATCTAGAAGAAATGGATAAATTCCTCGGCACATACACTCTCCCAAGACTAAACCAGGAAGAAGTTGAATCTCTGAATAGACCAATAAAAGGATCTGAAATTGTGGCAATAATCAATAGCTTACCAACCAAAAAGAGTCCAGGACCAGATGGATTCACAGCCGAATTCTACCAGAGGTACAAGGAGAAACTGGTACCATTCCTTCTGAAACTATTCCAATCAATAGAAAAAGAGGGAATCCTCCCTAACTCATTTTATGAGGCCAGCATCATCCTGATACCAAAGCCAGGCAGAGACACAACCAAAAAAGAGAATTTTAGACCAATATCCTTGATGATCATTGATGCAAAAATCCTCAATAAAATACTGGCAAACCGAATCCAGCAGCACCATCAAAAAGCTTATCCACCATGATCAAGTGAGCTTCATCCCTGGGATGCAAGGCTCCTTCAATATACACAAATCAATAAATGTAATCCAGCATATAAACGGAACCAAAGACAAAAACCACATGATTATCTCAATAGATGCAGAAAAGGCCTTTGACAAAATTCAACAACGCTTCATGCTAAAAACTCTCAATAAATTTGGTATTGATGGGACGTATCTCAAAATAATAAGAGGTATCTATGACAAACCCACAGCCAATATCATACTGAATGGGCAAAAACTGGAAGCATTCCCTTTGAAAACTGGCACAAGACAGGGATGTCCTCTCTCACCACTCCTATTCGACATAGTGTTGGAAGTTCTGGCTAGGGCAATTAGGCAGGAGAAGGAAATAAAGGGTATTCAGTTAGGAAAAGAGGAAGTCAAACTGTCCCTGTTTGCAGATGACATGATTGTATATCTAGAAAACCCCATCGTCTCAGCCCAAAATCTCCTTAAGCTGATAAGCAACTTCAGCAAAGTCTCAGGATACAAAATCAATGTACAAAAATCACAAGCATTCTTATACACAAATAACAGACAAACAGAGAGCCAAATCATGAGTGAACTCCCATTCACAATTGCTTCAAAGAGGATAAAATACCTAGGAATCCAACTTACAAGGGATGTGAAGGACCTCTTCAAGGAGAACTACAAACCACTTCTCAATGAAATAAAAGAGGATACAAACAAATGGAAGAACATTCCATGCTCATGGGTAGGAAGAATCAATATCGTGAAAATTGCCATACTGCCCAAGGTAATTTATAGATTCAATGCCATCCCCATCAAGCTACCAATGACTTTCTTCACAGAATTGGAAAAAACTTCTTTAAAGTTCATATGGAACCAAAAAAGAGCCCTCATCACCAAGTCAATCCTAAGCCTAAAGAACAAAGCTGGAGGCATCATGCTACCTGACTTCAAACTATACTACAAGGCTACAGTAACCAAAACAGCATGGTACTGGTACCAAAACAGAGATATAGATCATGGAACAGAACAGAGCCCTCAGAAATAACGCCGCATATCTACAACTATCTGATCTTTGACAAACCTGAGAAAAACAAGCAATGGGGAAAGGATTCCCTATTTAATAAATGGTGCTGGGAAAACTGGCTAGCCATATGTAGAAAGCTGAAACTGGATCCCTTCCTTACACCTTATACAAAAATCAGTTCAAGATGGATTAAAGACTTAAACGTTAGACCTAAAACCATAAAAACCCTAGAAGAAAACCTAGGCATTACCATTCAGGACATAGGCATGGGCAAGGACTTCATGTCTAAAACACCAAAAGCAATGGCAACAGAAGACAAAATTGACAAATGGGATCTAATTAAACTAAAGAGCTTCTGCACAGCAAAAGAAACTACCATCAGAGTGAACAGGAAACCCAGAAAATGGGAGAAAATTTTCACAACCTACTCATCTGACAAAGGGCTAATATCCAGAATCTACAATGAACTCAAACAAATTTACAAGAAAAAAACCAACAACCCCATCAAAAAGTGGGCGAAGGACATGAACAGACACTTCTCAAAAGAAGACATTTATGCAGCCAAAAAACACATGAAAAAATCCTCACCATCACTGGCTATCAGAGAAATGCAAATCAAAACCACAATGAGATATCATATCACACCAGTTAGAATGGCGATCATTAAAAAGTCAGGAAACAACAGGTGCTGGAGAGGATGTGGAGAAATAGGAACACTTTTACACTGTTGGTGGGACTGTAAACTAGTTCAACCATTGTGGAAGTCAGTGTGGCGATTCCTCAGGGATCTAGAACTAGAAATACCATTTGACCCAGCCATCCCATTACTGGGTATATACCCAAAGGACTATAAATCATGCTGCTATAAAGACACATGCACATGTATGTTTATTGCAGCACTATTCACAATAGCAAAGACTTGGAACCAACCCAAATGTCCAACAATGATAGATTGGATTAAGAAAATATGGCACATATACACCATGGAATACTATGCAGCCATCAAAAATGATGAGTTCATGTCCTTTGTAGGGGCATGGATGAAATTGGAAATCATCATTCTCAGTAAACTATCGCAAGAACAAAAAACCAAACACCGCACATTCTCACTCATAGGTGGGAATTGAACAATGAGAACACATGGACACAGGAAGGGGAACATCACACTCTGGGGACTGTTGTGAGGTGGGGGGAGTGGGGAGGGATAGCATTGGGAGACATACCTAATGCTAGATGACGAGTTAGTGGGTGCAGCGCACCAGCATGTCACATGTATACATATGTAACTAACCTGCACATTGTGCACATGTACCCTAAAACTTGAAGTATAATAATAAAAAAAAAATTATTAAAAAAAAAAGAGGATTATTTGAATTCTGGTTTTCAGGTGAGGTAGATAAATTCCCCATAGAACAAACACTTGCCAGACATGTGAAGTCTTCTGAATTAAAACCCTGATTTTTAAAAAAGCAGCTGTTATAACAACTCTTCTTATGAACCTATTAATTTGGAGGAAGTGATTAATTCACCAGGGATTTCTTAGAGTTACCATTAGACTGCTTTATGAAGGCATTTACTCTTTCAAGGAGTAACTTTTAGTAGATTCTGAGTACTAGTACTGAACTGGGCGTGAGAAATACAAGTTGAATCAGATAAAGCCTATATCCTTGAAGAATTTCAACTGTTGTGGTGTTTATACTGTATCTTTATATTTAAGTTTGGTTTCTAGTTTGCTTTTTTATTCAATCCATCAATCTCTACCTTTTAATTGAAGAGTTTAGACTACTTACATTTGATATAATTATTAATATGCTAAAATTTAAATATGTTATCTTGCTATTTGCTTTCTACTGCTAACCTCTGTTCTTTTCTCCCATTTTCCCTGATTGCTTTTGAGTTGAGCCTTTTTGTGATTCCATTTTAGATCAACTATTGGCTTATTACCTATATTTCTTTTAATTTTATGTGGTTTCACTAGGGTTTATACAATTTATCACAGTCTATCTTTAAATAATATTATACCACTTCACATATAATGTGAGAAACTCACAATAATATGCTTTTAACTCTGCACATACCTCTTGTGCACAATTTTATTTCTCTATGTAAGTCATATAATAGATTACTATCATTTTTGCTTTAAATAGTCATTTATATCTTAAAGAGATTAAAAATGCAACAAAAATATAAGTACCTGGATATTGATCATTTCTGATGTTCTTCATTTCTTTGTTGTAGCTATAAATTCTGTGTATAGATATACGTTTCCTCTGTCGTTATTTTTCTTTGCCCACAAATCTTCCTTTGACCTTTATTGTGGTACAGATTTGCTGGCAATGAATATTATAAGATTTTGTCCTTTTTAAATGATATTTTTGCAGGTTATAGATTTCTAGATTGACAGTCCTTTTCTTTCAGGACTTTAAAGATGTCACTGCCATATGATCTGAATAGTTATTTATGAGGAGGGGTTGCTGTCATCCTTTGTTCTTTATGGAAAGTAAGCTTTTTCTTTTCTGGCTGCTTTTGAAATTTTTCACTTTGTCTTTGGTTTTCAGCAATTTGATCATGATGTATGGTTTTCTTTATGTTCATTCTGACTGGGGCTTTTGAGCTTCTTAGATCTGTGAATTTATAGTTATCAAATGTGGAAAACTATTGGTCATTATTTCTTTAAATAGTGTTTTTATTTTCCCTCCCACTTTCTAGGACTGTACTTGGTATCATTCAGCATATCACTGGCACTCTGTTCATTTTGTTCCAGTGTTTTAAAATCTCTGTGTTTTAAACAGTTTCCGTCACTATTTCTTCGAGTTAACTGGTTTCTTCTTTTGCAGCATCTTAATCTGTGGTTGATCCCATCTAGTGTATTTTTCATTTTGGGTATCTTTTTTTATCTTTATATGTTTCATTTGGTTCATTAAAAATCTTCCATTTCTCTCATACTCTTCATCCTGTTTATGTTTTTGTATACATTTTTACATATGTAAAGCACATTTTTAAAATTAGCTTCTTAAACATTCTTACCTATTTTATTATCTCTGTCATTTCTCTATTAATTCATTTTTTTCCTAATTATGGGTGATAATCAGGAACTGATTACATAATCCACACTTGTACCTCTCTGACTCTCTGTCTGTTCATGATAGTCCTTCTTATCCTTCAACCCTGGTATTCTGACCACAAATTCTACCTGCCATGGCTACCCAAAACAATTTCTGTCTTCAGTGCATTGGAGAAACTAGACTCTGTTTGAGTCCCGTATTTCTTTCTCTTTCCTGAAAACTGCCTCCAGGCAGTAAGCTGGGGCAATTGTGGAGCTCACCTTATTTATTTCCTTTCTCTCATGGATGATAGGGACATCAAATGACTGAAAATTGTTGAATCATATATTTTTTCTTGTTTTCCAGTTATTTATAGTTGGTGGGCAATTTCCCTCGTAGCTAATTTGGGAGGATGTGAGATTTTATTTGAGCCTTGGAAGTATAAGTAGGAATTTGGCCCTCAAATCTGATTTAATAATTTATTTGAATTTAACCAGTTTTCTTTTCTATTCCCTTGATTGTCTTCTTCAAACCTTTACTTTTCAAGCCTTCTACCCCTATAATCACATTTTTTTTAGAATTGGATTTCTTTAAAAAAAATTGAGATAATGTGGCTATAAGGCATTTTCTCTCTCATCTTCTCATATTTTCCTAGTATTTGTCCCTTCAGAGGCATATTTATTTCATTTCCTTTCATTGAAAAGATACCTGTTCACCTGCACGATTGATTGCATCCCATTAATAGTTTTGGGGTGATGGGGTAAAATTACACATTTAGAAACTAGAATAGATTGCATTACTAAGCTACCAATTGCATTTTCTTTGTGTAAGAGTTTTAGAAGCTATTTTTTTCTCTAGTCTTAAGAATTAACTCATCAAATATATCAGGAAATTTACTGTAAAATGTAAATTATCAGAGTTCGATGAACTGAATTGCCAAGATTTAGAACCAAGTGTATTACTGTGGAGAAAGCATAATAGGATAATCTGTTATCTTAATAGATTAATAGTAGGATGATCTATTATCTTAGTGTAGGGAGCCATAGGAAGCTCTAATATGCTTAAGAAGAAAGGATGACATTTTATCCCTCACTCATTGATAGGAAGGGCTAAATAAATTAGAGTAGAAGCCCAAAGTGTAATAAGCACTGTTTTTGACATCTCTTTAGGAAGAATCATTTGTAAGGAAGCTTGGGGATTTCCTAAAATATGAGAATTGTTTCTCCTTAGTTTCATAAACTCTCTGAAAGTCGTTGAACTTTTTTTCACTTGGAAAAACTAAATTCCAGACACCCTAGACAATAATTTTCAGGCCACGTAACCTTTGCTAATAACAGCAAATATTTCGGGAAATGTATTAACTCTTTTATATTTTCAGGGCAACATTAATGAATTTTAAGCCAACCAATTCCTCAGTAATTCTGCAGTGAACCAAAAGAGTTAATTCGTCTAGCAGAGATGGGGTGTTAAGATTAAAGGTAAATCTGCTTCAATGAGATTTGTTAAGAAATACAGCACAACCAGGGAGTTACAGATTAGAACAACAGCATATTGATTCATTTCTCAGTTTTACCATTTCTTTGGAATATATTTGTTCCTCAATCCAACTTGGAGAAAATTTGTAATACTCCAGAAAAAGAATATGTTTAAAGGCTTATTCAGTCTAGGGAAGCATATTATTGTATTGAAAATGGAATCATTTTCTTGGCCATGGAGGTCAAATTCTGGGGTCAGATACACCTGGGTTTAAGTTCTAATTCTTCTGCCTGTTGTTATATATACTCATATGCTCATGTCTCCACACAACCTGACATGCTGTATCTCTCCCCCATAAAACTGACAAGTAAAGAACAATGTAAGAGAAATGATCTGGGTTGAAATCTCAGCTTTTTTATTTTCTAGTTGCATGGCCTTGGATAAGTTGCTTAATTCATATGTCCCTCAATTTCTTTATGTATGTAGAAATGGGATTTGGAGGATAATAACATCTGATAGGTTGCTGTTGGATTTAATTAGTTATTATACAGCAAAATGATTATTACCTTTTTGTTCTAATGGTATTACACATAAGTCATTCAGTTATAAAACTGAGTATGTCCTATTTGTGGGAGCTGGAACAGAACATTTCCTGACACTATGTCTCACCTCTTCACTGTGTCCCAGCAGCCATTTAATATGTATGTGTGATAATAGCCAAGTCTTTGTTCCTGGGTGGTTAATAGAGTTATTTTTCCAAATAACCTAGAGAGAAGTTACCACCTCAGAGTTATCACTAGCTTCCCCAGGGCTTAATTTCAGAGGTGTTAGAGTTGAAAACAGAGAATCATTTTTATCTACTTATTACCTGGCACAAAAAAAGAAAATGAAGGCATGGAAATCGGTTTCATATACCAATGAAAGTAGGTTTGCTTTTAGTCTCAGCTCTAAAAAAAAAAAAAAAAAAAAATACTGGGACTTGCTGTTTGATGAAGACAGAAGTTATAAGAACAGGTGCCCTTACTGAGCTCAGCATCATCTGATAGTGGCTTCAAACAATGCCAAGTCTTAATGAGGGCTGCATTTAATAAAATGCCACAGTCAGCTTTTATCAAGGCCACTGCAAAGGACATAGCTGCAGAAATGATTTAGAAAGTGTGCATGAGTATGTGTGTGTGCCTGCACACATGTATGTGTTTAAATAATGGCTGACATGTTGAGTACCTTCTGAATGAGCAATGAGATACTATACGGAGCAGATTTTTGTAGATTGGAAAGCACAATTAAAATATGGGTAATTGTCATTGTAGTATTATAATAGTACTATAAAAGTATATGTAGAAATCTTTTATTTCATTTTTGTCTGTTTCCAGGTAGGTATATATACCAATGTTTTAATTCTAGATGTGGCCAACTTCTAGAAAATTATTACAATAACCCTCCTGTACATTAAGAAATTTGAGACTCTTACCTACTACATGTTTCATTTAATGCCTTCATTAAAAAAAGATTTAAAAATAATTTGTTTTTATTTGCCTTGGAAAATAAATATTTTTCTTACTTTCACTAGTAATAATTTGAAAAATAATACTTATATTTAGAAAAGAAACAACAGGTAGTCAAGAATAGTGGGTCTTTGTTGTTACTGTGTGAAATTCAGTTTTTAATTTACTCATGTTATTACCATATTTGTTCACAGACCTCTCATTCTGCCCCCTCTACTTTTAGCAGTACAATTTATTTGTTCATTCAACAAGTAATCCTGAGCACCTGCTTTATGTGCCTTGGGGACACAAGCACTGCCATTGCTCTTAAACATAAAATACATAATCACCCAACCATGTAAAATTAAACTGTGATAGGTTCTATGAAGGAGAGGAAAATGCTGCGGTGAAAACATGTAATAGGATGGTATGACCTGGTCAGCGAGGTTCCTGAAGGCTTTCCTGAGGAGAGGAAGACATACATGGACTTGGAGTCAAAACATCTGTGTGCCTTTTGATACATTATGTTTCCAAGGCTCATGGTGTTTTCTGTAAAATAGGAACAGTAATGTATATCTCACATGTTGATGTGTGGATTAAATGAGACAACAGGAATTGCCTCCTATGTCTTCTATCCCTCTGTAGTTTGCTGTCTACAGGCAGCCAGAGCTATCTTTTTAAGAAGACATCCAGACTGTGCTGTCTCGGCTCATAGCCCTTTGGTGGCTTTCTCTCAGTCTCAGGTAAAATCTGATTCCTCATGAGGCTCCAAATCAATTACTTTTTGCTCACCTCTCCTACCTCGCCTCTTACTCCACCTACATTCTTTGCTCACTCATTTCTCATCGTGCAACTCTCTTACTCATTCTTGAGCACATCAAACCAAGCTGATTTCTACCCAATAGCCCTTGAACTTTCTGGCAATTTCTCTTCTCTCTCTGGAATAGTCCCCTCCAAATATTCACATGACTCATTCTTGCACTTCATTTATGTCACTTGCTGAAATGTCATCTTTTTAAAAATACTTTTCCAGGTCCCTCTGTCTAAATTTCCTCTTTCTATGTTCATTCTCTACCCTGGCATTATCTGATCCTCTTTCCCTTGATCCTCCTTTGAGCGTTCTTTGTAGAAGTTATTGATAATAATAATTAGAATAAGAAAACATCAATAATACTATTTATTAATAATATTTACTACTTTCCAGACTCTTCTCTAAGCTCTTTATATATTTTAACTCATTTAATCATGATTATAAATCAGATAGATAATTACTATTGATCTCATTTTACAGGTAAGAGAATAAGGCACACAGCCATTATGTAACTTACCCAAAGTCACACAGCTAGCAAGTCATCATGTAAGCATTTAAGGCCAGATAGTCTTGTTTCCAAATGCCATGCTCTTAACAACTATGTTTTGCTGCCTCTTAGCTTGGGATTGTCTTATACAGGTTCTTTGTTTGTTCTCAGTTTTCTTGCTAGCATATAAGCTTCGTGATTCAGATTGTATCCACAGGGCTTAGAACAATGCCTCACATATGGTGGATACTCAGTAAATGTTTGTGAATGAATAGTAGTGCATCAAAGCATGTTGTTCAGTGCCTAGAAAAAGCTGGTCTTTATTATGTACATTTGTGGTAATTACAATTTCCTGCTATAGAAATGGATAAAGTGGACTGCTTTCCCCACCAAAACCAAAAACAAACAAAAACTGAGTCTGAAGCATTTATCTTAGGTGCTTTAACCCTTTTCTTTTCATGTCCCATACCCTTTGATGTTGTGAAACTTCTCTTTCTGCTTTTGCTTCTACTTTCAGGTTCTCAGTGCTCCCTTAATCCTTCTATTTGGAAATAATGTGAAATTTTCACATGAAGTATTGACAATCTAGTTTTCACTTAGTGATAATTCAACAGGATTCTGTTTGATGTAACTCAGGTATAACATTCAGTAAATATTTATTGAACAGTGACACATTTGGACACTATGCAAGATGCTGGGAAAATCAGGTGCAAGTCATGTTCTGTCCCTTCAGGATACACTAACCCTTCTAATCTATCTTTTGGCACGATTTTTATACAATGTCTCATTTACTTCAAATCTTTAGTGGCTTTGAGAGGAAGGTCCTTTGTGATCTTTTTTTAAAATTTCTGATTCTTCATCTTACCTCTTCTCATGCTCTAATTGTACTAATGACTCTCTAAAGCTATAACCATAGTTCTTAGTTTTGGGCTGCCATAATAAAATATCATAAACTAAGAAGCTTATAACAACAAAAGTTTATCTCTCACAGTTCTGGAGGCTGGGGAATCCAAGATCAAGCTACCAGCTGATTTGGCGTCAGGTGAAGGTCTGCCTTGAGCACCTTCTTGCTGTGTCTTCACTTGGCAGAAGGGGAAAGGCACTTCTCTGGGGACTCTTTTATAATGGCACTAATTCCATTCATGAGAGCTCTACCCTCATGATCCAGTCACCTCCCAAAGGTCCCACTTCCTAATATCATCATCTTGGTGGTTAGGATTTCAACATATAAATTTTGCAGGGATACAAATATTACATCTACAGCAATAGCGGATGTCCGTTTTGCCTTCATATAATCTCTTTCCTCCCTTCCTGTGATCCTGTCATCTCTTCATCACTTGGCTCATCTACTTGTCCTTCAAATCCTAGCACAAGTAGCAACACCTCTAAGAAGCATTCACAGGTTCTCTGTTGCCAGAACATCCTACTCATGCTTGTATCATCTTATATGATCCTATTTTCTGGGGTAGGAGAACTATACACTGTGAACTAAAGTAGGGCTTATGCATTTACCACTCATTCCCATAAGACATTACCTTGTTCAGGAGAGAAGTCATGCTTGCTATATAGTAAATGTTCAAAAATTGGTTATTAAAAGGAGGCAAAGAAGGTAATGTCCTTTTTTAAATGTCCCATACCCTCTGATGTTGGGAAACTTCTCCATCTTTCTGTTTTTGTCTCTACTTTCAGGTCTTCAATACTCCCTTAATACTTCTCTTTGGAAATGGTATGAACTTTTCACATGAAGTATTGACAACCTAGTCAAACCGCATTTGACTCAAATTGATGTAGTGAGCCTAACTGTACAATAACCAGCTTCACAACTCTTTAGGGAGCTGACTCTGGGTTGCAGAGGTGGCTGGTGTGATGTAAAGTGGTAGATCTAGGGTTTGACAGATGGTTCTAAGGTCTCGAGTTTAATTCTCTGATTCTGTACTTCTAAAGGCAACACTTCTAAGGAGTCAGTGAGAGCAATTTTCTATAGTTTATCTACTTTAATAAGAAATATTCATATTTTTAGCAAATAGCATTTTTCTCATCCCTGACAACAAAGTTATTCTGCCAGGAGGAAAATGTTTTGAGAAAAAAAGGTGCAATTTCCTTCTCAAAATTAGGAAATTAAAGCTGAACATAGTAGGAGAAAAGGAGACGATATGCAGGCAAGTAGAATTTTTTAGTTTAAATTTACTAATGCAAATTTATTGCTAAAACATTATATGTAAGCAGTCTAATACACCTTTATAATTCACACAATTAACAAATGTCTACTCAATACTTATAATGCATTGAGTAGTTTAACCCAGAGTTGACTACTGAAATCTTCCACTTTGGTACATTTTTATACATTGGATTATTTTTGATGTTATGATATTTTACTCAGATGCCAAAGAAGGAAATATTTACTTAAAAATACTGTATTGTGGAATTGGAATAATGATTAAATCAACACCTTCATTAATTCAGATTTTTTGAGAACTTACATTGTGTTAGGTGCTAATGAAGTAAGAAACAAACCAGGCACACCCTCTGTCCTCCTAGAGGTTATTTGAGCATTTAATTATTTGGTTATGATTTTGATAAGTGCTATGGAGGAGAGGAATGAGAGTGGGGGGATCTTATATCAGCTATCTGACCAATCAGGGAGGTTGAGGAAGATCTAACATAAATTAAACCTGAGTGAGAATGTTAATGATTAGTAGAAGTTGGTTAGGTAAAATAAATGATGAAGTTGTGGGAAAATGCTGTTACAAACAGAGGAATCAGGCTTTGCATTCTGAGAGAAGACAGAACACAGTCAGGGTGACAGAAGAACACAGAGCCAAGAAGACAAGATAAAAATGATGACAAAAACATACCAAACATGACCTTGAGGATAACATTAAGAATCTGAAATGATATTTAAATAGCAGTGATCACCATTTCAAAGTTATTGAGCAGATTTATATTTTAGAATACTATGGCTGTTGAATAAAAGGAGACAATAGTTAAAAAGCCATAACTGTAACTTGATTTAAGGTAATCTCATTAGAGACGTGGAGGTGTGGGTGAATTAAAAAAATATTTTGGAGATAGACACAACAGGACTTGGTGACTGATGCATGTGTGGAGATGAGGGAGAGGAATGTCAAGAATGACTTTCAGATGTATAGTTTGTGCAGCTGAGTGAATGGCAGTGTCATTCACCAAGGGAGGGAACACTGCAGGAAGAGTCCAAGTTTAGGTGGAAGAAGGCGAGTTCAGTTTGGGGTATTTGAAGTATGATGCGTCTCTAAGTCTTTCAAATTGTCTTGCTAACCAAATCCTAAAACTGTCTATTGGATTTAGGTATTGTAGATATCTTTGGTAGCCTTAAGGCAAGCGGTAAAAAACAGTTGGCAGTAAGTTGAGAAGCAAGTGAGAGGTGATAAAATGGAGAGAGTAGAGAAAACTCTTTTTGAGAGGTTTGTTTGCAAATAGGAGGGAGACACAATGATATCTGGAGAGAAAATATATTGAAAGTGGAACAGATATTTGAACACATTTAAGTGCCCATGGAAAAATATCTAGTGTAATGGGAGAACTTGAAAATTCTGAAGACAGAAGAGTAATATGTGTTGTAAGGAAGAGAGTAGGATCCAGAGAACAGAAGAAAGAAGTAAAACTCTTCTATGTGTTCTCTTTAGCTGTCCCTGAGATTTAGAAACTTAAGACAAAAATAAAGATAATTTGTGAGCACCCACTGTCTGCCATTCATTTTTACAAGTCCTGCTTTTCTCTTTCATAAAGTTCCACATTGTCTGTTTTAATAAACAGTTGCCAGGTGGCATATTACCCCTTCCCAGAATTTCGGGGAATATTACCACAAAGTTATTTTAAGACATTAAAAATATCTTAGTGCCTTGGCCTAACCACTACTTGCGCCAATGAATTGAGCCAGCAGATAAGCAACAATGTGTATATTACAAAATGGCAGCTCCTTCACTTACACCCACAAATCTCCCGCAGGAATCTTTTTTTGTGGCTCACCCTAGCTGGAAACATACAGGAAACAAAATTCTGGGAAATGTAGTTCAGCCTAGCCAAGTTGATATATTACAAAATTACAAAAACAACTTCATCATTTCACTTGGTTTCACTATGCATTTTATTCTTTCTATCGTTCCCCTCTTCACACATAGAGTCACTTAATAGTGTGTCAAGGGCTTCATACATAATACCTCATTTAATCTCCACAGCAACCTTGTGGTGTGTGTATTATTACCCCTATTTATAAGGAAACTCCTTGTCTTTCCCAAGGTTCATGAGCCAGAATGTGGTAGAGCTATAATGGAAATCAAGGTTTTAGGACTTCTAGTTTGGCACTTTTTCAGCTAGTAGGAGAAAAACACATCTACTTCATGCCATGCTGTGGAGCAAGAGCGGGAGAAGGTCTTCTTTTGGTTGGTGGGAACCCATCTTCCTTTTTCCTTAGACTGCATTGCCTCATTTGTTTAAAAAGGTTCTATGAATCAATAAACCTTTCCAAAGGCAAGGACTATGAGAAAATATCATGTGGTTTAGGCACAAAGATGGATACTATTTACCTCAAGAAATTTGTTTAAGATCCCATCTGAATCTAGCAATCCTAATATTTCAGCCCAGGAATCTTCTTGGCCAAGAGCTGTCATTCTTGAGAGCTATGACTATATTTTAATTACTATATGGATTTATATATGGAGCATAGTGCGTCCATTCTACTTCTCCTCCATTGTTACAGTCTGTTCTAATTAGTGTTTCAACCTAAATCTGCTGAAGCAAGGTCCTTTTAAGTCTTCACCTCATGCCAAGAATTGGAATCACCACTTTCCTAAGATTACTGGCAAATTAATATTTCTGCTGACTACAAATTTGTCAAAATTACAAGTTCTCTAAAAGGACAATAAAGGGACCAGACTTATGGAGTATCCACTATGTTCCAGGCGCTCAGTTAAAATACTGTATATCAATAAATCAAATGCTGTTATATATGTCACAGACCCATGAAGAATGTACCATTAATATTTTTTAAGGTAAAAGACATAAAGTTCAGAGAGATTAATTAACTTGCCAAGGTAGTTAGGTTCCGAGCATTATTTATTTATATAAAGTTTACGTGAGTATGTATGCATATTTGCCTCTTATTTGAGGAGGATTTTAATTTGTTTTATAAATATGAATATAATGCATGAAGAAAAATAAGAATAAAATTAGGGGAAATAGTCAGAAATATGAGAGGACCTGGGCTGAAAAACAGATGAAGTCAGGGGAGCACCTTTTATATAATATATGCCACAGAGATCCCCTGTATTTACTAAAAGTCAATTAAAACTTTAATTCTGGGTTAATTTTGGAATCAAATGAAAAAAGAAACCATGATAAGTGTTATTATTTACAATTCCTGTAAGATTTGAAATAAACTTTTTTTTTCATCTGGAGAAACATATTTTTCCTGGAATTTAAAGTACAGAAAAATATTTCCTGTTTGTCCTCACATCTAAAGTTCTGTATAATAGACTGTACAGTGCTCTCCAAAAAATAAAATCCTGTAATACAGGTAGATAGGCTGATGCCAAACCATGACTCTCTAAAAAGCATTTTTTTACATTGAAAAGGGGAGGGATAGGAATAGGAAAACATTGATTTGGTCTGATAGATTGCTTTCTGATGGCCTAGATTAATTCAAAGACAGATTTTAGAGTATCTAGAAGCCTAGATGAAGAACAAATTATTTAGCAAATATTCCATTAATACCATTTGTTCAGCCAAATTTTAATAAGTATGAAAAGTGAAAAGGAATAATAGATTATACCTGCAGTGCAAAACATGGCAGGTTATAAGTAGAGCCATATTCATTAGGAATCACCCCAATGAGGGATAACAACATTAGGAAACATTTATTGAATGATTACTATATGCTAACTGTATAACTATATGCTAAATGTATCAACTCATTCCATTCTCTCCAGTTTCTTAGGAGGGTTCAATAACCCAGTATTGACAATGGCATGAATGGAAGACCACTCCGTGTCTTCATGGTGGTTAGCTGAAGGAACATCTGTGGTCAGGTGTAGGTTCTCAATATGTCCTCCTAGGTATATTCTCTTACATAGATGTGGATGAGTAAGGCCTCAAAGCTCTATGCTGTAGAACAGTGGTTTTAAATACATTTTGTGATACTTACTCCTTTGCATATGTGATAAAATATGTGGAGCCTATTTCTGGAAAAATGCAAATGAACACAAACATTTTAAATGTAATTTCAAGAGGTTCATGAAGCCCCTGGGACATTCCTGTTAACCTCTTCAGGTTAAAAACCTGTTGAAAAGTATGGTCCTCGTCATTTTAGCCTGGATTTTTTTTTTTTTTTTTTGGGGGGGGGGACGAAGTCTCTCTCTGTCGCCCAGGCTGGAGTGCCTTGGCGCAATCTCGGCTCACTGCAAGCTCCGCCTCCCGGGTTCACGCCATTCTCCTGCCTCAGCCTCCCGAGCAGCTGGGACTACAGGCGCCCACCACCACGCCCCGCTAATTTTTTTGTATTTTTAGTAGAGACGGGGTTTCACCGTGTTAGCTAGGATGGTCTCCATCTCCTGACCTCGTGATCTGCCCATCTCGGCCTCCCAAAGTGCTGGGATTACAGGCGTGAGCCACCGCGCCCGGCCTAGCCTGGATTTTTTTAAAGCCAGAATAAAGATTCATCTTAGCGATATATATATATATTTTAGAGGCAGAGTCTCACTGTGTTGCCCAGGCTGGTCTTAAACTCCTGGTCTCAAACAATCCTCTCTGCCAAAAGTGACCACATTGGTGTATATTTGTTGATAAGTATTTCTTCTTCTACAACAATTAGTAGGGCCTTTTGTTAGTTAAGACTGTTCAGAATTTATGAAGATAAAAGTATGTCAACTACCTGTGAAGGATGCCTGTATTTATAGTCACTATGGCACATGGGTCATGTTAGACCTACTGTACATGACCGTGCAAAGCATAGAAGTTTCACATCCAAGGGTGTGTCATTCACAATGTAGATATATCATAGCTTTGCATATTTCTCATGACGGCTTTTAAGCAGTGATATTTTACTAATAAAATCTGATTATTCAGACCCTTTTTCCAAAGGGTTGAAATAAAATATAAAAGAAAGGATGCCATTTTCAAACCCCAGACCTTACAAAGTTGCAGAACTTCATCTGGTTACTAAAGTTCAAGTCAAAACTCAAAAAAGAAGGTGGGGGCAGGGGGTGGCCATAGTACATCCTGCTTTAGACACCATGCCTTTGGGAAATATTTTCTGACCCATCAATATTCTGTCCCCAGCACCCCTACTTCTGGCTTTACTAATAAGATGAAAATCATATTTATAATAATTTGGGTCAATATTGAGATCATGCACTTAGCCTGCCACACGAGGAATGGCTAAAACAACTTGAGGTTGTCAAAAAGTTAAAACCGGGAGGTAATCTAATTGAAAAACTTTTCCAAAAAGTGTTTTTCCATGTGTATTACTTTGTTAGGCTTCTAAAACAAAGTACCCCAAATTGGTGGCTTAAGCAATGGTAATGTTTTGTCTCACAGTTTTAGAGGCTAGAAGTTCAACATTAAGGTGGGTTGGCAAGGTTGGTTTCTTCTGAGGACTATGAGGAAGCTCTGTTCCATGCTTCTCTCCTAACTTTTGGTGGTTTGCTTGCAATCCTTGGCATTCCTTGGCTTGTAGACACATCATCTTAATCTCTGTTTCTTTGTCTTCATATGGTGATATCCCTGTGTGTGTACAAATTTTCCCTTCTTTTAAGGACAGCAGTTATTTTGGATTAGGGCTCACTCTAATGACCTCTTAAAATTGACTACATTTACAAAGACTCTATTTCCAAGTAAGGTCACAGTCACAACAGGTACTAGGAGGTAGGACTTCAATATATCATTTTGGGGTACTTAATTCAACCCATACACCATGTGTGCCATAAAAATGGAAAACATTCATTATTAGAATCCCCTGTCATAGCTTACCTACATGCATTAGCATATTAAGGGTTTGAGAAATTCTGCAGCTAACAAACCTAAGTTATTTATTCCAGAGATCCCTGAATATTACTCTTCCTAGCATACCTATAAACATCCCATGGAATATCTTTCTTCTTGGATAGAAGAAAAACATAGACTTGAAAGCAAATATGTAGAATTTAGAGTGAGATCTAGAATAAAATTTGAATTCTATCATTTCCTAACTGCCTGACCTTTGGCAAATTACTTAACGTCCTTGAGCTTTATTTTTCTTCTTTAGTAAATGAATGTAATTATTTCTACTTAATAAGTTTGTTAAATAGTACTAGAAAAGAAAATAATTTATCTATGCTAAATAAATTATTTACCTTAGGTACAGGGCTTGGCACATGGCTCAAATATTATAAGTAATGATAAGAATGATAAGTAATAATAAGAGTGACACTATATGATATTTGTTGAGCATTTACTATGTGTCACATGCTTTCCATAGTACTCTCACCTGTGTTATCTGTTTTAATCCTCATAACAAGCTTGTGAATGTTATTGTTGTTCCAAATTTTAGATTAACATACCTCATCTTAGAGATATAATTACTCACCAAAGATCACAAATTGTCAGAATGGGGATTTAAACCCAGATATTTTTGGCTGTAAAGACTCATAAACCCTTATGCAATCTGTATCAGATAGTGATGATCTAGGCTACAAGCAGCAATGTGCCTAAGAGTGACAAATAAACATTATTTTTCTCACATATTATGAACTTTGGAGGTAAACTGCCATTATATCAGGGCTGACATCTCTGTAAACCTCTTGGCCATTTCATTGTCACAAAATGGGCTCTGCATCTCTGAACATCATGTACTATTTCAGCATAGGGTGCTAGGAGTGGGTTGTGGGGAGGCATCAATAATGTCTGTTTTATTTGTCATGACCACAGAAGCTTTTCCAGATTTTTCCTCCATGTCACAGAATTCTGCTTTTAGTTCATTGGCCAGAATTCAAACATATGACCACACATTGCTGCGAGAAAGACTAGAAATCAAAAACATTCTGCTTTTCCAGAACCTATAGTGGAGATAGTCAAGGGAGAGGGTTGAGATTGATTTCATTTCCCTCTAGAGGGTAAACCAAATATCAATGGGCAGAATTAACCAGGAGGAAACTACTGGCTTAACAAAAATTATAAGTAGAACTGGTCAGCAATGGAAAATCCAAGTAAATGGCTTACGTTGTGGGCATGATAGAAATCTCGATATACAATGTATTACATATGTTAATATTCTCAAGTGGTCACACATCTAAGAAGTCATTTGCTCTAGCCTTCACCCCCACCCCAATGCATTTATTTATTCAGCAGCACCCTAACCAATTACTGCCAAGCTTCTGTCTGTGCACAGCTGGGTGACACTTTCCATATCATTCAAAACTCATTAACAGCCATCTACCAGAGAAGTGATTGACCCCCACACTGAGATGGTGTTTTTATTAGATGGCTGTATGTGACCTTTTTAGCCCTGAGATGAACCACAAAATAGCCATAATTACTTTTTAAATATTATCTGCAATTATTTAGTGAAACGACTATCCTAGATACATTGAACATTAGGGAAAGAGGTCTTGAAAGGCATTTCATAATGCAACATACTTACTTTACAGATAAAGACAGTGAAACCCAAATTTTCAATAGTAGAATCAAAATGAAAACTGCAGTCTCTTGGGAGGCCAAGGACAGTGGATCACGAGGTCAGGAGATTGAGACCATCCTGGCCAACATGGTGAAACCCCGCCTCTGCTAAAAATACAAAAATTAGCTGGGTGTGGTGGCATGTGCCTGTAATCCCAGCTACTCGGGAGGCTGAGGCAGGAGAATTGCTTGAACCAGGGAGGCGAAGGTTGCAGGGAGCCAAGATCGTGCCACTGCACTGCAGCCTGCCGACACAGCAAGACTCCATTTCAAAACAAAAAAGAAAACTGCAGTCTCCAGATTACAGTCAGTAAGATAAATGGAAAGAGCACTTGAATACTTGAATTAGTTTCAGATCTAGGTTCAAATCCCAGCTTAATCACATGCTAGCTGAGTGACCTTCAGCAAGTTAATTTCTCAAGATTTACGCTTACCACTTTTTTACCCAGCTAACTTTCATAAACATGTACTGATACCTGCTGTATACCAGGCATATATAAGATTCAAGATGCAAAATTAATTAAGACACTATGCTAAGTTTGGAGGCGCTTATAGGCTAGAGTGAAGGGAAGACCTATAAATAAATAAACAAATGAAATACTCTCTAATACAGGAATAAATGTGAGTTAGCCATAGAAAGGAATGGTCAGATCCATTTGAGAGTATCAAAGAATACTTTGCACTATATGACTTAACTGAGAGCCTTGAAGGAAAGAGTGTTGGAATTCACCTTGGTAATTAGTTTCAGAAAAAATTTCACAGCTATGAAATAATATGTAAACACATAGTAGTTTTTATTTATAAAAATAAAATACTACAGGTTTCTGATGACTGCTTTGATAAATAGAAGAGAAAACACCTTCAGAAGTACTCTTTTCTTTACTGCTTGTTAACCCACTGCCTTTCCCTTTATACCAAAGGGTAGCAAACTTTTTAAACAAAGGGTCAAATTGTAAATATTTTTGGCTTTGTAGGCCAGACAGTCTCGGATACTACTATTCAAGTCTGCTGATGTAGCAGAAAAGCAATTATCAGCAATAAATAGACAAATGACCTGGCCATGTTCCAATAAATCTTTATTTGCAAAAACAGGAAGTGAGAAGGATTTGGCCTACAAGTTGCAATTTGCTAACACTTGCTCTATACCATGAAGCCTCACAGGTAATCCAACTCTGTCATTACAAAGTACCAGAGAAGGATTTTGAAACCTCAGGTTAAAAAAAAAGAAAAGAAAAGAAACATAGATTGTGACACCATCTTCACTTCAATATTTGATTCTCACTGTAGGAGATAAGAATCTTCATGTGACTCTTTCTCTTGGGATATTACACCACCACTATCAGTCCAGTTAAAAATGAAGAAGGTTTTTATTATAATTCTGTAACCTGTTGCAAAATCTAATAGGGTAGAAAATTATTAGTAGTTTGGGAGTTTAGAAGTAGGGTCAATATCCTAAAAAGCTTAAATATCATAACTTAAAAATCAGCCTTGAATATGCTTTGTTAAGGGCTTAGTATTTACTCGTGTACAGGACTTTTGCTTTATTCCAAAATGTTACTTTCACATTCTGCAAATATACCGGTTTCAAAATTTCCAAATCCATGTTTCACATACAAATTGCTGCAGTAATTTTCCCAGGTCAGCATAAAATTTGTTCCTGCTGGCCCACATTTGGAAAGATGATCTATGGGAAAACAAATGATCTGGCTGACATTTCTTTTCTTTCTTTTCTCTTATTTTCATGAGTTTGCATTTGCAGTACTTCTCTCAAGGTAATTTCTAATGCGATTGGACCCTCAGCCAAAGTGAGCTCTGGTTAGGGATCTCAAATATTACATACATAGCATTAGTATTGCATTGCAAAGGATTAAAAAGTAATATAATAAGGCTTCAATCTCTCTTTTTTTTCACTTCAGCTTTTATTAAATGTACAAAAGAAATATCATGTGTTTTACCCTCTATAATCCAAATTGTCCCCAACCTGGCCTTCCATACGGTAGAAGAAATAATGATGGAAATGCAAAATGCAGTAAAAATGTGAAATTGCCTTTCTGATGAGGGTTCAGCTATCAAGTAATTTTTAGCTCTGAAATTTTGGTAACTTGAGTAATAACCTGGATATCTATATTCTTCAGACAGGGAACGTTAGTTGGAAAAGAGTCACTGGGGGATAGCTAGGGAGGACTTCGGACAGATAAGTTACTGTGATTAAGTTAGATGAAGGAAGTCTTTTGTTTTCAGATAGAAGAGAGTTTGAAATTGACAAATCTGTTGCCTTTAATAGGTGGAAAAGACAAGTTTCTCAATGTCTGGTTGCACTTCACTGAGCTTTCAACCATCTCCATCAAGAAGTAAATATGAGAGCTCTGAGTTGGTTCTACTTTCTCCAGTTTTCTTCCATTAGAAGAGGTGTAGGTTTAAGGGTAGTCATGAGAGTTAACAACAATAATAGTAGATAGTATGTAGTGAGCCCTGAGTACACTACTCTAAAACCTTTACCTCTATGAATTTATTGAACCTTTCCAAAAGCCCTCATAGTAGGAACTATTATCACCCCAATGTTAGATATCAGAAAAATTAGTACAGACATTTTACACACAAGGTCATATAGTTAGTAAACAGTGGAGGCAAGTTGTGGACTCAGTCTGGTTCCAGCATCTGTTGGCTCGGTCACTTTACCTCCTCCCTTTTCAAAGAGGCTTCAAACTGGACTCTGTGTTGGTATTTGTTTCCCAAACTGATATTGATGTTGTCTTTATTTCTTCATTCTTCTCTGACTTTAAATAAATATTTGATAGGCTATATTCTTTCGAACATAAAGTAGGGATCTTTCAATTCTGTCCTCACTCTGCATGAATCTGGGCACATCACTCAACAGGTGGCATCATTTTCTTTCTTCAAGAGGACATAACTAGATAACTAGACAGGAAGAATAATTATGCTGATTTCTCATGAAAATATAAATAGTTGGTATTCAGTACTTCATGTGGAAGAAATAATATTTCAAGACAATTTTTTACTGATGAATGTCTATATTAGGAAAAAAATGTAAATTTTAGGCTATTTTAAATAAATTCAATTAGGTGGATGTAAGAAGAGTGACAACAATAATACCTTCACCTTAAATTTTTCTATATTTTACCATGCTTTAAAGTATTGTCATAACCTGTACCAATCGCCCTGGAAATTAGGTAACAAAATTATTACTATTGCCATTTTTTGAAGCACAAAATCAGGTATAAAAGCATTTCCTGCCCATCCCCTGTTGAACACTTCTCCAAATGCTCCGTGTGTGTTAAACATCTGATGTTTCCACTAGATTTCAAGCTCCTCGAAGACAAGGAATGCTTCTCCTTTCTTCAGCTACATCCCCAGTTTCTGGCAGAGTTCTTGACAAATAGCAAATATTTAACAAATACATTCAACCAGTGAATAACAAGAGAAGGCTAGTGACTTGCTTTGATGAAAACAGCTGACAGCATAATTCAGGGCTTTTCCCTTAGGTTGGGGGGATATATTATAAACTTTGTAATAAATATAACTTTGTAATATCTAATTATAATAGCAATCATAAATAATTAAGCTTGAAACCTTTACATGTTGGCCCTGGGCAAGAATTCAGTGTGATAAGCATTTGTTCATTCTAACTTTTGCCCCAGCTCTCTCTTCTCTTCCTGGTGAATGTCTATCGATTCATCAAATCCCTAAATGGGTTATCATCTCTGCAAAGCTTTCTCTTCTCCAGACAGTTATTTCCTCTGTACCCATGTTCCCACATTACTTGCCACTAAACTTTCTCATTGTTTTTGTTGCACTGTATTGTCATTATTTTTTGGTAAGACTGCCTTCTTCACTAGACTGAAAAGATCCTACAGGGCAGGGCATTGTGTCATCCCTGGTGCCTGGGACGCTGCATGTATTATCAGGAAGGGATCTGAAGCATCAAATTCAGCTGGAATGAGCACACATTCCAAATTCACAGGATTACCTGATTGAGCTTTTTGTGTGGCTTTATTATTAGCATGTTGATATTATCGGTGTTGGCGCCAAGTCCTATTTCACTATTTTAGACCCAATAAATATGTTTGGTGTTGGTGTTCCCAAACTCTTTCTTTTCCCTGAGCCTGTTGCCTATATATGTGTTGAGTTTAAAAGGTGTTTACTGAAAAAGTAGTTATAATAAGCTAATCATAATAGCTATGGTTTGGGGTAATGTATTGTGCTAAATGCTTTATATACATGTCCACATTTAGTCTTCATAATAAACCTAATAGGTAGATATTATAATATTGACCCCAAGGCAGTAAAGGCTTTACCTTGGACCAAATTATTATTGTGCCATTTCAACAGATACCCAAAAGACAGTTTATTTGGTATTTACTGTACTCTCCACTCCACCTCTGATTCACAAATTATTAAAAATATAACACCCATATTCTGTCAAAAGAGGGGAAATAAATGGCAATAGTTTAAAAAATAAGCTCAGCTTTGAACCATAGCTCCTTCCAACAGGGGCCCTAGATTACACTCCTGCTGTATTAGTACTTACTTTTTAAATGTAGGTGGGCATTCCTTTCTGGTGCTGGTAAATTGGAGAAACAAGTGGGTGGAATTCACATTTCTCCCCAGTTGGGATCTAGAGTCTGATTGTTAGTGATACTCAGAGCTCTTCAGGGTGCTGCCTCCAGAGTGAGCAGTCTCCTGGGTGAGCTTCAAATAACAGAACAGCCAGATGACCCATCACAAACGCACCAGGCCTCTGGCCCAAGGGTGCTTATAGAAAAGTACCCTAAATAAAATTAAAAAAAAAAAGAAAAGTCCAGGTTAGGACATTGTATATGTTAGAATTTGGTAGAATGGATATGAACTAAGTAACTGAATTAAAGAATGTGAATCCTTTTCTTTTGATGCCAAATGTCATATCTCCTCCACTAAAATTGTTATTCCTTCAGAGTTACAGCATGTTATTTGTAAAAACTGCTAATTTGAAATTGTGCTTTGTTATAGTGCATCTACACACAGGTTAGTAAGGCAGTCACTAGACATTATTAAAAAGGGGTACAGAAATTCTGTGGCTCTGTGCCTCCAGATTCTACCTGATTGATACTTCACTACCAATGCCCAAAGGCAAAACACAGGCCATTCAAAAAGTGTTTTTTACTTTATTCCTTACCTCTAGCAGTGGGTTTATCTAGGGCTGAGAAGCCTTAAGGTAAAGTCGCCCTTGGGCAGCATTGTCTTGTTATGCAGTGATTCTCAACCCTTGTTGCATATGGGACATAGTGGGGAATTTTCAGAACTACAGAAAACCTGGGTATATCTCTAGAATAATTAAATCATAATCTCTGGGGAGGGAGTGCCATTTTTTATGTTTTTAAACAGATTCTCATGTGCAGCCAAGGTTAAGACCCACCTGTCTGACAGGAACTGGTTTATGTAAACAATGCCAACAAAAATAGGCATGCCTATTTATTTCAGTCTATTACCTTGCCATTTCCACCATTTTTTTCTTTTATTAGTTAAGGCAATATGAATTTCACAACCACAACTACTACCACCACCAATTTGAATTTCACAACCACAGCTACCACCACCACCACTATTATATATTAGGCTCCAGTGGTGCAACTAGGTATTAATATATATCTTAAGAGAGAACAACACTTCAAGAATACTATTATGAGAACCCCCAATAATGAGGAAATTGAAACTCAGAGAAGTAATGATCTCACAGCTACTATGCAATGGAATAGAGACCTCAAAGCCTGAATCCCCCACTTACGATCCTTAGCAGTTATAGGTTCCTTTGAGGTTGGGGACCTAGCTTAGAAGTTGTTGGATTTCCCTTAGCCTTAAACTACTCAGAAATATTTGAAGATACTCTTCAATTTTTTATTCATCTGGATAGAATGTACTGTTCTTCCACGTAGCTCTCCTTCAATCATGCTGATCCCACTGCTTATATCCTCAACCATTCCCTATTTCCCATCTCTCTCATGGAGCCATAATGCTTTCTACTTGATTGCAAGAGTGGCCCTTTAACACTAGCCCCATACTTTTGATTTTATTTTGGTATCTTTCAGTTTTGCACCTACCTCCTAACATATGCTAATTACCCTGAAGTTATGTCATGGCCAAGCATCAGTGATTTTGTTTCCCTGCAATGAAGCAAGAAGAGTGCCGACATTAGAGTCAGGAGATACCTGTTTCAGTCCTGATTCTACTGTTTACTGGCCAGGTGTCCTTGAGATATTACTCGAGATCTTTGAGCCTGTGCCCTTACTGGTAAAACTGATCTGTAAAATGGATCAGAATACCTACTTTTCTGGAGATATATGCATTAAGTTTTCTGGTATATGGCCTGATTCATAGACTCTAGGTAAGTATGTAGTATCTTTTTTCTCTCTTTCTGACCTCTTACATCTCTGTATGAGAAGTTATACTTAACCAGCACAATGATTGCTACTAAGATGTTGCATCACCACTGACATTTGTCTAGTGATCACTTATTTCCCTAGAGGAGATTTGAATTCAATTTAAAAAAATACAGTGCATGCAGACCTAGGCGTTATGTGTCTGTCCAGTAAAAGACTGGGGCAGTGTGGACAGTAGAACTCAGAGATTAAGGCAACTGGTGGGGTTTTGTGTTAAAAGCAATTTTAGATTATTGGCTGAGAAATACTCCTGGTGTGCCTGCATTCTTCAATATTGCCTTCTTTAGATACTACCAATTAGCAAATAAACCAGACTCTCCTGCAAAATACTTCATTACTTTTTCTCTACGTTTTCTCTGTGACCATATTTCTGGCTGTGTTTACTTACTGGGTGACTTTCTGTAATTGGGTTCAAACAGTTCAGCAAACATACTAGTCCCCATGCACACACAAGCCTAATCTCTAAGTAACCAGTGTGGCTCTTAGATGGACGTATGGCCAGGAGATTTACTGATACTGAAGAAATTAAAGTCGTCATGATTATTTTTCTGTACTTTATTTTCTGGAGAGCAAAAAAGCAAAACTATTCACATGTTGCTAAAATCTAGCTTGTAATCTTCAGGTCTAAGAAGTACATGTAGCAACAATGCTCTATGAGTAAAAATAAGACTCTTTTCTAAAGGGGATTATTTTAATGAGGGCTACTTCCATGGGGAGATGCTGGAATTCCAGGTTCCAGAATTCAGCTCTGCTTCCTAAGGGATGATCTTGATAGACCAAGGAAAGGACACCACAGAGTCCAGACTCCTTCTTAAATTGGAAAAAGTGTATATCATTGCATCAAAGGGAGGTGAGATGTTGACATAAGACTTGTGCCAAAATGGAACTGAAAGCAGGAGAGATCACCGTCTTAAAATTCTCTGCTCTAGGATTTTCTTAAAAATAAAGAGAAAAAATAGATGAACAAATACCAATAAGCATTTGTTGAATATCCACTGCATCAACTATAAGAATAAAAAGTTGCAAGTAATTAACCTTTCTAGATCTCAGCTTTAACTATAAGATGGAAATGATGAACACGGTCTACTTCAAAATGTTATGTTGAGGATATGACGAAATAATGGTTATAATAGTTGCTGGCACATTAATGCTTCATAAGTGTAGGCCCCCTTCATCCTATTACTTTTGCTTTTAACACAGTTCCAACAAGTTTTATAATTTAGATGATCAGCCCGTAACCCTCCATCCCTTCAGCTTGATAGAAGTACAAAGAGAAGGCTAGGGAAATAAGTAATAGCTGAAACAGTGTCGTGATACAGAGGAGAAAAGAAACGCTAAAACCCTTTATAATATGTAAATGTACATGCTCAAGATATAGAGCTCTTGAATATTTAATGAAATAAATGAAAATAAACCATTATAGTCTGTGCAGACATCACTGTAATGTAATTTATTACAATAAGAGATGTTTGTTATGAATGATCCCAGTGAGCAAATCCACATTTATGACTAGTAAAATGATAACTACTACTACATGTTAAGGATTATCATGTATTATTTAATTTTCATATGTGTACTTCAAAGTATGTATTACCACTTTATTTTATTATTATTATTATTGTTATTTTGAGATGAAGTCTCACTCTGTCACCCAGGCTGGAGTGCAGTGGCGCCATCTTGGCTCACTGCAACCTCTGCCTCCTGGACTCAAGCGATTCTCCTGCCTCAGCCTCCCGTGTAGCTGGGATTACAGGTGACTGCCACCACACCAACTAATTTTTTTGTATTTCAGCATGTTAGCCAGGTTGGTCTTGATCTCCTGACTTCGTGATACTCCCGCCTTGGCCTCCCAAAGTGCTGGGATTACAGGCTTGAGCCACCGTGCCCGGACTAATATCACCACTTTATATGTGAAGAAACGGAGGCTCATAGTTGTTAAGGAACTTTTTAAGGTTACAAAGGGATTAGCTAGGACAATTTTAAACTATTTGGAAAATTAATTTATTGGAAACTCCTCTTTTTTATGTCCCAGAAAAAAAAATAAGTTATAAAATATTAAGCTAAGTTTTAGATCCAGTTAGGTATAAACATTTTCAGAGAAGAGAGTGAACAAGTTGCCTTCTAAGAATAGAGTTCATCAAGGAAATAGGCTTGGGGTTGGAATCTCGGTAGATGTTAAAGAAAAGAGAGCATGTTAGTTGGGTAAACGTCTGTGGACAATTGCACGAAGGTGGAGTTAGATTCATGTGGGTGCTGGCTTCGAACTGTACAGATTTGATACCTGTCTCAAACTGTGCTTCCAAATAATGATTTGTGAATTAACAAATAAATATCTCTCTTATTTTTTTTTGGTACCAAGTTGTATGCTAAGCATTGTGATACTTCACTAGACCTATACTTTCAATGAGTTTTATATTTTCATATTTCCAAGTGTCTTAATAAAGTTTACTTCTCTTTTTGTTTGATCTTTCTGTCTTCCATCCATGACAAGCTGCCATATTGGTTTTGTTAAATTGCCAGCTCTCAGTGAAATCCATAGTCACTGTGCTATAATGATATTTTGTAAAGCACTGTTTCTTCCTTAATAGTGGTATGTTGGAGAGAAACTTTCCTTCATTTCTAGGATCTTACTTCTGTTGTGGATTCTGCCTAATAAATTCTTATTTAAGTCAGTGAACAGGGTAATTGCCCCCAAGCCTCAGAGGCTATTAACAAGGATAAGAAGATACAAGGAATATGTAAGTTTAAGACCACTATCAGAGATGGGAGACCTAGTCAGAGGTACCAAATTATATAGTCATTTAGACTATTTTTTTCTACAAATTCTACTGAGAAGAGTATTTATTATGTGAAAAAAATCTTAACAATATATTAAATGTGAAAGCAGATTAAAAATAAGAAGTAGAATCTGATAGTACTTTTTGCAGAAAAAAATATATACACATAGAAAAAGTCTAGGAAGACAATAAAAAATATTAAAAATTGTCATCTCTAACAATGGAGATATGAGTAATTTTTCTCTTTGCTTATGTGAATTTTCTAACTTTTCTACAATGAATATGATAATTACAACAATCCTAGTAATGACATCCAACTCTTATTGAGTGTACACTATTGAGCTAAGTACATAGGCTCTGCTCTGGGGTTGAACCACGTGAACTTGGATCCTGGGTTCTCTTTTATTAGCTGTGTTAAGAAGTAGGCCAGATACCTCATATGTATGACCTCACAACATCTCTATGGGGTAGATACTGCATCTACCCGTAGCCCATAACGTAATTTTATACATTAAAAAACTGAAGCTTGTAGAGTTGAATAAACTTACCCATGTTCACATAGAATGTGCACATATAAAACACATAATAAAAGTGAAAGTTATCCTGATAAAGAATGTCAGACTCAATCATGTTAATTACAATAAAATCTCACAAATGAAATTCTGTCAAGATTATACATACATATATGCATATATTTGTGTAGTGTGTATATAGGAGTGAGGGAAGAGGGAGAGAAGGCATCCCCTTGGATTGAGTTTAGAAATTGATAGGTATGAGGATAAGAGCAAGAATACTCAATTTGTAGAGATTCCACTCAGCAAATTCATCAAGCTTATCTTTTTCTCCTCTGTTTCTGCTATAGTCAGCCATGTTCTGCATCCCTTGAACCCAGAAGAGGTACATAGCCACAGACCTACTTTAGAGTGGGAAGACTGGCTGTTTTCCTAGACTTGGCTCCCGGGGAGCCATGCTGGCCATTTAATGTGGTTGCTGGCTTGTGGCTTAGTACTAGAGATGATGGCCCACCAGAGGAAGAGAGCTTGTGAGAGCCAAGAAAATGGGTCAAACATAGGAAGCCAGGAAAGGAAGTTAATCCATGTGACTAGCATGAGGCTCTGTGGTCTTGGTAAAGGGAATCTCTAAGTGAGGCCAAACTGTGAGTTGGAAGTAAGGGAGGAATACTTTATGAGTCAATAGTCATTCCCTGAGTAGGAGCTCTTTTATGGCATGACAAGCAAACATGAAGTTCTGTGAGCATTGAAAATGGTTGGGAGGAACAGAATTAAATCAAGTCCAAAAGACACTGGGCTTGCAGTAGAAGATTGGGGAACAGGGAGAGATGAAGCTAGAGAAATTAAATAGTTATCCATTAGGAAGCTATAACAGCTATCCTCCAGTTGTGATAGCATTTAACCAGATTATTTATTTTCTCTGGTTTTACTTTTTAACATCTCCTAATTTATGTTGGGGAATTTGAATTACCCATTAGGCAAACTAAGCGTGCACTCAGAGAAGTGGCAAAGCATGGGCCCCCCCAAAATGAGAAAAGTTCCTATTGGTAAATACATCAAAATTTCACAATCAGAAAAATCTTGAAAGAAGCTATTTGAATTGCTACATGAATATGGATATGCATGTTATGCTGTGAATTAAAATAATAAAAATTTATGTTGAATTATATTGGTGGGGCTAGTATCTTTTCAGGGGTTGAGGTGATTAAATTTCTTAATCCAGCCCTGTAAATACCATAGACTGAAAGTCATTTTCATCATAATCATCATCGATATTACCCTAAAATTTGAGCCCTTGCAATGTACTAGATAGGCATGGTGCCAAGTTCATGACAATCATTACCTAATTTAATTCTTACAACTATCCTAAGAGGTAAACATCATTATCCTCATATCACAGATGAAGTTAGATGAGGCTGAAAGAGGTTAAGTGACTTGCCTGAGGTCCCACAGCTGATTGATGATGCAGCTGAGATGCAAATCAATTTCTCCTTCCTCAGAGCTTTTGTGTACTCCATGAGTGAAAAAGGTGATATTGCTAGCAGTGTAGGTAGTAATGACATAAAACACCCGTAAACTGTTGGAAAACGTAAATCATCAGCATGTATATATTACTTTACAAGGGTCACCTCAGTTTTGATGTCTGATCCAGAATTCCTTGGAGATCAATCAGTATTGTCAACCTACTTGCTCAAATATTGTAGCAGTTCCCACTTGGGGCATGACCTTACTATCAAAATCAGAGAGTCGTTGTGTTTTGTTTTTAAGATTATCCTCCAGCACAATGTTGTTACCAGTGCCAGCAATGGTATAAACTTCTTTGTATTACTTCTGAAGCCATGTTAAAATGGTTGTCTACCTTTTCCTCCCTCCCTCCCTTCCTCCCTCTGTTCCTTCATTCCTTCCCTTCCTTCATTCCTTCCCTTCCTTCATTCCTTTCCTTTCCCTTCCCTTCCCCTTCCTTCCTTTTTTTTTTTTTTTTTTTGCTTTCTTTATTGCTTGCTTTCTTGCTTTATTCTTTTTTGTAGTAAAGGACTTTAATTAAAATATAAGGATTTGACTTAGTTCTGGATGGCATCAGTTTTTAAATAGTATTAAATCATATATTTTTGAGGCTGCAAATTTTAGCTATTTGCATTTTGGAATGTATTTCTTCCTGTAGAGCTGTATATATTACAGGTTGTAAATTAATTTAACATATTCTGATTTTATTTGCCAAGTTGATCTAGAGTGGAATAGATTTTACTTTCATAGACATCAGCTTTCTCAGCCGAAATGTCACTTTCTCAAGGAACCCATCCCTAAAACCTCTCTTATATACCCCCATAGCCTCTAACACTTCCCTTTTATTCATGCTATCAAAGTTGTAGTTAAATTATTATCTCTGAGGTTATTTATTCAAGGTCGTTCCCATTAGTCTGAAATCACCATCAGGGCAGGGACAATATCTAGCTGATACAATGCTGTAAACTGAGGCCTTTTGAAGGCAAAGCACTGGATTATAGTAGGTATGCAATTAATATTTGTTGAACAAATGAATACACCCAAATTGTTTTCCTATATTTAGTTCTTAGCTTTATGAACAGACAGGTTTCAACTTTGCGTAGTTTGCTACCTTTGAGAATTGAAAATGCCAAAAAGTGACATTACCTTTCAAAGCTAATGGAGACCCTGAGAAAACTTGTAATATGTCACTTGAAACTCAGAAAAGTGGTTAAACAAACACCTCTATATCTGCTAGTGGGTAAGGATGGCAATTAAGTAACTTGAAAGAATTAGCAAAATGCACAGGAGTGTCCCCTAAAACCTCCAAACTTGCATGGTCCCTCATACAGGCCAGACCTCAGAAGTTCTGGGATGTATTTCTGGAAAAAGATGAGCATTAGTTTCATAAAACTCAAATATTTCAACATTTTGACAATAGCTTTCCTTTATCCTGACTGCATTTGATTGCAGGAGACTGAAACATAAGATTGGCATACTCTTATAAAAGAAGGTTTTTGAGAATAATTCTCATTTTGAATGTTGATTTAATGAAGGTCTTAGAGTTTGTTGCTCTGATAAATTCTGCTTAATATTTGCATATTATGAGGATGTGCCCAGCCTACAGCATATGTAGAAGTGTCTCTCCCCTCTACAGGCAGGCCCTATAGTTTGGTAGCAGATACCTCACCCTCTGGCCTACCACCTCTGACACATGACACTCACGTCTTCAACTTAGTTTCATTTCTTCGAACCCTACTATTTTTTCAAAAAGTGTCATTGTATTTGTGACAATAATATTCTCAGGCACTTGTAAGCATTAAATAATTTGTCTAAGACCTTATATCCTTAGAATAAATTAATTCCCAGTATGAGTGATACTAGGATTAAAGGAGATCTGAACACTTTGGAGTCATAGAACTGATTTTCAGAGAACTGAAATGTAAAACTGAACATAGACTTTATCATCACTATGGCTGTCTTTTTTTTGGCCAGAGACAAAGCTGTTTTATTGTGAATACTGTTCTTCTGTGGATTTCTTCATTCGCAGTTAAGGAGCTTGGCTTTAAGAAAAAAGTGTAAACAGCTTTTTAAATTTTCTGTAATTTGAATGTACCTGGCAGCTTCAAAAGTTATTGCAGACTAGAATTGATTGCTTTAGATTGCTTTTGAAAAGGGGCCAGCTCTTTTCTGATCCAGTAGAAGCATACAGCAGAGATCAGTAATGTAACAAAAAAGAAACTGTGGATTGAATGCCAAATCAGTCATGGACCAAACCCAATGGTTGACGTGGTCCTAGATCGTAAGAGCACATATTTTAGTCAGAACCTAATTTAAAGCAAAAGCAGTTGTATTTTTACTTGTTAGGGAGCTATTTGGAATGCAGATGTTTAACAGCACAATTTCATTTTCAGAAACATTTCTCTTTGTTTGGTGCCATCAAAATTTAGCAACGCAATTTCCAAAAGACCTTTCATTGGACCAAGGCAGCAGAGGACTATCAGTCCTTTCAATTTATCCTTATAGCACTCTTTATAAAGCAACAGGGACTTTGCATGTGAACAGCAAAAAGGCAATGGATAGGGAAAGTCATGAGGATGTCTGAAAAGTGGGCTAGAACATGAGTGGTAGGTATAAATGACATCCAGGTGTATAAAGCTCCTACTCATCCACTCAACTGAATTCTACTGGGTCTCAACAAGAGTCTGTATTGTAGCTGTGTAATTGAGACTTATTGAATACTCCCTCTTGAATGGCCTGGGTGCTTTCTGGAACTGAAAGGGGGGCTGCCTGCCATGGCACAGTAACCATACCAGTGGAGAAGGATATGGGCATTGCATCAAGGTCCTCTTTAGGTTGTGTTGACTTTAATTTGTTCCAAGTGGAACGAGGTGCTGTTTCTGATGTGCTGCCTACCTCATAGACAAAGACCACCTAATAGATTGGATGCAAATAGGCAGTAAGTTTTCCCATTGCCCTATAAACTTCCTACACATTAGCTGTTTAAAGAAGGACAAGCGGCCAGGCGCGGTGGCTCACGCCTTTAATCCCAGCACTTTGGGATGCCGGGGTTACAGTGAGCCGAGATTGTGCCACTGCACTCCAGCCTGAGCAACAGAGCGAGACTGTCTCAAAAAAAAAAAAAAAAAAAAAAGCCAGGCGCGGTGGCTCACACCTGTAATCCCAGCACTTTGGGAGGCTGAGGCGGTTGGATCACGAGGTCAGGAGATGGAGACCATCCTGGCTAACACGGTGAAACCCCGTCTCTACTAAAAGTACAAAAATTAGCCGGGCGTGGTGGCGGGCGCCTGTAGTCCCAGCTACTCTAGAGGCTGAGGCAGGAGAATGGCGTGAACCCGGGAGGCGGAGCTTGCAGTGAGCCAAGATCGCGCCACTGCATTCCAGCCTGGGCGATAGAGCGAGACTCTGTCTCAGAAAAAGAAAAAAAAAAAAAAAAAGGACAAGCAAAGCGGTTGTCTTCAATTGGAAGTTGTAGACAAGAGAGGAAAAAATATCAGATAATTGATTTTCAGCTTTTCTTTACTAACGGATGATTGTTTAGGAAATTGCACATAAAGTGATGCATACCCTTTGCTGTACAAATTACACCAAAGGAACATATTCTGAGGATGAAATAAATGACCTTTCTGCAGAAAAGAAAATATTTTATTGTTGGTTGTGTCCTAATAAATTTGCACCAGGTGAAACCTCTCAGATGTGTTTTTCAGTGTCAGTTCCTGGGCTCCGACTTGGATGTCTCGGACCCAACACCAATTTTTCAGAAACCAATTCACAGGTAGTTTGCAATTTATGTTTTATTGGCTTATGCGTGAGATCTGAAATAAAGAAGATTTCTTTGAAAGGTCTCACGAAGGCACTTTGGCACTTGAGTGTATAATACCACATTTCATTTAGCCCAGCAGGCCTAAATGAATACTCACTATCAGATGGTGAAAAACTCCACCCCGATGTAATTGACAACTGCATTTCTGCTTGGCCTTCTCACCAACATGGGGATTTTATAAAATTAGAATTTGTTTCCCACCACCACCCACCCGGCCGCCCCACCTCTCCCACTGCCCACCTCCCCTGCCGACCCACCTCCTCCATCAAGTTTGACTCAGAGATTAATATTTAAAGTACTTACATCACCAAAAGAAAGGTAGAAGTTTCATTTGTATTACTTTTATTTATTTATTTATTTTTTTTTTTTTTTTTTTTGAGATAAGTAACATGGTGAAGTGGGAAGCATCAGGATTTGGAATCTGACTGACCTAAATTTGAATTGCAGCTTTGCTATTTAATAGCTGCATGACCTTGAGCAATTACTTAGTTTCTCTGAACCTCAATTTCTTTACCCCAGAAATGGGAATAATAACATTGGGACTTTCAGGACTATTACAAAAATTACTTCTAATTCTGTAAGTTTCTTGGCACATTAATAGTAGATGATCAATAAATGGTAGCTCCAGCTGCTATGATTGAAGCTGTTCCACAGCCAGAAGAAATGGAGTATACATAAATTCAAACCTCTTGCTTGTGGCTGCAAGAAACTGCAGATGCTTCTGGACTTGTATGAGAAAATATAATTAAGGCAAAAATTTTATATTCATTTAAGCCTTTCAAGTTTAGAAAACCATTTCCATCAGACCTCTCAAAATCGTGATCAGTCCTTTCCTTAGGATCTGTAAATAAGAACAGAGAAGGCAAATGCAAATTTTGTGCTGACACCAAACTTAAAAACCTATGTTCTAGGTTCACTAAATGCACCTCAACTTTTGCCCAGTTTTTGATGGCAAAGAGAGTGACAAGATGTCATATATTCATACCTAGAAATGAAATAAGGGGAATGTACTGAGCAGGAAAGCAGGATGAAATAGTGTAAAAATCTGGGACTGAACACTGAGGTTTGAATTCTGGTTTCAACAATATCACTTACCAGCTGTTTGACCTTAGACACATTGTTTCATGGTAATGGACCTTAGTTTTCTCCCCTGCTCTGCCTACCATATGGGGCTATTGTGAAGATGTAGAGAAATGAAGGCTATAACAGTATTTTCAAAAAACCAAAGTCTTACACAAAAATGAGATGTCATTTTGCACAGGTTTTCCTGTATGGCTCCAATGTTATATGGACCTTAATTTATTCCTGGTGTCACTCCTGCTAATGCTGTGACCATGGGAAAACTACAGAATCTTTCTAAACCTATTTCTATATCTTAAATTGTCACCTCAATGTTTACTATATATGGTTACTGGGATAAAATGAGTACATATGCTTGAGACACTTTGTAAGTAGTCAATATACTGTAGATATGTTGGTGATGGTGGTGATCTTATTTAGCAACTAGCCCAGAAGCAGAAAGCCTTGCCCAAAATATAATTTGAGAAAATAAGTTTAGGACCAATATGGAATCCTGACATTCAGTTGAAATAAACTGACCTTTATTGAGTCTCTGTTCATAAGCACTACAGAATTTTTAAATGTCAGCCTCTGGAAATTACAATGGAAATAGGGAGAGGGATGACAATAGACAGACAGGTAAATGCATAAATAGACATTGTTGAGCATAATTATGTGCCAGGTAATGTGCTAAGTACTTCACAGAAATGAGCTTATGTTATTTTCACAACAATTCTATGAGATTGGTGTGAAAGCTTATTTTATAAATGAGGAAACAGAGGCACAGAGAGGTTAAGTGACTTGCCCAAGTTCATAGCTAATAATGGTCAGAGTTGGTTTGGGAACCCAGAAGTTTTACTCTGAAGTTCATACCTTGTCCATTATGACCAGGAAAAATGAGGTGCGTAAATGTTATACAAAGCTTTATCACATTATACACAAACATAGAAAACAGTGTTTCAGAAGAGAAGCAAAGGCCATTGGCCTTCAAATATTTATGCAACAATGAAAATGTTCTCAGCCCTTAAATGAGCACTTGTGACTTGTCCAAAGTGAGATAACTAGTCAATGGAAGAGTTCAAACTAGAGCATGTATCTTAGTCTGTTCTCATATTGCTATAAAGGACTGCCTAAGACTGGGTAATTTATAAAGGAAACAAGCTTAATTGACTCACAGTTCTGTATGGCTGGGGAGGCCTCAGTAAACTGATAATCATGGCAGAAGAGGAAGCAAGCATTCCCTTCTTCACATGGCAGCAGGAGAGAGGAATGCTAAGCAAAGTGGGAAACTCCTTTATAAAACTATCAGATCTCATGAGAACTCACACACTATCACAGGGACAGTATGAAAGTAGCTGCCCCCATGATTCAGTTACCCCCCACCAGGTCCCTCCCACGACATGTGAGGATTATGGGAACTACAATTCAAGATGAGATTTGGTGGAGACATAGCCAAACCATATCAGCATGTTTCCTAAACCAAAGTCCCACATTTTCCAAGTTCAATTCAAGTATTTACTGAGAAATAATAATTATATTGTGAAATAATGGGAAAGAAAGAGTGAGTTTACAAATAAAGGATAGTTCTTGCCTTTGAAGAGCTTACGATCTAGTAATAAGAAGGACAGTTGTGCCCACATGTAATTATATAACTCACCTTAATGGGACAAGTTCAATAGCAAGGGATATCCTGCATGTTGTTTCTGTACATCTCAATTTAATCACTGAGCACACTTGTTTATTCAAAGTCTTTCTGCCCTGCAAGAATTCTACCTGGTCTAAAGTTCACTACATCATCCTTAGCATAGTTCCTGATAGAAACTAGGCACTCAGTAAACATATATTGAATAAAATGCATAAATACAAAAGCAAAATGATATAAGCCCAGAGGAGAAGATGGTTAATTAAATGTGAATTGGAAATGTACTGGCTAAAGCACAGCCAGCTAGGATAAACTTTACCAAAATGTTAGGTCTCTAAGGAAAAGAGATCATTTAGATGAAAGAGGACCTGTAATTTATATTAGTCCATACCCTGCCTTTAGGCCAATTTGTAGATGAATTACACTGGCAAGTCAGACTCTGGTTTATTTTTAACCCAGACTTTTTTTTTTAACCGTTTGATAAATTTAGAAAATATCTATTACAAGTTATTCATTTGAAAAATAAGAACTTGCAAAATTTAAACTGAAGAAAAACTGATTCCATTTTATGATTGCATTACAAATTCTGGTTATGACAGCTCCAAAAGCCAGGCACTCTACTTCAAGGAGGCCTCAGTGGTGTGTCCAAGACTGTCCCAGAGTAAAAGAAATGTCCATTTATATTTACTTGATTTTGGTTTTGTGTATTAAACCCTACTATGTGTTTTAATTATCTTTTTAAAGAGATGTATTTCCTCAGTTTGTGACCATTCCCTCCTTCCTTTCCTTTCTTCTTCTTGCCCACCCTTCCTTCCTTCCTTCCTTCTAGCTTCCTTCCAACTTCCTTCCTTCCTCCTTTTTTTCCTCTTCACTTCCCCCCTTGCTTTTTTCAGTTATGACTCATTACCATAATGTTATTTTTACCCATATCATTATTCATACATTTTCTCCCTCATAAAACAGTGCAGTGGGCAAGGGATAGCACATGCTATGCCCTTTCTAGGGCCTCCACACTCTCCTACACTACCTTTTCTGCTTTTGGCAACCAGGAAAGAGTCAGTAGAGGATCTAGAACGGGAAGAGTTGGGGGAAGAGACACTTGGAAACAATACACCCAGGATGTTACACGTATTAGTCTCCCAAAAGTCTAATCAAAAGCCATCCTATCATTTAAATCAATACAATTGAATAAATTAACTTTCAAGATGATGCAAGCTTTGGACAAGAGCATATTTATGCCTCATTCACAAAGCTCAGGGTTTAGTACTACAGTTACTGTGTTAAGAACTAAGGAACTTAAAAGACAAAAGTATAAAAATAACCATAAGTAAAAAATAAGTTAATGGACACATAATATAAAAAGACGTAATTTGTAAAATCAAAAACATAAAGTTCTTATGTGGGGGGAAGAGTAAAAGAGTAGAGTATTTGTATGCAATTGAAGTTAAGTTATTATCAGCTTAAAATAGATTATTATAACTGCAAGATGTCTTATGTAAGCTTCATGGTAACCACAAAACTATAGCTATAGAAGATATGCAAAAGAAAATGAGAAAGAAATCAAAAGCAACAAGAGAGAAAAACAGGGACAAAAAAGATTCAAAACAGAAAACTATTAACAAAATGGCTATAATAAGTCCTTCCTTATCAATATATAATTACTTTAAATGTAAATGGATTAAACTTTGCAATCAAAAGATAGAATAGCTAAGTGGATTTTAAAAATAAGATTCTCAGCTGGGCACGGTGTCTCACAACTGCAATCCCAGCACTTTGGGAGGCCAAGGCGGGTGGATCACATGAAGTCAGGAGTTCGAGACCTGCCTGGCCAACATGGTGAAACCTGTCTCTACTTAAAATACAAAAATTAGCCGGGCATGGTGGTGTGTGCCTGTAATCCCTGCTACCAGGAGGCAGAGGTTGAAGTGAGCCGAGATTGCACCACCGCACTCCAGTCTGGGTGACAGAGAGAGACTCCATCTCAAAAAAAAAAAAAAAAAAAAAAGATTCTCATTATATGTTGTCTATAAGACTTACATTAACTTAGTGACATACATTGGCTGAAAGTCTGAAAGTGAAAGGATAGAAAAATATAATCCAGGAAAATGGTAATAAACTATAGGTAAAAAATGTTAAAAAATATAAAGAAGGATATTATATAATGATAGAAGGGTCAATTCAGGAAAATATAACAGTGTTAAATATATATTCACCTAACATCAGAGCACCCAAATATATAAAACAGACATTGATAGAATTAAAGAAAAATACAGAGCAAGTCAATATTATTAGGGGATTGTAATACTCTTCTTTCAATAATGGACAGAGTATCCAGACAGAGGATTGATAAGGAAACAGAGGACTTGAATGACATTATAGATGAAAAGGACCTAACATATACAGAACATGCCAGCTAACAGCAGGAGAATATGCATTATTCTGAAGCGCACATGGAACATTTTCCAGGATAGATGACATATTAGGTCTCAAAACAACTCTTAACCAATTTAAGAAGATGGAATCATGCCAAATATATTTTCCAACTACAATGAAATAAAACTAGAAATTAATGGCTGAAGAGAAATTGGAAAATTTACACATGAGGAAATTAAACAACTCACTCTTAACCAATAGGTCAAAGAAGAAATCAAAACGGAAATCAGAAAATGTCTTGAGACAAATGGAAATAAAAGCACAGCATACCAAAACTTATGGGATACCATAAAAACAGTACTAAAAGTAAAGTTTGTATTAATATACACTTCCATTTAAAAGGAAGAAAGATCTCAAATAAACAACCTAATTCTACATTTCAAGAAACTGGAAAAAGGAAGACAAACTAAGCACAAAGTTAGCAGAAGGAAGAAAATAATTAGAGAAAAAAATAAAGAATAAAATTAAAAGAAAAAAATCATTGAAACTAAGAGTTACATATTTTAAAACATCAACAAAATTGGTAAAGCTTTAGCTAGATTAACCAATAAAAAAAGAGAAGGCTCAAATAGCTAAAATTTTTTAAAATGAAAGAAGTTATGTTACTACTGGTTATATGGAAATAAAAAGGACTATAAGAATACTGGGAACACTTGTATGAAAAGTTAGACAACCTAGATGAAATGAACAAATTCCTAGAAACATATAACCTTCCAAAACTGAATCATAAATAAAAAATTTATATAGACCTATAAACAATAAGCAGATTAAATTAGTAATCAAAAGCTTCCCCACAAAGGAAAGCCTAGGACCAGATTGCTTCACTGGTAAATTCTACCAAACACTTAAAGAATAATTAATGGCAATCTTTCTCAAACTCTTCCAAAATATTGAAGAGGAAGGAACAATTCAAAACTCATTTTATAAGGCTAGCATTACCCTGATGCTAAAGCTAGAAAAAAAATCACAGAAATACTACTGCACACCAATATCGTCAATGAATATAGATGCAAAAATTCTCAACAAAATAATAGCAAATGAAATTTAACAGCACATTGAAAAGATCATATACCATGGCCAAATGGAATTTATTTCTGAGATGCAAGAATGGTTCAACATACGAAATTTAATCAATTGGATAAATCACATTAAAAGAATGAAATATAAAAATAATGCAATTATATCAATAGATGCAGAAAAAGCAGTTGACAAAATTGACACATTTATTTCATTTCAAAAAAATAAGTGGGAGTTGAACAAAGAGAACACATGGACACAGAAAGGGGAACATCACATACCAGGGCCTATTGGAGGGTGAGGGGGTTGGGGGAGGAATAGCATTAGAGAAATACCTAATGTAAATGACGAGTTGATGGGTGCAGCAAACCAACATGGCACACGTATACCTATGTAAAAAACCTTCACCTTGTGCACATGTGCCCTAGAACTTAAAGTATAATAATTAAATTTAAAAAAAACCTCAACAAATTAGGAATAGAAGAAAATTACCTTACAATATAAAAATCAGATATGAAAAGTCCTAAGCTAAACACCATACTCAATGGTGAAAAACTGAAAGCTTTTCCTCTAAAATTAGGAACAAGGATGTTCACTCTCACCATTCTACTCAACATAGTACTGGAAGTAACAGCCAGAGTAGGTAGGCAAGAAAAAGAAAAGAAACCTCAATTGGAAAGGAAGAAGTAAAATTATATTTGTTCACAGATAATATGATCTTATAGGTAGAAAATTCTGAAGATTGCACACACAAAAAATCTGGAACTTAATTTAAAAATTCAACAAAATTATAGGATACAAAATCAATATACAAAAATTAGTTGTGTTTCTATACACTAACAGTAAAATATATGAAAGGAAATTAAGAAAGCAATCCCATTTACAATACTATCAAAAAGAATAAAATATTGAGGAACACACTTAACAGAAGAATGATTTGTTCACTAAAAACTACCAAATATTGCTGAAAGGAATTAAAGACACAAATAAATGTAAATGTGCATGGATTGAAAGATAATATTGTTAAAATGTCCATATTACTCAAAGTAAGTTACACATTCAATGTAACCACTATCAAAATCTCGATGGTATTTGTTACAGGAAAATTTAAAAAAAATCATATGGAACCACAAAGGACCCCAAATAGCCAAAACAATCATGAGAAAGAAGAGTAAATCTGAAAACTTGATACCTCCTGATTTAAAAATATATTACAAAGCTACAGTAATCAAGACACTATGGCACTAAGCTGGACATACAAATTAATGAAACAGAATAGAGAGCCCAGAAATAAACCCACACAGATAAAAATCAAATGATCTTTTACAGAGGTGCCAAGACTACACATGGGGAAAGAAGAGTCTCTTTTAACAAATAATGTTGGGAAACAGAATAATCATATGCAAAAGAATTAAATTATCTTATACCACCCACAAAAATCAACTCAAAATAAACTAAAGACCTGAAGATAAGACCTAAAACTATAAAACTCCTGGATAAAAATATAAAGAAAATCCTATACAACACTGGTCTTTACTGCGATTTCTTGGATATGACAACAAATGCACAGGAAACAGAAACAAAAATAGACAAGTGGTACTACCTCAGACTAAAACACTTCTACAGAGCAAAAGAAACGATAAAGAGAGTGAAAAGGTAACCTACACAATGGGATAAAATATTTGCGAAGTATATACTTGATAAGGGCTTAATATCCAAAATAGATAAGGTACTCCTACAACTCAATAGCCAAAAAACAAATAATCTGATTAAAAATGGGAAAGGACCTGAATGATATTTTTCCAAAGAAGATACACAAATAGCCATTTGGTATATGAAAAAATGCTCAACCTCACTAATCGTCTTGGAAACGTGAATTTAAATCACAATGAGGTATCACCTCACACCTGTTAGAATGGCCATTATCAAAAAAAAAAAAAAAAAAAAGGAAAAAAGAAAGCAAAAAAAATGTTGTTGAGGATGTGGAGAAATTGGAAGTCCTGTGCATTGTTTTGGGGAATGTAAAATGGTACGGTTGCTATGGGAAACAGTATGCAGGTTCCCAAAAAATGAAAAATAGAGCTACCATATAATTCAACAATACCACTTTTGAGTGTTTATTCAAAAGAATTGAAATCAAGATCTGAAATATAGATTTGTACTCTCATGTTCATTGAGCATTATTCACAATAGCCAAGAGGTAGAAACAACCTAAATGTCCATTGATGAATGAATGGATAAACAAAATATGCTATATACATACAACAGAATATTATTCAACCATAAAAAAGAAGGAAATCCTATCATATGCTACAACAAGGGTGAATCCTAAAGACAATATGCTAAGTGGAATAGTCTATAGAAGGACAAATATGGTATTATGCTGCTTATAAGAAGTATCTGAACTAGTCAAACTCAAAGAAATAGAAAGTGGAATGGTGGTTGTTAGGGGCTGGGGGAGGAGGAAATGGGGTTTTGTTGTTCAATGGGTGTAGACTTTTAATCATGCATGGTGAAAAAGTGGTAGAGATCTGCTTTACAACCTTGTGCTTATAGTTAAAAGCACTATATTGGACACTTAAAAATTTAAGAGAGTAGATCTTATGTTTTGTGTTTTTTACCACAACTTAAAAAAAAAACTAAAGAAAATACTTGCTATGGATAATAATTCTGTTTAATATTTTTTAAATTTGTGACTTGATTGCGAGGGAATTAGAGGAGATATTTACATGCCTTCATATTCTTTGAAGCACACTTTTATTATCTTCTGAAATTATCGGCTGGGCGTGGTGGCTCACTCCTGTAATCTCAGCACTTTGGGAGGCCAAGACAGGTAGATCACTTGAGATCAGGAGTTCGAGACCAGCCTGGCCAACATGGTGAAACCCTGTCTCTGCTACAAATACACAAATTAGCTGGGTGTAGTGGTGCATGCCTGTAATTCCAGCTACTCGGGATGCTGAGGCAAGAGAATTGCCAGAACCTGGGATGTGGAGGTTGCAGTGAGCTGAGATTTTGCCACTGTACTCCAGCCTGGGCAACAGAATAAGACTGTCTCAAAAAAAAAAAAATTCTTGTGAAATTATTATGACTTTTGGCTTATATTATTTTAAAATTAATATGACTTTGGAGTTTAGGATTCTCTTCATGTTTTACCACTAACTGGCTTTTGACTTAGGGAACTGCTCCCTCTTTTGTACTATCTAGCTATAAAGGGAGAACTCTTGAAAAAGCTTGAGAGAAATGCACAGCTGCCAGGAAGTGCAGCTTTTATGAATTAATATCTTGCTAAAATAAACAGAAGCTGCTTCAGCTTCAGTGCTAAGACCACTAGGAAATTTCTTTGAAAAATGAGTTCATACACTTATGCCACTAATCCATACTAAATGTTCCACTAAAGTGCTGACTGTAGGAACACATTGCCATTTTGTTTTTAAAATCAAAATGCTTATTTATTGATTTTACACTGAGAAGTAGAACACAGACCAGAATACCTATATTGATGTGATCATTGAAAGATACTTTTGTCTTCTTCCATGTTTGATTTATTTCAATTAGGGTTAAACACTTTGTGCTGAGTTCAAAGGATGCAGTTGCAAATAAGAGAGCTCTTTCATTGCCCTACTAGCAACCACTTACTTTCTGTTTGGGGAAAAGGGTACAAACTAAGTTATAGTGTAATTCTTGTTTTAAATACAATTTTGTTAAGTGTTGTAATAGAGAAGCACAGGTGCTAAATGAGTGTTTAATGGAAAGATGACATGAGCTATCTTAGAAGGTGACCCGGTATTCAGGGAATGCTTTCTTGAGGAGGTGATGATATGCAAGTTGAACTCCAAAGGACAGGGAAGACACCAGAATTTCTGAGTAAAAGAGATCTGGATGGCAATCTGGTTGGAAGTAAAGACTAGAAGCTTTATTTTGGAGCTGTGTTGCATAGTAATCCCACTTCTTTTTAGATTATACTGTATGTTTATTTACGGTGGCTTTGGGGGAGTTGCCTCTTGATGCAGCCTACAGAAGGGTGAGTAGGAATTAATTATGTGAAAGTATGAAGTGGGGAAAAGAACATCCTCCATGGCCACAAGGTAGGATTGAGCTCAAGTATTCAAGGCCTGTATGGTTGGAGGACAGAGCAAGAGTGTGAGGCACAGACAAGACTGGTAAAAAGCCACAGAGGCCAGATCACATGGGTCATGATTAAAGACCATCCAAACTACTTTAAAGATTATAGTATCAATGAGGATAAAGAGTCCCAGAAAATGACGTTTAACTGACAGGTATCAAGCATAAAGGACCTGATCATAATTGCATTTTAGGAATTACTCTGGGTGCTGTGTGAGAGAGAATTAGAGCAAGGGTGTATGCGAGAGACCAGTTAGAAAGCTGTTTCACCAGTTCTACACAGAAATGATGCTGGGTTAGACATCACAGTGGTCATCATGGTGATTGAAAGAAATAGATAAATGTTAAAGATATTTACACAGACAAGTATACAAATACTGTAGAGCATGACTTAATTTGCCAAGGGGATCTGAAAAGCTTACAGAAGTGACATTAGTTTAATCTTGAAGGATGAGAACAAATTTCTGGTAGAAGTATAGTTTAGCACTTAGATTCAATTGCAAAAATATGCAAATTTTAAGTGATTATTACCTTTTTACTAGTGTTTCTTTCAGAATCTTTAAGAAATATTACATAATTAATGTTCTGATTTCTGTATTTGTGATACTAAGTACCTTAGAATATAATACATTTACATTTCCTGAATACAATTTTATAATTTAGACTTGTAATTAATTCAGATTAACCCCTTCCCCATCAACACTCACCCAAATCCAACTATGCTAGTTACAATTCGGGACATTTTAAAAGTTTTTTCTACCTTCTATTAAATCCTCTGTTTTGGTTAAATCTTTGCATCAATTAAGCATGTTTTCTTCCACACTAAATTCCTGCTTGTTTTTGTCTCACAAAAGTTATGACTAAATTAGTTTAAATATTTTGGAAATAATTTTAGAGCCTAAAATACTTTACGTATTCCTGGCTTTCTTATTTTGAAGGAAATGTGCTTGGATCTGGAGATTATCTAGGCCAAAGGTTATTAGATGTAAAAGAATGCGGATTTCTTAGCATTTATAAATCTCTAGTTTTTGCAATCATAGGAATAGACTGTACACACTTTTCAAAGCATTTTATGATTATTTGGCGTATTACTTGTGGCTGATAAGGATGTCTGTCACCAGTCACTCTTTAGCAATCACTTAGCTCTCCTTTTATTATTAATATTTTCATTTCCCATATGCATAATTTTATCTGGAAAAAGATTCTGTATCAAGTTTTAGTGCAGTACAATATATTTATCCATTTTTGCTATTTTTTATTAAATCAAGCTAGGATATTAGTCTTAAACGCTTGCTTTGAAACTAGTGATTGTTCTATGAAGCCAGTGCCAGGTCAAAGAGAGTTCAATAAGTTATATCTCATCTAGGCATTGCTCTGTGCACCATCTGCCCATGTTAAATCACAGTGATAAGTAGGATGTGTACTTGTGCATCGCTAATTCTTGTTTGGCCAGAATTTCATGTCATCTCATGGTCATTACAATTGTCCAATTATAGTTGATCAAATTGGATTACCATTAATTAGTGAGTCTGTCTTATAGTACAGAGGGCTAGTTGAACATATTTATCTGTTTAAGTGGGCTGTCCTCAGAAAGCCAAATGTCATGTTTGAAAAGAAAAGTCTTGTTTGTGGGGAGGGAAAGATAGGAGTATGGAATTACTTTACATGTACTAAACTGAAGGAGTGATTTCAATATAGTCTTTTAGTAAGCTTAATAAAAGTTTGCTTTAGCCTTAAAGATCTTTTAAGCAAAATAACATTAGTTATACAATGGATGCTATTTAACTATAAAGAAATGACATGCTAAGTTATTAAAATAGAAATTCTGTGGCCCTTGTGATGGGAAGAAATTGCGCATTCTGAACAACCCATTCATAACAGATTTAAGTCTCTGTGAAGATTTGTAATATCTTGAGTAGTGTCAAGCCAGAAAATTGTTTCTGCCTTGCTGCAAGCTGCACACACCATTACAAAGTTGTGATGGATGCACACTGACTTATGTCTATGTAGATTGATTCTTATACTTGAGAGGCAAATGGATGAGAACCGGACATGTGTTCCCTGAAGATGCCAATGGGCCCTTGTGCAATGATATCTGCCTAAAAAACTAGAGAAGCATCTATGGTTAGATAAGATTGGAGACAGCCAAACTTATCACTTTCCGACATTCTCATTTGAGAGTGATGGCATTGGCATATTGCATCAAATCCTACTGTACAGCCATGCATCATGGTTATACCAGAAAAGCCTAAAGTTCTCTAGGGTTTTCTTCGACCCAACAGTTCTTTCAGGTATAATCTATTGATCTAAAATAAAAAGGGGGGAGGGAGGGAAAGAGAGAGAGAGAGAAATAATTTTCTCCCTTTTCGTCACTGTCTTCAGGTATTGATTTTAACTTCTTGATCTTCTTTAAGAAGGCAAAAACTATTAATGCCTTTGTTATTTCTGCCCAACAGTTCAAGTTTCATATATTTTTGACAAATTTCCTTAACAAGAATACCTCAACACCAGAACTAAATTTAACTTTAAAGGAATAGTTTATGTTTCTAGAACATTGCTGAATTAAATATTATTATTTTAAAAATGTGTATCAACTCCTTCATTTCTCTATTTTTTCCTTCCATTTATACTTCCACCCAACCATCCATTCATCCGTCAAACATATGTATGTATTTACTGCCTGTTTTGTGGTGGACGGTGTGAAAGGTGCTTAGAGAAAAATGGCCATTAACATAGACCAGAACCTGCCCTCTAAACTTACATATCTGGCCATTATTATTGAACAAACGTGTTTTGAATACCTTCTGTGATGGGCACAATGCTAATATCAGCCCCTTGTGCAGAATTTGGAAAAGTACCCTTATATGGAGATACATGGACAAAGAAGATCCTACTCCTTACTTTCAAGATTTTTAAGTCTAACAGTGATTTATCCAGGGAGTCTTAGTGTTCAAATGTAGAACTTGCTATGATCTCAGCCCTTGCAATAAGCACCTTGCCAGCTCAGGCAAAAATCAGGCCTATACTGCCCCAGCACCTGGTCAATCCACTGAGAAGGTAGATTTGATGGCATCTGATGGTCTACAGATAAAGTAATTATTTCATAGGATTATATAATCTTTGTTAGGTACTGCATGGATGGTAACTGGCTGCACACTTAAACCAAAATTATTTCCTTAGTAATGTGTGATAAGGATAGACATTTTGGAAATGGATGTGGAAAGTTTCAAACAGAATAAAAATTATTAATGTTATGGCAATTAGCCTTTCACTTCACTGAAAATACTATGTATGGATTCAGCAAGCATGCTAAAATTTAACACAAAAATCCTCTTTGGAAGGCAATTGCTTTAAGTTAGAAAAAATTAGCTCATTTTTCAGTGAAAGAATTTGAAAATTCTGTCTTTGGAAACCAAAATACTGTATGGCAGAGTTGGATGCATCTTTCACTTTAAAACGCAGACTCTATTTGTGGTGAATGTATTTGTTATGGTAAAGTATTTGAAAGGAAACCCTCAGAATAATTTGGGGTAAGGAAAAATACTGTTTTAAAATAAGCCCAACCCATCAGTTTTAAACCTTGAAAACTGCCTTGCTTTGAATAAGAAAGAATTAATAATCGTGTATAGCATAAAGAATATATGTTTGGACTAAAATGCATAATCGTGATTTAAAACAAACTTCCAAATTTTAAGAGACTCTAGTATAATGGTGTGACCTCAATGATTTTTCCAAATGAATTTATGTTCTTCAGAGTTAATATTGATGATCTTATATAGTTACTTCATGACTGGGTCTGTGTCTTGGCAAATCTCTCTCTAGATAAGTGATTCTTATAAATGTTGAAAATTCCTTTACAGGTTAACTTTCCCATCATTTTTTATTGCTTATGCTATAAAGTTTAAGCCTAGATGCATCCTTTCTGGAAAGAAGGGTCCTACTAATCTCATAAGAATCTCATAATAAGTTCTCTTTCTTAAGGTTTGTATTTTGTGTGGGGATCGGCAAGGAAAGGGAAAAGCCGGAATGCCAAACAGCAAAGAGTTATTCTTTACTGTAGGGCTCCATCCAAAAAGGGTTTGTAACACAGTGTACAGTCTTGTAGCCCAGCTGTGTGGAGCATTGATTGCTTCTGCCTAGAGCAGGGATACTGTCAAGTTGCTCTGTGAGTTGAGTCATCTATTGACAAAGAGCTACCAGCCCGCAGATAATGCTGTGCGGAGCTGCTGTCGCTGCTCCCACTGCTCCCACGATGCACTGCTTATAGCAGCTGTCAAAGATACTGAGGAATCCACGGTGGAAAAAAGACTTTTACAACTGGCTGGAAGAAAGGGGTGTGAGGGAGGAGACATTTCTGTGCAGAGCTGACCAAAGGAAAGAGTAGGCATCAGTGCAGTATGAATGCATACCTCACCAAGCAACACAGCTGCAGCCGGGGGTCCGATGGGATGGATGCCGTCAGGAGTGCGCCCACCCTGATCAGGGATGCCCACTGTGCTTGTGGCTGGCAGAGGAACTGTCAGGGGCTCGGGTACAGTTCTCAGACCATGCCCTCCTCAGGACCAGGGGGCCCAGCTTCAAACAGGACCGGGGGGTCCAGCTTCAACAGGACCTTGTGGGACAGTGTGCGGAAAAGCCCCCACAAGACGAGCACCAAGGGCAAAGGGACTTGTGGGGAGCATTGTACCTGCCCACATGGTTGGTTCAGCCCAGCACAGGTGAGCCTTTTCCTTATGACTTTCCCTTGAGTGTCTGAAGAAAGTGAGAGCAAGTTGTTTAAGGTTAGAATGGCTTGGAAACTTTGCAGAGTACCACGGGTATGCCTGTATGTAAAATATTAGGCCAAGAAAAACCTGTCATTTTCACACATGTTTGTGGGCTCATACCTCTGGTGGCCTGTGAAAGTCTAGGGATGCCGTGCTCAGTTTATTTCACTGACTTTTCTTCAACTTCTCTAGTCCTCAGGTTATATTATTTTTTATCATAGTCTTTTAGCAGCCCTTTTACTTCTAATCATTTTTAACTTTTGTTCTGTCCTGCCTGTTTATTATTATTTTTTTAAAGAGCAGAGAAAAAATAAATTTTAACTAAACTTTCCATCTCTTTAAAGGCAAAAGAACATTTGTTTCTTTAGCTATAGAAAACAGTGATTTGAAGTATGCTATTCTAATTTTACTCTTATAATACTGTATGCCTTTTCAGTTATGGAGAAGAACAATTATTTACACTAAATAATTAATTTTACAAAGAAAAGGAATAATTATGAGCAAAACAGAGGATGGTTAAACTCAGAATAAAAGAATTAAGCACTTAATTTATTCATGGAGAAGCAATAAGTTTATATCAACATCTATAGCTCTCTTTCTTCTATAACGCATTTCTAAAGCAGATGTGCAGATACCTTTAATTTGATTCCTAGGTTATTCTAGCCCCCAGACTACTATCATTTTATCAGAAATAAAATTGGCTCATTTTTTTCTCTCTTCATTTAAAGGAGAGAAAATAACTTCCTGCAAATGCTGTAAAATATAAATAAAATACACCTGTAGTCACTGTCATACAGAACAATGACTGTTTAATATGTATTGAAGAAAAGCTGTATTTGCAGAAAAATTCAATCTCAATTTTAATATGATTTTAGCATAGTGGAGAAGTAGATATTGATCATAAATAAAATGTTATGGTGACAGGTGCAGAGAATATTTTAATTTTAATAATAGTTTTTAAAAAGTACTTCCAAGAATGTCATTTATCACTGGTCTTAATAATATAGTTACATATGCATAGCCATATATATGGCCTTTGATTGATTTGCATGGAATTATAAGCTTTGCTTAGAGAGATAGAGCATCTCAGCCTCCTGATTTAAATAAAAAATACATTACCATTTTATTATTAAACTGGTTTGGCTTAAAATAGAAGTTGACATTTAGAAATGCAGTTATTATTTAAAGTTAACATGAATTCCAAACTGAATAAAAAGTCTTAACAGTTGTGAACACTGTATATACTCTTTAACAAATACATTCATTTAAATGTCTTTAGCTTATATCTCTGTATTGATTACATTAAATTCTCAAGGCTCACATAGGCTAGGAAGCAAGCCTACTTAATAGCATCTAGCTTATGGTTGTTGCACAGAGCAGAGAAAGCAAACTTGCTTTATTGTTGCAATTATTTTAATCCAAGATGTAACATACTTTTTATTTCGTAAATGGTAATTTCCCAAACCCAAATCTCTAATACTAGGTTATAATAAGCAAACTCTAAAAATATTCATATTTTTTCATCAACTGAGGGAAACTTTTATTTCCTTAGTTTTTAACAATGCCTCCTACTTGTCTGAAACTTACAGCCATTTAATGCTTTCAAGGATTGAAATAGACCGTATACTGATAATTAGAGATCCAGTGACATATAAGAAGGCAACAAATTGAGGTAGCCACCATCTCTCCTTATTCTTTTGCATAAGCATTTCTATACATTTTCCCTCCCATTCACATGTACTGTATTATTGGCTGGGACTAATAGTGATCCACAAATACTGGAGCTATGAAACCATATCTTTTAGGATTTTCAATGTTTTAACACTTTTCACTTACCAGAACCTTCCACCCTTTACCATTTCAGTCCTATAAAAGTGCTATGCTAAATTGATTAATCCATCTTCACCAATGCTTGAAAACTTTCAAATACATTATGTTAAATAATTTCAATTGTCTCTACACATACATACACACAGACTTTAATATATGTATTCAAATGTCTCACTATACCTAACTACTTATGTATATTAACATATTTTATGTATATTTAAGTATATATATGCATATATATGCACACATATAAAAATTAGAGTTCTATATTATTTCAATTTTTCTGTCCTAGAGTATATCAGCTTGTTCTTCCAAAGAATGCTGCATTCTATCCATATAAAGTATTTTTTCATGTAAATTTTATTTCCTTTACTTCTAGTAGGTCCTCAAAACTACTGATATATGTATATTTATAGATCTGTTTCCATTTATATATGCATCCATAGCATACATCTAATATCTAAATTATATAGAGATGTGTTAGTACTATACACTTACGTATATTATCACAAAAATAAGAGCATGTGTGTACCTATATGTATTCATGTGTCCACTAAAACTAAGGCTGTTTTGAGAATTTCATGATACTACTTTTTACCCCTTAAATTAACTGGGAATATCCTGTGAAATATTGTAAAACCTAAAGCTGGAGGCTAATGATACTAAACATTAGAATCCTTGATAAAGCGTAAAGAAGAATAGTGCATGTTTTAAAATAGTTCAGGGACTCACATGTGGTACAGAATGTGCCAGAGAGTTGTTAAGCATCTGGGAGCTTGGATCTTGCCCTCGGAGATATTTGCAGTATTACGTGGAACTCAGCAGTGTGATTTCCAGCTGCTATAACAGAGGGCCATAGTAATGACTTGAGTTCCTCCTAAGGCTCTTTTCCAAACTCCTGTTATTTGGGGTACTGTGTACTAACAGGACTCTGTCATTATGTTGTTCCTCAGCAGGTCTGAAAATCAGCTTCTGTCCCTCTCAAATAAGTTTTCATTCCATTTGGATCTGTAGAATTAATATAACCATAATCATAGGTAAGGAAATAGAAAATTATAGTGCCCAAAAGTGCGTTCCAAAATGTACATCTAGGATGTTAGTGTCAGCCTTGGGAAGAAACATGTCCATCATTGTTTATGTGGCATTTCTTCCCAGTGCAGACTAATCTAGGGAAGCAGCACAGAACAGTGGAGACTCAGAGACCAGAGTTTTGTGCATTTGTCTTTCTTTCTTCCTTTCCTTTCGTATCCTCTTTCTTTTTCTTTCTTTCTTTCTTTCTTTCTTTCTTTCTTTCTTTCTTTCTTTTTCTCTCTTTCCTTTCTTTTTCTTTTTCCTTCTTTCCTTCCCTCCTTCCTTCCTTCCTTTCTCTCTCTCTCTCTCTCCTCCCTCCCTCCCTCCCTTCCTTCCTTCCTTTCTTCCTCTCTCTCTCTGTCTCTCTCTCTCTTTCTTTCTTTCTTTCTTTGACTATCATGTACTGAATGCCTACTATGTACTATTCTGTCAGGCCTTGTGTGTATAATATTATAGTAAACAGGCTGAGTGTGGTGACTCACGCCTGTAATCCCAGCACTTGGGAGGCAGAGGCAGGTGGATCACTAGAGGCCAGAAGTTCAAGACCAGCCTGGCCAACATAGTGAAACCCTGTCCCTACTAAAAATACAAAAATTAGCCCGGCGTAGTGGTGCACACCATAGTCCCAGCTACTCAGGAGGCTGAGGCACGAGAATTGCTTGAACTTAGGAAGTGGAGGTTGCAGTGAGTCAAAGTGGTGACACTGCACTCCAGTCTGAGCTACAGAGTGAGACTTGGTCTCAAAAAAGAAAAAAAAGAAAAAAATTGGCCAGGTGCAGTGACTCACGCCTGTAATCCCAGCACTTTGGGAGCTGAGGCGGGTGGATCAGGAGGTCAAGAGATTGAGACCATCTTGGCCAACATGGTGAAGCCCCGTCTCTACTAAAAATACAAAAAAATTGGCCGGGCGTGGTGGCGGGCACCTGTAGTCCCAGCTACTGGGGAGGCTGAGGCAGGAGAATCTCTTGAACCCAGGAGGTGGAGGTTACAGTGAGCCGAGATTGCACCATTGCACTTCAGCCTGGTGACAGAGCAAGACTCCATCTTGAAAATAATACTACTACTAATAATAATAAAAAATAAAAAATAAAATTGTAAAGAAAGTAGATATCTCTCCTACTACTGTGGAGCTTACAGCCTATAATGGCCTATAAAATTTAGCAAATGATATGCCATGTATACCATGATATACAAATAATTATATCATCGTAAGTCACAACTTAGAAGCGAAGCAAAATTTCAGAGAGTGCTGCAGATAACCACAATGAATGCATATTCAGAATACAGAGGAACCACAGAGAAGTTAAAAAATTGAAATACTTGGAAAAAAATACTGCATCTCTTTAAACTTTTAAGATTTTCTGGGTTTTTTGTTTTGTTTTGTTCGTTTGTTTGTGTGTTTTGAGATGCAGTCTCGCACTGGTCCTGGAATGCCATGGTGCCACCTCATTTCACTTCAACCTCTGCCGTCCACGTTCAAGCAATTCTCCTGCCTCGGTCTCCTGAGTAGTTGGGACTACAGGCACGCGCCACCAGGCCTGGCTACTTTCTTTTTTTGTGTGTATTTTTATTAGAGATGGGGTTTCACCATATTGGCCAGTCTGGTCTCAAACTCCTGACCTGTGATCTGCCCGCCTCAGCCTCCCAAAGTGTTGGGATTACAAGTGTGAGCCACTGCGCCCAGCCAAGATTTTCTGTTTTATAAAATGAGGATATAAATAACACCTACCTCAGAGAGTTGTGGTGATGAATGATTAACAAAATGTTAGCATAGTGCTTTCATATGGTAGATGCTCAATTAATATTTAAGGAATAAATGAATGAGTAAACATTGGCTATTACTAATCTATTTCTTAATACATTTTTTGATTGGGAAGAGAAGAGAAATGAATCAGTGAGGGCTTCATAGAGGTAGTGATACTTTGACGGAATTAAATTGAATTAAAAATGTTGTACGTGTTTGTTAAGCAGATAAAAAGAGAGAAATTTTTGAGCAGAAATGAAAAATACAGAAAAGCATGTAACACCTTGGTGCCTGTGCACACAGTTCTATTTGCCCGGAACATTGAGCCCTGTGAGAGAAGGTTCATTAAAAGAGATGCCTGGAGAGGAGGGTGGGGCCTGGTCAGAGATAGCCGGGTGGACCTTGATGAGGACTTCATAAAGTTTGAGTGCCTGCTCTGCCACTCTTTATGTGTTATGCTTCATCATCAGTTAACCCTTTGAGCCTCAGTTTCTCTGTTTGTAAGACAGCTGGTTTTCTAGATGAACACCCAAATCTCATCCAGTACTAATAGTATGTGACTGTGTCAACTGACACTTATTAATTATTGGGAAGCACTTTGGAAATGTTTTATGCTTAAAAGCCAGACAATCTCAAATTTGAATTTACTAGCTCTGTGTGATGTTATTTGCTTAACCTCTCTAAGCCTCATTTTTCTCCTCTGTAAAACTTGGGATAATAAATTCATGTTGCAGGGAAATGTTATAAGAATTGAAAATACGGTATATAAAAACCCCAGTATGGCACTTAGAACACAATTACTCAGTAAATGGTATTTATTATTGTTAATGATATCTAAAGTATGTTTTTTATCCTGAAGAACTTACTGTCCAGGAAATTCATCATTCATATTGTGCTCTTTCATTAGAATTTATGGATTTTCCACTGAATTTTTTGATGTCTTCCTTATAATGATGAAGGCTAGGCTAGGCAACTGTCCAGAAACTTTTGGCATAGTACCACATGATGCTGATACTGAGGTGACATTATGTCCTTCAAGGTTCTCAGCAATTTACAACTGTGCATGCTAGAAAAAAAAATCATGTAAAATAGAATTGTGTTGATGAAGTAGCATTCCCATAAGCTTGTATTTAGAGGTAAGGAAATGCTGAAAGATTTCCTCAGCAAAATTCTGCAAGAACAACTGTGTTCGAAATATTTAGCCAAGCTCTGTAAATCTCCCCTCATAGTTCCTTTGCAGCAACTCCAGAACCAGCAGTTTGCAGCAACTTGAGTGCGGAGGACTTTTTAGTCCAAGAAGTAGGGTTGCCCTAGGATGAAATCTTAGGCTCAGTTTATGCTCAGCCAGAATGATCTGACAGCTTGTTTTAACTCAGCACCTGCTTTGACTTACTCCTCTTAGAAAGGCAGCCCCTTACCAAGGAAGAATAAGACTTTCTTGTCTCTGGGAAATAGCAGCTGTCCCCCAGGTAAGGGAAACAGAAGAGAGCAAGTGATAACACAGAAGGAATTAAAATTGTAAGTATTCCTGTGGCAGATGTGAAGCCGTTTGGTCAACACTCCTAGCACTCTTATTGCTGGATGCTGACATAAGCAGAGCATTCTCTCTGGGATAGGGCAAGGAGAGGCCAAGCACACAGAATGGGAAAGAAAAGAACAAAAATGACAATATTTATTGCATAATCACCATGTTCACAATGTGTGAGACACTGTGCTAGGAAATGACATTAGTCATTTCCTTCAATTTTCCCAATAACACTAACAGAGTGATGTTGTTATCTCCATTTTGAAGATGTAAATGGAACCTAAGAGTAATGCTTATGATCACACCACTGATAAGGGTAGCATGCATTTCACATGCAGGTGTGTATGACTTCCTTATTCTCTCCACCGCGTCTTGCAAAAATAAGACCTTTTGAAGTATGCTGGGAGGTAAAATACCCTAAGGAGACCTCTATAAATCTCTAATTTAACAGAAATTTCCTTAATGCATTGGGATGTTCTACATGGTTGGGAGTACTGGCATTCCCCTGCAGAATCCTGGATTCCCTTAGCCTACTTTATTTTCTGGTCTCAGGAACCCTGAGTGAGTTGGGTCTCTGAAGATCGCTTCCCTCCTTTATTATGGTTAAGAACTATGTAGATCTGAAGCAGCTGGAGTTGATTCCCACAGCACTTAACACCAGAATAAGATACTTGCTGTGTAACTTGTAAATTGAATTCAAGTTTGCAACATTTGTGGTATTTGGGAACCACCTATTGTAAATTTAATATAAATACAAAATAAAAGTGCAGAGAGACACTGTCTTTAGTACAAGAGCATCATCTCACATTGCTGAGTGTGAATCTCATACAAACGTTCTATCTCCCTATGTATCCATCATGCCAAGAATCAAATCTCTGTTTGATACCACCTTCTTCATGGTCTATCCTCTTTTTCTGATATTATTTGATCTCTTACAAGTGTAGCCTCACCTGGTTTTATTCTCATTCATTCTCTACTTTGTTCCATTCTTTTGGTTTTCTAAAGGAATCTAGATGTTTTGTAATTATATCAGAACTGTATGGAATCTTAGTAGTCACCTAGTACATGTTCCAAAGGAGAAACTGTACCCTAGAAAAGTTAAGAGAATTGCTCAGGGTCATTTCAGTTTGTGGCAGAATTGGTCCATGTCCTTAAACTCGGAATTAAGTTTTCCTTTTATTGTTATAAGTTGCCCTCCCTCTCCTAGCCCTTCTGTGCTCATATGTAGAGTCATTATTGTCAGATAATTATGAGGCATGCAATTTATTGATAATTAACTGTTGGACATTATACAAAAAGTTACATAAACCTGTTTTTTTACTCAGAATTTAGACCAGTGATTCCCAAGGACAGACGGAGAGAGGAGAGCCCCTAGAAATTATTTTTTAATGTTTTTCTTCCAACTTTGATTTTAGGCTCGGGGGGTGCATGTGCAGGTTTGTTACATGAGTAAATTGTATGTTCCTGGGGTTTGGTGTACAAATTACTTCATTAACCTGGTAGTAATGAGAGGTGACAGCGTGCTGGCAGTCCTCGCAGCCCTTGCTTGCTCTCGGTGCCTCCTCTGCCTGGGCACCCACTTTGGCGGCACTTGAGGAGCCCTTCAGCCCGCCGCTGCACTGTGGGAGCCGCTTTCTGGGCTGGCCAAGGCCGGAGCCGGCTCCCTCAGCTTGCAGAGAGGTGTGGAGGGAGAGGCGCGGGCGGGAACTGGGGCTGCGCGCCATGCTTGTGGGCCAGCGTGAGTTCCGGGTGAGCGTGGGCTCTGCAGGCCCAGCACTCGGAGTGGCCAGCTGGCCCTGCCGGCCCGGGCAATGACGGGCTTAGCACCCGGGCCAGTGGCTGCGGAGGGTGTACTGGGTCCCCCAGCAGTGCCGGCCCACCGGCGCTGCGCTCGATTTCTCACGGGCCTTAGCTGCCTCCCCGCGGGGCAGGGCTCGGGACCATGCCTGAGCCTCCCCCACTCCGTGAGCTCCTGTGCGGCCGGAGCCTCCCCTACCAGCGCCGCCCCCTGCTCCACGGCACCCAGTCCCATTGACCGCCCAAGGGCTGAGGAGTGCGGGCGCACGGCGGGGGACTGGCAGGCAGCTCCACCTGTGGCCCCCGTGCGGGATCCACTGGGTGAAGCCAGCTGGGCTCCTGACTCTGGTGGGGACTTGGAGAACCTTTATGTCTAGCTAAGGGATTGTAAATACACCAATGGGCACTATGTATCTAGCTCAAGCTTTGTAAACACCAGTCAGCACCCTGTGTCTAGCTCAGGGATTGTGAATGCACCAATCGACACTCTGTATCTAGCTACTCTGGTGGGGACTTGGAGAACCTTTGTGTCCACACTCTGTATCTAGCTAATCTAGTGGGGACCTGGAGAACCTTTGTGTCTAGCTCAGGGATTGTAAACGCACCAATCAGCCCCCTGTCAAAACAGACCACTCGGCTCTCTGTAAAATGAACCAATCAGCAGGATGTGGGTGGGGCCAGATAAGAGAATAAAAGCAGGCTGCTCCCAGAGCCAGCAGTGGCAACCTGCTGGGGTCTACTTCTGCGTTGTGGGGGCTTTGTTCTTTCGCTCTTTGCAATAAATCTTGCTGCTGCTCACTCTTTGGGTCCACACTGCCTTTGTGAGCTGTAACACTCACCGCAGAAGTCTGCAACTTCACTCCTGAAGCCAGGAAGACTACGAATCCACCGGGAGGAACGAACAACTCCAGACGCGCCGCCTTAAGAGCTGTAACACTCACCGCGAAGGTCCGCAGCTTCACTCCTGAGTCAGCGAGACCACGAACCCCACCAGAAGGAAGAAACTCCAGACACCTCCGAACATCAGAAGGAACAAACTCCAGACACGCCGCCTTTAAGAACTGTAACACTCACCGCGAGGGTCCGCGGCTTCTTTTTTTTTTTTTTTTTTTTTGAGACTGCGTCTCGCTCTTTCACCCAGGCCGGACTGCAGTGGCGCGATCTCGGCTCACTGCAAGGTCTGCTTCCCGGGTTCACGCCATTCTCCTGCCTCAGGGCCCTGAGTAGCTGGGACTACAGGCGCCCTTCACTGCGCCCGGCTAATTTTTTGTAGTTTTAGTAGAGACAGGGTTTCACCGTGTTAGCCAGGATGGTCTGGATCTCCTGACTTCGTGATCCACCCGCCTTGGCCTGCGGCTTCATTCTTGAAGTCAGTGAGACCAAGAACACACCAGTTCTGGACACAGTAATATAATATTCAATAGGTGGTTTTTCAGTCCTCACCTTCTTCTCACCATCCACCCTCAAGTAAGTCCTGGTGTCTATTGTTCCCCTTTGTGTTCATGAGTACTCAATATTTAGCTCCCATTTATAAGTGACGACGTGCGATATTTCATTTTCTGTTCCTGTGTTAATTTGCTTAGGATAATGACCTCCAGCTGCATCTATGTTGCTGCAAAGGACATAATTTCATTCTGTTTTATGGCTGCATAGTGTTCCATGTTATCAATGTACACATTTTCTTTATCCATTCTACCGTTGGTGGACACCTAGGTTGATTCCATGTCTTTGCTATTGTGAAAAGTGCTGCAAAGAACATACACGTGCATGTGTGTTTATAGTAGAATAATTTATAATTTATATTCCTTCGGGTATATACTCAGTAATGGGTTTGTTGGGTTGAATGGTAGTTCTTTTTTAAGTTCTTTGAGAAATTTCCAATCTGTTTTCCAAAGTGGCTGAACTAATTTGCACTCTCACTGAAGTGTATAAACATTCCTTTTTCTCAACAAGCTCGCCAACATCTGTTATTTTTTGACTTTTCAATAGCCATTCTGACTGGTGAGAAAGCACTTCAGAAGAGCAGAGAGGTACTTAAGTGTTGTTAAAGATTGGAAGTGATACTGGGATTTAGGGGAAGAGGGTCAGGGATGCTAGACACCCTGTGCAGAGTGGTCTTGCCCCACAAATAATTGCCCCATGTACTGCACAATTTTTAGCGTTCCACTAGACAGTCATGAATATTAACGAAAAAAGTTTATTATTATCTAAGCCTAAAATCAAACTCAATTTTACAAACAAGTATTTTTGCAAGGATTCAATGATTATTACATTTTCTGGGACTATAACTCCGCGAAAATCAAGGGACCATTACACTTTGTTCTGTTAGCAATTTTGTCAGTTGTTCCCCATTTTGGAAGACCATATCCTTAAAACATAATGCTGATTTTAGTATTGACACACCTCTCCTGCATCAATCTATGTGTATAGATTTCATCTGCAAATATGCAAGTAAAGAGATTTGAGACTCCTGTTAATAGATTTGGAACCAAATATTTTAATTTTTTGGTTCAAGTTTTATTTTATTTTTAATTGACAAATAATAATTTATATATTTATGGGGCCCTATGTGATGTTTCAATGCATGTATACATTGTGAAATAATTAAATCAGAGTAATTAACATGTCAGTCATCTCCAACATCTATTATTTCTTTGTGGTCATGTGAAAAAAACGTGTGAAATCTATTATTTTAACTACTTTAAAATATACAAAACATTATCATTAACCTTAGTCCCTAGTGAACAGAAAAGGAGTGATGTTGGTCACAAGATCTAGAATCAAATATTTTAACTTGATAGAAACATAAAATACAGGGATCTCACCAAATTTCATTAATAAAGTTGTTTTTAAAATATTTTATTTGATTGCCATACCATACATTAATCTTTAAAGCACTTTAAAGCATAATAAGAAATCTATTTGTGCAAATTACTTGACATCATCAAGTCAGATAATAAAACTCTGTTTTAGAGTTTTCTGTTTTTTCAATATTATTCTGATATTGTGTCAAATCTCAAACTCAACTTGTATCAAAACTCCACTTCCCCATAAGCCCTTAGGTTTCAGAGTTTATATCTATCATTCCTCATTACCTATCAAAGGATAGAATTTTAGAGTGCTAGAAATCAAATATATGCCTTCTCATGAGAAGGAATTCCAAACAGGAATAGGTAGGTAGGTAGGTAGATAAATAGATAGATAGACAGATAACTAGCTAGATGACTCTCTTACTGGCATGCCCTATTTTGACATTAAACATATCAGTAAGACCCAGTTTATCTGCAAGAATGACACATTTTTAACTTACTCCTACCATCTGCAATTTTCCTTGTTAAATTATCTGTATTTCAGCTACTAAAGTTATTTCCTCTGACGTTTTATCAAATACAAATGGTCTGCTATTACTTTTTCTAACACTAATTTTTAACCTAGAATTTATTGTATATCTGCTGTTTTATTTTCCTGTACCCTTTGTAAAATATGGTATCTGGTCTTTTTATTCCATTTAAATCCAAATTTATTCTTTATAAATATATGCAGGCATTTCACTATCTCATTACATTGTCTGGCATAGTAGGACTCACAGACTGCCATATTTTCATTTTTGTAGCATCATTATTAAATTATGTTTTTGTGCCAAGACTTATCTGCATTATGGCTGTGGAGAACAGGAACTATGTGTTCAATGCCTATATGTCTTGCAGGATAACCTGCACTATGTTTTCAACACACTATTTTAATATAAACTACTTTTTTTTTATTTCTTCTTTTACTTTGGTAAAGGCACTACATTTTAAAAAATATGTGTAGTCAGTTGTATCATCTATGAATTTTATTTCAGATGAAAAAAGGAGGACATTACAAAACATTATCAAATGGAAAGGTTGAATCTGATAGAATGGAACCATTTGTTGAGATATTCAATATTGTTTTGTATACCATTATATCTGTGTGTTTAGCTTGCCTTCCAACTAGTCCAGGAGTCACCAAACTACAGCCACAGGCCAAATCCAGCCTGATACTTCGTTTTGTGTAGCTCCAGAGCTAAGAATTATTTTTAATATTGAAGAAAATCAAAAGAATAATATTTCAGACATGAAAATCATGAGTAATTCCAATTATGCTATCTATAAATAAATTTTATTAGAACACAGCCATGCTTATTTGTTTACATATTGTCTGTAGCTGTTTTTGTGCTGCAATGGCAGAGTTGAATAGTTGTGATAGAAACTGTAAGGCTAGAAAGTCAGAAAAATATTTATTATCCAACCCGTTAAAGAAACAAGTTTGCTGACCTCTGTGCTAGGTTATCGGCTTTCCATTTCCCACCTGATGGAATGTCCCTTTCTGCCCAACAAAGCCTATCCATTTTTTAAAAAGTCTGGATTAAGCACATCTTCCTCTTTAATCCTTTCATTTGAGCTCTCAAAGTTGCTATTTAACATGCGATCCTGCAAAATTAGAGTATTGCCTTACATCGCGGTTAGTTTCCTTCTCAGTCTCCCTGATTAGAGAGTGTGAGATTCCTCGTATTCCCAGAATGTAGCCTAACTCACAGTAGCATAGCTGTTCAATCTTGTGGCCTCTTTGTGACAATTCATGTAGCATCATTATTAAATTATGATTTGGGGCCAAGACTTATCTGCATTTATGACTGTAGAGAAGAGGAACTATGTGTTCAATACCTGTATGTCTTGCAGGATAACCTGCACAATTTATCACTTTTTACCATAGTATGGATAAGTATTGATACTTTTCAATATGTTTCTGCGCCATTAACCTGAATTTCCTTAGAGCATGACCTGTCTTATTTACCTGTTTCCCTAGTGCTTAGCACGTAACAGTAAGTTAATAAAGTGTTCTTGATTTCTGAATGTATATTAATACAGGGCCTTGTATATAAAGGCACTCAATCAGTTTGAATTTATTATTATTACTGATTATGCAGGTGTCTTAAGATCAAGAATGACACCTTCTATTCCCACAGTAGCTCAACTTAATAACAAGCATATTATTTTAAGTTTACACAGATTTACTGTTTTGTTTCCTTTGTTTATTTGTTTTGTTTTTAGTTTAACTCAGATTCTTATTCAATTCTGTGGTGCTATTGAAATATTGGAATCATTGGTTAGAAATTAGATTCCATATTCAAGTGGGTCATACTATTTCAGTGATGAAAGGTAGAGTACTATAGTTTGAGAGGAAATCGGACAAAAATTTTGATCTTACACAGTATCATAGTTTAACTTAGGAGTCAGTTGTTCTCTGTAAGGTTGAAATAATGTCACGAAATACATTTTATAATTAGTTTCTGTATACTCTGTTGTAGACTACATGACCTTTTTCTTCATCATTTTCATCATTAAATATAAGTGCTTGGAGTACAGTAGTTACCACCATTGCATAAAAAATCTATGATTGAACACATTTGCATTTTATTCTGACAGGCTGCACTATTCAGTTAGCAGTCAACATTGACTGTTACAGTTATGGTTATTATAGTTAGTTATCCATGACATTCATTGTCCAAAGCTCAGTTTATATACTAGCTCTAAAGTTGATTATGTTTACACACTGATTTTTCATTTCTCTAATCTATTTTACTCAATCTCTATAATACCTGTTATCATACTTAATTACAATTTTTAAAAATATGTTTCCAACTTCAAGTTTTGTTTTATTTTATTTTATTTTTTGAGACAGAGTCTCACTCTGTCACCCAGGCTGAAGTGCAGTGGTGCAATCTCAGCTCTGCCCTCCCAGGTTCAAGCATTTCTCCTGCCTCAGCCTTGTGAGTACCTGGAACTACAGGCACACGCCACCATGGCAGGCTAGTGTGTGTGTGTGTGTCTGTCTGTGTGTGTATTTTTTTTTGTTTTTGGTGTAGAGACACGTTTTGACCACGTTGGCCAAGCTGGTTTAGAACTCCTGACCTCAAGTGATCCACCTTCCTCGGTCTCCCAAAGTGCTGAGATTTCAAGCATGAGCCACCATGCCTGGCCCACGTTTTATTTTTTAATAAAATAAAAACTAGTAGTTAATCATAAATCCTTTTAGTTTAAAACTGAATATTTTAGCTACTTAAAAAACAATTTGTATTATTTAGTTTAAATATAATACAAGCTTATGGTAAAAAATAGTATGAATTAATTATTTTTAAAAAATTAAAAGTCACCTGTAATTCCACCTAGAGTTAACTACAGTTAATGTAGTAACAACTTTTTAGTCCTTTTATCTGTCTCTGTATATGTATCTTCAGTGAAAGATACAAATTTTATTGACACGTGCTCACAGATCTAGCTAAACTTGAGTCTCATTTATATATGTCTGTTAAGTGAGAAGTTAAGAATATAACTTCTTTTTAAAAATTAGCATCATGTTGCAATGTTTTTTAAAAATTAACATCATATTGTGAACATTTTTCTAAGTTAGAAAAATATTTTTCTTGTTGACATCATTTTTTAAAATTATACTTCTGGGATACATGTGCAGAACATGCAGGTTTGTTACATAGGTATACGCGTGCCATGGTGGTTTGCTGCACCCATCAACCCATCATCTACATTAGGTATTTCTCTTAATGCTATCCCTCCCCTAGCCCCTCAACCCCAGCAGGCCTCAGTGTGCGATGTTCCCCTCCCTGTGTCCATGTGTTCTCATTGTTCAGCTCCCACTTATGAGTGAGAACATGTGGCGTTTGGTTTTCTGTTCCTGTGTTAGTTTGCTGAGAGTGATGGTTTCCAGCTTCATCCATGTCCCTGCAAAGGATGTGAACTCATCCTTTTTTATGGCTGCATAGTATTCCCTGGTGTATGCGTGTCACATTTTCTTTATCCAGTCTATTATTGACGGGCATTTGGGTTGGTTCCAAGTCTTTGCTACTGTGAATAGTGTTGCAATAAACATATGTGTACATGTATCTTTATAGTAGAATGATCTATAATCCTTTGGGTATATACCCAGTAATGGGATTGCTGGGTCAAATGGTATTTCTGGTTCTAGATCCTTGAGGAATTGCCATGCTGTCTTCCAAAATGGTTGTACTAATTTTCATTCCCACCAACAGTGTAAAACAGTGTAAAAGTGTTCCTATTTCTCCACATCCTCTCCAGCATCTGTCGTTTCTTGACTTTTTTTTTTTTTTTTTTTTTTTTTGAGTCTCGCCTGTCACCCAGGCTGGAGTGCAGTGGCATGATCTCGGCTTACTGCAAGCTCCACCTCCCGGGTTCACACCCTTCTCCTGCCTCAGCCTCCCGAGTAGCTGGGACTATAGGCGCCGCCACCAGGCCTGGCTAATTTTTTTTTGTATTTTTAGTAGAGATGGGGCTTCACCATGTTAGCCAGGATGGTCTCGATCTCCTGACTTCGTGATCCACCCACCTCGGCCTCCCAAAGTGCTGGGATTACAGGCGTGAGCCACCGCACTGGCCTGTTTCCTGACTTTAATGATCGCCATTCTATCTGGCATGAGATGGTATCTCATTGTGGTTTTGATTTGCACTTCTCTAATGACCAGTGATGATGAGCTTTTTTCATGTTTGTTGGCTGCTTGTTGACATCTTTTTTAATGACTGCCAAATATTCTTTTTCTACCAAAACCCATAATGTTGGGCATGTAGGTTACCTTTCTTTAAGTTAATATAAACAATAGTGAAGTAAACCTTGGTGTACTAGAACTTTTGACTACACTTCTCGTGAGGATATATTTTTAGAAAAAGACCAATTGTTGAGTCAAAGGGTGTGAATTTTTTAAGGTTCATAATATTTACATAGTCATTCAGTCAATACTCATTCAGCAATTCATTATTAAACAGTTAACACAAGACAAAACACTAGGTTAATAAATGGGGATATACTGGAAAATAAGAGAGACTGATTATTGGCCCATGGAGCTTAGAGTTAATTGCCAAATTGCTTCTAAAACTATTTGCTTTACCAATTTATGATTCCCCCATTTGAAGAGTGTATGAACATGTCTTTCTGCCTGTACTCTTGATGTTTTTATCTTTGTAAAATCCTTTATTAATTTGATAGGTTAAAAATTGAAGAACATTGCTATAGTAATTTGCTTTTATTTGGTAATTAAAATGAGTACCTTTCCTATGACTGTATTCTATTACGAAGCTCTTATGATGTCTTCTATAATACCTGCCACAATAGATTACTATGCCCAGTTGGCAATTTAAAACATGCTTAATTTTTTGACTGGAAGGAAGGAATGAAGGAAGGAAGGAAGGAAAGTAGGAAGGAATTAAGGAAATAAATACAAATAGGAAAGTAGTTCCCATTTAAAATTCCTAGTAAGATAAATTTCCACCTATCCTAAATATAGCAGGGTCTTCTTAACCATCGTCATGAGTGATCTATGCACCTGTCTTTCTTGTCACTGAAACCCCTTTCCTTGTGTCTGTTCTCTGGAAGGAAAAGAGCTGAATGTTCTTTTTTTTTCACCCTGATATAAGTGAGCAAGATTAAATTGAGTGACATATGAAAAAATAGTTCATGCAACAGACAGAAGTAGACAGGCTATCTGCCTCTATCTGTAGACAGTTTGCAGAAGAGTGCAATATGGACATTAAATTGACAGTAAGAGAGCTTGAAGAGGAAAAACAATGTGACTGATCAGATGGGAAAGGGAAATATCCTGGAAATTTCCTATTTTAGTATGTTTACATAGGGATAGGAATTTTATGAAATTTGAATATAGACATTTAAAGATAAGTTTGAGTCTACATGTCTTAAAATGTAGGCAGCCTCCACCCAAAATCAAAACCATTATATGGTTTTGATTGTATAACATTTTATCTGTTACAAACACGTTGTTCTTATACTGCTGATTCTAATATTTAGAATAAAACTTACAGATGCAACAACTCTCTTGACTCTTCTCATCAAAGCTGGGCACCTTCTGGTTGTTCCAAGGAAAAGTGAAAACAACATACCTGCAGCATGACAGCAGTCTGGTTTCTAGTAGAAGAAACATTATTTTCGAAGGACTGAATGGAATGATAACAGTTAAATAGGTTGAAGACTGTAAGTACGTTGAGGAAAGAGATTCTTTTGAGTTTACAAAACAACCCAACATAATTGGGAGTTCCCTATGGACTCGTTTTTCCAATAACTAAATCAAACGCAAGTATAACAATTGACTTTAAGATCCCTACCACTCTTTGCAGTTCACTCAGAGCCTTCAGTCTATTTTCATCATTCTTCTTCTTTCTTGCTCTTCATTGCACTCAAACCTGTTTTACAATTCACTTAGTGTGCCAAGTCAGAAATCAGGAAGTCATCACCAGATCCATTACATTTCTATTCCTAGGGCCCTCATGAATTAATCAATCACTAATTGATATAGAATTATATCCAGAGTGTTTCAAATATTTTCCCTTTTTACATTTCTGCTCTCCGTGCTTGAGTTTTGGTGTGTTATCATTCCCATAAACTGTTTGCAATAACCTGTAGCCTCCTAGATCTCTTCAATCCATTATGAATATTGCTGCCAAATTTATCTTAACACTCAGTTCTATTTGTATCACTTACTGATTTAAATGATTTAACAACTTCAAATCATTTAAAGAAGGCTTCACTTTAAGTGTAATCTGACTTACACTTACGTATCTTTGGAAATGTTAATGAGTGGTCTATGTTGGATTAAACATGTTTTAAGCAGTTCTCTATTTTTTATCCTAGGATTTTTCAAAGCTCTTGGGGGCTTATATCTCCAAGAGACTGGTAAAATATGTGGAACGTTTCTTAAATGTGTGTGATAATGAAATCCCTTTTTCGTGAACGTTTATTTATGAACATCTCATAGAAAACAGATTGCCAACCACTAGTTTACAAAATAAAACTGGATTCCCTAGCAAAGCATTCAAGGTTGTCTTCAATTTGGCCCCAATCTGTATTTCCCGCTCCATCTCCAACCACTACTGTTGTGTTCTGGTCACACCCAACTATTCACTGTTCTCTGATTCCCTGAAGCCACCATGCAGTCTCCAGCCAAATCTTTGCTCATGCTTTTCTCTCTCTCTCTCTGTAATGACTCTATTTCTGTGTTGGATAAAATCTTTCTCATCATTCAAGGATCATTTCTAATGTTATCTTATTTGAGGGCTTCATTTCTCTGTGCTCCCACAAAATGTGGAAAATATGCCCACTTTACACTTAGCATTGTAGTTACTTACAGGTCTGTTTCAACTATCGTATTAGAAGCTTTGTGAGAAAACAAAGTATACCTTATTTATTTCTGTAACTTTATTGCCAGGATAGGACCTGAAAATGTTTATGAGTGATTGAAAGGGTGGTATCTTTAAAAATTGGTAGAGGTGGAACAGTGTTATATTTGGCAAGGCGGGGTCGCAAGGGGCTTCTTTAGGTAACACTGTGATTGGGTCTCTGAACTTCACATTCTGTCCTTTTGAAAGCCCAGACAATCATTCTAAGTGTCCAGGGAGATTTGAGGCCAAGAAACTGACTCAGACTAGTTAAAATATACCTTATATCAAGGTATGCAAAAGTCATTGATTTGCATGAAACATATAATTTTCACATGAATGGAAACGCCCATGTTCATAAAATTCATTTGTTTATTCATTTGCAAACATATATTGATAATAGATAGTATAACCAAGAATCCCTGTTCTAGGAACTTGAAAACATAGCAATAAATACAACAGGCATTGTAGTAGAGAAATATGAAAGTTAACAAGTAGACAAATAAGATTACTTCAGACAGGGGTGTGCTATTACAAATTAAATTATGGTAATGTGATATGGAGGATAGGTTGGAGAGGTGCTTCTTTAGATAGACATTAAAGTAAGGAAAGTATTAATGAGGAGGCAATTGAGTTCCTACTTGAGAGATGAAAGGTGAAAAGGGGGCAACCTTATGACAATTCTTGGGTGGTGTTACAGATAAAAGACTAGCATACGCAAGGACCTCAGGGTTGGAAAAAGTTTGACAAGTTATTATAATAGAAGAAGGCTAGTGTGGACAAGAGAAAGTGTCAAGAAGAAGGCTGAGAATAGAGTTTGGAGGGTTAGGTAAGGCTGGGTCAGGTAGACTGGGGGCATGGAAGGAAGTCGGCATTTTACTCAAAGTTCAACAAAAAGCCATTGGACTCCTTTAAACAAAGACATGAGATGATGTATTGTATACAGTGAGAATGAGTTTGAGGGGAGGGGCAAGAATGGAAGGAGGGAGACTAGTTAGAATGATATTTTGCAGTACTTGTAACCGAGAGATAATGATGGCTGGACTCAGGTAGCAGCAATGGGGATGGGGATCTATTGTAGAGACTGAGGATATATTTTGTATGTAGAGCAAAAAGGATGGATTAAATAGTGTGGATTCCTGAGGCAGAATATGACAGTGAGAAGATAAGAAAAATAAAGGAAGCCAAAAATAACTTGCAGGTATTATATATCTCTTCCTGGAGTCAAAACATCTTCAGAAAATTTTAATTGCAGCAATGTTTGAACTCCAATGTTCACACTCCTTCTCATCTAGTAAGTTCCTAGATTTCTAGACAATACTTGCCTCTCTCACTCACTACCCTTGTTCTTTTCTTTTATTCTTAACCCTTAACCTCCTCCCAAACTTCTGATTGATTCAATTTTTCTTCAGACAGGCTAATATATTAATCAATCATGCTCGTCTAGGTGTTTTTTTTTTTTCAAATTCTTTGAGGTTACCTCACATGGGTGAGTATTGATCTTATGAAGTCAATTATAATTTACCACATTTTAAGTTGGAAATTGGGAGAGTATCTTAATAAAGCCCCCAGATACTGACCACAGGCTGTAGATCATCCCCACCCAATATCTGCTATTGACCCTTTCCCCCCTCTTTAGGTCTTGACCCTTTCTCTAATACTTTCATGAAAGATATTTGGAATATCTTATTTAAATACAGTGGATGATGTATATCCCAGATTCCTTTGGAAAGTTGCTAAAAAGAATTTGGGGGGAATGCTGAGAAGGAAATCATCAATTCACCCTACTGAAAAAATATTTTAGCTTTTTTGAGCATATTATTTCCTCTCTCTCTCTCTCAAGTTGAAATATGAAATCATAAGTACAGCTGGGCATGGTAATCCCAGTGACTCAGGAGGGTAAGGTGAGAGGCTTGCTTGAGGCCAGTAGTTGGAGACCAGCCTGAGCAACATAGTGGGACCCCATCTCTACAAAAAGTAAAATAACATAGCCAGGCATGGTGGTATACACCTGTAGTTCCAGCTACTCCAGAGGCTGAGGCAGGCACATCCCTTGAGCCCAGGAGTTTGAGGCTGCAGTGAGCCGTGATTGCACCACCACTGCACCCCAGCTTAGGTTACAGGCAAGACCCCAACTCAAAGAGAGAAAAAAATCATAAGTACATCTCTGGAACACATCCATTGGGTTCATTAACAACTCCTCCAAACGTGAAGGAGAAACAGGGTAAGAGATTGAGAACATTTACAGTGGAATCCTGTCTGTTTCTCACAATTAAGTTTCAAGTAACAAAATCATATCACAGGCCTGTGTCTGTTGTTCATTCTAAGTATTTTATTTCAAGAGTCGATATTGATTATTTTAATTAAATTCTAAGAGGAATTTTGAAAAAAAAAGCCAAACATTGCTCTAAAATTTTTTCCTCCTTTAAATTTCAGTTCGATTTTAAGATAGTAATAAACAAGTTGTGTTTTCGGGAATACGTTTCAGCCACTGGGAACAGATATTCCCTCTGCACCTTCCAGACCAATTGACTAAACTGATGTAGAAATTGATAAACCACATTTTGTCATTATCTGAAAATGTCCTGTCATCATGAGATGTCTTTATCCAGAGTGGCAGTAGCTTGGCATAATATCCATTATCACATCACTAAAATTACTGTATGATAGAATACCATTATAGTTGCCTTGACAGAGTGCATAGTCTTCTGAACAGATTCTTGTTTCAGTTCTGTAAGCTGTGTATTTCAAGGGTCGTGGTTTAATTCAAAGATCAGCAGAAATATTATAGTGGCAGATTATATCAAGTGATCTGACCCCCCCAATGTGAATTCATGTTTGAATTTCACAATTCAGAAGAAAATGAGTGAGTGTGTTGAAATGAAAGGCACAGAAGTAGAAACCAGGACTCTAGTATCTGTACTACTCTGGACCCTGAATCACCCTAGTGAACTCGCAGAATCTTAGTGTCTACATCTCAACTATAAAATGAGGAAGTTCAAGTAGATTTAAAAAATGATTCATGTTTCACTGTGTCAGCTCCGATTGATTCCTAGTGATTGTCTGGATTATGGTGCTCAGAAGAATGATGAGACTTCATCAAGGCACCCCCAGAAGAGAATACAGTGAAAATTAGTATAGCCATGCATAAGAAAGAAAAAAGTGGCAGCCTGGATGCATAGTTTCTTTTATAGCCCTGGCATTTGATAATGCCATGTGCTTTATGTGATGGCTTTATGTTACTATTATAATTATACTAACAACTACCAACTATTAAGCATTTCTCATATACTATTAATATTATTTTAACATAACCCCCAAAATAACATAGGGAGATAGGTCATCTTATCCTCATTTTATAGATGCACAAGTAGACTTTTAGAAGCAAAGTAACTTACCTTAATTTATACCATGACCAAGGAACTGATTTGTAATCAGAGCTCAGGTTCTGAGTCCAAAGAGTCACTGCTTTCATACTAATTTTATGCAAGCCTGCATTCGTTGATGAAAATGATCAGAGAACTATACTTATTTAGGTAATTATACAGCTCAGAAATTAATTATTGCTGATGGGTTTTCTGGAAATTTAATATGTTTAATGATGAAGTAAAAACAATATAGTTTTCAAAATAATTCACTTACACCTCTGAAAGTTCTATTTAACGTTTCTTTTACCTTTTGAGACTTCATCATATTTTATTGGGGTAAATGTGTCAAATTCTGAAATAAATAAAATATTTTTGACCTCCTTTGAAATTTGGAAGACAACTAGATATAATTTAGGCATACTCCACCCTTACCCCAAGCTCAGAGCCCAGTGTGGCTACCGCAGTTCTATCCAAAGGACAGATTGGTGACCTACCTAACACAGAAGATAACGTTCATTAAGTCCTTAATAAATTATTGCTGAATAAAAAATATGGCGTTATATTCCTAAATTTTGTCTCTTATAGAGAGCAAGAGATGTTCTTCATTTTCATTTATTTATTTTTTTTGAGACAGAGTCTCAGACTGTCACCCAGGCTGGAATGCAGTGCCGCGATCTCGGCTCACTGCAACCTTCACCTCCCAGGTTCAAGCGATTCTTCTGCCTCAGCCTCTGGGATAGCTGGGATTACAGGCATGCGCCAACACACCCTTCTTATTTTTGTATTTTTAGTAGAGATGGGGTTTCACCATGTTGGTCAGGCTGGTCTCAAACTCCTGACCTCAGATGATCCACCGCCTTGGCCTCCCAAAGTGCTGGGATTACAGGTGTGAGCCACTGCACCTGGCCAAGAGGTGTTCTTTAAAAAGCTAGCTCAATTTCCTAATTTTTACTTATGCATAATAACTTTAAGATATTACTTAATAACTTTAAGATAATAAACTCATACAACTCAATAAATTAAAAACAGAGTGGTTGTTTAGCAAGAAGGACCTAGGTTAGAATATGGAGAGTTAGGCCAACAGCTGCAATTTCCAGTCTTGCTCTGTATCTTCTAGAACTTACCTCCTATTGTGTTACAGTGTTACAAGGTGAATGGTGTACTGTATTATCTTTCATGAACCTTTATACCCTAGTCTGTTATATGGCTGCTATTACATGCAGACTCTTTTTCTGGTGGTGGCAATGCGTGGTCCAGGGAGGGAAGGAAAGATGGCGTTAGACAGGAGGTTCATGTCCTCCCCATTTTGTTTTTTTCTGTAGAATATCTAGTTATTGCATAATTGGGGAAATTTAGCTTGCCTTTTAGACAATGTTTTTTAAATTAGGTATGAGTATTTGTGATGAGTTCTAGATTGTCCATATAATCATCTCTTCACTTCAGCAACGGCTTAGTTTAAGAGAATCATTCTTATTGGAACTCTCATTATATGAAGTTTTTACCCATCTGAGCCTTTATGATATCTTTATTTTTATTTATTTATTTTTTGAGACGGAGTCTCACTGTTTTCACCAAGGCTGGAGTGCAATGGCCTGTGATCTTGGCTCACTGCAACCTCCGCATCCCAGGTTCCAGCAATTCTCCTACCTCAGCCTCCCAAGTAGCTGATATTACAGGTGCCTGCCACTATGCACGGCTAATTTTTGTATTTTTAGTAGAGATGGGGTTTCACCATGTTGGCTAGGCTGGTCTTGAACTCCTGAGCTCAGGTGATCCATCCACCTTGGCCTCCCAAAGTGCTGGGATTACAGGCGTGAGCCACCGTGCCCAGCCTATGATATCTTTAAATTGTGATTGAAAAGTAGGGTGTGATGACCTTTTGTCTTATATTTCATGGAATCTAAAAAAAAAAGTTGAGATAAAAAATGAATCAATGACTAAATCTACTTGCAGAGATCTTGCCTGGACTATTAGAACTGCCTTTTAACTGGCTTTTTGCCTCCAGTGCACCACAAAATCTATCCACCTAAAGCTGCCAGAATACTTCCAACACACACCACCCGCCCCACACCCCCACACCCGACACACACACACACTGCCTTGTCATTCTGCTTAAGATCCTTCATTGGCTCCACACTGCTTTCAGATACAGACCAAATTCCTTAGTGTGACAGAGAAACCCCTATAACTTACTCACTGACCAACTTTAAACCTTAAATCAAGCTTGTCCAACCTACAGCCTGTCTGCCCAATACATATTTGTAAACTTTCTTAAAATATTATGAGATTTTTTGCAATTTTTTTTTGTTTTTTAGCTCATTAGCTATTGTTAGTTTTATTGTATTTTATGTGTGGCCCAAGATAATTCTTCTTCTTCCAATGTGGCCCAGGGAAGCCAAGGATTGGACCCCCCTGCCTTTACATCTAATTTATCTCCCTTCCCACTTCTGAAGTACTTTATTCTTCTGAAAAAATAAGAAGTACCACCTTTTGGATATAGTATGTAATTTCTCGCATCTAAACTTTCATTCTCTATCAAGTTTGACAAGGCTTAATAGAGTCTTTTTTATGTTAAGGTCAAACCCAGATAAGATATAGGTGCCAGATTCTGATAGCTTATAAAAATCAGAACTACTACTGATAAAAAGCTAGCTTGGAAGAATTGGCTATGGTAGGCAGCCAAAGGGCTTGCTAACATACCCCTGAACTCAATTTACCCTTCAAATTATCAATTTCTCTTGCAGAAGCATAGCTTCTCCTAGCTAACCTCATCTTACAGTGAAAAGGGAATGCTAGGCTCTAGCAGGCAGGCTGACTCCCAGGAGGCAGGGGTGAGCTGAGCTTTCCTAGTCCCATTTTTCAAACTTACCTAGCATAAAACTCCCATCTTCTGGGGATGGGGAAAGAGGTCCAGAGAATTAGCCTGGAGAAGTCTCTCCACTGGTAACTATAGGCATGAGGTGAGAATAACTTACCACATATGTCGTTACTCTGAGCCTGGAAAATCATTTCCTCTCTTGTCTTTCTGCCAAATTCCTGCCGCCTCTGCAAATCCAGCTTCAGTGACATTTCTTTTTGTCTGTAGCTTTCCTTGGTCTACTTTTTCCCAACCTCGCCTAGACTTCCAACCAATATGGCCATGTTATTTTTCATCACACTCTATAGTCATTCCGTCATGATGTCAATTTAGTGAAATGATTAGCTACTGTAGTCTGTGAAATCCTTAAAGGCAGGGCAGTATTATGTGTCACCAATACCTAAGACAAAGTTTAGAACCTGTAAGCATTTGATAAATAGAGGGGGTGTTTTCCAAAATACTTAAAAGAAACTATTGAAGATAACCTACTTTGATGATTCCCTACTAAATGACAGGAGCTAGGCTGGAAATTTATTCGTATTAACTTATCTAACCTACACAACAACTGTGTGAGACTGAAGATATTAGTTCCATTTTACAGATGAAGAAATAGGTTTATAGAAAAACTTTGCCTAATTAGCTAATTATTTGTGCTACCAATATTTAATAACAAATTGACTTGTTTTTACATGAACCCTTGTGCCTCTCTGATCTTTGTGTCATCTGTCAGCTGGAATTACTTTTGTTTTTCTGCATATAAATCAAACGGAGATAAAGGTCATTGCATGAGGAGAAAAACTCATGCTCTAATGTGTTTTTGCTTTATTTAATAAGCTTATATAAAACAGTTAAGGGAGAATATAAATTTAGAGATTAGGACTTTAATACTGACTTTTTCATGTTTTCAATGAGGGGATATATACTCCATATTGTTTATAATACATAATGTAAATTATACTACTCATTAATGATAACTCAAAAGGTAGCGTACTGTCAGTTGAGATAGTTAGGATTTGCGCATTGCCCATTTAGTCTAACTTGGCAATATTCTTTTTTGTCTACCTAACCTTATTAATTCTGTTTTATTTTAACCATAACTTCTCACCTTGTACCTGATTGGATTTATTTCTTTTATATATCTAAGCTAACTTAGCTAGCCTTTAATTGTTTTTGGTCAATGGTCAGTCATATGTAATAAAAACTGCCTCATCTTTAGAATACACAGAGTAAATTATAAAAAGTTATGAGATTCCTAGATAATTTACTGAATTGGTTACTAACAAATTTAAAAAGTAGTAATTTTTAAACAATAGTAGCTAACATGTATTGAATGTATAATGTATGCCAAATAACACTTTTAATTGCTAGATGTGCATTTTTTTTCTAGACATCTTCACAAAAATATAGGGGTTAGTTACTTTTCTTCCCCATTTTTAGATGAGACAATAAAACTTCAGAGAGAGTTTAAGCAACTTACTCATAGCAACACTGAGTGATTTTAGCATTAGAATTCAAACCTTGGATGACTCACATTAAAACCTTGCTTTTTTAAACAATGTACTACCAAAAGAACAATTTCTACTTTCTGGGAGCTGATCACTGTCTTTGGAGACAGACAAAATTGAATTTAATTCTATCTCTACAAATAGCAAGCTTTAAGACCCTAGTTATGTTACTCAATATCTCTCCCACTTCCTTTTCTCACCTCTTAGATGGGTACAATGCCTATATCACAGGGTTACTTTATGAAAAGACCTAGTACATGAAGAATTTAGTGCTGTACCTGGTACTTGGTGGATATTCAATCAATGTTAAATCATTTTCCCTCACACACAAAAACTCATTTCTGTGTTTCCAAAAATGTTTTCACGTTTTGTATTTGAGTCTCAGAAGAACCCTGCGATAACAGGGATTATTATCCCTGTTTCTCATTAGAGCAAATAAAGGCTCAGAAAAACCAAGAGGCTTTCTTTTGGTCATACACACCTCATAAGCAACAGAGCAAAGACTTCACATTTCTCACTTGTTTTCATTATAGCATGTATGCCTCCTGGAAAAACATGTAAAGTGAAGGCAGAAAGCAGAGGATGTCAATGAAATCTAAAAGGCGCCTATGTGAAAAAATTATTTTACAAAAACTTTTGCTCAATCTTCTGTCCCTCCTGTCCCTGAGAGGCAATAATATAGAATGAAATAAGGTTATATTGCATTAGAAATATTTTTGCCTTTGCTCAGTGAAGACCATGATCTGAGTTGACATCTAATCATATTATTTCAGCGCTATAGATACTCAGCCTTTACCGAGGACTGCTTTATAATAGGCTAGAGGCTACATTGGGTAATACCAGAATGAGCAAACTTAGTTATTGGGAGTGATCTTGTTGGTCTTTGTTAATGAAATCTGCAAGCCCCTTATGTAATGCATTACTATATTCTGGATCTGGTTACTACTTTGAGGGGCCTGACCATCCAGAAAACGGTACTTTCAAACAAGTTTTCTTTCTCTGATCATCACACAGTATCCTAAAATACTTTGCACGCATAGGCTGGAAGTAGAGATAGTCAAAGCAATCTGCTCATCATCTTGCAGTTTGCATTTAGTCTTTCAGAACTATTTCTCCCACTTCTGCCTTGTTTACGAACAGAGTGAGACAGTCATGCCTGGGTGGATCATCTCCCATGTTTGCCTAGGAATCCTCTCTTTCTCTACTAGGCTTCAGGAGGTTAGACTGTAGCTTTAAAGGTTTTCCTGTGAGTCAGAATCTTGGGGTAAAGCCTCACTTATTTAGAAGAACTTGCTTCTAACTCTATCTCTAGACCTAAAAGAATTACCTTTACTCATACTGAGAGAGTGAGTCATGTCTCATTTCCCCCATGAGCTGAGATGCAGAGGCCATTTTTCTCTCTGTATTTCAAAAGGCTTAAATTCCAATTATTTTTTGATCCCTCACTGTCAGTGCTACAATGAAATTTTTCTGTATTAAAAAAATAGGTCAATGAAGGCCAAGGTTTGGCTGATTCTTGTAATTTTCCTAATTTCCTCATAAAAGCTTGGGCCAATATTTTTTAATTCCAAGTTTGTAGCTTTATCACAGAAGCATTGTTCGTTAATGACTGTGCTTTGTTTCCCATTTTTGAAAGAGAAATTCTTTTGTTACATTTGAAAGAACTTAAACATGAAAAACTTAAGGATTAACTTTTTAATTAGATATAATGATTAGAAACTCTTCATCATGGCAGTTTTCCTTTCATTATGAAAGGAAGTTGACAGTTTCTGTTCAATTAGTGTTCACTGAAATGTTTTTAAATGAAATTATTGCTGAGTAAAGGACTCCAAAAGAATATGACATGATTAAGGGCCTTGCTTTTCGACTTTTTAATGAAGAGATTACTGATGAAAAAAGAATTCTTGCGAAGTTCACAAAACATATTTCTGTGCATGAGCAATATTTAAGTCTCAGTTCATTATAAAAGTAAATATCACAAAAGCTTCTCCCCACTATAAATGTTTGTGATCCCTACATTAACTGACTTTTAATTATGTCAACATAGTTCAATGAAGCAAAGTTTGCAAGGCCTATTTTGGTGGAATCCATTGTCTGTGACTATGGTGCTTTGGAAGAGTTTACATATCACTGTCTTGACTTCATAGTATAATTTCAAATGTTTTATTTCGTTTCATTTAGGGGTTTTTCTGTTGATACATTAGCATTCTCTATGCAATTTCATTTGGGGGTGAATAGACCTAGATCTCATGAGCCCTGGAGATCAATGCTTTTAATGACTCTGAGATTTAGTTACACATCTTATTCTATCTTAGAAGTACTTGGTTCTTTCAAATAAATTCTAACTGAACTCCCTGAATCTAAATACTTATTTTAACAAATAACTGCAAAATATCTTTTCAGTCATAGGTATTCTATCTTCATAGCTTCTTATTGCCTAAAGTATCAAATAGAAATCTATTATCACCCTCATCTTGGAGGCCTTCTATACTTGTCCCTTCCTGATAGCATTAATAAAATAATAATACTGTTGACAATAGCTAACATTTATTTATTAATCTTTAGTACTTTCTTATACTCTAAGAAATATTTAAGTGTAAGTATTCATTTAATCCTGACAATAATCCTAGGAGATTAATATTATTATTAATTATTATTCACAATTTATGAGAGAGAAAACTAAAGCTTGGTGATATTAACTAAATTTTCCAAATGTACATTGTAAATAATTAATGGATTGTTAATTATTTAATATCATATGATATCAATTTAGTGAAGTGAATAGCTACCCAGACTCATCTACCTTCCCTCAGAAATATTTTTAATTAATTATTATTGTTCCACTGCCTACAAGCTTTACTAGAATCAAGGACTGCTCTCTCCCGTTTCCATACTATTTTTTTAATCCAAACTCCATTTCTTTGCTTTTTCATTTAATGCATGACCTTTCCATGCACTAGTAATCCAAGTTCACCTATTGGCTCTCACCTGATCACAGTTGTCTCATTACAGATGTTGGAAACCTCAAAGTCATTATTAATGACACCTTCTCCTTCTATATGAAATAGACGAATAAAGTATTTGTGTGTGTGTGTGTGTGTGTGTGTGTGTGTGTGTGTGTCTAAGAGAGAGAAAAATATGGAGGGAGAGAAGGAGAGAGGTAGAAGTAAGGAAGAGAGAAGAAAGGAGAGATGGAGGGAGGAAGAGGTAAAGAAGGAGAGAGAGATAGAAACAGAGACTTACGCAACACTGACTAAAACATGCAGCTGCTACCCAGTGAAGATACATTGATTAGAGCAGGGAGTAGGGAGAACAGATTCCCAGGGAGCTTTGCTCTGAAGTCATTTTAATATCCTAAAAGTGTTAAGACAAGTCTTACTTGAGTCTGTGAAAATTCTATGGTTTGAAAAGAAAAGAAGAGTATTCCTAAGAAGTCCAAAGCTTTAGCCCTGGCCCCCCAACACTATCTAATTGCATAATCACAGGCACAGTCCAACTAGTCTAGATCTCAGTTTCATATCTGTAAAATGGATATAACCATCCCGACCTCCTAGGATTGTTGTAAGAATCAAATGTGATACTTTTATGATGATGAAAATGTAATGGAGGTTAGGCCCTAAAGGTGCTTGTGAATTAGTGAGATGATAAAATCTGGGATATGGGCAGAGCTTACTAAAACACCAAATACTTTTATTTACACAGAAATAGAAATATGTACATGTAAAGAAGACAGATAATAGGTAACAATTATTATTTGGTACTTATTTTATGCTGGATGCATGAATCAACTCATTTAATCTCCCACAACAATTATATGACATAAACATCATTATCAAACCCACTTTACATATGAGGAAACTGAGGCCCAAAGTGTAGAGTAATCTGGTCAAGATCAGACATTTAAAAAGCGTTGAAGTTAGGATTCTAATCTGGAAAGTTGACCTCCAGATCATGTACGCTTAACTATCCTCTCTGCTTCTGCAGAGAGATGGGAAAGCTTAGGCGTCAACCCCAGCCTTTGGTAACAGTAAAGGGATTCTAACATTACAAAGCCCACCAGCACAGCTCCTTTCCATGGCTCAGGGGCATCTCTGAGTCAAATTTACCTCTCAACAGCATTCCCTGTCCTCACTCAGACACTTGTTGACCATTATGGCCCTTAGGCTATTGAAAAATAGTTTATTTGAGGGAAAAAATTGAGTGTGCCATATAGATCTTGCTATTCAAAACCTTGGAACATGGAAGTGCATTAGCATGCTAAAAGTACCATTTAAGAGAATTCTCATTTTCAAATGAGATTTTTCTGCTTGGCCATACTTAAGCAGCATGAAAGTAAAAGATAATTTTAGCCAGCCATCTTTAAAAGTTATTCCATGTTCTAGTTAACAATATTGCAATGGCTTCCTTAAGATTAGAGTATCTTAACTGTTTACTAGAGTAGACCACAAGACTAGCTAAGTGTATGATGAAAGCAAATTTACTCAGGAGAGCTATTGACTTTTTTTTACCCCCTTGCACTCCTATTACATGAGAAGCCCTAACCACCTCTCTTATATTTAATATGCTGTGAGTTTTTAAAAGCAGCAGAGTGGAGCATCACTGGAAGCCACTGTAAAGTCTGAGCTTTTCAGCCCTTGATATAGAGCTAGGTGTATATTTCTGTGCATGGACTACAAGGACAACACGTGATAAAGAACTTGGAAGAGAAAGGAGATGAAGTAATCTGAGAAGGTTAAAAACATGGTAATGGCAGTAAAAGGATACATGCTGGTAAGAGGAATTGAGAGTGATAAAACCTAGGTTAATGGATTCCTAGGTCTACCGTTTATTGATGATGTGATTCAGGGGCCTCTCATTGAACCACTCAGTGTGTCTTCTACCTCAATTTAGAAATAGGGTTGCTAATTCTGGCTGTGCATATTCCATAGAGTTTGTATGAGAATGAAATTCATTCATTTATCCAACAAATATTTATTGAGTACCTACTCATGCTGGACACTATCTATATATAGATGATACATTGTAAGCAAAAGAACTAGTTTTTATCCATAATGAAGTAATTCAGGTATGTAATGTAAACATCACACAATAGTCACAAAAGAGGTTTACAAACTAGTTTCCATGAAAAGCTATAACAGGATGTCGTGAGTAAGGTATAGGGCAGTGGTGCTCAGCTGGGCCTACTTTTGTTTCCCTAGGGGGCATTAGGTCATGTCTGGAGACCTATTTAATTTTCACATCTGGAAGAAGGAAGGATTACTGGCATCTAGCAAATAGAGGACAGGGATCTGGTAAGCCTCCTACGATGCACAGTGAAGCTAAGATTTAAATGATAAGTGGGAGAGCATTCTGGAGAACAGGTGGGAGAAGATTTGAGGCAGAAGAACTGGCATTTGCATAGGAACCAAAATGAGAATGGGATGTATTATATCCTAAATAATGGAAGAGGGCCTGTGGGGCTAGGTCACAGAGAAGGGGGAGATGGGCCAAGCTGACCCTGGTGACAGACAGGTCCAAATTATTCCATCAGAGGGTCTTGATGAAGTGGTTGTGAAGGCTCCTGAGATTTAACTTGAGAAATGGAGTGGGCGGAGCTGGGATTTACTGGATGAGGAAGTTGAAAGAGAAGCAGATTTGAGGAGGGAAGAAGGAGGATGAAAGCTCAGCTTTTGGAGCTGTTATATCTGAGAGGTCTGTGAGATATCTGAGCAGAGATGACCAGCAAGCAACAGGATATTCAATTTAGGAGAGAAATCTGAGCCAAAAAAATAAACAAGGGAGCCACTTACATAATAATGTTTAAATGTGTAAATAGGGAGAATGTGAAAAGTAACAGAGAAGTCCTAGTTATAAAAGTGTTTTGTCAATCGAAACATGCTCTGCAAATATAAAGAATTCCTAACATCAACATCAAGTAAAACATTTTCTACGTCCACCTATTTATTTAAGAAACCTTTGGTGTCCTTTGTTATATGCCAGGCAATGCACTAAAGGCTGAGAACAAGCTGATAAATATGATTAACACCTGGCCTTGAAAAGTGTCAAGAAAGCAAGTAGGGGGAGAGGCATATTAAATTCTTAATACTGCCCTACAGTTGAGTTCAGGTAGCTTTCCTTCTGTCAAGAAAGTCCAGTAGAGAATGGCTGAGGGCTCTAGATGGGGAAGAAGATGGTGAAGACACACTTCATCTGCCTCACGGTTCTATCTAGGTTAGTCCTGGCTTGACTCTGGTCTGAAGTTTAACATGCTGTGATCTAGCATTCTGCAGAACTATGTGCAAACAAGACCTGGGGTCCCACCTACTTCAGTCAACTTCTCTCAGGTCTCTTGTTTTCTTTCCCTTATAGTACTGGGCATATGATTCCAGAGACTCTGCAGTGTGTGTAGGATATCACTGTAATACGATGACTCGCGTCTCTTAAGCAGGTTTGAGACATGACTGAATGATTGAATATGTAGCACAATTTTATATTATATGGACTTCAATACACCACAGGTCATATAATTCCCCTTATAAAATATGGCATTTGCCATTTTGCCATGGCACAGTCATGTGAGTCTTGCCCATCAAGGTATCACTCTCTCAAATAGGAAAAAATGGGTCAGATGCCAGGTTTGATTTTTTTTGAGACAGAGTTTCACTCTTGTTGCCCAGGCTGGATTGCAATGGTGCGATCTCGGCTCACCGCAACCTCTGCCTCCTGGGTTCCAGTGATTCTCCTGCCTCAACCTCCAGAGTAGCTGGGATTACAAGCATGCACCACCACGCCTGGCTAATTTTGTTATTTTTAGTAGAGACCAGGTTTCTTCATGTTGGTCAGGCTGGTTTTGGACCTCAGGTGATACACCTGCCTCTACCTCCCAAAGTGCTGAGATTACAGGCATGAGCCACCGTGCCTGGACCATTTTTTGTTTTTTTGTTTTTAAGAGTCATGGCTGAATTCACCATAGATCTTTTTAATACAGAAAATCCTGGTAAATATACTAACATATATTTTTGAAATTGTAATTAGCTTTTATCTATTTAGGCCCCATTAATAGTAATAATATCAAGCAAACCTTTAAAGAGTCTTATATTCTAGGTACTGTGCTGGAGCTGGCTGTACATTGGCTTCTGCTCTCTGAGCTTACAGTTTAGTGGAGGAGGAAGAAAATTAAAAAGTAAATACTATGGAGGAAAAGGAAGCAAATAGGATTCAGGGAGGAAGAAAACTAGGAGGTTACATCCTTTAGACTAGGGTGTAATGGTGGTTAGGAAAGGTGAATCTACAATTACCTTATATAATTACTGATCACTGGTCAAATGTATGTTGGACTAATAACCAAAAGATGTGAATTTAATCTTAGATCTATTACTTAATTCTTACTTGTTAAATAAATCAGTAAAGTTAAATTAATTTCATAAACACTAATAATAGTGCTTACTATGTGCCAGGTTCTGCTCTAAAGTTTTATCAATATTAACTCATTTAATCCTCAACAATCCTATGAGATAAGTACTATTATCTCACAGGCTCTATTTACAGAAACTATGGAACTTGGCCATGGTCACAAGGCTAGTTAGTGGTGATGTCAGTTACTTTAGCCTCTGTGAACCTATTTCTCTATCTGTATATTACGAATAAGACCTTCATGGGGATGCCATGTGGGAAAGTAGCTTTTTAAGCAGTAAAATGATAGATATGCATTGTTATAATTTTAGTGTCAGTTGTAAAGTCAATATTACAATGATGTAGGCTCTGAACTTTAAATACTATGGGGAAACTAGAAATTTTAGGATAGAGGACCTCACCCTCCAGAGAGTTTACTCTATCACAGGAGAGAGATTACCAGCATATATGACATAGTACATACTTCAAAATTACATGAAGTGGTTCTGCTAAATTTAGGGCCATACCTATAAGTGCTGAGTTGTGAGGAAAATGGGATTGTTGATGTTTAAAATATACCTATAGATCATTGAGTTATGGCTCTGAAAGAACTTGAGAGTTGGTTGCATCTAATCCTTTCATTTTAAAATTGAGTCATTGAAGCATGTCAAAGCAAAATGACTGAACCAAGATCTTACAGCTAAATTAGAGCAAGAACCATAACTAGAAGTAAGGTCCTGGATGGTAAAGTCTTGGTCTTTTTCTCTGATTAAACTTATCCATATCCTCTGCCTCCCTTCCTGCTGGAAGGTCATTGCTTTCTAAGCTTTTTTTTCTCCCCCAACCCCTCTTCAAGGAGACAGATTGAACTGCAAGATTACAGCATTAAATGATGAGTGCTTATCACTTATGATAAGCCCCAGGAGTATAAGACTTCCTGATGGTTTCTCTAGAAACTTAAAAAAATTTAAATAGCTTCACTGAGGTACAGTTTGATGAGTTTTCACATATGAAACCATCAATTCAAGATACTAAGCATATCCATCACCCCTCTGCAAATTTCTTCATGCCTTTTTGTAATCTCTCCAGACTTTTGTAATCCCTCCCTCCAACTACCTTATCCTACCTGCTCTACCTCCCCATTCCCAGTCAACTATTACTCTCCTTTCTGTCTTTATACATTAACTTGCATTTTCTATAATTTTATATAAGTGAGATCATATAGTATGTACTTTTTGTTTGTCCTCTTTCACTCAACATGATTATTTAAAGATTAGTCCATGTTTTTGCATGTGTCAATATTTCATTCTTTTTTATTGCTGAACACTATTCTGTTGCATGCAAATACCACAATTGTTTAATCTATTCATCTTTTGATGTTATTTCAAGCTTTTGGCTATTACAGATAAAGCTACTATGAATATTTGTATAAAAGTCTTTGAATAGACATGTGCTTTTATTTATCCTCAGTAAATGCCTAGGAGCAGAATCATTAAATCCCAGGGTAGGTACATATTTAACTTAAGAAAAAAATACTGACCTGTTTCCAAAGGGGTTGTACAATTTTTTATATTCTCACCAGCAGTGTATGAGACTTCCAATCTTCCACATCATCACCAACACTTGATATGGTCAGTCTTTTTAAATATTAACCATTCTAATAGGTATGTAGTAGTATCTTACTGGGGTTTTAATTTTCATTTCTCTAACAAGTCATGATGTTGATTATCTTTTCAGATGCTTATTTGATACCTATATCTTCACTGGTGAAGTGTCTGTTTAAATCTTTGGCTCATTTTTGGGTTTTTTTTTCTGATTGAATTTTAAGAGTTATTTGTTTTATCACATGGACACAGGAAGGGGAACATCACACTCTGGGGACTGTTGTGGGCTGGGGGGAGGGGGGAGGGATAGCATTAGGAGATCTACCTAATGCTAAATGATGAGTTAATGGGTGCAGCACACCAGCATGGCACATGTATACATATGTAACTAACCTGCACATTGTGCACATGTACCCTAAAACTTAAAGTATAATAATAATTTTAAAAAAAGACAAAAAAAAAGAGTTATTTGTTTTTTAGAAACAAGTCCTTTATGAGATGTATGATTTGTAAGTATCTCTTTTCATTCTGTGGCTTCTCTATTTTCTTAACAATATTTTTTAAAGAACAGAAATTTTTAATTTTAATGATGTCTGATTTATCAGTTTGTTCTTTTATGGATTTTGCTTTTTGTATTCTACCTAACCCAAGGTCATAAAGATCTTCTCTCATGTTTTTCTTTAGATGCTTTATTTAGGTTTTACATCTAAGTATATAATCCACGTTGAGTTAACATGTAACAAGAGGTGTGAATCAAAGTTTGTTGTTTTGCATATGGATAACCAATTGTCCCTGCATCATTTATTGAAAATATTATCTTTCCTTTATTAAGTTGCCTTTGTACCTTCATTAAAAATCAGTTATCTAGGCCGGGCACGGTGGCTCACGCCTGTAATCCCAGCACTTTGGGAGGCCGAGGCGGGCGGATCACGAGGTCAGGAAATCGAGACCATCCTGGCTAACACAGTAAAACCCCGTCTCTACTAAAAATACAAAAAAAAAAAAAAAAAAAAAAAAAAATTGGCTGGGCATGGTGGCAGGCGCCTCTAGTTCCAGCTACTACTCGGGAGGCTGAGGCAGGAGAATGGCGTGAACCAGGGAGGCGGAGCTTGCAGTGAGCTGAGATCGTGCCACTGCACTCCAGCCTGGGCGACAGAGTGAGACTCCGTCTCAAAAAAAACAAAAAACAAAAAAACAGTTATTTATAGATGTATGGTTCAACCCCTGTAGTCACTATCTGGGATTCAGTTTTCAGAGCATGAAATCTTAATATTATATCCTCTTTTTTCTTTTTTTGTAGTTTTCAGTGTACATGCCTTGCACACTTTAAAAATCAGTTTTATATAATCCCAGCACTTTGGGAGTCAGAGGCAGGCAGATCACCTGAGGTCAGGAGTTTGAGACCAGCCTAGCCAACATGGCAAAACACTGTCACTACAAAAAATACAAAAATTAGCTGGGCATGGTGGTGTGCGCCTATAGTCCCAGCTATTTGGGAGGCTGAGGCATGAGAATTGCTTGAACCCGGGATACAGGGGTTGCTTGGGTGATAGAGCGTGACTCCGTCTCAAAAAAAAAAAATCAGGTTTATCCCTAAGTTGTTAATATTTCAAAAATTTGTCGTAAATTGCATTATTTTTTATTTTAATTTCTATGAATTTATTGCTAGTATATAGAGACACAATTGATCTTTGGATATTAATCTTGTGTTCTACAACCTTGTTAAATTTGCTAAAGATTCTACTAGCATTTCTTTAGAATTCATGAGATTTTCCACAGATAATTATGTCATGTGTAATAAAAGCATCTTTATTTCTTTGTTTCCAATCTGTATTTATTTTACTTGCCTTGTTACACTGTTTGGAACCTCTCCGACAATGTTGAATATAAGTGGTGAGAAGGGACGTACTTATCTTGTCCTAAGAGTTTTTTGTTAAAACCAGAAATAGATATTGGATTTTGTAAAATGTTGTTTCTGTGCCTACTAAGATAATCGTTAAGTTGTTAATTAGTTTTGTTTCTTTAAAAAAAAGTTAATAAATGCTCCTAATTCTATCCCTCCCTTAGCACCCCCATGCCACAACAGGCCCCAGTGTGTGATGTTCCCCTCCCCGTGTCCATTTGTTCTCATTGTTCAACTCCTACTTATGAGTGAGAACATGTGGTGTTTGGTTTTTTCTTCTTGTGTTAGTTTGCTGAGAATGATGGTTTCCATCTTCATCCATGTCCCTGCAAAAGATGAGAACTCATCCTTTTATATGGCTGCATAGTATTCCATGGTGTATATGTGCCACATTTTCTTTATCCAGTCTATCACTGATGGGCATTTGGATTAGTTCTAAGTCTTTGCTATTGTGAACAGTGCCACAATAAACATACATGTGCATTTGTCCTTATAGTAGAATGACTTATAATCCTTTGGGTATATACCGAGTAATGGGATTGCTGGGTCAAATGGTATTTCTAGTTCTAGGTCCTTGAGGAATCGCCACACTATCTTCCACAATGGTTGAATTAATTTACACTCCCACCAACAGTGTAAAATTGTTCCTATTTCTCCACATTCTCTCCAGCATCTGTTGTTTCCTTTTTAATGATGACCATTCTGTCTTGAGATGGTATCTCATTGTGGTTTTGATTTGCATTTCTCTAATGACCAGTGATGATGAGCTTTTTTCATATGTTTTTTGGCTACATAAATGTTTTCTTTTGAGAAGTGTATGTTCATACCCTTCACCCACTTTTTGATGGGGTTGTTTGTTTTTTTCTTGTAAATTTGTTTAAGTTCTTTGTAGATTCTGGATATTAGCCCTTTGTCAGATGGATAGATTGCAAAAATTTTCTACCATTCTGTAGGTTACCTGTTTACTCTGATGCTAGTTTCATAGGCTGTGCAGAAGCTCTTTAGTTAGATCCCATTTGTCTATTTTGGCTTTTGTTGCCATTACTTTTGGTGTTTTTGTGACGGGTTGATGGGTTCAGCAATCCACCATGGCACATGTATATCTGTGTAACAAACCTACATGTTCTGCACATGTACCCCAGAACTTAAAGTATAATAAAATAAATAAATAAATAAATAAAATAATGTTTACTATTTCATAATTACAATTTGTGAAAATAGTTAACGAGGTGTTCAACATATGAATAAATTCATTATTTAATTTTCAGGAAAAGAAAACTTAATAAATTTCATTGGTTCATTTGTAAATGTTAAACCAATTTCGTATTCCCAGGATAAAGCCTACTTGGTCATGATGCATTATCCTTTTTATATATTGTTCGATTAAATTTGCTAAAAAATTTTTTAAGAATTTTTGCTTGTATATTCATGAGGGTTTATTGATATTAGCTTTTCTTGTAATATCTTCATCTGGTTTGGGATTAGGGTAATGCTGGCCTCAAAAAAAAAAAATGATCTGGAAAGTATTTGTTCCTCTTGAGTTCTCTGAAAAATTTTGTGTAGAATCGTTATTATTTCTTTCTTTAAAATATTTAGAGGGAATTTATCAGTGAAGCCATCTGGGCCTGGAGTTCTCTTAGTGGGATGATTTTAATTACAAATATCTTTAATAGCTTATGATGTGACTATGTAAAGTACTTATTTCTTCTTGATTAGTTTGCATCTTTCAAGGAATTTGTCCATTTCATCTAAGGTATTAATTTTTGGGGGGAAAAAGTTGTTTATAAGATTTTCTCAGCCAGGTACAGTGGCTCATGTTTTATAATCCTAGCACTTTGAGAAACTGAGGCTGGAGGATTGCTTGAAGCCAGGAGTTCAGGACCAGCCTGGGCAACAAAGTGAGACCCTGTCTCAAAAAAAAAAAAAAAAAAAAAAAACTTAGCCAGGCGTGTGGTCCCAGCTACTCAGGAGGCTGAGGCCAGAGGACTGCCTGAAGCCAGGATTTCAAGTCTTCAGTGAGCCATGATCATAACATTAGACTGTCTATAAGAATAAATAAATAAATATATACCTACATACATAAAGATTTCCTTATTAGCTCCTCATGTTTGTAGGATTGTAGGATTGGCAGGGATGTCATCTTCCTCCATCTTGATTTTGATAATTTGTTTCTCCTAATCAGTCTTGCTAGAGTGTCATCAATTTTATTGATATTCTCAAAGAACCAGCTTTCATTTTCATTGGTTTTCCTCTATCTTCTGTGCTGTTATTTTTTATTTCCTTTCATTTGCCTACTTTGGGTTTAATTTGCTATATTTTTTTTCTCGTGAAAGATGGAAGCTGAAGTCAGTAATTTGACACTACCTTCTTTTCAAATATAAGCGTGTAGTGATATGTATGTTTCCTTAATTACTGCTTTAAGGGAATCCAGCAAATTCAATATATTGTAGTTTATGTTCATTCAGTTCAAAATATATTCTCATTTTTAATTTTTTTCTTTAACCAGTGAGCTATTTGGAATTGTGTCATTTATTTTCTTAATATTTTGAGAGTTTCCAGAGATTGTTCTGTTATTGATTTTCAACTTAGTCCTATTATAGCCAGAGATTATATTTCCTGTGACGTGAATCTTTTTAAATTTATGAAAATTTGATTTCAAGTTAAAAATATGTTCTATCTTGGTAAATACTATTTGAGCACTTAAAAATGTGTACATTTTGCTGTTGTGGAGTAAAATATTCTATAAAGGTTTATTAGCTCAAATTGGTGCCTAGTTTTATACAAGTCTTCTCTATCTTTACAGATTTTCTATTTGTTCTATTAATTATTTAAAGGTGTTGATATCTTCAATTATAATTGTGGATTTATCTATTTCTACTTGCTGCCTTGATCTTCCCAGCAAACCAATTCTGTCTTCTCAACGCAACAAGTCCATTGGCCACAACTGGATTCCTCCTTTCTGGAATATGGCCTGGAAGTTAAAGGCTATAAGAATTAGAAATCACAGGGCCCACCTTGTTTGTTTCTTTTCTCTCTGTGTTCATTGTTTTTTGTCTCATGTGCATTCTTGAAACCCATTCTTTCCTACATTGTGTCCTTTTGTTTGGTTATTTTAGGTGGGAATGCAAATCCAGGCCCTGTTACTCTATTTTTACTGGAAGTGCAATTGTCATGAAGTTAAATTTAAACCATTCACCAGCAGAAAGCACTCAACGTATGGTAGTCCCACCATACAAAGGTACCGTTAGGTATTCTGAGGTCTGCAGTCTAAGTTAGAGCATCGTGACATATTTAGATGTGATAGACATGTAGCCTAGTGACTGCGTGTTTAATGGAAAAAAAATGGTAGCAATTACTTATCAAGCATCGTGCTAACAGGAAGAAAATACATATGCTCCACTTGTGGGCAGAGACAGTTGCACACTGAGTGATAGTAGAAAAGAAACAGAGGATTGACATAATATTACATTTATCTTTGTGTTCTCTATTTCTAGCACAGTTCTTGGCACATAGTAGAGCTCAATAAATGTTTGTTAAACTGAGTCAAATTGAACTAAGTTAAATATTTGATAAGGTAAATATTGGATTTATAGTGGACCCCACTTGAACTTAGAAAGTAGGAAGTTTAGAACTTATGAAAGTGGGCAGGAATACAAAACACGTAATATTTGCTTAATGAAAAATAATAAGTAATATAACCTAAATGATTGAGCCACCTAGGGCCTCCAAACGTATATCAATGTGCCTATTTCAAACAGTGAGGAATAAACACATAGAACTTATCACCTCAAGAGGTTTAAGAAGATTTTCACTGAATTTATGAACATGAATTATCTGTGAGTTGGTTAAAGGTAATATTGGTTAGCATCAAGAATAGGAAGCTATTAGTTTTCAATCAAGAATAAGCTCAAATTTGGTCTAAATCTTAATTTTAAGCTGGGTAATCATTGATTTACAATTTTTTTCTTGGTGTCACATTTCTTCCAAAACAATAATCAATGAAGCCTTTCCCACCCTGTGCCTTTGCTGTACCTTTCCTTTCTCAGAATTCCCCCTATATCTGTATAACTAAATACTACCCTAACAACAGACTCTAGCAAAGTGCTAAATCTTCCATGAGCCTGCCCTAATGTCCACCATGGATATAATCTCTTCTTTTTCATTGCTTTCTAAATAGTTTATGCTACCTCTTTTATGGTACTTACACGTTTTTAAATTTGCCTTTTTGTTATTTGTGCTGATTTACCATCCCTTCTGTTAGATTCTCCTTAAAGGTAGAGGCAACATCTGATGTATTCATTTGTCCAAAGTACTACCAAAAATTATAGCACGGCTGGGTGTGTGGCTCATGCCTGTAATCCCAGCACTTTGGGAGGCTGAGGCAGGTGGATCACGAGGTCAGGAGATCAAGACCATCCTGGCTAACATGGCGAAACACCATCTCTACTAAAAATACAAAACAATTAGCTGGGCATGGTGGCGGGTGCCTGTAGTCCCAGCTACTCAGGAGGCTAAGGCAGGAAAATGGTGTGAACCTGAAAGGTGGAGCTTGCAGTAAGCTGAGATTGTGCCACTGCACTCCAGCCTGGGCGACAGAGCGAGACTCCGTCTCAAGAAAAAAAAAAAAATTATAGCACATGGGAGATGCTTGATATGTTTGTTGGATCAATGAATAAATGAATGAATGCAAGATTCAAAGGGCAGTTTTTAAAACTGTTTCCACACACAAAGACTATGAATTCTTTACCTTTTTTTCCCCAAAAACTAAAGAGAAGAGGATTTTTAGGACATGCTCTTTAAAGGAAAGAATAAAGGAACCTGATAAACAGGAGGTTGGAAAAGCCTCACAAGACCCAGCAAGTGGGGTCTGGAATAATGATAAGCATTTGCTTAAGAATTTCAGAGAGGAATGACTGGGATTTTGGAAGGTAACTTAAAAGACAGCTTTTTATTTTCCTGTTGTTTCCTGAGAAATTCAGAACATTTACTAGTGAAGGAATATTTTCTGAAAGTTGTGGGCTGGCTGGTCGACAATGCATGGAGAAGAAGCATGTGGCTGGGGCAGATGGGAGACTATAAGGGCAGGAATGAAGGCAGAGGAGGGACTGTGGGTGTGAGCTGAACAGAACACCATGAATGAGAAAAAGAGAAGGTTGGTTGAATTGATATTGAAAAACAAACTGTCTAATGGCAATAGCCTTATGGTGTGTGCTCGTGAAGTACTAAGGAAAAACAATTTCCCTACAAATTAGGTAAAATTTACAAATTAGGTAAAGATTTTGAAAGATCAGTTCTACTTTTCATTCCTTCAGTTCAAAATTGAAAAGAAATGAAGGTAAGAGGAAAACTTCCCTGGTGTCAGCCTTTGAGACTTTAACACTACAAGGGCATTAGTATGAACCAGTCTACCATCATCAGGGTACAAATGGAGGAAAACTAGGTAACCCAAATCATGCTGCTCTTCCAAAAATAATACAGGGAAAATATTTCGTGTATGTTATCAAACTGTTTCCTACAATTTGTACCTTGTTTGGTCTTCCTTGGATTTTCTAGGTCAATTAAATGCATAATTTATTATGCTGTGAGTTTCTCTCCTTTTGCCTCTTACCTCTTGACATGCTTGAGTAAATATCACCATTGTTGACTGTGCAACCAGCCCTTAGAGTACGGATTCCTTTGGAACTTCCAAGTGCTCTGAGCATCACCTTCCAAGATGCCTTACCTCCTAGCACCTTCTAGCTCAGCAATCCTACAGAGACATTAGGGACTGGTGGAGCCTCACCTCCCTGTGTGGGTACTGTCCTTGGTGAAGGGAATTGAGAATATGTCCCTAAATTCTGTTCATATTTTATTTCATGCTTATACGAGTCTTTTTTGTTGTCGAAGTGCACATGCATATTTCTTTGGAATTAACACATTCCAGCCTACTCTCATTTCCCGAGAACATTTAAAGACACGATTCTCCTTGTATTATCTATGTAAATTTTATCTAGAATAAGGAATAAAAGTGACTTTTCTTCAATATATAGGCAACATAAAGTTCTTCTAGTTACTCTTACATTTTATGATGCCTTCTGGCTTGTCTTTAGAGATAATCCCAGATAAACAACTCATAGTGCCATTAAGACAGTAATACTCTGTAGGTGAAGAATATGTCACATCTAGCTCTTAACTAAACTGAGAGGAGAGCTGGACATATTAAATGACACTGTGAGTATGCATGTATATAGTTGTATTTCTGACACAGCAAACAAGTGCTGACATCTGTATATGTACATATATGTGTGTATATAACCGACTCCCTTCAATGTTACTACTTTTCACAAGCTACTTAAATTCCACCACCATGACCTGCCACCCAAATCTTCTGGTAGGAATATTTTTTCACATCTCTCTTCTTCCTACTTCTTTCCCCCTACACGCTTATGGTATGTGCCATTTCACCAGACCCGTGTGAAGACAGGAGAGCACTGATGGGATTGCTTTTCACAAGTGTAGGAATGAAAATTCTTCCCGATGAAAACATCTGTCTCTGTTCAAGTCATGCCCAGTTATCCCCCAAAAGAAATGTTCTGATTAACTTTTTTTTTAAGTCTTAAGATAGCAGTTTGTGTAGCAGATCTAATTAAGAAGTTTATGTAACAGATCTGCAGGGTTTTTTTTTTTTTTTTTTTTTTTCCTCTTCAACTGGGTTCTGTGAGCTCAGTTTGAGTGTTACCAGCTTTCGCTATGCAACGGCCAAGTGTTTCTCGGGCTGAGAATTATCAGCTTTTGTGGGATACTATTGCTTCCTTAAAACAATGTGAACAAGCTATGCAACATGCATTTATTCCGGTAAGGAAAATTTTCTTTTATTTTCCTAGGGATTCTTTTATTTATTCTTCCTTTTTCTCCTGTTGTATCTATAGAGAAATGTATAAATTCTGTGCATTTGATGATCATAGTTATTTTCTCTGTAGTTCTCATTCAGGCTAAATATATGGTTTTTCTCTGTATGAATTCCTAATTCTTAATATGTCCAAGCATTAATCGGTGAGAAAGAATAAACAGTGGTCCAATCAAACTCATCCCACTGAAGACAGTAGTTTCTAATAGTGGCATGTACTAAAGAAAGGAAACAATATTGATATTCCATATATTAATGTTTGAAATAAACTGCAATGTTTATTTCCCCATTGGTTCCCCCAGAGCTACTTGAATATCTTTTGCAGTTAGGTTTGATATATAGATCAAGAAACCAAAATTGCTATTCTTTACTCCAAGTAAAACCCACCAAAAAAGTTATCTTGAAAAGTATAATTGCTTCTTTAGTAAAGTAGTGATGCAATATTTAGATTTTGTAAAAATTTCTGACAGAAGTTGTGTATAGCTATGTAAAGTGAATTAGTGAATCAGTGTCATTGTGTTTTATTTTGGAGAAATAATGTTTGTGTTTATAATTTATTTAACCAGAGGAATCAGGCTGGCAACATTTGATAGGCCGAGATAAGGTAAATAGGACTACCAAGAAGAATATTAAAATGTTTGATTATTTTCATTAGATCTACTTTGAAGAATTGAGATCACCAATTAGCTATGAGAGAAGAGTCTTAAAAAATAATCTCTGCTAAAATTTATTTGGTACCTTCTCAAGAAAAACATTATTTCTGACATAGAAACTCAAGAGATATGCTTCTTTCAACAGTTGGAATAAATCTTCCTTGAAGTTCATGTTATTTTCAAGTGACTCAAGTTAGATGCCATCATATTTTTCCCTGTAACTTCGAAATCACTTAAATGTCACAAACTCTGGGCTATATTTGAAGCTCTTCTAATTGAACCACTATATTTTAGTTGGATCACGGTAAGTTGATCTTGACTACTAAAGCCATAAAGCTTATATAATTTTTGTAAGAAGTCTAAAAAACTAATGGTGGGAAACTCTCTAAATCATTTTGCTATAAGGATCCTGCTTTGAACTAGAATCTAGAAAGTATAGTTTGCTTCTCCTATGTTTATGAGACTTCTCTTCCTTTTTTTTTTTTTTTTTTTTTTTGTTATTATCAAAGTGTGATATTCCTTGTGGACCTCAAGTATTTCCTCGTTCACGGAGCCATCCCTTGCCAGGCAGGGTTATCTTCCCCCTTCTTGATTTCTTGTGTGCATCTCTGATTTATCACCTAACATTTTATTCTTAAGTGTTTCCTCTCAGTCTCTCTAATTATATTGTTACTTTTGGGGTAAATGTGAATAGGAAAGTAAGTTGGAGAAAGGAACTAACATTTATTTGTTTGTGTTGTTGTTGTCTTGTCTTGAGCTCCTTAAATACAGAAGTGCATCTATTCCCAGTGTCTAGCACAGTGCCTGGCACATAAAGAGTGCTTGGTGAGCAAGTGAGGAATGACTAAATCAACCAACAAGCGTCTCCAATTTCCAATTAATGCTTGACAGTTTTCATTATTAGCTTTGTCTTTACTGATCTCATAAAATTATTTCTATTAAAGTCCATCTGGAGAAAACTCAGAACCTTGACTATAGCATTGTGGTGGTGTAGTGGTAGGGGCAGGGATGTGTTAATACATGGAATAGACCCCTATGTGTCCAGTTAACCTTGGATTCAATTCTCATAATTCGTGGGCTACTCTGTCTTTGATTCCAGTGTGTTTCCAGTTTTGCTTAATTCACACATATATAAAATCATGCCCAAATTATCATTCAGGTTTGCTTTAGTTTTGACTGCTCTAAATCTTTTCAGAACATATTGGGAATTTGCCAATATATCTCAAGCATCTTCCAAGTCTTTATTAAACATATGATTATATCATCACAATTTCATGAGAGCTTCTTTTAGAAATTATAGCCATTATTAAAATATTATCAGTTAAGAATAACTCTTTATAAACTGACCCTCAATTTATTTTTTTGTCAGCAGAAAAGGTACTCTATGTATTCCCTGCTTTATGCACTTTTTAACCCAATGATATGTATTTCATGTACACACATGTATTTTCACTTGTATGGAATTTGTACTAATGATACACTTCATTGTTTACAGTATCGTAATAAATCCTGAAGTATACATATCCTATCATGCTGAGTCTATTATGTTAAATCAGTGACAAATATACGGCTCAAATAATTGCCTCCTTTAAAATAAACCTTGTTCTCTTTTAAATCAAATACTTGAAAATGAACAATGTCTATAAAGTATAGTCACATATTGATGTCGTTAATCTTAGGAGAATTGACCTGAAAAGGTCGTAAGCAAGTAAATGCTCTTCTGTGCATCTACTGTGAGTGTGGATTCCTAACGCATCGTTAGAATGCGGAGCCACCTAGATGGTCCGGATCATCTCACTCACACACCATAAGCTATGAATCACAACTGGTTTTTCAGTCAATGTAGTTCTGTGAACTAACAATAAACCTGACATAAAATCTCAAGTCATGATATAATCTGCCCCCAGGGAACCTCCCATATAAAATTCATATTGGTGAAAGGAACCTTAAAGTGGCTGATACCTGGATAGTGCTGCTCAAAACAGTCTTCAGAGAAGAAGGAAACCAAACTATGAAGTCCTTCAAAGTTTCAGGATTTGATTTCACATATTAGATCCTCCCCTAGAGTTAACAAGATGTAAATAAAATCTGGAGTCTCAAGCAAGTTCATCTGCTGATCCAAGAGCCACAAGTGCAAAACAGCAACACAGAACTTTTCTTATCTTTTAGCCTAAGTGTCTGGCGAATGTAAGCTCCTAAATATTTATTAAATGCATGAATAATAAAAAGTTCTCATGAAGTATTTTAAATTGGTTCCATCATTGGAGGCATAAGGACATTCTTCTAGGCAGTCAGTATTTTTGGATATTAGGCAAATCAGAGGCTTTGCAATTTTATTCAAATGAGTAGATATGCTTATAAAAACAGTCTCATAATTAGTAGTTCTTTTCATAGAGACTGGCCTGTGTTTTTATTCGTTTGTTAGTTCAATCAGCTCACTCACATTTTCTAGAGCCCCTACTATGTGTCAGACACTATTCTAGACAGGACAAGTGCCCAAAAGTAAACTTAAAACTTCTTTGTGACATCATCACTTTGTAAGAGAGATAGTATTACCAAATGGTGCCCTAATATCTCTTGCTGCAATGTACAAATTTGGTTTTCCTTATACTGCTAACAATCATATCTGGATTTCATAAAAACATTCACACAGGGATCAGTGGGTCCTAAGTACAGTTCTTATGCTCATCTTGCTGCTAGACTTGGGGCTTCTGTCAGTCAAAAAGAAGTCGCAATACTATTAATTCATTCGTTCATTCATCTCAGAAAAACTTATTCTGACCCTAATGTGAAGGTTATGCGGCTTATTAAGCATTGGGAGAGATATAAACGTGTATAAATCAGGAGAACCCCTAATTGGAATTCTGCCCCCAAGAATTTTCAAATTGATTTGCAAATCACTGTAATACCATATGCAAAATGTAGAGTATCCTAAGAGTCTATGAATTACCACAAGAATTCAGAGAAGGGGCAAGCTTCATGGAAGGCTGTCTCAGCTAGGTTTGAAGGTTAAACAGAATTTTGACGCTCAGTAATGATGGAAGAAGAGGACATTCCAAGTGGAGGAAACAGAAAAGGCACTTGTAAATTGTGTAAACACAGTCTATTTTTCCATGTGTTCGTCTATTCAATGAATGCTTATTAAATACCTTTTATGTGTCAGAAATTACGATATGCCTGGAACATCTAATAATAAATAGGGCACAGTCAAACCTTGCCCTGGGGGTATTTACCTTCTAGTGGTGGGGACAGACATTAAATAAACAGTTACACATGTATCTCTATTACACACTTGAATACTATCCTATGCAAGTTGTTTACAGTGTTTCTCACAATTGCAATTCAATATTACATGTATACATACACAGATAAACATCAATTATCAGAAAGTGTAGCAATAGTAGATACTTTCTCAGTCACTACAAACAAAACAAAAGAAATAAAACATCCTCCCAAATATGCTTTAGTTTTAAAATATAATTCATTTATCCAGCAAACAACACATCCTGCTTGCCACACCCTGGGCTAGGTACTGGCAGTTCAAAAAGTGATAGTTAATATTTACTGAGTACCAATTTTATGCCATGCACTGTTCCAAGCATTTTACATGTATTATCTCAATTCTGTCAGCAACTTCTGATGTAGGTACTATCATCTCCATTTTACAAACTGTAAAAAAGAGATGGGCCGGGCGCGGTGGCTCACGTCTGTTATCCCAGCACTTTGGGAGGCTGAGGCGGGCGGATCACGAGGTCAGGAGATCAAGACCATCGTGGCTAACTCAGTGAAACCCCATCTCTACTAAAAATACAAAAAATTAGCCGGGCGTGGTGGCATGCGCCTGTAGTCCCAGCTACTCGGGAGGCTGAGACAGGAGAATGGCGTGAACCTGGGAGGTGGAGCTTGCAGTGAGCCGAGATCGCGCCACTGCACTGCAGCCTGGGTGACAGAGCGAGACTCTGTCTCAAAAAAAAAAAAAAAAAAAGAGGTGAAGTACCTTTCCCACAGTCACATAGTTAATAAATGGAATGACTGGTCCTTGAACTCAGTGTTCCAACCTCAGAGAGCGTTATTCTTAACCACCTCATTAGAGTAAGAAGAAAACACTAAAACCAAGAAAACTATATTGCAGTGTGATTAGGAGCAGCAATTAAAAGATGTACAAACCATGGTAAATGCAGCAAGGGAAGAGTGATCCATCTGCGTGAGATGGAAAGGAAAGATAACCAGCGAAGGCTAGAAAAAGGAGAAAAGTCTTGAGACAGTTTTAAAACAGGGGTTTACAAGATGAGGGAGGTGAGAGGTTAAAAACAACTGGAACAAAGTCACTAAGGCAAGAAAGAGCAGTATGAAATGAGAGTATGTTACTAACTTTCTCCAACTTGTGATCTAACACTTTGAGCATTACAGAAGCAAGGTCAGAACAACCAGGATGAGAGTTGGGTCATATTTAAGGTCAGGAATTATACAGGTAAATCATAAAAACAACACTAAATAATTCAAGCCCACAGACAAAGGCACTGGAGCCTCAGAAGAGAACCTCAAGAAAGAGATTATTTTCAGAAACCTGGCTTAATTGTCCCTGCTATGTGTGGCCTGACCTACAGGTTGACAATGGTGCCTAGAATTGAGTATATCCATGGAGAAGCAGAGAACGTTTGTGCAGAAATGTAAAAGAATGAAACAAATGTAGAAAAAGAAAAGGAGGTGAGAAACTATGTGGTCTCAAAGAAAGACACAGAGAAATGAGGCTGAAAAGAACTAAGAGAGGCTGGACTGTGACTTTCTGGGTCCCCCAAAACTCCCAGTTCTTAGTTCCAGTTTATCAGACGGCCTGCCCTGCTGTGCTTCTTGTCCTTTTAGCCTGACAACAAATTCCAAATTTTGCTTAAGCCAGTGCAAGTGAGTTTCTATACCCACAGCCACAGAACTTTAAGATAGGGGCCAGTTAGTGACTAGTGGTACAGGAATAGGATACAGTGCTAAAGAAGATGAAGGACGGAGTTGAAGAGAAGATAAACAGATCAGCTGAGGACAGTGGTCTTCAAAGTAAGGTTGTATCCTTCAGGACTTAACTCCTATCCCCTTCCACAAGCCTTTCCTTATGCCTAGTAACCAGAAGACATGCCTTTTCCCTCCTTACTTCAACCCTGATTAACATCCCCCTGAGGAAAAATAAGAGTAGGGAAATTTCTTACCAACTACTTTAATCTATACTTTTGTACGCAATCATCACAATACCAACATGAAATGGATCATTGTTATTATCTACATTTCAGAGGATTAGTGGGGTTAAGTACCTTGTTTAAAATCTTGTGGCCAGTAAGACCAGGAAAGAACCTAGGTCTTCCAACCGTAATCCCACCTGCCTTTCTTCATGCCTGTCATGGGACTTTGTCCCTATTTCTCTCGTGCATTTTTTTCTGCTTTGGATTATAAGCATTTGGGAGGTTTCTTTTATCTCCACATGACATTATGAATTCCTTGCAGGGCAAGACTATGCACTTCTCCTCTTCCTACTTTCTGCAGTGCCAAGTATGGTTTCTTAAATATTATGTTTCCTAAGTAAATCTGCATAGATGGAATGGTGAATACTTAAGAAGGGAGAATTTAGGCAACAATGAAACGATAATGAGGAAATGATCCTTCTTGCCTCAGATAAATTCTTAAACTATGTCTCCTGAGCTCCAGCATCACATCCACCAACTCTGCCTCTGTGGTCCCTGGATGTATAGTTTGAACCATCATATGTTGAGGTCAGCTCTAAATAGGATTTGTTCAGTGATGACTTTCAGTCCCAGTTCATGGTGTTCCAAGTGCGTTTTGTCCTTTCTGGATTCTAAATAGTACTTAACTCATCATCCTCAATCATGTTGGATTCATTTCCCTGTTTCCTTCCTCTTAACCTTGCTTTGCATTTCTGTTTAGTAATACCCCAATTTTTAGTCCATTTCCTTCTGAAGAATATGAACAAGGCTATTAATGGAATTTCTATTAGTATAGGAATAAAGATGACACTTAATCTATGGAGATGTTCAATTTAAGGCAGAGAGGGGAACTACACCAGAAGCGACCTGGATAATTACAATAGCTTGGGACTGCAAGAACATTTGCAGATTGCTGGTAAAGTGGAATGAAATTGTCACTTTAGGTTTTTAACAAAAAAGCAAGAGCCTGCTATCTTTATATCTTCCTCACTTGTGAAGTTTGCATTTTCTTTGACTACCGGTCTTGTGATGCCTGTGCATACACATCTGGAGGCCACGAAAAACTAACACCAGGTGCAGGGTGCCTTCTTTGTATTCCAGTATTGCTCATTATAAAATGTTTTGATGACTCATTAAAATGGAGTATTAGCACTGATATAGTTATTGTACAATAGAGTAAAGCTTACATTCTGCCACTTCCACTTTCCATACCCATCCCAGAAATTGCAAAAATAGAACGCCAAGCTTATTTGTTACAGAACAGAAAAATAGACAGCTGTTCAGAGTTAATAATGGCAGTCCTCTTCCATGTAGCAAACCAAAATTTAAAAATATATACACATTAAAATCTGAAAAGCTTTAATGAGCTAATACTAGATATGCCATAGTTTTTGAAGCTTCATTTAGATATTTTTATTTAGCGAGAAGATGCTTAGGAGCAATGGGAATTCTCATTTTCATCATGTAGAGTTGAAAAAATTACACCAATGTTTTTACTCTTGCTGCTGCTGCTGCTAAGACTACCTCTACTACTACTACTACTACCTATCTTCCTTATATTTATTTATCTTGTTACAATTTTCAAAGTAGTATAAACTAGATTACTTCTCGTTACAACTTTCACAATTAGGCAAGACGAGTTTTATCATCTTCATAGTAGTTATATGAAAATTAAAGCTTAGAAAGTTGAAATGGCCAGGATCAGAAATGGTTAAACAGTAAGACATAATGTAGTAGGACTAAAATCCGAGTTCAGTTTTTATTCTGATTCAGAATTTCAGCTACTTGAAGGATCCTTCTTCCACCATTTGCTATCTTGGGTAAATTACTCAAATTCTCTGAGCCTAAGTTTCATCCAATGTAAAATTAGATGTTATATATAACTTTTTAGCATTGTTCGAAGTCTAACAAAATCATGTGAATTGAACTCTTAACACAGTGCCTGACCCAAAAGTGTGCCTGGTAAAGGTTGTTATTACTGTTGCTGCAAATTTTTAAATATTTTCCCAAATATATACATTTACAAATTGCATAATGTCCTCATATATGGCTACATTTGCTTCTTGAAGAACCACATGATATTGATGAAATAATAACTTTTAACATCTATACATGAATAGAAATTTTCAGAGAGATTAAATTAATTAGCTAAGACCATTGCAGAAGTGAGGAGAAAGATCTTAAATCCCAGACAGATAATCCAAGTTCTAAACTCTTTTATTACTACTTTTATGATATTCAAAATTAGACTAGTATTAAAATCAGGAATCATACGATTCTCATTATAGTTGTATATAACCTTAGAAATAATTCAGAGAGTTAAGTGACTTGACTAAGTTCTACAGGGCCACAGCCAGTCCTAGAAGCCTCGTCTGCTAAATCCAAGTGCAGGACTAGAAGATGCTCATCCTATGACATAAAAGCATAAGATACAAATGTTCTTATCCAGTAACGGTGGGTGAGGAGCAGTCACGAGATGATTGCAAATATATTCATAAGGAAGTTATCATCTCCTTTCTAGTTGGTTAGGAAAAACCTTTATAAAACAAATGAAGGTTCCAGAGTACCTGAGATTACAATTCCAATGGAAAAAGGAGTCTGAGAGCACAGAAGAGAGAGTCCCAGCCTGGGAATCATCATTTCACTCTCCAACTTGTGACAGAGTCCCCACATACCAGAAAACAACCTACTCCCTGTGCTCCTTCTCTTTCATTCTTTTTTCTTGTTATTTCCCCATCTCTCCTCTAGCCCACAGCAACAGATAATATTCCTCCTTCTTTATGTTAAACACACAGTTGTAGCATTATGCCAGGCCTACTAGGAGGTAAACTGAACAAGCAGTATCCTTGCTTTATAGAATAATTTAAAGTAAGAAAGCCACCAGAAAACTGAGAAAGCAAGAGTAACATAGACACTGCCACTGTGGGAAGCTAGAACAGCTGTGGGGCTAGGAACTGGTTGGCATTTTGGATCCAGAGATTTGTAGGCTCTTGGCTTGGAGAACAAAGACTTCATTGCCTAGTTGATGACAATATAGAAACACATCTGCAGAGTATATTCTTTGGCATCAGCAAATGCCAGCAGTATTTAGTGAACCTCTATGTTTCTAGTCCCCATTCACGTCTCCTTTTTATCTGTTATTTTTCTCCATGTTTTTCCTCATTGGAAATGTTTCCAAATTGAACATTAATTTTGAAGAAAAATGGGTTGAGGGGAGATTCTTAGACTTACAGATGTTATGAGAATTTAAAATAAGGGAAAATGAAACTAAAATATCCTGTACCCTGTTCGTCTTGTAATGAGCGCCCAAGTGCCATTGTTTAGAAACAAGTCTTGGAACATCCTCCAGGCCCACCATAAACATAAGCACATTACAGATTACTGATGGATAACAGCAAACTAAAACTCATACTTCATCTTTGCCTCTCTCCCTAAAATTTCTTCTCACACAAAAGAATCATTCTAGATATAAAATATTTTAAGACTTTCTGTATAGCCTCACCTGTTATGTTTCAAATCTTAGTGTATGATCTAGTGTCAAATTATGGTGAGTAGGGGAAAAATGAAGGCAGAGGGATTTTTTTTCTGGAGTTATACCTTATAGAAAATGGATAGAGGCAATAATGGAAGAAAGAGCTTGGTAATAATTCTCAGCTTCACTTCAAATCTTTTTTACTCTTTATATAGAAGAGAACTCCTTGCTGCTGATTACATAGTTCTTAGGCCAGAAAATTAACCTGTTTACAAGAAAAACAAAATATGAACTATGAACATAGAACAACAGGACCATATATAGATTTTTGAGGTGCCTTGTCTAAGGCATACAGGACATTATGCTTCAGCCAAGTCATTAGAAACCAATTTCTATAATTGTTCCTTATCAAATTTAACTTTTGTCTTTTATTTCTGCATGCTTTTCTTAATGTCCTGTCTCCTAACTTTCTATGTCTGAGTGGTAAAAACAGAGATCATTTCCCAGAATGAAAAGTTATACAGCATCCTTGCTTTCTTTACAGTATTTCCTAGCAGGATGAACTTTGCAAGAGTAAAATTAGATCCTTGATGAGAAGTGGACTTTCAGAAGCCATTTCCCTCTTTATTCCTTAAAAAATAAAACTAACTGGGGAGACTCAGTAAACTGCTGAATTACTTAACTTACTGGGTCTGAAACTAAGATCTCCTGACTCCCTAGTTCTGCCATCTTTATATTAGGAACATAATTCCTTGACTGGAGTGTGGTTATTTCCAGGGAGACAGAGTGCCTGATTTTTTATAGCCATGCAGGAACCACCTGGGTTGTCAGGTTGATTCCATTATCAATGACTCAAAACTTTATGTTTCTATTAAAAATAGGAACACTATGCAGCCATAAAAAGGAATGAATTAACAGCATTTGCAGTGACCTGGATGAGACAGTAGACTATTATTCTATGTGAAGCTACTCAGAAACGGAAAACCAAACATTGTATGTTCTCACTGATATGTGGGAGCTAAGCTCTGAGGATGCAAAGGCCTAAGAATGTTGCAGTGGACTTTGGGGATTTGAGGGGAAGAGTGAAAGGGGGTCAGGGGATAGAAGACTACAAATATGGTGCAGTGTATACTGCTCGAGTGATGCGTGCACGAAAATCTCACAAATCACCACTAAAGAACTTACTTGTGTAACCAAATACCACCTGTACCCCAATAACTTATGAAAAAAAAGATGATTATGGAGTAAAGGATGAAAATTGCATTCATTTTTAATATAAGACATGAGGCTTTGAATAAATGTCTAGTTTTGGGTAAGTCTTTGGGGATATATTCTCACATTTTATCTGGAAAGTTTGAGAAATGCTGTAGATGTCATTTTGCTTTGTCGTGATTTTTGAGTTCTTAGTTTTTTCTCCAAATCCCATACTTCCTCCCACCTAACTTCTCCTGAAATGTACAGTGGAATAATAAGTTAGAACAAGTAACACTGCCAGCAGCTACCATCCTTGTTCCATGCAGGGTAATGGTAAGACAAGAATATGGATTTGGAGTCAAGAGGAGTGAGCCTTGGCTCCATCTGGTTATTAGTCTGGTGATCTTGGGTAAGTTGTGTTACAGGTCCATGCCTCACTTTCCTTATCTATAAGATAATCATAATTGGAATATGTACTTCATAGGGTTGCAATGAGGAATAGGGAAGAATAAGCACAAAGTACCAGTGTATAATTAGCATAGAGGAGTCTTTCTGTTTATAATTTTCCTTAATTTTCATGCTCTGCAGTGAATAGCATGGTCTGGAGTGCATGACAGGCTCCAGATGCTCACACATGGACACCATCAAGCAGTGTGGTATAAGAGCTCATCACCAGAGGGCAGCATGCAGTTACCCCTTTCTACCCATTGTATCTAATTCTGTTGCCCCAAGAGTTTCTCATGAATTGTAACTCCTATTGCTGTGGCTCTAGTCCAATAGGTCTAAAAATCAATTAACAATTACTGTTTGAGTGTTTGAGTGTGTGTTGTATGCCCAGCACTGTTAGGAGTGTAGGTGGAGTGGCTGATGAAGAAATAGAGAGGAGGACCCTGACTTCAAAATGATTACAATTTCTGCACGGAGACATGAATATCACACATGAACCAATTAGCTATCAACATGTATAAAAATATAAAGAAATATTCATTCAGAATGTCAGGGTTTAGTGCTTTCACATAACTTATTTCCTTTAATATTTAAAATTCAGTGTGATCTGAAGTAATACAAATAATGAGTGCTTTAAAATGTGGGGAATAGGATGTATAGATTGAGTCCTGGAGTGATGATGGGGAAAGTATCATGAAGCATCTGGAACTTTAGATTGTCCTTGCAGGATGGAAAGAATTTGGTTAGAGAGATAAGATTGAGGACTGCAACTGATTTAGGATGTAGGAAAAGGAAGAAATGAAAACAAAGACATTGCGGTAGGCATGAGCAAGGTATGTGCTTGGAGTAGTAAGGATCCTTGCCTGGTGGGAGGAAAAGAGAGAAGAAGGATGGAAACTAAATAGCAATAATTTAGTGATCCCACATTGTGTATAAAACCATTATCCATGTACTACAGAAGAAATAAGCCCTACCTTAACCTAAAGAACCAGGTTATTGGCAGCTTGCTCTGAATTCTGGCACCTAAATCTGGATAATACAACTGTACTGCTAAGATTATAGCTCTTTAGTAGCTTAGCAACGAGGAACAGATGGTATCCACATGGATCTTTCCAGGAATAGCACCACATAGAGTGAATCAGTGAATTAAGTAGGTATGGTTATTATGGCATGGGGCACATTGACTAAACCACATTTGAGATTTGAGCTATTGACTCCATTTTTTGTGGGATCTTCAGAAATCATTTGCATAAATAAAGCAGATTTGTAAAAGCTCGGTGTGAGTCAGTGGGGTTTGAGGCATTATGGCCTAATGGTGAAAAGCAAAGGGCTTAGAGTCAGAACACCTGGGTTTGAATCTCAGTTTTGCTTCCTTCTAGCCATCTGACATTTTGAGAAATTCACAGAATCATTCTGTGCCTCTGTTTACTTCTCTATAGACAAGAGAAAGTTCCGTCAATCCTTCTGGGGTTCTGTAAGGAGTAAACAATAAAACACAAGTAAAAAGCTTACCATATTTGCTTGGCACACAGTAGGTAGTTGGTTAATCAATGTTAGTTCCCTTTCCTCTCACTATGGAAATTAAATGATTGAATGTGTGTGATATACTTTATATAGCATGACATTGGTGGTTGATATAATTGCCAATTTGTGTTTCAGTGTTGATCTGTAGATGTAGTTTTAGTGAGTAATTTATTTTAGCCTTTTATACTAAGTGTAAGTACGTATATGGCGAGCATGCAGGATGGAGATCTGAAGAATCTTCATACTAACAGTTCAAGCAATCCCCATTTCTTCATCCAAATAGGATTGATTCTAGAAAAAACTTATAAAGTGAAGAAAATTCTGTTTGGCATGGGGCACATTGACTAAACCACATTTGAGATTTGAGCTAATGACTCAATTTTTTTGTGGGATCTACTGGTCTCTACTTTCTGTGCTTCATTCTCCAGGCTGCTCCATCATTTCTGCACTAGAAAAAAAAGGGAAGACCAACTCAGCCTATCTGAGGTCTTTAGGATATTCATAGGATATTCATTTATTTTCTGCAAAATATTTTACTACTTTGTATTTTAAAGGAGGATCAAACAGAGATGGTAACTCTCCAGTCCAAGGGGATAAAAAATACTAATGGTGAGTGTTCAAGGATAAGTAAGACAAATTGTGTTGACTAGAACAGACTTTACTTATCAAATCTTAATAGGGTGCAGAAGCAAATGTATTGCAGTGGTTAGGATTTATCCACTTTGGAGCCAGGCTACCGTTGTCTGACTCTTGGTCCTGCTATTACCAGCTGAATGACCTTGGGCGAGTTACTTACTGTTATTAGTTTTGTTATCTGAAAGTGAGGGTAATATTATTTTTATTATTAAGAGTTCAGGCAAGCAGAGTCAAATTGATTTCAAGCCAAAACATGAATCTTCCATCCTGCTACCTTGTTTTCTGAGCTAGGCTGGTGTTAAGCTAGGTAGGTAACCATCCAGGCATTTTATTAAATGCTAGGGAAAGGGACCACAATCTTAGCTTCCTCCAAAGTTGCTTCCTTTAGACATCCTGACACAGTCTGCAGGATGAACTAGCCACGCCCTCAGGCACTCACATAGTTTATTCAGCACTGTTCGTGTCTCAGTAAGTCCAGCGGTCTTATGTCTCCGTAGAGCAGGGGCAAAGCAGGTGACAAGCCAAAGCCACTGGATGATATTAGTAGTGATGACTTAGAGCTGGGCTGGATTGAACTGCACCCACCTAGTTGTCTTGTAGAGAAGGAACTTAAAAGGAGAAGAAAATCTAGGAAAGCAAAAAGTAAAAACTAATCTCCAGTAATAAGTATAATAACCTAAGAACCTTTTTTTTTTTTTTTTTCGAGACACAGTCTCCCCAGGCTGGAGTACAGTGGCACAGTCTCAGCTTACTGCCACCTCCACCTCCAGGGGTTCCAGCCATTCTCCTGCCTCAGCCTCCCAAGTAGCTGGGTTACAGGCACCCACCCCCATGCCCGGCTAATTTTTGTATCTTTAGTAGAGACAGGGTTTCACCCTGTTGGCCAGGCTGGTCTCAAACTCCTGACTTCAAGTGATCTGCCTGGCTTGGCATCCCGAAGCACTGGGATTACAGTCATGATCCACTGTTCCTGGCCTACACATGCATTCTTTATTCAGCTAAATTCTTGAGAAATAGGTTAACTGGAAAATAGCACTGTCCCATTTTTAAGTGGGGGTTTGCAAGACATTAAGGGACCCAGAAACCTCTGATAACTGGGGAATTGAATCTAAGTCAGAACGGTGATAAATTTCTCTTCAGACTGTAAAAGAGAAACTAACAAGTTTCCAGGCAGAAAATAATTGCATTTTCAGTCTGGTCGCCTAGAAAAACTCAGGCAAAAAAAATCAAATGTTGGAGTTACCATTATGGACTCTGGGGTTAGAAAGACATGGGTTTAAAAACTGCTTGTGGCACCTCTTAGATTTGTGACCTTAGGCAAGTGACTTGCTCAGTTGGGATCTTCTTTTCTTCCTTTCTTCTCTCCTTTCTTTCTTTCATTCCTTCCTTCTTTTTAATGGGAACAATAATGTTTTCCTTAGAACATTGTAAAAATTAAATGCATTCATATATCTTAAAGTACTTATAGCATTACTGAAACATAATAAGCACCTTATATATGCTTAATACTTTATTATTGTTATTCTTGTTAACCTCAGTTTTGATACTATGTAATTGTGAGATCTGGGTTATGTCATATTCTTTGTATTCATTTTCATATTTATAGAATGTAAGAGTGTAATTAAAGGTTCCTTAAGATCTCAGCTTTAAAAGTTCTATGATTCTAGAATATATTTGTTCTTCCTATTTTGTTCTTCCTCTCTTACACAACCATCGATGTGTCTTTAATCAGTCAATTACCCATTTATTTGGGGCTTGCTCAAAGAATGCCTGAATCAGTCAGCCTGGGTATGCTGGGGCCATCAGCCTTTTCCTAGGCATGCCTCCTACAGGCCTCTTCTTATGACACACTGGGCCTCAGCAACTACACCAGAGGAAGGAGGGGAAGGTTCTTGGGCCAGCCAAGATCAAGGCACATTAAATAAATTTAGATTTGAACTGGCTTGTAACTTGTTGATCAACAGCAAAAATTAGGATCTGGCTGGGTGCGGTGGCCCACACCTGTAATCCCAGCATCTGGGGAGGCTGAGGCAGGTGGATCACTTGAGTCTAGGAGTTCGAGACCAGCCTGGGCAGTATAGCAAAACCCCGTCTCTATAAAAAATACAAAAATTAGCCAGGCATGGTGGTACATGCCTGCAGTCCCAGCTACTTGGGAGTCTGAGATGGGAGGATGGCTTGAGCTTGGGAGGCAGAGGTTGTGGTAAGCCAAGATGGGACTACTGCACTCCAGCCTGCATGACAAGGTAAGATCCTATCTCAAAAAAAAAAAAAAAAAAAAAAAAATCCAGAGATAACTGGTGAAATCTGTTTTCATTCTAAGGGGCAGTAGAACATGGCTCTGGAGCCAGATTGCTTGGGTTTGAAGATTTACCAGCTATTTACCAGCTGTGTGACTTTGAGAAAGTTATTTAACCTCTGTTTCCTCAGCTCTACTTTGAGAATAACAGTGTTTGTCTCATAGAATTGTGTGAGGATTAAATAAGTTAATTCACATAAAGTATTTGCTATATAAGTACATACACTTATTATTATCTGTCCCAGTATTAATATATCAGGGGATTTAGGTGTGGCAGGGTCATAATACTACAAACCTTCAGGTAGTGATAATTGTAGGTTCCAAGTAAATCCTCCAAATAGGAGTAGGGTCCTACTAGCACCTAGAGATGTGGAACTCCAGCCTAAAAGATTGTGGAAAAGAAGGAGAGGAAAGACAGAGTTTCGTTCCAATGGAGAACTAAAATGTAATTCAGGAAATGAAGGCGGAAGTCACTCCCCCAACCATGCCACATTTTTTTTTTCCAGAGTAAGCCAACATAATAGAGGGTTATGGGGGAAAATCTAATACACAATACAGTTATCCTGTGTTCAACACTCAGCATATCTAATCCGGTACTTAATGTTAGATGTCTTACTTCAAAGTTGATGGGGTATGTGCATAGTAACCCCAATATTCTACTTCCCTAGCCAGGATTAGCATATGGTCTGACTGGGGCTCATCCCGATGGAAATCTTCTGTGTGAATTGTGAAGCAAAAAGTTTGCTAGCATGCTATCTTGTAGCTGCCAGTCTAAAACAGCTAATATTTACCTTGAGGTTCTGGGATCTCCACCTCTCATAATGAAATCACACACATACACATGCACACACATACACCCACATACAGGACTCATTTTCAAACTTTCAGTGGCTTCCATTTTGTTTCAAAATGTCATGCCATACCATATATAAAAGTCATTTATAGGGCCTGTGTCCCTCTAAATAGACAAGAAATCTTGCCCACTCAGTAATCCTGTCCTGTAAGGCTGATAAGATAAGCCAAAGGTATCCAAAAACAGCTCATATGTTATTCTTGCACTATTTTACCACCTATTTAAATTGGCGTAATGACAATCACCTGCCTTCCATTTGCATGTCCCGGGTCAGCTGAAATCCCTGCATAGTTCCTAGTACCATGAGTGTTACTGTTAATTTCTTGCTGATCTAGTTCTCTCCTTTTCTACCTTGCTTCTTAAAAGTCTAGGTACTAGATTAAGTCTTTTGACCTTCCCACTGATTAGCCTACACTTCTCGGAGCTAAGCTACATGAGAGTGTTTCTTGGCTGACTAGCTACTCTACATTTCCTGCCAATACCTTGCTTGAGGAGGCTTCTTCACCATAGTTGGCTTCATGACCACCTGTCCACATATGTCAGAGGCATTTCCCATATCTGACACTTAACACATATCAAAAGGTAACCACATTAGTCAGAATCAATGAACTCCTTTGTAAAGTTGCATTCATTTTGTCAGATTATTTTTTATTTAGAGTCTCTTGGAAGCAAGCAAAAAAAAAAGTGTATCTATTACTAGTATAAACAAAATTGTTCATGTAATCTGAGAACATTTGTATGTCACATGAAGCCCAAGGATAGGAAGGTGGCTGACATTCATTAATAACTTGATCTATCATTTAAATTATATCAGTATTCCTTCTGCTTGCTTCTTGCTTCTCTGTAATTAGCTGTACTAGTCCCTTATGCTGAAAACTGGCTTTCTGTGCATGAAAGAGAATGTCATGTAAAAGGCAAACAACACAAAAAAAGGCTTCATAGTTTGGTTTACTTAAGAAAGAATTTTTTTTTCTTCATCCCTTATAGTTTCAAAAATCTTGCCTAGATGTATATAAAGATAAATCTTGAATTTTCTGATTAAAGAAAGATTTTGTTCTAGATTTTTCATAAATCTCCTTCCAGTTAATGGAAAAAAGCATATTAAAGAAGGACACTAGAATCTGCTGAGTCACCAGTTTGATTTAGGCATCCAATTAAAGAGGATATCCAAAAGGAAGAAAGAGAGTGTATGGCCGGACGTGGTGGCTCACACCTGTACTCCCAGCGCTTTGGGGGCCGAGGCGTGTGGATCACATGAGGTCAGGAGTTTGAGACCAGCCTGGGCAACCTGGCAAAACTGCATCTCTACTAAAAATACAAAAATTAGCCAGGCGTGGTGGCAGGTGCCTGTAATCCCAGCTACTTGGGAGGCTGAGGCAGAAGAATCACTTGAACCTGGAAGGTGAAGTTTGCAGTGAGCCGAGATTGCACCACTGTACTCCAGCCTGGGTGATAGAGCGAGACCCCATCTCAAAAATAATAATAAAATAAAGAGGGTGTATATGGCAGGGCAGTGTGAAATGTGGAGAAAATACTTGGTGGGAACTATCAAAGCAAGTGGATAGTTGGTTTTTAGGACTCAGAAACAAACTAGATCAAACTAGTCATAGCCTCTCTTGACTGTAAAAGTGAACAAAGAATCAGGAGCCAGATGAGCTAAAGGAAGATTTGGAATTACCAACTGGTGAGAAGAGCACACTCATAGGCCATGCTCAGAATTCATCTATGCTCTGTGTAGTCTGGGGTGGGCTGTGAAGGTCCTGGAGCAGGGCAGTGGGAGAGTCTTCAGAGAGCCTGGTGTAGCAGCACAGTGGGGTAGTGTGTCATTCAGAAGAGCCTACCGTGGCATCTCTTTGGCAGTCACACCAGGGCGTTACCAATGTCAGGTGTATGTGATATATGTTTATTTTTACACAATCTTGTTTGTTCATGCATTTTTAATGACTTTTAGAGAGGTAGGTGTTAGCAGTGGCTTCTGGATCCCTTTGGCACCAAGAAGGAATAATAAACTTTCCATATAACATAGATTCCACATAACATAGATCTTATCCTTCAAATTCTTGTCCTCTACTTCAAGTGGAGTCCATTCACAGACTCTACATCCTAGAGTTATGAAATTATTAATTATTATTTTATAAAAGCTGAATTTAGTTAAGTAATAGTAACTAAACAAAGAAAGAAAGTGATATTGGATATTGGAAAAGTAGTCACAGTCTTGGTATCATGAGATTTTGGGGTTCCAGTTCTTTAGAAGTGCTTTACAAAGCTCGTAAAGATATATTACTTTCCTTTATACCTACTTCTATACTTTATCACTACCTTTAGTCAATAAATTCTAAGTATTTCTCAGTATTCTTTGAGCTCCTTCTGTATACCCAAGTGCTGTGGAGAATTCTAGAAAAGTATACAATACTTGCCAATTTTTAGACATACAGTCTTCTTGGAAAGACTAAATTTACATTAAAAAATGAAAAATAGCAACATAAACATACAAAAGTTTTAAATGGCATTACATAGGAAATAGGCGTATGTATAAAATTTATTCCCATAACACATTATTATAATCTGTAAGAAAAAAAGCAAAGATGGGATGAAAGCCCCAAATAAAATTAATACCTATTTATTAATCAAAGCTATACTAGAAAATATGGGGAAATACAAGAATTACATGTGATATTCAGAGAGTTTTCAGTCTATTCTTGGATATGAGGCACACTTTTGTGAGTCATGGAAACCAAACAGAAAGCATAGGAGAGATGTCATCAAAACTAAAAACCTTTTTAAAAATACATACTAAGGCTTCACCAGACTGTGTTCAACGTCTAACCTGCAATATCCTTAGGCATCTTTTGCCTTCAGGGTGGTCTTTGCTTTGTCTAGTTCTTGTATGGTACTCTAGTATAGGGCTGACATATCACTGCAAGACTCTTGTGATAGAACCACCTAGATACTGGGATTATGAAGCAGCTTAGTGGGGAAAAATGAATTTTGAGGTCAGAAAAAACAATATTCAAATGTCAAATCTCATTTTCACTGAGCCTCATTTTCCTCATATATAACATAGAAATAGTGATAATAATGCCTCATCAGTAAGGTTTTGTGGAGATTAAATGAGGATATATATGCTTATGTATATATTTAATAAATGGTAATACATACTTAATAAGCAGTAATTATTGTTATTATTGCCTTTGACATGAGCTGTTTTAGAACCACAATCTAAACAGGCCTCTTATTAGTGCAGTTGTAGCCACCAACATAGCATTGAGATCTCTGCAGTGTAAACAGTTTACAAGCCATCCAATAATATATCTTTACAGTAGTCTATCTTAAGAGACACTTACTACTAATAATATTTAACATTAATTCTGAAATGTACTGTTTACCAAGCACACTCAACTATATCACCTCATTTGATCTTCAACCTTTTTGGAAAGTTGTTACTACTATTCCCATTCTACACGGAAGGAAAATTAATCAGAGAGGGTTAGTGGACTTGCCCTAAGATCACACCACTAGGAAGTCACTGAGCCCCCAAATCATACAATCAGAAAGTTGCTAAACCAACCTTGAGCCCATGTCTTCTGACTGCAGACCTCATACCTTTTTCTCTTCTCTACATGCCTCTTATTATTTTTTTTTAATGAGATCCAGTAAAAACTGTCTTTCTCCAGAGTCTTTATTTACCCACAAGATACGTCCCATTGAGAATCATGAAAATATTATGACTAACTAGTTGATCCATTATATACATATGTATGCCAAGGTTATGTTTTCCATGCCCAGTGTTTTTGGTAAAGACATGAAATTTTGTTTTGTAAAACCTGCTGGATTGCTATTTGTTTTATCATTTGATTAGGATTCCACAGAATAGATTGACATTAAAAAGCTGTTAACTCTGTTAACTCCAGAGGGCACAGCTAATGAAATACCCCAAAATTTGAGCACTTTCCAAAACCACCATGTCGTATAGAAGAGTTCTCTATTAATCAAGATGAAAGTATGTCCTTTATCTAAATGAAATCTGTAATTTGAGACAAAGATGAAAGATCCTTTGGAGGATAAAGCAAAAGTTGTTGTGAAAATTCTAGAAACTAAAAAGTAAAGATAGCTCTACTCAATATTCATGAAGTTAGACTGGTGATGCAAATAGAGATTGCAATCTCTTATTTTCTAGTGATTTGCCTTGTAGCACTCCTGTATCAGTTTTACACAGATTCCCGCTAAACTTTAAAGAGAATTACTGCAAATCGTACAATTTTTTTAAAAAAAAGAAAGTTGAACATATCCAATATGATTTTCTGTCATATTTGACTGTCAATGTTCTATCTAGGGATTTAGAGGTTTATGATTAGAGGTGCATAAATAATAAAATATGGCAGGGCATGCTTGTTCACGCCTGTATTGGGAGGCTGAGGCGGGCGAATCACGAGGTCAGGAGTTGAGAGCAGCCTGGTCAATATGGTGAAACCCCGTCTGTACTAAAAATACAAAAATTAGCTGGGCATGGTGGCACATGCCTGTAGTTCCAGCTACTCGGGAGGATGAGACAGAAGAATCGTTGAACTGGGGAGGCAGAGGTTGCAGTGACCCGAGTTTGCACCACTGCACACTCCAGCATGGGCGACAGAGGAACACTTCATCTCAAAAAAAAAAAAAAAAAAAAAAAAAAAGAAAGAAAGAAAATACAGGATACAGCACGCATAATGTGTAAACGTAGATGTTGATAAGTGAAGCCTTTTTGTATTGAATATAGCATACTCTCAAAAGGCAGTTTGAAGAGAATAACTATGAATATTGGTTTAGGTTTAATTTTGCTTCCTTGAGAGAGAAATCAAATTCCTTTAGCAAAGTCATTTCATAAAGAAATGATACAGGTCGAGTGCGGTAGCTCATGCCTATAATCCCAGCACTTTGGGAGTCCGAGGTGGGTAGATCACAAGGTCAGGAGATCAAGACCATCCTGGCCAATGTGGGAAACCCCGTCTCTACTAAAAATACAGCAGTTAGCTGGGTGTGGCGGTGTGTGCCTGTAGTCGTAGCTACTTGGGAGGCTGAGGCAGGAGAATTGCCTGAACCAGGAGGCGGAGGCTGAGTGAGCCGAGATTGCACCACTGCACTCCAGCCTGGGTGACAGAGCGAGATTCTTGTCTCACAAAAAAAAAAAAAAAAGAAAGAAAAGATACAAGTTTTAACTCTTACCCAATTTATTAGAAATCCTTGCCTTACACATAGCAGAAATCCTCACCTCCTGCATTGTTTTGTAGAATGTAAGAGAAAATGAATGTAAATTATATGAATGCTTACTTAATTTCTTTATGTGGTAAATGTAACAAATATTTGAGTTGGGGGAAGGTACAGAAACTCTTAGTCATTTTATTTACCCTACTAACACTTGACACGGTGCCTGTAGAGGTCCTCAAGAAATGCCTGTTGAGCTCTTTGTTAAATAAGTTAACAGAAATAATCTGTCTCAGAATACACTATTCATTATTTAATTTTTTTTCTATTTCTTTTTTCAGGCCAGTCCTGCTCCTATAATTGTCAACACAGATACTTTGGACACAATTCCTTATGTAAGTAACTTTTTCATTACTACCTTCTTTTAAAACTGTGGTAGAACTTAATTGGCTGAATTTAAATTCAATTCACATTTAGTTTCACCCAAACTAAATAATCTTATGGAATGACATGTAGTTTTGTAAATTTTCTTTTAATAATTTCTAAATCTTGTCTTAGTCATCAAATATTTCCCTCTTTCATTCATGTTTTGTAAAACACAAGGGCCCATTATGAAACAAAAATAAACAACGCTGTTTAAATAGTGTTAGTTTGCTAAGTGGCTCACTGAAAAGAGACTGAATTGCTCATAGACACTAGCAAACTTCTTTGGGTTTCTTATAAAAGGAATATTCAAGTCAATTTCTGTGATAGTCTGGAACCTAAAGTAAGTAATCAATAAATATTTTTATGGATTTTATTGGGCTTCTAATAAGAAGTGGCCAAAAGTTTCGTGAGGGTAGAGCCTATCTATATATAATGAAAGTTATGGTTTTATGAAAGCATGAGCATGAGATAATAGGATCAAGCAAACCAATGAAGCCTAGGATTCTGTACCTGTAACACAACCACTATGATGGCAAAAGTTCTTGAAGATAGAGTCTGGCTGGGCAGGGAAGATTGGAGACCAGCTATAGGCCACAATGTGGGTGAGTGGTTGACATTATGGAGGTCCAACAAGGCTTTGTGAGTGGGCGCTAGCTGATGAGTGGAGGATAGTGATCAAACAAGATGGGATAGCCACAGATGCATGCTAGACAGGGGGTATGAAGCTGAGAAGAAGGGCTACAAGGGTAATGGACAACAACAAACAGATTCCTGGCCTTTGATTAAATGAGTAAAACACAGAAAGCACTTAGAACAGTACCTAGCACAAAGTAAGTGCTTGGTAAGTACTGGCTCTTCTCAGTTTTAGCCCACAGCCTCAAATCCCTTCAATGACCAAGCAAATCACAGAAACAAATGGAGCAGTCAGAGTGGGGCCTGTGGGGAATAGAAAGCACATGGCCATTTAAAGAGAGCAACTGCCACTTGGAATCCACTGGTGCCAGATCATTTTACAAAATAAGATGGAAATTTGTACATGTTTGCAATTTCTAAATACAGGCAACTAATTTTCAAAAGTGCAAACACTGTGTCTGCCAAACAAAGTGTGTCTAGTCCATAGGCTGCCTTTTGAGAGATGTTACCTCAAATACCTCAAAAGAACTGGCGGTCCTGAGCAGGTTCTGGCGGTCCTGAGCAGGTTCTGCAATCCGGGACTCAGCCACAGGGGAGCAGAATGTCAGAACTGGAGTACAAGGTTGGGACTTGATTATAAGAATGAGGAACTAAAACTGGGACACAGGGTCAGGACAAGAATAACAGCAAGCTTGACTTAATGCTGAATCACCTGAACTACTGAACTAGGGCTTCTTAAATCTTTCTGAACAAGAATAGTTTGGGACCAGACCGGAAACAAGGTTAGGCTTACTGGAAGGAGCCAAGAGACCCCAACACTGGAAAGTAAAGGGCTCTGTAGAAGCAAACAAAGCAATGTCTTAAAGGTACCTACATCCACTATTCTCTTACTCTTCCTACCTTTCTTTACTTACCAAACTTCTGTAACAGTGTATGCCTAACACTGCTGTAGGCACTTAACAAATTTTAACTCATTTAATCCTCATAACAATCCTATGAGGTAGGTACTATTAATTTCTCTATTTTTACACTTGGGAAAAAATGAGTCATAAAGAGGTCAAGTAACTGGTTCAAGGACTCACAGTAAGAGGCAGAGTCAAGAGTCAATCCAGATAGCTTGGCTGTAGAGTTAGAAGTCTTATTTAATTTCTAACATGCTGTTACCTGTGTTTCTTTCTTCCCTCCCTTGTTTTCTGCCTGTCAGCTTGGGAACATAGTTTCCTTACTTACTCCCCTGATACATGCAGATTTGGATGAGAGATAACTTGTCACAGAAGCTTCAATATATTCAGGACAGGGATCCATTTATATATGAAGGAATCCTATGTCCCAAAAAATCTCTTCACTATAGCCATTGTCAAAGCATGTAAGCAGTGCTCTCAAGAAGTAGGCCTGGAGCACAGAGAGCTGATTTTGTAAGTAAGACCACTTTCTTGTGGTGGATCTAAATTATTTCAAAGCCTCCTATTAGGGTTCTGGTGGCGTAACTGCCAGATATCCTCATGTAGAAATAATTTATCAGTAAGATCTAAGGGTCTTTTGTAGACATGTTCAATTGGTATCCCAAATGATTAGCTAGTAAAATGAGTCGCAAATAACAAATTCATCAAAATTCTTCCCATTCTTCCAAATACCAGGTTTGTATCTGACTTTGAGTCCTTCAAAAATTATTTTTAATCATCTTTTTTGTTGTTGCTGTTGAGACAGAGTCTTGCTCTATCACCCAGGCTGGAGTACAAATGGCTGGAGCCTGATCTTGGCTCACTGCAACCTCTGCCTCCCAGGTTCAAGTGACTCTCTTGCCTCAGCCTCCCGAGTAGCTGGGACTACAGGAGTGCACCACCATGCCTGGCTAATTTTTTTTTGTTTTTTGTATTTTTTAGTAGAGACGAGTTTTTGCCATGTTGGCCAGGCTGATCTTGAACTTCTGATCTCAGTGATCTGCCCACCTCGGCCTCCCAAAGTGCTGGGATTACGAGTGTAAGCCACTATTCCTGGCCTAATCAACTTTTTCATACTTAATGTAACCCACTTTGTGCTTCCTTAAGGGTAAGGATCTTTATAGTGGTTTGTGAGGAGCTTGATATGATGAAAATGGCCCAATTATCATGGTAGTATGTTCTTAAGTAATTTATTTAATCTCTATGCACCTAAATTAACCTATAAGAGAGGACTTATAATACCTGCCTCAGAGATTTTCTTAGCTTCTGGTTGATAGCAGCTAAAGTATTTATCATTTTTTTGAAAAAAAAAATAAACACTTATGAGGTAAAACATGCTAAATTCTAGGAGAATGGTAAATATGAATACCTTCCCCGATGTAGAAAAAACATGAATACATTATGTATTGAAAATGGCAGATTTAGTGCATACTCATTAATGTGGATAAGCTTTGGTTCTTGGCAGAGTCCCAACTCTCCCCTTTGTTCCTGACTCACGGGGTAACCTTGAACAAATTACTGTTCCTTTCACAGTCTATTTTCTCATTCCCCAGTGTTCTATACTTTGTTTTCCTCTTTTCTTCCTCATGTTCTAGTTGTTCACATAATTTCAGCTCTATTTAATGAAAAAACGATTTCAGAGTTCCCTAGGGCATTTTAGTCATGTTGCGTAAGAACATTTCCTTCTTAAAAATATTATCAGAATGCCAAGCTTTAACATATATTAAAGTCTTTCTAAAAAATAATTTCATTGCAAGTAAATGTATTAATTTTGCTAATTAGCAAATTTGATTTTTGATAGAAATGGTTCTTGTGAAAATGGTTCCTTGGCACAAATGCAAATGACAATTGAATAGCTACAGGAAATTTCTAGGGCCAAAGGGAATTTTTATGTAAGTGTCAAACAAAAGTACAAAATATATTTAAAGAGACTTCTTTTTATTAAGGAAGGTAAGTTAAGAGACATTAGAGCTTGCATTAATGAAGGGGTCACTGAGGTTCTTACATGAAAATGCCTTAAGTAAGCTCTGTCTTATATGAGGTCATGATATATTAGGGTTGGGTATGACCTTAAATGTGACATAGTCTAGCTTCTCATGCAAAGCAGGAATCCCTATATGAAAATTAAAATCACCCAAGCAGAAACAAGGAAAGATATTTTTCCACTTCAATACTCTCTAGTTTCTATTTTTTGCTCAATATTTTTATTCTTCCCCATTACATGTTGAATAGTGTTTCATGCCAGGTACTGAAAGTACTTTGTTCTTAGGGAGCTCAGAGTGATTAGAGCCTGCTTGTGAATCCAGTTCCCTGAAGGTTGACTCAGCCAAATAATAATGCTTTACTCTCTGGTACTCTGCAACCAACTGACATTGCGCTCTCCTCTCCTTTCAGCAGACACTTTAGAGTTCAATATTGAACAGCACCCTAACAAATAGTATTCTTTATGCTTTAGAAAATAAAATTAGAGAGATTCTAGAATGCTTTTTTATTTTGCTCTAACCTTCTCTAATATTCTTTTTATATTTTGGTAATATTCTGACCTCTTTGATAGAAATGCACTGTTGAGAGAGGTATACTTGAGAATCATGAGTTTTCCATCTTGTTAAATATCTTGGAGTTCAATGAACACAAACCTTTCATTTTAAAGATATGGATTTTCTATCTCAACTAGTAAATGGTAGTGCTTGATCTACCATTTACTGTTACCTCATGTAATTGCCAATTTTTGGTGTGTAACCACAACCAAAAAAAAATCAGCGGCAATAAGCATTTTTTTCTTCTCTATCAGTTAGCTAGGACAGCTGCTTCAGGCTGCAGAATACAGTAGTCTCACCTTATCCATGGATGACACATTCCAAATCTCCTGGTGGATGCCTGAAGCTGCAGATAATGCCAAATCCTATATACATGAATTTTCCATCTTAACTATCAGGCACTGTGGCCATAACTTTTGCAGTTTGGGGTGCCACAGCAAAACTAACATGATTATATTTTTCCTTCTTCACAATATCATGGATGAAAGATTCATTTTTACTATAGATCTTAGCAGCTTCATCATACAATGCTGTCTCTTTTCTTTTTTCTTAAGTCAGGAATTTTCAAGTTTTCCCTTAAAGGAAACACTTTAGGGCTTCTCTTAAGCATTTCTGAATTGTCAGCATCACTATTCTTGTGCTTTGGGGCCATTATTAAGTAAAATAAGAGTTACTTGAACACAGAAACTACTATACCAGGATAGTCAATTTGATCACCCAGACAGCTAATAAGTGAATAAAGGGCAGGTAACATCTGCAGCACAGATACCCTAAACAAAGAAATAACTCACATCCTGGAAGAGATGGAGTGGGACAGTGAGAGATTTCATCATACTACTCAGAATAGAAAGCAATTTGCAACTTATGAATTGTTTATTTCTGGAATTCTCCATTTAATATTTTCAGACAATGGTTGACAGTAGATAACTGAAACTGCAGAATGTGAAACCACGAATAAGTGGGTGAGTGGGGTGCCATTGTACCAGGTTGGCTGGGGCATCTCTGCTTCAGAAGTTTCATTCTGGGGACCAGGAGGTGGGACAGTAGCTATCCAGGGTATGTTTTCATATTGTGATAGTCAAAGGACAAGAAATCAAGCCCGTGACACAAACACAGTTAAAGCTTCTGCTCACCTTACATCCACCAACACCCAATTGGCCAGAATAAGTCATGTTGCCAAGCTCGAATTAGGGGAAGAGTGAGTATTTGCTAAACAATAAACTAGTACATCAGGGCCTTAAATAAAGGGCTGAGAATCTGTGTATGTCCCTTTATGAGAATAAAAAATAAAAACAAAGCAGATATAAAAGAAAAAATCTTGTACTTTATATTGTAGGTCAATGGCACTAAACAAAGTGTCAGAGGGACCTGGTTCAACTGATAGGGAGAGTGAATGTGTAGATTATTGTATGTTGTCTAAGGGCAAACACTGAGAAGTAAAAGAAACATCTAGCAAGTACTGGCAGTACAATGCCTTTACTTTCCTATAAGACACTTTGTTGCTGAAATTTTGTTTCTAGAGGTAGAAATAATAGTGGAGACAAGGGAGAAGTTTCAGGTCTCTTGCTTGGAAAACCCTCCTAGGAAAGTAAGGGAGAGAGAAAAGTAGAAGAAAAAGAGAACACAAATAAGAGTTAGGTTATGAAGAATATGAGTGGGTCCTTAGTAGTATATCCCCCATTGGATTTGGCTGCCAAGAAAGTTATTTATGTAAAAGTTATTTGTGGACAATTATAATATCATATAATATCAGCAACATTTTTACAGAGTGCTTTCAATGTGAAAAGGCCATTGGATGCAAACAAAACTATGATTCTGGGGCCAAGGACAAGAGAGTGAACTAAAGGGAAAAAGATGAACCAAAAAAAAGGCTGAACACATGAGTGTCAGTGACAAGAAAAAGGATACTATGGGTTCAGTGACATAGAGACACAATTGAATTAGCAATGAGCTTCACTCAGGAGCCAGAGAATGGGTTTGTGTCTAAGAGATGTTTTAAGTAACATTTAAATGGCACTGCTGATTGATACCAGCATCAGGAAGCTGAGGACAAGAGCTCTCTGAGAAGGAAGTTGCCATATTACAGAAGTGAGGTGACCAAGCACTTGTTGTAGGTCTGTACATTTAGACATTAATTTATTTGAGTGTAAATAACATATTCTTATGATTTAGGCTATGATTCACTTTTGATTGGACCATTTTCCATAATTGCCTCTGATGGGAAAGAAAGGAGAAATATGTGTGTTCCTTTGAACCATCCTGGCAGTGATTAATAATGGTATGATATTTTGGAAGAATTTGCTGATTTTAGTACATTTATCTTTCAACAAACATGCTTTCTTCTTTTTGTGGTTTTTCCCATGGACATTGTTAAAACTATATTGTTAATGTTTTCATCTATTGGGAATGCAGTTCCAAATTTTAAAATCCTTACTTACCAGGAAACAGCTTTATTTTGTCTCAACTACTCCTATGAAGCAATAGGAATTTAGCAATAGAGGCAAAGCTGTCAATATTTGCTCTGGTGTCAAACCTAGCCAATCTAAATTCATTTCTCAACTGCCACAATCAGCAGAATCCCTACTCTTAACTGCTTGTTGCTTTGCTTTATAAGCAAGAGGTGGGCTCACGCCTGTAATCCCAGCACTTTGGGAGGCCGAGGCGGGTGGATCAACTGAGGTCAGGAGTTTGAGACTAGCCTGGCCGACATGCTGAAACCCTGTCTCTACTAAAAATAGAAAAAAATTACCCAGGTGTGGTGGTGGGCACCTGTAATCCCAGCTGCTTGGGAGGCTGAGACAAGAGAATCACTTGAACCCGGGAGGCGGAGGTTGCAATGAGCTGAGATTGTGCCACTGCACTCCCACCCTGGGTGAGAGAGTGAGACTCCACCTCAGGGAAAAAAAAAAGAAAATGAAGTTTCTGATTCACTAGGTCTGGGATGCGTCAGTCTGCATTTCTAATAAGTTGCCAGGTGAGGTTGATGCTGCTTAGTTGTACATCATACTTTGAGTAACAAAAGAGTATAAAGAGAGAAACTAGCCTTTGGCTTTATGCACGACTGGGTTGTAAACCCACCTCTGCCAGTTAGTTCTTTTCTTGAGTTTTGGTTAAGTCACATCACCTCTCTAAGCCTCTGTTTCATTATATATAAAATAGGAATAATACTACCTGCCTTGCAGGGGTTGTTATGAATACTCATCCTAGTATGCAGAAGGGGCTTAATGAATATTCATCGTGAGACTGGGGGTAAGGTGGGTGTATCTATGATAAAATAAAACATTTCTCTGACTGAATCTTGAACTGGTGAGTCAAAATGAGAAGCCACTGCTAGTTCAGGAGTTGGGCCAGTAGCAGTTACATAGGTCCATGGCTTACCTACATCTAGACCTTTGCTGCTCAGAGTGTGACCCATGGACTAACAGCAGTGATATTACCTGGGAGTTTGTGAGCAATAGAATCTAAAGTTCCACCAAAGACCTACTAAATCAGAAACTATGTTTTAAAATAAAAACTTCAGTGATTTGTATGCATATTTAAGTTTGAGAAACACTGCTCAATAAGAAACTTATTTTTTGGTTTGGATCCTGATGTTTTGTTCCTTCACTACATGTTTTGGCCTGCAGTTGAGATAGCTACCATTTTCTAACTCTTTTACTTTAAACATATACACATCTATAAGGAAAGAGCTCTATTTATTCAACAAATTGAACACACTATGAACAACTACTATGTTGTCCTACTTTCTAGACCTTTGCTTTCCAAAAAAGTAGTTATAAGTCACATATGGTTATTTAAATTTAATTAAAATAAAATAATACAAAATTACAAATTCATTCCTCAGTTGCACTAGCCACATTTCAAGTGCTTAGTAGCCAGTAGGGCTAATGGGTATTGTATTAAACAATGCAGATATGGAATTGTCCATTATTCCAGAAAGTTCTATCAGACAGAGCTGTTGTAGGCAATACATAATAAGAAAGAAATAGAAGAGATAAGGGAGCTAATTTGTTATCAAGAAATGATTATACTCTAGGTTCTTTATATGTGAGAGTGTATATATATATATATATATATAGAGAGAGAGAGAGAGAGAGAGAGAACCTAATTAATCATCAAAACTATCCTTCCAATTTTTGTGTGTTGGTTTAATTTCCTCCTTTTTTAAGTTGACTATTTTCAAATCTTCTAAATAGTCAGCACTCTCCAGGAATTGTGGGATATGCTCACATGGAGACATGATCCCTGTTCTCATGGCTCTTAAAAGCTTAACTTTGAAGACTCTTAAACATGATACACATGGAGGCAAATGTCAGCAATTACTGAAAGCTTTCTTAAAAGTTCAGTGATTCATCATTTTCTTATTGTAAAATTATAAAATTCCTATTTTGGCCAGGTGCGGTGGCTCACGCCTGTAATCCCAGCATTATGGGAGGCCGAGGTGGGCAAATTACCTGAGGTTAGAAGTTCGAGACCAGCCTGGCCAACATGGTGAAACCGTGTCTCTAATAAAAATACAAAAATTAGCCGGGCACAGTGGCAGACACCTGTAATCCCAGCTACTTGGGAGGCTGAGGCAGGAGAATCAGTTGAACCTGGGAGGCAGCAGTTGCAGTGAGCCGGGATCATGCCATTGCACTCCAGCCTGGGTGACAGAGCAAGACTCCATTTCAAAAAAAAAAAAAGTTCTATTTAGATTGGGATGATTTTTTAAAAGCCAAGTCAAAACAAAAACAAAAACAAAAAAAAACCAACAGAAGACCTGACCTACTTACCATTCACAAACTAATTCACTTTTTTTGCCTTGCATTACCCTTGCAGAGGGCAGTTTGTTGACTACTGTACTCATAGCTTCTCATTTACTGGGAAGCCCTTACTTAGGCTTGTCATTTTGGATTTAGAGCCAACGGGAAAATAAAACGGTTGTCCAAGTGAAGAATGTGACTGTTATGTGAAAGTAGCAATATTGGCCCGTCTTTCTTAGAGGGGTTCCCCTAAAAGCCTTACCTACCTGGACAGAGAAACCACTCTTATTCCAAGAAGTGTAACCTAGCAGAGCACTTTTAAGAACAAGGGGGAAATAATCCTGAAAAATATTTGTGTAGCTTCTCAAGCATAAAGCTGCTCAAGGTGCAGTCTGTGAACTGGCAGCGTCAGGTCTCACAGGTCAGGTTGTTAGAATCGTGGGATCTCCAGCTCCTCCCCAAAGCTATAGAATCAGAATCTCTGAGAGTGGAACCAAAAAATTTGTTCTTAAAAGTACCTCAGGTGATTCTTAGGATTGCTGAAGTTTGAGAGATGCTGCTCTACAATTTACAAGAGATTTTTAAAAGCTAGTGGGAGACCTTAAGCAGCTCTAGTTGCTAAACTGAAGTGGAGGTGAAAGTAGGAAATACTGCATACAGGAAGGACAAAATAAACATATCTAAGGCACAATGATCAGACATTTAGCATGAATCTGAATGAGTGTTTAATCCTGGTGGGTTTTTTTTTTCTTCTTTTTGAATCACTTGGGACCTTTAAACACATTGTTTCCTAGTCTAATGAATAGACATGTTAATGAAAATGGATAATGCATGGTGAAAAGCACATGTTGTTAAACACGCCTTGCTTATCTCTGCCTGGCTTATTCTTACATATCCTAAAGGGTTCAGCTTAAATTATGCTTCTTCTAGGAAAGTGAGATTCAGGGTAGAGTTCCTCTTAGGAGCTTCCCCGAAGGCTCTTCTTCCTATCAAGGTAGTTATCACACTGAATTGCAGCTATTTCATTAATAGTTGATCTTTCTCTCTAGAATGTAAACTTCATGAAGCACAAAGAAAATATTGCTTTATCTTTCCCACAGTTATACCTCAGAAACCCTGCACATTTTTACTGACTGGTGGAAGGCAGGCAGACAGGCAGGAAGGGAAGAAACTACAATAATAAGCCATCCTATTTCAAGGAATCAGAGAAAGGGAGAATTTTGTCTAGCTCTTAAAGAATAAAAAGACATTTCTAGGCAAAGTAGGTAAAAGGCATTCCAAGAAGAGGGAAGTGCAAGTACAAAGGTCAGAGTTCAGGCAACTCACATGTCCTGAGTTTCATCCATATGGAGCACAGAGCAATAGCATAATATGAGGTTGGGTTGAGTCTGATTGTGAAGGCCTTTTTTGCTTGGTATCGGCTTTGGACTTTAACATGTAGGCATTGCTGGTAGCATTATCTTCTCATATATTTAGGATATTATGACATCTGATTTTATCACTCTATTTCTAGGTCTTAATTTTTATCTGCTATATTGTAGGTGCCCTGAAACATATTTTGAATAAAGCCAAAGACTTAATAGTGATCACCTAAGAACAACTGACACAAGCTCCTCTTGAGCCTTTTCTACATTTTCCTATATCCTTACCTTTGTTCACCCTGTTCAATTAGTCCACAATGCCTTTTCCTCCATTCCCATCTTTTAGATCTCAATAAACTGCCACCACCATCAGGAAGCCTCCATCAATCCCTCCAGGTCATATTAATGTCTCCTTCCTCCTTGATTCCATAGTATTTCAATCATGGGAGATTGTTATTTTAGTAGAAAGAGAATGGAGTCTGGGCTCTTTTGATTCAACCATATACCAGCTGGATAACTAAAAAAATTAACTTCTCTGACCCTTTTCCCTCAGCTGTAAGGAGAGACAATAAAAACTACCTTGCATATTGTATTCTTTAGGAGACAGGTTCAGTTACATATAACAGAGACCAAAATAATGATGTGTTTGCAAGATAGGAATGTATTTCTTTCATATATGACAGTCCCTAGGTTAGCTGTCCAGAGCTAGAATGTCTATGCTGCTCCACAAGGTCTTAAAAGGACCCAAGTACCTTTTATTTTCTTTTTTACCACCCTTGGGGGTTGCCCTTGCACATGTAGTCCAAGAGGCCTACCACCATGCTGACGTGCTAAATAGCAGGTTAAAAGAAGTACAGAGATGGACATTGTTCGTCCGTTTAAAGCAATGTCTGAAAAGTTGTAAGCATGATTTTTCCCTCATACCTCAAAGATTAGGCACAAAGCCATTCCTAGATGCAAAGGGAGACTGAGCCATATAACCTTTATTCTGAGATGCCCTGGGCTCAGATAAAAGTGAGGGATCCCGTTATTATGGGAGAAAAGGGTAATGAATATTGGGGAGAAGCAGCGGTTTCTACCACACAACATGTTAGTAGTATTCTTCAATGTCGGAAGCTTCTGCCCAGGGGATGCTGAAGCAGATCCATCAAGTGCTAGCCTTTATAGTTTTTCATCATTTCTAATTTCAACATTTTATATATAAAACACTGTATTGTTGCAATTGTATCAGTATACTATATCTATACAGACTAGCACATATCGGGGAGCACGCTTGCAAACATTTTACTGGTAGGAACACTAAAAAATTTTCAGAAACCACTGGTTGTAAGCATTGGAGATAATATTTAGACATTGCTTGGCTCATAATAGATGTTCAACAAATGATGGCCATTGGCCATTGTTGCAGTCCTAAATTAGTATTTACCATATTCCTCTCTATTTATTAATAATTCTTAGTACTTGATATTCACCAGATACAATTGTGCTTTACTTATCTTTAAATTCCAGGCTGGGCATGGTGACTCATGCCTGTAATCCCAGCACTTTGGGAGGCCGAGGTGGGAGGATCACCTGAGGTCAGGGAGTTCAAGAGCAGCCTGGCCAAAATGGTGAAACCCTGTCTCTGGTAAAAATACAAAAATTAGCTAGCTGTAGTGATGCCTGCTTTTAATCTCAGCTACTCCGGAGGCTGATGCATGAGAATCACTTGAACCCAGAAGGTTGAGGTTGCAGTGAGCCGAGATCACACCCCTACACTGCAGCCTGGTTGACAGAGACTTGGTCTCAAATAATAATAATAATAAAAATGATAAAATAAATAAATTCCATAAATAGCCATAGTCCATGCATGTAGTGGGATTTCAATAAAAGTTTTTTTCAATGTTACACTCAATTGTTTATTTGAATTTGACTGTTTTAATAGAGTGAATTTTTATTTGAAAAGTAATTCATCAGGTAAATATGTGTGTTTTAATTTAATCTACATGATCATGTGGATCAATGTGCATGTGACCACCTAAAAGTGGGCTGCCCAATTTATTGGCTCTTTATAGTTTAACTTGCTCATAGATAAGCACTCTTTTCAAAGTGTGGTCGTTTACAAATGCTTTTTTCTTTCTCAAATATATATTTGAAAGAAAATGTAGGCAGTCATAGATGATGACAGGGAAGACAGTGGCTAGTTGAGTGAAAAGAAAGAGGAAGAGTGACAGTTGAGTAAAAATCAAGGAGAGGAAATGAGACTGGAGTAATAAAGAGAAATGGCTTAACATTTTTATGTTACTTTCCTCAATTTTAACAGTGTAATATTTGGATTGAGCTAAAAACTCTATTTCCAAAAAAAAAAAAGCAAATACTAAAACATATTTCTGGGGCCCCAGGAACTTTATGTGATGCTTGGGGTAATTTATAACTTCATCTCTCCCTTGTTAAATCTTGCTTGGCTTTTTTTTTTTTCTTTTTCTTTTTTGAGACAGGGTCTCACTCTGTTGCCTAGGCCAGAGTGCAGTGGTGCCATCAGGGCTCACTGTAGCCTGGACCTCCTGGGCTCAAACAATCCTTTCATCTCAGTTCAGCCTCACAAGTAGCTGGGACTACAGGCGTGTGCCACCACATCCAGGTAATTTTTGTATTTTTCATAGACATAGAGTTTTGCCATGTTGCCCAGGCTGGTCTTGAATTCCCAGGCTCAAGCAATCCGCACACCTCGGCCTCTCAAAGTATTGGAATGACAGGTGTAAGCCTCCATGCCTGGCCTTGCTGGGCTTTTAAATTGACTTTTTGACACTGATATTTTTTAGGGGCCAGTTCCTGAGGGATAACTATAGGTATTTTTCTCTGTGAAATCAGACAGCTACCTTGCAGCTACCTTGTTTCAGTGACTGACTTCCCTCTAGTGTCTTTCTTTTTCTTTTCTTTTCTTTCTTTTTTTTTTTTTTTTTTTTTTAGGCAGAGTCTTGCCCTGTCGCCCGGGCTGGAGTGCAGTGGTGTGATCTCTCGGCTCACTGCAACCTCTGCCTCCCGGGTTCAAGCGATTCTCTTGCCTCAGCCTCCTGAGTAGCTGGGATTACAGGTGCCCCACCACCACACCCGGCTAATTTTTTCTCTTTCTTTTTAGTAAAGACAGGGTTTCACTGTGTTGGCCAGGCTGGTCTTGAACGCTTGACCTCATGATCCACCTGCTTCAGCCTCCCAAAGTGCTGGGATTATAGGCATAAGCCACCATGCCCGGCTGTGTCTTTCCTTTTCTAAGTGTATCATATCTCAGCCCTAAATTACTTCCCCTCAGTTGTCACTTGGAAGTTCCAAGTTTGTTTAAATACACGAAGAGCTGGATGAACTTTGATGAACTTTACTTTTGGTGACAAAGTATAGTTTCCTCTTCATGAACAGCATTAATGGAAATGCATTTTGATTATCCTAATTTCTACCAAGTGCCCTAAATGATGTTTTGCCCCCAAGTATTTTATTTTGGAAACTCAGTAGCATAAAACTGAAACATTACCAATCTAATGAGCTGTCACATGAAGGAAAAGTAGTAATGAAATAACAAATTCAGATAGGTCAAATGGCATGCTGAGAGGAACGAATAAACAATAGCGCATTATAATCAGTATCTCTTTAAAGACAATCTCAGGAAATTTTCGTGGTTTTCTTGTTTTTAAAGCAAATTGCTAATACTTTTGCTGATGTCTCAAAGCAGTGGCTCTCAACCTTGCCCCCACATTGTAATTGCTTCCCGCTTCAAAAATACTGATGCTGGGCTGGGCACAGTGGCTCACACCTGTAATCCCAGGACTTTGGGAGGCCGAGGCAGGCGAATCACGAGGTCAGGAGATGGAGACCATCGTGGACAACACAGTGAAACCCCGTCTCTACTAAAAATACAAAAAATTAGCCGGGGGTGGTGGCACGCGCCTGTAGTCTCAGCTACTCAGGAGGCTGAGGCAGGGGAATCGCTGGAACCCGGGAGGCGGAGGTTGCAGTGAGCCGAGATGATGCCACTGCACACTAGCCTGAGTGACAGAGTGAGACTCCATCTCAAAAAAAAAAACAAAAAAAAAAACATACTGATGCTTCAACCCCAGGAATAAAGATTCCTGTTTAATGGGTCTGAGTCTGGGTATAAGAATTGGGATGTTAAAAAATCTCTCCAAGTGATAAATAACTAAATAACTAAGTTAAAGCATCTAGTTCTTCTAACCTGCTAACCTACTATGATTCTGGGAAGGCCTTCCAACAGAAATGGGTGGTTGGGTTAGTGTGCTTATTATATAGGCAATAAACTGAGCTGCCACCTGTTAACTTGGTAACAGACACAGCTACTGCTAAGAAAGCTAGCTAGCTATGCAAGGCACATGCCCTCAGGCTCAGACTTGATCAAGTTAATGAAACACCCCTCCAAGGGTTGTTCTGCTGACACATGTCACCATTTATGAGTTGTAATTGGGTTTATTAAAAAAGGAGTCATGGCCTGTGCTTTAGCAGTTTGGCCTAAGGGCCCCCAAAAATACTGAGAGAAGAAATTTGCAAGCCAAACTACAGCTGAAAACTAGACTGGGGTTGACCTTGAGGTAGGTTATTGTAGAACCTGAGGCTCAATGTAAGAAAAAAATCAAATATCAAAACCCTGCCCAAGTCCACCAGAAGCTTTCTCTGACAACCAACCTCACTGATATTTCCCTGTCTTTGAATGTCTATTGCACATACTTTAAGAAGGACAATGGCCAAAAGTTTATTTAACTCAGGTTTATTCGATGGCAGTTTGATTTAATAAATTTATGCTTTGATAGTGAAATTATCTGGATTCTTTAAAATGGAATGTTATTTTGGTATGGCCAAGGGCACAGACTTGGCATCTAAGAGAACTAACTCTCTCTTTTGTGAACTTGAGGAAATTACTTAAGCTCTCTGAGCCTTAGTTGTTTTTTTTTTTTTTTAATAAAATGGAGAAAGGTGGAAATATCTCACAGTACAGATATGAAAATGATCTGAACAATGTCATTGTAGGAATAAAAATAGCTATTACTGAACCATACTCTAGGCACTATTAAAATTTTGTACATATGTTAATTTATTCAATCTTCACAGTAACCATACAAAGTATATTATTGTTACTTCTATAGGTAAGAAGTTGTAGGCAAAGAGATTAATAACTTATCCAAGGTCACACAGCAGATAGTAAGGGGCTTGTAATAAGAATAGCATTATACTACCCTGCCTCTCGGTAGTTGTAATAAAAGTTAATTTGCTAAATTATTTAACAGACTGAAGGAGACACTTAAAAGCAACTAAGGTCCAGCACAGTGTTGTTGAACACTTCATTAATAAAAGGTTGAAGTGCTACAAAGAGAAACACATTGTTCGAGATTGTGGTTGACAGGAAATTTGCGAGTATACATGTTGTGAAAGTTTAAAGTCAACCTGGGAAGAGATTTTTTTTTTTAAGACAGGTTCTCCCTCTGTCACCTAGACTAGAGTACAGTGGTGCTATCATGTCTCACTGCAACCTCAAGCTCCTGGGCTCAAGTGATCCTTCTGCCTTAGGCTCTCAAAGTGCTGAGAAGAGATCTTTAAAATGCAGTTAGTGTCATCAAAAAGGGTCAAACTCTGTAAAGTATTTGAAGAGATTTATTCTGAATCAAATATGAAACCTACGGCCCTCGATACAGCTCCAGGAGACCCTGAGAACATGTGCCCAAGATGGTCAGGCTACAGTTTGGTTTTATACATTTTATGGAGACATAAGATATCAATCAATACATTTGTTTGTTCAGTCCATTGGTTCAGTCCAAAAAAGTGGAACAACTTGAAGAGAGTAGGGGGTGGGCTTTCAGTTGGTAGGTGGATTCAAAGATTTTCTGATTGGCATTGGTTGAAAGAGTTTATCTAAAGACCTGGAATGAATAGAAGGGAGTGCCTGGGTTAAGGTAAGAGGTTGTGGAGACCAAGGTTCTTATTAGGCAGGTGAAGCTTCCAGGCCGCAGGCTTCACAGCGAATAATAGATTGTAAATGTTTCTTATCAGGCTTTAAAAGGTGCCAGACTCTTAGTTAATTCTCTCTTGGATCATGAAAAAGTCCTGGAAAGGGGAGGGGATTTTCTACAGAATGTAGATTTTCCCCATAAGAGAAAACTTTGTGTGGCCATTTCAAATTATGTCAAATAAATATATTTTGGGGTAAGATGCTTTAATTTCTTTCAGGGCCTGCTCTCTGTCATGTTGGTATTTTATTACTCTAAATAGTCAGCTTTGTCAGTCTTCTATTGTAACGTTAATGCTGGTCAGCTGTGCCTGAATTCCAACGGGAGGAGGAGGAGGGATTAATGAAGCATGTCCAACCACCCATTCCCATCATGGCCTGAACTAGTGTTTTGGGTTTACTTTAGAATGCACTTGGCTTGGAGGAGGGGTCCATTTGGTTGGTTGGGGGGCTTAGAATTTTATTTTTGGTTTACATTAGTGATGTCACTTTGTCTAATACATAATAATTAGAAGTTGAGAGTGATCTGGGACACATGGGGTGAAAGTCCTGAACCAACGCACTTTCGTTAGCAGTGGTGAATCCATACGGGGTTCTGCAGCAACCTCAATTCTTGCCTTCTCAGAAGAAAGAATTCAACTGATGGGCAGAAGGCAGAAGGAGGGACCAAGGCAAGTTTTACAGCAGGAGTGAAAGTTTATTAAAAAGCTTTAGAGTGGGAATGAAAGGAAATACACTTGGAGGCTGGCCAAGTGGGCAATTTGAGAGATCATGTGCACGGCTTGATCTTTTGACTTGGGGTTTTATATGTTGTTGGCATCCTTTCAGGGTCTTGCATCTCTTCCCCCATGATTCTTCCCTCGGGGTGGGCTGTCCACATGTGCAGTGGCCTGTCAGCAGTTGGGAGGGGAGCAGGTGCTGCATGTGAGGCATTCTTCCCTTACCAGCCCAATGTCCCTAGAAGGTCCTATGCCAGTTAAAATGCCACTTTGCCTCTTAATGTGTATCTTTGAGCCCACTCTGCCAGCTCCTAAGATCTTGTCAGGAAGCTGCTGATCACCAGTGTCAGGTTTTTGCTATTTATTGGGAAGCTGCCTTTCCCTGACACTGGTGAAACGGCCTTGTTGTCTGGAGTAACAACTGAGATTTACTGTCTCACAGATGACAAGGATGCAGACGCACAAAAAGTGAGATTGAGAGTGGAAGTTTAATAGGCGAAAGAAAGAGAATAGCTCTTTCCTGCAGAAAGGGGTTCCAGAAAAGTGGGTTGCTGGATCTGTGGTGAAATGCATTGGGGTTCACAGATGAGCTGGTGAGGAGGCAGTGTCTGATTTACATAGGGTGCAAAAAACTGGTTAGACCAGGTGTGCCATTTGCACAGGGGATGAATTTTTTGTAGGCCCCACCCTAATCTTTTATCCTGCAGGCAGGTTCTCTGCCTGAGCTATGCCATGTTACCCATTTCTTTGTTCCTGTACATGTGGTAGCAAAGAAAGGGAAGATGGAGCATCCATGTTGGACATGCCTGGCCCCCAGCTAGCCCTTTTCTATTGGCACAGCTGCCAGCATTCCCCTGTGCAAGCTTCCAGCTTGCTTATTTATGTTTTCAGCTTGATTTTTCAGGCTGCTCTTTATTAGGAGAAAAATAATTTCTTGGGCTGCGTTTTGCTAGAAGGGACGCTCTGCCAAGGACTCTTTGCCCTCACTATCTGCCTAAACAATTTCTTTCTACCTCCTGTATCACTGACTGTGACCAATTATTATTTTAGAGTAGCGGTTAACTACCTGACCATCACCTGATGGTTACCTGACATTTCTAGTAGTAGGGGTTGTGGCTAGGGAGGAGGTCTCTCCTGCCCTGCTCATGTCTGACTAGCTACCTACTATAACACTTTCATCCATGTTACTTTAATTAGTTCTCAAAATTGTGGAGGAAGCTATCGTTTTTTAGCTAAGGAAACTGAAAGGTGCTTTGAGGTTGTGAAGTTTCCAAGTTCATATCATTTTGTAATGGCAAATTGGACTTGTGCTCAGGCCCTCTGATTCCTCCCACCTAAATGGTTATTTTCTGTTGGGCAGGTCTTTATGGGCATTGCTGGAACTAAGCTTCCTTGTCATTCATCAGATGGGGGAGCTCTCCTATATCATGGCCTTGATCTCTTCAATATTTTATTCTTATTTATAAACTCTCTTTTAGTTCAGACTAGTATAGCAGAATACTGAAGACTGGGTGGCTTAAATAACATAAATTTATTTCTTATCATGCTGACTGGGAAGTCTGAGATCAGGGTGCCAGCATGGTTTGGTTCTGGTGAGGCCTGTCTTGCTGGTTTGCAGATAACCATCCTTCTGCTGTGTCCTCACATAGAGAAGAGCAGAGAGTGGGAAGCAAGCTCTTTCCTTCATCTTCTTCTAAGAACTCTAATCCCATAATGAGGGCTCCACCTCATAACCTAATGGTCTCCCATTGTCCCCATCTGAAAATTCTGTTGGGAATTAGGATTTCAGTATATGAATTTTAGGGGGGTAAAATTTTAGGGTGATTCAGTCCGTAGAAATCTCTGAATTTCAAACAACTCCAAGGTAATTTGATTAACTCATGTAATAAAAGTTCTTGAATGCCTACTTGTGCCAGGTACTGTTACCTAGGTTTACTGTAAGCAAGACATAATTTCCACTCTTGTGGAAATTATGAGCTTTCATTCTTGTCAAAGTAGGTAACAAACAAAAAGGAAGCTATAAAATAGTAAGCGCTCTGAAAAAAATGAAGCAAAGTGCTTTGAGGGGAGGGAAGTGCAGTGGCTTCTTTAGAAAGATAGTATGGCAAAGATCTCTTGGAGAAGGTGATACGAGAATTGTAACCTGAATACAAGAGAAATCCTACTGCGCACAGATCCTTGTGTTGCAGTTTTTCTTTTATATATATTTTTTTCCTTATTTCACATAGTCTGGCTTTAGTTTCTATGTTGTTTGTTTCTCTTCCTTCCCCATCTTGGTGGTAAATTACCTCACTATCAACTCAACTCACATTACATTTCTGGGAGTCTTTCTGTCCTGGTGTGTATGTGATCAGTAATCCTTACATAGTATGTTTGCTAAATGTGTCCTGTCTCTGTGCTATCTTCTTCTTCATTGTCAAGACCCTTGGTCTACTACTCTCCTGGACTCCCTCATTTGCCTCTGAACTTGTCTCTCTGATTTTGATTTTCCTTCCTCCTGTCCACATAGCTCTCTGAGTTCTTATTCCAGAAAACTACCTATGGTCCCATCTTTTAACTACCTGAAAGTTTTCAGTGGTCTTGCATTGACTCATAAAATATAAACTCACTAGTATGATATTTCAGAGTTTTTACTGGTGCCTTATCTTCCTCCATTCCTTTCACACAATATTCCCTATGATTCCACTACACAGTTCTCCCAGTTTCCTGAATACACTGTATTCTTGATGATTTCCATGAACACAATAGCCCTTCTTTAATGCCCAATCTCTTATTTTGTACCTGATAATCTCCTACCCGTCCTTCAGTATCTACTTCAAAAGCCAGTCATTCTTGAAGCACTTCCCCATTTCTGTAGTTGTATCACTGAGAATTAGGATCAGTGGCATACAACTCCCAAAGTAAGAGTGACAAAATCAGTGAGAAAAAATGATTTTTTTCCCCTCATGTAAATGAAGTTGTAAGCTAGACAACCCATGGCTTGTAAGGTGCTCCATAGTTAAGATCCAGCATCATTCTATTTAACTCTTCTAACATCATAGCTTGAGGCTCCCTTTTGCTAGGTTACCTAATGGTTCAAATAGCTGCTGTAGCGCCAACCATTATATTACATTTCAGGAAGTAAGAAGGGACAATAAGAAGGTTGTGCTCTTCACCTTTAAGGACACTTCCAGAAGTTACCCAGAAGAATCAATTCATCCATTGGTTGAAGACAATCCCGTGTCTATACCTAGCTGAGAGACGCTAGTGTGTTTAATTTTTTAGCAGGGTAACAATTTCTAATGAGAAGAAGACAATGTATATTCTGAGGTAGTTAATTGTCTTTGCTACATTCTCTGAACAGTATTATTAGTATCCTTCATGAAGAAGTTTATTCTTTTTATTCTTCAAGTTCTTGTATTTCCACTATAACCAATACTGCTATAGAAGATACTCATGTTGTCTTTATGATTTGGACCTTGCCTTGTCTCCACTGTTAATTTCCAGTGCATATCCTATCTAAGGTTTCCTGTTCGTCTCACTGTTTCACACTTTTGTGAAATTGCATAATTTTTTTTCTTTAACTGGAAAGCTCTTATTTCACTCCCACCTCTACTTTATGAGCTCTTTCCTTATTCATCCGCTTTCCATATGGAGTTGATCATGTATTCAGTTTTGTGCTCACATATCTTTCCCCTAAGTAGACCATAAGCTCCTTGAACATACTGTGTCTTATGTATTTAAAAATTCCCAGCACTTAGAACCAGGAAAAAAAATCACAGCTACTCAATGCATTCTTGAATAAATTAATAAAATGTACAACTAAGGTACATATTCATTTATTTTATACTTTTACAAACATTTATTTATTACTGGCATAACAAATATCATGCGGCAAGCTAGATGCTGAGATATAGCAGCAAACAAGATCAACATTGCCCCTCCCTCATGGAGTTTAAATTCATGTTGAGGGATAGAGATAATAAACAACAGATAATTATAGTTGTGAGAGAGAATAATAACAGAGCAGGAAGAAAACAAACTACTAATGATGCTGTGGGGCTCCTAGTAGGTTGTATCTTAGTTATTTTGTAAACATATTTAGTTCTTCTTTCTTAATGAAAAAGGTAGATGAAGAAGTTTACTGTTCTATCATGACAGGCTCATGCCTTTGTGTATGGCTACCACCAAAAAAATTGTAAATTACCTTCTTTAAGTTCATTGGCTTGAAAAATTATAACTTGCAAAGCTTCACATGTGGAGATTTATGTGATTCTTGACATTAATGCCTTAAAATAAATTATTGTGCTGAATTAAACATGATTAAAATTCTGGGATATTCATCTCTCTTGACTAGCTTAAATGTTTATAATGAGAAAACTTCACTTAATCATAAAAATCATTTATATTTATTGAGTGCTTACTCAGTACTGGGTACTGTTTTACATGCTTTACATGTGTTAATTAATTTGATCCTCACAACCACCATTATAGTTAGATATTGATCTTATCCTCATTTGATGATTTAAAAAATGATACAAGAAAAAGTTAACTAATGTGGCCAAGGTCAAGTAGTTGGTAAGAGAAGGAGCCAGTACTCAAACCCAAGCAGTGACTGTGCTCTAAACCCTTACTACTTGAGAGAGGGGTCTTCAAACCAGTGGCATTAGCATCACTTGGGAGCTTGTAAAAATGTAGGATCTGAGGCCCAACCCAGACCTTCTGAATCTGCATTTTAACAAGATCCCTGCATTTTAACAAGATACCACATAAGTGCTCACTCAGAGAGTCTGCTTTCCATTTCTCTTATTCTATATCACAACGCTACATCAATTCTGGGAATCTGCCCACTTATTGAGATTTAATTAAAATATTAGTCAGAAATATTGACCCTGTTGACCTCTGTTTCTGTAAACCACTTGGGTTACGTGGATCAAGAGAAATATGGTATCATCGCTTCATTAAAGTAGTTAAACCATGATACTGGAAAAAATTTGGAAGCAGGAGGTTAGATGCCAAAGCAAGAAGAACATTTTAAATCCTCCATTGATTTTCTTTCTCTGTGTTCGCTCTTTTTTATTACAGGGATACCTGCCAGCATCATTTTCTTCTTTTTCTGGTTTATAACTTTTCCATTAAAAAATAATTTGAAAGACAATATGGCCAAAGAATTTTATCTGGACCTTTCTTACAGGACTTTGTCATTTTGTCTCTCAGTTATTTGAGTGCTTACCAGGATATAATTATAATTCCCAGCATCTATAGAGTACATATGATATAGCAGGAACTGTGCCAAGTGGTTTTTTTCCTTAGATAATTTATTTGATCCTCACCACAGCTTTTTAATGGAGATATGATTGTGGACCTCATTCAAGGAATGAGAAAGCTGAGGCCCAGAATGTTTAAAACTATACCCAAGGCTCCCAGTTTAGGCACACTGAAGCTAAAGTTGAAGCCAGGCGACATCAATACAGAGCCCACCAGCTTTACCAATGTACTACACTGGCCTGCCATGATTTCATTACAAGCATTGGGCTGAAATTAGCATAAGCAGTAGTAGGGTAGTCCTTTAAATTTTTTTTCTGGATTCTAAAAGACAGTTATTATCTTACCTGTGTTTATGAATTTTGATTTTGGTCTCTCAAAATTATGCTTTGTTAAAATGATAAATGTTTCCAGCATTTTAATGTTCAAACAACCCACTTTTCTTTCATGTATCATATCACATCCGAATGTGCCAACTTTATTTAGAAATATGTGGGCTTCATTTCTTAGGATCACTTCACCAAACTCCAAGAACCACTTGGAATTATTTTTCCCTGAATTGGCATGAGCTACATATAAATTGGCAATACATAGTTGGGAGTAAAATTCTGATTAAAGTCTTGTTCCCGATAGATAATAACTAACAATTGAGCAGCTGCCAAACAGCACCAATTGAATAAGTGCCAATGAGATCCAAGATGAATGTGTCAAGGACTAATGTACTGAGAACAATTAGTCCCTAAATCCCTTTTAATCATAGTAAGTCCATGACCAATGCAGTTAAAACAGCCATGATTGACTCTAACCAAAAAAAGCAATAGGGGAATTCCATAAAATGTTTCCAAATAAGCAAGTTCAGTGGAGGCTGGAGATAGAGTACGGAAGAGATGGATAGTTAAGGGCATTAGGGAAATAAGAGAGTCCATCATGTCAGTGATGCAACCAGATGAGTCAGAGTTTTAGAGGAAACCAATCATGAAATAGTTTGTGATACTGATTTAAATATATCTAACACCAGATAATCAGATAATACAACATTCCACCATAGATCCAAGACTTTGAGTCCAGATTTTGTGGTGTGAAAAAATATAATTTACTCAGTCAACATACATTTTTTTTTTTTTTTTTTTGAGATGGAGTCTCACTCTGTCGCCCAGGCTATAGTGCAGTGGTGTGATCTTAGTTCATTGCAACCTCCGCCTCCCGAGTTCAAGTGATTCTCCTGCCTCAGCCTCCTGAGCAGCTGGGTGTACAGGCGTGTACCACCACAGCTAGCTAATTTTTGTATTTTTAGTAGAGACAAGGTTTCATTATGTCGGCCAGGGTGGTCTCCTGACCTTGTGATCCGCCTACATTGGCCTCCCAAAGTGCTGGGATTACAGGTGTGAGCCACCACACCCAGCCAATATACATATTTTTTAAAGCACCAACTCTGCCTGGCACAGGGCTAGCTGTTGAAATACTGAGATAAGTGAGGTAGTTTCTGCCCTCAAGATGATTATAGTTTAATATAAGATTATTGTGAACAAATAACTATATTCTTACAGATGCTGTGATTAAAGAAAATAAATGGCTCAGTGGGGGCACAAACATAAGGGGGTTCAATCCTCTTTGCAGTTTTCCATGATATACACTCATGACCTCCTCTAAGGCCTGGTTTCCTTCATATCCATTGTGTGTCTCTCTTCCTAGGCCTTATTCCCTCTGATCACACAGAATTTCCTTTTGCAATTCTCTGATCTTTTCTACCTGTATGCTTTTGCACTAATTTTTGTCTACGTCTAATATGTCTTTTTCTTTCATTTCACCTGTCAAAATGTGGTTTATTTTTGGAGTGGGATCTCCTGAAATGCCACCTCCTCCATGAAGCCTCACCCCTCCTCCTACCATGTACACCCTCTTCCTTGTTCTGAGGTACTTTTTTAAAATTTTAATTAATTAATTAATTAATTAATTTTTAAGATGGAGCCTGGCTCTGTTGCCAAGCTGGAGTGTAGTGGCACGATCTCGGCTCACTGCAATCTCCGACTCCTGGGTTCAAGCCATTCTCCTGCCCCAGCCTCCGGAGTGATTGGGATTACAGGCGCCCACCACCACACCCAGCTAATTTTTGTATTTTCAGTAGAGACGGGGTTTCACCATGTTGGCCAGGATGGTCTCGATCTCCTGACCTCATGTGCCGCCTGCCTTGGCCTCCCAAAGTGCTAGGATTACAGATGTGAGCCACTGTGCCCAGTCATTCCAAGGCACATTAAACTTGCACACATCACATCATATTTGTTTATATATCTGTAACTCCCTGAGGCAAACACTGTTTCCTTATCTGCCCCAGGATTAAACAGACTTGTAGTAAATTGTTTTTATTTTTGTTTTTTTGATAGTTAAAAGGATTAAACAAATTGATTTAAAATCATTCTTGAACCTAATTACTTTCTGGGCACATAGTATGAGTAGTCAGTTTATGAACTGTACAATGCATATGTTATTAGAAATAGTATTTTTATTTGATCCTCCACTGACCTATTTGCAATTTAAAGTCCTGTTTGTTTGACCTACCTTCACATTGTTAGGGATTTATGTGACATTTTGATCCCTGAATTAGGATGTGTGAGTCGAGTCCTGTGTGAACAATTAACTTTCTTAAAACTTCATGCTACTTTTAGGGAGTACCTGTTTAAGGTAGCTGAGTGGTTAGACATGCTGGCAGACCACTCTGAAGAGCTGAATTAACAGAGAATCTGTAATCTGCTGTTACAAACAAATGAAAACCAAGAAGTAAAATTAAATAAATATCATCCCTAGTAACATCATAGCACAAAAAATATTTATGTTAGGGACTTAAAAAATGTGCGAACCCTGGTTAAAAATTAGTTAGAAGTCTAACCAAATTTTAAATAAAAGATAAACAATAAACTATCCAAAGAAAATGTTTAGGCTGGGTGCAGCAGCTCACGCCTGTAATCCCAACGCTTTGGGAGGCCAAGGCAGGCGGATCACTTGAGGTCAGGAGTTTGACACCAGCCTGGCCAACATGGGGAAACTCCGTCTCTACTAAAAATACAAAAATTAGCCAGGCGTGGTGGCCTGTGCCTGTAATCCCAGCTACTTGTTAGGCTGAGGCAGCAGAATTGCTTGAACTCTGGAAGAGGAGGTTACAGTGAGCTGAGATTGTGCCACTGCACTTCGGCCTGGGCAACAAAGTGAGCAAAGCAAGACTCCATCCCAGGGGAAAAAAAAAAAAAGACAAAAGAAAATGTTTCATGTTATATATTTATTTAAGAAATATATTTTGGAGTACCTTCTCTATATAGAGTGTGATTAATGGTATGGAATGCATAAAGATGAAAAATATAGAGAATTTTTGTCCTCTAAAGAACATACATTGGGGAAAAGGACACGATAGGGAGGAATGAGAGTTTAAATGTCCTGTCACTGTTCTTATTCTATCACAGTGGCATCACTGATAGCAAGAGAGTCCACTAAAGGAAACGACTGCCCTTGAATGATATTCTAGTGGAATAATCAATACTAGAATATTGTGAGCACCATCGAGCAGGTCATTCAGGACAATTAAAAATCGTGACACGAGATCTTCCTGGTTTTGGGAACAACTGTCTCCAGATATACAGAGCAGGATTTTAAGTTGGAGAAACTGTGACCAACTTCCCTGAACCTAGCTTTCTCAGTTGTCAAATGAAGCTGAATAATCTCTGTTGTACAGTATGTGTGTGTGATATGCATGTTTGTCTACTTAGATAAATAAGGGAATGCATAGAAAACATATTAGAAGCTCTCAAATGCTATTCAAATATGTTATTAATAATCCATTAATGTATTACAGAAATATTCACTGAGGGACTTTACTGTGTGCCAGACCTTAGCTGAGGTACTGATGCAACAAAGAGGAATGAGATAGAGACTATGGCTTCAAGAAGGCCTTAGATTTGTAGATGATAAAGATATGTAAACAGACCAACAAAACTTAGTATGGTAACTGTGAAGAGGGAGTAAGAAGTACACTGGAATGCAAACAAGGGAGTAATTAGTATTGTTTAGGAGTTCAGGAAAGGCAAATCATCTTTGTAAACTAAATTTAAAGGGCAAGAAATTGTCTTCAAAGGAGAGGGGACTTGGGGGAAGAACAATCCATGGGGATAAGACAGTCATATACAAAGAAAGATCAGATACATGAAAAAGGATAGGTAATTCAGTAAACTGTTTTCAGTTTGGTGTTTCAGGAATAAGATCCGTAAGATTAGAAACAGTGAGAGGATGCAGAACAGGTGGCTGTTCCTGCAGCAGTAGAGCGCATGGTATAATAGTTAAGAGCATTGACTCAAGCCAAACTGCAGGGATTTGAATTTAGGTTCTGCAACCTGTGTGACCTTGAGCAGGGACTTAGTTTCTTTTTCTGTGAGTTGGGGGTAATAATAATATCTATCACATAGGATTAAGAATGACATCAGTTAATATGTATAAAATATTGAGAAAAGTGCCTGGCACATAGTACAAAGTGTATGTCTTAGCTGTCATTATCATGATTTTCCCCAGCCAATTCCTAGGAAATGATGTACACAGCTGCAAGACCATTTATCTTTTATTCTGACATTCTAACTTACTATTTTATTCAATAATTCCTAAGAAAAATGTGAAGTAGAAATTGAAAGATCAAACAAACAGCCTCTTAAGACCTTAGGAGGTTTGTCAGGCTGGTTCAGTGTAACAAAAGCAGCCTAGGATTGACTGGACTCAACTGGGGCATCTGACTGTTAGCTGGCTAAGCTTCTCACTGATGCAACTTCAGTCAATGCCTGGACCTCTCAGGAATCTGGAAATAACCGCTCTCAACTTCTTCTAGCATAGGTCAGAACTCTCTGCTGCATCCTTCCTCAAAGTCTTCATAACCTTATAGCCAGTTATGTCTGGGGAACAGTGGGGACAGACAATGTGGGAGGAGTTAGGGGAAGGCAGGAAGTTGCATGGGTGGGGAAGCACTCTGTCCTCCACCCTCTACGTCTTTCTGCCATAAACCTGGAGGCCTAAACCCTCACCCTTGAGTGGAAAGGCAGGCCTCCATTAAAGTAGGCTGGGTTCCTTAATGGGCTAATATAAGCATGTGTGCCAGGGAAGGAGTGGAAGAGAGGATGGGGTCTTTATATTTGTGCATGATTAAAAGGTGCATAATTTTTGCCAGATGCACTGGCTCCTGCCTGTAATCCCAGAACTTTGGGAGGCTGAGGGGCCAGATCACCTGAGGTCAGGAGTTTGAGGCCAGCCTGGCCAACATGCCGAAACCCCATCGCTACTAAAAATACAGAAATTAGCTGGGCATGGTGACATGCGCCTGTAGTCCCAGCTACTTGGGAGGCTGAGGCAGGAGAATCTGTTGAACCCAGGAGGCGGAGGTTGCAGTGAGCCAATATTGTGCCACTGCAATCCAGCCTGGATGACAGAGTGAGACTCTGCCTCAAAAAAAAAAAAAAAAAAGTCACATAAATTTTCCCAATTAATGATCTTATGAGAAAGACATGTGTGCCTCTGAGCACAGGCAGAAACAGGAGGTTGTGATGGGCTGGCTGTGACCCACCACCAAGTAACATGACACTCTGGTCATTGTACGTAGGGTAATAAAAGTGGATCTTAGTGGCTAGAAAACACAGAGAAATATCTTACCAGCAGTTAATTTTTTTTAGAAAATATATTGTTTAGAATCCCATGCGCAGAAAAACACATTATTCTCTCTCAATCAATGTCTTATCAAGGGCAAAAGCATTTTACTCGATTCCATGATGCTACTTGGTCTGACTACTCTCAACTCCTACCTCACTACTGGACAGTAAGTCCTGTTTTTAGAGAGCCCTACACAAGGAAGCATGACAAATCCTGTTGACATCCCATCTCAGTATTGAATCATTCCTTATAAGTCCCAGTTAGTGCTTATCTTAATATTATTTGGGAGCTGAACAATAATAGATCCTACTACATTTTGGCCTGTCCAGGAACCTGACCCAGTTGTACTCACCACACTGGAGGAAGGTTTAACAACCAAAGGACGAGCTATAAGTTGCTCTTATGCAAACATGATGAGTTTCACAAAATATACCCAAGTATTAAACTCATTAACATCTTCATTATGCCACACATTAGCCAAGGATTTTATCACTTTTTTTGTTCATTTGCAGTTTTACCAAATTGGTGATCTGCTCTTAGTATCTTTCCAATTAATAGGATTTTTAATAGTCAGTAAATTAGTTTTAAACCTATCTTTCTGCATCCATCATTAAGCTCTAGAGTGAATTTTTATAAATTGATGAGAGTGGGGTAAGTGGAAGCTACATTGTGTGACTTTGTACACATCCACTGATCTCTCCAGGTGAGCCTCAGGTTCTCAGGCTATAAGAGCAGAATACTGCTACTCATCTTCCAAGCTGTGGTGACATAAGGTTAGGTGATACATGTGCAAAATATTTTGTAAAATTTCCTGCTCAGAAAAGATTTTAGATAGTACTATAATTGTTGTTAAGTATCTAAGGAAGAGAAAATCGACATTTTATAGCCCTTTCTTATGTCTTCCTTGTCATATGCCTTATTTATGAATCGTATTTGAATTCTGAATTGTAGTCATAGATGTAAAAAGGTAAAAAAGATATTATAGTACAGTGTCTCAATTAAATGTCATCAGAAAGTAATATTTATATAAATACCAGAACTTGGCCGGGCATGGTGGCATACACCTGTAATCCCAGCACTTTGGGAGGCCAAGGCAGGTGGATCACCTGAGGACAGGAGTTCGAGATCAGACTGGCCAACATGGTGAAACCCCATCTCTACTAAATACAAAAAATTAGCCAGGTGTGGTGGCACATGCCTGTAATACCAGCTACTTGGGAGGCTGAGGCAGGAGAATCGCTTGAACCCAGGAGGTGGAGGTTGCAGTGAGCCGAGATCGCACCATTGCACTCCAGCCTGGGCAACAAGAGTGAAAGTCTGTTTAAAAAAAAATAAAAAAAATAGAACTTAAATTTTACCTGTAATACATTGCTATGTTAATTTTAATATAGTATTATTATGCTAATATTGTTACTATTAGTTTTTAGTAATTTATCTAATAACATAATATCTATAAATGCTTAGAAGTTATAAAAAATATTAAATATAATTGTGTATATATTTCAATTTTAATGTTATCTGAGGGCCAAATTTATCTATCATTCCTTCACTTAGTAAGCACTTGCTAAGTTCTTTACATGAGACAAACGTGGCAGTAGTCACTGTGGATAAGCAAAGAGAGTCCTTGCCTTCAAATTGTAATGCTAACCCCAACTCCCAATTCACGTAAAAGAAAATATTAGCTGATATTTTCTTTAAAAGTTGAACATTCTTCTTGATAATAGGATCTGACATGATAAGAAAATTTTCTTAAAATGCTGTACAGGTGACTTAAACTGGGCAGCCAGCTAGAAGGAAACTTTTGATAGAAAATGGCCTGGAGGAAACAAAGAAACTTTGCTACTTAGCACTTTACATAGATAGCATTAATTGAGAATAGCTGCTTCTTAATATTATTATTATTATTATTTGAGATGGAATCTCACTCTGTTGCCCAGACTGGAGTGCAGTGGTGCGATCTCAGCTCACCACAGCCTCCACCTCCTAGGTTCAAGCGATTCTCCTGCCTCAGCCTCCTGAGTAGCTGGGACTACAGGCGCGTGCCACCATGCCTGGCTAATTTTTGTATTTTTAGTATAGATGGGGTTTCACTATGTTGGCCAGGCTGGTCTTGAACTCCTGACCTCATGATCCACCCACCTTGGCCTCCCAAAGTGCTGGGATTACAGGCCCACTGCGCCCAGCCTAACATTAAATTTTAATGGTTACACAGATACAGGCGTTTTGATTTGTTTGTTTCACCCAATCAGGATGCTTAAGTTCATGCATGTGACCAGGTGCAGTGCCTCATGCCTGTAATCCCAACACTTTGAGAGGTTGAGGCAGGTGGATCACTTCAGCCCAGGAGTTCAAGAGCAGCTTGGGTAACACAGTGAGACTCTGTCTCTACCAAAAAAAAAAGTAAAAAAAAAAAAAAACATCAGCTGGGCATGGTGGCATGCACCATGCACCTGTAGTCCCAGCTACTTAGGAGACTAAGGTGGGAGAATCGCTTGAGCCTGGAGGTGAAAACTGCGCTGAGCTGTGATCATACTACTGAATTTCAGCCTGGGTAACAGAGCTAGACCCTGTCAAAAAAAAAAAAAAAAAAAAAGAAAAGAAAAAGAAAAAAAAAGCACGTGACACTTTTTAAGCTCTTATAAATTCTTAGTCATATAAATGGTTGGTATTCTTAATCCCCTAAACTCATTTGGTAGCTGTAATTTTTATACATAATTGAGCTTTTATTTCTCTTTCATTAGGAAACCTTCTTAAGTGTGTAATTGTTATCCATGTTAGAAGATTGATGTTATTCCCTCAGCACATAAAATTATAGAATAGCATTGCCCAAATTATAGTTTTGTTTTATGTATCCCTCTTTTAATTTTTAATTGAGTTTGCTAGCACCAGGAGTGAAACATAGAAACCAACATAAGTAAGTTTTGGTGTATGTGTGTGATTTGTGATTCTGTGTTTAGAGTCATTAAGGTAATTAGAAAACCTATGGTAAATAGTAAATCTCTAGCTTCTGTGTGAAGCAGTGAGTATTATAGATACTTACTAAGCACTTACTATGTGCAGCTCCAGGTTCTGTGAGAGGAGTACATAAATCGGTAATCTGTGGTCTAGTACCATAAGGAATTTTGTCTAGGAGATATAAGAGAAGTTCATAACCAGAGTTCAAGTTATGAAGTGATGAGTCTCAGTACAGAGCCTGATACTTAATGAATATTTGTGGAATGAATATACGAACACATTAATATACAAATAAAGAGAGACACTAAGGAGAGTGGAAAGTCCATAGAGGGAACGATTATTTTTAGCAGCTATGTCAGGGACATTTTCAGGGTAAAAGTGAGACATTTGGTAGAGTGGTAAAATTTAGATATGTAAGTATTCCTGACAGGTGGAACAATGTGAGATTTTGCCTGTGCTGCTTCTTTGTTTCCCCATAATTGTTTTTTAAAGCAAATTGATTTAACATCAACAGCCAAAAATAAGAACCAAGTTACAGTACATGTATATAACACAGAGGAGCAACTTTAAAACCAATACAATAAAATGAGTGAATGATTACAAATGAAGCCCAACCGTAAGCTGGCTGCAGGTCTTAAGGGGCACAAAGACAAGAAGATGGCCATAAGTCTGAGTATTCTGTGCAGGCGCACATATGTAAGCTTTGGGGAGGAAGACAGTGCTTGAACAACTTAGAGATTTCCCACTCGCTGAAAACACTCCTTCTAGGGAAAGAAAACATCTACCTAGATGGATCCGCAAATAGTTCAGTGAAAAAATATAGGTCAGTAAGCCTGAGGCAATGCACATTTCTTTTTCCCTAATAATTTGTTACAATTTCATGCGAATTTACCATATCCCAAGAAGTATATTAATTCTAAAAAATAATCTAAATTTAAAATTTTTATTTTACAGTTGAGGCCAAACTCAGACACGTACTTTGTGGTTTTTCTAAAATTATGATTTTATTAAGAATCAAGACTATTTAAAGATAGGTCTCTTCAATTCTCAAGTTCAAAATCTCCCCGTAACAATAGAGTACCTCTCACACATTGGTGAATGAGTACAAAGGATTTAGATGTAGAAACTTGACTTCAAGTTCTAGTTCTGTCACTGCTTAATGTTGTAAAAATAACCAAGTCAACTAGGGACAAAAAGTTCATTTAGGAAATTATTGTAATACCTCAGGAAAGAGGAAATGCATATCTTAGTAGGATTGTGCCAGCTAAAACACAGAGGTTGGAATTACATTCAGAAATTCTCTGAAGGTAGAGTCAGCGCATCTTGACAACCAGTAAATCATGGTATTTACAGGATTGATTATGTAATGTGTTTTCCCTGAAGTATGGTCCTTGGAACATCAACTCTAGGAGATACAAGTTAAGGTACCAATAGCTGCCATAATAAACCCCATAATTTCAGTGCCTTAATACAATAGAAAAATATTTTTCTCTCACTTAACAGTCTAAATTGTTTATCAGCTTTGGCCCTATTGATACATTGGATAATTTGTTGTCATGAAGAGCTGTTCTATGCACTGTAGAATGTTTAGCAGCTTCCCTGGCCTCTACTCACTAAATGTCAGTAATGCCAACTCCTCAGTAGTGATAACTAAAAATATTTACAGACATTGCCAAATGTTTCCTGAGGGACAAAATCACACCAAGTAGAAAATCGCTGGTCTAATATATGTATTCCTGATCACTGAGAACTTTCTTCCACACAGTGACCCAGGATCCTTTCATTTTAAGGGTCTGCCAAACTTCTTTCTACTAGCAGAGAAAGGAGAAAGAGATCACAGACAAGGGATACCGTTTTCTTAAAAGCCTTGCTTCAGGCACTCATATGTCTTTTGCTCAAATTCCAATGTCATGAACCTATCACCCAGTAATATGTAGATACAAGAGGAGCCAGGAAATACGCTCTTATTTGGAAGCTTGCTTCCCAGGTCCATCCTTCTGTCAATCCTTCCTTCCTTCCTCCCTCCCTCCCTCCCTCCCTCCCTTTCTCCCTTTCTCTCGCTCTCTCTTTCCTTCCTTCCCTTCTTTCCTTCTCTTTCTTTCTCTCTCTCTCTTTCTTTCTCTTTCTCTCTTTCTCTCTCTCCCTTTTTCCCTCCCTCCCTCCTTCCTTCCTTCCTTCCTTTCCTTCCTTCCTTCCTTTCTTTCCTTCCTTCCTTCCTTTCCTTCTTTGTTTCTTTTTCTTTCTCTCTTTCTTCAGCAGAGCCTGCACTGTCACCCAGGCTGGAGTGCAGTGGCACAATCTCAGCTCACCGCAATTTCCACCTCCTGGGTTCAAATGATTCTCCTGCCTCAGCCTCCCAAATGGCTGGGATTACAGGCACATGCCACCACACCTGGCTAATTTTTGTATTTTTATTAGAAATGGGATTTCACCATGTTGGCTAGGCTGGTCTCTAACTCCTGACCTCAAGTGATCTGCCCACCTTGGCCTCCTAAAGTGCTGGGATTACAGGTGTGAGCCACTGCACCAGGCCACAGGTTCTACTTTCTACTATGGAAAAGAGAGCACAAAATTTGTTGAACAGCTAGCAACCTCTGCCATAGTCTGACTGAAAACATGTTTCCTAGCCAAATATTTTTGGAAACTCTTCAGATTAAATATCTCTCTTAAAAACTCACAATGAACATTAGCACTTTAAAGTTTCTGAGCAATCCAGCATGGAATGTGTCTGTTAAGTTTTCTTGAAGTTAACACGCCTGAAATTTATTTGACCACATAATCCCTTCTCCCCCATTTTGTTGTTGATTTTTGTTTTTGAGATAATATTAGTGTGCTATTGATGGTTGTATTAGTCCATTTTCATGATGCTGATACAAACATATGTGAGACTGGGCAATTTACAAAAGAAAGAGGTTTAATGGACTCACAAGTTCCATGTGGCTGGGGAGGCCTCACAATCATGGTGGAAGATGAAGGGCACATCTCACTTGGCGGCAGACAAGAGAAGAGACTTTATGTAGGGAAACTCCCCTTTATAAAGCCATCAGATCTAATAAGACTTATTCACTATCACGAGAATAGCACAGGAAAGACCTGCCCCCATGATTCAATTACTTCCCGCCAAGTCACTCCAACAACACATGAGAATTGTGGAAGCTATAATTCAAGATGAGATTTGGGTGGGGACACAGCCAACCCATATAAATGGTCATGATATTTCTGACACCTTATTTCTGGCTTCTTTCGGAGGTGTTAGAACCTGTACCAGAGAATGGACAGAAATAAGGAAAGAAGTTCATATTGATGGAGAGTTTGAACATATTCATTGACCAGTTAGTTTTAGGAAACATTCTGCTAAGTCTTATCTATTGATTTGATATAAACTAATGACAATTAGTGGTTTTTAAATAATCAAACTTTTTTCCTTCCATTCATTTATTTTTTAGGAGCTAAATGTGAGCTTGCCACTTTGTATACATACTGTCCCCTTGAATTTTTACTATATTTTCATGATTCCATAATGCCAGCTGGTAAATTCAGAAAAACAAATACACTTTATTTATTATAATCTATTTAGGTAGTAGGGAAATCAGGAAATTCCTACCATATTTAAGCTTCTTAGTACCTGAATTACTATGAGCAATATAACATTTCTTTGTTGCTAATGATTTATATTATAGCCCACTATATGGTCTCTCCACCAATTGCTAGTATTAAGTTTGATGTCTCCTTCATGCTTTCCATTGCACATCCGCTGCTCCTTTTATTCTCCTTACTCTTAGCCCTATTTCCTACTCTTTTTCGTTTTCCCTCATCTCTAGGTTGGACAAGCTTATTCTTTATAACTTTCTCTTTCTTATTCATCACTCATCCCAACCCAAATCCATTGAAAGTATGTGTCCATTTTACAATATCCTGTTAGATAAACAAAATCGTTACATGTAAAACAAATATTAGGCTTAAAGATTCCTATTATAGTGTAGTAGGCAGATTTTTGCCCCCCGTGATCTCTCCTGCTTGGCGTTATTCCTTTGGTTATATTACATAATGCAGTCAAAGGGAATTTGCAGACATAATTATGGTTGCTAATCAACTAAACTTAAAATAGGGAGATTATCCTGGATTTTCTGGGGGGATTCACTGTAATTACATGAGCCTTAAAATAAGAAGAGAAACTCAGAAATATTCACAGCATGAGAAGGACTGGCCTGCTGATGCTTGCTTGAATAGATAGGGGCCCACAAAGAAAGCATGAGAAGGAAATTACTTCAACCAGTGAGCTTAGACCCAGAGCCTTATATTAGGAACACAGCCATGGGTGACACTTTGATGTAACCTAGTGAGACTCAGTTGAGAATCCCATTATGTCATATCAAACTTCTGACCTACAGAAATGTGAGATAATTAATGGCTATTTTTTAAGCCACTAAATTGCAGTAAGGTGTTATGAATCAATAGAAAACCAAAACTTACCGAACAAGTCAGTTCTTCCCTTTCCAAAACCACTACTTCTGGAATTCATTAAGCAGTGAGCAATTGGAATGCATTCAATTTATAAGCTGATTCTAAGACATTGTCCAATACATCATTTTTCTGGACTATTTCTACACTAAAAATGACCTGTTCATGACCAGTGATGTTATTTTTTTATCTTTTCATCTCAGAGTATGTCCTTATCTACCTACTTTCCTCAGAGAGGTTTGTTTCTGATGCTGATGCTGGACCCTCTATAGGTATCATCTAACATATGCTCACTAGTAACATCATTACTGCACCTCAATATCTGGTTTTCCTCTCTTTCATGAGCATGTAGATGGGACACTACATTTCCTAGCTCCTTTGAAGTTAGGCAGGATCTTATGTTTTGTTCTAGGCAATGGACTTTAAGCTGAACCAGCAAAAAGCCCCTTCTTGACCTCCAGCTCTTTGTTAACAGCCTGGAAACTGCTCAACTTGTAGAAGATTTTTGTAAGGAAAAAAAAATAATTGATAGTGTTAAGACACTGAAATTTAGGTGTTAATTTTGCTCAACAGTGTAACCTAGCCTATCCTGATTAATCCAGAAACAGATACACGCTCTTCCCAGTGACAATATTTTACTAGATTTCTGGATTATCCTTCATTATGTAGCATTCAGACCAAGATACTATGCCTACTATGATCAGGTGGAAGTTTTCTAATTCAGCTCATGTTGCAGAGAAAATTCAGAGTATGATTTTTGAAAAGGAAAAAATAAGCTTTGACGTGTTTCGGACCTATGTATCAACTAAAACAGGTACATGCTTAACTCCACCAGCAACACGTCTACTGTGATTCATATTCTTCTTTCTGTGTTTTTCTTTGAAGTTACTTTATTCTTTTGAAGTTCACCTTGAAGAACTGAGCAACTCTAAGACAGTCATTATTTCTTCACCATGACATGACTAATAGCTTCTGCCATAGGTGACAGTTCTTTGCAATCTTTAATTTCTCTTTCTATTCTTCAAGACTTGCATTGAAATGTATCTTCATCAAATGGATATATTTATACCTTTTCCTACTTAATCACATTTCTGATATATGATTGCTCTTTCAATAGATTACCTAAGTGCCTGAAAAGATAACTACTCTTAAAATTGAGCCAAGATCATTTTATCTCTTTTTGCTTGAAAAATTCCAGACAGTTGGTTAATCTGCTTAACAAGAGGGTGTGGAAGTGGACTGTAAACTGAATATGCTAGTTATGTTTCTCTCATGAAATTAAAACTAGGTGAGTTGTAATTTACAACCTGAGATTTCATTTGACACATACTTTTTAGAAGCTGTACTGAGAGTGCAATCTGGCTAAATTTAATTTTACGTAATTTTCCAAGATTATTTCTTCATCTCAAGTTTCTGAGATATAGAAGCATTGGTCTACAAAAACTGAGGTTGAACTCTTGAGGATTTGTTTATAAAAACATACATATAGATATACTCAGACATATATGTTTATACATATATAAACATGTATAGAATATACATGTATATATAAGCATGTTTACACATATATAAAACATATTTATATGTATGTTTGTATATAAACATATACATATGTATGTACACATAAAAACATATATAAACATGTATAGAAATATATATTCTCTCATATATATATTCATATATGTGTATATATATTCATATATATGTATATATATATTCATATATATGTATATATGTATTCATATATATATGTATATATATATGAAGACCCTAGTTTTGGCTCTGAATTGATAGCTGAACTTTCAGGTTAGTATTTGAAATATTCATCATCATTTTTCACTAATTCTACTAAGCTTGGGCTTTTTAAATTACTGTTTTAATTTGTTAAGGAAAAGAAAGAGTAAGCAGGATAATAGTCCATTGGGTTATTTGCCCTCTGTGGGTGTGATCAGCAGAGCCAAACATATTAATAACCAATAATGAACAATTGTGATGTATAAAATGATATGGTTCTTGGTAGAGTCCTCCATTCAAGCTAGTGCAATAACAAAAACCACAGTGTTTCTCAGACTTTATTGTGTATAGGAATTACCTAGGGATCTTACATCCTTTTTTTTTTTCTTTTTTTTTTTTTTTTTTGAGACGGAGTCTCGCTCTGTCACCCAGGCTGGAGTGCAGTGGCGTGGTCTCGGCTCACTGCAAGCTCCGCCTCTCGGGTTCACGCCATTCTCCTGCCTCAGCCTCCCGAGTAGCTGGGACTACAGGTGCCCGCCACCACGCCAGTCTAATTTTTTCTATTTTTAGTAGAGACAGGGTTTGACCATGTTAGCCAGGATGGTCTTGATCTCCTGACCTCGTGATCCACCCGCCTCGGCCTCCCAAAGTGCTGGGATTACAGGCATGAGCCACCGCGCCTGGCCTCTTACATACATTCTAATTTAGTAGGTCTTAAGTCTGGAAATTTTACATTTTTAATAAACTCTTGGGTAATGCCAATGCTACTAGTTCATACTTTGGATCATACCTTGAGTAGCTTACCTCTAAAGCAGTCATTCATTAATTTATTCAATAGACATTTGTTGAGCCCCCAGTGTGAACTAGGCCTTTTAAGTTCATAGAGCATTTCCTGCTCTTAAGGAGCTCACATCCTAGCAAAGTCAGGCTCATACACAGATAACTAATGAAAATGAGAAAAGTGATATAATGAGATGACTACAAAGGGTATGGAAGGTTAGATGGGGGTGATTAATCCTTCTTGTGGTGTAGCAAGGGAGTTGGGGTGGCAATGGAAGATTTCCTCTGACCTAACTCTTAAGGACTAGGAGTTCTTTTCATTTTGAAGATTTATGTTTGCTGGAACAAGGCCTAGGGAGTTGGTAAACTGTGTAAGCAGCTCCTCCTGAAAGTAAAGAATAATAACAGTGTGGCTCACACAATGTGGCAGCATGGATTTTCAGACGGGAACTATCTACCTACCCCGTCTCATAAAAGTGAAAGTAAGGCCGGGCGCCGCGGCTCACGCCTGTAATCCCAGTACTTTAGGGAGCTGAGGTGGGCGGATCACGAAGTCAGGTGATCAAGACCATCCTGGCTAACAAGGTGAAACCCCATCTCTACTAAAAATACGAAAAGTTAGCCAGGCGTGGTGGCATGCACCTATAGTCCCAGCTACTCGGGAGGCTGAGGCAGTAGATTCGCTTGAACCGGGAGGCGGAGGTTGCAGTGAGCCGAGATTGCACCACCGCACTCCAGCCTGAGTAACAGAGCGAGACTCTTGTCTCAAAAAAAGTGAAAGTAAGTACCGTACTTGAATTCAGTCAAATGACCCCTTAGAAAAGCATCATTAGCCACTGGTTTTCAAGTCAATTACGAAAACTCAAAGGCTTATTTGTTAGTTTTTAAATAGGTTTAAATGGACAAATTCTTTGATCTACTGCCACTACTTCTTAAAATAAAATTAACAAAGGCAGATTTTCCTTTAAGCAAATGAAACTTAGAGGCCATTCATTTGCATGGCTCTTTCCAGTGCCCCAAGGGGGATTGCAGCAATTGTGTTTTTGTAATTTTATGTCATTTTTCTTAAATAAGAGGTCCCCAAATTATATAAGATTCAAGCCCCACAGAACCTGGATCCAGCCCTGCAAACATACCTTCTATTGTGAGAATCATTATGCTTTTAGTGTTTGCTTTAAGGAATATGCTCTGGTATCACTATAATTGGTAAATTATGTTTAATCAATTTTCATACAGTTGAGCTCTGCAGGTAATAACCCAAAGAAAGACGGTCTCCAGGGATGATAAAAATTATCTCTTAACTCATGAATATTCCATTTGCTCATTTTCTACAGATAGATTACTTCATTTGAAAGTAATAGAAAAACACAGAACGGCATGCATGCTGCAAACAGTGCTTAGTGTAAATGTTTCATAATGAAACCAGCGTCTTGGCATAACTGTTTATATGCAATGCACTGAGCCTTTCCAGCTCACACTTGAGGGAGGTTATATACACATCTATTTATCCTCTTATATAGAATAGAAGTATAGCATATATTCTAAGTTTGGAAATGTTGGAGCCATCTACTCTAATTTTGATAAATATATCTTATCTTCACAGCAAAAAAAGTCTGAATATAATCAGCCATTATTTTCCCTTTAACAAAAGGGATTTTTCTGCTGAGTTAAATCTGATCCTATAGACTGAGTTTCCTATAGGTGATAAAACTAAATAAAATAGTTTTAAACATAGTTATAATACTAAGGAAAGTCTATTTTATCTTGAATTAAAATTTTGTCTTCCATTTTTTAGTATTGTTTTTACCTAAAGCAATAGGGAAAATTTGGGAAGTGGGCATGCATTTATTATATTTACCCATAAGCTTTCCCTTTTTAAAACCTGTTACAAATTAAATTGGCTGGGTTTGGTGGTTCACACCTGTAATCCCAGCACTTTGGGAGGCTAAGGTGGGCAGATCACTGGAGCCCAGGAGTTTGAGACCAGTCTGGGCAACATAGTAAGACCCAATCTCTCTCTTAAATAAATAATTATTCAAACTAATTTTGAAAGCTTCTCTTATAGAGAATATGGCACTGGTCTCAATCTGAGCAGGGAAGGAGGTGAACTACAAGTATAATAGGATAATACTCAATTACCTAGGCTGAAGTGGGTTATCATTTGCATTCATCTCTGCAATAATAGGAATGCCATAAGAGAGGAATACAGCAATACAGAAAGTACTTTTGTATCACCAATATGAGAGGGCTTAATTGCAATCAGGAGAGTCTGAGATGACTATAATCACTTTTTACAGTAGTTTATGCTCCAGTGAGAACTAACAGATGTCATATATTTCTGTTATATCTGTTTCTACAGTTGTTTTGTTTCTTTTCATCCAACGATATACTTTAGAAACTTGATTCAAGAGTTCAAGTCAGAGCTTTTCTTTTCCTTACCTAAATGTTTAAGTGAAGTACAATTATATACAGCAAAATGCACAGATCTTAAAGTGTACAGATTGCTGAGTTTTGATAAACGAATACGCTTGTGTAACACTTTAAACTGAGATATAGAGTACTGACATCACCCTAGAAAGTTCTCTTTTCTTTTTTTCAGTCTGTGCCCTCCCAGAATCAACCAGTATCCTGATTTCTTTCTTCATTACTTAGTTTTGCCGTTCCTTAAACTCATAAAAATGAAATAATTCAGTATATACTTGCTGTGTCTTCTATCACTCAACATGTTTTTTAAGATTCATTCATATTGTTATTTGTATCAAGAACTTGTTCCTTTATTTCTAAGTAGTAGTCTATTGTTTAAACATACAATAATTTGTTTATCCATGTTCCCAATAATAGACATTTCAGTTGTTTGCAGTTTTTTGCTTTTCTGAATAAAGCTGCAATGAAGATTCTTTTTTTTTTTTTTTAATTTAAGTTTTAGGGTACATGTGCACATTGTGCAGGTTAGTTACATATGTATACATGTGCCATGCTGGTGCGCTGCACCCACTAACTCGTCATCTAGCCTTAGGTATATCTCCCAGTGCTATCCCTCCCCGCTCCCCCCACCCCACCACAGTCCCCAGAGTGTGATATTCCCCTTCCTGTGTCCATGTGATCTTTACAGGACACTTTGTGGACATATGTTTTAATTAATTAATTAATTTAATTTTTTGGAGACAGAGTATCACTCTGTCACCCAGGCTAGAGTGCAGTGGCTCTATCTTGGCTTACTGTAACCTCCACCTCCCAGGTTCAAGCAATTCTCCTGCCTCAGCCTCCTGAGTAGCTGGGATTACAGGCATGTACCACCATGACCATATAATTTTTGTATTTTTAGTAGAGATAGGGTTTCACCATGTTTCCCAGGCTGGTCTTGAACTCCTGACCTCAGATGTTCTTCCCGCCTCTGCCTCCCAAAGTGCTGGGATTACATGCATGAGCCACCATACCCAGTCTAATTTATTTGGAGTAGATAACTAGAAGTAGAATTTCTGGATCCTTAGATAGGTGTTATGTTTAACTGTTATAAGAAGATACTAATCTTTAATCAGAACCTGCCCAACATTTTGGTACAGTGGTTGTTCTAGTCTACATTTGCACCAGCAGTGTATAAGGGAGCCAGTTCCTCTGTATCCTCTTCAACATTAAATGTTGTTCATCTTTTTAATTTTAGCTATTCCAGTGAGTGGCATCTCATTGCGCTTTTGGCATGTGTTTCCACTAAGACTAAAGATTTTGAGCATCTTTTTCATGTGTTTATTGTTTATTCATATATCCCATCTTGCTAAGTGTTGGTCCAAGTGTTTGTCCATTTCTTCACGAACAAATTTTTTTTTTTATTTTGGAACAATCTTAGATTTACAGGAACGTTAAAAAAATAGGAAAGAGAATTTCTTTATGCCCGTGAACCAGTTTTTCACATTGATAACATATTATATTACCATAGAATATTTGTCAGCATTAAGAAACCAACTTTGATATATTACTATTAACTAAACTCCAAACTTTATTTGGATTCCACCAGTGTTCCTATTAACGTATACTTTCTCTTCTGGAATTCAGTCCGAGATTCCGCATTGCATTCATTTGTCATGTTACTCTAAGTCCTCCAGCCTGTGACAATTTTTCAGGCTTTTCTTATTTCTTGCGACCTTGATTATCTTTAGAATACTGGCCAAGTATCCTGTGAAATGTGCCTAATCTAGATTTATCTAATGTTTTTACTTTAATGATCAGACTAGTTTTATGAGTGTTTAAAAAGAATATCACAGAGGTCAACTGTCCTTCTCAATACATCACATGAGGTGATGTGTAATATCTACTTGACGTTTCTGGTGACGTTAACCTTTATCACGTGGTTAAACTAGTGTTTCCAGATTCTCTCAAGGGACAAATCTAGGTAATATATGTATGTATATTATCCTATGTATACACATATATCTATAATTTTTAAATCTATTAATTTGGGTGCATATATGAGTCTATATTTAAACATGAGTTCATATTGATGTCTCTGACTATACTCCAGTTCTATTCTAACCTTCCTTTTCTGCTTATCGGTTACTTCCCTCTCCAAAAGTGAGAAGCTAGACTCCCACTTTCTACCATCCACTATTTACTTAATACCAGTATACATGTAAACTGGTTTCAAAACTTTTAACCTTAATCCCTATGATAAACAAATTTATCAATTAAAGTACAGTGTTTATGTACAGTGTACACTTCCTTTTATCTTTAAATACATAGTTTTCAGCCAAAACACCATTTTCTTTATTTTTCTTTCATTATTTTTTATTTTAAAAAGTTTATTCTGGCCAGGAGTGGTGGCTCATGCCTGTAATCCCAGCACTTTGGGATGCCCAAGTGGGCAGATTGCCTGAGTTCAGTAGTTCGAGACCAGCCTGGCTAACATGGTGAAACTCTGTCTCTAGTAAAAATACAAAAATTAGCCATGTGTGGTGGCGCGCACCTGTAGTCCCAGCTACTCAGGAGGCTGAGGCAGGAGAATCACTTCATCCCATGAGGCAGAGGTTGCCGTAGGCTGAGATTGCACCACTGAACTCCAGCCTGCATGACAGAGCGAGTCCATCTCACCAAAAAAAAAAAAAAAAAAAGTTTATTCTGAGCCAATATGAGTGACCATGGCCCACAGAAACACAGTCTCTAGAGGTCCTGAGAGAGTGCACCAAAGTCGGTTGTGTTACAGTTTGGTTTTACACATTTCAGGGAGACAGGAGTTGCAGGCAAAGACATAAATCAATGGAACAAAATTGTAAGTCAAGATATAGTGCCATAAATATATAGTAAAAGTAAAATACAAATACTAATGTATACATGAAACGTATACATTGGTTTGGACTGCAAAGGTGAGATATGTTGAAGCAGAAGCTTATAGGTTAGAGGTGGATTCATAGATCCTTTTTTAAAAAAACTTTTATTTCAGGTTCAGGGATACAGAACACTGTTTTCTAAAGTTACTCAGGTGAGCCTTTTTTCCCCATGTAAAGAAATGAGCTATTTACTTTTTTATTATTTATTTATGAAAATTGTTTTGTATATTCAAGATGCAAATCTTTTTCATAAACATGTTTTGCAGTTCTGTCCCAGACCGTGGCTTACATTTTCACTTTCTCAAGAGTGACTTTTGATGAGACATTTACATTTTTATCATGTTGTTTATAAAATTTTCTTTTATGGTTAGTGAGTTGGATTCTAAAATACCTTTGCATATCTCTAGATCACAAAGAATTTTAAAAATGTTTTCTTTTATGAACTTTATAGTTTTAACTATTACATAATGGTTTTTAATCCATCACAAAATACTTGTTGTGTATGATGTGAGGAAGATGTCAAGGTTCAATTTTTCCAATAGATATCCAGGTAATCCAGCACCATTGGTCAAAAAGATGTTTCTTTCCCCTCTGAATGCCATTGGCGCCTTTGTCAAAAATTATTTTACTATATATTTATGGTACTATATCTGGACTCAGTATTTTGTTCCAGTGATTTATATGTCTAGCATATGCCAATACCATACTGTCTTAGTAAGTATAGCTTTATAATAAATATTAAAGTCAAGTAGTGCAAATTATCTGATTTTTTTTTTCTTTCAAGATTGTATTGGCTATCTTGACCCTTTATATTTCTTTATACACTTTGGGGTCAACTTACCAAATTCTGCAGAAAGCCTGCTATGATATTCATTGGCATTTCATTGACTTTTCAAGTAAACTTAAAAATAATTTACCTCTCTACAATATTGAGTCTTCCAGCCCATAAGCGTGGTATATTTTTCCATTTATGTAAGCTATCTCAGCAGTATTTTGTAATTTTCAGTGTAGGAGTAGTCATATATACATACATATATATATATAGAGAGAGAGAGAGAGAGAGAGATTTATTCTTATATATCTTGTATTTTTTGTTGCTGATGAATTGGCATTGATTTTTTAAATTTAATTTTCCAACAGTTGGTTGGTAATATACATACATGCAAATAACTTTTTACATTGAACTTTTATCCTAAGACGTTACTGAATTCCCTTATTAACCTAATTTTATATGAATTTTTTGGTATTTGTTTGTTTTAGATTTGGGGGAGGTTTCTACATATAAAGTTGTGTCATCTGCAAACAAAGTCATTTTTATGCATTATTCCCCAAATTTTATGCCTTCTATTTATTTTCTTTGTCCATTATAATGTCCATGCTAAGGTCTCCAATATAATGTTGAATCAAAGTAATGGAAGCATTATCACAAATAGGTATAAAGATACTGTCCGATTATTTTTCTGTACCTATTGAGATGACTATATGAATTTTCTCTTGTATATTATTAGTATGTTGAGTTACACTGATTGATTTTTAAATGTTAAGCCCACCTTGTATTCTTGTGAAAAATTCCCCTTGGTCCTGATGTATTATCCTATTTATATATTATTAGATTTGGTGTGCTACTATTTTGTTTAGGAATTTTGCATCTTTGTTCTTGGAGGATATTGATCTTTTGCTTTTCTCATTGTGTTCTTGTCAGGTTATATTATCAGACTAACCCTGGCCTCAAAAAATGACTTGGGATGTTTTCCTTTGTTCTCTATTTTGTGGAAGAGTTTGTATAAGAATGGTGTTATTTCTTCTTTACATATTTGGTAGAATTTACAAGCAAGGCCATGTGGACATGGAATTACTTTGTGGAGTTTTTAAACTTCACATTCAATGTTTTCAACAGATGCAGGACGATTCAGGACTATACAAGACTATACAGGACTAAACAGTTTTCTATTCCTTCTTGAATAAGCTTTGGTAGTTTGTGTCCATTGAAAAGAGTTTCTATGCCAAAGAAACTGCAACTTAGATGAAATATTACAGTATTTCATCTAAGCTGCAGAGTTTACTAGCATAGAAATGTTGATAATATTGCCTTCATTTCTGTTTAATATATTTAAGACTCGTAATGATGTTCTCCCTTTATTCCTGATATTGGAATTGATGCCATCTGTCTTTAAAAAAATCAGTTTTATTAGGTGTTTATCAACTTCATTGATTTTTATCAGAGTACTACCTTGTATTTGGTGACATCTTCTATTGTTTGCTTGCTTTCTATTTCACTGACTTCTGTCCTTCATTATTTTCTTTTAGTTACTTTGAATATACCATCTTCATTTTTGTAGCTTTTTAAGATAGAAGCTTAGATCATTGGTTTTTGATCTTTTTTGATTTCCATTACAAGCATTTAAGGCAATGAATTTCCTTAGCACCACTTTAGCTGAGTCCAAAAAAATTTGTTATCTATTATGCTTTTATTATGCTGCAAATCAAAATATTTTTTATTTTCTTTATGATCTTTTATTTGACTCACAAATAATTAAGAAATATGTTACTTTATTTTTGTTTTTTTTTTTAATTTAATTCTGTTATTCTCAGAGAATTTAGTCTATGTTTTCAGTCCTTTGAAATTTATTGAGATTTGTTTTATGGCCCAGTGTAGTCTTACTTGATGAGTGTTTTATGTGTGCTTAAAAAGAATCTGTATTATGCATATACTGAGTGTTCTATAATATATATAGTGCCAATTTGGTCAATAGTATTATTTGAATCTTTTATATTCTTACTTTTTATTTACTTGTTCACTCAATTACTCAAAGAGGAATATTAAAGTCTCCAAATATATTTGTAGATTTGTCTATACTTCCCTTTAGTTTTGTAAGTTTTTGCTCCTTCTATTCTGAAGCTTTATGGTTAGGTATGAATACAGTTAAGATTGCTTTGTCTTTCTGCTGAATCTGTCTTTTAGTCCTTATGAAATATCCCTCTTTTTCCGTTTTGCTCCTTGTTTTACAGTCTACATCATCTCCTTTAATAACGCAGTTCACTATTATTATGATTTGTGTTAGCTTTATTTACCATCCTCTTAATTTCTATCTATGTTTTTTAATTTAAAGTACATCAGTGGCTGCTGGGTGCGGTGACTCACGCCTGTAATCCCAGCACTTTGGGAGGCTGAGGCGGGTGTATCACCTGAGGTCAGGAGTTCAAGACCAGCCTGGCCAGTATGGCAAAATCCCATCTCTCCTAATCATACAAAAAAAATAGCCAAGTGTGGTGGCGGGAGCCTATAATCCCAGCTACTTAGGAGGCTGAGGCAGGAGAATGGCTTGAATTCAGGAGGCAGAGGGTGCAGTGAACCACTCCAGTCCTGGAGACAGAATGAGACTCTATCTCAAAAGAATAATAACAAATAAAATAAAATAAATTAAAAAGTATATCAATGGCAAGCATTGTAGAGTGTTTTTATTAATGTCTATTCTGATATCTGCCTTTTAATTGAAATGTCTTTCATTTGCATTTAATATAAATAATAATTATAATGTTTCATTTAAGTCCACCATTAGTAATTTATCTGTTTCTTCTGTTTTTTTGTTTCTTTGATCTTCCTTTCCAGCCTTCTTTTGGAATAATCACATATTTTGTAGTATTTTATCTTCCTGTATTGAAAATTTTTCTTGTATTAATTTTTAGTAGTTGCACTGAAGATTATACTATCCATCTTTAACCTATTACAGTTTAGATGAATCAATACCGTGCCCTGCCACATATAAGAAATTTATTGTACTGTATTTCTCTATTTCTATTTTTTGTGTTACTCTTACCTATGCTGTACATCCCCACAAAACGTTGTTTGCTTTAAAAATCAAATATCTTGGCAGGCACGGTGGCTTACGCCTGTAATCCCAGCACTTTGGGAGGCCGAGGTGGGCGGATCACCTGAGGTCGGGAGTTCGAGACCAGCCTGACAAACATGGAGAAACCCCGTCTCTACTAAAAGTACAAAATTAGCCGGGCATGGTGGTGGGCACCTGTAATCCCAGCTATTCGGGAGGCTGAGGCAGGAGAATCACTTGAACCTGGGAGGCAGAGGTTGTGGTGATCTGAGATCATACCATTCCACACCAGGCTGGGCAACAAGAGCAAAACTCCGTCTCAAAAATAAAAAATAAAAAATATTTTTCCCCGACTTTTATTTTAAGTTCAGGGACACATGTGCAGGATGTGCAGACTTGTTACATAGGTAGATGTGTGCCATGGTGGTTTGCTGCACAGGTCATCCCATCACCTAGGTATTAAGACCAGCCTCTATTAGCTGTTCTTCCTGAGGCATTCCCTCCTGTCACCCACACCCTCTGACAAGCCCCATTTTGTGTTTTTCCCTTCCATGTGTTCATGTGTTCTCATCATTCAGTTCCCACTTATAAGTGAGAATATGTAGTGCTTGGTTTTCTGTTTCTGTGTTAGACTGCTGAGGTTAATGGCTTCTAGCTCCATCCATGTCCCTGCTGCAAAGGATATGATCTCATTCCTTTTTTTTTTTTTTTTTTGAGACGGAGTCTCGCTCTGTTGCCCGGGCTGGAGTGCAGTGGCTCAATCTCGGCTCACTGCAAGCTCCGCCTCCCGGGTTCACGCCATTCTCCTGCCCCAGCCTCCCAAGTAGCTGGAACTACAGGCACCCGCCACCACGCCCAGCTAATTTTTTGTATTTTTAGTAGAGACGGGGTTTCACTGTGTTAGCCAGGATGGTCTCCATCTCCTAACCTCGTGATCTGCCCACCTCAGCCTCCCAAAGTGCTGAGATTACAGGCGTGAGCCACCACACCTGGCGGATCGCATTCCTTTTTATGGCTGCATAGTATTCCATGGTGTATATGTACCATATTTTCTTTATCCAGTCTATCATTGATGGGCATTTAGGTTGGTTCCATGCCTTTGCTATTGTGAACAGTGCTGCACTGAACATACATGTGCATGTGATTTTATCATAGAATTTTTTATATTTCTTTTGGTATATACCTAGTAATGGGATTGTTCGGTCAAATGGTATTTTTGCCTCTAGGTCTTTGAGGATTCACCACAGTGTCTTCCACAACAGTTGAACTAATTTACACTCCCACCAACAGTGTAAAAGCTTTCCTTTTTCTCCATAACCTTGTGAGAAACTGTTGTTGTTTGACTTTTAAATAATAGCCATTCTGACTGGCGTGAGATGGTATCTCATTGTGGTTTTGATTTGCACTTCTCTAATAATTGGCGATGTTGAGCTTTCTTTTCATATGTTTGTTGGCCACGTGATGTCTTCTTTTGAGAAGTGTCTGTTCTTGTACTTTGCCCACTTTTTAATTTGTGTGTGTGTGTGTGTGTAATGTTTGAGTTCCTTGTAGATGCTGGATGTTACACTTTTGTCATATGAATAGATTGCAAAAATATTCTCCCATTTTATATGTTGTCTGTTCACTTTGATGATAGTTTCTTTTGCTGTGCAGAAGGTCTTTAGTTTAATTATATCCTATTTGTCAATTTTTGCTTTTGTTTCAATTGCTTTTGGTGTCTTCGTTAGGAAATCTTTGCCTGTGCCTATGTCCTGAATGATATTGCCTGGATTTTCTTCTAGGGTTTTTATAGTTTTGGGTTTTACATTTAAGTCTTTAATCCATCTTGAGTTAATTTTTGTATAAGGTTTAAGGAAGGGGTCCAGTTTCAGTTTTCTGCATATGGCTAGCCAGTTCTCCCAGAACCATGTATTAAATAGAGAATCCTTTCCTCATTGCTTATTTTCATCAGGTTTGTCAAAGATCAGATGGTTGTAGGTGTGAAATCTCATCTCTGGATTCTCTATGCTGTTCCATTGGTCTATGTGTCTGTCCTTGTACCAGTCCCATCCTCTTTTGGTTACTGCAGGCTTGTAGGAGAGTTTGAAGTTGGATAGTGTGATGTCTCCAGTTTTGTTCTTTCTGCTTGGATTGTCTTGGCTATTTGGGCTCTTTTTGGTTCCATATAAATTTTAAAATAGGCTGGGCATGGTGGCTCCTGCCTGTAATCACAGCACTTTGGGAGGCCAAGGCAGGAGGATCATGAAGTCAGGAGTTCGAGACCAGCCTGGCCAACATAGTGAAACCTAGTCTCTACTAAAAATACAAAAATTAGTCAGGTGTGGTGGCATGCACCTGTAGTCCCAGCTACTCAGGAGGCTGAGGCAGGAGAATCGCTTGAACCCGGGAGGTGGAGGTTGCAGTGAGCCGAAACCCCACCATAACACTATGCCTGGATGACAGAGTGAGACTCCATCTCAAAAAAAAAAAAAAAAAAAAAAAAAAAAAGAAAATAGTTTCTTCTAACTCTGTGAAGAATGTCAATGGTAGCTTAATGGGAATAGCATTAAATATCTATGCACATAAACTAGAAAATCTAGAAAAAATTGATACATTCTTGGACACATACACCCTTTCAAGACCGAACCAGGAAGAAATTGTATCCCTGAATAGACCAGTAATGTGTTCTGTAATTGAGGCAGTAATAAATAGCCTACCAATAAAAAAAAAAAAAAAGCCCAGAACCAGACATATAAACAGCTAAATTCTACCAGAGGTCCAAGGAAGAGCTGATACGATTTCTACTGAAACTGTTCCAAAAAACTGAAAAGGAGGGACTCCTCCCTAACTCATTCTATGAGGCCAGCATCATCCTGATACCAAAATGTGGCAGAGATACAACAACAAAAAAGAAAATATCAGGGCACGATGCTTGATGAACATTGATGCAAAAACCTCAATAAAGTACTAGCAAACCAAATCCAGCAGCACATCCAAAAGCTTATCCATTACAGTCAAATAGGCTTCATCCCTGGGGTAAAAGATTGGTTCAACATACACAAACCAATAAATGTGATTCATCACATAAACAGAACAAAAGACAAAAACCACATGATTATCTCAATAGAGGTGGAAAAGTGTTTGATAAAATTCAACATCCCTACATGTTAAAAACTCTCAATAAACTGGGTATTGAAGGAACATACCTCAAAATAATAAGAGCCATATGTGACAAACCCACAACCAATATCATACTGAATGAGCAAAAGCTGGAAGCATTCCTATTGAAAACAGGCACAAGACAAGGATGCCCTCTCTCAGCACTTCTATTCAACATGGTATTAGAAGTTCTGCCAGGGAAATCAGGCAAGAGAAAGAAATAAAAGGTATTCAAGTAGAAAGAGAGGAAGTCAAACCATCTTGTTTGCAAAAAAAGTGAACCTATATTTAGAAAACCCTATTGTCTCAGTCTTAAAGCTTCTTAAGCTGATAAGCAACTTCAGCAAAGTCTCAGGATACCGAATCAATGTGCAAAATTCACTAGCATTCCTTTAAACCGACAACAGGCAAGCAGAAAGCCAAATCATGAATGAACTCCCATTCAGAATTGCTACAAAAAGAATAAAATACCTAGGAATACAGCTAGCAAGGGAAGTGAAGGACCTCTTCAAGGAGAACTACAAACCACTGCTCAAAGAAATCAGAGAGTACACAAACAAATGGAAAAAACATTCCATGCTCATGGATAGGAAGAATCAATATCGTGAAAATGGCCATACTGCCCAAAGCAATTTATAAAATTAAACATCTTTCAATGAAATTGGGAAGCATTATCAAAAGTCTTGGATATTTACATAGTGAAACTTAGTCTCTGCTAAAAAGTCTTGGATATTTACATAGTGAAACCTAGTCTCTACTAAAAATACAAAAATTAGTCGGGTGACTAATTTTTATGTGACTTTTAAAATTTTTCTGTAAATCTGAAATTCCAACTGCTATTATTTTTCTTTCCCCTGAAATGTTTCTTCAGTGTTTTATTTGGTGCAGACATGCTGGCAATTAATGCTCTCTGATATGATCTATTGTAAAATTACTTATTGACTACATTTTTTAATAATATTCTTACTCATATTGAATACTAATTTGACTAATTTTTCCTTCCCTTCGAGTACTCCAAAGACATCACTGGTTTGTCTTGTGCATTATTTTTTCTAAGAAGTTTTCAGTCACTTTTATAATAGTACCTTTGTATGTGACATATCTTTTTATTCCTTAGTAGTCTTGGGATTTTCTTTCTTTTTTAAAATTTATAATATTTTGACTAGAATATTTCTTGGCATACTTTTCCATATATTTATCCTCTTTGTAATTCATTGGACTTCTTAGAACTGTGGTTTTTTTCATCAAACTTGGAAAGTTTTAGAAAAATAATTTCTCACATATTTTTGTCTTTCCCACTTTTTCTTTTCTGAGACTCCAGCTGCATGAATGTTAGACCACTTGATATTGTCAAACAGATAACTGACACTGTAGGTTTATTTTGCAGTATTTTTTCTCTCAGATTTTATCCTGAATAATTTCTATTGACCTATATTCCCACTGAGTAAACCCTTCTTTGGTGATTCATTCATTCTTCTTTTGAACCCTTTCAGTGTATTGATAATTTAATGTATTTTTCATATCTACAATTTTGATTTTGTTCTTTTTAAAATTATTTTCAGTTTACTGCCAAGATTCCTATTTGTTCTTCCATTTTTTCTTTATTATTATGTAAATTTTGAACATATTTGTATTAGTTACTTCAAAAATCTTTGTCTACTTGTTCCACTATTTTGGTGATCTATGGATTGATTTCTTTTGGATCCTATTTTCTTGCTTTTTTGCATGTATTGTATTTTATTATACTAGACATGTTTTATAGGAAAACGTTTTTCCCAGAGAGTGAGAGCTCTGCCCTACATTTGGTAACAAAAGGGAGGCAGTAATAATTCAGAAATTATTAATATCGGGTGAGTGTGTGATTGAGCCTCAACTTTAAGCAGATTATGTTCAATTTTGTTTATGTCAACTTCAATCTCACTGTAGTAGCTGCCTAGGAAATTGTCTTTTTGACTAGTTTGTGAGCCTAGATTCAAAGCTTTCTAGCACTCTTAGAAATACATACTCTCTTAAGAATACATACATTCTTTGTTGCTTTTCAAGCCTATCTTCACTTCCCTTTTCTCAGTAAACTTGGGAAAGAATAAGGTAGGAAGACTTTTTATGACGTGCAAATAATACTGCACTTGAGAATTTTTCAAATCCATCTTTCCTGGCTGATCCTACCGTTATCCATAGCTCTGTTGACCATTTTTTAACAAGGTAAGTTTCTTGATCATTGGCAGATCTCCTTTTCTGTTCCCTGCACCTGCACCATTTGCCCCTGAAAGCTGCTGTAACTCACCACATATCAGTAGTCCTACAAAATGTATGTCTTTTATACTCTCTAGATTTTCTTGGTGTTACCATGAGTGCAAAGTCAACTATCTATGTTTCTTTACATTCTAAATCACAGGCAGAATTTTTCTATTTGACTTCCCTCTCTAAGTCCTTGTCTCCCCAATAGTGATAAAGGGTTAGCACTCCACTTTATAATTTTTATTTTACTCATATTCAGGTATACCATTTATTTGACTAATTGTAGATAATTGTCATGGTTTTATATTTTTTCTTAAGAATACATGCAATTTACTTACAAAGTATAAATTTTATTTTGGTATTTTGACATTACATTACCTGGTAAATATAACATTGTAATAGTATTTATTTCCTTGTGCTTCCCCACAACAAAAATAAACTTTTAGCTAGAGGCCATTTAGTATGCTTCAATTTTTTAAAATAAAATTAAGAAAAATTGATTTTCCTTTTATAAAATATATTTCCCTAAAGCTATTGCTTCTTTTGAGAATTACTATAAGAAACAAAATTCCAATAAGTATAAGCTCTAACTTTGTTACTCCTATATTTTGTGGTGAAAGTATTATGGTATTATAGAAAAAGCATCAAGGGCTTTGGTTTCCGAAAAACAGGGATTAATATACACTCTCTACCTCTTAGTATTAATAGCTTTGTGACCTTGGGCTGGTCATATTCTCATCTATAAAATGGGGGTAATGGTATTTACTTCATAGAGTGGCTGTGAAGCTTAAATTAGTTTTCAAGGCAAAATATCTATACCTGTATTTATACAGAAGTTGTCCAAGAAGGTACACAAACCCAGAAAAAGTATGGCTGACTTTCCTAGATCATTATGTGGAGTTTTGAGGGAAAAGTATCTTAATATTACATATTTAAAAAAATACTTTTTAAAGATGAAGTATGAAATGATAATAAATTTGGTGTGGGGCCGCTGAAGCCATCCCTCTAAATCCTATATCCCCATATGTAATTATTCTGTAGCCCCTGAGAAGTATTTTAGTGAAAATATCTGAGAAACTCTAGGCTGACCTATAAAACGTGACCAGAATTATTTGGCTCACAGTATGTGTTAGGATTAGCTGTTTATCTAGTTACTTAATTGAGTGAATACCTGGGACATAATTTAGCTTTAGAATTTTTTTTAGTCAGTAATGTGCCACGCTTTGTTGTCAACATTTAGATTGTTTTCCCTTTCATATGAAACATTTTATTAAAATTCCCAAACATCATTTTTAAGTCCAATAGCATTCAAATACCTTCTGCTTAGGCACCTTCCTTTGTAAAAATTTTAATTGTGTCTTGACTCTTTGGAGGCTTTTTTAGTGATTTGTATTTGATTTGTTTCCCTGGGTGGCATGGGAATCATGATGTCATTCTTTCCATTGTCCTGGTCCTGGATTGAATAACAGAAGATCCTTAACTTCTGGAGAACAAATTTTAAAAATGGCTATACAAATTCATTGAGTTTTAACTATGCTATCATCATTTTGTGCATGAATGATTTGTGTTTTATATTTTGATTATATATATAGATCACCTCACACATCATAGAGCCTTCCTTTTCAAAAATGGCATAATGTAAGAGTCATTAGGGACCCATTCAAAGGAAATGAATATATTAGGTATGTGGACCTAGAGATAATTTGGAAATCAACCTTCACTTCTCCTGTATATTTAATATACCTTGGGTCATAGCTTAGTATAAAAATACTCAACATATGGTTCAAAGCCTTCTATTTAAAAAAGATATTGGAATGATCATTATTTCAATTTCTTTCTTTCGTTTTTTTTTTCTTTTCTTTCTTTTTTTTTTTTTTTTTTTTGAGAAAGAGTCGCACTCTGTTGCCCAGGCTGAAGTGCAGTGGGGTGATCTCAGCTCACTGCAACCTCTGCCTCCTGGGTTCAAGCGCTTCTCTTGCCTCAGCCTCCCTTGTAGCTGGGATTACAGGCGTGGGCCACCATGCCCTGCTAATTTTTGTATTTTTAGTAGAGTTGTTTCGCCTTGTTGACTAGGCTGATCTAAACTCCTGACTTCAAATGATCCACCCGTCTCGGCCTCCCAAAGTGCTGGGATTGCAGGTGTGAGCCACTGCACTCGGCCATCATTATTTTAATTTCTAACCTTGTTTCTTTAGGAAACACTCTATAAACATAAATAAATGTAAATTATAGAAATAACTACTTTCTTTTAATTTAAGGTAAATTATACTGGCACATATACTGAAAGTCAATCTTCCTAAAATACCAGTTAGTTAAATTATTTAAAATTCTTCAAGTTTCCTGTTAGCAGCAGGAGAAAATTTTATTTCTGAAAACTGACTAGGAAATAATACCCTGCATCTCATTCCCTGGAGTATACTCCATTATTCCTCAGTAGTATTTCTTCTTTTTACAGTACAAACTGGCTTTTTAATTGTCTTTCATTCTCTTTGAGAGTTGTTTTGGCCGCTCAACACTTTCTCACACAGTTCTCCTTGCCTAGAATGTCCTGATTTCTTTTTCTCTTACCCCTATACCCATCTGTGGTAGTCCAGTTCAATCTTTTCTGTCTGTTGAGTTCCTGTGACATTGATTGTAAGTTGTTTCTTGTCTCTTGAGTCAGATAGCAAAGGGGACCATGTTTTATGACAGTTATCTTCCAGATGAGATATAAAAGTAACTCGACACTTATTTAATGCTGGGTTAAAAATTATAAAAAGCACTCAAAAGAATGAAGTCTTTCTTGAAATTGGGGTTAAATTTTTTAAAAATTACTGGAAATAAATATTTGATGGCTTCTATAACTTTTCCCTGATTTCATTGATTTAATAATGATCTACATACAAATAATTTTATTTTGGTGTTGGTTTTATGTTAAGCACTTGTTTTCTTTATTTCCTCATCCAACATGTATACATTGTTGGTCCAGTTGTGTCAGGAGTTCTATGTCCTAGAATTATAAATGCAAATATAGCAGGCATGATCCTTGCACTTACAGAGCTTAATAATCTAATGGAAGAAACCAACATTAAATAAACAAACACACACATAATTTATTATAATTATGTTAAAAGCTGCAAGGAAAAGTGGAGGGCATCATAAGAGCATATAACAGAAGAACCTGGCTTACACTGGGGAGGTTGCTGCAGAAGTTTCGTGTGGAAGTGACATATGCGCAAACATGTATTTATCAAGAATTGTCGTAATTACACAGTATGGATTTTTATCCCAATTTTCTAGATGAGGGCACTGAGGTTTAGAATTGTTGAGGAACTAATATAAGTGGCAAGGTTAGAGTTTGAGCCTAGCATTGTGTAACTATGGGACCTCTTTGTGCACAGTACCTCCCTTTCAGAAAGACTCAATTCCAAAGGAGAGGCAGAGAAATATTGGGTAGGCGGAGAAGAGTAGAGGCAAGGCTGGGCACGGTAGCTTATGCCTGTAATCCCACCACTTTGGGAGGCTGAGGCAGGTGGATCACGAGGTCAAGAGATTGAGACCATCCTGGCCAACATGGGTGAAACCCCGTCTCTACTAGAATAAAAAAAAATTACCTGGACGTGGTGGCGTGTGCCTGTAGTCCCAGCTACTCAGGAGGCCGAGGCAGGGGAATTGCTTGAACCTGGGAGGCGGCAATTGCAGTGAGCTGAGACCGCACCACTGCACTCCAGCCCGGCAACAGAGTGGGACTCCATCTCAAAAAAATATAAATAAATAAAAAAATGAAGAGTAGAGGGAAAGTGAGAGGTGACAGTGTGCTAGCAGCCCTCGCTTGCTCTGGGCACCTCAGGCCACAGCATCCATTCTGGCCACGCTTGAGGAGCCCTTCAGCCCGCCACTGCACTGTGGGAGCCCCTCTCTGGGCTGGCCGAGGCAGGAGCCATCTCCCCCTGCTTGCAGGGAGGTGTGGAGGGAGAGGTGCGAGTGAGAACCGAGGCTGCACGCGGCCAGGACGAGTTCCGGGTGGGCGCAGGCTCAATAGGCCCCGCGCTTGGAGCAGCTGGCCAGCGCCGCCGGCCCCAGGCAGTGAGAGGCCTAGTGCCATCAACTGCCCAAGGGCTGAGGAGTGTGGGCGCAGGGTGTGGGACTGGCAGGCAGCTCTGCCTGCGGCCCCAGCGTGGGTCCCAGTAGGCACCAGATACACTAGGCAAAGCCAGCTGGGGTCCTGAGTCAGGTTGAGACTTGGAGAACTTTTATGTCTAGCTAAAGGTTTGTAAATACACCAATCAGCACTCTGTGTCTAGCTCAGGGATTGTAAATGCACCAATCAGTACCCTGTCAAAATGGACCAATCAGCTCTCTGTAAAATGGACCAATCAGCAGGATGTGGGTGGGCCAGATAAGGGAATAAAAGCAGACTGCCCAAGCCAACAGCGCAAGCCACTCGGGTCTTTGTTCTTTCACTGTTTGCAATAAGTCTTCCTGCTGCTCACTCTTTGGGTCTGTGCCACCTTTATGATCTGTAACACTCACCATGAAGGTCTGCAGCCTCACTCCTGAGGCCAGCAAAACCATGAACCCACCAGAAGAAAGAAACTCCGGGCACATCTGAACACCTGAAGGAACAAACTCCAGAGGCACCATCTTTAGGAACTGTAACACTGACCGCAAGGGTCCACGGCTTCATTCTTGAAAGTCAGCGAGACCAAGAACCCACCAATTCTGGACACAAAAGGACATAGAGAGTGAGAGAAGGGAAAAGAGAAAGGATAGAGTATAGGAGGAAGAGAAGCATTACCCTAATTATGATCATCGAAAGATTGATTCCCCATCCAGATTAAGTTGGCTTCAACCCTGTATTAGTTTTTCGTTTCCTTGCAGGTGAAATAGGATGAAGAATTATATTGTCTCTGGTTCTTCCATCTTTGAGTCTGTGGTCCTTTGGCCATTAATCCACTCAGCAAATATTTCCTGAGCATGTTCCATACGCCAGCAGTCCTCTATGTGTTGATGATTCTGTGGTAATGTAGGATTCTTATTTTGAGGAAGTGAAACAACAACACCCCTTGCCCAAAGGTAGAGTAATTGGATCAGTGCCTTCATAAAAAATCCAAAAGTTGTACAAGCTTCAGTAGGGACACAGTGTAACAAAGGATGATATTTCTTATGAAACATCTACATTATTGTTGTTTTGACCATAATTTCAGCTGAACTGGTTAGGATAGTTTAATTTGACCTGTACCAGACTGTAGGCTATTCCCTGTACAGCATAGGACCCAGAACAAACTGTGATGTTTCTTAGGTAAAATTCTAATAAAATCAAATATGAGGTTTAATCAAAAGTGGAAAATAATTTTGAAGTATTCCATAGAAGACAGAATTAGTTGCATTAGCTTTGCTCTTAGGGTGGATGATTCACTGTATAATAACAATGAACACTTCTCCATTATTTATTATATGCCAGCCATTCTTCTAAGCACTGTTTTCACATCTTGACTCATTTAACCCTTACTGTCGGGTCCAGAGTTCCTGTTTTAATTATCACCATACACTTCCCATCCAGGCATCTTCTCTCTGTCCTGCTTATGTGTTAGTTTAATATCTTCGAATCTCAGGTCCAGTCTAACACCAGGTGATGTGGCTGGGTTGTTTTCCCTTAAAATTGGCCTCCCTGAATCACTATCTAGATCCATGATTGTAGTGAATGTTCCCTTCCTAAGCTCCTGCCAGAGTTCGGGGCCAGGGATGTAGTCCTCATTTATTATTATTCAACAATGACTGTCTAGGATTCCATTAATAATGTCAAATAGATATCCCAGTACCACTGTCCAAGACCTTAGGTGCTCAATAAATTCTAATTGATTAACTGACCTATCAACTACATGCATTGTTAGCCACTTCAGCAGATATAAAAATCACTATTCCATGAATATAAAATTCACTAATTTTTTTTAATTTTAAAGCAGGCATTTCAATAGAGTAGTTTCTAATATAGAGTTTATTATGATTTCATGTGGGAATAGTTCTTTCTCTCCCCAATTTCTAAAGAGTTGACATTACCTAAAGAGGAATATGTATTGTATTCATCATGATTAGGAGTGTTTACATTTGCAGTCCTCTGAGATGTCAATATAGTTTAATTCATAAGAAACATTTGATTTAAATTTCCTTACTTCCCAATTTCTTTTATTTTTTTATTTTTTTATTTTTTGAGATGGAGTCTCGCCCTGTCGCCCAGGCTGGAGTGCAGTGGTGCGATCTTGGCTCACTGCAACCTCCACCTCCTGGGTTCAAGAGATTCTTCTGCCTCAGCCTCCCGAGTAGCTGGGACTACAGGCGCCTGCCACCACGCCCAGCTAATTTTTTGTATTTTTATTAGAGACAGGATTTCACCATGTTAGCCAGGATTATCTCGATCTCTTGACCTCATGATCCACCTGCCTCAGCCTCCCAAAATGTTGGGATTAGAGGCGTGAGCCACCGTGCCCAGCCTTTCTTTGCCAATCTCTTCTGATCATAAAATAAAATATCTCATTATAAAAAGGCCCATATATTCTTTACGTGCATGTAGTTTTCTAAAAGAACAGATATTAGATGCTGTTAACTTTACTCAGAACATGTTTTAGATGTCGCTGTTACTTAGCAAACCCCAAATTATCTTACCATTATGTGGAGGCCAACTGTCAAAAGTTATCTAGAAGGAAACTGTCATATACTCACCCACCCCCTGTTTACTAAAAGTATTTTCTCCTTATAATCTACCTTATTTTTTACCTTGGGGTGGAGAATATTTGTCCTCTTTTCCTTATCTTCTGTATCACATTAGTTTTCTTACTTGTCCCATGTGCAGCAGTAGTATCTTAATGGAATTCTTTGGATTAATGTGTCCTTTAAAATTTTCATTTATGTTCTAGCAAATCTGTATAGTGCTATTAGAATGACCCACTTTTATAACAAATGGGGCTAGTTGATAAGAATAGCCAGGGGAAATTCCAAAATGTTACTCCGTGCTCAGCATTTTTTTTTTTTAAGTTTCAGCAGCAGATTTAACAGAAGATTCTATACACAAATTACAGTTTGTTCTTCAGTTGTTTGACAGAATGTTAAGCTTAACTAAATGTCCACAGTTCTCCCTACCACTCCACTTTCTCTACCCACTTTGTGGCTTTGCGTAACAGACTGTATGCAGTTGTCAATGATTATTTATTAACTGTTAATTGCCATCTATTTCAGGATCCCTGAAACAATTATTTAATGTAAGCTGCTTTTTCCAGCTAAGACTTTTCTTTAAGAAAGTGTCATAAACGGTTTGATAAGGTATTTCAGAAAGTTCTAACTTTGGATATTTGTATTAGTTCATTTGCAAACCAGGCTTTTCTAGTTCCCACATATGTGTTCTTTTAACTTTGAGGAAGTTTGGGCGAGGTTTGTTTAACAAATGAAATAATGTTCTACTGCAGTTTCTAATGTAGTTTTTGAAAGAGTAATAAAAGTCATCTTGTCCACAAATCTGGCATTCTTTCCTTTTAAAAGGCAGCTATATACAAATTATTTTTCTTTCTGATTGCCAGTTAAAGTCATATACAGTAGACTCAGGAAGGAAAGACTAAGTCCATTTGAATAATTCTATGTGTAGTCATATCTTGCAAAGTCACATGAACAATAATTTTCCTTTGGTCTTAAAATTAAAATTTCTGATATAAATGTTTTATACATTAAAAAAAAGTGGAGATCAAAACTCAGTTACCTGAATATAGAAATTGAGAAACTGAAATCCACATAAAAAAATCTGACTTTCTCCAGATTGCACATTTGGTAGGCAGTAGAGTCAGGGCTAGGATCCAGGTCTTCAGATTCCTACACCACAAACCAAACTGCAATTTAAATGAACAAAGTTTTAACTTCTTACCCATTTTTTTGAACTGATGTTCTTTATTCTTCCCTTAAAGTAATATCAAAGTTTGGTCAGTACATACTTAATGAACGTGTTTATTTTGATGTGTGCAATACTAATTGACCAGCATTCATTTTTTCTCTTTATCAATAAACTAGTATATCCAACTAGATTATTACGATAGCTGTTCCTATTTTTCTGAAATCTTGAGAGAAACTTACCAATTGACAAGGGAGTGAGGGAAGAGGAAGGAAGTAATTTTGATTGGAAGGAAATGTTGGCCAAAAGGTCACTTAACTACCCTTTCCTTTTAGCTCCAGAACATTGCAGATTGTGCATCTCCTAATAGGAAATGCCTGTGGGCCTCCAGAAGCAGCCCAGGCAGTTGCTATTTCCATTGAATGTATATATTAGCCAATTTTCTGAAAAAGGAATTTTCATGTTCTCAAAACATTAAAATGTCTGAAAATTGTACAACTCTGAATAACTTCAGCAAACTTATGTATGCAACATGACTTACATAATAAGTTCCAAGAATTATTCTTCTTTGATTTGACTTTTCAACACATGGCATCATCACTAACAATTCTAGAGGGGGAAAAAGACCCAGTAATGCGTGTTTTCACTTGCTTTCTGGTTCCAAATCCAACTTTGTAACCTTGAGGTTCATTAAATCGGATGCAATTTGGAAAATACAAAATTTAAACTTTGTAACCTTTTCTAGTCATAGTAAAGTCCTTGTAGTACAAGGAGTGCATTTGATGCTTATATCTTTTTCTTTCTGTCTTTATGTATGCTGAGCCACTTATCTGGAATTCTAAATAAACTTCTAGAGTATACTTACTCTCTCTCCAATTCACTTTTTTTTTTTTGACTACTTAACTTTCTAGACTAAGCATTATCACTTGTGCAAGACCTTTATCTGGCTACTTCCTTTAAGTCAAACAGGGCTATATGTGTCTTCTATGGACTCCCATACTACCATCTTTCTATCTTGACACTTACCTTACTGTGCGGTTTGTCCTTCACACTAGTCTCCAAGCTTTTTTTTTTTTCTCCTTTAATTTTTAAGTTCTGGGTTACATGTGCGGGATGTGCAGAGTTGTTACATAGGGAAACGTGTGCCATGGTGGTTTGTTGCACAGATCATCCCATCACCTAGGTATTAAGCCCAGTGTCCATTAGCTATCCTTCCTGATGCCCTCCTTCCCCCCATAGGCCTCTCTGATAAGACCCAGTGTGTGTTGTTTCACCATGATGTATCCATGTGTTCTTATCATTCAGCTCCCACTTACAAATGAGAACATGTAGTATTTGGTTTTCTGTTCCTGCATTAGTTTGTTGAGAATAATGACTTCCAACTTCATCCATGTTCCTGCAAAGAACATGATCTCTTTCCTTTTTATGGCTCCATAGTATTCCATGGTGTATATGTGCCACATTTTCTTTATCCAGTCTATCACTGGTGGGAATTTAGGCTGGTTCCTTGTCTTTGCTATTGTAAATAGTGTTGTAGTGAACACACACTTGCATGTATCTTTATAATAGAATGATTTATATTCCTTGGGTATATACCCAGTAATTGGATTGCTGGACCAAATGGTATTTCTGCCTCTAGGTCTTTGAGGGCTCATCACACATTCACAGTGATTAAACTAATTTACACTCCCACCAATAGTGTAAAAGCGTACCTTTTTCTCCACAACATTGCCAGCATCTGTTGTGTTTTCACTTTTTAATAATAGTCATTCTGACAGGTGTGAGATGGTATTTCATTGTGGTTTTGACTTGGATTTCTCTAATGATCAGTGATGTTGAGCTTTTTATTCATATGTTTGTTGGCTGCATGTATGTCTTGTTGACTTCTGACTTAATTTCGTTATTTACCCAAGATTCTTGAAAGCTGCTTAAGCAGTAAGACGTTAGCATCAACCATCCATCCATTGTCCTAAAATTAGAACTGACCATCTTTGCACCTGCAGTATTCAATATTTCCAGAACCTGGTAGACCAAAACATATTTGAATAGATGAATAAATAAACAAATAAGGAAATTTTATTAGTTAATGGGCTTCATTGCATAGCTTACTACTCTTTGGTGAAACTTTTCTGCTAGTGAAATAGAGAAATCAGTGACACTTCAAAGGGCTTTCAAAAAGAAGGCTCTGGGTGATTATTGAGGGTATACTCAGGCAAGCCTTGCTACAGACTGTCCTCCCTTTTTTTTTAAATAAATAATCACTGAGTCCAGGCTTTTTGCTTAGTGGCTGCTTCTTTAAGGATAATCTGGCAAAAGAATAAGCATGTCTTTGCCAAAGCATTCCCGTTGAAGAAGTGGGAGGAGCAAAAGAGAATATTTAGGGAGAGCTGTGGCTTTGGGTTTGCAATTTTGAAGCCAGTTTTTGTAAGGAATAAGTCTTTATTTTTCACTCCAATATTAGCTCAGTGGGAAGAAATTTTCTTGCAATCTTGGGAAAATTCACTGAAGTTCCCAAAGATTCTGAAAGAGTCTGGAACCAGGAGTTAAAAAACAAGAATGCTTGCTCAACTCCATACATTTATTAGCTGAACTTGGTCAATGTGCTTAACCTCTCTAAGCCTCAGTTTCTTCATATTTAAAGTGGAGATAAAATCATTCTTACTTCATAGTAAGATAATATATGTGAGAGCATCTGGAGATGCAATCATGAAAACTAATGGTTATTACTTAAAAATGTGACTGTAATTGAGAGGTTAAAAATAAATTCCAAATTGTTAGTTTCCTAAAATTCAGATTTTTAGATGGACAAGCATATTGAGTATTCAAATGCTTTTCTTTGCATATATCCCTATATAAACATATACACCTAAAGCGTATAACTATATTTTGAAGTCTAAGTGGCTCCCTCAAGGTTGCTAAAACTAGTAACTGGATCTTGGGTCATAAATGTTATTTTTCATAAGACCACTTTGCATATTTGGATAGAGGCAACTTTATAGGAATCTGCTTTTAAATGGATTTGAATGTTGACTGGAAACCAGCAGCAATAATTGTATCCTATTTGATTTTGGGAAAAGCTGAAGGCTGTGGGCATTCTGCAAAGATTTCAGGCAGTAGTGGTTACATTTTAGAGTCTTTCTACAGCTCTCTCCAAAAGAATATATGCCACGTTGCCAAGGTAATTTCCCTTATGCTGAGCACTTCCTATTTTTTAGTCCTATGTTTAAAGCAGTCAGATAAATTAGCCAGGGAATATTCCTGTTCTATTGATTAATGGTTTTACATAGCCTGAAGGTCTTTACCACTAACTCTCATCCAGATACCCATCATTACCTTTAACAGACAAGAGGTGTAAAGCAGTCTTTATTTTTTTTATCCTAAAATCCTGTTCATATGAGCAGATTTTGCTGATGACAATACCAGGAATACTTAGCAACATTGAGATAAAATTTTTCTTGGAGGTAGACATAAGAAGAAATGGGTTCTTGTGTGTAAAATGAATTTTCTCTCTTGGTTTTAAGATGACCAAATTTCAAAACAGCAATTGGGTGAAACAGTCCTTGGTAAGGTTTGATTTCTAACTCAGAAAAGGGGGATGCTTCTTTTATTCTTTGTGATGACAAGGGAGAAAATCCACACAAGTACACTACCTCTGAATCTTTATAAGCCCTTTGATTTCAAAGAAAATTGACAAACCACCTTCAAGAGCCTTTACAACTAAATATATACTCTTGAAGTAGAAACCACATTTTATTTACCTTCTTTTGTAAGTCTAGATATCTGGAAAAGTATCATGACATTAATGAATATAATAAAGATATACCAGCTCTGTTATTACCAATTTTTAGTAAGAAATAATGCTATCACCTTCTCACTTTATTTCAGCTGGAAATGTCTACATCTCAATTTTAATTTCTATTTATATATAATACTTTACTTATATATTTATATAAAGATATAATATTTAATTTATTTTATACTTAAAAATTATGCCTGGGAATTTTGGCAAACTCATTAAACATCAGTGTGAAGTGTACTTTATTAACGCCCTTAACACTTACCATACTTCTTTCTGGTTGTGAGATTAAAAGCCAGTTGAGATGGACAACTGAGGGGTGCATACATATTTTCAGAAGGACATTTTTAGTAATTATATTTACAGCTTTGCTACCAGCAGGTAATTTTTAGCTACCATTCACTTACCTAAGCTTATTTATTTCTGGTTCAAAAATAATTTTCCAGCCTTAATACAATGTTTAACATACTACTAGTAGTTTATTGAAGCTGATAATTTTGGCAAATTGATTATATAAATATACTGTTCAAAAAATCCATTCTCATTCATTCTGATTATATTTGCAGCCTGTAACTCGAACTGGCAATCTAGATAGGAGGAGTGTTCAGAGACGGATCATATACTAACTTATCTAATATTCGTAGAACTCTGTGGGGTATTAGAGGTGGTTCATAATGCCCCTAGGATTTTGCCCAGCCTGAAAGATCTAGGTCTGACAAACTTCAATCTAACAAATATTTATAGAATACCTATTATATAGTATTACTATTAATAATAATTATTTTCTCTCTCTGTTGAATTGGTATTATAAATGTACTTTGTCTTTGGGAAGACTCTTTTTGTCCTAAATTCTAAGTTGTCTAATATCAGTATAGCCGCTCCAGCTCTCTTAGGTTTATATTTGCATTCATTTTTAAAGAAAAATGAATAGATTTTCAGAAACCTGTGGGACAACATTATGCATACTAATATATGTATAGTGGAAGTACAGAGAAATAACAAAGGAAATGGGTAGAAAAATTATTTGAAAATATAAAGGACCCAAATTTCCAAAACCTGATGAAAAACATTCATTTACACATTTGAAAAGCTCAACAAATTTTAAGCAGGATAAACACAAAGTGACCCACAGCTACAAATGTAGTATTCAAATGCTGAAAAGCGAAAGGCAAAGATAAAATCTTAGAAATAGCAAGAGGAAGTCAACTTGTCATATAGAAGGTAACTACATAAGTTTAACATCTGACTTCTAATTAGAAACAATCATGGCCACAGGCAATTGGAATAACATATCTAAAATGCTAAAAGAAAAGAACTGATAACGAAGAGTTTTGGATCCAGAAAAACAATCCTTTAAAATTAAAAGGGAAACAAAGACAATCCCAAATAAACAAAAGACTGAATTTGTTTTTAGCAGTCTTGCCTTAGAAACATTTCCATTGATAATCTAAATAGATGCAGGAAAGGCCTTTGACAAAATTCAACAACCCTTCATGCTAAAAACTCTCAATAAATTAGGTATTGATGGGACATACCTCAAAATAATAAGAGATATCTATGACAAACCCACAGCCAATATCATACTGAATGGGCAAAAACTGGAAGCATTCCCTTCGAAAACTGGCACAAGACAGGGATGCCCTCTCTCACCACTCCTATTCAACATAGTGTTGGAAGTTCTGGCCAGGGCAATCAGGCAGGAGAAGGAAATAAAGGGTATTCAATTAGGAAAAGAGGAAGTCAAATCGTCCCTGTTTGCAGATGACACGATTGTATATCTAGAAAACCCCGTCGTCTCAGCCCAAAATCTCCTTAAGCTGATAAGCAACTTCAGCAAAGTCTCAGGATACAAAATCAATGTACAAAAATCACAAGCATTCTTATACACAAATAACAGACAAACAGAGAGCCAAATCATGAGTGAACTCCCATTCACAATTGCTTCAAAGAGAATAAAATACCTAGGAATCCAACTTACAAGGGACATGAAGGACCTCTTCAAGGAGAACTACATATCACTGCTCAATGAAATAAAAGAGGATACAAACAAATAGAAGGACATTCCATGCTCGTGGATAGGAGGAATCAATATCATGAAAATGGCCATACTGCCCAGGGTAATTTATAGATTCAATGCCATCCCCATCAAGCTACCAATGACTTTCTTCACAGAATTGGAAAAAACTGCTTTAAAGTTCATATGGAACCAAAAAAGAGCCTGCATTGCCAAGTCAATCCTAAACCAAAAGAACAAAGCCAGAGGCATCACGCTACCTGATTTCAAACTACACTACAAGGCTACAGTAACCAAAACAGCATGGTACTGGTACCAAAACAGAGATATAGACGAATGGAACAGAACAGAGCCCTCAGAAATAATGTCGCATATCTACAACCATCTGATCTTTGACAAACCTGAGAAAAACAAGCAATGGGGAAAGGATTCCCTATTTAATAAATGGTGCTGGGAAAACTGGCTAGCCATATGTAGAAAGCTGAAACTGGATCCCTTCCTTACACCTTATACAAAAATCAATTCAAGATGGATTAAAGACTTAAACGTTAGACCTAAAACCATAAAAACCCTAGAAGAAAACCTAGGCAATACCATTCAGGACATAGGCATGGGCAAGGACTTCCTGTCTAAAACACCAAAAGCAATGGCAACAAAAGCCAGAATTGACAAATGGGATCTAATTAAACTAAAGAGCTTCTGCACAGCAAAAGAAACTACCATCAGAGTGAACAGGCAACCTACAGAATGGGAGAAAATTTTTGCAATCTACTCATCTGACAAAGGGCTAATATCCAGAATCTACAATGAACTCAAACAAATTTACAAGAAAAAAAAACTCATCAAAAAGTGGGCGAAGGATATGAACAGACACTTCTCAAAAGAAGACATTTATGCAGCCAAAAGACACATGAAAAAATGCTCATCATCACTGGCCATCAGAGAAATGCAAATCAAAACCACAATGAGATACCATCTCACACCAGTTAGAATGGCAATCATTAAAAAGTCAGGAAACAACAGGTGCTGGAGAGGACGTGGAGAAATAGGAGCACTTTTACACTGTTGGTGGGACTGTAAACTAGTTCAACCCTTGTGGAAGTCAGTGTGGCGATTCCTCAGGGATCTAGAACTAAAAATACCATTTGACCCAGCCATCCCATTACTGGGTATATACCCAAAGGATTATAAAACATGCTGCTATAAAGACACGTGCACACGTATGTTTATTGCGGCATTATTCACAATAGCAAAGACTTGGAACCAACCCAAATGTCCAACAATGATAGACTGGATTAAGAAAATGTGGCACATATACACCATGGAATACTATGCAGCCATAAAAAAGGATGAGTTCATGTCCTGTGTAGGGACATGGATGAAGCTGGAAACCGTCATTCTCAGCAAACTATCACAAGGACAAAAAACCAAGCACCACATGTTCTCATTCATAGGTGGGAATTGAACAATGAGAACACATGGACACAGGAAGGGGAACATCACACACCGGGGCCTGTTGTGGGGTGAGGGGAGTGGGGAGGGATAGCATTAGGAGATATACCTGATGTAAATGAGGAGTTACTGGGTGCAGCACACCAACATGGCACATGTATACATATGTAACTAACCTGCACATTGTGCACATGTACCCTAAAACTTAAAGTATAATTTAAAAAAAAGAAACATTTCTATTGATATATTTCCAAGTTTACTTATGTTTTTTCTTGTCAACTCAAATCTACTGTTGAGCTGCTCTAGTGAATTTTTTTAATTAATAACTTTTTTAAGAGCAGTTTTAGGTTCATAGCATAACTAAATGGAAAGTACAAAGGGTTCCCATACACCTCCTCCCCACCTAACACACACACAGGCCTTGCTCACACGGGCATTGACATCCACAACTGAGTGGTAAATTTGTTACAACTGATGAACTTACAGTGACACATCATTATCACTCAAAGTCCATAGTTAACAGTATAGTTCACTTTTGTTCTTGAACATTTTATGAGTTAGAAAGTATTTATGAGTTAGAAAGTATTTTTTGTGCTTCTCTTTTCTGGAAGTGATTGTAGATAATTGGTGTAATTTATTCATGAAATGATTGTTAGGATTCACCTTTGAACCCATCTGGGCCTGGTTCTTTCTGTTTGGGAAGGTTATTAATTATTGATTCAATTTCTTCAATAGATATAAGCCTATTCACATGGTCTGTTTTATCTTCTTTGAGTTGTGGTACATGGTGTCTTTCAAGAAAACAGTTCATTTCACCTTGGTTATAAAATTTGCCAGCATAAAGTTATTCAGTATATTCTCTTATTATCCTTTTAATGACCATGGAATCTGTGGTGATGTTTTGTGTTTCTTTTCTAATATTAGCAATTTTGTCATTTTTTTTCTTAATTAGCCTAGCTAGAGGCTTATCAATTTTACTGATCTTTTCAAAAAATAGCCAATATTTTGTTGATTTTCTATACTGATTTTCTGTTTTCAATTTTCTTGATCTTCTCTAACTTTTACTTCTTTTCTTCTGCTTACTTTGGATTTAATTTGCCCTTCCTTTTCTAGTTTTCTAAAGTAGAAGCTTAGATTATTGATTTTAGATGTTTCTTCATTTATATACATTCATTCGATGCTATGAATTTCCCTCTAAACACTGCTTTTACTGAAGCTTATTAATTTTAATACATTCTATTTGCTATTCTTTTTCTTTTTCTTTTTTTTTCTTTTTTGAGACAGGGTCTCACTTTGTTGCCCAGGCTTGAGTGCAGTAGCATGATCAGGGCTCACTGTAGCCTCAACCTCCTGGGCACGTGATCCTCCTGCGTCAGCCTTTCAAGTAGCTGGGACCACAGGCACAAGCCACCATGACTGCCTAATTTTTTTTTTTTTTAGGAGTTGGGGTCTCCCTATGTTGCCCAGGCTGGATAAAACATCATGTATTCAATTTCATTTAGTTCAAAATACTTTCCAATTTCTCTTCAGATTTCTTCTTTTACCCATGTGTTTAATCTCCAGGTACTTCATAATTTTCCAGCTGTCTTTCCATTATTGATTTCTAGTCTAATTATATTGTGGTGTTAAGAACAGACATTGTATCTATTCTTTTGAACTTGTTAAGATTTGTTTTATGGCTTAGAATTTGGTCTATCCTGATGACTGTTTCATGTAAGTTTGAGAAGAATGTGTAATCTGCTGTCATTGAATGAAGTAGTCTATGGATGTGCTTGATATCAGTTGTGTGATGGTTCCATGGAGTTCAAATATATCCTTACTGATTTTGTGCCTGCTAGGCCCATCCATTTTTGATAGAGGGGCGTTCAAGTCTCCAACTATAATAGTGGATTCATTTATTTCTTGCTATTCTATGGGTTTTTACCCCCATGTATTTTGGCACTCTGTTGTTCAGCCCATACATATTAAGGGTTGTTACATCTTCTCCCAGTATTGACTACTTTATTATTATGTAATGCCTCTATTTATCTCTGATAATTTATCTTGCGTTGATATCTGCTCCACCTGGAATTAATATAGCTACTCCCACTTTCTTTTGATTAGTGTTATTATGATATATTTTTCTCCATTCATTTACTTTTTATGTATAGTTCTCCTTACATTTAAGGTGTTTTTCTTGTAGACAACATACAGTCATGTCTTGCTTTTTAATCTAATGTACTTTGAAAATCTTGGCTCTTGAATTGATGTATTTATACCATTGATATTTAAAGTGATTATTGATGTATTTACTACTTGGATTAATATCTGCCATATCTGTTACCATTTTCTAATTACTGTTCTAATTACTGTTCTTGTTCTTTCATCCTATTTTTGTCTTCCACACTTTTTCTGCCTTTTTTCGTTTTAAATGGCATTTTATATTATTTATTTTCTTTATTAATATATCAATTATACTTCTTCTTTTACTTTTTCAATGGTTGCCATAGAATTTGCACTACACATTTACAACCAATCCAAGTTCACTTTCAAATAACACTCCACCACTTCACAAATAGTACAAGTGTCTTATAACAAAATATTCCCCATTCTGCCATAGTTTCTTGTATTATTCATTTCACTTATATATAATCATACATGATTATAAGTGACATGCATATATATGATTATATATAAGTGATCATACATATGTGTGTATATATAAGCACATATATAATCATATGCATTATTCCTATTATTATTTTGAACAAACTGTTATCTGTTAGATTAAGAAAAATAAAACTTTTATTTTGTTTTATTTTCATATATTCTTTCTCCAGAGCTCTTTCTTTCTTTATGTAGATCAATGTTTCTGACCTTTATGATTTTTCTTCTCTCCGAAGTACTTACTGCAATATTTCTCTCAAGATAGGTCTACTGACAGAAACATTTCCTTAATTTTTGTTTGTCTGAGGAAGTCTTTTCTTTTTCATTCTTGAAGGATAATTTTATAAATTTTTACTTTGGTCTTTTTCTCCCCACACTTTCAATATTTCACTTCACTCTCTTCCAGTTTGCATGGTTTCTGGGGGGGTTCAGATATAATTTTTATCTTTGCTCCTCCGTAGATATGGCTCCCACCTGCCCCCACTAGCTTCTTTCAAGACTTTAAAAAAATCCTTGATTTTCTGAAGTTTGAATATGGTATGCCTAGATGCCAGTTATTGGGAGTAGGAGGATTTTTTGTTTGCTTGTGTGTTTGTTTGCTTTGTCATTTATTCTGCTTGGTGTTCTCTGAGGTTCCTGGATCTGTGATTTGTTGTCTGACATTAATTTGGGTGAAATTTTCAGTCATTATTGCCTCAAATATTGCTTCTGTTTCTTTCTCTGTTTTGTCTCCTTCTGGAATTTCTGTTATGCTTATGTTACACCTTTGTAGATGTCTCACATTTCTTAAATGTTCTCTATTGGTTATTTTGTTCTGTGTCTTGTCTTTTTTTCTCTGTTTTTCAATTTGGAAGTTTCTATTATTGTATCCTCAAACTAAGGGATTCTTTTCTCAGCCACGTAAGAATCAAAAGTATTCTTCATTTCTTTACTATATTACCTCCAGCATTCCATTTTTATTCCTTCCTAGAATGTATCTCTCTACTTACATTATTCGTCTGTCCTTGCCTAGTTGTCTAGTTTTTTCATTAAAGCCTTTAGTATACTAATCATAATTCAAACATTTCTGCCGTATTTGACTCTGGTTCTGATGCTTGTTGAGTCTCCTCATACTGTATTCTTTTAATTTTTAGTATGCCTGGTCATTTTTTATTTAAAATGACATAATGAACTGAATAAAAGGAGCTGTTTTGAATAGATCTTTGGTAATGTAGTGGCAAGGTATTGGGGAGGAAAGCATGCTTTATTCCTGTGATTAGGTTTCAGTATTTTGGTGAGTTTGTCTATCTGGATTCTAAATTTCACCAGTGCTTCTCTGTTGTCCCCCTTATCCCCAATTTTAGGTGAGACAGGATGGCTAGAGGGTCTGGACTTGGGTATTTCCCTTTCCCCAGTTATGTTAGGCCCTGGTAAAACCCCGACAGGTTAGGCTCTGGTAAAATAATTTCTCCTGAGAGAAGCCCTTATTAAGAAGCACTGAATGCTCTAACCTACTTCAGAATGATTCCTTTTCCTCTTCCCTGCCAGAGCACTAGTAGATTTTCTTCTAATATTCAATACGAAGGCCTCGTAGAGCTTTAGGCAGTAAAACTCACAAAAGCGTGGCGGCCCTGTGACTGTTCCCTCTGGAGTTCATGACTGTCAGAGTTTTTCACATTGAGCATCTAACAATTCATCAGTTATAGTTCAGGTTTTTCTACCCTGGCACTGGTTCCCAAAGAGGTATCTGCCCATTGGTTTTTGCTCTGATAATTGGTGATTCTTTGTGTCTACCTATCTGACTGATTTTGGGGACAGTGATTTGCCTTGTAACTTAACTTCTCTGATGGATCTAACAATAGTTGTTGATTTTTCAGTTTGTTTAGCTTTTTATTTGTTGTTAGAACAGAATGGCAACTTCTAAGCTATTTATGTAGTAGGCCATCAGCCCCAAACTCTAGCAAATTTATTATTTCAGTTTTTGACTCCAAAATTTTCATGAGATTTTGATTTATAATTTCTATTTCTCTGTTAATATTTTCAATTTGATGTGTCATTGTTGTCATACTTTAATTTTTTTAAATGGCTCTTTTAGTTCTTTGCACATATTTATGGCTGCTTTGATGTTTTTGTTAGCTAATTCCAACATCTGGAATGCCTGAGAAATAGCTTCTATTTATTGCTTACTTTCTTATGTATGGATCATCATACTTTCCTTTTTTGCGTGTCTCCTATATTTTTTTGAAAACTCTACATATAAGATAAAAGCAATTAGAGATTCTGATTTGCCCTCTTCTCTCTTACCAGCTCCAGATTTTGAGGGTTTTTAAATGTTGGTTTAAAAACTAACATTTAGTCACATGCTAGATCTGTAGTCTGTTTCCCCTGCAGTATATAGCTACTGATGTCTCTGATGAGTCTGTCTTGTTTTTTTTTTCTTTTTTGTTGTTGTTGTTTTTGAAGCCTGGCATCATAGCAGTGCCTTTAGATCAACGTAGCCAGATGGTGAGCCAGTGATTGGTGAGAGGTTATGCTGAAACACCTTGAGCCAGTAAGCCTTCCATCCTTCACCAATGGATTTGTGAGTGGGCCAGGGAATGTGTTTACATTCAAGCAGCCTACAACTTGGCCTGAGATTTTATTTTCGAATAGGCCTTCCTTTTCCTATCTCCTGTGCATGTGTGCAAGGTCTCACATTCAGGCAGGGATATGTTGATTGCTAGGACCTTCTGTAGTCTCTTGAGGATACTCACGACCTTTCATATGCACTCAAACTTCCAGTCTTCCATGGAAATATAGGAGCTCTCAAAGCCTGACATAACTCTCTAAGTACCCAAATTGTTCTGTTAAATTTCTGGCTACTGTAGACAGCATGTTGACTGCACCAGCCAGTATTGCAACCTTAGACTACTTCCATTTTTGCTTTCCCTGAAGTTTGCCACTGAAATCACTATTGTTTTCAAAAACTATGCATGGGATTTTCCCACATTCTGCTCCAAATGAAGTTGGCCCCCTCTGGCAGTAAAGCTGCTGGTTTTCATAGCATTTTCTGCTGGTAGAACTACTGTACCCACAGAATTTTGTGGGGTGGGAAGAGATGGGGCAATGTGCAGCCCCAGACTGGAATAACACAGGCTCTCACAGTTGTTAACTAACATTCAGCAGTTTTTTTTTTTAATCAATCATTTTTAACTTGCTATATGTCTTTAGTCAGTTTTCAAAGTCCAGAAATGGCTATTGTTGGCAATTTCTGCCCAGTTTTAAAGTTGTTCTTTGGGGACAGGATTTGCTGAGCTCCCTATTCCACCAGTCTGTAATAATAATGAACAGTATAATAATAACATTTATCATGTGCCAGACTACTGTTCCAAGTATTTTACTAATTTATTTAAATTAATTTACACTAATTTACTAGTTCATTTATCCTTCACAATCCTATGATATTCATTTTGACCCCACTTACAGATCAGAAAACTGAGGCAGATATCTGACAGCTATTAACTGGCAGAGTCAAACTTAGGAAATGTCTCTAGATTATGAGCAGTTGAGAACTGTACTTTACTTCCTACTTCATTTATAATCCCTAACAACCTTATTGAAGTAAGTATAAGTAGTATCGTAATTTATTGAGGAGGAACTCAGGCTATTTAACTTTTCTAAAGTCACAAAAATTATTAAGAGGCCAATTTAGGATTAGCCTACATGTCTGACTGAATCCAAAGCCTGAGCTGATACTTAACACAGCCTGATAATATAATCAGAGCAAAAAGAATCTACAGAAGTAGTCTGTAAACACAGAGAAACAGCATTAGCAGAGCCTGGCCTGTGTATATATGTGCATGCATATGTGTGTATTAGAGTGCGTAGGAGGGCTAGAGAAAGAAAGGCAGGGTTTGTGATGATATTAGATGGAAGGAGAGGAGAATCATGGAAGATGTTTTTAAAGGCTAAGTAGGAGTTATACAGGGAAAACTTGGCAAGCAAGACCATCCTAAGCAGAGGATGATTAAGAAAACAAAGAGTATAATGAAAACATGATTTGAATTTTCTTCCATCTCTTCTCCCTGCCCTACCAACTGCTTTCAATCCTTGGTGCTTTTTGCTGTAAGTTTGTTGTCTGATTAACATTTGTTTACTATATTAAAGGAGTATCTGTAGTTTAATTAATAGAATGCAAGTGAAAATTTTTCTGGTACCCTTTTGAGTCTTCCTATTCCAAGAAGATATGAAAAGAAAGAAAATAAAAGAAAAGAAAAGAAAAGGAAAGGAAGGGAATGGAAAGGAAAGGAAAGAAAAGAAAAGAAAAGAGAGAGAGCAAGCAAGCAAGCAGCAGTGAGCTATGCTTGAGCATGAACTGTTAGAAACTTATCCTATCAGCGTCCCAGTTGACCCTGTGACAGAATACTTAAAGGTCAACAAAGAAAAGTGTCCAGAGAGAGAGAAATTCTGTCTCTGAGACTTCTAGAGATAGAATTGGTGCATAAAATTCAGAGTCCAGAACGCCTTAATCCGACTAGCTATCACAACTTGAGTATGCATGACCCCTTTCAAACTCCTGGATCAAGTCTGAGAAACACTAATAGATATGTAGAAACTTCTACATTTTTCTTTGAAAAATATATTGCTTATACTTTTTTGTCACTTTAGACTTCTAAGTTAATTGAATCTAACAGAGAAAAAACAGGGTAAGTCAGGTCTTCTGTATGAATATTGAACACAACTGCCCCGTGCATATACGTATGTGAATATATGTATATATACATATATATACACCAAGCAGTAAAGCTTATATGTTATATATGAAATATGCTTATATATAATTATATGTAATTATATATATGCAAATATATATATATATATATAAGCTTTACTGCTTAGCATATAGTAAATCTTCAGCAATATTAACTACAATTATTTAAAAGGTTTTTTCCAGGTCTGCTATTGGCTTATTTAATTTCTACCTCTTCACCTTTCTTAAAAGAGACCAGTGTGGCATGTATGTACATGTCTGCTAGGGGGAGGGGGATGGTAAGTGAACCATCAGGTAACCATCAGGAAACTGATGGTTATTGCTTGCAGGAAATTTTTTAAAACATCACTATATATACGATTGTTATAAGAATCCAATGCAATAATGTATGTGAAAATAGTATGAAAATTAATAATACTGTTGTTACCATAATCTAAAAATGTTAGATATAAACAACTTTAAACCTTACAATTTCTATGTTATCACCTGGGCCAGACATTCGGTAGGGGACAAAACCTATTAATAAGCAGTCCTTGTCATGGTCCTAAAGTACTTTGAAAAAGGTGAAATAAAATAAAGCAGCAGAATGCTTTCCCTTAGTATCTGATCTGGAAATACTGGTATGACCTTTATTGTAACAAGCAGCCCGAAGCATTTTTCCAAAATCACAGAACTTCAGATGAAGGAGCAGGGTGATGTGGCTCTATAGCTCTTTTCCCAAGGTTGTGAAGATAGTGATGTGCTTTTTAAATGGGATGAAAAGAGATTATATGAGATAGCGAAGAAGGTGGGGGTAGTCACTCAATAAATATTTGTTGATTGATGAATTGATCTTGAAAACTGCTGAAAGGGTGACCTATATTTAGATGAAAAGGGATGCAGCTCATTGTTAGCAAGATTTGAAGTAAAATGATTAGAGAGAAATTAAGGCAGTTCACGCCTTTGGAAACTGACAGTGGTAAGATTTTTGAATAAAAGGGATTTTAAAGATATACAGCAAATAAAAAGCCTTTAGCATAAGAGTCAATCCATTTATTTCTTTAATAACAATTTATAATGCGGCTACTAGGGGCAAACATAAGTTCAGTTATAATAGGTGCCATAAAAGAAACACAAATTTAAAAGATAGTTCCCCATCCGAGCAAGAGGACAGTATGTCAGGGAAGAGAAATCACAATGTGAGGAGCTGGCAAGAGGAAGACCACAAGTATAGTAAGAGAGGTGCTCTGCTATGTATGACCAGAAAGAAAAATTATTGTTTTAATGTCAGATACTGGATTCAAACACTAGATATTTCCATTTCTTTCTCCATCCCTATAGGCACTCATTTGCTAATTTTGTTCAACAAATTTATATTGAGCACATACTTTCCATCAGTAAGTAAGGATGAGGATGAACAAGATTCTCCTGGTTTCACATTGCTTATGAAAGCATAACCTTGAAAAAATTGTTTAACTTAGAAACTAGCTTCTTTGATAGTAAAATCAACATTAAAATGCTAAGCTCTCAAAATTGTTACAATTATTAGATGAACTTAAGATAGTGTCTGGCATGTACTACATATTTAACAAAATCCAGTAGTAGCAATAGTAGCTGCAGTAGTAGTAATCATTTTTATTGTTATTAGCATTTTTTCTGGAGATAACAGGGTTATGATTTCCAGGGTATCGATAAGAAAAATATTTTTGATTCGATGGACAAGACAGTCTTTAGTTGGTAAAAATGGGAGATTCCCACACCACCAATAGAATGCAGCTCCATAAAGGCAGAGGCCTTTTTTTGTTTACCACTATAGCCCTAGGACCTAACCTAATACATGGGAAATTTTAGGCATTCAAAATATTTTTCTACATTAATTAGAATTTTAATAAACATAAATTGCATTAAGGCATTTAAGGCAGCGTATGTGGCATTAGTAAAGATACCAAAAGGAGGAGGTGTTCAGCTCAATTACTTGGCTAGAAAACGTTTTTGAAGATGAGAAACAGGGTATTTAGCTAGAAAGGTAGGTTGGGGACAGCTGGTGGATGGTATGAAATGTTCTCTGGGGATTAAAAAATTATTGAAGCTACTTGAGCAGTAAAATTCCTTGATGAAACATTTTAGGAAAATAAACCTCAAAGGATATGAAGAATAGATTGATGTTGAAAATCAATAGGGGAAGAAGTATTTTTAGGAAGTTATACCAATGTTCTTAAGAAAGTGATAATTTGAACATGAAATAGGATGGCGGGAATTGATAACAAATGTAAAGGATGTATATGACAAAAAAAAAATCTCCTTAACAGAGATATAGAGTGGTAGACTGCAGGAAATTATGGTTACAATTAGGCAAGAGCATCTGTTCTGTTTTAGATGTATTGAGACCAGGGCAGTACTTAAGTGTTTACTCAGAAAAAAAAAAAAAAAAAAAAAAGGCCGGGGGGTGAAGTCAAAACTCAGGTAGATTATAAAAGCAACAAAGGACAGAGCTTGGCAAATGTTCATATCTGGCAGGAGTAAAATAAATGGTCATCACTGCCGTGGACAGAGCAGTAGGGAGGAGACTAGCAAGGATAGACCCTGTGATGGAAGGAAAGGGAAGTTGCGAGTGGTGGGTGGTCACTCTAGTGCCAAATACTGTATGAAAGCCAGGGCAAATGAAGACTGGGAAAGATCATTGTATTTAAATGTGAAAAAGCTTTTGTTGATTATTTTGGGTTCAACTTTTGTATAATAGTGGAACACAAACAAAAGCTGCAGAGGATTGAGGAGAGAGAGGGGATGAAGTAGAGAACATTGATATTTTCCCTCATGCTACAGTCATATTATACTCAAGTAAAAGAAAATATTCTTGACTATCTGGTTAGATCATCATATTCGTAAAGTCTCATCTTTTGGCTTAGCACCCAGTTTTTATTTCCCTAAATATTTTGGCTATGTGCTTTGAGTTCTTGATACTTTTGGACACTTGCTTGCAAATGACCACATGATTTGCATAGATGGGTGGTGAGGTGAGGGAGGAGATTTGTTGGGACAAAAACCTTGTGTATCATGATGCCTTACAACCATTGATCAATTGTGTTCTTAACACCATTTACTGTTCTCAAAGAGCATGTACAAACTCATGAAATATTTAAACCCAAAGAACAAAACAGCCTGCATCAGGCTGGAGCCAAGTGAATGCATTAAAACCACCTGTTATTCTCCATCCTGCACATGGTGCAAAACAAGGGAGCAAAGCTGAGAGAAAATGGACTCCTTCCAAATCAGGCAAATCCAGTTTTGAACATACTAAGTAACTATATTTGTTCCTTTGTTACAAAAGCCTTTAATCAAGACAATTTTGTATATAGAAAATGATTATTTTATGCATATAAGAACCCTAAGCTATTTTTCTTAATTTCTTCTGATGGAAATACTGATAAAAATTATTATAATTTTATAGCTAAAAAGCCGCTAATTACAAAAAAACGTGTGCTTTCTAATTAAAATTTTAAAAACATAGTAGTTATTAAGTCTGTGATTATTTTTCTAGACCCAAAGTTGCGTGTGTTATAAATACTTCATAACAAAGGCAGATAATTTTTTAAAAAAAAAGTTATTTAAGGGCCTTGCACAGTGGCTCACACCTGTAATCCCAGCACTTTGGGAGGCCAAGGCGGTTGGATCACCTGAGGTAGGAGTTCAAGACCAGCCTGGCCAACATGGCAAAACCTCATCTCTACTAAAAATACAAAAATTAGCTGCGCATGGTGGCGGGTGCCTGTAATCACAGCTACTTGGGAGGCTGAGGCAGGAGAATTGGTTGAACTCGGGAGGTGGAGGTTGCAGTGAGCCGAGATTGCACCACTGCACTCCAGCCTGGGCAACAGAGCAAGACTCCACCTCAAATAAATAAATAAATAAATAAATAAATAAATAAATAAATAAGAATGGAAAAAATTATAGTATACTGATTTTTTCTTTATGTGGTAGAAGCTATGATTTAGCATTCGCTGAGCTCGGAAGTTTTTGTAATTAAGATTAGAAATTTTAACTTGAAATTAGAGTTTACTGGTAGAACAAATTCAGGTGAATAATAGGAATAGTGATCTTACCAAACTCAGAATCTTAACTAAGAATATCAGTGATTGTTTTTATAGCTTGTGAGCGTTTATTTAAAGAAAGGAATAATGAACTATGATGAGTTTTTAATAAAACTGCATATTTTAAACCAGTCTTATTATAACTTCATAGTATTCATAAAATAACCAGATGTATACCTTACATTAAAACAGGTTCTAAACAAAGCTTAAGCAGAAAATCTTTTGCTTACTACTAAGTGTTTAAATAAGTAATTTTGACACTTACACAAATGTGTGTAATGCATAACAAAGATGAATTCTAACAGCTTGTAAGTACAGAACTGTTATGGAATCCAGGTCTTTTAGATTCCACAATCTAAACTTTTAATTTCTGTGTGATAATGCGCTGTAACTTGAAAAAAGGGCCTGTTTTTGGTCACTATCTTTAGTGAAGATAGTCTAGGAGAAGGGACATTAGTTAAAGGTGGTGATGGACAATCTAGTTGTATTAATGCAAGCCTCAGGCTTTTGTAATGTGTTTTGTCCTATTTAGAGCTTACATTCTGGTGGAATGACTCACTTTTTCAGCACTCAACTGATTTTCATATATTCAGCAGAGAAAATTTGACCCAGCAATCCCAATACTGGACATCTACCCAAAGGAAAATAAATCATCGTATCAAAAAGATACCTGCACTCATATATTTATTGCAGCTCTATTCACAATAGCAAAGATGTGGAATTAACCTCAGTGTCCATCAGTGGGTGATTGGATAAAGAAAATTTGGTATATGTATACAATGGAATACTATTCAGCCATAAAAAAGAATGAAGTCTTTTGCAGCAGTAAGGATAAAACTGGAGGCCATTATCTTAAGTAAAATAACTCAGAAACAGAGTCAAAATACCACATATTCTCACTTATAAGTAGGAGCTATGTAATGTATGGAATAATAAACATTGGAGACTTTGGAAGGATGAGAAGGTGGGAATGGAATGAGGGATAAGAAATTACCCAATAGATACAGTGTACCTTAGGTGATCCTTACACTAAAAGCCCAGACTTCACCACTAAGCAATATATCCATGTAACAAAACTGCACCTGTACCCCTTAAATTCATACAAATTTTAAAAATATAGCGAAATATGATAAAAAGATGGGAGTAAAGAACATCAGCCTCCTCAAGTTTTTTCTTTTGGTTTGAAGTAGAGCAAAACTTTCTTACGTTTTTTCCTTTTTAGAGAGAAACAGCTACTTACTCTTTCCCTCCAGAAACCTGAGATCTTTGAGGAGTAGAAATGGAAAAAATGCTTATGGTAATGTCCTCGAGTGGAGCCAAGACGGAAAGTGATACCACTATTTAGTTTCCTCCCTGTTGAGGCCTTTTATAGGTTAAAGAGAAGAGATAAGACAGAGATATTCAGAGGTCAGAGAGATATCACCTGGCAAAATTATGGGTTGCCAGTTAGGATCTTTAGAATAAAGAGTAATAGAAAAATCACAGTAACAATTGGTCAGGTGCACTAGATGGGAAGAAAAGCCCTGTTGCTAGGTCAGAGCTGGGAGGGACCTCAGAGGTTATCTATCTGCATGAGAAAATTAAAGCATCATGACAAGCCCAAGGTTACCTAGCATGTTAAATCACAGACTCAGGAGTACAATGCAAGCATCAGACTCTTAAGGTCAGTGCTGTCTCCAGTAGAACATTCTGAAGATGTGGTTAATATTGCTGTCTCTGTTTTGATAGGCCTACACATTCTCATGAACACCTGCCATGAACACACTCAGCTCATCCCATCTCCTCTATGAAAAGTTTTCTGACTCACTGCCGGTGGAATCACCTATTCCTATTGCCTCCTTTATGTCACCTCTGCAGCTGCTGCAGTCTATAGACATCTACCATAGCACTCCTATCGCTTTGTTACATGTTTCCATTCACTTGTCTCTATCTGTTAGACTGAGTTATTTGAGGGCAGGAACCATATTTCACCCAACTTTGTATCTCCAGTGCTTATCATTATACCAAGTACATGATAGGTACTAAGTATTAATGTATTTAATTGATGTTTTAATTTATTCAGTATTTAAGTTGGAAATTATTTTTAAAATTTGCAAAAATTTCCTGAGATGGGAGGATAAATTCAAGCCATATTTCACAGGAAAGGGCAGCTGTTGTTAGGGGCTGCCCATACTTAGGCAAAGATACAGTTTAAACACAACTCAATTTTTGGAGTTCATAGGTGACTTGGGTCTAAAGATTTTTCTGGAGACCTGCTTTGATCAAGGCATGGTGTCAGAAGGTACAAGGGTAAAAAAAAGGTTAATATACAACCTGTGCTCTCATGAACATGAGGATATAGGAAATGCCTTGAGAATAGCCTTAAGAAAGTGAGTGCCAATAGCAGAGCAACATAATGATCAATACTGGGCAAGGGAATATTTTTTTTAAATGAAAAGTGAGTATACACAAGATTGGGAGAAAGTTTAGTTGAGATTTTTTTTTTTTTTTTGAGACCAAGTCTCACTCTGTTGCCCAGGCTGAAGTGCAGCGATGTGAACTCGGCTCACTGTAACCTCTGCCTCCCTGCTTCAAGCGATTCTCATGCCTCAGCCTCCAGAGTAGCTGGGACTACAGGCGTGAGCCATGATGCCCAGCTAGTTTTTGTATTTTTAGTAGAGATGGGGTTTTATCATGTTGGCTATACTGATCATGAACTCCTGACTTCGAGTGATCCACCTGCCTCAGCCTCCCAAAGTGCTGAGATTATAGGGGTGAGCCACCACGCATGGCCAAAATAATATTTTGAGTGAAGGCCACACTTGTTTGAGAACAAAAGCTAAGGTAATTCCTATACACAAGGCAGTGCATCTTAGATTGGTTCAAGAAAAAGATGTTTGAGTTAGGAAAGCCTTTTAGTGGATATATAGAAAAAGACAAGTTTGTTTGCTTAAGTTATGTATTACTGGAGAAATTAGCAAACATTCAGTATTTGATCAGACAAATTTTGTGACCCTTATAGATTTGTATCCAGAACTAATAATAATAGCTATCATTATTGAAGATCTGCTTTGTGCCAGACAGTTAACATGTGTAATATTATTTATTCCTACCAAGAATTTTATGAAGTAGAAACTGAGAAGAAAACTGTTTGGGATTTTAGCTAAAATTTCTTTAATCACTTAAGATGTGTGATAATTCATATAAATTACCTAATGTAATCATTGCAATAACCATACGAGGAAGAACTATTTTTAGTACTATTCTTCACATAAAGAAATTGAGGTTTTAAGAGATTAAGGAACTTACCCAAACTCGCACTCATCAAAAATGTTGGAAAGAAGATTCAAATCTGTCTTTTCTTACTCTGGAAGCCATGTTTTTGCCTACCGAGTATCACACTGTATGTAAGGTCAAGTGTAAAGAGCAGTAATGCATCATGACATATTTACTATAAGAGATACTCCAAAAGAAGGGAAGGATGAATATTGGCAAGGTACTAAAAAAGAGGAATGCAAATGAGTGTGTGTGTTTGTGTGTGTGTGTGTGTGTGTGTGTATGTGTGTGTGTGTGTTGATTTGCTGTGGCATTTGATGGTGGTGTGACCCTGTAATTCAGGGCTTCTGAGAGGAGCCAAGCTCAGAGATGAGGATAAATAAACAAGGAATGGCAAAAGGCATGGGCCCAGTAGGCATGGCATCCCCATTAGCAACCAAGGTCTTCTTTGAGTGCATCAGGTTTAACCCATCCAAAAACTTCATTTGTTGATTCACTGATTTATCTACTTACTCACTCACATAGTCATCATTGCTAGCCACTGTAATATATGCTGCATCTGTGGATGAAGCAAAGTGGCATTGCCCCACCTTACTCTGGAAGTGACAAGAGACCACAAGAACTGGAGGTCCCAATTTGCATGATGATCACATTCCTCCCAAAGTCCAATTGTAGTGCTAGATGCTAAAACAATAATAATCAGAGGTATACCTTGTTAACTATATCATAATTACTTATAATAAGGAGAAGGATTAGAACATCGTCTGTCATATTCTCTACTACTGACTTAATCTATGTAAACGACAAAGAGTAAATAGATCTGCACATACCTTGCATGTGGCAATAGTGGCGCTGCAGCTTTAGTCTACCTCTATATTTTAAATATTAGATATCACTCTTGTATGAGGCCTTAATATATTTGTGTTTCGGTGCCTCTTTAAAGGTTGTGTGTTTCTCTAGAATATGGCTGTATCTTAAAATATTTTCTCAGTATCTGTCACTGTTCTTGACACTTTATGCATGCTTAATAATTGCTCTTTGGGTAGAATTGTGTTTAGTCTAAAAAAGTGAATGCTTTGATATCCTTGTTTCAGCACTTTTATAATATGTGACACAGAGATATATAAAAATTTATTCATCTTGGGCCAGGCGTGGTGGCTCACGCCTGTAATCCCAGCACTTTGGGAGGCCAAGGTGGGTGGATCTCCTGAGGTCAGGAGTTTGAGACCAGCCTTGTCAACATGGTGAAACCTAGTCCTTACTAAATATACAAAATTAGCTTGGCATGGTGGTGCATGCCTGTAATCTCAGCTACTTGGGAGGCTGAGGCAGAAGAATCACTTAAACCTGGTATGCAGAGGTTGCAGTGAGCCAAGATCGCACCACTGTACCCCAGCCTGGTTGACAAGACTGAAACTCCGTCTCGAAAAAAAAAAAATTATTCATTTTGGAGTTTAGTATATCCTTAGCCTTAATGAAGCTACAAAGGTGGCAAAGAACAAGCAAAACATTTCAGAGAAATTATTATTTAAGATTCCAATGAAACAACATTAAAATATGGATAGTTCACATTTGTTATGTATGGAGAACCTCTTTTCAGGAGATAAAAATATATCTCAAAATCAAATTATATCATCATCCAGGCAGGTGATTACTATATCATTGAAGTAGAAAAAAGGCCATAAAATTAACTAAAAGCTGTTGGAGAAAAACAAATATTTAATGCATTCAACATTCATTAAATTAGAGCTTTAAATTAAATACCAAGTTTAAATTTGAGTTGGCTGTGGGTCACTCTCTTTGCTTAACTGCCATATGATTCTAGGAAGGCTACATGCTCAGAACAGCACAGGACAATGTGTGACATCAGTTTGATTTTCTGGCCACCAGAGAAATCTACCAGCTGTCACCACAGAACCATAAAGTTCAGAAAAATCAAGTATCTTAAACATGCACACACATTTTTCAAACACTGAAAAGTTTAATCTATTTGACTGACTCTCCAAGTCTATGAAAATGTCAATCCTCTGATTTTTCTAGTTCTCAAAGTAGAGAGGAGGCTGTGACAGTTAGGGCCAGAACTGGAATAACAGAAACCCCAACTGTGAAGCTCTCCGGGCCCCAAACTATCAGTAGCATAAAATATGACCAAGGTACTTAAATATTACCGTAAGTGTTACTGTACAAGAAAAAAAATGTATTCGGCCGAACTCTTTTGAGGAAAAGGAATTGAAAATCATATGTCGATAACCTGATTGGGAATATTATATGAGACACCAAGGCAAGTTCAAACAACAATGGATTGTTTGCAAACCACCCAAAAGATGATGGGAGCCATTTATAACAGTTTTGGTTTTGCTGAGTGAGGATACACAAGATTATGGTTAGGGGTGAATTACTGTAGATACCTCTCAGTGTTTCATCACTCAGTAAGCAACCACTGTAGAGAGTTTATTTAGAAATAAAGTCGAAATAAGTATTTAAATCCTTATTTAATACTGTACTGGTATATTCGTTTGAAAAGGCACCAAATTTTCACAAATTAAGATCGAGGTATTGTTTTTTTCTTTCTTTCTTTCTTTCTTTTCTTTTTTTTTTTTTTTTTTTTGAAGCAGAGTCTTACTCTGTCACCAGGCTGGAGCACAGTGGCACTATCTAGGCTCACTGCAACCTCTGCCTCCCAGGTTCAGGCCATTCCCCTGCCTCAGCCTCCTGAGTAGCTGGGACTACAGGTGCACGCCACCCTGCCCAGATAATTTTTTGTATTTTAGTAGAGACAGGGTTTCACCATGTTGGCCAGGATGTTATCGATCTCCTGACCTCTTGATCCGCCTGCTCCTGCCTCCCAAAGTACTGGAATTACAGGCATGAGCCACTGCGCCCAGCCCTGGGGGGGTATTCTTAGTTCTTTTGTTCTGTCTCATTCTTTCCCTCAAGATATTTGCCATTTCTTGTCTTAGGAGTCCTTTGGCAGAACATAGACCACACTCTCCCTGTAATGAGAGAATAGAGATTAGGGCCTTTCCAATGTCTTTTCTGAACTCTCTCACTGGCTCCTGTGATTCCGTGCTCTAAATGCTCCTCATGTAAAAGGTTGAAATGATGCCTCACCTATGCTAAAAATCCTTCATGCTTCTACGAGTTCACGAAAGCTTGTTGTAGACATGGGATGCTTTGTTGTTGTTGTTGTTGTTTGTTTAGTTTTGTTTTTGAGACGGGATCTCACTCTTTCACCCAGGCTGGAGTGTAGTGGTGCGATCTCGGCTCACTGTAACCTCCATCTCCCCTGTTCAAGCAATTCTTCTGCCTCAGCCTCTGAAGTAGCTGGGACTACAGGCACCTGTCACTATGCCCAGCTAATTTTTGTATTTTTAGTAGAGACGGGGTTTCACCATATTGGCCAGGCTGGTCTCGAACTCCTGATTTTGTGATCTGCCTGCATCAGCCTCCCAAAGTGCTGAGATTACAGGTGTGAACCACCCAGCCGGGATGCTTTGTTTTAAAAGCAAAGTTACATTGCAACCTTGATGGCATCATCTCTCCTGATGAAAAGAACCTGGATACTGTTGAATTAGACAAATGATATTATTTTCTTGAGTTGAAAATGAAAGACCCATGAGGTAAATATAAGCCTGCAATAGTTTATGTAGCTGACTAAGGAACTTTGGAATACCAATTAGGATATGCATATATAATACTTCTAAAAATCTAAGAGTCAGCATTTAGGATCCTAGAAATGTTAAGCGTAGGTTTTGATAGGCCACAACTATGCAGTGTATGCCACTAAAATATTCTTGTCTTTTAAGCACTTCCTAAAAGAATTTCTTTGAGCCTTTAGACATTTATTATTAGAGGCGTGTTTTTCTCTCTTGGAAGTTGTTTTTTTCTCCCCAGTTTGCAGCACTTTAATAATGTGAAGTGATTCAGTTTGGAGAAGCACTGAAGCAAAGAAAAGCCTCATGGAGCCATACTGAGGGAATGAAAATGTATCTCGTTAATTCAGCCTTCCCCTATTGTCCTCTTCCTATCCATCAAAGAAAATTATTTTAAAAATCATTCATATGGAAACATACAAGGAGTTTGAAGTGTGTTTGTGTGTGTGTGTGTCTGTGTGTTTTACTTTTGCATATACAAAACAAAACCCTCTAGAAAGCTGCTAAAGCTTTCTGACATCATCAAGTCCTTTTCTGTGAGTCATTAAGTTGCTGAAGCCTAGAAAATCAAATTTAGTTTAGGGCTGTTTGATAATGTAGTAAAACAGTAAATTGTGATTCACCAATTAGCTCACGTAATTAGAAAATCAAAAACATGCTGTGAGTGGGTGGTGGACACACCTAAGTAAAGTCCATTGTCATTGTCATTCTATATGTTCACTGATTATAACTATAATTACACCTTTAGGTGATGATACTACATTCAATTTTTTGTTACAAAAGAGAATCCACAAATATCTATGTTTATAAATTACACAAGTAAATTAATTACTTAGTTCAGTCACTCATTCATTCACTATCTTTTCCCTCATTATTTTCTTGCCAGGCTCTGTGTTAGGCAACAGGGCTGGCTGTCTGGGCCTTGCCTGCATAGAACTCTCAATCCCTGGTACTGGGTATAAATTCTTCTAAGATAGAAAAGTAAATGTAAGTTAGAATCCTATAAAAAGTATGGCTTTATAGTTAAAATGTAGTCCTTCTGGCTGATTCCTAAATTCCAATGATGTTGCCAAGACACGTATCAGAAATAAGAAACAACCGATTTGAGAATTTTCTTGCTTAGAGGTTTTGCCTGGTTGAGAAGAATTCTGAGATAGATGAAAATGAGAAAGGAATATTTGTTAGATTATTTTAAACCAACTTTTCATATGGCCTCTGTGCACATTTGTGGAAATCTAAGGTGCCTGGCTGTATTTAAAATGTATTTCTCTCTGTAAATTCAAATCAATACAAGGATTGGTTGGATGGTTGAAACAATTCGTCACTAAGCATTTCAAAATGTGTCTTACTTTGCTCATTTCTTACTGCTACTGAGGTACATAGGTATGGTTATATGGTCCAGGGCTTTCCAATAAAGATAATAAAAGGATGATGGGGATGATTTACCTGAGCTTGAGCCACTAAAGAAAAGGTATTTCTCAGATGATGCAGTCATTTTCATGCTATTTTTCTATTCAAAAATGGAACAATGTTGTTCTGCCATTATCACTGATTTTTAAGGTCATATTTTAGTGTTCAAACATAACATTTTTTAAAAAACAAGAAAATTATTTTCCTCATAATTGTATCATTGCCCCTAGATGATTTGTTCTTTGTAAGCTCACAATATGTATTTTGTGTTATTATACCTCACTACAAAAAAATCACAGAATTACTAAGGGAAGCAATAATCTTTGAGTATTTTTTGTAGCATCTCAGTCATATATTTTAGAATAGCATAGATTATGTTTCACTTGAATGAAAATGCACAATCAGAAATATCAAGAAAATGTGGTTATTTATAGCTAGAATGAAAATTTCACCCCCAAGCATTATTTAAAATGCAGCTGTCTCCTCCTCAACATGTATTTAATAGTTCTCTTCTTATTTTTTCCCTATTTACAGGTCAATGGGACAGAAATTGAATATGAATTTGAAGAAATTACACTGGAGAGGGTAAGAAAAAATTTTGAAAAATCCAAAGCCCCAATCTTGCATTTCACATTCTATTCTAATCTTAATGAGTTGTCTTGTGAAATTATACAATTGTGTTTTATAACCTGGAAGTTTCCCACAGGACTCACAATGAGAATATTAATGAAATGCTCACAGTAGAAAGCATTGAGACAGCAGACCAAATAACTGAATGTTTAGTATGTAAATTTCATTGCCAGGATTTGGAGAAATGAATGGAAAAGAGAAATGTTTGATGAGCTTGTACAGCACTTTGTTCTTAATGGTTTTATTATTAGTGTTTTGGCTATACATTATTTAGATATGTTACAAGATGTTTTCATTTGTGTGATATCGATACTATCATCATAATTATAGTTACCATGTGTTTCTTACTTAGTTTAAAAAACAAGTGGTGCATTTTAAAACTACTCCCATAGGAAAAAACACAGCAACCCCATAGAGCTCTGCAAATATGCTGGTAGGGTCCTGGCAAAGTGCTTTGACAAATTAAGGAAACTGTGCAACACAACCCTAATATATGTAGATATTTTACAGAACAATAAGAGAAAGGCCAAAGACCGTGTAGAAAAAAGTGACCAAAAAGCATTAACAGGACATTCATTAAAAAAGAAAAAGCCAATAAACAAATGAAAACCTGTTCAACCTCATTAAGAACAAAGGAAGACAATGAGAGCAAACAAGTTTTGCCTGTCCAATTGACAGAAACTTAAAAGGAATGTGAATATTCAATGCCAGTGAGAGGTTCTGAAAATTAGTACAACCCTACAAGAGCAATTTGGAAACATAGATTAAAAGCCTTTAAAATGAATACACTCTTTGACCCAGAAATTGTACTTACAGTAGCGGACAAATACACGATGAATGTGTGTATTGATATGGTTTATAATAGTGAAGATTGAAAAACATAGGTGTTTAATAATAAACAAAAAAGGATAATGTGTTTATTATGTATTCATGTAATATAAATTATATTAAAATATACTGAAATAATACTTTAGAAAAATATGTAATTGCAAGGATAGAAGGTCTACCTAGATTATATTATTAAATTAAAAATTAAGTTTTAAAATGGTATTTAAAATATAATTCAGTAGACACAAAGCTATATAATATAATATATATACATAAATACACTCATAAAGCCTGGAAAGATGTACACCAAATGTTACACATGTTGGTGGCTAACTCCTGTTAAGGATTTTGGGGTAATGTTTAGTTTATCCTTCTTGCTTATATTTATTTCATAAACCTTCTATGATAAACGCATACCACATTTAGTATAAGAAATAAAAATGTAAATATTTTCACTAAGCTATCATTCAAGTATAAATGAAGATTGTAGACCTGCACTTTAATTTATATCTCGTTTTTAGTTTACTAATTATTCACTTTCCTGAGTCAGAGCATTTCTCATCTTCAGGCTGATTTTTATCAAGTGTGAGTGCTTTTAAACCAAAATATACGTTGAAACTTAAGTGTTTGACAGATGGGTTCTTTAAAACTTCCATTATGGACTTGATAAAATTTTAATGGTATGCTAACTGGAGAAAAGTGAGGCTTATGGAAAATGAGCTCAAATGAGACAAAAAAACACATTTCTCCTGAATCATTAAGTTTCTCTCCAAGACAAGCTATATGATTTATGGAGTGCAGTACAACATGAAAACGTGGGGCCTTTCTAAACACAGGACTCAATGCAACTGAACAGGTCTCATGCCCGTGAAGCTGAGCCTTCTCCTTTTTCCTTATCCAATGTACATCACCATCTTGAATAGAACACTATTTAGTTGCCCTGGTATTGGAGGTCAAAAAATAAAAGCTAACATTGGTATGAGAGAGAACACTCAATAGGAGTCAGACAACTGTGGGTTCTAGTCTGGATTCTGATCTTACTTGTTTCCTGATCTTCAGCATGTCAGTTTACCTTGCTAACTTCCTGCCTTGGGGTTCATGACCATACTCTGAACTTTGTTACTGCCATTAACTGCCCCCTCTCCAAAGCCTCTATGTCAAGCAATATCTTTGTGAACACTTCCTCCCTTCTGTTCATATCATTTATTCTAGTACCTTCTCATTGAAACTTCTTTAGCCCCATTGGAACCTCAGATCATTGATTTCACCATTTCTACCCAGCTTTCACCTTTCTTTATGCCCTCTCTTCCCTCCCCACCTAGCATGTATTACCTGGTCCCTCACTCTAATTCTCCCTCTCATGCACTTTTTTTTCTCTTCTCTAGCTTTTTGTGCTCATCCAGCAAAACCCCAGTCCAAGTTAGCTTACGCTGGTTAAGCCAACACTTTCCTCTTCACTCCATGCCACTGCCTCAGCAACTGGATATGGCTAGAGAAACACTCACTCATCTCACTTTAAATATTTAACCATTGATTTTAAGTGAACTCTCAAGACTTTCTAGCAATTCTTATACACTTCTTTAGAAAAAATCACTTTCTCATACTCTGGGACAACAATTTCATACCTTATCATATCTCCTCAAATCTCAAGCACTCTCTTCTCTCATCTTCTCTTTCAGCTGTTGACCTGCCTTAATATGTTTTTGAGAAAATCCAAGCAATCAAATGAAAACCACATTTTCCTACTACCAGGTCTACTAGTATATTCTCCCATGGCAATGAAGGAAAGTTCCTATTCCATTCTAAGACCAACTTTTTACTTGTTACCTAGACTCCATTACCAGTTATCCATTGAATGATTTTCCTTCTGCAGTTATCTCCTCTCTCTTCTGCAATATCAAGCCCTATCTTGCTTTTTACTGAATAACTTTAACTCAGGCACAGTATATCTTTCATCTTAGAAAAAATAAGTAACCGTCCCCTGACCCTATGTTTTCCTTCCACTATTACCTCATTATTCTATTTTGCTTTACCAAAAATCTAAGAAAATTGTCTATTTTCATTAGCTCCCCCTTATTACCTCATTTTTTAAATTTTAACCTGTTTCATGTTCTCATCCCCACAATAGTCATAAATCCATTTATATCAAAGTCATTACTGGTTCCATCTTGCTAAATTGAAGCATCAGTTCTCAGACCTAACTGACTTCTTAGCAGGATTTGATGCTTCCTCCTTCCTCAAAGATGTCAACATTTTAACTTCCAGGACAAAACACTCTCCTGTTCTTTTACCACCTCAATGGCTGCCCTTTCTCAGCCTCCTTGCTGGCTCCTCCTCTAAAGGTTTCAGCACTCCAGATACCCAGTGTACAGACCTCTTCTCCATCTTTTCTTCATTCCCTAGATGGCCTCATCCAGACTCATGCCCTTAGATACCAACTGTCAACTGATGACTCCCAATTCTGAAGCCATGACATCTCCCTGAATGAGAACTTCAAATGTATATGTCTAACTGTGCAGTTGGCATCTCTGCTGCTTGATTATTAAGAAAGCCCCTTCCCTGCAGTCCCTCTTCTCAGGGCCAAAGTAACTGCTGCCCTAATATTCTTCATATTGACTAATTGGTTCTATCATTTCCCATATTATTTATGCCAGAAAAATAATCTAAAATCTAAAAGTCTTGCTCAATTATTCTTTATCCTCAGCATTCATGAGTAAGTCCTGCTTGTGCTACCATGAAAATATATTACAAAATCAGTCAGATCTTACCACCTGCTCTGCTGAATCCTAATCCAAACCAATTTCATCCCATGCCTCAACAACCATAATAGCTTCCACTTTTACCCTGCTGTTCTCCTCCAAGTAACCCGTTATCTTTTTTCAAAATGTTAATATAAGCCAGATCATACCACTTATATTCTTAAGACCTTCCAAAGGTGATAATTAACTTCATTATCATTACATACAAGGCCTTCTGTAATGTGACACCTGCTCCTCTCTCCAACATTATGTGCTCACCACCAACTCTTCATAAATTTCACTCTAGCCACGGTGACCTTGACGTTTCTCAAACAAGCCAAGCTTTTCCTAACTCAAGCCCTATATGTATGTTATTCTAGCTGCCTGGAAAAATTGTCCGTTATATCTTTACATGGTTTATTCTTTTTATTATTTAAATATCTGCTCAAATATCATCACCTTAGAAAAATCTTCCCTGTTCACTGTAATTAAATTAGTAGCATTTCCATCATTCTTTTTTCCCATTTTATTATTACTTAATTGCACTCACCAGTATCTGAAATGTATATTATTTATTTATAGTTTATTTTGTTAACATCTATTCCTTCCTGTAAATATATGCAGTATATAAATATAAAGTGATTTATATACAATTTTTCTAGAACAACATCTGAAATTTAGTGTATACTCAGGGAGTGGTTGGCATCTAAATGAAGTTGGCCTGGTTGTATTACTGGAAGGACAGTAACATAGACGCACATGGCCTGGTTTGAATCCAGGTTTGAATTCTGGCTCTAGCACTTTCTGGTCAAGTGACCTTGAACTACATACTTAACCTCTCTGTACCTCAGTTGCCACATCTGAAAATGAGGCTAAACTGTTTATAATTACCCCATAAGGCCGTTGTGATGAATACATGAGTTAACGTAAAGGTTTAGAGCAGCATATATAATTATTCTTAATATTTTCTTTGGTTAACATGGTAGTTCTCACAAGAATTATTTATAAATATAATTGAGGAAGTTATTAAAGACATAGCATTCCACTCTCAACAAACAACTTAATCTAACAAGAACTTCTTTTGTTTCTGCTTTTCTTTTCTTTATTAGATGTCAAATACCCAATGACAAATAAGTTATGGTATTTGCCACGTGCATTTACAGCTTATACTTTTGCTATGTTTAACCTCTGTAACGTTTAATTTAAGTAATAATCACATTTAGTAACACTCCTATGAGGTAGATGTTGCTAACTCCATTTTACATATTAGGATACTGAGGCTCAAAGATTAAATCACTTGCCAAAAATCATAGCTTTATAAGAGATAGAGTTAGGATTCAGCCCTATGTCCAACAGATATTAGAATCTGAGCTTATTACCACTGAATTAGACTGCTGTCAAAATTAAGCTTAAATATCATTTCCTCCAAACAGATTTTCTTGACTTTCACTCTTGGGCAATATGCCTCTTTGAAAACAACAACAATAGGCCAGGGGCGGTGGCTCATGCCTGTAATCCCAGCCCTTTGGGAGGCCAAGCTGGGCGGATCACGAGGTCAGGAGATCGAGACCATCCTGGCTAACACGGTGAAACCCCATCTCTACTAAAAATACAAAAATTTAGCTGGACGTCGTGGCAGGCACCTGTAGTCCCAGCTACTCAGGAGGCTGAGGCAGGAGAATGGCATGAACCTGGGAGGCAGAGCTTGCAGTGAGCCAAGATGGTGCCACTGCACTCCAGCCTGGGCAACAGAGTGAGACTCCATCTCAAAAAAAAAACCAAAAAAACAAAACACAAATAGAGAATTTATCACACTAGATGATAAATAAAATCTATTTCTTCCACTGGCCTATGAATTCTATGATGAAAGGAATTTTCTCATAATGTTCTTTATGTTATCATGGTGACATTAAAAGAAAAGAAAAAGCCCTTGGGCAATTTGTAAACAAGTTGACGACTCCTCCTCTACAGTAGCATTGTTTAAAGCATTAACCACTTGCCACACAGAGTGAACTTCATGAATATCTTTTGTACATTTAATTGTCAAGCACTTGTTAAACATAGGTACAGGGCACAGACCTTGTTTCAAAGAATTTTGCAGCCTTGTGGAGGACACAGAAGTAAATGCACAAAAACTATGACGATAAGTAGATTGCTCTCAATATGTGGTCCGCATGAAGTAATTTCCTGAGGCATCATAACTGAGCTGGCTTATGAGAGGTGAGAGGGAACAAGCCATGTAAAAGAGAGTGAAAGCCAGACATAGCAGCTCATGCTTGAGGTCCCAGCTACTCAGGAGGCTGAGGCAGCAGGATCATTTGAACCCAGTAGTCTGAAGCTGCAGAGAACTATGATTGTGCCACTGCATTCCAGTCTGGGCAATAGAATGAGACCCCATCTTTAAAAAATAAAATTTTTTTAAAAAGTAGTGGATGACGGCCTCTCAGATAGGGAGTAGCAGGTGCAAATGTTAATGGGCCCATGGAAAAGTAACATGCTAAATAAAAATTCACAAGTATTATACAAATATATTCATTTATGTATAAATACACACATGCTTGGGTGGTACCTTTGTATTTAATATTTACATTTGCATATATTTCAAATATGCAAAATATACAGTGATGATTGCACATACATAAACTTTGGAGTTCAGTTAAGAAATGTATCTATTACCAAAATTATTTAATTAAACTATAAGATTTTAATACAGTTGACTATATAAAAACTGAAATTCTATCAAATATCTACTCAAACCGTGCCTGTTTTTTTATTCCTGTCACTATTATTAAAAATAGCTAAAGAGACCTAGAAAAAATGAGGAATTTAGAAATTCAAAAGCTTTATATTATTTGAAGTAACAGATCCTTAATTCTATTAGAAATTAGGAATTTTCAAAAAGATCAACAATGTGAGATAAAAGAATTTGGTCTAAATAAATCAGATATCTAATGATTTTCTAGTTATTTTGATATCTGGAGAGCTGGGGAGGCCACTATTAGACAACTTTAATGGGTCTCTTCTTACCTGGCAATTCACTAATACTGTTTTTAAAATTCCCATGTTACATACCTTATATCCTAAACTTGTTTCTTCTGTAGGAATTTGCATGATGCAATAAATCAGTCATTTTTCTTTTCTCTATAAGTCATTTTGTTTTGGCAGAGGTGAAATAATGACTAACAAAAGTCAGTAATTTACATTTCAGGAAATGGTTCAGATTTTTAAATTATTTTATTAGTTGCAAAAAGAATCCCTAACTTGTCAGACAAAACGTTCAAATAGTATCACATGGCCATACATTCTGCAGCTGTTGGGAGAGCACTCCAAATGTTTTTTTCTTCAGTGAGGATGGGAGGAATATGAGAGTCAAATAAGGTAGCTGATAGTCATTTTAGCATCTTTGCAAAACTGTAATCATGCGTGCTGGTCAGGGTTATAAAAGCATCATAAATCTATTATCCATGCTCGGTCAACTAACTACTCTTGATACAAATCATGTTGGGGTTATATAAGCTATTAATTTCATACATGGAAAATGTATAAATTACTCAGAGTACGCAAAGACATGGACTTGACTTAGCTGCATTTGCTAATGTCATAAGAATCCAGGGAGTCAGGAAAGCTTGAGATATCAAAGTTGTCTATGGCTGAGCGGCTCAGATTGTGATAGTAAAAGGAATTTGTGGAATTATACTCTAGGCATCTTTGAATTTTCCCTTCTCTTTTGTATTTTCCTGTCCTGCAAAACACCACATATATTCTTCTATCGTTCCTAGTATATTTTTGAATTATTTCCTCCTCCATCAACTTGGCAGAATTTAGCCATTAATTATTTGTCTTAAATGGCATACCTTCATCCTTTCCCAAATACTATGTATGTGCAATATTGCAGCCAAAGTGATGTATTTAAAACATAAAAATGATTATGTCATTTTTATCCTAAAATTTCTCCAGAGGCTCTTTATTGTCTTTAGGATAAGGTTTAAACTCCTTGGTATATTATTTAAGGCATCCATGGATGTCCTCTTCATCTTGCCAGCCTCATTTCTCCCTTGGAGCCCTAGTTCATATCTTGAAGTGCAGTCATTCTGAACTACTTGCAGTTACAGAAATACATTTATATAATATGTGTGAATTTTAATCAGTGGTTTATTGGTTTTGGTTAAAGGTGTTGGAATAATTTGAGAAGAAAAATAAGCTTATAAAAACAGTGGGGGCTGGTACTTGACTACCAGTGGCCCCATACCCAAGACATCTGCCCACTAATCTGCACCTGGCATTGGGTGTGTATTTCCAGGGGCAGACCCTTTAGATCACCAGGCTTTGGAATTTGCAGCCAGCACTGGTAGGGTCAGCCTGAAGTAACATAGGGGACTAGACGGCTGACTAGATATAGCTGGGAGCACCTCTTGCACTGAAGGAAACCAAAATATCGAGTAAATCATCACACTTCGAATAGATCTTTTGAAATAAAACGTTGAAAGTTTATAGAGAGGTGACATAGAAACCAAAGTAGAAGAGGGGGGAAACTGGGAACCCTGCACAGAGTTGACAAGCTCCAGGGCCAGTTCCTGGCCCTAAATAGGACCTAAAGAAGGGCATACATTGCTGGTGAAACCCAGTGCAGAAATCTAGTCACAAATGAAGAGCCTCAACCCTCTAAAAGCATCCAGAAATGAAGCCAATCAACTATACTCAATATATACCACAATTCAACTCTAAAAGAAATAAAGAATATAAAAATAGGTCCACTTTTTGATGGGGTTGTTTGTTTTTTTCTTGTAAATTTGTATGAGTTCTTTGTAGATTCTGGATATTAGCCCTTTGTCAGATGAGTAGGTTGCAAAAATTTTCTCCCATTCTGTAGGTTGCCTGTGCACTCTGATGGTAGTTTCTTTTGCTGTGCAGAAGCTCTTTAGTTTAATTAGATACCATTTGTCAATTTTGGCTTTTAGACTGGATTAAGAAAATGTGGCACATATACACCATGGAATACTATGCAGCCATCAAAAAGGATGAGTTCATGTCCTTTGTAGGGGCATGGGTGAAGCTGGAAACCATCATTCTCAGTAAACTATCGCAGGGACAAAAAACCAAACACTGCATGTTCTCAGTCATAGGTGGGAATTGAACAATGAGAAAACATGGACACAGGAAGGGGAACATCACACACCAGGGCCTGTCGTGGGGTGGGGGAAGGGGGGAGGGATAGCATTAGGAGATATACCTAATGTAAATGACGAGTTACTGGTTGCAGCACACCAACACAGCACATGTATACATATGTAACAAACCTGCACATTATGCACATGTACCCTAGAACTTAAAGTATTAAAAGTATCTATCTGTATGTAAATGTGCATTTGCATCTGTTTGAAAGAACAAGGGGAAAATGTGGAAAGTCTACAGCAGGTGTGAGTATTGGCAGCTCAAGGGGATGGGGTTGAAGATGAGGCTAAAGGAGATGATTTGCTTTCACTTTATGTATCTTTATATGATTTCAATTGTTAGAATAAGCATGTATTACTTTTGTATTTAAAAATATTAATGGCTGGGTGCAGTGGCTCACGCCTGTAATCCCAGCACTTTGGGAGGCTGAGGTGGGTGGATCACTTGAGGTCAGTATTTTGAGACCAGCCTGGCCAACATGGTGAAACCCCATCTGTATTAAAAATACAAAAATTAGCTGGGCATGTTGGCGTGTGCCTGTAGTCCCAGCTACTTGGGAGGCGGAGACATGAGAATCGCTTAAACCCAGGAGGCAGAGGCTGCAGTGAGCTGACATCACACCACTGCACTCCAGCCTGGGTGACAGAGCAAGACTCTGTCTCAAAAAAATAAAAATAAACTTCAAAAGCCTGTCCAAGTGATAGCAATGTAAGATAAAGGAATGCAGCCGTCTCAGGTGAGAAAGAATCAGTGCATAAACTCTGGCAATTCAAAAATTCAGAGTGTCTCCTTACCTCCAAATAATTGCAACAGCTTCCCAACAATAGTTCCTAATGAGATTGTAATGGCTGAAATGACAGACACAGAATTCAAAGCCTGGATGACAAGGAAACACAACAAGATTCAGGAGAAATCCAAGGAAGCCAGTAAAACTATCCATGAGTTGAAAGATGACAGAGCCATTTTAAGAGAGAACCAAACTAAAGTTCTGGAACTGAAAAATTCACTACAGGAATTTCATAGTATAGTTGCAAGCATTAGCAATGTAATAGACCAAGCTGAGGAAAGAATCTCAAGCTGAAAGACTGGTCTTTTGAATCAACACAGTCAGACAAAAATAAAGAAAAAATATTTTTTTTTAATGAGCAAAACCTCCAAGAAATATGGGATTATGTAAGGAGAACTAAACTACAACCCATGCTGGTATTCCCAAGAGAGAAGGAGAAAGAGTAAACAACTTGGAAAATGTATTTGAGGATATAATTCATGAACATGTCCCCAGTTTCACTAGAGAGGTTGACAGGCAAATTCAAGAAATACAGAAAACCGCTGCAAGATACTATACAAGATGACCAACCCCAAGAAACAAAGTCATCAGATTCTCCAAGATTAACATGAAAGAAAAAATCTTACAGGCACCTAGGAAAAAGGGTCAGGTCACTTACAAAGGAAATTTCATCAAGCTAACAGCAGACTTCTCAGCAGAAACCTTACAAGCCAGAAGAGATTGAGGGTCTGTTTTCAGTATCCTCAAAGAAAAGACATTCCAACCAAGAATTTCATATCCAGCCAAACTAAGTTTCATACACAAAGGAGAAATAAAATCCTTTCCAGACAAGCGTAAGGGAATTTGTTACCACCAGATCAGCCATACAAGAGGTCCTTGAGGGAGTTCTAAACAGAAATCAAAGAATGATACCTGTTACCACAGCAACACACTTAAGTGCATAGCACAGACCCTATAGGGCAACTATATAATCAAGTCTACAAAACAGCTAACAACAGGATGACAGTATCAAAACTTCATATATCTATAGTAACCTTGAATATAAATGGCCTAAATGCCCCACTTAAAATGCACAAAGTGGCAAGCTAGATAAAAAAACAAGACCCAAGTGTCTTCAAGAGACCTGTCTTACATATAATGACAACCACAGTCTCAAAGTAAAAGAATGGAGAAAGACCTATCATGCAAATAGAAAACAAAAAAGAGGCCGGGCGCGGTGGCTTACGCCTGTAATCCCAGCACTTTGGGGGGCCGAGACAGGCAGATCACGAGGTCAGGAGATCGAGACCATCCTGGCTAACATGGAGAAACCCCATCTCTACTAAAAATACAAAAAATTAGCCGGGCATGGTGGTGGGCGCCTGTAGTCCCAGCTACTCGGGAGGCTGAGGCAGGAGAATGGCGTGAACCCAGGAGGTGGAGCTTGCAGTGAGCCGAGATTGCGCCACTGCACTCCAGCCTGGGCAACAGTGCAAGACTCCGTCTGAAAAAAAAAAAAAGAGAAAACAAAAAAGAGCAGAGGACAGTATTCTTATTTCAGAAAAAACAAACAAACAAACAGATTTTAAAATAACAAGTCAAAAGTGACAAAGAAGGGCATTATATGATAATGAAGAGTTCAATTCAAAGAGGACTTAACTATCCTAAATATATACATACCAAACATTGGAGCACCCAGTTTGTAAAACAGGTACTTCTAGATCTATGAAAATACTTAGCCACATAATAATAGTGGGAGACTTCAACATTCTACTGACAGTATTAGATAGATCATCAATGCAGCAAACTAAGAAAGGAATCATGAACTTAAACTAGACACTTGACCAATTGGACCTAATAAACATCTACATAATATTCTATCCAACATTGATAGAAAGTACATTCTTCTTGTCTGTATATGGAACACACTCCAAGATCTACTACATGCTTTACTGGTAAAGCAAGACTCAATAAATGCAAAGAAATAAAAATCATACCAAACATACTCTCAAACTACAGTGCAATAAAAATAGAAATCAAAACCAAGAAGATCTCTCAAAACCACACAATTACATAGGAATTAAACAACTTATTCCTGAATGACTTTTGGGTGAATAATAACATTAAGGCAGAAATAAAAAATTCTTTGAAATTAATGAAAACAGAGCTGTGACATACTAAAATCTCTAGGATTCAGTGAAAGCAGTGTTAACAGAAAAGTTTATAGCATTAAATGCCTACATCAAGAAGTTAGAAAGATCTCACATTAACAATCTAACATTACGCCTAGAGGATCTAGAAAAACAAGAACAAACTAACCTCAAAGCTAGCAGAAGAAAAGAACTGAAATCAGAGCAGAAGTGAATAAAATCAAGATGCAAAAATATATACAAAAGATCAGCAAAACCAGTAGTTGTTTCTTTAAAAAGATAAACAAGATTTATAGACCACTAGCCAGAATAAGAGAAATAAAGAGAAGACTCAAATAAGCACAATCAGGAATGACAAAGATAACATCACAACTGATCCCACAGAAATACAAAAGATCCTCAGAGACTGTTGTGATCACCTCTATACACACAAGCTAGAAAATCTAGAGAAAATGGAGAAATTTCTGGAAACATACAACCTCCTAAGATTGAACCAAGAAGAATTTGAAACCCTAGGTAGCCCAATAATAAGTTCTGAAACTGAATCAGAAAAAAAAAAAAGCCAATCTTACTGAAACCAGTTTCACTGAAACTGTTCCAAAAAAATCTAGGGTTAGGGACCCCTCCCTAACCCATTCTACAAAGCCAACGTCATCCTGATACCCAAATTTGGCAGATACACAGCAAAAAAGACAACTTCAAGCCAATATCCCTGATGTGAACATAGATACAAAAATTCTCAACAAAATACTAGCAAACTGAATCCAGCAGCACATCCAAAAGGTAATTCACTACAAGGAAGTAGGCTTTATTTCTGGGATGTGAGGTTGGCTCCATATATGCAAATCAATAAATGTAATTAATTGCATAAACAGAACTAAAAACAAAATTCATATGATGATCTCAATAGATTTAGAAAAAGCTTTGGATAAAATTCAACATCCTTCATCATAAAAAATCTCAACCAACTAGACATCAAAGAAACATACCTCAAAATAATAAGAGCCATCTATGAAATTCCTGTAGTCAACATATGACATGGACAAAGCTGGAAGCATTCCCATTGAGAACTGGAATAAGACAAGGATGCCCACTCTCACCACTCTTACAACATGGTACTTGAAGTCCTAGCCAAAAGAATCAAGCAAGAGAAAGGAATAAAAGGCATCCAAATAGGACAAGAAGTCAAACTGTCTCTCTTTACTGAGAGAATAGAAAACTATGTATACTGTATATTCTATGAGAGTATAAAATACTATGTTTCTCTATCTAGCAAAACCCTAAATACTCCACCAAAAAGCTCCTAGAACTGATGAAGCACTTCAGTAAAGTTTCAGTATATAAAATCAGCATACAAAAGTCAGTAGCACTTATATACAACAATAATGTTCAAGCTGAGAGCCAAATAACAATGCAATCCTATTTACAGCAGGATACAGTAGTAGCCACAAAAAGATTTAAAAACCTAGGAATCCATCTAACCAAAAAGGAGAAAGATCTCTACCAGGAGAACTGAAACACTGCTGAAAGAAATCAGAGATGACACAAACAAATGGAAAACCATTCCATCCTCATGGATTGGAAGAATCAATACCGTTGAAATGGCCATACTGACCAGAGTGGTTTACAAATTCAATACCATTATTATCACATTACCAACATTGTTTTTCACAGAATAAGAAAATACTAATCTAAAATCCATATGTGGCTGGGTGCAGTGGCTCACACCTGTAACCCCAGCAGTTTGGGAGGCTAAGGTGGGTGGATCACGAGGTTAGGAGTTTGAGACCAGCCTGACCAATATAGTGAAACCCCATCTCTACTAAACATACAAAAATTAGCCAGGCATTGTGGCGTGTGCCTGTAATCCCAGCTACTCAGGAGGGTGAAGCAGAAGAATCACTTGAACCCGGGAGGTGGAGGCTGCAGTGAGCCGAGATCATGTCATTGCATCACGAGATGCAATGTCATTGCATTGGGTGACAGAGTGAGACTCCATCTTAAATAAATAAATGAATGAATAAATAAATAAATAAATAAAATTCTTATGTAACCAAAAAAGAGGCTGAGTAGCCTAAGGAATCCTAAGCAAAAGAACACAACTGGAGGCATCACATTACCTGATTTCAACTACATTACAAGGCTACAGAAACCAAATAGCATGGTACTGGCACAAAAACAGACACATAGACCAATGAAACAGCATAGAGAACCCAGAAGTAAAGCCACACACCTAAAGCCATCTGATCATTGACAAAGTCTACAAAAATAAGCAGTAGGGAAAGGGTTCCCTATTCAATTAATGGTGCTGGGATAACTGGCTATTCATATGTAGAAGAATGAAACTGGACCCTTACCTTTTATCATATACAAAATTTAACTCAAGATGGATTAAGACTTAAATATAAGACCTCAAACTATAAAAATCCTAAAAGAAAGCCCAAGAAATACCCTTCTCAACATTGGCATTGGCAAAGAATTTATGGCAAAATCCTCAAAAGGAATCGCAACAAAAACAAAAATTGACAAACGGGACCTAATTAAAGTAAGGAGCTTCTGCACACCAGAGAAACTATCAAGGGAATAAACAACCAACTTACAGAATGGGAGAAAAATCTGCAAACTATACATCTACAAAGGTCTAATATTCAGAATCTACAAGGAATTTAAACAAATAAACAGGCCAAAAGACAAATAACTCCACTAAAATGTGGGCAAAGTATATGAACAGATACTTCTCAAGAGAAGTCATACAAGTAGCCGAAAAACATATGAAAGATTTCTCATCATCACTAATCATCAGAGAAATGCAAATCAAAACCACAGTGAGATACCACCTCATACCAGTTAGAATGGCTTTTGATAATAGGTCAAAAAATAATAGATGTTGGTAGGGACGTGGAGAAAAGGGAATGCTTTTACATTGTGGATGGGAATGTAAATTACTTCAGCCACCGTGAAGAGCAGTTTGGAGATTTCTCAAAGAGCTAAGAGTTGAACTACCTTTTCACCCAGCAATCCCATTACTAGGTATCTACCCAAAGAATAATAAATCATCCTACCAAAAAGACACATGCTCCTATATATTTATCACAGCACTATTCACAATAGCAAAGACATGGAATCAACCCAGGTGCCCATTAGTGGTGGATTGGGTAAAGAAAATATACATACATTTACATGGAATACTACACAGCCATAAAAAAACCATATCCTTTGTGGCAACATGGATGCAGGTGGAGGCCATCATCCTGAGCAAACTAACGCAGAAACAGAAAGCCAAATACTGTGTGTTCTCACTTATAAGTGAGAATTAAACATTGGATACACATGGACATAAACATGGGAACAATAGATAACTGGGGAACATCAGAGGGGAGAGGGAAGGAGGGAAGGTTGCAAGGCCTGAAACACATCCTACTTAGGACCATGCTCACTTCCTGGGTTACAGGTTTGATTGTACTCCAAACCTCAGCGTCACACAATATGCCTTTATAACAAACCTGCACATGTCCCCTGGAATCTACAGTAATAGCTGGAAAAAATTATAATTTGTAAAATTCCAAGGAAAAATCAGAAATATCAAATTTAGAAGATTTTTTTTATTATAAAACAAAAAGTAAATAAAAATAAAAATGGTGGAAAGAAGCACAGTCTTTGAACTCAGACCTTGTTAGAGTCTAGAATCAGCCACTTCCTGAATGACCGTTCATTACTTAACCCGTTAAAGCCTCAGTTTTCTCTGTAATGAATGGGGTACTACTATCTACTTCATAGCATTGTGGTAAAAAAAATAAAAATAAAAATAACATATGAATGCCTAAAAGAGTTCCTAGAACTAGATACTAGATTATCAGTATTATTAGCTATTATAATGTTTATACACAAACATTTATCTACCCCCACCTTTTTAAAGATGACATTGTTTGTATAACTTTAGGCTATGATTATTTGACTATATCAAAAGGCAAATATATGCTTCTACTTTGTGTGCGTGTGTATATGTGTGCACATATGTGACTATATTTGTGGTTAATAGTATGCTTTTTAAGTGATCTCTGAAATGTGTGTATGCCCAATTATTAATATATATTTAAGTATGTTAAGTATATAAGTGGAATCTGTCCTTGATTTACAACCATAATTTTTTCTAGAATAACATAGCACTCTGCAACTCTTTTCTTTTCTTTATTAACTCATGAGAACTTAGTTCCAGGCTAGATAAGAAATTACAGTGTTTTATTTTCAATAGTTTGAGACTATGATATTTTGCTCTGATACCTTTTTAAAATATTTTATTTTAATGACTCCCCATTTCTAATCTCTGCATATAAAATGCTAAACAGCTAGTGTTTTGTCGTGCATTAAAAGCACCTCTTCTTTTTAAAAAGCATCCTCCTCCTTTTAGGGAACTGCCCTTCTCCTCTTTCCAACCCCGTGATTCTGGGAAAGAATGCAGTCATAGTACCCCTGGTCACACAGTTGATTTGTCTAGAGCTGCTCATTGGAATAACCAGGTTAGCTAGTAAGAAATAATACTGATAATTAGACCAGATGAATCTCAACTAAACCCAATGGATCCGAACCTCTGGGGCTGGAGCATGGAAAATCTTTAGTTTTAGAACTATCTTGGTGGTCACATGTGCAGTTTAGAAGCTGGCACCTGAGCGAAATCAAGCCAAGCAGATTGTTTCTCAGGATTTTCTACAGTGGAGTATGGGAGCAGAGAGGGGGCAGCATTCCCACTGTGTAGTAAAGTGTGACATACAATACAGAAAAGTGGCCACTATGTGGTCTTTTTGCCATATGAAGTAATGTCATCTGAAATAATGAGCCTTCCTGCAGAGAAAGCTAGAGACTGGAGATGAGAGAGAGGGAAAGAAGGAGAAAGAGAAAACTGGCAACTTCCAATTCCCATGTTATAACTGTCCCAAGGACCCAATCAGAAACCACCACCCTCTTTCCTATGTCTACATGAGCCTTCCCTTAAATTCCTCTTATATCTAGGTACCCCAAATCAGGAATGTATAACTTGCCAACAAGTGGGGCTTTATACAAATGTATCTTGAAGTTGTACTTTAGCTATCACTATTCTGAAGTTGTCAGGTAGGTCATGTCCTAGGGTCATATTGCCACAGCCTGTTCTCAAAATAAATGTTGCATTGCATAGATTCTTCATGCAATGCAACATTTCTAAATTATTTTTCTAATTATTTTTCTAATTTCTTTTTCTAAATTCTTTCTAAATTCTTTTCTAATTTTTACTTTTAATTTCTGTTGGTACATAGTAGGTGTATATATTTATGGGGTACATGAGATGTTTTGATACAGGCATGCAGTGTGTAATATCACATATCATGTAAAATGTAGTATCCATCCCTCAAGCATTTATCCTTTGTGTTACAAACAATCCAATTATACTTTTTTGTTATTTTAAAATGTACAATTAAATTATTATTTAGACCTTTTCTAAATTCTAATCATGTCTTTCACCATGGAGTAAGATGATAAAGCAAAGCTCTCCAGTAGAACAACATTGGCAGGTTGCCATAAACCTTAATACCCCAAAGCTTATACATATAGTCTCCTTTAACTCATTACTGTGTCCTAACTTCCAAGAATGAAAGAGCAATTTTTCTTAAAGTGGCAAGTAAAAAGAATGACTAGGGACAGGTCTGCAAATTTAGGTCTCCACTGCCTAGAAACCTTTCTGATTTGGAAACCAGCTGGCTTTTGTGTGTGCAAAGTGCTTTTGCAGTGTTAACTATCTGAGTCAGATGTCAGGGAAAAAAATGTGTGTGTTAGAAATATAGTTTACAGACATTCGGAGGGGCATTAATCTAACTTTTCTTTAGATGTAAGCATCAAAGTGTCAGGAATGAGAAGTGCCTAGTAAACATACCTCAAAGGGCTGAGTTAGATGAATCGGCACAAAATGCATTTAGCTGAAATTCAGCTGCTGACTCCAGCCTTCTCCATTTTTCTCTGTAAGTGCTCAGCTGAGTTATCTCCTTTCTCTCGCCTCACAAACCCTCTGCCACCTGATTATTAACAAGTGCTGTCTTCCAGTTCATTAGTCCAAGTCTTACTGCCCTCACATCATCTAAACTGACCAATATATTTTCTTCTGCGAATCACTTGTTACAATATTACCCCATCTTTGACATGGCCCTGATTTTTACCAGCACATCTAATGCTAGGACAGTCATGTACCACATAACAACATTTTGATCAATGACAAACTGCCTATACAACAGTGGTCCCATAAGATTATAATACCCTATTTGTATTGTAACTTTTCTATGTTTGGATACACAAATATTCACTATTGTGTTGCAATTGTCTATAATATTCAGTATTAACATATTGATTGTACTGGTTTGTATCCTAAGAGCAATGGTCTATACCATGTAGCCTAGGCTATACCATCTATGTTTGCTTAAGTACATTCTGTGGTGTTCACATAATGATGAAATTGCCTAACAATCTATTTCTCAGAACATATCCCTGTCATTAAGCAACACATGACTGTATAAGGGTACTTTTAAAACTAACAGCTTTTAGACAAAATCTGCAATGGAAAGACTTGCATAGAAATGACAAAGCTGTATCCCCAAGTTGAATGTTCTAATCAAAGTAGATTTATTTCCATAATTTGTAAAAACAAGGTGTGGGTGGCTAAGGAGATTTGGCAAGAAAATATCTAACTCAGGGGTACGAGTTTAGGATCTGATGGAGTTACCAGATTCTGAGAATATTGGAAATAACAAAGATCCAGGGAATACACAAAGAGGTCTAACATCTGAATAATACCTGGGTCACTAGATTACAGGTCTTGAGAAATGGTAAAGCTGGAAATTTTGCTATTTGCAACTGAACAAATCATAACAGCTTTGGCTCTATATTTCTGTAGCTTAACTCTCAGGCTGGCAAAAAATATAACTTCAGTCATTCCTAGTGCTTTCCCAACTACTTCAGTCATCTGCAGAATTGTCCAGCAGTTCTATGTCCTTACACAGTGACAAGACAACCCACACATTGTTTGGTTTATCCTCACAAATAACTGCTGTGATAGTCATTACCCCTCTCTGAGTTGTTTCTTTCAATAGTGGACCTTTGTTGGTTATCTCCTCATGTTATTCTTCCTACCCCTTCCTAATTGTCCCTAGATTTTGGTTCAGATAATCCCTGTGCTTTGCTAGAAGCTGACATGACTCTGAATTGCAAGGGTGGGTTTTTACTGATTTAGGCCAATTGATACCCTGGCCTCCATTAGTGGTGGATATGCAACCTAATCCAGTAAAATCAGAGCAAATTCCATGATTCTTACTTAGAACTTTGAGGCAGAAGCCCACCCTTCTCTATGAGCACGAAGTAAGGAACCCTGTATCTGGAAGAGTAGCTTGAAGCTGTTTTGTGACTGTAGGGGTTTCCATCTTTAGAATGAAACCAGCATTTTAGATGGCAGAATAGATAAATGAAGGTAAGAAAACAGGCTTGGTGACATCTACAGACCGTAAATCAAACCATCTTTGAAACTTTCCTTCTGAATTTTTATTACAGAAAGCTATGAATACAGTTTATTAGCCAGTTTGCATTGGTGCTTTTGTCATATGAAAGTAAACAACAAAACCCTATTACATAGCAGGTCATGAAATTTTTAGGAAACTGCATAGGGCCCCAACTTCTTAGACATGCTTTAAAATGTCCATCTCTGACAGATATTTTCTCCCCTTTCTTAGTCAACATAATCATTCCTCACCCTACCCACCCCCAATTTTGGAAACCTCACTCTTGTTCTCTTCTTCATCAAGACTTTGTGCTTTTGTAGAGAATTCCTGTTCTCCATTGTACCTTATCCCCAAACCCTTTAATTTTCTAACGTGTTTATTAGGTTTTGAAAACAAAAGCAGGGAAATCTTTACAGGCTGCTTCTGAGTTCAACCCTGCTTCTCCCTGCTTCCTCCTACAATGAATACCTGCTTCAGTGGGAAGAAAGGAAAAGGAAAAACGCACAGAGAAGTAATAAAAACACTAGTAGCTCGAAATAGAGCCTAGTTACACAGAGATGTACATTAGGAAAAACTGAAATTATTTCAAGCATTTGAGCAATTGTTAGAATTCAGAGTTTACAAGCTTATATTTTATCCATTTACCTTGATGTTGATGAGCCTGATGCATTTTAAACTCTCAAATTATCTATTGTTTGAAGGAAAAGAATGTATGTATTATGAAAATAGGCATTAAAACCTGTTTGGTGAATTACGTGGTTTTAAAGTTTAAGATGTTTGGTCTATATAGACTTAGCTTAAATTAAAAATGCACATGTAGTCATTTAGAAAAATGTCACCTTGGATTTAACTCAATATTACCAATCAGATTTATTGATTCTAAAATTATTCTTCACTCTATTACCATTTTTAACTGATCAACTTCTTCTTATCATTCAAAACCCAGCTAATATGTTATCTCCCCTGAAAAGCCTTGTCAAATATCCCCAGAGTTAGCTTGTCCCTTCTCTTCATTACTTCAAGGCTTTCTTCTCATCATGTGTTCACATGTGCCTACCTTTTATATACTGACTAAAAAATGAGCATCATATTTTATTCGCCTTATATTCCCAGCACCTGGCACAAGGTAGATGCTCAACGTTGAAACTGAAATTCTACAAAGACACTGTATCAGTCAGGATAGGTTACCGAAAAATCTCAATGACCTACCAGATTGCAAGTTTATATCTTACTCCTATTTTAGTCTTCCAAGGACAGAGACTCACTGTATTAGAGTCTCCAGAGAAAAAGAATCAGTAGGACATATATATATATATGAGGGGATTTAGTATGAGAATTGGCTTATGTAATTATGGAAGACAAGAAGTCACACAATCTGCCATCTGCAATCCAGAGAACTAAGAAAGTCAGTGGTACAATTAATTCAGTCTGATGCCAAACATCTGAGAAGAGGGGAAAACAAGGGGCAGGATCCATATAAAATCTAGAGACCAAAGGTCTGAAAACCTGGAGCTCTGATGTTCCAAGGTAGGAAGAGATAATGGATGTCCCACCTCCAGAAGAGAGCAAATTTGTCCTTCCTCTGCCTTTTTGTTCTATCTGGGACCTCAACAGATTGGATGACTCTCACCCGCATTGGTGAGGGAGAACTTCTTTACTCAGCCTACTGATTCAAATGCTAATCTATTCCAGAGCTGCCGTCACAGACACACCAGAGGCAATGTTATTATCAGCTATTTGGGTATCCCTTAAGCCAGTCAAGGTGACACATAAAATTAATCATCACACTGACCAAGACTTCATCGTGATGTGTTCACCTTTGTAATCACAACCTGGATTTTAAATTTATCTCTGGCAATGACACACAATGCTTTATTCACATTTTACTGGCCTGAAAGCCAGTCACCTTTTCTTTTTTTTTTTTTTTTTTTGAGATGGATTCTCACTCTGTCTCCAGGCTAGAGTGCAGTGGAGCGATCTCGGCTCACTGCAACCTCCGCCTCCTGGGTTCAAATGATTCTCCTGTGTTCAAACGATTCTCCTGCCTCAGCCTCCCAAGTAGCTGGGACCACAGGCATGTGCCACCATGTGCAGCTAATTTTTGTATTTTTAGTAGAGATGTGGTTTCACCGTGTTGGCCAGGATGGTCTCGATCTCTTGACCTCATGATCCACCTGCCTCGGCCTCCCAAAGTGCTGGGATTACAGGGGTGAGCCATCATGCCCGGCCAGCAAATCTCCTTTCTACCTGGAGCTAGAAAGATGGAAAGTCAGATATATTTGGGGTACAGCAAAAATAACCAACAAAAAAGTTAAATATACAAATTCCAGGTTGAAAACAATGGAATCAGTACTGTTCTTTTCTTAGAATCACTGAATTATGATTAGAAAACTAAAGTTTCCAGAGATTATTATTTCACATTCTATTGATTAAAAAAAACCTGTAGATATTTTAATATACAAACCTATGAACTAAAATATGGCTCAATAAAACCAATGTAACTAAGCAGATTTATCACTACTCAATGATGAGCCTCTAGTAGTTAAATAATTTTTTTGAGGAGACACCTGCAGCCACTAATAGAATGTTAACTAACTTGGCTCCTGTTCACTTTGATTTTAGCTGAACCAAAGGAAAATCTGGAGTCCAAAAGTTTAAGGCCCTAAAGGGCTAAATTTTTCCTTAGTTTATTTTTTTTCATTTGGCATTTTATCACTAGAATAATCAATTTAGCTTTCCAGCAAAAGACAAAGGATAAAAACTAGTTTTTCCTCCTGAGAGTGTGTGTTTGTTTATGCATATATGTAACAGATATACAAATATGTATATACAAGTATAAACATATATGTACAAATATATGTATGCATATGTCTATACATTTTCATTTACATACTTTTTAATAAGTATGTTGTTTCATATATATTTATATACATTCTATATTCTATATTATATATATGCATATATTTCTTTCATGTAATTGTATGCAGTTATGCATGTCACTAGATAGTAAATGGATGGATAGGTAGGTAGGTAGATAGATAGATAGGAAAATAAATAAGAAAAAAGAATATTCTTTGGAGGTTGGGACCAATGCTCAGTGCATCTGTTTCTAGTGCTGGTAGCAGTGGCAGTGTAACAGTAAGTATAACTCTCTATTGTTTATTGAAGTTTGGACCTTATATTCTAATCACTCTACAATGGCTCTTTTATATCTTAACAATAAGCATGTTACATAAGTTTTGAGCCTCTGTTTTATAGATAAGCAAACTGTGGTTCAAAGAAGTTAACACATTTGTCCCGGGTCACATAACAAGTATATGGCAGAGCTGGTTAATCTGTCTTAAATCACTAAGATGTGACCAGCAAACATGGAAAATATGGAAGACTTTTTGGAGTAATATATTCATTCTCTCACTAGTCATGATATAGTCAGATTGCCTTCAAGACTTAAGCCCACCTATCAAAAGGAAAACTAAGCCAGATAACAAAGGTAAATATTGAAAGCCTGAAAGCAGCTGAGAGAGAAAGATGAAAACAGTAGGTAGATAGAGATACATTTATTTTTGTTTGTGATTATTCCTTAATGTTTGGGAAATAAGCCATACTTCTCCCTGCTCATCTGCCTAACTTATTCAAAGCTCCGTAACATTGCCCTAACTCCAGGGAAAAACAATAACAAAAGTGACATCACATCCTGCATGTTTAGCATTTTTGGAACTCGTGAATAGGAATACAGTTAAATCAGTGTTCCAATTGTGTTGTAGACATTTTTCTCATAAAAACGTATCTATATTTTCTGAAACTTAAAATCAATGAGATGCTTAGTTGTATGCATGCAGCATTATTGTTTTACTTGTTTGACATAATGTATATATTATGATACATCTCATATTTCATATTACGTCACTATTTTCAAATTATTTCTTAGATATTCATTTTATTCTCCAAAGTGCCCTGTGAAATAGGAAAAGGAAACATGATGCTCCTCATTTTGCAAATAAGAAAACAAACGCTCAGGAGGTGTTTACATGGGTTCCCAAGGGTCACTCAATACATAGCAAAGGGCAGTCTGAAATTCACATCTTTAACTTACAGCTTGATTCCTTTCCCATTATCTCTTGTGACTGTGGTTTTTTTGTTTTATTTTAATATCATACAATTTCAGTTAATCATCCTACTCAGGTGAAACTAACTGAAAATGTCAAAATATGGTCATTGATTTCTCATCCAAACTAAGCTGAAATCAAAAGAAATAGTTCTCTTATAAAAAATTGGATTTTAAATCACCCCAAAGTATTTAAATTTACTTTTCTAAAAGCAACAATTATAAATATTAAGTACTATGAAAGACATTTCTACATACCAAGTTTTTATCTTGTACTTCCAGTGAGAACTCTTTAGCCCTCTAAATTTGGAACAATTACTGTTTGAAAGCGTTTTCTTAAACTGGTTTGAATTTTCTTCTACTAAATTCTGTGTATTTTTACAAATACAGCAAAGTGTTTCGAGTGTGGCCTTTGTAGTCATTTAGCCTGAAATCAAACTGTAGCTTTAACACTTACCTGCTTTGTGAATGTGAGCCCCACTGTGGCTCAGTATTCTCATCTGTACAGCAGGGATGATAATAATACCTACCTCCAAGGATTCCTGTGACGACTAAGTAAGTCCAAAAATAGAAAATAGACTGCTTAGAATAGTGCCTAGCCCTAATAAGTATTATATAATAATTTGTTAATAGTAATTATTATTATTACTACTAGTCCAATTGCTATTCATGTTATAGGCCTTGAGAAACCAGCGTCAATCTCTTCCCTTTCGTCTTCTCTTCTGAAGATTCATCTACCTCCACATTTCTTTAACTATTTCCTATATGGTTTCCTCCCTCTGGCAATGCTCCTGATTATTATTCTCCCTCCTAAAATGTTATCATATTTTATAAATATGCATTGAATGCCTACTGTGGTGCCTGGAATTCATGGGTTGTTTATTCAACAAGTGTAAATTGATCACCTCTGTGGCGGGTGTGTAAGATGCTGTGAATAGGAAATGAATGAGACAGTCTCTGCCCTCAGAGAGATTAAAGGTAGAAGGGGAGACAGACATGTGAATGGGATGATCAGGGCAAGCTATCATAAAATGTCAACTAGACTTGACTCTTCTTGTTCTATGTAACTATTCCATGATACAAACCTGATAAAAGGAAAAAATAATCTTTCTTATTCACTTTGCTGTGGTAAAATGAAAACCCAGCCTTTTCCATTGGCCAGTTGTTAAAGTGAATTTTTTTTTTTTTTTTTTTTTTGAGATGGAGTCTTACTCTGCCATGCAGTTTGGGATGCAGTGGCATGATCTCGGCTCATTGCAACTTCCCCCTCTTGGGTTCAAGCAATTCTCCTGCCTCAGCCTCCCCAGTAACTGGGATTACAGGCATGTGCCACCACGCTAGGCTAATTTTTGTATTTTTAGTAGAGATGGAGTTTCACCATGTTGGCCAGGCTCATCTCGAACTCCTGACATAAAGTGATCTGCCCGCCCCAGACTCCCGAAGTTCTGGGATTATGGGCGTGAACCACCGTGCCTGGCCTAAAGTGAATGTTTCCTAGTTGTAGTATGTTTCTCTATTCCTGAATTCAATGATAAAATATCCAGGTGACAAAATATTTTGTGAGAACTATTTATTACTGCTTCAAAATTAAACTTGTGTCAGTGTTAGTTAATCCCCTTCTCTTCAAGCATATTACTTTAGGGACGGGCTGTCTTCAGCCTGTTTGGTTTGATCGACATTACAACACACGTTTGACCTATCATGTTTGGTGGAACCTCGAGGATGCTCCTAGGTGAACTGATCAAATCCTTTGGCAACACTTTCAGATGCAGTTGAAATGCAGCATACTGCTCTGCCTGGACAACCTATGCATCACTCAGACTTGGCTGTTCTGAATAAGAAGGGAATTTTTTCCCCAAATGTTCTGGAAATCTGATCTTTGTTGTTAAATCCATCCATTGTATTACCTTACCTAATCCTCCTTGCAGCAACTCTGAAGTAATTATTGTCATATCTATTTTGCATACTGTGGTGTTGAGTGATTAAGTAACTAGTATAAGATTGCATACATAGCCAGGATGTGGGAGAGCTGAGATTTGAACTGAGACTTGTTCAAATCCAAAATTTCACAAAGAACCACTTGCTCTATGGTTTCAGTGTTTCTATTTCTACTGATTATCAGGGCTGACTGTATTGTTTCACATAGTATTATAATTTTCACTTTGGAAAGCTTGGCATTTGAACAGCTAACAAGGGGATTCTTGCCTCTGGTTTCTAAGGGGATGTTTCTCACTTTGAACATAGAATCTGCATTTGTGATCAGTAGGGAAGAAAGAGTAATGGCATTAAATGAAGGCAGCACTGACTGTGAAATCAGCTATCTTTTAAATCTCAAGGTTATTGAATTAATGAATTAGTCTTAGAAGGCTGTGTATCATTCTTAGAATCCTGAGAAAGGAAATTGAATATTAACCCAGTTCACATCTAGAATGCACAATTTATAGCCACATGCAGACTGAACCATATGGTGGAAGCATTCTTTCATACTTTCAGATTAGTTTATGTTGAGTGCCCCATATAGAGCAGGTCTTTTCAGAGACTTGTCTTGTGTGATCAAAATAATAAAACATCTGTTGATAATAACCTTGAGAACAAATTGGTGCTTCCTAAATTTGTTTGAGCTATGAAATATCTCCTGTAATAACGAACACAAGATGTGCAGACAGCATTTGAAACATGCACGCACACACATACACACACACACACATAAAATTTGGTCATGTCACCTGAAAATTATGCCCTCCAGCATTGCCGAAACCTCATTCACAGAAAACTCAGCTTCTTTGTGAATACATGGGGCTATTTTTTTCTCTTTAATGATAGAGTATGGTTGTGAGTTTTAAAAAGTCCAGAAAAGGAGATTAAATAACCATGCTTAGACAGTTTCATATGAGGCATGTCAAAGCTGCATAGTTTCAAAACCTCAAGAGAAAGTTGAGCCTTCTAAAGATTTAGAAGCCACCACTGAATTGCCAGGCCCCAAGCCACCACAGAATTTTCTGGCTGTCTGGTAAGTTGCCACAACCTACACAGTTGTAGCCAAAGACATACTGCATACCAGAAAATCTGTGATTCTCATCAAAAGCTCCCCCTTTCCTGCCCTGGGACCACAATCTGGTTAGAATGAGCCTGTGGAATAGTTTGTAGTGTTTTTTTTCTGCTGTGCCTCCTCCCTTCAGTTCTGCATTTGGCATGAGGTTCCCTTGAATAGGCCAGAATCCCTGGTAGAAATTCCAAAAGAAAAATGCAGTGAGACATTTTTACCTCCTACTTTGTATGAGTAGAGTAAGTGCAATAGATCTTTCAGCTCCCAGCAAATGAATCTCCTGTTTTATTGAGCATGAATGAGAGTACACTATGTTTTAACAAAGTACTATTATCTACTTCCCATGCCACGTAGAGCTCTCCAGAGACTTTGCCTTGACCATAAGCACAATTAACTTTTAGCCAACTGCAAAGTTTCTGACCCACTGTTTACGGTCATATTTTGTTTAAAAATCTCAGTTCTAGCCAGTCACGTCCTGTTCATCTTTTTGTCTCATGTACTTACTATTAACATGTTACATATTGTCCTTCTCGAGTCTATGAAACCATATCCTTCACTTCGTTAGATTATTCACTAGATAGAATAGATTCTCATATCTCATTTTCTTATAGCACAGATGTGATGATGATGTAATAACAGCTCCTAAATAGTGAGATGTACTACTGAAGCCTCCATTATGTTATTTAAATTCCACAAAAAACAAGCATTTACCTTTTGTTATCTTCATTTTCAAAATAGGAAAACAAAAGATTTTAGTAAAGTAACTCAAATTTATAATCACATTTTTATTAAATGGTAGGGTCAGAATTCATCCCTACTATTTTGATAACTTCTATGAAAGTCATTTTTCTTGCTGTGAACCTATGTGGTAGATGTTATTTAAACCATTATACAGATGAAGAAACTAAGGCTTAGTAAGTTAAGTAAGTTACTCAATATTTAGGGTTTGTATGAAAAAGCCAGGGATAGAGAAAAATCATGCAACTGTGGATATCTAGAACATTCTTTCTCCTTTTATATTCTCACCTTGGGATCGCCATCTGATTAGCCAGAAAACAACCCTCACTGTTTGCGTCTAGTCAGCCACTAGGTCCTATAAATTCCACCTCTCAAATTACTCTTAAATTCCACCTGTATTTTCCCAGACACAACTACCCACTTCAAGCCACCATTATGTCTCATCAGAATTAGAGCAGCCACCTAACTAGTCTTTATGTCCCAGGCTTAAGTCCCCACAATGTATTACTCACACTGCGCCCAGTGTGATCTTTGTTCAAATAAACCATAATACTCATTATGCTCCCACTGACTTTTAGATAAATTCCGACCTTCTTGGAATAAGGCAACCAAGCCTTACATGTTCGACCTCTCACTGAAGCTTCCAGCTCATTTCTTACCACTCCCTTCTTGCATGTGTACTCCAACCACACGGCATGACGTGGAATTTTTCAAACTCATGGGCTCCTGCATTTCTCACTCTTCTTTTCTGCAAATGCCCTTCTCCATGCCCTACTCTCTTTGCCTGACTACTGCCTGCTCAAACTTCATATGTGAACTTGATATTATGTCCTTCTAGGATCCTTCCCTGACATAATCCTTAACTCTTGGACTTCTTTCCCCTCTGTTGTTATTTAAAAGTCTTCGTCAAGATTTACTGACCCCTGTCCAGTACTTGTTGATTTCCTTTGGTAACTGCTCAAAATAATAACAGCCCCATTTTTCTTGTCCTTTAAAAAACGTATATTTGATTAAATAGAAAAGAAAATAGCATCCTAGTTATCTTCCCTGCCACAATTTTGTAGCCATTTATGGGTGAAAATTTTCCATCTAGATTCTACCTAGTCAGGGAATTAAATGTTGAGTCTCTGCTGGTTGAGCAACATTTATTCACTCAGTCTGTCAGTCAATAAGTATTTACTGATCACCTATCATGTGTTCTGTTCTGTTCTGTTCTAGGCTTAGTACATATAGCAGTAAACAAAAATTCTTACTCTCAGAAAGCTTATATTTTAGTGGGGTAAACATTAAGTAAACTAACCTAATAGATAAGTAATATATTAGATAGTAATAAATGAAATGGAATAGAGCAGATTTATTTTGACTTTAGTCACCCAAACAGAAGAAAGCCACTTTATGTTTCCTCCTAAGATGGCAATTGCCATTCAAAATGATCATTGCCCTTCACCCCTTGGCTAGTCTGGGTGGGTGCTGTAATGACTACCCTATATTGGCTGGACTTCAGGCACCATCAGAAAAGGGAGAGGGTGGAATTAGCAGGTGTTTCCGTTGTAGAAGTATCAGGACACTCCACAAATATATCAGTTGTACAAACATAAAAACAGTCTCCATTTCAAATTAGTTGAGGTACACACATAGACACAGACACACACACACACACACACACACAGATAACAAAAGAGGTCTCTTGAGACAAGACTACATGTGATGTAATTCTATTTTTATCTGGGAAGGAGAGACCTTCAAATCTTTGGTGGTGGGAACTGTACCTAGTTCCCTGCTGACTGGGTGACTTGGAATTAACCAGGTTAGAAGACACTGTGTGTGTGCCTAGTTGGGTGTTCAGAAGATAAGAAGCTAAGCTTTAAATATGAATGTGCTTTTGAGCATTGTCAAGCCCTGAAATAACATGCTGACTATACCCATCCACTGAGTTCCAGTAGATACCTAGGCTTTAATAAATAGCACTTCTTAACCCAAATTGAAATTACCTGTATTCTTTTGTGTGAGCCTAAGAAAATAGTCCAAGGAAGTAAACTGTATTGTTGCTGTGACATGATAATTGCAAAATGAATCTGTTTATTCCTTCCTCCTCAGGAAGACTGTTTCTACCTAAGTTTCTGATTGGATCAGAAGCTCTCCCTAGATGTTACTGTAGCACCCAAGGTCATTTCACGCTATGTCATGATAGCCTGTTTCCTAGGCAGTCACCCCATTCCTTCCCTGTGCTCAACTAGAGCTCCTTGAGGGTAGTATCTTTTGTAGCTGAATTCCCAGCATCTAACCGAGTACAGGCACATAGTAAGAAATACCTGAAGGAAGAAAGGAAAATGGGTATCTACCAAAGTAAGAAATCCATATCATGAATCAGAAAATATTAGAGCTAGATAAGGTTGACAGCTAATTCAACACTATCATTTTTACGGATTTTGGCAAATGAAGAAATGGAATGTCACAGAGTTACAAGGACTTACCCAGGCTCAACACAGCTACCTCATTAGTTTAAAAGCCAGATATCCTATATTGTTCCTTGTCTGGTTATGAAATATATGAAATATTTGAACAAAATATGTCTTCTTTTACCTGGGCATAGGGGTGTACATCTATAGTCCCAGCTATTAAACAGGCTGAGGTGAGAGGGTTGCTTGAGCCCAGGAGTTCAAGACTAGCCTGGGCAACATAGCAAAACACTGTCTCTATTTAGAAGAAGAAGAAGTAGAAGAAGAAGAAGAAGGAAAAAATTATTCTCTCTCAAGAGATCCAAAACAAAAATGATTAATTTTATAGTGAAGTAGTTTTAAATGGAAATGAACTGCTTCCAGTTTAGCTACCAACTTTTTACACAATTTTTTGTATGTGGTTTGGAACCAACTCTAACCTAAAACAGAATGCTTTAAATAAAATAATCCTATAAATATTTAGCAGGTACAAACCTCCTATAGCCCACACTGGCCATTTTGAGATGATACTTCTACCAGTTTCTTTGTTTGTCACTATCCTAAGAAGTCATGTGACCTCAGTTACACCTCTAAAACTAAAAACATCAATAATAAGAATAGAATATATTTCCTCCTCTGGTTGCCCTGGGATTCACTGGAATTTTGTTTTGTTGAAGATATTAGACTTTGGATTTGCTTTTTACATTTTAAATATATTCTGATTCTTGTGGCCTCATATTATTGCTATCTCAGAAGAAAAACATTTGAGGGAAAAGTATTCCTTCAAAGTTCCTGTCTGGTTGCCTATGCTACAGCATGCCAACCTCGACTTAACTGTTTAAACTTTCATTTATTTTTTACAACTATTCAATACATTTACAATGACTTTTGGTCAAAGGCAATGATGTTCAGACCTACTTCTGTAAATATAGCTTTTCTTTAAAGATATTCTGGTTGTTTGCTTACTTCTAATAATCTGATTACTTTTCTCCATTTCCTGTTTAAGACACATGGATATTTTCATGCCGTAAAAATCCAAGATTTAAAATAATGCTAATTCTGTTGAAGTGCTGTTTCATCCACTTCATTTTTAGTGATCCTTCAGGTCTTAGTTTAACCATTACTCCCTCAAAGAAACTGTGTTAGACCTTCCAATTCAAATTAGCTATCCCCTGTTATTGTTCTCTCACTTAGTACTGGCTATTTTATTCCTATTTGCTTATTTCTTGTTTTAATATCTGCTTCTGTCATTAGATACTAAACTCTGAAATCAGGTAATCATCCTTGTTTTGTTTACCAGTGAATATACTGTTTACTAGCACAGTGTTTTGCACATAGTAGGTTCTCAATAAATTAAGGGCTATATTAAAAGAAAAATTGTTAGTATTCAGTGACAGAGTTTTTTCAGTTTTTCTTATGTATCGTTATCTTTGTGCTCATTTCTTTAAGTGATGTGTGTGTTCAGGAATCATTGCCAACTGAGAAGGTGAGGAGACTATAATAGGGAGTCAAATTATTTTATCATGCTTCTTGTATGTTTCTAAGCATCTGCACATTACCACCCCAACGCATGGTGGAATTCTCCAACTACAAGCTTAAAGCTTATAGATATCAGGTATCTTGCCAACACCCTGATGAATCTGCTTTGCCCCAGTGGTAATCCAATGTGAAACTGAACATTTTTTTAATCACTTAGAATAGGCTGGGCATATACTAAATTCTTTGATAATTACCTCCAGCTGTTTAACCGTTTGGACTAAAGCTAAAGCCAGAACAAAAAACAGGTCATGCCCTGCTTTTGATATATGTAAGCATCTAGAATGTAGAAAGGGTTGGAAAGCTTCATGTGAGACATCAAAATTAAAATAAAGAGGTAATCCTGATACACAAATCAGAATAAATATCTTTCTCTTGTGCTTTTGTTTATTTGTGTGTGTACGTGTTCAAACGTTTTGTAGTTTATGACAAAAAAAAAACAATAAGTAGAAGAAGGGTCATATTCACATACATATATGGCCAGAAACATAATGTCATACATGATAATGCATCCAGTTTTATATGTCAATTTAAAAGATAAATAAGTAATTTTGAAAAATCACAAAAGAAAACCATTCTGTACAGGAAAATCAATAGTGACTGGTGACTTTAAGTTTAGAAAAAACATCACTGTTTGGGTTTTTTGTTGGTCCTTTTGTTTCCTGATTTCTTGCTCTTCAACCCAAATATTTTCCCCTACCTTTGCATATAAGGCCCATTGTGATTACAACTGAGTCACCTTTCCATCTGCATCTCCCATGACCCCCACCTCATACCTGCTGCAATACACTCAGATGTGGTTCATCATTATGATCCTAGTGCCCTAATACTTGACTGAGAGTAAACACTAGACAAATATGAATGAATGAATGAATGAAATTCTATAGGGTGAAAGAAACACCAAAACTTCCTGCTCATGGTAGGAACACGAAAAAATAGATACCATTTATTTATGTATGTGTGTGTATACATGTATATGTATGTATATATAAACATTCATACAAGTACGCAACATACAAATCCACTCAAAGGGCTCAGACCTACTTTAGAAGATGCTATGGCATATTTACCATTAGAACATTGGAACTTTATCTTAGGCGTCAATAATCTAAGCTGACTCATTTGCCACTTCACTGACCTGTCTTCCCTGTTTCTCTGGACAGCTGTTTCTCCATTCTTCAACATGCTCATGTTTCCTAAGCTGCCTCCTTCTGCCTGTATGTGAACTTCATCTTTTTCTTCTTTTAAAACCAGCTTTACCACTTATGTTTTCTCTAATCCCTTTCTAGATGTTGTCAAAGAAGACACCACACACCCTGGCTATCACTATTGGGAATGTGTGTTGGTGTGCTACACATATACTGGTCTATTTATGAAGTACATGTATGTGTTGGTTTTTCTGATTTAAATATCTTAATTGCATCATCTTAACCCTATGTTTTGTAATATGTTTGCCTTTTTAATAATGACCTCTTCTTACTTTTTTTTTTTCTCTGTATGAGTTTGTTTCTCAGAACAGGTAGTTCCACTTTCAATGAGATACTTCTCTAAAAGCAAACTGAAGAAGAGAAGCAACTGGGGCCATTTGCTTCTAAGTTTACAAGTGTAAATTTCATGCATCTTTACCCTGTAGTTTGGTTTTGTCTGTTTTGGAGAGCAGTGGTTTATTTCTGCTGTTACGACCATTTAGGTCACAAGTTGGACACAAATAGAGTACTAAAGAAGCAGTAATACATGATTATTTTACCTTAGTAGCTGCTTAAGAACGATCATATACAGATTTTTATATGTGTGTGTGTGTGTGTGTGTCTATGTGTGCGTATACTTATATATACTTTATATATATATACACACACACATATATGTGTGTGTGTGTGTGTGTATATATATATATACTTTTCCACTTGTACATGTTTGATGTTTGATAATTTCTTACAGTTGCAGAGCTGACAGATCACCCTGTGTAGCCACTGTGCTCTGTATTTCTTTGTATCCTTGACAATGCCTAAAATAAATCTTTGCCTACTGTAGGTGTTGGTGAAGGTGTGATTTCTTCTCTTGTTTCCAAGGGGATAAGCAAATGTTTAACTTGTGTTTCTATGTAGAATAAAAATGTTGCAATGATTTTTTTAAGAACGTCATAGGTTGACTTACTTTGAAACATTTTATTAATTTTTGGAAACTTGTGTGTAGAACATAGTTTCAGACTCATACTCCCCCTTCTTGAGATTGTAATTATGGTAGGCCTATCTGGGCCTGTTGTTTGTGTGTCCTGGCATAAATTCACTATGTGCTATCTCAAGAATACCTTTTTAATTGATAAAGTTAGGGAATAGCTTTATGAGCAAGAACTTTTGAGAAATTTCTAAATACTTGGTATAGTACTAAATATTGTGTTTGTACTTTCTTTAGTACTTGAAAATATTAACTATTTAATATAGGATTTATATATTACTATATGGTAATTGTCTTATGAAAATTCTAAGTTCGAGATTGTAGAAAGACCAGGTTTCTAGAAATTTAGTCCTTTATTGAGATATAATTCATAGTTCACTCACTTTCATAAGTGCTTTTGGGGGCAAGGAGGAGTGCAGGGAAAGTGTACTCATATTTAAGACCCCATAATCGGCAAAATGTAGATCTTATTCCCTGTAAACCTTAGGTTAAGGTTACTATTATCTCTTCAGTTTGTCTCTAATACAATGTAAAAATACTATAAATATTTTCAGGGTAAATGAATTTAGTGGTGCATAATTTACGTTCTCAAAAAAAGCAACTATATACTTCTTTTCTTACCATACACTCTTCTGCCTGACGTGGCTGTTTTGAGGCAAGATGACAGGCCATCTCACATCATGTACCCTGTCTTTGGAATATATCATTTGAAAATGAAATTATGTACAACATTCAGGTTTGAGTAGTACTGAGACATGTAGCCTGGGCATTGAAATTTGGGGGACATTTGGACAGTTTATATAGATAATGAGACTGTATAATTGACCTTGAGATCACCCTGGAAAATTCAAGTAACAGGCTAAGGTCTCTCACAGATGCCTTCCTGAATACCCAAACTTCTTCCTGCTGCCATCCTCTTAAAGCTCCCCCAGAAGGACTGCAGGGACTTCACCCTTTGGACATATGCCATCTAGTCTGTAAATGTGTCATGGTTCAGTAGATGACTTCTTAGTCCTTCCTAGATTTCAAAGTTTTCTTTTGGGCCTGAAGGACGTTCTGTTGTATTACATCTAACTATAATACTATCTCTTCAGTCATCCTGAAAAAAACTGTAAAAGAAAGCCTGTTTAGGTCCCTGAAACAACTTTTCCTCTGACCCATTTAGTGTACTGTTTCACTTCATTTTCATCTGCCAGCAGATTGAATGACTTTCTCTGGGCTCAGCATCATTAGGCTGAAATAAAAAGACTGCTTTTAAGAAAACGAGTTGACAACTTAGAAGTTTCTAGCAGAACATGCCAAAAAAGGTGATCTATTTTATAAATTGTATGTTGAACTCTGAAGTTGGAGGAAGTACTTTTAAAACCATACACGTTTTTTCAACTTAAATGGCTACTGCTTGTGTTTTTTTTCCCCCTTGTGATTTTTTGGTTTACCCAGCTGCACAGCCTCGCTTGATTATATCAATGAAGTGTATATTGCCCCCTAAATGCCTGATTGATCCAATTAGCTGAAGACTAAAACTTTTTATACCATGATGTAACTAAGGGGGGTTGGGGGAATCTTGAATATATTAAAGTCAATCCCAATGCAGACCGAAAAAATTTAAAAGAAACCTGATAGAGAAAAAGCAAATTAGAACAGTTAGATTTACCCAGTCATACATATATTATTCACATTTCTAGAAGGAAGAATTGTTTTTGGGACAAGTAGGCTCCTAAGTGGTAAAGAGCTGTTTTGGTAAATCTGTAGGTAATACTAAATATGTAGAGAGTGAATAAAATATAGGATTGTATGAGAGATCAATAATATAAAAATACCTTATCACTTTTAAATCACTAAAATGCAGCAAATTAACAAAATACTCCAACAAAGTATACATTGACAGTATTTAGCACAGTAAATCAGTATGTTTTCATATAAGCAGATATTGGATACAACTAGCTAGACAAATTTCTAAGTGTATTGGTTACAAAAGGCCTTTAATCTGAGTCCCAGCTACTGGTCTAACATCTCACACCTTCTTCCTACTTATCCAACTCTCTACCCCTATTAAATGGCTTATAGTCCATTCATTCCACACTTATTTATTAAACATCTATTGTTGGCTGCTACGATTTTATGCCCTGGGATATAACAATGAATAAGTAAAATGTTCCTGCCTCCTTTGAGCAAACATTGAAAAGGGGGAACATCTATAATATAAATAAGCAAATAAAGCTTTTAGAATATGTTAGAAGATGTTAAGCGTTGGTATTGTTTGAATTATGTCCCTCCCAAAAGATGTTGAAGTCTTAATCTCCAGTACTTGTAAACATGATCTTATTTGAAAAGAGGGTCTTTGTAGATGATGAAGTTAAGATGAGGTCATTAGGGTGGGCCCTAATCCAATAAGGACTGTTTCTTACAGAAAAGGGAAATTTAGACACAGAGACAGATACGCACATAAGAAGAACACCATGTGAAGGCAAAGACAGAAGGCTGAGCATAGTAGCTCACACCTGTAATCCCAGGGCTTTTGAAGGTGGAGGCAGGAAGATAGTTTGAGCCCAGGAGTTGGAGGCAGCCTGGGCCGCATAGTGAGACCTTGTCTGTACAGAAAAAAGGAAAAGATAAATACCAAGATCAGAGTGATGCATCTGCCAAGCCAAGGAATACCAAAGATTACCGACAAATCACCAGAAGTTAGGAGATAGACATGGAACAGATCATTTCTCATAGCCCTCACAAGGAATCAACCTTGCCACTACCTTGATTTCAGACTTCTAGCCTCCAGTACTGTGAGACAGTAAAATTATTATTTAGAGCACTAAAAGATTACATAGAGCTTTAGCAGAAGAAGGATTAGAAAGGTTAATTCGGAGCTAAATGTAAAGGAAAACCTTTTGATCACTGGGGAGTATTGGAATGTATGTCAGAACTGGGTATGCTGAGAGTTCAATCCTAGTCCTAAACAACAAATTTCACCATTTGGGTTTCCTCTGAAAGCCATCAGTGTAGTGGTTTGGCGCACTCTCTGAAGTCATGCAGACTTACCTTCTAACGTGTATCACAATGTATAACTTATAATCACAATATAGATAGCCCTTTGATAAACATCCTTGTCCTAGATTATACAAAAATTGTTTACTTTGGATAAATTCCTAAAACTATAATGGCTAGCTTGACGAATATGGCATTGGCACTGGCTAGATATTTTCAAGCTGCTCTCTAGATTGGTTTGTACCACTTGCTGCTCCCACAGAGTATGCAAATACCTTGTTCCCTCACTGACATTCACTTATTCATTAATATATGTTTATGGAAGTCCCATCATGTGCCCAACATTGTACAAGGAATTGTAAATACAAAAGTTAACTAGACAGACATTCTATTACCCCAAAAATGTGTAGTTTAGTGGGTAAGAGACTAAAATAACTGAGCAGATCAGTTTATAAAATAATTGTAAATTAAGTACTACAAAGGAAAAAACATAGTCTAATTTTTATCTTTGCCAGTTTGATAGGCAAAATTGTTTTTTATTGTTTAAATTTGCATTTTATTACTAATGAGGTTGAATATAGTTTCATACGTTTACAAATTGGATTGAAATATTTTTTCTTTTCTGAAATCGATATATATACACCTCTGTTTTTTAGTTGGCATGTTTACATTTTTTCTTATTGAGTTTTAAAATCTTTATATACAACCCATCAATATTTTGTCTTTTATATTTTGTATCAGATGATTTCCAATGCATACAAGTAGTTAACTCTGTTAGTATTTCCTTTAGAGTTTTCTTTCTTTGGTATTATGCTTTAAAAGGCCAGCCTCTCCTTGAGATAAGTTAGACATGTCTCTGCATTTTTTTCTACTGTATTTTCCATCTACAGTCTTCATAAATTTTCTTTTTGTTTCTTGACCTCTGCCATCAATATTTATTTAAGTTTATTCAGTTCTTCGCTAACATAAAAGAGTCCTTTTTTCCATCCCTCCAGGTAACTATACTAATTCTCCTGACCCTTCGTGGCTGCATTTCTCTTGCTGCCTCCATTTCTTCATCATCGTCTCACTCCACAAACCACCCTGCAATGGTTACTGTGCCCCATGAGTTACACTCCAGTTCTTACTAAGGTTTCCAATGACCTCCATGTTGTTTAATCAAACGGGATTTGACATATTCAGAGATGGCAAAGTAAAAATGCAATTTTTAAAAACTTTCAATAGCTGATTTTATCCTCTTTATTAAAAAAAGAAAGGGAGGAAAAAACTTGATTTTAGAATCAAAGGTATCTTGATTTCTTCCAATTTAAAGCAGTCTTTTTCAGATAAATTCATTATATTACTCCATAATCACACTGGTTTACTATTTAACAATCACACTAGAAAAACAATTAATTTCACTGTTCAAATTTCTTATCAGGGCTATTTTTAAATGTCAACAAATCTTCACATTGCCTTGACCAAACAACTTGGAAGGATAAGAAATCTTATGTGTCCTCTATGGTGATAGGAACCTGTAGCTTGTGTTGTCCTCTGAGTCCTTGCTGCCTGCATGGCTATTTCTTTGTCTTTCCTGACCACTGGGTTTCTTATTGACAGCTGTGCCTGAAGCCTACAGTGGTAGAACTTGTGATCTAGGCTTTCAGCCTTGTGAGATCCTAGTACCCCCCTACAGCTGACTTGCCCCCATCTCAAAATTTGCTGACCCTAAAGATCCTCAGCATCATAACTACATCTTCTAAATTATAGTGGCTTAGGTTGTTTATCTAGAAGCCTCTGTTTGGAGGGTCACTTTATTCAGCATAATAATCTCACAGAAGGCCCACTGATTCTCACCTGCTTGCCTTTGAAGCACCATCGGAAGTACATGGCAACTTCTGTTATGGTCCATGCTACATAAAAGCTATGGGTAACCAAAAACTTGTGTGTGTGAGGTTGGATTTGTAGTATTATAAGTGCTGTCTCAGCTTTAATCCCCCTTGGTTTGCATACAACCACCTCTAACTGTACTATACTGGAATTTAGCACGTGAGCCTTGTCTGGCAGTAATATATGTATTTGACTAATAAAAAGTGAAAACAGGCCAGGCACGGTGGCTCACACCTGTAATCCCAGCACTTTGGGAGGCCGAGACGGGCATATCACCTGAGGTCGTGAGTTCAAGATCAGCCTGACTAACATAGAGAAACTCCGTCTCTACTGAAAATACAAAATTAGCCGGGCATGGTGGCACATGCCTGTAATCTCAGCTACTCAGGTGGCTGAGGCAGGAGAATCGCTTGAACCCTGGAGGCAAATGTTGCGGTAAGCCAAGATCACGCCATTGCACTCCAGCCTGGGCAACAAGAGCGAAACACCCTCTCAAAAAAAAAAAAAAAAAAAAGTGAAAACAAGTTATTTCTCAACAAATATGATTTCTTATCACATTTACGCAAAAAAATGTTGGCACTATTTAAGTGCCATGTCTAAAGACAATAAATCTAGTTTGTTTGGCAGATTCAATATTTCAAAATAAGATATCCATGAGAGATCAAATAATCAAAGAGGTCCCTGATTATGGAAGTCTAGGACCTCTTTGACATGTACCGTGTGGGACTGCTATTGTCAAGTTTATGGTAAAGAAAGAGAGAAAATGGGAAGGAGAGAGATCCTTCACTAAACATTTGTTAAGCGTCTATCATGACAGAAACCTTTATTCCACAATAAAGATCCAGAGATGAATACAAATTATTTTCCACCCTGCTAGAGAGATTAGTGAGGTAAATATTCAACAAATATTGTGTTTCTTTATGTAGCAACTGATATGATAGAAGCGTGAGAATGAGGTTCTTTAGAATCACAGTGGAATTTCTGGATCTTACAACCTGTGAGGTAAGGGGAGTCTGCTCTTTTCCATTGTCAGGTAGAAATAACAACTCATGGAGAGGTTTGTTTTATCAGAGGACACGGAGATCACATTTTATGTCACCTCTCCAGAGCTTTCTTGGATGATGTAGCTTTTCTGGTTAAACCTATAACATAGGAAAAAAACATGTGCTGGTAGTGGTCAGTACATTTCAAAGGTGAATACCTGAACACGCCACCTGAATAGGCTTTGTGGCCCCAACAATACCATCTATCACCTGAGGTTCATAGTAAAGTATCCTTCACTGAAGTTTTTTGTTTTTGTTTTCTTGAAAGGAGAGCTCTTTTGAATGACAGTTTGCTAGATTCAATATTGCAAAATAGCTCTCAACCGACTTTATTTTTACATGCATGAATCACAAAATAGAATGTTGACAATTTCTTGCTTAGTTCTTTGTGAGTAGAATACATTCTAAAAATAATTTTGTGAAACACATTTTTATACTAATGAAAGCACATGCCTCAACTTCAGAAAATTTCTCCTATATTTCTGATGTGGTAAGTAGACCTGCTTATGGAGCATTTACAGTGGTTGCCAGGAAAAATATATTAAGATATAAAAAATCATCTCTATGTACTTAGTTGCCTTTTGGGCCGCTATTTCATGCAAAAGAAATGGTTAAGGGATTGGTTAAATAATATATCTTTGAGGCTTAACTTTTTGGAGCACTTCTTCTGAAGTAGGAGGCCAGCATCACACTGGAGACTCTGAATAACAATTTACTACAGAGTTGGATTGAATGTAAGCAGGATTCATACAGTACCCGGAGCAGAGGAGCTTAGATACAAAACTCAGTGAAAGGACTACATTTAAAGTGTCTTCATCTGCCAATGAGGCCTTATACCTTGATTCTAGGGTTCAGCTGTAGAGGATCCAGGGTTAATGGAGGATTAAAAGTAATATTGTCTTATGACTCCAAGCACAGCATAGACTTGGCTTTGACTTGGCTTTTGCATTATAAAGAGAATATGTGACCTTATACCAAGATCTGATAACCCAAGGCAGTATGAAATTATCAATATGAAAGAGGAGTAGTTTATTGCATGCCTATTGCAAAGTGCATTACAGATGCTTTATACATTTTAACCAATTTTAAGCCTCACAACAACTCTATGAAGTATTATTATGCCCTTTTGCAAATGTTGAAACAGACTCAGAAAATAGTATCTTACCAATGAAACATATAATAAGTAGCAGAGGATGCTACTATTGAGGACTGACTTTTAAACTCACTTTTTTTCATAAAGAAAGTACCTAGCATAGTCCATGACCCATAGTCATGTCTCTCTGCAAATATTAGGGGTTTTTTTTCCAATATTTTCCTTCTTTCTTCTTTGCTCTCCTTCCACTCTTCTCTTTTTTGTAACAAATTGCCTTTTATAAAAGAGCATAGACTTTAGAACTTTAGAATCATAATCCTTCCCCTCTTCTTAGGTAGAATAAATTGTTTTCTCCTCTTCACTAATGTGTGGGGTGCGTGTGTGTGTCTATGTGTGTGTGTTATATGTTTGGTCTGTCTCTTCCATGAATACCACGAGATTATAAAAAACCTTCAAGGGCAATTTAATTTGCTACCTCAAATTGAATGTAATTTTCTGCCTCATTTTAAGCAATACATTCAAGCACTGCTTTAGTGAAAAGAACATTAGTTTATTCAGCTTATAAACACTTTTTAAGCCTCTAATATGTGCTGAAAATGAGTCAACATCTCCCGAAACACAGCCCGACAACTTTTTTTTTTGTTTGTTTGCCCTAGGAGCATGGAAGTTCAAAAGTAAGTGTCTGGTGTGCAGTAGATTGAGAGTTGTGAACTCATAGGCTGCTTGACCTCATGCAAAATTTAGGAGCAAAAATCTTGGTGAAGACAGGCATCACTGGTCATCAGTTGACTAATCAGTCTCCAACTTAATGGGACATTGACATGTCCTCTCCCCAGGTGTTCTCTGAAAGCACTGAGAGCTTAATGAGAAAATCTGGGTTCAGGAATTATTATTTTATTTTATTTTGAGATGAAGTCTAGCTCTGTCACCCAGGCTGGAGTGCAGTGACGCGATCTTGGCTCATTGTAACCTCTGCCTCCTGGATTCAAGAAATTTTCCTGCCCCAGCCTCCTGAGTAGCTGGGATTACAGGTGTGCACCATCACACCCAACTAAATTTGTATTTTCAGTAGAGATGGGGTTTCACTATGTTGGCCAGGCTGGTCTCAAACTCCCAACCTCAGGTGATCTGCCTGCCTTAGCCTCCCAAAGTGCTGGAATTACAGGCATGAGCCACCGCACCCAGCCCAGAATTATTTTTCACCACTGATTGTTTTAATTTGAGAAAGCCAAGTGACCACTGAGTTTCTATAGCTTAACTTGGAAAATGGGGCTGATAAGTCCTACTCTATCTCTATCTCTCAGCATTATTCAAATATAAAATTTGAAAAATTATACATATTATCTTTAAAAGTTAGCAAGGAAAGGCTGGGCGCGGTGGCTCAAGCCTGTAATCCCAGCACTTTGGGAGGCTGAGGCGGGCAGATCACAAGGTCAGGAGATAGAGACCATCCTGGCTAATACGGTGAAACCCCGTCTCTACTAAAAATACAAAAAATTAGCCAGGCGTGGTGGTGGGCACCTGTAGTCCCAGCTACTCAGGAGGCTGAGGCAGGAGAATGGCGTGAACCCGGGAGGCGGAACTTGCAGTGAGCCGAGATCGTGCCACTGCACTCCAGCCTGGGCCACAGAGCGAGACTCCGTCTCAAAAAAAAAAAAAAAAAAAAAAAAAAAAAAAAAAAAAATTAGCAAGGAATATAAGTGAGAGTAAACATATATGAGTTGTCACATTTATTGTTGTTATCTGTGACAGTGACTTTTAAAAAGGAGGAGAAAATATTTTCCATAATACTGGCTACTGTATAATGTGGACCCATTGCTTAAGTGACCTATATATTCATTTTTGATGCATTCATTAGTTCTGTAATAAACATAGAGTACCTGCTATATACCAGATAACCAGGGATACGTATTATGAACAAGATGGGAACATAATAATTCTGGAAGGAAAATATTACTAACCCCATTTTATAGAAGAGACAACTGAGACTCAAAGCGGTTAAATAACTTATATAACATTATAGCTGTGAATCCTTTCCATCTATAAAACTTCTTTGGTTAATGAGAACCCAGTAAAGTGAGGACTGTGCCTGTTTTGTTCACCGTATATATCCAGCATGTCACCTATTGCCAGGTAAAGAGAAGGTGTTCAATAAATATTTTTAAATACATAAATGAGTGAATAAATGAATGAATAAATTAATGAATTGAATGAATGAGCAAGAGTAAAGACAAAAGAAATTAGAGTAGTGTTGTAGCTTACAATCCACTGATTTTATGTGCATGTTTATATACATATTCTCCAACTGACCACTAAAACCACATAATTAGTGACTGAATGTAAGGATATAGTTATTCGAAAGAATACATACATAATATAAGTTTACACACTGTGCTTTTAAACTCAGCTCAAAAATTAAACATTGTCACCTGTGTAGCATGACTATGTTAGCCTCTTTCTTACATGCCTGTAGTTCTATTTTGTTGGTTGCCATAATACAAATTTGCTGAGTGGTGCAAACTACTAAGTTACTCTAAGCCACCCAGTCTAGATTATTTGATTAATTTTTAATGAAGGAAACCTATTTTATCTTTATAACCCAAATGATTTCAGGCTCAGTGTCTGTCATCCAGTCTCTTTACCCACTCTGTGGCAGAACTGTCATGTGAGTCTGTCTAGACCACTATTTAATTTATCTGGGCTTTTTCCCCGCTTTATTTTTGATGCAGTGATACTGCTACAACCTTTCTCAGAGTCATTGTGAAGAACAACTTTAAAAGAATGAATGCTAAATTACTACCGGTGTATCCCCTTTAATATAATTCAACCACTGTCTTTTAAAAATTTTTGCCCTGGGGCTAAAAGAAATAAATGGGGTAGACAAGATAGCAGCTTTCTTGAGTGATTCAATGCCTACCCTTTTTTCCATTTGGGTCTACTTAGTTTATCTATTTTCAGGTTGCATACTGGTATGTAAATACCTTTTAACATGGTGAAATACCGAGACAAGGGACAAGGTTTTATAGTTGATAAATGGGGGATGGAATGTCAAATGAGCCTTACAGACATTAGGCACACTTGAGAATTATCTACTTTTTTGAGGAGTGAAAAAGAATATCCACCTCACTGAAAGACTGGCCAATTCTTCCCTTTGCCTTTGGATGAAATGAAGTTGAAATTAGTTCAGGCATCAAGCCAATTCTCTTCCTAGTCCCCTCCTTCCAGCCATACCTCCAAATAATCAGTTAATGCAAAGTATGCTGCCTACATCTTCCACACAAAGAAAATAAATGTTCCAGTACAAAGTCAGTAGGAGGCATTTCATATCAGAGGAATTTTTCTTTCATTTCATTGCATTTGTATTTGTTTAGAAACACACTCATGCTTTTCAAGAAAGGGTTTCTTAGCTTCTAAGTTGGGCCTTATTATAGGTAACTAATAAGATGTTTTAAGCCAAATATAAAAAGATTCGTATACTCTTTCTAAATATCTATTTAAGAAGTGAAATTCTTAGAGGTTTGTTCTGTTCTGTGAAGCTTGATACATGTGCTTGTTTGAGCGAGGTAAAAAGTAGGTAAAAATGGGGCACATCAAAAAATAAAGATGCTTTTTTCTGTATAACTTCTTTAAGATTTCCTGCTTTAATTCTCACCATGACTATTAAGCAAACACAACCCTTATTTACTGTACAAGTTCAGTCTTTTTAAATGTGATTCGTATGTGTGTGTATGAATATATTACCTGTATGAATATATGATATATATTTATATATATAACATATATGAAATTCATATATATATGAATCCAGTTGTAATGAACTAAAACGCTCATCTGCATATGGTCTCATCCACCCCTACTTTGCCGTGGTGGTTAAAATCTTTTGGACTCATCCTAGGATGAGAGCAATATGTCCTCAGGCAGATTTACTACCATCCAATATTAAGTGCTGTGAAATAGCGGTATTTGGGTAATAAGGTTTTATCTCTAAAATGCTGTGTTGTGCTTTGCTACCAGAGATTTGTGCCCTGACCTTCTGAAGAAGCTGTCGTTTTCAACTCAGCTTTAATTTTTTTTTTTTCTGAGGTTGTCACTTTTGCCATATGGTAGATGTTTCTTCTGGGAGAGAAGGAGCTGCATGCACAAAAACTTTGAGGGAAACATTATTGTATAATTTGCTTGAGGTCGAAGCCAATACTCTGGAGGTTGGTCTATCATTTATTGTAATGTGGCAGATATTAGAGGGCTTATAAACACGTTTTGCTTTTGAAGTGTATTCACAAAGGATTGAAAGTGGCAGAATGTGGCAAGTCATATTTATGCCTCAGTGAGAATTATTAACCTGCCTAAAGTACAAGATAGAACAACATTTTTTGTGAGTTCTGCTTACCCTTGGACTTCAGTGTAGGAAGATACTTTAGGGAATCAAAGAAGTGACTGGAAAATATCTTTTTGGTGGCAGAATCATAAAAATGAATTTTATTTCTACCGCAAATTAGAAGAAAGTAAGTACCCCATCTTCCTGCTTCTGCTGCTGAAAGGATGAGTAAAGAACAAAAGAAATTGTTTATACTCGGGTTAAGTACCTTCTAAAAGAAATATATACCTCTGTGCTGCACTTTAATTCAGTTTATTTACTTTACCTTCAGGTGTAGAAATACATTAGAATTGATGTTGAGAATTGAAAAGTTTTATATTGTGTTCTTAAATCTTTTGTCAAATATGAACTCGTTAGAGAAAAATGATTTAGGCTATACTTCACTCTAGTAGATGGGAGAAGACTCTAAGAGAAATATGAATTAGATTTCAAAGTTTATTTTCTCTTAAAGTCTGATCGGATTTTGCCTGTGATTAGGGAATTAAGGAGAAACCATGGAGGCAAATTAGTTTCTCAGGCTTCCATCGGGCAAACTGTTACTCTAGTACACATTTGATGCAGCAGGAGGCTGAACAAATTTTTTCTTCTTCAAATGGTGAACTGCTTGATCTTTTGTAGTTGATAGAAGCATGAGTAAACATAAATAAACATGGATTTAAATATACTAATTAGAGGAATTACTAAGATAAAGCCAGCTGGGTGGTGGTGGCTCATGCTTGTAATCCCAGCACTTTGGGAGGCCGACGCAGGTGGATCACCTGCGGTCAGGAGTTCAAGACCAGCCTGGCCAACATGGTGAAACCCCGTCTCTACTAAAAATACAAAAAATTAGCTGAGGGTGGTGGCACGTGCCTGTAGTCTCAGCTACTCCGGAAGCTGAGGCAGGAGAATCGCTTGAACCTGGGAGACAGAGGCCACAGTGAGCCGAGATCGCACCGTTGCACTCCAGCCTGGGCAACAAGAGCGAGACTCTGTCTCAAAAATAAATAAATAAATAAATAAAGCCTATAAAATGCTTACGATAATAATATCAATAAAAATAAAGTTTGCATTAATTTATTTATTCAACAAATACTTATTGCATATTTATTATATGCCAGCCATGGTTAGAGGTGCCCATAAATTACATTAACATAGTTTTTTTCTCAATGAATACAATTCTTATAATATAACTGATACATGTGGCAGCAGAAGTAAGTTCAATGTACTCTGGGTGTAACTGAACCCAACTGGTTATCTGAACCCAACTGGTGAGTCACACAAGCCTCACAGAGCAGATGATGCTTAAACCACGTTTAGATACATGAGGAAAGAAGGCTTAGAAATGGAAATGGAATGAGTGTCTTTAGGAATCTATAAGTAGGAGTTGGGAGGAGGAATGAAGGGAGATGAGAAAAGCCCAGACTTAAGCTGAAAGACCCAAGTAGAAAACCAAGTCTCCCACTTAGTTCCTTTTCATTCATTTTAAATTAGTTGATTTATTCATCTAACTATAATGAGGGAGCACATATGATATGTGCAGAATTTTCGGAATGACTAGGATAGATCAGAGACAACCAGAGGGTTAGGCTAAAAACTAAAGCAGGCTAGAAAATAAGGCAAATACACATATACTCCGAACATAAAGCCAAAGATAAATTGCTTTAGGAAAGGTATAACCCAATGTGCTCTAGGACCTTAGAAGTGGGAGCAGTTGCTTTCATTTGTAAGGATTAGGGTGCGTGAGATCAAGTGAGACTTCTTGGAGCAAATGACAATTAATTCAAGCCCTAAAGGAAGAATAGAATAAGAGGTGAGGGAAAGTCTGAGAGCAAAGTTGCAAGGCTTATCAGGACCATATATTTACAAAGTAAAGTGAATACTGGGGTTTGATTAGGTGACGCTTAAGTGGAAAACCACAGTGAGAAATAGGCGTTGGAAAGCAAAGTGCAACATAATAACAAAGTGCCATAAATGTTATGCCTAATAAATTTAGACTTTATTCCCTAAGCAGTAGGGAGCCAATGCACGTTTCACTTGTCCCTCTAACATTCATTTGACACTTAAAATATACTGACATTTAATGTCATTTTATGTTTATATATCCTGCTTCTTCACAAAATGGTAAATTCTGTGGTGTTAGGACTTTAGCTTTACTTGTCATACACATGTGATATGGTTTGGCTGTGTCCACACCCAAATCTCATCTTGAACTGTAGATACCATAATCCCCACATGTCATGGGAGGGACCTAGTGGGAGGTAATTGAATCATGGGGGCAGGTTTCTCCCATGTCGTTCTCCTGATAGTGAATAAGTCTCACAAGAACTGATGGTTTTATAAAAGGGCAGTTCCCCTGCACAGGCTCTCGTGCCTGCCACCATGTAAGACCTTCACCTTCCACCATGATCGTGAGACCTCCCCAGCCATAGGGAACTGTGAGTCCATTAAATCTCTTTCCTTCATAAATTACCCAGTCTCAGATATGTCTTTATTAGCCACTTGAGAATGGACTAACAAAACATGGAAAGTATTTCGATTGAGCAGGACAGGGATATCCTTTTTATTGAGTACCTTTTATGTGCTAAACAGTATCGAATGCTTTTACATTTGAAAACATCATTCTTCACAAGAGTTTAACAATCACTGTTTTAAAATGAGGAATTTAAGAGAAGTTAAGAAGCTAGCCCAAGGTCACACACTTAATAAATAAAGTCCAGGATCATCTTACCTCCCAAAAGGCCCCACTTGCCAGTGCTCTTGCACTGCGGATTAAGTTTCCAACACACGAATTTGGTGGACATATTGAGCTCATAGCAGGAATGAAATTCCAGTCTGTGAACTCTAAAACTTATACACTTTTCACTCTATTACCGCTTCTTACTGATTGAGACACTCATTTCTTAAACACATATTTATTGAATGTTTATTATGTGTCTGGTGCTGTTCTAGAAACGAGAATACAGTTAGTGGTGAAAATGACAGAAAGGTTCCTGCCTCCTGGAGCTTATACTCTAGTGAGGTACTCATACAATATATATGCAGTTAACAAAATAAGGGTAGATGGTGATAAAGGACATGAAGAAAATAATAGGGTGATAAGATAGGAAGTGACCAAAGGTGGTAATGAGAAGAGTAGTTTGTTGCTATCAGGGCAGGCTCCTTTGAGGTGGTAACGCTTGAGCTGGGATCTGAAGAATAAGGACGTAAAAATGCTAGAGGTAGATATAAGAGCAAATACAAAGTCTCCAAGATAGAAATAAACTTGAAATGTTGGAGGACCATAAAAGGGGACATGATAATTGCAGTCTAGTAAGGGAGAAGAAGGATACAAGAAGTCAAAGAGGAGACAGGTGTCCGTGACTTAAATTTTTTTTGTCCCCTGCAAAACTAAAGGATTTAGATATTAACCAAAATGCTCAGGGTTGCAAAGAAAGCAAATATACTCCTAAGGGGAATGGAGTGCACACAATCCAGCCTTTGCCTACCTCCACCTCCCGTCTCCCAACATATACCTGTGATGGAACATTGAACTCACTTGCTTCCAGAAAATATTTCTTTTTCCTGGGTAGAGGTTTTATGGGCAGCACTCTGAAGTTAGAATTGTTTGAATACCAATGAATAGATTTTGAGCCCAGTGAGAATGGTGGGCTGAGGGGAGTTTGGATTATTGGGTCAAATAAGTTCTAATCTTAACCTAGCGTTGACATTTACACATGACATCTTTTAGTAAGGAAATAGACTCTACAAATAAAGTTGTGTAAAACAGAAAGTTAGGTCTTTGAAATCCTTACCACTGCCAATGGGCCTTGCATTTAACAAATAGAATATAAAACTACAGACTAAGCATAGCTTTAAGAAGCCTGTAACTAATAGCTACTTGGTACAAGAATGTGAAGTCAGCCCAGGTGAGGTGGCTCACTCCTGTAATTCCAGTATTTTAGGAAGCTGAGGTGGCTGAATGGCTTGAGCTCAGGAGTTCGAGACAAGGCTGGGCAACATGGCAAAACCCTGTCTCTATAAAAAATGAAAAAAAAAAAAAAATAGCCAGGCTTCATGGTTTGTGCCTGTATTCCCAGCTACTTGGGAAGCTGACGTGAAAGAAGTTGTAGTGAGCAGAGATCGTGCCACTGCACTCCAGCCTGTCTCAAAGAAACAAAAAGAAAAAAAGAAAAAGAATGTGAAGTCATACTAGGCGTGAGGCAGTAGGAAACCTGGGTGCATGCTTTTAAAATCTCCGTGCAGCCGCAGAAAAACACATCATATTGAAAAATCTTTTCTCTTTAGGAGTTGATTCCTTATAGCATGTTCTGAGGTGGTGAATAGTATTATTAATTTGATAAGCATTCAACTATGATAGATCCATCTCCATCCTCCCCTCCTCAAGCACTCTGCTGCCTCAGCTCCTTGAGTTCGCTTTCAAATTAAGAAAAATGGATGATAGTCAAGGGTGATTTCAAGAAATTATAATGCTGGCTAATACTACCTAGAGCCCTTGGTGTAAATAAGCTTACTAATATTTACTGAGCCCTTCCAATGTATCAAGTTAAATGCTTTGTCAGAATTATGTAACAAAATATTTACAAAAACAGTTCTAAAACATTTTGGTCTCAGGATCCTTTTTACACTTAAAATTCATGAAGAGCTCCTATAGTTTATGTGTATTCTGTCTACAGTATTTACCGTATTCGAAATTAAAACTGAAATTTTTTATAAGTAATAATTTATTTATAAATAATAATAAACCCATTAAATATTAATGTAACTTAAAAAAATTAAAACTAGTTTTATTTTTTTTAAGCCAAAAAGAGTAGTAAGTAGAAGGGCATTGTTTTACATTTTCGAAATCTTTTTAATGTCTGGCTTAATTTAATATAGTTGGATTCTCATATCTTTATAGGACATTTTTTTTACTCTTCTGTGAATGGAGAAAGGCAGAATGTTTTCATAGGCTTTTCAGATAACTGTGGATATTCTTTGATACCACATTAAAACTTGACAAATGGTCATTCTTTAAAGTTTAGCTGCAAGGTGGAATCTGAGACTCTATCATTGAACTTTTATTACCATTACATTAAAATTCGTTCATCTATCTTGCACTTTAAATGAACCTTTTACTCATGTATTTTTGTATAATATGTATTGGTTGATTGAAAATTACTGATTTATTGATTCACTGAGCTATGCAGATTCTCCAAATGTTGACATACTTCCCTATATAATATCAAAAAATAGTATTTGTCATTATTATCACCCATCCTATCAGAAAAAAAAGTTTAAGTCAGAAAGCTTGTCAGCTCATTGGTGGTGAATACAAAGTTTCCAAATTCTAATGTGTGCTTGAAAATTCAAATTTTGCTATTGACCACAAATATTGGCAATTATTTTCCTTAAAACAACAATCTCACTTTATTAGTTTTCAGGAATGTTTTTGTGAAATACCCGAAACTGAATAACCAGTTTGTATGTCAGTCATTCTTTTAAGTAAAACTGATGTTCAGTAAATATGTGGTTAGTTTAGCTTGCAACTGAAATAATTGCACAGTATTTTTATTTTTCTATAGAAAACCATGTGCACTATACAATGGAAGTGTTTTATGCATATATCTCACTGCATCACATAGAATATTATAAAGTTATGGACTCAAAGGTCAATATTTAAGAAAATTAATAATTTTTAATGCCTCATCAAAGATATTCTTAAGTAAAATTAATTTTTTGTGTGAGTGTATGGGAGTGAAGAACTCTATGCTTACTAGCATACTTCGGCACCACTACCTTGATTTGTACTAAGACACCAACAGTTATCTCCATTGCTTTTGTACCATCAGCACACAGGTGAACACAGTGAAAAAGACAAATAACATATTATTATTTGATCTTGAAGATATTTTGAGTACTACTAGTTTATAACCAATCCAAAAGGTATTATTGTTCCGTTTGTTCTGGTGAAGAAGTTATAGTTCAGAAAACTTAAGAGAATTGTTCAGGGTCACAAGTCAAGAGATAGTAAAGCTAGAATCTGAACACAGCAGAAATGATTACAGAGCTTATTTTCTTTATCCGTTCCAAGGGAGTAGCACCTAATAGATGACAGCAAGTGTCCATTCCCATCCCTCTTGCCTAGTCAAGGTTGGTAAAGGAAAGGGTGTTAAAGTCTTGTTAAGTCAGAAGTACAGTTGGTTAATCGCATGTTACCATTTTAAAGGGAAGTTATTTTAAAGAAATACAAATTTATGGCTGTAGCAAATGAGAACCTACAGTATTGCCAAGAAATACTAGAAGAAATAATAAGTGCACACCGCCAGAAAAAAATCTCTAGTTATCTGCCTAAAAAAAAAAATTCTCATGGTTCAGTAAAGAGTAAAAACAGAGTAAAGAGTAAAAAGATATTGTTTTATTCAACATTTAGAAGTTTTTAAAGATTTGGAATAGAAAAAAAACAGCAGGAACATCTAAACTGATTTGAGAGAAAGTGAGAAAATTATACTTCTGGAATGAAAAGTGGTAGTCATAAAAGTGGTAAAAAAAAAAAAAAAAAAAAAAAAAGGAAAAGTAAAAAGAAAAAAAAAAAGGCCGGATGCGGTGGCTCATGCCTGTAATCCCAGTACTTGGGGAGGCCGAGGCGGGTGGATCACGGGGTAAGGAGATCGAGACCATCCTGGCTAACACGGCGAAACCCCGTTTCTACTAAAAATACAAAAATTAGCTGGGTGTGGCGGCAGGCGCCTGAGGGGAGGCTGAGACAGGAGAATGGCATGAACCCGGGAGGCGGAGCTTGCAGTGAGCCAAGATCGCGCCACTGTACTCCAGTCTGGGCAACAGAGTGAGACTCTGTCTCAAAAAGGGAAAAAGGGAAAAAAAAGTGGTTAAAAAAAAAGTCATTCTCAGATGCTTAGAATTTATGATATCCTGGTCAATAGAAAATGAGGAAATAGAGGCAGTGGAAATAGAAATAAAAGGATGAAAACAAGAGTTACTCAAGTGATAGAATCAATAAAACTTGGTAAATGATGGATGAGAGGACCCAGGGAGAGAGGAGCCAATGGAAAATGGGAAATATTGTGCCGTACTCATGCTGTTCCCCATGTATATGGCACATCTCCCCAACTAGACTGTAAGCTCCTTGAGAACAAGAACTGTACGTCTTTTATTTGGTTTGCAGAATTTGACACAATGTTGAACAGATAGCAGGTTCTCAAAGAAACAAATGCAGAATTAATTAGGTGATTCAAAGTTTAGCCCTCCTACATTAAAATTTCAGGTAAACCCCTTCACCTGACCCTTCCTTATTAGCTCAATCATGCAAATATTTTGGATTATTCTTCAGTTTAGTTTAACTCATCAAACATTTACTGAGCATTTGCTGTCAATGGGCATTAGATTGAGAGAGAGAAATACAATTGCAAATACAGTGGGGCCCCTGCCTTCCAGATGCTGAGGATCTAGAGAAAGAGAGACACAGTGTGAATAGTGTCTCTCTCACGTTATGAATGAAGTTTTACGGAAGCCCAGAAGGAAGGGCCTTCGCATCTGCCTGAAGCAGTTGGAGAAAACATGAGAGAGCAGTTGAGGTGGAGTTTGATATTTGAATAGAAATTCAACAGCAAAGAAAAGAAGAATTGCAGAATAGGAAATAGTTCAGTTCAATTCAGTTTATACAAGGATTTATTCAGTTCTGTTCATGTACAGGTACTATGCAATCCTGGCATGGAAAATGAATAACTAAGTTTCGATATTTTGCATTGATTCTCACAATAGAATAGGGAAAATAAACATATAAACAAGTACAAAACAATGTGCTGTGTGCAGTAATGAATTGTGAATCACTTAGAGAATTATATAGAGGAGGAAAATGAAGGGGAAAGTGAGGAGTTACTCTGAGTCAAGCACTTTTCTTTATGTGTTCCTCGGGATATATAAATCTACACAGAAGAAAGTACAAGCTAGTTCACTGAATGGTGAGCAGTTTACAAAATGGCGACCCTCAGACTATATCTCTGGCTTGCAGATGTGTTTGCTCTTCACATTGTTGGCCTGTGGGGCAGTCATGAGGATGTGCTTCACAGACTGCCAACTACAGGGAGCATAATTCACCTGGAACCCAGCTGCTAAGCTCTAAAATCTGAAATCTATTCTTGAGTTTGCCCCAATGGCTCCTCTGAGCCAGTGACCTAGTGCTGCATGGCTACTCAGGTGGGGCCTTTTCTCTGATGGACTCAGAGAAAAGCAATGAAGGATACTTCCAACCTATCTTCCTTCTTTCTGTTCTCCTCTTTGGGATCGGACTTGCATGGTGATCTAATAGCTCTTCTAGCCTTTTCTGGATGCTTCCCCATTTTCCTTCACAAGCATTTCCCCTAACAAAATTCTTAGATTTAATCCTGTCTTGACATCTGCTTCTCAGAGGACTTGGACTAGTACAGCCTAATATATATTTACAGATATAAATTCAATAATTTTCTAACATTTAAAAATTGATATTTTACTTAAGGAAATTTGATTCCTGGCTTCTCTGGGGTGTGGGGAGGGTAAGACAATCATCCAGTAAGAGGACCCCATTTCAGAGAGGCAATAACCCATAAAAGCTGAATGGCAGGTTATCGCTTTAGATGAGATACGTTCTCAACCCGCACTTCTGTTTTGTTTCCAATACGAAGATCAGTTGTCATTAACTCACATTCTTGCTCTGTTGTTTTACCTCTCCTGGGATTACTTCACCCTCCTATATGTGTTTTCTGCCTTCATAGGCATTGGAGTTTGAGATTTGTTGTTTTTGAGCACATCCTTGCATGAGAAGGAAGGAGAGAAGTGAGTCAGGTGTGGAAGCCAGAAAACCAATGAGGAGAACTAAAGATGTTCTAAACTAGAGAGTGATGGCAGAAGTCGAGAGGAGCTGGATGGATTTGAGGGGTATTTCAGGGGTAGAATCAACAAGATTTGAGTTTTAATAAAATGTAGGGACCGATGGGGAGGCAGGAGTCAAGGATGACTATCAGATTTCTTGCTATGGTAATAAGAATTGTTGAGCATTCTTGTTTCTTCCTTATTTTCAATACACAAACCAGTCTAAATAGACATCTCTGCTTTAATCCTTTTCAGAACACAAGCAGAGATGTCATTAGGAGTAGAAGATTTGATGGGACTACAAAAGAGGAACTCACTCCATTATTACCAGCTTACACTGGAAAAATGATCAACAAATTAAGAAACTATGTTGGGAGCTAATGAGAAGTACATATTTGCTGCCAGTAGCATTTTGGATACATACTGTTACAGGACAGAAGACTGATGTTACTTAGAAATTTTGTAGTTGGAGTATCACTGACAACATCTTAAATCAGATCTTAAGAATTAACAGCTTAAATATTATATTTGATCCCATATTGCTCTCCTTGCTTTCTGACTCAATCCACCCAGCCTATTCTAAATTCAGCATTCTAAACACACAATGCCCTTGAATTAATCATGGTAAAGCATCACATTTGTCATATCGCTCCTTACTCAGATAACCTAGTTTCTCCAGGAAAGCCCATAATCCTAGGTCTGTCACTCAGAAAACTTTCTCATATACCCTTACAGTTGTGGGGACCAAAGTAGATAACTTTGCTTAGAACTTTTTCCTGATATTCCTGCAATAACCCACCCTATTTTCTGGCCAGCATCTTGACTTCCTTAAGTAGGCAATTGTAAGGTCTAACACAGTATCTGATATATAGCAAGCACTAAATGAGTGTTACCTATTATTTTTTTTTTGACGATGTAAGTATTTTTTTTCTTTCTCTCCATTAACACCAACATATTTCTCAAACTGAAAAAGGCCCAAGCCTAAGTCTTGATTTACATCTCCCAAACTGCTTTCCTCATCCTCACCACAGTCTTCTTATCTCATACACAGCATCCCTGTCCAGCTATGTGTCACGTCATCTTTGATTCTTCTCTTTTCCACCTTTCACGTTCCAGCCATCAGTAAGTCCAGTCATTTCTACCTTCAAATTATGCCTCAAATATTGCCATCCCCATTGCTATCAGCCTAGTTCAGATGCCATCAATTTCTGACCTGGACTACAGCAACTTGCCTCTCTGTTCTCCCCTTCAGCACTCTCCAATAAGTTTGTACACAATAAAAAGTATAATCTTAAACTAGATCAGATAATGTAATTCCCCTGTTTTAAGCCTTTTATGACCCAAAAACTTACTGTCCCCAGTGTCTGACCCCCTGCTACCTTCTCTTGCCTCAGCTCTTCCTTCCCTTTCTTACCACTGCATAGCTATTCTGGTCTCAATTTAGTTTCTTGAACAAGTCAAGCTCTCTCTTTTCCTTAGGCCTTAGCACATCTTGTTCCTCTGCCAAGAATACTTAACTGCCACACTACCTCACATCATACTCCTCTTCTCATCTTTTCACTGTTCTCTCCTTCTACCCTAGGTCTTTCTTCAGTTTCAATGAAAAATGTTAGCCATTTTTTCTGTCTTTACCATCTTTTTGTTTTTTAAATCTCCTTCTGTCTTACTGGGAAACTTCAGTGTCAGCTACAAAGTACCCTGACTTGATCATCACCTCAATACACTCTTATAACTTGACCTTTACTATACTCACATGACTAACACTGAGTGCTGCTTTATCTCCAAAATATTGAACCCTGAAATCTGCCAATATCCACAGCCTGTTGCTCCCTCTTCCTTCCCCTGCTCCCCATAAATCTATGTTTTCACCTTATCGTATCTCCATCTTTTCACCCTCTTCTGTTCTTCCAGTCTGAGTATCTTCCCTTACGTCTCATATTTTCCTATCTTTTCTAACATGTTACTCATCACTTACAAAGTAAACCATATCTTTTTCCCCAAGCCTCACCCCTAAAGCAACCAAATCATCCCTTTCACTGTTCAAGATTACTAAGCTCTGTGGGAGAAAATCCCATAACACGTTGATGGCATCCCACCATGGTGCTGCTTAGCAGGCTCCAGCTGATCCCTAAGTGTCTCTCTCTTGCCTCAAAGCTGCAGTTCCAATCACTTACAGCTTTACTTAAGTTTTCAACTTCATTCTAGACCTTTCCCTCTGATGTCCTGACTTCTAAATATATGGAGTAAAGACATCTAATCAGTTAAGACTTCCTTCAGCCTCCTTCTCCTCTACCTTAAAATGACCTTTAATTTCTTCCACCTTAAAATAATACTATAACTTACCGTAGGAACTCAGTTACTCTTATCTCAGAGGGCGAAGTATTCCTCCCCCTACCCATGGCTGAGTTATGCTGTGTCAAAAGCGAACTTATTTTTTCTAATGTTACACATGTTGTACAAGTATAATGTGTGTGTATGTGCATGTGTATACATGCATATGCGCTCATTGCAAGATATATTTATAAGGAAAATTAAAGATGGAGTGCTCAAAATGACAAAAGAAAAAGATCTACAAAGCACTATTAATAAATTAATCAGCATAATTACAAACTTTTATAATGCATGCATATTGTAAAGTGAGGTCAAAGTTTAAATCCTAAATTGTCTCCTACTTTATCTACAACTATTTTGTAAAGATCTTTTCATGTCAGCACATAAACTTATACAATACTGTTGTATTGTGGCTATACTACATGAAATTAAGTAGTACCTATGGTGGGACTCAAAGAGTCTGAACTCTGGGCCCCATTCTCACTCCTCCTTCAAGATTATGTTTTTTTGTGTGCTCTCTTCTCTCCTGTACCTTCAATCTCCCTTTCCCAGGGGCTTCTTTCCTTTAGACTAAAGAGATGCTTGAGTCCCCTCCCTGCCATCCTCCAAAATCTTTCCTCTGCTTTTTCTCCTTCTCTTTCGATACTGCCACATATCTCCCCTAAGGCTAAAACTCTCTCACACACACACACACACACACACACACACACACACCCTAAGGCTAAAACTCTCTCTCTCTTTCTCTCTCTCACACACACACTCACACACACACACTTCTCTCACACACACACCCCCTAAAGCTAAAACTCTCTCTCTCTCTCTCTCACACATACACACACACACTCACTCAAACACACACACACACACACACACACACACAGATAATAATCTACTTTCACTGTGTTTACTTTTCTTTGCTTCTCAGGAGTTCTTTGGTCTACAATAATCTGGCATTCTCTCTTGGCCTATTTATTAAACTGCTTCCTCTCTACCATCCCCCATCTTGTTAAAGCATTTTTATGTAAACATTTACCAATCCCCAAATGAAGTATTCTCCTGATGGCTTTTCTACCCAGCAGCTTCCAGAAAAATACAATTTAATAGAACAAACTATGGGGCATCCTAAATGCAATTCCTGTAGATTGTATAATTGTGAAAAGGGCATTTCTTATTCCTGGACTAAGCACTTTGTTCCAGGACACATACATTATTAGATAGCATTTAAAAACTAAATAAAAAATTTGAGGAAAAAAATCTCTATTTAGCAATGGTAGTTAGAAATGTCTGCATTATTTTCTCACCTTCACATCCTAGTAATAGACCTGGGGCTGTTCATCTTTAGATATCGTAACATGAGACAGAAAGTGGATGTGAGAAAGACTTTAAATAATTTTAACAAGTAATGTGTATGAAAAGACACCTTTTTATTCCCTGTGCCACTCCAGATTTACTTTTCAAAGTAAAATGACTTCCAGGACAATTTGGAAGATTATTTGCCAACCAACAGACCTTTCTATCAAGGGACATTTCTTCTTCTGGCATGTAGCCTAAATGGTTCTTTATTTTAACTTCTTATTACCTGTTTTAATCTTTTTTGATATCTTTATTCTACCTACTTATATTGTTCGCTGTCCTATTATCTTCATGGCCAATGTTCAAGTGGTAGCCTAGTAATTTTCGATCAGGGTGCATATGAGAAATTTACAGATTAGGGGCTGAGGTATGTTATATTTGAAAACAACATATAGTTTTGTAGTATAAACTATATTAAATTAAAATAAACAAATGGCTTTGCTGGAACAAATATACAGAAGGTAAACTTGAATATCGATGATGGTTGGCAAGTAGCAAAAGGAACAGATAGGTGTTCCTGGGTTAAGGGAAGCATATAGGAATCTTGGGGTTAGTGAGAGGAATATACCATTTCAATATTTATCAAATAGAACATGGGTATTAAAATGTTAAAAGAACATTATTTGAGTCTTTTTTTATCTAGCTGTTTTTTATCTAAGGTTTCAATACTATAACCTAATCTTTACCCCAAATTTAGTACTTCTAGCTAAGTTTTGTTTTAACAAAGAAAAGTAACATATATTATCAGTGTAGGTTAAAATGCATTAATCCATACTTGTTGGATCAATAAATAAGGCATGAATTAAAGAATACATTGTTTGACATCTGTTCTCCCTTACTGTCCTCAAACTCGTAAGGACCCTTTAAACAGTGCTATGCATCAAACCAAAGGAATTGAACTAACATTGCTTGATCATCACCCATGTGCTGTGCTTAGCACTTGCTGGTGCCTGTGTCATTTGAATTCATCTCATTATCTCCATTTGACAGATGATGAAACTAGACTCAAAGTCTAGTTTCAAAATGTATCCAATACCATGCAGATGTCAATGGCAGAGCCAGTGTGCAAACCCAGGTTAAAACGACCCAGATCTATGTTTTTCCACTAAACCGTATCACTTTATTAGAAATGTTTTGAAATATTTTCATGATACTGATAGAAGTTTAAATCTTTTCCAAAAATCCAATGAAGCGGTTCCTTATAACTAAAATTTGTATTACTTCCCTACCATTGCATTAGTTTTTGAATTCAGAAGAGACAATGTGATATAATGGAAAGAAAATAGTAATTGAAGTCTGAGAATTACTTTTAAATCTGAATTCACTATTTACTTGCTTCACGTCTTTAAGTAAGTTACTTCACTCCTCTCAGCCTCAGTTTTTGTTTGTTTGCTTGTTGTTTGTTTTTCATTCTAATATATAAAAAGAGAATAATACAATCTACCACATAGGAAATTGTAAGAAACATAGATTAGTGTTTAGCATAGAATAAGCATGCAATAAATGTTAGTTCCCTTAATAATGCTTTTAGTATTTTACTAGGGGCTTTATAATTTTTTAAAATCTCCTTCTTATGTAGTTTAAATTATTTAAGCAATTTTACTATTATTAATTAAAGTTAGTAATTTTCTTGTTAAAATTAAGTCATTTTAAATGTCTTCAGTGGCAATCATACTGTAATTAAAATGTCACTTTTTTCTCATATTTATATAATCAACATTTTCCGTTTTTATTAACAGCACTAAAATTTTATTTTTAATTTATAACTTTTAGATTCTGGGGGTTCATGTGCACATTTATTAAAAAGTTATATCATGTGGTGCTGAGGTTTGGAATACAATTGAACCTATCACCTAACAAGTGAGCATAGTACCAGATAGGTAGTTTTTTAACCTTTTTCCCTTTCCTTCCTTCTTCCCTCTTATATTTCCCAGTATCTATTGTCCCCATCTTTATGTTCATGTGTACCCGATGTTTAGCTCCCATTTATAAGTGAGAATATGCAGTGTTTGGTTTTCTGTTTCTGCATTACTTAGTTTAATGGCCTCCAGCTGCATCCATATTGCTGCAAAGGATATGATTTTATTCTTTTTTTATGGCTGTGTAGTATTCCATGGTATATATGTACCACATTTTCTTTCAGTCCACCATTGATGGTCACCTGGGTTAATTCCATGTCTTTATTATTGAAAAGCACTACAATTTTAATGACTCCAAACTATCCCCACATTCAGATAAATGTACCACAATATTTTAACCATTTCTCCATGATATGGATGTCAGTTTTCAGTTGTGTTTTTTTAACACTAGAAAAATAATGCAACAAACCTTGAACACAAATCTTTTCATGTTTCTCTGATTATTTCTTTAGGATAAAATCCTAGAATCGAATGATCAGGTCAAACAGTATTTTAAAGTAGAAAAATTCTAAAAATCAAAAAAAAATCATTGTCGGTACAACATTATATATAAATGAATGTGATTATAATATTACTACTTATTTTCCTCTTTTTTATTATATATAACCCCATTTTGAGAGAAATTTTCATTTGGGAAATAAACTTTTAATAAAAGTGGGGCTTTCCCAGAGACATTATATTTATATTTGTGAAATGTCTTTCCTTTTGGTGGATTCTCTCTCTGAGAGGAGATGGTGTGCAGTACATGAAACAAGAAGTGTCATTTGGCTAGAAAATGGGTTTGTGCTCGTGGGGAAGAGTCAGCAAATATGAACAATTAAGAGAAAGAATGGTCCATGTCAGTGACATTCATCTGTCATGGAATCTTCCCAACTGCAAGGACACAGCAGCCCACCCAGAATCCTTTACAGGGTCTGCCCTTACCAGCATGGCACCTTGAAGTTTCCATTGACTGCATCAGGGATCAACACTCGGTTAATTAGTCACAATTTTCAGGATCTAAGAGTGTCAACCAGGGGTCTGCCTGTTCACATGGAGAGATTGCTGCTCAGAGAAGAGAGGAGCTGAGATCTGTCCCTGCAGCTGGCAGGCTCTGGGACAATTGTCAGGGGATTGAAGTGATTCAGCCATAGAGAGCAGCAGGCAGCAATTTCAATGACACTTTTGCATCTGTCCCTCTCTCTGCTAAATGCTGCTGGCTGGTAGCAAAGACTTAAAAGGGAAGGCTGGAAGAGAACAATAAAGGGAGGTGAAAGCTCTTTAAATCATTTCCTTAGCTGAATTCAGATGAATCTCTTGTAAAGAACCATGATGACTGGCCAGACCCAGCTGGTAGACTAGTTTTAATTGAAACACAAAAGCTTTCAGGGATGCTTTGGGACCAGAAACACAGGGCAAGTTACATTCTGTCTCTACCTACCTAGTTTCCACTGTAAATTTCCTAAATATATTCATTCTTTTCCTCAGAGTGGGTCTGGGGACAGGGGAATGTATATTAGAAAATGCCAGAGCCACAGTTTTCTCCATATTGTAGTCAATTCAAAAGAAAAACAGTGGTTAAATGTTTCTAGGTTGTTATCAAAGCTATTATTTCAAAGACATATTGATTCACAGACTAAGTTCCAAGAATTTGACAGTGATCTACTTCCCCCACTAAATGTCCCTAAAACATCCCCTTTTCTCTGTTGGCAAGAGCAGACTTCCTATATCTAGCCAGAGTCCCAAAAGAATCCTTTAAAATCATCCAGTTTAACCTTTCAATAAATGCCTGGGTCCTTCACGCCCAGTGACTAGCCAAATACCTCCTGAGTGAAGGATCCTCTATCCCTTACAGAGTAGTGCATCTCCAATCTGAACAGTTGTGTCTTATTAGTCAGCCTTTAGCTGCACCACAGTTTGAATGCCTGAGCTTTCTACTTTTTTATTCTTGTAATGACACAGAGCAAAATGGCTTCTACTTCCATATTGTATTCCTTAACACATTGTGGATTTCTATTGTGGCCTTTTTGAGTCTTCCTGTTAGGGCACAAACATTCTCAGTAGGCTTGTTTTTCTGTTACTTCATTCATCAAGTATTTATTGTCAATACTATGTGCTAGACAAGGCTCCAAAAAAACAAAGATGAATACTACACAGTTCCTGCCTTCTACAAGCCCAGTTTAAAGGAAAGACAGACTCAGAAACAGACAACTACAAAATAACACAATGCATAATGTAAGTAAGCATAAAAACCTGCAAAAACACAGAAATGTGATCTATCTAGAGAAGGGTTGGGTGATAATTTAGTATTAATTTGAGCAGACACCGTCTGAGCCACATCTTCAAAAATGCGAAGAATTGAAATAGTCAAGAAGGCGATGTGAAGTTTCTGGTAGAGAAAACAGCATAAATAAACACCAATAGATGAATTATAGTGAGGTCTGTGCAGTAAAGAGCCTGCAGTTCACTTCATTGTTCCTGGGGGGTAAAGTGTGAAGCTGGAAATAAAGTTGACAAGGTTAAGAGTTAGATCACGAATATCTTTCTCACAGGACAAAGTTTTGAGTACCCTCTCCAAACATGTTGACAGTATCAGGAGAAAGCATTTGGGTATCTCCCAATCTCTGCTTGCCTCCTTCCCTACTCTCATTAATCAAGACATTATTATCCCTGAGATGCTAACTACAGTGAGACCAATATACTCTAGTTGATGTACTTAGAGCTTGACCCAAATTACATTGAAAATACTCATCCTCCCATTTTTTCTTCCCAAACCTCTGGATCTTAGAGAACTGCCTCATTAAGTCCCCTAAACACTATCTCCATGGCTACATACTTGACAATGCAGTTGAGGTTATACAGTACGTGAAATATACTGATCACTAGATGCCAGAGTATTATTGCTTTTTTTTGCTATGCTTTGAATATCCATGAAGGCAGAAACCATCTGGCCTTAACCTCTGCAGTCTTAGTTTAGAGTCAGTTGCATACGAAATGCTCAACCAATACTAACACAGTCATTTGGTGTCAGTAAGTATTTAAAATCCAAAATGGTTTCTCGTACACTCTGCTCTTGTCAATTTCATGATTAAGGTACATCTATCCAATTCTTCTTGCTTTCTTTGTTCCAACTTTATTGTCTGTTCCTTGGGTGTGGCATACCCTTTCTCACCTAAGGGCTTTTACACAAGTTCTTCCCTCTATGTCAAAATGTTCTTCTCTATGTCACCAGGTCACTGTGTTTGGTTCTCCTACCCACTCCTACACTCTGCATTTCCCCTTCATGTGCCTTATAAACTGACATACTTACTCCTGTAGCTCCAGGGCTTAGTCTAGTGCCAGGTACAGAGGTGGTGTTTAATAAATATTAAATAAATTCATGATTATATGAGTGCTAATAAGTAATAACTCTGTTCAGTGAACACTGGACTTTTTCAAAGAGCAAACAGAATTAGAGAAAACATCAGAAGTATAAACACATGAGATTTTAGTTGCCATAGCTGAATTATTCATTTCACCCTTTCAACATATGTAATAAATATACAATTGTAAAAACAACCCTCTGGAAATCAGTTTTATAAATTTAGTCAATAAGAATTGCTAAACATTACCTTGACATTTGCAGTGGTATAGGTGTCAAGTTATAGCTGATCTTATCTTGACATTGAACCTTTCTGACTAATCAAGCACCCTAATTACTTTTTCTGAAATAACTACTGAATTCATAGTCCTCATCTCTTTTTACCCAAGAGTGGAAATTAATCAAATGATCATAAATTTAGTAAGCTATATTTTTTGTAAGAATATGTAGAGAAATTTAATATCCAGTGACAAGGGACTGGTTAAATAAGTAATATGTGACCTTGATGAAACATGACTAGCCATTTAAGACGAATATTTATAAAGACTGCCTAGCTATACAGAAAGGGCATAAAATATAATGTGATTTGGAAAAAATTACAACACAACCATGAAAACATATGTAGCTGTGGAGATGGGAGATGGGGAGTAAAGGAGACTATAGAAATAAGAAATAAACAATATGGTTTGTGGATTTGGGGGGACTTTTAATTATGCCTTACATACAAATTTTAGAAAGATATATATATCCTTTAGAGAGAGAGATATATATATCCTTTATATATATATCTCTTTAGATATATATATCCTTTATATATATATATATCGCTTTAGATATATATATCTCTTTAGATATATATATATCTCTTTAGATATATATATCTCTTTAGATATATATATATCGCTTTAGATATATATATCTCTTTAGATATATATATATCGCTTTAGATATATATATCTCTTTAGATATATATATATCGCTTTAGATATATATATCTCTTTAGATATATATATATCGCTTTAGATATATATATCTCTTTAGATATATATATATCGCTTTAGATATATATATCTCTTTAGATATATATATATCGCTTTAGATATATATATCTCTTTAGATATATATATATCGCTTTAGATATATATATCTCTTTAGATATATATATATCGCTTTAGATATATATATCTCTTTAGATATATATATATCGCTTTAGATATATATATCTCTTTAGATATATATATATCGCTTTAGATATATATATCTCTTTAGATATATATATCCTTATATATATATCTTTAGAAAGCGATGTATGTATATATATGTATATATGTATATATATATACACACCCACAGGATATCAGTTACTATAATCTACAGGAGTAAGTGTAAAGGCTTTATTAGAATAGAAGCTACTCAGATTTCCATGCTGCTGCACTATTGCATGCCTTTTCTATTGCTATTGCAAATTAAAGCCTGTTTATTGTTCAAAAGTATCTCTCATGTATTATGATTCTAGAAGGGGGCCTTGTCTTCTGAAGTGGAAGTTTTCTTTACTTAGAAACACATTATTTGACAGATAAGTGATATTAGAACAACAATACCAGAAATAAGAAAATGAAACACCCAAGTTCACTCTTCTATTAAATCAAATTCTTTCATGTAACTTTTTTCTTCCTCTTTCATATAAATGTATAATTTTTACAGTTGACACTCTAATGATTCTTTATATTTTTTCATATTACACAATTTGTAAGTTTTTATTTCCTGCTTCATAAATGTGATTTTAATTGCTGCATAAAGGAAGCAATTTTTAAAAGAAAAATATAATGCTCTTGCATTCTTACAGTGCAGGAATAAACCTCAGTGTTTTTCCTGACCTTCCTTTGTCTGCTAACTGTGCACTTTATGATTTAGCATACAAGACTGTTGTCACCTGATTTCCATTTGAGTAGTAACATGATAATGCAGAGTGCAAGAGGAACTAGGTTTTAGGTGACAGACACATCATTTAATATCTGCTTTTTGTTTCTATAGGGGAATTCTGGCCTGGGATTCAGTATTGCTGGGGGGACAGATAATCCCCACATTGGAGATGACCCTGGCATATTTATTACGAAGATTATACCAGGAGGTGCTGCAGCAGAGGATGGCAGACTCAGGTAAAGATCTGAAACATTAGAATGATTTTGAAAGTAAATCTGCTGCATCAATGAGACACATTTGTACCTTTGAAGAATAATAATTCTACAAAAGTTCTGTACTTGAAAGAGATTTTTAAGGCAAGCTTCCTGAAATGACTTTGCAGATCTTTTGCTACTGATTGAATTTCAGTAGTGTTTGATTTGTGTTCGTTGGTAGGTACCACATTGAACATTGGGCCAGGCACTGTGAGGAGGGGATGAAGATAAATCTTTTGTTTGGATGAGGCCTTCAGTCTAGTTGGAAAGAACATAAATATGAACTAACGGGCAAATAATATAATTATCAAAAGGATACACTATAAGTAGCATTAGCAAGTAAAGCAACGTTGTAGATATTGTATGTATTCTCATATTCGGCAACCATTTATAGGGCTTTCTCTAGGCGTTTAGAGAGGGAAAAAGAGTCTAAAAAAACCATTCCCTGGGAAGGTTTCCTCTGAGTCCACTAACCCTACAAATCTAAGTGGGAACACAGAGAAAAGAACAAGTTGTCCCTCAGAAAAAAAGGGAAAGCAGCTTCATCTGGATGAAGAGCACAGGATGGCCTGGCTCAGTGGCTCACGCCTATAATCCCAGCACTTTGAGAGGCCAAGGCAGATGGATCACTTGAGGTCAGGAGTTTGAGACCAGCCTGGCCAGCATAGCCAAACCCCATCTCTATTAAAAATACAAAAAGTAGCTGGGCATGGTGGTGGGTACCTGTAATCCCAGCTACTCTGGAGGCTGAGGCAGGAGAATGGCTTGAACTTGATCCCAGTGAACTGAGATCATGCCACTGCACTCCCGCCTGGGTGACAGAGTGAGTCCATGTCTCAAAAAGCAAAAAAGAAAAAAAAAAAAAAAAAGGCACATGGTGAGTTTAGGTTGGTGGAGGGAGTGCAGCCAGGTACTTCTCAGTGATAGAGAGTAGTAGCTGCTTGAGCTGGGCTACTTTCTTTAAGGAACTTAATTGTGGGAAATAAGAGTTACCCTCATGGGGTAAATAACATAAAATGCTATGGGATCAAAACCTTAGCTAAAAGGCACTATAGGTTGGAAAAATTAGGAGAGATTTTTCAGGAAGAATAACATGCCCTAATGTCACTTTTAGCACCCCTGCTAGGTTGTAAATCCCCTCAGGCCAAGCAGTTACATATGTATAACTGGCTCAATAAACTCTTGCTGAAGAAATGAATTTTTGAGTAAGTAAATAAATAAAGTGGAGAAGAGGGAGAAGTGAAAATTATTGTGGGAGGTAAGATAGGAAGGATATGTGAAATACAAAATATTTATGACACTTGTTAATGACTGTAAGGAAGAGTTTATTCAAGAGGGTTCACTGCAATGGAGATTTTGCAGTGGAGGAGAGTTATTGGTCTTAACTCTGAATACAGAAAGCATAAGTGAAGATGTATAGCCAAAGAGCTGTGGAGTGGGGGGTGGCAGTTAGTGCATGGAAAATTACTGAGAGAAAACGTCAAGGGTAAGGGGAATTCTGGCTGAAGGGACTTGGCAGGATTCTTGTTGAAGGCAGGCCAAGCTGATAAATTATCAAGGGTATGGGATAAGGAATTTGATCGGATACCAAGGGAGAGAAATTTTTCATAAACTGACTCAGCAGGATTCTTGGTAAAACTGGGCTAACGAGGCCAAATAAAAAGCCTAAGGTCAAAGCCTAATTGAGAATAGGACCCAGAGAAGCCTGATTCAAATTTAATCAAGGACGGAGTCTTATTAAATAAAGCAAGTGAAGTCCTGTAGGTAAGAATGACTTTAGCGTGCATGGAGCCACATTGAGGACTGTGACTTAAGGAGCGAAATGTAAGCTTCATAGCACTTCCTCAGTCTGTTTTTTCATTAAGCATATAAGCTACTTTGCTGTTTTTCTTATGAATCAACCAAAGATACTTTTATTCCTTATCCAGTTTTTCTGATGTAGTGATTACTTTTGACAGCTGCATGTTTACAGCTTGATGAAGAGAATCACATTTTTTTTTTTTTCAGGTAAATGTGCATCTTTTTTCAACAAAAAAGATACTCCCACATGAAATAAGCTTTTTGACAACAGAATTTTTAAGCTGAATTAACTAAATTAATTTCTGAATGAGGACATATCCCCACTAGAGTGAAAGGTTTGAAAAAGATGCTGTGTAATTCTATGAGTCATCGTGGGGATTCTGTTTGCTAACACTGGACCCTAAAGAAGCTCTATTTTTAAAGTTTAGAAATAGATTTGTTAGAGGATAATTTAGAAATTATCTCTAAATTATCATTATGGCGGGCCATAATCATAATTTTTCACCACTCTGTTTAGCTACAAGATGGGGAGAACCTCCACCCTTTAACCAAATTCTGGCTCTAAGCTTGAAATAGATTTTATGTTATATGTTTATATATGTTTGCTCTACAATTAAGAATGAAAAGTGATATCTCTGAGAATGCCAGCATTCTTTGCCTGCAAACATGGTGGCAGCCCCATGCCTACAGAGGTAAAGCAAAGTTCTGCTGTGCTAGAAACTTCATTCATTCGTAGTTGAAAAGATAATATTGATAATGAAAGCTAACATTTCTTGACATTTTATCATGTGCAGGACATTGTGCTAAGATACAGAGATGTCAGATGTAGACACACACACACACACACACAATCTTCTACTTCAGTAGCCATATAAGTAGGTACTATTATTGTGGCCATAATAATAAGGATTCAGAAAATTAAGGCTTAATGATTTTAAGATCACCCAGCTAGCTTTGACCACATTAAAAATCCAGTTCTGAATGTCGCTTAGGTATTCTCTAAAATCTCATGTGTTGGTAGAATCCCTACATCATGTGGTCTCTGCCTAAAAACCCCCAAAGGTAAAGCTTTCACAATGTTAAGAGGTAATTCTGAACATAACAGAGTTTGCTGTTTTTCTATTGAGCCACAATTTCCCTTTTTTTGGCCTCTACCCATTGGTCTTTATTTTGGCTTCCTGGAGCCAGGGCCATGGCCTATGACTGTGTATATGAATATTGCCTACTAAGGTTGTACAATAAACAACCTGCAAAACTTTGTACAGTGCTTCTAACTAGAGCAGCAAAATTCACCTTCTCCCCAATCCACATTACAGCCTTTGCCTATGTGAAGACAGCTAATAATTTTCAGTATTTGGCAGGTGGTCTAGTCCAAGACATACATTTTATAGAGTGGGATTCTGCAGCTCAGAGGAGTGACTTATCCTGAGGCATAAATCATTTGGGGATCCTATTTAACTAAAATCCAAATGTCCTGACTCAAATAATTAAGATTATTAGGTAGTGCTAAGAGACAGTAACACCATCGCCTCAACTAAGTCAGACTAAGTCTTTTCTCAGTGTGACAGGAACACTGAGGTTGGACCAACAAGCCATGAGGAGTATGTTTTATCTCACCATTAGTCCTTAAGGACATGGGAGAAGGACATTGTAATTAGCTCTGGAAAGATGTGGGTTCTAACTTCTGTATGTAACACAGTTGACCTTGGACACAAGTTAAACTCACTTAATAGCTATTTTCTCATTTGTAAAGTGGTGACAATAATACCTACTTCACTGAGATGTTCTGAGGTGAGATAACCGAACTCCTTAGCTATGGCAGGCACATAATTGGTGCTCAATAAATTTTACCACCGTTTTCCCCTTTCTCCTTACCTTCCCTCTCTGTCTCTAAGCAGTTTTTCCTCTCCTCTTGCCTCTGTTCCTTTTCTTCTCTATCCCCTTTCCTATTATACCTTCTACATTTCCTTCTGCAGTCTCCTTTCACCCTGTGTGTTCTTCCCTAAGTTTCCTGTCCCTATTTTTCACATACTTTTTTTTCTCTTGGTCATAACATGGAATTAAAGACCATTTTTAAAAAATAGGTATGGTGCAAAAAACGGTTCTGTACTTCTATTCTCAAGTTTATAATGTAAGCCACTGAATCTGCTATGTTTCCTTTGCTTAAAAAAAACCCCTATAAATTAAACACAGTTTTCTTTTATGTAAACAAATCCTTGGTGTTTCCTTTGAGTTAGAGACACTTAAATTTCTTTAAAATGTACCTTTACATTATAAATTGCTATGGCCTTAATATTTGTATCCTCCCAAAATTCATCTGTTGAAAGCTAATCCCCAATGTAATGATATCAGGAGGTGGGGCCTTTGAGAGATGATTAGGTTTTGAAGGTGGAGTACTCCTGCATGTCTCTGTAAAAGAAGCCCTGGCTTATATTAGTGCCCTCATAAAAGCTTCCTTGCCCCTTCCTTTATGTGAGGACATATCTAAAGGCATTATCTATGAACCAGGAAGAGGGCCATCACTAGACATCAAATCTGCCAGTGCCTTGGTTTATAGGCCATTTAGTTTATGATATTTTATTTTATAATAGCCCAACAGACTAAGACATAAATTATATTTTTGACAGTTAAATAACACTAACATTTACAGAGAAACTAAGGTCCACAGAAATAAGGTGATGGGTTTGCTCCAAGGAGAGTAGTAAATCTGAACTCTAAATTAGTGGTTATGTAATAATCAGATCAATAATAATAATCCTAATAATAAAGACCAACACAGTGCTTACAATGTGCCAAGTCATTTTCTGGCACATTAGCTCATTTAAAGTGTTAAATGACTCAATAAAATTCACACTATTATTTATTATCCATTTTTCAGATAAGAAAATTGAGGAACTGGTAGGTTAAGCAACTTCCCTAAGTTTGTACTGCTAGTAAATATTGGAGCCAGAATTTGAATGTAAGCAGTTTGACTCCAGTGTCCATGTTTTTATCTTCTAAGCTATAATGCAGAAAAACAACAACGACGCTTAAAAGACCCACTGTTACCAGCATGGCACATGTATACATATGTAACTAACCTGCACAATGTGCACATGTACCCTAAAACTTAAAGTATAATAAAAATAAAAAATAAAAAATAAAAAAAAAAAGACCCACTGTGGTAAGCATCATTCTAAATGCCACTCACGAATAGGCGCGATGGCTCATGCCTGTAATCCCAGCACTTTGGGAGGCTGAGGCAGGTGGATAACTTGAGATCAAGAGTTCAAAACCAGCCTGGCCAACATGGTAAAACCCCATCTCTACTAAAAATACAAAAATTAGCGGGGTGTTGTGGTGGGCGCCTGTAATCCCAGCTACTCAGGAGGCTGAGGCAGGAGAATGGCTTGAACCAGGGAGGCAGAGGTTGCAGTAAGCTGAGATCGTACCACTGCACTCCAGCCTGGGCAACAGAGCGAGACCCCATCTCAAAATAAATAAAAATAAAAATAAAAATGCCACTCCCCAAGATTCTATACCATAATCCATAGAACCTGTGACTATGATGAGATGTCACTCCTATGATTTTTATATGGTATAATTTACCTTAAAATAGGGAGAATATACATGTGAACCTGGTCTAATTACATGAGCCCTTAAAAGTGGAGACTTTTCTCAGGCTGGTGGCAGAAGTTAAAGATGTGTGATGTACTTGACACGTTGTTGCTGGATTGAAAATGAAGGAGGCCATGTGAGAAAGAATGAGAATGGTCTCTAGGAGCAGACAGAGGCCCCCAGGCTGACAGCCAACAATGAAGCAGGGACCTCAGTCCCACAAACTCAAGGAACTGAATTCTGACACAACCACATGAGCTCGGAAGAAGACCCTGAACCTTGAGATGAGAATGCAGCTCAGCTGACATCTTGATACAGCCTTGTGAGAACTTAAGCAGAGATTCTGGCCTCGCTGTGCTAGACTTATGACATACACCAATAGTGAGCTAATAAATAGAAATAGTTTCAAGTTGGTAAGTGTGTAAGTGTGTGGTAATTTTCTTTCTTTCTTTCTTTCTTTTTTTTTTTTTTTTTGACGGAGACTCACTCTGTCGCCCAGGCTGGAGTGCAGTGGCGCAATCTCGGCTCACTGCCACCTCCGCCTTCTGGGTTCAAGCGATTCTTCTGCCTCAGCCTCTTGAGTAGCTGGGACTGCAGGTGCCCGCCACCACACCCAGCTAATTTTTGTATTTTTAGTAGAATCAGGGTTTCACCATGTTGGCCAGGCTTGTCTCGAACTCCTGACCTTGTGATCCGCCCACCTCAGCCTCCCAAAGTGCTGGGATTACAGGTGTGAGCCACCGTACCCAGCCGGTTTGTGGTAATTTTCTAGGAAACAATTCTAGGAACCCTGGAATCATTATGAAAAACCTTCCTGTGTGTGCGAAATCATAGCCAATATAAAGTGACAGTGCAGACTAAAGGCACAGATAAAGTGAGAAGTGACTTCCTCCCTAAGTAGACCAGACTTCAAATCAAGCTCCAGTCTTAGTTGTTCTTTCTCCTGAAAGAACAACTTCTCATAAAAGAGATATAGGAGAAAGAACACAATATTTGGAGTCAAAGACCAAGGTTTCAGGTACTACTTCCTAGCTATGTGACTTTGGGCCCCTTTTTAAGCTCTATGTTCTTCAGTTTCCTCACTGGTACATTGGAGATAGGAACATATATCTCAAGAAGATATAGTAAGATTACATGAAATAGTGTTTGTAAAGGAGTTATGTAAAAGGCAAGGCCTGCAATACAACTCTGTTATCTATAGAGCCAGCTATTTAGCAGAATGCTGAACCTCAGCCACAAGTCTGTGGCAGCCAGGGATGGACAGTGTGGTAGGCAAAATTCTAAGATGCCCCCTAATAACCTACATCCCTTTCCTTCGAATGTGGACAGGACCTGTGAATATGATCAGATTCAATTCCATGATTATGCTACTTTATATGGCAAAAGGGACTTCACAGATGTAATTAAGTCCCCTAATCATTTGACTTTGATTTAATCAAAATGGAGATTATCCTGATTCAGACTGACCCATGTAATGAGACTTTTAAAAACAGAGAGATTCTCTTACTGGCATGGATGAAGCAAACTTCCATGTTGTTAAAGAACCTATGGGGGGCTGTGTAGTAAGGACCTGAAGGCATCCTTTACGTACTAAGTAAGTCCCCAGGCTACAGCTAGCAAGATAGAAGACATCAGACATACAGTCACAAGGAATTGATTTCTGCAGATTGCTACATGAGCTTATAAGAGAACCCCAAGTTCCCAAAATGAATACAGTCCAGCTGACACATCAGTGCATGCAGCCTCGTGATACCAAAGTAGAGGACTCCTCTGAGTCACGTCTAGATTCCTGACCTGCTGAAATTCTGAGATAATAAGTATATGTTGTCTTAAACTGATTAATTTGTGGTAAATTGTCATGTAACAACAAGAAACTAATATAGACATATAAATTCTGGACCCTAAAATTCCCTTAAACTGGGCTGCAGAGTAGCTTGCTGTTGCAGGTCTCCGGTAATACTGTCACACCCAAAACTTCAGAAACACTGATCAGGCCTCATGATTGGACTTGGGACTTTCTAATACCTAAAGGCAAGAGGCCAAAGCACAATCAATCAAAAGCAAGAGGTGGACCCACGCCAGTAAAAGGGAGGAATCTAGTCCCTCGGGTGGAGGGACAGCAGAGATGGAGACTGAGACCTGTTTTCCCTCTACTGGCTGGAGATGTGAATCTGAGCTGGAGTGAGGGAGACAGCCAGAAACTGCAGGGAAAATGTGAGATGAGGGCTAAGTCAAGAGGCAAGGCAAGAAGAGCACATGGCGGTTTAGATGAATTTCTCTGAACAGTGACCATTTTCTGATAGAACTTCTTTTTAAATAGAACTTTTCGGGTATGTGTGTTTATGGCCGTGATATTTGTCCTTTGTGTAATAAATATAAAATAAAGAAGAGTAGACAAAGACTAAGCAAAACACAGCACTTTCATTTTTGCACTACACAAAGCTAATCACTAGTAACATTTTTGTACATGTCTTTCTGATATTTTTTGCCTTTTAAACTTAGTTTAGATCATACTCTATATGATATTTAATTTTTGTTTAACTTCGCTTAACCTTAGTTCAGAGACCTTTCCCTGTATCAGTAAAAAAGCCTTTGCAAATAATTTAATTGCTATAAAGTAGCATATTTAGCCATTCACATTGTTTGGAATTTATTTTCAGTTTATGAGCATTTTAAATATATGGACATCTTTTGGAAAACATTATTAACCTTGTACCTCATTATTTCCTTAGTATATATTTCTACTATAGAATTTCTGAACCTGATAGAATGAACATTTTAAAACCTTTTGATGCATGTTACCAAATTTCTTTCCAGAAATATTCTACCAAATTTTACTTTTACCAACAATGTTGGAGAGGTCCTACTTTGCAATATGTTGTCAGTGTTGCATGTGGTTTCACATATGTAATTTTGGCATACACGTATGTCCAAGGCAAACAATGGTATATTTCCCTGCTTTGCTTTGCATTTACTTGATTAAGAGTAAGATGAAACTTTTAAAAAATGTTACTCGTCATTTGTGTTTTGTCTTCTAGAGTAGTCATTAAAATTTGATAGCATTATCTATCTTTTTTTTTTTTTTTTTTTTTTGAGATGAAATCTCACTCTTGTCACCCAGGCTGGAGTGCAATGGTGCGATCTTGGCTCACTGCAACCTCCGCCTCCTGGGTTCAAGCGATTCTCCTGCCTCAGCCTCGTGAGTAGCTGGGATTACAGGCGCCTGCTACCACGCCCAGCTAATTTTTGCATTTTTAGTAGAGACGGGGTTTCACCATGTTGGCCAGGCTGGTCTTGAACTCCTGACCTCAGGCAATCTACCTGCCTCGGCCTCCCAAAGTGCTAGGATTACAGGCGTGAGCCACCGCGCCTGGCCAGCGTTACCTATCTTTAAGCAGTATTTGAAAAGAACATTAGGTTTTCTTTCAGAGCAAAATAGATATACATCCATGATATGAAGAATGATTTTTATTTCTTCACTTGTATTTGAATTATAAAAATGCCCTCTGTGTAGTTTGAAGTCCTAGAATTGCCAGGGACCAATATTGATATGTCATCATGGGGAAGAGCTATCACATGACAGCCTCCACTTGGCAATGCAGCAATGACATTTTACACAAGAGTGCGTTTATTAAAGGCATCCACAGCACAAAAGCACCATGTAGAAACAGGCAGAAAAGATGGCTGCTTGCCAATTTCCTGACAAGTGACACAATTTAATCTCTTAGCCTTCAGCATAATCATTTCTACTCCCAGACAAGATATAAAAAAAAAGAAGTTTTCTTTTCTTTAAATCCATTGCTTCATTTATTACTTCTGTGTCTGTTTACAGGTAAGGTTGTCTTTGTCCTCATAAAAACCAAGACAACATACATGTTTATTTCAAACAAGAATAATGATTATACTGAGGTTTGACTGTACTGACAAAGTTGAGAGGTCAAGGACGAATGTTTCAAGAATGCAGTTCTTGTGTATAAACAACAACGTTGTCCTTTGGCTGTCCTTTGTCAATTCATTTTTTTGCTTTTTCATTAATGTATATCCACTAACTCAGTGATGATTTTAAAATAAGAACACGATGAGAAAGACAGAAGGGGAGGGGAGGAAAAGGAAACACAGAGAGGGGAGGAAAAGAAGGAAGAAAAATGATTGGTAATCATCACGAGATGAAGGCTTAGAAATGGAAAAGATAAAGCTCAGCTTGGTTTTTTTGTTTGTTTTTTGTTTTCTGTGCAAATGAGAAGCACCAAACAGAGGAAAGGGAGTAACTTCCAGGCATCACAGTCTGACACTTATTCCCAAGACCCACTTACCAATTGTTTAAGAAAATGAAAGATTTCTAGGAAGTGGAAATAGCATAAGAGATTGCTAAATTCTTAGAGTACCTCTCCATACTGAACTGTCATGAGTTTGGGTGATTGCAAATAAAAAAACCCCACAAGTCACAACATCCAACCTGTCAATTTCCACTGTACCCCAACTGATTGTTGCACTAAATGACTATGATCATGGTAAATGTTTTATTCAAAGGCAGAGACTTCTAGTGCTTCCAAATCCAAGTAAACATTTATTTCATCATTGTTTTGGGGGTCAAAGCAGGATACAAGCCCAGCTGTTGCTCTGAACAGGAAGACCTTCATGAGAAGGGAGACTTTATTACCTAGTATAAATGATACCAGCGCTCTCTTTAGAAAGATGTATGATGCAAATCTCAATGGACTCATTCTTAAGGATTATTTTTTCCATCTCTCCCAACAAAAGTGAAAAGTATTGAAGGGTAACAACCCTCTCTTTTGATTTTCTCTGTCCATAATATCAGCCCTAATTGTATTTATAGAGTACTTGGACAAGAAGAAAATCACCTAGCAAGTGGTTCTGTGGTGACTGGCAATCGACAAGTCCCCAACAATTTAGTATTATGTTACACAAGAAAATTTCTATACAAGAAGAATAATTTCAGCTGCACATCTGGTAGAACATCAGGCACCCACAAGTAGTCTTTCGCAGCTGGAGTTTTCCTATTTCTGTCAACTGCCATATATTCCAATAAAGGAAATCCACCTATGAGTTGACCGAAATATTAATAACTTTGTGGCAAACATGACTCGTTGGATTTTTGTTTTTTTTTTTTTCTCTAGCAAATTCTATCAAGACTTCTGGATATATACCTGCATAAGAATGTAATTGGCTCCCATCTCACACTGTAGACAAATATTAATTAAATGGGATCATAGACCTACATGTAAGAACTAGAACTATAAAAGTCTTAGAAGAAAATGTAGGAGTAAATCTTTATGATCTTGGTTTAGGAAGTGGTTTCTTTATATGACACAAAAAGCATGAGCAACAAAGAAAAAATAGATAACTTGGAGTTCGTCAATTAAAAACTTTGTGCTTTCAAAGGACACTATCAAGAAGTTAAAAGATAACCCACATAATGAGAGAAAATACTTGCAAATAATATACCTGATAAACGACTTGTATCCGGAATGTGTAATAAAACTCCTACAACTCAACAATAAGAAGATAACCCAATTTAAAAATGATCAATCATTTCGTATTATTTTCTATTGCTGCTGTAACACATTACTACAAACTTAGTGACTTAAAATAATGCGAATTTATTATCCTATAGTTCTGGACGTCAGAAGTCCAAAATCAGACTCACTGAGATAAACTTGGAATGTTGACAGGGGAACCCCAGAGACTATATGGGATAATTTGTTTCTTTTCCTTTTCCCAACTTCAAAAGGCCATCTGAATCACTTGGCTCATAACCCTTTTCTCCATCCAACCTTTACTTCCATCATCCTATCTCTTCATTGACTATGACTCTACTAACTCTTCTTTATAAGGACTCCTGTGATTATATTGGACACCCCAGGATAATCCAAGAAAGTCACCTCATCTCAAGATCCTTAACTGAATTACATCTGAAAGGTCTTTTGTGCCATATAAAGTAACATATTCACAGGTTCCAGGCATTGGGACATAAATTTCTTGAGGTGAGGGGCATTATTCAGCCTACCACAAATTTGAATATATATTTATTCAAATAAGATATGCAAATGGCCAATGAGCACATAAAAAGATGTCCAGCATCATTATTCATTGGTGAACAGCAAATCAAAAGTACAGGGAGATACCACTTTATACCCACAAGAATGGCTATAATAAAAAAGATGGACAGTATAAGTGTTGGCAAGGATGTAGAGAATCAGAACCCTCAGCATGCCTGGTGGGATTGTAAAATGGTGCAGCTACTTTAGAAAACAGTCTGGCAGTCCATCTAACAGCTAAAAATAGAATTGCCACACGACCAGTCATTCTACTCCTAGCATATACCCAAGAGAACTGAAAACATATGTCTACACAAAAACTTGTACACTAAGGTTCATAGCACCATTATGCATAACAGCCAAAAACTGGAAACAACCCAAATGTCCATTGATGGGTGAATGGATAAATTGTGTTATATTCAAAAATGGGATACTATTAGCTGAAAAAGGAATAAAGTACTGACAGATGGCACAACATTAATGAAACTTGAAAACATGCTAAGTGAAAGAAGCCAGACAAAAAAGGCCACATATTATACAATTTTATTTACACGAAATTTCTAGAATAGGGAAATCCATGCAAATAGAAGGTAGATTAGTGGTTGCCAGGGGCTAGTAATAGATATAAGATTTCTTTTGGGGGTGATGAAAATGTTCTAGGCTGGGCACCATGACTTATGTCTGCAGTCCCAGCACCTTGGGAGGCTAAGGCGGGCAGATTGCTTGAGCACAGGAGTTGGAGGCCAGCCTCTACAACATGGTGAAACCTCATCTCTGCAAAAAATACAAAAATTAGCCAGGTGTGGTGGTGCATGCCTGTAGCCTCAGCTACTTGGGAGGCTAAGGTGGGAGGATCGCTTGAGCCCAGGAGGTTAAGGCTGCAGTGAGCCATGATTGCACTACTACACTCCAGTCAGGGTGGCAGAGCAACACCTTGTCTCAAAAAAAAAAAAAAAAGAAAGAAAGAAAAAGAAAAAACAGAAAGAAAGAAAATGTTTAAAATTACATAGGGCAATTGGACAACTCTGTGACTGTACTAAAAAAACACTGAATTATGCACTTTAAAAGGGCAAATTTTAAAGTATGTGAATTATATCTCAATAAAGATATTACTTTAAAAGTGCCCTGTCATTCTTTTTGGGCATAAATATCCCCATTTACAAATCTAAGAAATTTTTTTCCTAGTTTCAGAAAGCTCACAACTTCTTCATATTGTTGTTCATTTAAAGATACAATTTATTTAAAGTTTTTGAATTCATTCACCAAGTTCTTGAATCTGTTAAAGAAGATCTTTGATTTGTTCTTAAATCTAACCAAGTAGAGAGTACCATTTGTTTGGGGCTCCATGTCTGTATGGTGTAAGTAATCTTTAAACAAGCAAATATCACAAGGTGCTCACATTTTCTAAACAGGTATTTGACCCTGTATTCCAGCTGCTAAAACATCAACATTGTATAAAAATTATCTGATAAATAGCATTTCTGTTTTCAAAAGTCAAAACCAAATTATTGATATGCTTTACAATTTAGGGGATTAATTCAGGTTGTGTTTTATAAGGTCCAATTTTCCAAATATAATCAAGAAAAGAAAGAATGATATATTGATTCCTCACAGAGGAACAACAGGATTGCTGAGACATAGATGTGATGATTCATATCCCTTAAGATTGGCTTTATGGGATTCTAAATATTCTGATTTAAGCATCGCCACTGCTTTGTGTATAGGGTGCAATTTCTGGAATTATTTGTAGGTTTATATCTAAACTTCCAGCCCAGACTAAAAGTTAACAAGATGTACTGCTCTAGTGAAGGCAGGAGACATAGGAATCTCTGCCACTAACTAGCTATGAGTCCTATACAGGATCTTGGGGAATTTTCCATTTTAAAATCATATTCTAATTATCTGACATTTGTTGACAGCCTGAGAAGTTCAGAATGCTATTATCATGGCCAGGAAATCAATGCTTTGTTTCAGTTAAACTCAGAGCTCTGAGAAGATCCACTGCTCATTAGATTCATATACCAAAGAGCTGATTGCAGCTTTAAGTGGTGATAAGGCATTTGTTTTTATTTATTTCTAATAGTCTCTCCAGACACATGTTGTCATTCTAACATTCTGAAACCAAATTTTATATTGATTTTAGCAAATAGCTCTTTGGGCTCTAGACAAAAGAAAATGGTTTGAGGGAGGTAGAAAAATATATTTAAATTATTTGCTGAAATTGAATTCAATGGTAATCTTAAATATTTTCAAGAATTGGTTTTTCTGAGCAGTTTATAAATTGTGTCATTATTTAGAAAGGTCTAATAATGTGGTAAGCTTTGCACAAGCATCAAGCCACTTCAAATTAGCTTAACAATTAAATGACCAAATCATAAAGATGTTAGAGCTACTGTCACAGAAAATCAAAGCTGGGCAGTAGTTAAATTGGTAGAAACAGATTTTATTCAGGGACTGTTGCAGTAGAGGAAAAGAGACCTCACTATAAAAATAAGCTCAATTTCAGATACAATATGAACAAATGGGGATTTACAGCCAAGGAGCAGGGTGGAGATCAGTGGACAGAAAATTACTAGGAGGAAACATCAAGAGTAAGGGGGCATTCTTGATCAATTGAACTTACTGAAAGTGGGCCAGAGTGATCAGATATCAATGGTGAGGGATTCTCTTTAAACTATATCCCAGAAAATGTACAATCATTATGTATCAATAGAATAAATTAACAAAAAAGGTAAGTTAACAGAATTCCTACTAAAACTGAGAAGTACAGGCCTGAGAAGGACAGACACTGAAACCCAAGGTCAAAGCCCAGTTGAGAAGAGAGCTTAGAGGAGCCTGACTAAAGTTTGGTCAAGGAGAGAATCTTTGTCACTACTTAATATTCATTGAGCTTATAAAATGGTAAGCACCAGGCCCACCCAGACATTTTCAGAAACTGTGGCAACAGTAGAACAAAATCTTGCATATCTTCTGAGAGCGGTTTCTCCCATACCACCCATTCTGAGCCAGGCAACCTTTATTCACAAAATACCCTTCCCTCTCCCCCACCACTATCCCTACTTCCATTCCAAAGGAACACATTACATTTTGGTTTCTCAGAGGAAGCTAACGCTGGAAAACCAAGTTAGAATATAAACTTTTTAGAATTCTCAAATTTCTACACCAGGAAATTCCAGCACAGCGACAGCAGTCCCCAGCCCCCAGTTTATGCATTTCGTTTTCTAGCCCCAGCTCCTTCTTACCTCATGAGAGCCCTGAGTGCATGCCTACAATACTACAACTTGTACACCTAAACTCCACCTACTTTTTCTTCAAATAGTTGCCCTTTGGTCACTTTTGAGCCTAGGGTTATTCATAAAGCTGGCACTGTCAACCCTTAGAGGTATGAACTGTGGAGAAAGGTTCACATATCTACTGGAGTGAACTGCGGCCCTCTGGTCAAGGAATTCCTGATTATGTCTGTTGGGGTGAATGAGAGTAAAGCCTCTCTGGGATCTTGTAGACTTTCCATGAAGTGATCACTTAAATGCTAACTATATTTATTTAGTTTTAAGGCACAGTAAAAATAAAATAAATAGGTATTCTCTTTCTGTTACTATATAACAGAAATAAATAAAATAAATAGATATTCATTTTTGGTTACTGTAACAGGATACTACAGACTGGGTAATTTATAAAGAAAAGAAGTTTCTTAGGCTCATGGTTCTGGAGGCTGGCAAGTCCAAGAGCATGGTACCAGCATCTGACAAAGGCCATCCCTTGGTGAAAGGGCAGGGCAGAAGCAGGATCAAGTACACAATACAGAGAGAGATACTATAGGCCAGACTTGCTTTATAACCACCTTCTCTCTAAATAACTAACCACTGTCATGATAATATTAATCCATTTATGAGGACTCTGCCCGAATGACCCAATCACCTGTTATTAGGCCTGACCTCCCAACACTGTTGCATTGGGAATTAAATTTCCAACACATGAACTTTTGGGGGACACATTCAAACAATAAGACTGTGACTGGTAGAGTTCTTGGCTTTTAGTTTCTCATATTAGGTTTTGTGGTGGTAGTTGTGGCTTTCATCCCAGATTAATAGAGCAATCTTTCCTTTGTCTTAATGATACCACATTTATTTACATTAGATGACTGTTATTTTCTTTCTTTTTTATTTTCCAAGATGGAGTCTTGCTCTGTTGCCCAGGCTGGAGTGCAGTGGCATGATCTCAGCTCACTGGAATCTCCACCTCCTGGGTTCAAGCGATTCTCCTGCCTCAGCCTCCCGAGTAGCTGGGATTACAGGTGCCTGCCACCATGCCCAGCTAATTTTTGTATTTTCAATAGAGATGGGGTTTTACCATGTTAGCCAGGCTGGTCTTGAACTCCTGACCTCAGGTGATCTACCCGCCTTGGCCTCCAAAAGTGCTGGGATTACAGGTGTGAGCCACCATACCCAGCAACTGACTTAGTTATTTTCTTGATAGCTAAATCTGAAGAGAAGAAACATGGCAATCTCTAAGTCTCCTTAATATACCACCATTCTATATGTCTTCTATCCCATGTTATTCATTTACTATTCTATTTTCTATAACATCTAGCATGTCTCTCACCCACAGCAGACACTTAGAACTAATGATAGCTACCATTCATTAAATTTTTTTCCAGAAGCCTATGGAGGTGTAAAGAGGTTCAGTTATTTACAGGTGTCTGAGACAAAATTCATACTCAGTCTGTTTGACTCCAAAATCCATATTCTTCTCACTACAGCACATGGCTGCAATTGCAATTATCTGCAGATAAATAACTGAACATATATTTAAGAATCTATGAACACAAAGCCCTGCCAACATCTCATGTCATAGTATTAAAAATTAAAAGCACAAATACATCAAAGTGACACCCATATTCTTTTAGCTCTTCAGGAAATGACTGATCAGTGTGGATTGGTGTTTTAGTCACTTCACAAACCCATCTAAAAAGATAGTGAAAAAGATTAAGTAATCTTGTTTTTGAAGATAATGTATTTCTCTGATTATAAAGTAATGGATGTACCTCATAGAAAATTTGAAAAATACGGACATTTCAAAGTAAATTAGAATCATTCACAACCTTATCACTAAAAGCCTCTATTTATTATACTCCTTCATATTCAGTGCATATTTTCAAACAGTTGAACTTTTATCCTGCCTTTTTCATTTAATACCATAACACAGGCATTGTACTTTAAAAATATTTTGTAAATTTTGGCTTGTAGAGTTTCTGCCAGAATTTACAAAGTATTTTAAAATAAAATGACTGTGTTATGGTATTAAATGAAAAAGGCAGGATGAAAGTTCAAGACATTTATGCAGCCAACAGACACATGAAAAAATGCTCATCATCACTGGTCATCAGAGAAATGCAAATCAAAACCACAGTGAGATACCATCTCACACCAGTTAGAAAGGAGATCATTAAAAAGTCAGGAAACAACAGGTGCTGGAGAGCATATGGAGAAATAGGAAAGCTTTTACATACACTGTTGGTGGCAGTGTAAACTAGTTCAACCATTGTGGAAGACAATGTGGTGATTCCTCAGGGAACTAGAACTAGAAATACCATTTGACCCAGCGATCCCATTACTGGGTATATACCCAAAGGATTATAAATCATGCTACTATAAAGACACATGCACACGTATGTTTATTGCGGCACTATTCACAATAGCAAAGACTTGGAAGCAACCCAAATGTCCATCAGTGATAGACTGGATTAAGAAAATGTGGCAAATACACACCATGGAATACTATGCAGCTACATAAAAGGATGAGTTCATGTCCTTTGTAGGGACATGGATGAAACCATCTTTCTGAGCAAACTATCACAAGGACACAAAACCAAACACCATATGTTCTCACTCATAGGAGGGAATTTAACAATGAGAACACTTGGACACAGTGTGGGGATTTGTTGTTACTTACATATTTCTGGGTTTGAAATTAACTGGCTCCAGTATTCCTTGTTACTTTTTTTTTTCTTTTTTCTTTGTAAATTATAGACCTGAAGTATTTTTTAACATTTGTCTGATTGAATTAATAATAATAGTGTTTATTAATTAAAACCAGCTTCTGGAGAGGTTGTAACACTCAATATCAGTATTATTCTAACATTTTGAGCTAAGACAATGTATAAATCATCCTTCGCACAGTGACCTAGAATTGGCCTGTGAAGACTCATGTTACCTGAATTTGGCCCAAATCATTTTTGATTATGCAAATGTGCCTGTTATTTACAACACAGACATCAGAGCCACAAGATATAATCCACAATATACTGCTAATAATTAAAGTGTTGGTATAATTTTCTGTCTTCTCCTATCGTTTGTTAACTCCTTTAAATATTATAGTCTGATTTAGTTGTAAATTAACAGAGGAATGTAGACCATTTGAAAAAAAAGAAGCAAAAATGCCTTTTTTTTTTTTTTTGAGACAGAGTTTTGCTCTTGTCGTGCAGGTTGGAGTGCAATGGTGCGATCTCGGCTCACTGCAACCTCTGCCTCGTGGGTTCAAGTGAGTCTCCTGCCTCAGCCTCCTGAGAAGCTGGGATTACAGGTGTCCGCCACCACGCCCAGCTAATTTTTGTGTTTTTAGTAGAGATGGGGTTTCACCTTGTTGGCCAGGCTGGTCTGGAACTCCAGACCTCAGGTGATCCACCCACCTCAGCTTCCCAAAGGTCTGGGATTTTATGTGTAAGCCACTGTGCCCAGCCCAAAGCAATGCTTTCTTTCAGAAAACAATGAATTGAAAAATGAATTATTAGCTGTTTCCCCTGTTTATCTGCATGTTGAATAAAATTATTAAAACACAATCTATTTGATAGTCATTAGTCCAGGTATACATAATAATATACATCATCATAATAATAATGTAACATGTATTTTAGACCTTTGTTCAAAAGCATCCCATAATGATTGATTGTGCCTTATGTGAGAGTATGCTTTATGTGCCATAAACTCATCACCTCTGCATTCTCACTTCTCTAGCATTCAGAGTGCAGCATCAAACTTGCAAACCTGACTTAGAAAAGAATATGAGCTATGTCACTGTTTTGTATGTGGGGAGTGAGGGAAGGTAGTTTCAGGGTTTTCATTGTGGTGAGATAGATCTTGAGTAAGCTGATTCACTGTCATTGGGAAATTAAGTGATATAATAAGCATAAGGGATAAAACAAGTGTTTATTAAACTGACACAGAATATTTTATTTTACTCCCAAACTGTTGTTATTTATTGGCCCTATAAATATTTCTTGAGTATTCTGTTGTGCTTCAGACATCTGGAGCTGGGAATAGAGAAGGGAACAAGAAAATCAGGATCTTTGCCACCATGGACCTCTCAACCCAACACGGTAATCAACCTAAGTTGAGAGTTAAAAGGAGTTCTATGAATGTAAAGGACGTAGTGCTGTGAAAGGCTGTAATGGCATGACCTAATCTAGCCTAAGATACTCAGGGGAAGCCTTGTAGAGAGTTAATATTTAAGCTGAGACATAAAGGGTAACTGTTACCCAAGTGAATGGAGCTGGAGGAGTCTTCAGGCAGAGAATGCATGCCCAAAGGCCTGAGGAGGAATAGGGAAGGTGACTGGAGGTGGTGGGAGAGTGCAGACTGGCACAAGGTGAAGGTGGAGAGGTGGCCATGAGAAATCAGGGAGAGAGAGCCTTGGGTGCTATAGTAAGTAATTTATTCTTTATCCTTTTGAAAGAACATGAGACCTGGAATGTTTCAATGTGGGAAATGACAAAACTAAATTGTTATCTATAAAAATCACTCTGCCATGGAAGTCTGGCTTAGCTGATAAGAGTGCCTGCAGTTATAGCAGTCTAAGAAGCTGTTGTAGGGCTGGACACGGTGGCTCATGCCTGTAATCCCAACACTTTGGGAGGCTGAGGTGGGTGGATCACCTGAGGTCAGAAGTTCAAGACCAGCCTAGCCAAAATGGAGAAACCCCCATCTACTAAAAATACAAAAATTAGCTGGGCATGGCAGCAGGTGCCTATAATCCCAGCTACTTGGGAGGCTGAAGCATGAGAATTGCTGGAACCCAGGAGGCAGAGGTTGCAGTGAGCCAAGATTGTGCCACTGCACTCCAGCCTGGGTGACAGAGCAAGACTCCATCTCAAAAAGAAAAACAAAAAAAAAAACAAACCAAAAATAGAAGCTATTATAGTAATTCAGCTAATGAAAGATTGTAACTTGAACTAAGGTGTTGGCAAAAAGATTGAGAGAAATAGACATATTTTGAAATATACTGGGGATAAACTTTATAAATCTTAATGATTAATTGGAATGGGATGCAAAGGGAAGTGGTATTCCTTCAAATAAATCATCTGTGTCCTCTTTGTCCTGGGCCCCATATCAGGTGCTGAGTATATAATACCCTTGTTTTCAAAGAGTTCACCATCTAATAGAATTATTAAAGAATGACTTTGAGGATGACAATTGGAAAGGAATGGTGGAGAGGTAAAGTTGGAAAATATGTTGAATAGTTCCATTTTGGACAATGTTAATTTAAGATGCCTACAACAAAAGCAAATGGAGATATCAAATAGGCAGTTGAACGTGGATATGGAACTCTGAGAGATCTGACTGGGAATGTCATTGGGAACCTTTAAAACCAAGTGAATTAAGAGATTGCCTTGAAAAAGTATGGAATAAAAAGAAAAGAGAAGCTAGGACTTAGTCCTGAGATATTTCAGACTTTTAATGTAGGTTAGAGCAGAGCTTTCTAAATTGAGTAAGGTGTACCTCTAGGAGTACATAGGTGGATTTATGTCACTTAATATCCAGATCTTCAATTGACCTGCCCAAGAAGAAGCCTGCAGCTTTATGATGGTTCTTCTTTTTCACTTTTCCATTTAATTGGTATTTTCACATTTAAAAAAATAAAGTATATGTCTTAACCGTCCTAAATTCTGCTATGATTCATTGTCCTAGATATAAAGAAACAATCTGAAATACTGTTGCCTGGCATGAGAAAGTCGGTGACTCTAATGATTAGGTAACTAATCATTTTGTTAAATCATGTGGTTTCCAATTCTTTGCTTTTAATAAAATTGAAAAGCAACAGTCAACTGATAGATTATTAAAGTAATTTTAATTATAGGTCACAGGATTCAGAGCATATAACTTGGAAGGAATTCAGTTTTCTTCCCATTCCCATCTACCTGTTTATATGAACAAGATTTCTGATCACTTACATATACAGAAATGAAAAAAGGAATTCTGAATCTTGTCTTACTCTTAACTTTAATTCATATTAATCTATGGAAACATGGACTGATTTTGAAAAACACTACTCAATCTACTAAGAAAAGAATCCCCAATACAATTTCATCTTTATTGTTTTAGGTTTATATGTTGAATTTCATAATATATTTTAGTGATTTTGATAAATTGCATAACACTAATAATCATAAAACCCAGTCTAGAAAATTATTTTTATTGTTTGGAATCTTATGGTCACAGAAAATTTGAGGGAAAAATCATCAGATTTATATTTGTACATGTGTTTTTGTTTTATATAAGTATGCTAGGGTGATCAATAGAAAATGTTCTAACATAGTGATATATTGAAGTAAAACTTCCCATGGTAAAAGTAGAATGGAAACATAAGTTCAAGGAGAAAGAAAAGTGTGATTTTTTAACTGCTCAAGAAGATATTGTTTATTAATATTTTAAATTGTGAGCGTGGACTTCAAATCAGTATGTACTTATATCCCATGGGATACATTTGAAATAGTGATGTAATTGTGAAAAAAATAAAATTTTACAATTCACAGTAGGTCAGAAATGATATCCTTTGCTACTATTTAAATTTATAACAATTGTCAGCCTAAAACATGCAAAAATAGCACATAGTTGTTTTTGTTTTCCTTGTTTTTGTTTTTTAAGTATGAAGATTAATAGGTTGAGGAAGAATTAAAATAGAGATGTACAAAAGGAATGGCCAGCATGGTCAGAAGAAAAGCAGGAGAGGCACAGAATGCAGAAGAGTGTTTCAAGGAAGGAATGAGCCACTGGGCTTCCCACTGTTGTGAGATGGACCAAAATGAGAACTAACGAGATCTCATTAGATTTGGCAAAATCAAGATTACTGGTGAATTTAGTAGGACCATTTCTCTTTTTCTTGGTAGGGGCTTTGTGAGGAAACTCAGACTAGAATGAGATAAAGAGAGTTTGGGAAGGAAGAAGTAGAAAATAGAGAGAGTGTGTATAAACAGATCTTCTGATAAGCTTGACTGGTAAAGAGGAAGGAGATAGGACAGTAGCCAAGGGGAGATGCCAGGTCAAGACAACATTTTAAAAACTAAGAGATACTAGAACATGTTTGAATATTCAGAGATGACTTAAGTAGAGGCTGGGTTTGAAGATGCAGAATATAGAGAGATTAAATGATCTGGTGAGATCTTTAAAAAGACATGAATTGATGGACTTTTGGTATCAGAGGGAACACTTGCTCCACTGTAATAGGAATAGAAAGGAGACGGTGGGTTTGCATGCAGTAAAGTATAGAAATCTGGCATAATAATTTGAGAGACTTCACATCACATGGCTTTGTTTTTCTCTTGGAATTATTAGCAAACATATTTTCTGGAAGTGATGCAGGAAAGGAGAACATTGGAGTTTATCTTTTTAGAAAGAGGGACAGCAAGCTGAGCAGGGCGAAGTGTGGTGTTACATTTGGAGATCATAGTGACTTCCATCATTTGAGGATTTTCTCCACTAACTTCTGGAAGGGGCAGTGAAGAAGGTGGAGGGTTGGGTTCAGTCAGGGTTGGGGTTTTGCCAGACAACTGCAACAGAAGGACTAGTGACAATAGCATAGATAGGAGTTATAAGTGGGAAGTGAACAAGACCAGAAGCCATTAGACTAATTTTTGTTTCTGTTATCTGCTGTGTGAATTTGAGTAAGTTGCTTAACTTATCAAATCCTCAGGTTTTTTTCACTTGAAAATGTAGCAATAATCGCGTGGCGTAGGTCTTGATTTTAACAATGAAACAGAAGATATTGTTGAAGTGTTTTGTAAATAGTGAGCGCTAGATAGACAGAAGTTATTACCAGAGCCTCCTGCAGCTGTTGTCACAGGTGTCCTAGGAAGATGTGTGATTTCATGTTTGGCTTTCTGTCTGATCTCCTTTCTCTTCTGGAGAAGCTTCTCTCTTCTGCTTCCCTCATGCCTATGGCCTCCTTTAATATGTTCCTTCATGTAAGTGTCCCTCATAGACTCACCTAGTCTACCATGCTTCAAACTGAAGTCATACAGTCTACATAAAGTTATAAATCAAATATGAATGACTGACACCAGTGGGTTTCTTTGTGTTTCAAAAGGAAAAATTGATGAATTCAAATGAAACCAGGTTTCTGGAAAGCAAGAATATATTTGTGAGCAAAGGGGCCCTTCTTGTTGCCCTTAATCCTTTATGCCACCATCCTCAGGCTCTGAGTTTTGCCTCCACAAATGAGAACAAGTGTAATAGATTAAGCATACCATTTGCAAATACCAGTTCAACCATTAAGTCAGGGAGTTCCGGCTCTGGTTTTATGAAATCATAAAATGTCACCAATAATCTCAAAATGTGTCATGAGTTTTTCATCACAAATTAATTTGAATTTATTTCATGAAATATGATTTACCCTAGGAAGAGATGAGGAGTATAAGTACTGTGAAATTACATAAACAGTAATAGCTGATTATTGTAGCTCAGGAAAGGTCAGAAAACAGCATCACTAATCATCTACCCTAGAAAATTAGCACCTCCAGGCAATCTAGCATTATCTGTTGCATAGAGAATTGCTCACAACCTTTGGCAGTACTAAATAATTCCAATAATTATAGGTATAAATTTAAGAAGTTCTTCAAGCTAGAGCTATCAGAATTCAAATTTGGGCAGCAAAATTGCATATATTTTATTACTGACCAACCCAATCTTAACTAGGAAGAACTATTATTCATTCACTCATTCCTTCATTGAATAATTCATTTTTTATTCAACTCTTTGCTTAGTGCCTGTTAGGAGCTCAGCACTGTCCTAGGCATTAATGATAAAATGGTCAACCAGACAGACAAGGCTCCTACTCTAAGAAAGGTGGGCAGAAGATAAACAAATATACAAATATATTTTCTGTCTGTTGGACAGAAAATAAACAACTACACAAAATATCATATGGTAATAAATGCTATGCAGAAAATGAAGCAGAGTGATATAGTGATGAATGCCTGGTGGCAACTTTAGATTAAATAATCAAGTTAGGCCTTTCTGAGGAGGTGATATTTAAGGTAAGATCTTAATGACAAATAGGAGCTAGCCAAAAACATGAGGGAAAAGACTTTCAAAGCTGGGGAAACAATAAGTACAAGTACCCTAAGGCAGGAGTGAGCTAGGTATGTAGGGCACAATGGTAGACGATGCTAGGAGACAGAGCTAGGGGACAGTGGTAGAAGATGAGAGCACAAGAATAAATAGGAGCTCAAACTTTGTAAGGCAGGTAAGGGCTTTGGGTTTTAATTTAAATTACATAGGAAGAGCTCGTAGGTCTTAAGTAAGGGATGATTGATATTATCTGATTTAAATTTAAAAATTAGAAACTGTGGGCCGGGCGCGGTGGCTCAAGCCTGTAATCCCAACACTTTGGGAGGCCGAGGTGGGCAGATCACGAGGTCAGGAGATCGAGACCATCCTGGCTAACATGGTGAAACCCCGTCTGTACTAAAAATACAAAAAATTAGCCGGGCGTGGTGGCCGGCGCCTATAGTCCCAGCTACTTGGGAGGCTGAGGCAGGAGAATGGCGTGAACCCGGGAGGCGGAGGTTGCAGTGAGCCGAGATCACGCCACTGCACTCCAGCCTGGGCGACAGAGCAAGACTCCACCTCAAAAAAAAAAAAAAAAATTAGAAACTCTGGTTTCCGTCTAGAGAATATATTAAAGAAAACAGGAGTGGAACCCGTGAGCCAACATGTTTGGGTAGAAGTGGTTGGTAGTGGCTTGGGCAAGGGTGATAGTCGTAGAGATGGAGAAAAGTTGATGGACTGGGATAGATATTGTAGCTAGAAGCTACTGATCTTGTTAATGGATTGGATGTAGAGGGTGAAGGAAATTAAAAATCTTGTTAATGGATTGGATGTAGAGGGTGAAGGAAATAAAAGATAACAAAAAAACTGAATGTATGATGGTGTCTTTTGTGAGGAGTTGAGCTGGCCACTGGTGATGGAAAATTAGAGGCAAGATTTCTTCTGTCATAGGGCTTATATTCTAGTGCAGGGAAATATAATAAATAAGAAAACAAATAAATTTAAGTAATACAAGTATCTCATTTGTTGTTGAACTATACAAATGCTGAAAATTACTTCCCTGTAACAGGTAATGAGATTTGATATTCTCTATAACAACATGAGATTTGATATTTACAAGAATTTTAAAAGATGCCAAATGTTTTCTCTTAAATATTTTATACATCTCATAAACTGCTGCAATTACATACAATGAAATTATATGTATTTTCCCTGCGTACGTATATGTTGGTTGGCTTTTAAGATGCTCCACACTTCCTGGAGGTTGGGTGGGGGGCTTATGACACACCTGTTATAGTCATGGTAAATGAAGAACAGTTCAAAATAAGAAGCAACATTACAGTTTGCCACATGGTATACTTGAGTTCAGACTTACGGTTTAATTTTCCTGTTTCTATGGAAATTAAGCTCTGAGAATTAAAATAATCATGAGAATAATAAACAAGAACTTTAATTTAAAGCCTAACCGCTAAAGTTTAAAAGATGTGCTTAAGTAGAACTAGCTTTGTATGTAAGTGACATAAGCTTCTGACCCTGTGATGTGAATTTGTAAATCCCCACCTCTTCATCCCCTAGGTCAAGGGCCAGTATCTTTCTCGTTGGCAACTGTGTCCTCAGTGCCTATACAATACCTGGTACTCTGTGGCAGGTCTTCAATATATGTTGGTTGAATGTATGTATGTGCGGATTACATATATCTCTCAACTTATATTTGAGGTCTTATTATTGGTGATCAATTGTGTTTGTTTAGGCCTTGCCCTATCACTGGAGTTCTTTTTTTTTTTCTTAATGCTAATATGCCTATGAATGATAGCTTGTTTGTTAGGGTGATTAAATTTGAATTCATTCTTTTTATACCAGGAGGAAAGAGATGAGATGAGAAGACAGCATTCTTATGGGACAAAGTCACTGGAAAGGATGAGGAAAAGGTGTGGATACTGGCAGCAAAGATGTCATTGACTAACTTCCCCACTTATAAAATTCATTCACTCTATTTGCCAAATATATATTCTGTGCCAACTCTGTTCTACCCTGTGAGGCACTAAAAATACAAAAATGAATGACAAATGATTTTATCCCTCAAGTCATAAACCACAAATCAAAACTTATGATTTATAAGTGAAGACAGACATTTAAACAAAACATTTTCTTCCTTTCCTCACTACCCACATACAATCCATCAGCACATCTATTAGATTCTAATCAGCCCTCCATGTCTGTCCCCTTCTCTTTATCCTGACTGCCACTGGCTTAGTGCAGGCTATTATATCTTTTATCAGGGTTATATAGCAGCCTCTAACAACAATTCTTGCTTTCTTCTACCTTAACTCCACCTACCAAATCTAATCAAGTCCACATCTCCACATTGTACCTGGAGAATTATTCTAAAACATTATTCTAGCTATAAGCAGTACAATGGCTTTCCAGTGCCTTTAAGTTCAAGTCCAAATTATTTAACATGTCGTACCAAGACCTTCAAGACTTGATCTGTGCTCCTTACCTCATCAGCCACTAAACTGTGCCTGAAACACTTCTTCCTATCTTTATTCACTTGGCTAACTTCTATTTGGCCTTCAGGTCTCAGCTGCCTCAGTTGCTCCAAGTTTTCCTTGGCCCCCAAAAACCAAATAAGGTTCTCCTGTTATGTACTCCTGCATTACCCTGTATTTCTCTTGCCATAGCACTTATATTGAATTTTAATAGCATTTTTCCTATCTCTCTTGCTAAACTGTGAAGCTACTTCAGGATATGCATTTGTCTTTAAAGGTACTTAACAGACAACCCGGGTCTGGAGGTGGCTAATTCAGGCAGAGGAAGAGGCCTGACCAATGAACTTGCATAATGTTTGAAGAAACTACTTATATAGCAAGAGACAGGGCTGGGGAAGTGAATAGCAATCAGATTGTGGAAAGACTTGGGTGTTATGTGAAGGTACTTTGGCTTTATCCAAAAAGGCAGGTGGATTCAATTTATGTTCCACAGAACCCTGTGATCAGTGCTACCAGTAGCTCATAAGAAGTTTTTATGTGAATTAGAAAACTCATAAGAAGCCTTTATGTGCATTAGACACTCCCTTCAGCAGAGACAGCTCAGTGCCAAGGCACTTGGCTTAGAGAAAGGGTTTTGCCTGGATTTCTTTCTGCACTCACTAGCTTCTGCTCAGTCATATATAGCACCCTGACTGGATTCCTCAGAGCCCTCTGAAGGGTCACGAATGAGGCAGCAGGCTCGGCTCTGATTCTCTTTTCCTCTATGCTGCAGAAATCACAGAAATTCTCCCTCTATTTGTTATATATAAATAATTATAAATATCCATTGTGTGACTTCTAAGTAAGATTTCATTTTAATAAAGGGCTTCTTTGCTTGGATTTTTTAAATGTAGACAATGGAGAGCAATTGAGGACCATTAAATATGGGATAAAACATTCAGGCTTATATTTCAATAACACCATTCTGGCAATAAGTTGGAAGATGGAATAGAGGGGAAAAAGCTGGAGGCAAGAAGACTAGTTACAACTTTTTTCCCCAGAATCTAGGTGATTGACAATAAGGGCTAGAATTAGGTAGAATAAATGAGAGTAAAAGAAAAGGATATACTCAGGAGGCTGAGGCAGGAGGATAATTGAGCCCAGGAGTTCAAGGCTGCGCTGAGCTATGATCCTGCCACTGAACTTCAACCTGGGCCACAGAGCAAGACCCCCATCTTTAAAAATAAAAAGGTTCAGGCCAGGCATGGTAGCTCGCGCCTGTAATCCCAGCACTTTGGGAGGCTGAGGTGGGTGGATCACTTGAGCTCAGGAGTTTGTGACCAGCCTGGGCAACATGGCAAAACCCCATCTCTACAAGAAATACAAAAAATAAAAATAAAAAAAAAGCCAGTGTGATGGTGTGCACTCGTAGTTCCAACCACATGGGAGGCTGAGGTAGGAGGCAGCTTGAGCCTGGAAGGCAGAGGTTTCAGTGCGTCGTGATTGTGCCACTGCACTACAGCTGGGGCAACAGAATGAGACCCTTCTCAAAAACAATAAATAAATACAAAGTAATTAATTAACTAAAAATGAAAAATTTTAAAATAAAAATATGTTAAAATGTGATAGATTGGATGTGTGGCTAAAAAAGAAGGAACACTCCTCCCTTTCTGGTGATGAAATTATTTGTCTTGATGGAGAATTAAAAGTGAAGTAAAGGGTTGTCTATGGGGAAGAGATAAGATTAATTTCAGACTCTGCTCCATTTGAGATGTACTGTCAACTTCCAAGTAAAGATAGGTGCCAGGCTGGGTTGACCTTGAATTTAGGTTTATAGAACACCAGAGCTAGAAGAGAATTTTAAGATCACTGTACTCAAACACACAGAGAAAAAAAATTGACTTGAACTGGAAAGTGGCAGAAACCCAGGATTAGAATTCATATCTAGCTTATAACCCAGTGTTCTTCCCACCATGCCATGCTCCTTGTTGTTCTCAACTTTTCACTGAAATGTTCATCAATTTAATGCCAAATTGAACTTGACTGAGAAAATGTACAATTATGAATTCCATATATGTTGATCTACATCTATTTCTGGGATTGGAGTAGATTTGAGTAGAGGAAAATAGGAAATCAAATCCAGCATTGTTAAATGTATTTCTTAATGTGTAGTACTCACTATTTTAGGTTCTATGCAGGTAACAAATAAATCTATAGCTTCTTGATGAGAATCTGCCATGTATTTGCAATTGGGACATTATGGACAATAAAGCCTTGAGTGATTTGGAAACATTTCATGGGCTATGGAGTGTGAACTTGCCTTTGAATGATGCTAGCTTTGGTTGAACGTTTGAGAGACAGAAAGCAACATGAAACAAAATATAGTGTCCTGGCTGGAGCAGGCAGTAAGAGGTATAAAAAGGGGGTTGGTTTAGAAGTCATACAATGATGCTAATTTTTTCTTATGTGACAACTGTGTACCTGACACTGGTAATACAAAGATTAACCACAGTTTTAATTTTATATATGTTACAAATCTCTTGAATTTAGAGGGGAAATGAAATGATAAAAGGGTTGCCTTAGGAAGTTGAACCTGGTTTTGTGTGTTTGAATGAAATGGAGAGGGGCTAATTAGCCTGGCATCAGGAAAACTAGCTAGGAAGCTACTGTAGTAATCCAGGTGGTAGGTACCAGCACCTCATCTCTTGAAAGTTGACAAGCAGTCCTGTCAGTGGACACAGTATTGAACTGAGCGGGCTAAGTAATCTCCAGTCCCATGACCCTCTCACTTTGGAATTTCTATTCAATGTCTCTTTTCCATGTTGTACCCATTAAGTAGCCTAGCTTGAAATTTGTTACTGGCCTCTGCTTTTCCAGGAAAGTGCCAAAAGACCAATCACTGATGCTGAAATAGCAATTTCTGTCCCCATTGTGGAAAGCTGTGATGCTTCCCAGATGACAGCTGCAGAGAGTCCTGCAAGCATTTTATAGAAGGGAAATGAAGTGGCAAATAGAGGGGAAAAACAGTACATTCACTGTAGGAGATGGCTTCTATGGATCATAAACCCGAGTTACTCTCATTCAGAGTTAGAGACGAGAGCAGAAGCCCTATTTTTTAAATGTGGAATGAAGAGGCTATCAGTTGGTCTTAGCTGAAGGAAGGGAGTCAGTAAAAGAGTTTCAGGTAGAAAATGAGTGCTGGAAAATGGTTTGCATGTCCACAGCCTTACACATTATGGCAGCTGTGGTCTCCTGGTCCAGGTTCCCTTAGAGGCTTTGTTCCAAATAATGAAAAGCTGCAAATAGAGGGGTTGGGTTTGGAGTCAGAGCTCAGGACTTTTATCACATACTCAGTTGGGTCTACATAAGATTGAGTATTTCTGTTTATTTTGGAATGAATCATACATGAGCCAAGTAGAATGACCCTTCAAAACCTAGAGCAGTGGTTTTTGGAGTATGGTCTCAGTCCAGCATTACCAGGATCACCTAGGAACGTGTTAGAAATGTGACTCTTCTCTCCTGCTCTAGACCTACTGAATCAGCACCTCTGGAGGGGGAAGCTCAGTGGTAATGTATAGTTTAACAAGCCCTCCCCAAAGTGTGAGAAAGATTGATCTAGATTTTGTTACTTGGCTTGGCTCTACTGGTTTACAGTATGGTCCTGGACCCGACTGACAGTGGGTCCTTAAGTAAGTCGCAAAATCATTTTTAACAAACCAGAGAAGTGTAGATGGTATAGGGCATGAACTTTGAGATTTCCTAGACATCATTTACCTGTCATTACAAACCTATTTCAACTTTAGTTTCTACTGTGGAATGAAGGCGACAATATCTACTTTTCAGTGTTTCTATTTACATTAAAGACTATATAACATAGTATATAATACAAACTTTTCCCACTAGGTGCCAGGCATTAATGCTATTCGAATAAAACAAATAAACTCAGTATAATGAGTGCTTTTATAAATACTGTATTTTTATAAATTTGAATTCCTAGTTAAATTTTAATTTCAATGGAACATACTTATACTAAAATGTATGTGTTTATCTAAATAATAATTACTAATGTTTATCTGAAATTGAAATTCAACTGATTGTCCTGTATTTTTATTTGCTAAGTCTGGGAACTCCATTAATATTTTTCACTAAGTACCTAATGGAGGAACACTGGAGCAAATAACTGGGCCAAAGATGGCATCCTAGAAGATGAGATAAGCTTGAATTAAGTTTTAAAAGGGAAAAAGGAATGAGCTAAGGGAGATAACACATGTAAAGTATTGGTCACAAAGTCTGCCTGTATTAATCAGAAATATTTGTTGGCAAGTAAAAGACCCACCAGCTTACTTACTCAAAAGGGAGAATTAATTAGAAGGACATTTGAAGTATCTTCTCAAACTGGACAATTAAGCGCTGGGAAGAATAGCCATGGACTGAGACACTGTCAGGTGTTAGAGGAATTCCTCCTTCTGTCCGAAGCCCATACTTCTTCCTATAGATCTACTTTATTCCCCATCTTTTTGGAGATAGTCTTTTGAAATTTTATAGTCAACATGGAAGAAAATGGCCTCTAATATTAAGCTCTCAAGTTTCTATTTCTTCTGGTCACATAGAACCTCTGAGTCTCATGGTTTCAATTCCACATTCCCAAAAGCAGGACTGGCCAGACTTGACAAGTGAACCAGGTTAAGCCATATAAGCTTGTCACTCCTCCTACAACCATGTGGATGTTTGCTGGAAAAAAAAGCCTCATAGATATTACTACATTGGCCCATATCAGATGCCTCTAAAACATTCCTCTTCCTTTCTTGGAAAAATGCTAAATTATGCTGATTTTTATTCTTTTATTTTTTATTTTTAATAAACTAATAATGCCTAATGAGGTCAGTGAAATATACAGATCATTAGGGTGAGAAGTTTCAACAAGGGAGAACCTTAACTGGTGATGGACTTTAAAGATCCCCAGTAACACTTCCATGTACTTCATAAAAGGAAGAGTGAGATAACAGGCAGACATAATTAAGTATATGTATTATGGCAGGCCATTATGATTTGAAGTCATTTGAGTCAGCCTGTGTTTGTGTGTGTGTGTGTGTGTGTGTGTGTGGTGGGGGGTGTATTATTTTCTCCTCTCTGTGAGCATAAACTACTTGTCTTAATAAGGTTTTGGCTTCTATTATTTGTTCATAACCTACCTTTAATGACTTCAGGAATAGAAGAAAAACAAGACCCTTTTCATAACTTCTGTTTTCATTATAATTGACATAAAATGTGTGGAATTATTCCTTTTGAACAGATTCTGAGATTTTTGTTTTGTTTTGTTTTGTTTGGAGATGGTGTCTCGCTCTGTTACCCAGGATGGAGTGCAGTGGCGCGGTCTTGGCTCACAGCAACCCCCGCCTCCAGTGTTCAAGCGATTCTCCTGCCTCAGCCTCCCAAGTAGCTGGGATTACAGAGGCCCGCCACCATGCCTGGCTAATTTTTTGTATTTTTGGTAGAGATGGGGTTTCACCATGTTGGTCTGGCTGGTCTCGAACTCCTGACCTCATGATACTCCCACCTCGGCCTCCCAAAGCACCGGGATTACAGGGACTGAAAGTTTTTTAAGTGATTGATTGTTATCTTTAAGTGCATGCAGTCTAATTCCTTAGCTAGTGGTTTTTTAAAATTTCATCATGCATTTTTACACTTCATACAGCACATTAAACATTGATCAGCTTTCTTCATGATGTGGCCCTTTGGTCTGTAATTAATTCATTTATTTGAAGAAAGAGAATACTACTGATAGAAACAGTAAAGCGCAAGGTAATTAGGGGACATTCTTCAATAACCAACAGCTGCTGCAAAGTTGTTTCAGACCCTGTGACCTAACATCTACCTTTTTTTACTTTTTTTCTTTTTTTAGATGGAGTTTTGCCCTTGTTGCCCAGGCTGGAGTGCAGTGGCACGATCTCGGCTCACTGCAACCTCTGCCTCCCAGGTTCAAGCGATTCTCCTGCCTCAGCCTCCTTAGTAGCTGGGATTACAGGCGCCTGCCACCATGCGTGGCTAATTTTTTGTATTTTTAGCACAGACAGGATTTCATCATGTTGGCCAGGCTGGTCTCGAACTCCTGACCTCAGGTGATCCACCCGTCTCAGCCTCCCGAAGTGCTGGGATTATAGGCATAAGCCATCGCTCCCGGCCCCAAACACCTACTTTTGAATAAAAACTTGAGGAGGTCTGAGTGCAGTTAGGTGTGGTTGAGTTAAGTGTGCTGGTCAGAATCTTTAACCAAGGCTTCCATAAAAGGTAAAGTTTGTATATCAAAACAACTATAAGTTTTACTGTGGGCAAGGGAAGGGAAATATGAAAAGGAAATTACATTGTACTTCATCAAACAAGACTTATTTAAGCTCTAATATTTAGGTGAATATGCATTTATTATTTTTTTCTTTTTTTAAACCTTTAGTTTCGGGGGTACATGTGCATGTTTGTTATATAGGTGAATTGCATGTCGTAGGGGTTTGGTGTATAGCTTATTCTGAAACCTGGTAATAAGCATAATACCTGATAGCTAGTTTTTCAGTGCTCACCCTCATCCCAACTTCCACTCTCAAGTAGGACCCAGTAAATGTTGTTCCCCTCTTTGTGTCCATACGTACTCCAAGTTTAGCTCCCACTTACATAAATGAGATCATGGAGTATTTGGTTTTCTGTTCCTGTGTTAGATTGCTTAGGATAATGGCCTGCAGCTCCATCTGTGTTGCTGTAAAGGACATGATCTCATTACTTTTATGGCTGCATAGTATTCCATTGTATATATGTACCACATTTTTAAAAATCCAGTCTGCTGTTGATGGGCATTTAGATTGAGTCTATATCTTTGCTATTGTGAATGGTGCTGTGTTGAACATATGTGTGCATATATCTTAATGGTAGAATAATTTATATTGCTTTGGATATAATACCCAATAAGGGGATTTCTAGGTTGAATGGTAATTTTGTTTTAAGTTCTTGAGAAATCCCCAAACTCCTTCCCACAATGGCTGAACTAATTTACACTCCCACCAACAATTATAAGCATTCCCTTTTCTTCACAACCTTGCCAGCATCTGTTATTTTTTGCCTTTTTAATAATAGTCATTCAGATTGGTGTGAGATGTTACCCCATTGTGGTTTTGATTTGCATTTCTCTAATGATTAGTAATGTTGAGCATTTTTTCATATGCTTGCTGGCCATGTCTATGTCTTCTTTTGAAAAGTGTCTGTTCATGTCCTTTATGCACTTTTTAATGGTGTTATTTGGTTTTTCCTTGTAAATTTAAGTTCCTTATAGATTCTAGATATTAGACCTTTGTTGAATGAGTAGCTTGCAAATATTTTCTTCCATTCTGTAGGTTGTCTGTTTACTCTGTTGGTAGTTTCTTTTGCTGTGCAGAAGCTCTTTAGTTTGATTAGGTCCCATTTGTCAATTTTTGGTTTTGTTGTAATTGCTTTTGGCATCTTTATCATGAAATCTTTGCCAGGTCCTATGTCCAAAATAATATTTCCTAGGTTATCTTCCAGGGTTTTTATATGTTTAGGTTTTATATTTAAGTCTTTAATTCATCTCGAGATTATTTTTACAGATTGTTTAAGGAAGGGGTCGAATTGCAATCTTCTGCATATGACTGTCCAGTTATCTCAGCACCATTTATTGAATAGGGAGTCCTTTCCCCATTGCTTGTTTTTGTCAATGTTGTTGAAAATCAGATGGCTGTAGGTGTGCAGCATTATTTCTAGATTCCCTATTCTGTTCCAGTGGTCTGTGTGTCTGTTTTTGTACCAGTACCTTGCTGTAAAAGCTCTATTTTTATATTTTTCTTCCTGAAAATCCCATTCTTTTCTTCTCTTCCTCCCTTTCTTATACAAAATTTTAAAAACACTTTCAGCATCTTGACTGTAGCTCTTTCTTTTTCTCCCTTTAGTATTTTTCCCTCACTATAGTCTCTTTATATATTCTCTTATGCAAATGCTTCTTGTCTCTTTTTCGTAATGATAGCTAACATTTTTGATGCTTACTGTTTTTCAGGGACTACGCTATGTATTTCACATGCATTCTCTCAATAACAGTAACAATCAGTCAATAACAATCTCATTATCCCTATTTTCAGATGAAGAAACTGAGGCTTTGAGATGTCAAGTGACTTGTCTGTAGTCACAGAGCTCCCAAGTTTTAGAGCTGTGGTGAGATCCCAGATCTATCTGGCTGTGACCAAGCCTCCCAAGCCATGTTCTTAGGTTCTGTGCTGTGATATATGTCCAGTATAAAACATTTGAAAGAAACATAAAAGTAGAAATGTGCTTTTTAAAGCGCTCATAATCTCCATACCCACAAAGGACCCAAATTAAAACTTCGCTATCTTTCTCTTCAGTGTGTTTTATGCATAATGCATGGGAATTTTTAAATTTTTAACACTTACTATGACTTGATGATCATTTTAAATGAGTTAACATACTTAAAAATGCGTAAAATCACAAATCTTACTTCAATGGCGGAAAAATTTTTTTGTTATATATATATATTCTTATTATACTTTAAGTTCTAGGGTACATGTGCACAACATGCAGGTTTGTTACACATGTATTCATGTGCTATGTTGGTGTGCTGTATGCATTAACTCATCATTTACATTAGGTATATCTCCTAATGCTATCCCTCCCCCAGCCCCCCACCCCACAACAGGCCCCGGTGTATGATGTTCCCCTTCCTGTGTCCATGTGTTCTCATTGTTCAATTCCCACCTATGAGTGAGATCATGCAGTGTTTGGTTTTTGGTCCTTGTGATAGTTTGCTGAGATTGATGGTTTCCAGCTTCATCCATGTCCCTACAAAGGACATGAGCTCATCATTTTTTATGGCTGCACAGTATTCCATGGTGTATATGTGCCATATTTTCTTAATCCAGTCTATCATTGATGGACATTTGGGTTGGTTCCAAGTCTTTGCTATTGTGAATAGTGCCGCAATAAACATACGTGTGCATGTGTCTTTATAGCAGCATGATTTATAATCCTTTGGGTATATACCCAGTAATGGGATGGCTGGGTCAAATGGTATTTCTAGTTCTAGATCCCTGAGGAATAGCCACACTGCAGAAAATATTTAGTACCTTGAGAGAGTAGATATTACCTGTTACTTTAAATTATATTGTCAAAGTAGAACAAATAACTCACTAAATATTGTTTTACTTTTCAGTGATGCTATACCATTTTAGAAAATACTTGATTTAGTGCAAAATTTAGATGTGACTCTTTGAATACGGGCTACCGATAGACTATCCTTTTTGTTTCTAAAATATTTTTGGCAAGGAATGCACCAAAATTTCTAAAGGAAATTCTAGAAAGAATATTAAAATTAATCTGCGGATATTACAGACAATTCTGGTTTACAAGGTGAAATTGCTGCAGATGAATACTGTAGACTTACGTGTATAACATCAAGTACTAAGAGTGAAACTGTCAACTTAATTAGATTGGTAGAGTGAGATTGGAGAGTAAGTCTGTATATGTAAACAACATTTTGTTTTTTAGAGATGGAGTATCGCTTTTGATGCCCAGGCTGGTCTTGAACTCACGGCTTCATAAAACAATGTCCCTCAGAAATATGATAAAGCCTGCATTTGTTACTGTGACAAAGTATTCCTTGACTTTGAAGCTAATTATATACTTACATGCTTCAAAATGAATACAGTTGGTGGCTTTACTCACAAAGTTTATCTACTGGTAAAGAGAGCAAATTAATTTTAAATAGCTATGACCCTCTAGCCAAAATCTATTTCAAGTTTCTGGGAGGAAGGGAAGTTGACTGCCCTAGTTTGGCCTGACATACTTTCCTCTCTATTTTGAGAATTTGAATGTAAACTACCCCACCTCCCCTACAAACACCACCATTAAAAAAAAAAATTAAAACAATCAACTCTGAGTGTCTGAGTATCTTTGTATCAGTAGAAGCTCTAGAAAAAGTAAAAACAGGTTGAAATTATGTCCCTGTTTTCACCAACACTTTGACCTTGTCAGTAAAATTCCACTGTCTTTAAAATGGGATCCATACTTTATAAATTGTTTAAGTAAGAACAAATAAGTGAAATGACTGGCTGATATTGCACATAGTATGTCCTTTAAAAGTTTAAATTTCCATTCTGTTCACATTTGAACAAATACTTGAGCACATCTTTGATCCACTCAATAGCAAGAACTTTCAGATCTATGGTAGGTTACAATGTACACATCTCCACACATCAGCTATGGGTACTCTCCTGCACAGTACTATACAGTACAGTTACTGCTCTCACTGACTCTGGACATAGTCTCTCTCCTTTTATGGGATACTGAAGTTCAAAAAGATAAAGTGGCCTCACCGTGGTCCCACAGATGATGAAGAACTGAGACTCAAATCCAGGCCTCCTGACTGCTAGTCCTAAAGCTGCCTACTTGATCCACATATTCAGGAATGAACATCTGATTTAGGCTATGATTTTCTCACACCAGCAATTGACAATTAAGGATCCCACTGTATACAAAAGGAAAAAAATAGAGTTTGAATAGATATATATAGCCTCCAGAATTTTTTTTAAATGTCAGCCACTCCCTTCTATGAAAAGCAGTGTTTTAAGATATAATTAGTATTCTGAGCATAGAGTGATGGTAAACATTATGTTTTGTATTATCATGAGATGGCAAAATTACCCACTCTCAAAGGACCAGCTGCTGCAGGGCAGCTGGCACCCATGATGCCTACATTCTCAAAACTATTTTAATTGGTAGTTTCCCTTTTTTTTTTTTTTTTTTGTCAATCAGAGAGGAAATGTATGTGTAAGTCTATTAAAGCCATAGCATCTGTTATGATGAAATGACATTGCCGAATCTTAGGAAGTGAAATATTCCATCTCAAGATTTTGAGACTGCTCTGTGTTCTTACTGAGGCAAGAGTTCCTATAACTAAACAGGTATAGAAAAGTTATGCACAAAAACAGATACAAAATTCTTCCCATACTTTTCATATAATATTATCATTGTAGTCATCATTTTGAATTGATATACACAACATACATGAAACTATTCATCACATTAGATGTATGTGGTCCTAAGAGAGAAAAGCTCAAATTTTGAAATAGGAAGACCTGAAATCAAATCCAATCTCTGCTCAAATTGCTGACAGCTTTAAGCAGAGGACTTAATCACTTGGAAGTCTTCTCATTTCTATAATGTAGATAATAAGTTTTATTCCACAAAGTTATAGGGAGTATCCAATAGTTGAGAATATTATAAATCAACAAATATTGCACTGTTATCAATAACAAACATTTATTAGGTGTTCATTACATAAGAGAGTATGTACTAAGTGCTTATATGTGCTTTATCTCATTTAATCTTCCCCAAAAGGCTTCCTGATAGATATTACTATTATATCCAATTTACAGATGAGAATATAATAAGGCTTAGAGAGGCTAAGGAAATTAACTATGGTTACAAACTTAGGAAATGGAGGGCCCAATCATTGAACTTAGTCTTATTCTTTCACACATTCAACAAATATTTGCTAAGGAAAGATCCCCTGAACAAAACGGGACACTGTTTGGAAGGAGGAAGTGGGGAATGCAAGTTGAGTAAGCAAACCAACCATGTTCACTGTACGCTGGCCACTGTGTAGTGAATGGATTGAAAGGTAACAAGAGAGAATCCAAGAAGGCTAGGTCGGCGTTTGTGGAGGTGGTTCACCTGAGAGATGATGTTGATTTCAACCAGGGTGGTAGCAATGAAGATGAAGAAACCTAGATGGACTGAGGCTATACTTGCAGGTAGAACTGACTGCGTGGTGGTGGGGGAAAAGAAGCATCAAGCAAAGGAGGCCCCTCATTTTTGACTCTGAGCAACATGGTGATCTGAGATTGGGGACACTAGAATGGATATACAGAGTGAGGGAAAGAAATTTTTGTAATCTCAAGCCCCGTGCTCTTAACCATTATTAATGTTATCACTAATTATTATCATGAAAATAAAATATATTTGGAGTCGATGGCCACATAACTTTAAACTACCTGGAAAGGTTTATGGAAATGTCAAATTATTCCTTTCCATGTGAAAATGAAAAAAAAAAAAAAAGAGGAAAGTTTGATGTAGAATTTGTTGTGGTTCTTAGTTTTCAAAGTAAGCACCTAGGAACAGGATTATCTGAGGTTCTCCTTGAACTTTGTAAATCTGAACTTCAGTATTTATAATATTGTAAGATGAATCGAGGTGGAGAGGAGGGTGGGGAAACACTGGAAGATAATTTGCCAGAAAGCTGACAGACTTATTTAATTTATTATTATTATTATTTTCTTTTTTTGAGATGGAGTCTCGCTCTGTCTCCCAGGCTGGAGTATAGTGGCGTGATCTCGGCTCACTGCAACCTCCACCCTCGGGATTCAAGCAATTCTCTTTTCTCAGCCTCCCAAGTAGCTGAACTACAGGCACACACCACCATGCCCAGCTAATTTTTGTATTTTTGGTAGAGACGGGGTTTCACCATATTGGTCAGGCTGGTCTCGAACCCCTGACCTCAGGTGATCCTGCCACCTTGGCCTCCCAAAGTGCTGGGATTACAGGCATGAGCCACTGCGCCCAACCTAATAGGTTTATTTTAGATGATTGAGTCAAGTATATTTTTTCTTCTACCTTTTTATATTTTTCAGATATTTGAAAATGATTACTTATTACTTTTATAACTAGTAAATTAAAAATTTGAGAAAATTAGTCTGTAAATAATTGTATTTGTTATGTCTATATAGTTCATGGTAGTAAGTTCTGAGAACCACTCAAATTGTAACTTTCAGTCAAACCAATTAAAATAATGATGTAACTTACAGAGGCCTTAAAATACATGCCCTTCTAACTATGCCGTATGTGTAAGCAGTCCCAGTCAAAGTGGACTGGAGTTTAGGATGGGAACTGACCAGTAGTATGGTCAAAAGTGGTTAGGAAGAAGGCTAAGAGGCTTGAGTAGTTTGACATTTTTTAGATTTCCTTCATTTGAAGCATCCTTCCAAATTTAAATATTTTAAAATTTTTTAGATTCTTTACTTTCCCACTTCTTAAGGTCAGATAAACATAATAATATTCTTTAAGAAATCCTGCTAGCCACTTCTGAATCTTGACTCTTTTCCTTCCTTGCAGGGTCAATGATTGTATCTTGCGGGTGAATGAGGTTGATGTGTCAGAGGTTTCCCACAGTAAAGCGGTGGAAGCCCTGAAGGAAGCAGGGTCTATCGTTCGGCTGTATGTGCGTAGAAGACGACCTATTTTGGAGACCGTTGTGGAAATCAAACTGTTCAAAGGCCCTAAAGGTAATCAAAATATAAATGACTCACAGACACTAGTGACAAACCATCTGACTGAAGTTTATGCCACGATAGTCGTATGATGAACTCTTTAACCTCTGACATTCAGTGCTTACCAAGAGATTTAAAATCCTACAGTAGTGGTTACAAAGGGTAAAGGAAACCAGTACTCTAAATATGAACTCAGATAAGAAGGAAAGAGTAGATTTATGTAGAAACATCCTTAAAAACAAAAATATTAACAGTCATCTATGTTTTTCTATAAATTTTTAATCTTACTGGGTCATGATAACTTAGCTAGCATATTAATACTAATTTTTCAGATACAAATGGTAAATCCTCTCATTTGGCAAAATAGTAATATAAATAATAATTAAAATAATCTGTACTAATATAACAATTATATTTTTATAATGTTGTGATATGTTTAAAGTTTGGTTATATTCTTATGTGTTGTACCCAATATTACATGACATTTTATGCTTGCAGTAGCCAAAATAAGTTAAAATTTATGTTCTTGAAATGTTCTCGTATCTCTTGAGATTATTATAGTTACTCTGAGGAGTTGCAGAAACAGATGAATTACCACCCTAATTTTTGTTTGTTTGTTTTTTGTTTTGTTTTGTTTTGTTTTAAGGCAGGGTCTCACTCTGTTGCCCAGGCTAGAGTGCAGTGGCAGGATCATGACTCATTGAAGCCTCAAGCTCCTGGGCTCAAGTGATCCTCCCATCTCAGCCTCTCAAATAGCTGGGACTACAGGCATGCACTAGTGCATGTGGTTATTATTATTATTATTATTATTATTATTATTATTGTATTTGTTTTTTGGTAGAGACAGACCCTTGCTTTGTTGCCCAGGCTGGTCTTGAACTCCTGGTCATAAGTAATCCTCCTGCTTTGGCCTCCCAAAGTGTTGGGATTACAGGTGAGAGCCACTGTACCTGGCCCATACTAATTTTTAAGAATAATGCTTTGAACTCTGTTCTTCAGAATGATGACATTAAGTAGTAACTTAATAGTATTTAATGTTTTGGAAAAAATCTAATAATTAGCTTAACATTATTTAAATATTTTAGATGATTTTGACCAAATAATCACTGTACTCTTTGAGTAAATCATTTCTCATTTCTTTAAAATCTATTTAATCTCTAATGCTATATGAGATTGAAAAAATAAGCCTACCATCTCTTCTAGGAGGCAGTAGTGGGTGGTATTTAAGATCTCAGGACTGAGTTTAAAAGCCTGGTTCAACCACTTGCTAGCAGAGTCATCTTAGTTGGGCCTGCTCCCTCATTATTAAATGGGGATCATAATGGTAGCATCAATCCATAGGGTTTATGAGGATTAAGCATTTAGCCAATAGCTGGCACATGGTAAGCAATAGAGCCTGGTGGTTAAGATGCAGACTCTACAGCCCAGAGTTTCTAGATTAGTACCTTGGCTCTGCAGCTCACTAGCTGTTTGGCCTTGAGCAAATTGCTTAACCTCTCTGGGCCATATTTTCTCATCTACAAAGTGCAAATAAGAATAGTACTTGCTCCTAGAGATGTTGTGAGGATTAGATGAGTTGATTCACAAAAAGTATTTAGAATAAGGCCTGGCACAAACTGACCGACCAACAAAATTAGCTACATATGCATGTTATCTGTACTATTATTTACTACATATGGTTTTAAACTTTGTAACAATTGTTTGGTAATGTAATGAAAATATTCAGAGATTCCTCATGGGTCAAATTCAAATGTGTTAAAATCATAGAACTAAATCTGGGTAAAAAGAAAAAAAAGTGAAGCATTTTCATGCCACAGTCTCTAGTGGTATGAAAGACTTTCAACCCTCACATTTACTAAAATCATATTGCAAGGAGCTTTAAAGCCAAACAAAATGGCCATACCCATTATTTCTATTAAAAATATATATTATATGTAGCTATTTCTGTAATTCAATTAACTGTAATTATTCAGCATAGCCCTAAGACAAATACTAATTTTAACCACTCAGTAAAGAAAGTAACATCATGCATTTATAGACCTTCTTCTAGCTGAGCAGCTGGAGGTCATCCAGAGCACTTAAAGGCTATAGATGACTAAAACTTAATTTTACCAAGAACACATATTTTAGATCTTTATTTTTGACACTGGGGCTCCAGCTGGTTTACTTCATGCTGAACTGCTTTCTTCCTTGAGCCCGGAGTGGGGCAGTAATTGCTGTGGGACCTGGAATGGGGAAATGGGGAGAAGTGAGTATTAATCAACTTGGTATACCTAGGCAATAACCCAGTTAAAGTATACAGTGTATGGGAGATGGGGTTACAAGTGAGCTTGGTCTACTGAGATGAGGAGAACCAGATAACTGTTGGAAATAACTTCGCATCCCTAAAAAGCAGGCTCTTGCGAAATTCCTGTAGAGAGAGGTGAGACTATTGGGCCTGTTGCGGTTATGCTGAGTCAGTCATACTTCTTTCTACTGTCGCTGTCCAGAGGTCACTGATGGAGATTTGTTTCTCTATATAAAGCTTACTGATTTACAGAAAAACTATTTTAGTCATTGTTTAAATTCCTCATCCCTCTCCTAGTACCATAAACACAGCTAGTGCTGAATCAGAGTAAGTTGAATACTTAAACTGGATTTTACACTAACTCTGATGATACCTCGTGGTCTTAACTTCACTTGGCACCTTATAATTCTTCATTTTTGAATTACAATATGTGTAAAGGGAATTCCTACCAATGTTTAACTCATACAGTGGAAACTCTTATGCACCCTGGAGTGAAGATAAATGAGATGTCGTCTCTGTCCTCAGAAAGTTTAAATGGGAGAGATGCACTTGAAGTCAACTACCTTTAATGCAACAGAAAATGAACTCAGCTCTATAATGGAGCCTGAGCCATGATTTCACTGGAACAAAGTGGAAGATGTGATTCGTCATAACTAGGAGAGACAAAATGGTCCAGAGGATTTAAAATTTTCAGCAAACTAATGCAGTAACAGAAAACCAAACACCACATGGTCTCAGTCGTGGGAGTTGAACAATGAGAACACATGGACACAGGGAGGGGAACTTTACACACCAGGGCCTGTTCCGGGGTTGTGGGGAAGGGGAGGGATAGCATTAGGACAAATAACTAATGCACACGGGGCTTAAAACCTAGATGATGGGTTGATAGGTGCAGCAAACCACCATGGTACATGTATATCTATGTAACAAACCTGCACATTCTGTACATGTATTCCAGAACTTTAAAAGAAAAAAAAAACTTAACATGTGCATAGTTTATCTGACCTTCCTTGAGCACATGGGTACAATATAGTAAGCATCAAAAATGTAGCCAACTGAGCTAACTGGATTGAATTATGTATATATAATACAGAGTTATCTAGATATACATTAATGTAGTCCTTCAATGATTCAACAAATACGTATTGTTTAGTATGTACCTGGCACAGATCCAGACAATAGAGATTCACAAAGAAAATTCAGATAGTTCTTGCTCTCAAGGAGATGATAGCCTGGTGGGGAAAACACCTATAATATAAATTGGGAAAAGTACTAGGAATAAATGTAACAGATTGTTAAGGGGGTGCCAATTAAATAGTGGGTCAAAGGAGACTTCTGTAAGCAAGTGTCACTTAAGCTAAGCTTTGAAATATAAATTAAAACAGACATTTAGCCAGGTAAAGAATGGGGTCTCGAGAGCATCCCAGATAGAAGTAGAGGCATGTGAGTGTGATGGCTATAGTGTAGGAAAAGATCTTGATAACTTCTAGGAGTCTAATAATATGAAAATTAATTACATGAAATGATATGGCTGAGATGAGCAAGGGCCAGATCATGCTTAGCTTTGTTCACCATATTTGAAGATTTGTGTTTATATTGAAATGCAATGGGAAATTATTGTGATATTTTAAGCATGAGTGACACATGATAAAATATGTAATTTTTAGAAGGTCATTCTGGCTGCTATGAAGCGAATGAATTGAAGAGGGCAGAAGTGAGAGCAGAGATCAGTTAGGGGTTACTTGGAGGAAGGAGAAAAAAGTAAATGGATTTGAGCTATCTTGATGCCATTTATTGGTAAAATATATGGTGGTGTTTCAAGGATGAGGTTCAGTTTTTTAGTTGGGGTGCCATTTGTGAGGTAGGGAAGATTATGAAGGAATCTCTGAGGACAGAGGGAACCTCTGATGTGTCTGAAAAGGAAATCTCAAGGAAGCAGAACTGGAGAAGGTCTGTCTAAAAACCCTGCCAAATTAACATATTGATTTTTCACTATATTTTGTGAAATATCTGGGTTTGGGAAAATATTTTTAAATTGACTTTTTTCCTTTTTATTAATCTTAATATAAAAAATATGAATATGGCTACTTCAGCTATTTTAAAGAGTTAATGCATTTAATAAATCTATTTTATAGATTTTATAGATTATTAATGCCAAGAATGTTTTCAGTTTGGGGATTGTGTTTGTTTTTGCACAGAATAGAGGATAAACAGATTTATCCCTTTGTATGCTGTAGGTAAAACATTAAGAGATTCTGTGAAACAGTGATTTGTGGCAAATTAAATTTACAGTTTTTCAATTTCGTACTCTGTATTGATTTGGTCTATTGCAAAAATTACTAATTTGAGATAACCTTTGATGTATGTGATTTTGTCTTTATAGCAGAGCTAATCTTCCCAACACTCAGATAGAATCAATCATCTCATTGGTGATTTATAGCCATATATTTCAGTAATGGATATTTGGGTAATACTCATTCTGACTTAGAATGTCTTTTCTCAAAATAGGTAGAAACCTTGCTAACATCACAGTTATAGATTTGGTCATTGTAAGCACCTGGGGTGTCTGCATGTGGGCAATCAATTGAGAAGAAAATAGGTAATTATATGTAGGAAGAAAGTATTAGGCAAATCCATTTAGGCTTGCCAAGCAACCAAAAATCAAGCAAAGGAAGGAAATCTGAAGTGTGTATGTGGGTTTCCAGGAAATAGATTTACTGTAAAAGGCTTCCTAGTGACTTTCGCAAGAACACATTAAATCATAACTTCCAAGGAGCTATTAATATATAATTAAACAAGTACAGAACTGTTTGTTTCTATGGCCTGGGCCAAAGAAGCCTAAAGCTACAGGAGAAATTAGATGACTTCTTTTAAGATGCTGTTGTTGCTTAGGAATCATATAAGTGGTTTAAGGCTAAGTTCTAAAACCAAAAATGTGAAAGCTACAGTTTTATTAATTGATATCCAAAGGTGGTCTTGCTTGTAGCTTTATTTTAGCCACCTTACTCATTAATAAAAACTGAAAGAGTGATTAAATCTAGGTAGTGACAATTTTTAGCAATTCTCCTCCATTATTTTTTAAAATGTTTTTAAATTCTCATATCTCTATAGATACATACTTTTTGCCATTACAGAGCTCTGTATCAGTGTAAACTGAGAATGTAGTAAAGATTGTGAGTTTATGTTTTGTACAGGAAAAATGGTAACTATGAAATGCACAAACTGTAGAAGTTACTATACCAATGAACACTTATAATGTTCATAATTCAGCCATTAAAGAAGACACATATGTAATGAAGAAGTTCCTGGATATCTTCAAGCAGCCATGAGCCTAGAACAAAGATATGAACCACTTTATGACTCACTTTCCGCATCTGCAAAATGGCTATATCTAAATATGTAATTCATAGAGTTATTTTCAGGATAAGAATTGTAAATTCTTAATAAATTCTTATAATCTTTTTACTCTTATTACCATATTTGGCAGAAGGGGAAATAAAGAAAAGTAGCAAAGAACTCATTAATACTAAGGGACTAAAGGATTAGATTGTATTTAATATAATATTTAATATAAAATACTATGAGAGGTTCTTTTTTTTCCTTCAACTTTTAATTTAAGTTCAGAGGTATATGTGCAGGATGTGCAGGTTTGTTACATAGGTAAACGTGTGCCATGGTGGTTGGCTACACAGATCATCCCATCACCTAGGTATTAAGCCCAGCATCCAACAGCTATTCTTCCTAGTACCTGATGCTCTCCCTTCCTCCTGCTTCCCCTCCAACAGGCCCCAGTGTGTGTTGTTTCCTTCCATGTGTCCGTGTATTCTCATTGCTCAGCTGCCACTTGTAAGTGAGAACATGCTGTATCTGGCTTTCTGTTCCTGCATTAGTTTGCTGATGATAATGGCTTCCAATTCCATCTATGTCTCTGCAAAGGACATGATCTCCTTCCTTTTTTATGGCTGCATAGTATTCCATGGTGTATATATACCACATTTATTTATCCAGTCTGTCATTGATGGGCATTTAGGTTCATTCCATGTCTTTGCTATTGTGAATAGTGCTGCAATGAACAGACACCTGCATGTATCTTTATAATAGAATGATTTATATTTCTTTGGGTATATACCCTGTGGTGGGATTGCTGAGTCAAATGGTACATCTGCCTTTAGGTCTTTGAGGACTATCTTCCACAGTGGCTAAACTAATTTATGTTCCTACCAACAATGTAAAAGCATTCCATTTCCACACTGTCTTCCACAATGGTTAAACTCATTTACACTCCCACCAACAGTGTAAAAGCATTCCATTTTCTCCACAACCTTGCCTGCATCTGTTTTTTTTTTTTTTTTTTTGACTTTTTAATAATAGCCATTCTAGCTGGTGTGAGATGGTATCTCATTGTGGTTTTAATTTGCATTTCTCTGATGATCAGTGACGTTGAGCTTTTTTTCATATGTTTGTTGGCTGCATGTCTGTCTTCTTTTGAGAAGGTTCTGTTCATGTCCTTTGCCCACTTTTTAATGGGGTTGTTTTTTTTCTTGTAAATTTGTTTAAGTTCTTTGTAGATTCTGGATGTTAGACCTTTGTCAGATGGACAGATTAAAAAAATTTGGGGGAGGTCCTTTAAAAGCACTAGAATATTTGTTGAATTAATGAATTGACTATTTATTAAAAGCTTTTAATATTTAGCGATTCCAGATAGAACCAATATATATTTGGCTTATGCATGCATGTATGCATATATATAATATGTAAATATATTTATGTTATGTGTATATGCACATATATGTTATGTACAGCTGTATTTTTTCTTTAGCTCTATATAAATTTGTTTCTAACAGGTTTGAGTTATGATGTGTCATATAACTCTATGCTTTATGAAAATGCACATATATGTTTGGGATTTTTCTTTGGTTTTCCCAGTTTGGGCATCTGTGTCAGGGTATGCCATGTGCAGAAATAGCTCCAAGTATATTAAAACTTAGCCTTATGATATCTCCTTAGCACCAGGTTCCATCACTCGCCCCTCACCCATATGACCTACTCCTGCTTTTGACCTCTCCATTTATTCAAACGATTGTCTTAGTCACCCACAGTAAAAGGCCTTGGACGTCCTTTTTTTCCTTTTGGTTCTCTCTTCTTTGCTGCTTTAATAAATCAGGCATATACCTTTTGGAAGCCACTTACAAAATATTAATCCTCTCTTTAAAATCTCTACTGCCATTATTATGGTGTTCCTGTCTTCTTTTTTTTTCTTTTTTTTTATATTATACTTTAAGTTTTAGGGTACATGTGCACAACGTGCAGGTTAGTTACATATGTATACATGTGCCATGTTGGTGTGCTGCACCCAGTAACTCGTCATTTAACATTAGGTATATCTCCTAATGCTATCCCTCCCCCCTCCCCCACCCCACAACAGGCCCCGGTGTATGATGTTCCCCTTCCTGTATCCATGTGTTCTCATTGTTCAGTTCCCACCTATGAGTGAGAACATGCAGTGTTTGGTATTTTGTCCTTGCGATAGTTTGCTGAGAATGATGGTTTCCAGCTTCATCCATGTCCCTACAAAGGACATGAACTCATCATTTTTGATGGCTGCATAGTATTCCATGGTGTATGTGTGCCATATTTTCTTAATCCAGTCTATCATTGTTGGACATTTGGGTTGGTTCCAAGTCTTTGCTATTGTGAATAGTGCCACAATAAACATACGTGTGCATGTGTCTTTCTAGCAACACGATTTATAATCCTTTGGGTATATACCCAGTAATGGGATTTCTGGGTCAAATGGTATTTCTAGTTCTAGATCCCTGAGGAATCACCACACTGACTTCCACAATGGTTGAACTAGTTTACACTCCCACCAACAGTGTAAAAGTGTTCCTATTTCTCCACATCCTCTCCAGCACCCGTTATTTCCTGTCTTTTTAATGATCGCCATTCTAAGTGGTGTGAGATGGTATCTCACTGTGATTTTGATTTGCATTTCTCTGATGGCCAGCGATGATGAGCATTTTTTCATGTGTCTTTTGGCTGCATAAATGTCTTCTCAATCCTAAGCCAAAAGAACAAAGCTGGAGGCATCTTGCTACCTGGCTTCAAACTATATTACAAGGCTACAGTAACCAAAACAGCATGGTACTGGTACCAAAACAGAGATGTAGACCAATGCAACAGAACAGAGCCCTCAGAAATAATGCCACATATCTACAACCATCTGATCTTTGACAAACCTGACAAAAACAAGAAATGGGGAAACTATTCCCTATTTAATAAATGGTGCTGGGAAAACTGGCTAGCCATATGTAGAAAGCTGAAACTGGATCCCTTCCTTACACCTTACACAAAAATTAATTCAAGATGGATTAAAGACTTAAATGTTAGACCTAAAACCATACAAACCTAGAAGAAAACCTAGGCAATACCATTCAGGACATAGGCATGGGCAAGGACTTCATGTCTAAACCACCAAAAGCAATGGCAACAAAAGTCAAAATTGACAAATGGGATCTCATTAAACTAAAGAGCTTCTGCACAGCGAAAGAAACTACCATCAGAGTGAACAGGCAACCTACAGAATGGGAGAAAAATTTTGCAATCTACTCATCTGACAAAAGGCTAATATCCAGAATCTACAATGAACTCCAACAAATTTACAAGAAAAAAACAACCCCATCAACAAGTGGGCGATGGATATGAACAGACACTTCTCAAAAGAAGACATTTATGCAGCCTGTCGACATTCTTGATATCTTATCTGGCGTACTATAATAGGCTTCATTGCTGGTCCCTCCCTTCCATACCAACACATATCTTCTATACCAATCTTCCAAAAATTCAAAACTGTTCATGATTCTCCCCTGGTAAAAAAAAAAAAAAAAAAGTCTCCAGTAGTTTTTCATTGCCAGTAAGTAGCATTTTAGGCACTCTGTGATCTCTTTCTCCTCCAGCCACAAAACTTGGTTTCAGTCTTCTCTTCTTCATTGTCCCATTCACATCTCTCCTGATGCAGGTGAGCTGCCCTGTGTACCATTTCTTAAACATATGCCATATTTTCCTTCCTCTAAGCCTTTGTTCATTTCATTCCCAACTTTGAATGTCTTCTCTTACTATTGTGACCACTATCTGCTGACATCATATCCATCCCCCAAGAGCCAGTTCAGTGTTAACTTCTCCATAAAGCTATCACTAATTGACGCAATCAGAAGCAATCTTTCATTTCTAACAACTTCTGATGTGCTTTATTTCTTCCTTTTCTGTTCATTCTTTTATTATCAGGCCAAGTAACCCATAGGGCATGAAAAGGATGAATATCAACAACCCAGATTAAGGAGATAAAGAAACCGCTAATTCTAACCCTAAGTCATTAATGTAATGATGTCTATCCTGGCCAATGCTAAATTTGAAGCATTAAGTGATACTTAAAAGGAAAGTACAAGCTCCAGTCTGTGACCCAGTTCTGGGTAGTAAATGGGAAGAATTGGGGCAGAGATGAGTGGGGAGTGCAAGGTAGATCATAACCATCAAAGCAATGTGGCAAGGGGAAAAGGAATGGCTCAGATGGAAGCTGACAGTTTTTCAACTGCGAAGAGTCCGTATGAGTGAAGCCCATGTTTTGGCACCTTACCTTTTTTCACTCCTTACAGAAATTGTATGTACAAGAAATTGGAGGCATCTGGCACATTGCTTACCAGTCCACTTAATCAAAAAACAATTTCTAGATATTTGATTTTTACTTTATTGTATAACTGATGTGACAAATTTCATGTCCAGCTTATCTAAATATCAACTTGACTTGCATCTGATATTATAGATGAGAATTTATTAAATATCTAACTTAAATAAATTTTACCAGCTTTTCTATTTATCATACTCATTTCCTTTATCAGATCTGTTCTTACTCCTCCATCTGCTCCTGGTTTTTGTTTTTTTTTCTGATGCCCATATGGCCAAAGTGAACTATCCAGTCTTGATGTGAGGAAGTCATCTGAAAATTTCCTGACATTAGTCATTTGGCTAATTGATAGGCCTAGAGCTGTCTTATTGAGAATGAACACTGAATGAATTAAAATTTTAATTGAAAATTAAATGCACTGTTCTTAACACTTAGTACCGAGACTGTCTGCACCAAAATTCTTCTTTTTTCCCTGATCTGTCCATGGATAGCTTTGTCAATAGTGTGTGTGTGTGTTTTTTTTTCTTTAACAAGTTGGATTTTCTATCTTGTAACCATAATAACTTGGAGATGTTTAGGTTAGCAAAGGTATTAGTTATCTGAAATTCAGCAGTTCATGACCAAGCATTTTACCAGACCACTGGTAGAAACTAAAAACAAAGTTTGTACAACTGGTTTGATTACTGGCACCCAACCGTTTACTGTATCAGGGGACCTCATGCATTTTCTTATTTCTTGCCATGGAGTAAATTACTATGTTTATTCATTTTCTAATGCATGTGCAAAAATGTCTCTGAATACAGGAAACAGTTTACTTTTTATTCAGGCTCATGTCCTGGGATCAAGTTCCTAGTGGTAGGTGGACCTGTTTTAGGTGAAAGGCCATGCTGGAACAATGATTTGTTCAATAAGCACGAATAGCAAATTTAACTATTTGGCATGAGTTCTCAAAACACTACATTTTCCTTTTAGTGCTAATTTTTTAAATCCTTTTGAATTACCACAATGGTTCCCTGGGGTACACAAGGAAATTTACTTGAGTATATATATAGTGCAACCTTCTATTGGAATAAAATATATGGAATAAGAAAGAAAGTGGTGAACTATTTGTCTTAAACCAGGGAAACAGTCTTCTTAGAAATAAATTGTAGCTAAATTACCGCTCTCCTGTCTACCAGAGAGCAAATCTTTTATTATTATTATTATTATTATTAAATGAAGGACACCATATTTGATAAATTCACCTTGTTCCCAGGTACTTTTCCTGTAGAATTTCTTGTGCATGCACGTTGTTAATTTCTGATTATTTCTGGATATAAGACATATGCTTGTGAATTGGGAGGCTCTTTCTCTAAGCTAATATTTGGTCAATATTCATAATGATGTCTGTAAACAAGCTCTCTCCTAAGATTGTGTAGCAAATCATTTATCATGAAAGAACAAACTACAAATATTGCCACTGTAATTCCCACTGTTCTGTATAATACAACATTATGAGAGAATTAATCACATGATTATGTTTGCTAAATCTTTTTGGAAATTAATGAATGATGCCACTCCTGTCATGTGCCCTTTGGGGATAACATGACCACTGTTTCTTTTCACAGTTTTCTTATTTGCTGTTTAAAGCTGATCTATAATTTTTTAACAGAATATATGATCAATGGCTCCTTGAACAAATTTTTGAAGTCAAAATTATTTTTACAATGAAAATTTCAGATTTAAATAATTGCACTGTACTAAATGTACTTTTGGTTTTTCAACATTTAAAGTTTTATCATTCACACAACAAGCCCTGTGAAAAGCTGTGAATAGTTACTCAAGGTAAATATTTACCTACATGGAATTGTTTGTAAGCTTTAAAAAAAATGCTGCTGTGGTAAATACAACTATAAATTTTTTAAATTTATGGCCAGCAGCAAAGCAATTTGATGAAAAGACTGGGATTTGGAGCTAGGACCTAAGTTGAAATCCTTGCTTAACTTAAATAAGCATTAGAGATATTGGGTATGTATCGGCATCTAATTAAATTTTAAGTGTTCTTCTTTTTGTTTACTTTTTTAAAAGGAAATATGCACAGAAAACAATCATCTATTCACTCAATAAATATTTTATTTCAAAAACATATTAGGTCTGGAAGTTGTAATGCTAAATTAAAGGAATGAGAATAAATAAAGTAGTTTTGGCTTTTTTCCCAAGTATCTTCTTAGAAGACTGGCATTTACCTAAACTGAAATAATGCAGTCCTCCTCTGCTGACTGATACTGACTTCATGCTAAATTCTTCATGATCCCTGACTAAATCCATTTTGGTTCCTCAACTCATGGACCAATGTCCGTTAAATTTTTCGCCTTCTATGGAACACTGAGATCCAATACATTAAAACTTGCAGTACTTTCTATTCATGGACCATGACTCCTAATGCCACTAAGCTGTCAGTCAAAAGCCTGTACTACATAGACTTTGTCTCTGAACATAACTCAATTGTAGATAGATACTTTGGGTACTTTATCGCATATAGAAAACTTACTAGGAAAGATAAAATGAAATCTATTTTAATATCTGTAAAGAACACCAGCTTATGCATTTTTAAACATGGAAAATTCTATGGGTTATCTAGTTATGAGATCCCACTGAGTTCACTGAAAATTGAAAAATTGCAAAATAAAGGTTGATATTAGGCAAGATTGAGAATTATTAGTCAAGGCTGAAGAAAGAGTAGTTAAGAAAAAAGAAGAGTAAAAATGACACAGGAAACAAACTAGGTACATTTCTGGAAGAGTCAGTGCCTTATCGTGGTGAATGAAGGTATATACATATGATTTGTTCAGTATAAGCCATTAGTCACATGAAGCAACAGTTCAATAGTTACTTCCCAGGGACCTAAAAATAGTCATTGAGTTTTTAGTAGTAGTAGAGTCAAAATGAAAATTTTATTCTTCATAGTTCCATTTATTTGAATCAACTGAATGTGGTAGCAGTTTTTTTAATTATAATAATTTTGATGTTCAAGAATTCTAAGATGTCAAATATTCTGATCTCTCTCAATACACAGATTCACTCATATATTTTCACTCATTACGTTTAATAGCAAAAAGCACACAATTACTTTTGCACCAAACTAATATTTAACAAAGCATTAATTGAACATGCTCTGAAGACAAGACTAAAAATTGGGTATAGAAACATGGTGTGCCCTCAAAGGAAATAGTGGTCACAGTATAGTGTGTAAAATGTGACAGTACTATAAATATATGCCCAGGCTTTTTCTAGGAAACCGTGACCAAGTCTTCAATTTATGCTTTAATACTCTGGAGAGAAAGTTTTCCCATACTAATGGTAGCTGTTCACTTGGGAGACTGTGCCCATCACTGGATTTTTTTTTCTATAATTGAGCTGAAAGTAGAATTCCTCTAAAATTTTCCATTAATCTTGTTTTTGCTTTCTACGGCTACAGCGGACAACTCTTCACAAGAGAGCCCTTCAGACATTTGTAGGCCACTGTCAAGTCTCCTTTCAGGACTCTTTCCTTTAGATTAAGACCCCCAGTTCATTAACCATTCTTGATTCATCATCATTTTTAATCCCTTTATTTTGCTGTAGAGAAATTTTCTCTACAAATTTCTATAAATTTTCTCTACAAATTTCTATAAATTTTGGCAGTATCCCACCTAAGTAACAATACACAGAATTGGATATACAGATCCCTTTGTGTGCTTGTAAGCACAGACCATAGTGAGTGAATTTTGTGCACGTGAGCTCCATACTCTACTTCTGTTATTGTAGTATAAAATTGTGTTAGCTTTGTTTTTAAGAATCTTTTTGTTGGTTCATGTCAAGAATAAGACAATTGAATATTATTTCATATGAAGTTTTGGCTATCAGATCTATTACATTTTATTTTAGAATAATTTTGTATTTGTAGACTTATACACTTGTTTTATCTCTATTGAATGTAATATTGTTGGACTGCACCTAGCATCTGGACCTATTGATATCAATCTCAGTAGTGACTCAGCAATTCCTTATATTCACCACCCTTTCCTCATCTATCAATTATAGGTAACCTGAAGGTAAACAAATTGGATTATCAGAAATAAGATGGAATTTGGCAAGTGCATATGTTACCCAGCACATATAGATATAAAAGTGAATACCACAGGTATAAGGAAGGGCTGGTTATAAAAATAATGGAAAGATAAACATAAAAATAATGTCCTTAGGGAAAGTTTTTTATGAAACACAATGTGCATACTACTAAAGAACTGTTTTCCAGATTATGAGAACAGGTTATTTTCTCCTTCAGTAACTCACAAAATGAGTAAAACTTAGGGACAATTAGCAACCAAAACCATTAGAAAATTTTGCCTACAGTGACAAAAGAAGCAGTGGAGCACAACTTAATGCAATACACTTAAAAACCTGTGACTAAAAGAAGGAAATTGTAGCAGAAAGGCTTAGAGAGGCTCAGATGCTACCTGACTCCCATTTCCCTCCTGAGATTGTACGGGTGATTGACAAAATCCTAAGACTTCTCACTGATACCATTAAATCCAGAGAAGAGCACACTGAGCTAGTAGGCTTATCTTTTTCAAAGAGTAGTTGAAACTTGTGATTGAGAAAGTCTAAAGGGGGTAAAGTGAGTAGCTATGCTGATATTCTCTGGTGGAAATAAATGTTCTCTAGCCACACTCCAAATTAGAGAAATTTCTCCAATTAGATGCAACTTGGTGTAGGACATTTAACAAAATCTCAAAAGCTAACAGAATTGGGGTCTTACAAGAAAAATGACACACTTGCCTGTAGCCTCTACCGAGATCTCTTCCAACACCCTTGCCAGCTATTGCTCAGGCACAAAATGTGATGAGAACACAAAATAGCCAGACCTCCACTCCCACTGTAACTTGGCGTGGGAAAACAAAATAATTCTAGGCACAAAGGACAAAGGTAAACCAGTCACATGCGTTATATCAGAGCAAATAGAATGTCCAATTGAGCTGCCCAATCATGAGCAGGATGAAAGAATTTAGTAACTCTGTAAGAATGCCGCAATCAAAACCAGAAAGAAGCGTATTATTGTAATCTAATCTATTAAGCACCTGGTATGTATTAGGTGGTGTTCTAATGTTTTATGCATACATATTTTAGTCCTTTTAAGAAACCCTATAGGTATTGTTATTTTATGTACAGTTTGGAGGTTTAATAACTTGCCTAAAATCATACAAATGATGACAGAGCCAGGACACAAATCACTGGTGTCTGGCTCCAGAGCTCATGCTATTAACCCTGTGTGATCTTGGTCTTCATAACCTCTAAAAAAAAGAAGAAGAAAATAAGGAAGAGAGGGAGGGAGCAAAGGAAGGAGACAAAGAGTTTAACCTATAGTTCAAGGGGCAGAAGGGAATTAATTGCTCATGATTTATGCTGTAGGAAAACTTAAAATAAATTCAATTAAAAAGTGCTGAAATACAAAAAATAAAGGTAGAAAATGGGGTGAAAAGAAAGATTGAAGCCCAGGGAACCCAATAAAGGGCCTAAATAATACCATTACAGAACTTATGAATATGTTACAAATAGGAAGAAAAAATAGATGTCACTGAAAATAGCGACAAAGAGCAAAGCTTGAGATAATTATGATGAGCACAGACTTCACAAAAATTAAAAAAAGAAGAGAGAAAAACTTTAAAGCTATACCAAACAGGAGCTATAGAGCTTCAAGAAAATGAGCTAGTGGCCCAAGGAGTATTGATTTAGTCAAGCATTCAAAAAATATATCACTTTTTCAGAGAAACAACATACACTGGGGCCTACTTGAGAGTGGAGGGTTTGGGGAGGAAGAGAGTGAGAAAAGATAACTGTTGAGTACCAGGCTTAGCACCTGGGTGAAGAAATAATCTGTACAACAAACCCTTGTGACCCGAGTTTACGTATATAACAAACCTGCACACGTACCTCAGAACCTAAAATAAAATATTAAATTAAAAATCCAAAAAACATATCACTCTTTCCTAAAATATGCCCTTCATCAAAACTGTTATTTGTATCATTTTAGATGTAAATCTGATGATGAATTGAAAAGAAGAAAAAATATATTTATGATGATAAACCAAAGGAAATAATTTAAAAATTATTTTAAGCAATAAATTTTTTAAATTTATTTATTTAATTTATTTAAGCAATAAATTTAATTAATAAATTGCTCAATTTATAATTAATTAATAAATTGCTTAAATAAATTTAAGCAATAAATTTTTAATTAATTTATTTAGGCAATAAATAAGATGGCCAAGTTTAAAATCAGAATATAGAAATCAATAGCATATACATATATGTCCATATATAAGCAGTAGTCAACTAAAAAATATAATGACAGAAAGTATATCATTTACAATACCCCAAAATATCTTAAGAATACACTTTTAAAAGCCCAGAATGCATTAGCTCTTTTTCCTGTTGCTCTCCCTCCCTGCACCTCACCCCCTACAGGCCCCAGTATGTGTTGTTTTTCCCCATGTGTCCATGTGTTCTCATTGTTCAGCTCCCACTTATAAGTGAGAACATGTGGTGTTTGGTTTTCTGATCCTGCTTTAGTTTGCTGAGGATAATGGCTCCAATTCCATCCATGCCCCTCTAAAGGACATGATCTCATTCCTTTTTATGGTTGCATAGTATTCCATGGCACACATTTACCTATGTAACAAACCTGCACACCCTGCACATGTACCCTGGAACTTAAAAAGAAGAGAATAAACTTGATAAACATTTGGGATCTATATAAAGGTAACTTTCAAATGCTACCAAGAGACATATAATAAAGGAATACCATAATGTGCCATTGGAAAAGAAGAGCAACATCAAAAAATTTCAATTTTTACTTTTATACTAAAAATTTTAAATAAAAATAACAAAAATTTTATGCAAGAAAATCTGATTTTTAAATTTAAATGAAAAATTAATGAGCAATAATAGCAAGGAAAATTTATAAAAAGAACAATAATGAGAGAGATCCAGGCTTACCATTTATTAAGACATCATACAAAATTTTAATAACTAAAATAAAAATTAAGATATATCAAAGTTAAAGACTATAGATTCTGAAAATAGACAAGACACATAAAGGAATTTAGTTTATAATATAGTTGGCAATTTGATTAAGTGGGAAAAAATGGATTGTTCAATAAGTTATATTGGGAAAACTGGACATCTATCTTTAAAAAACAGTTGTGTCCCTTTTTCACAACCTACATCTGTACAAGTCTGTTTTCATGCTGCTGATAAAGAGATACCTGAGACTGGGCATTTTACAAAAGAAATTGTTTATTGAACTTACAGTTTCACGTGGCTGGGGAGGCCTCACAATCATGGTGGAAGGTGAAAGGCACATCTCACATGGTGGCACACAAGAGAAGAGAGCTTGTACAGGGAAACTCCCAGTTTTAAAACCATCAGATCTCATGAGACTCATTCACTATCACAAGAACATCACAGGAAAGACCCATCCCCATAATTCAATCACCGCCCACCAGTTTCCTCCCATAACACATGGGAATTGTGGGAATTACATTTCAAGATGGAATTTGGGTGGGGACATAGCCAAACCATATCAACATACAAAAAACATTTCTATATTTAAATATAAATGTTTATTTTAAAAATGAAAGCGTACAACTATAAAGGAAATTGGGTAAATTGACCTATATTAAAATTAGGAAATTCTATTCATTAAATGATGTCACTGACAGAGTAAAACAGGAAGACATAGAGTGGAGAAAATATTCCCAGTAAATTTATCATACATTTATATAATGTTCAGCCTTATTCATAATAAAATAATTGCAAGTTAAAAGTACAAGATGCCATTTTTTTAACTATCAAATTGCCCACATTCAAAAATTGTGACGATGCACTGTGTTAGGAGGTGTGGTAAAAGAGGCTCTTTCTGAGAGCTGAAGGAGGCTGGTGGAGTATAAATTGTTCCATATTCTTGGAGAGCAATACCAAAATATCTTTAACTTTATAACTGCTTAAACCCTTTGGCATAGTGATTCTACTTCTAGGAATTTATCCTATATATGTACCTGCCTATGAGTGAAATGGCAATATTAATTGCAACAGTGTTTCCAGTGGCAAAAATCGAACCAAAAAAATCTAAATGACAAAAGAATAGCTACAATAATTGTATTGCATCCATATAGTATACTGTAATGCCATTCAGCTTTTTAAAAATGAGGAGCTGACAGCCCAAAATCTCCTTAAGCTGATAAGCAACTTCAGCAAAGTCTCAGGATACAAAATCAATGTACAAAAATCACAAGCATTCTTATACACCAACAACAGACAAACAGAGAGCCAAATCATGAGTGAACTCCCATTCACAATTGCTTCAAAGAGAATAAAATACCTAGGAATCCAACTTACAAGGGATATGAAGGACCTCTTCAAGGAGAACTACAAACCACTGCTCAAGGAAATAAAAGAGGATACAAACAAATGGAAGAACATTCCATGCTCATGCGTAGGAAGAATCAATATCATGAAAATGGCCATACTGCCCAAGGTAATTTACAGATTCAATGCCATCCCCATCAAGCTACCAATGACTTTCTTCACAGAATTGGAAAAAACTACTTTAAAGTTCATATGGAACCAAAAAAGAGCCCGCATCACCAAGGCAATCCTAAGCCAAAAGAACAAAGCTGGAGGCATCACACTACCTGACTTCAAACTATACTACAAGGCTACAGTAACCAAAACAGCATGGTACTGGTACCAAAACAGAGATATGGATCAATGGAACAGAACAGAGCCCTCAGAAATAATGCCGCATATCTACAACTATCTGATCTTTGACAAACCTGAGAAAAACAGGCAATGGGGAAAGGATTCCCTATTTAATAAATGGTGCCGGGAAAACTGGCTAGCCATATGTAGAAAGCTGAAACTGGATCCCTTCCTTACACATTATACAAAAATCAATTCAAGATGGATTAAAGACTTAAACGTTAGACCTAAAACCATAAAAATCCTAGAAGAAAACCTAGGCATTACCATTCAGGACATAGGCATGGGCAAGGACTTCATGTCCAAAACACCAAAAGCAATGGCAACAAAAGCCAAAATTGACAAATGGAATCTAATTAAACTAAAGAGCTTCTGCACAGCAAAAGAAACTACCATCAGAGTGAACAGGCAACCTACAAAATGGGAGAAAATTTTCACAACCTACTCATCTGACAAAGGGCTAATATCCAGAATCTACAATGAACTCAAACAAATTTACAAGAAAAAAACAAACAACCCTATCAAAAAGTGGGCGAAGGACATGAACAGACACTTCTCAAAAGAAGACATTTATGCAGCCAAAGAACACATGAAAAAATGCTCATCATCACTGGCCATCAGAGAAATGCAAATCAAAACCACAATGAGATACCATCTCACACCAGTTAGAATGGCAATCATTAAAAAGTCAGGAAACAACAGGTGCTGGAGAGGATGTGGAGAGATAGGAACACTTATACACTGTTGGTGGGACTGTAAACTAGTTCAACCACTGTGGAAGTCAGTGTGGCGATTCCTCAGGGATCTAGAACTAGAAATACCATTTGACCCAGCCATCCCATTACTGGGTATATACCCAAAGGACTATAAATCATGCTGCTATAAAGACACATGCACACGTATGTTTATTGCGGCATTATTCACAATAGCAAAGACTTGGAACCAACCCAAATGTCCAACAATGATAGACTGGATTAAGAAAATGTGGCACATATACACCATGGAATACTATGCAGCCATGAAAAATGATGAGTTCTTGTCCTTTGTAGGGACATGGATGAAATTGGAAATCATCATTCTCAGTAAACTATCGCAAGAACAAAAAACCAAACACCACATATTCTCACTCATAGGTGGGAATTGAACAATGAGATCACATGGACACAGGAAGGGGAATATCACACTCTGGGGACTGTTGTGGGGTGGGGGGCGGGGGGAGGGATAGCATTAGGAGATACACCTAATGGTAGATGACGAGTTAGTGGGTGCAGCGCACCAACATGGCACATGTATACATATGTAACTAACCTGCACAATGTGCACATGTACCCTAAATCTTAAAGTATAATAATAAAAAAAAAATTAACTAGAAAAAAAAATGAGGAGCTGAAATAAATATATTAAATGAATGAATGCACTTAAAGTACTGAATGAATAAAATGAATGTACTGAAATGGAACAAAATCCTGTGTATATTGTTAAATTACCTAAACATTGTGGGCGGTATGCGTAATGTTATATGATTTGTCTTAAAAAACAAATAAAACTTTAAAACAAATCTCATCTTGTAGTTCCCATAATGCCCACGTGTCATGGGAGGGGCCTGGTGGGAGGTAATTGAATCATGAGGGAAGTTACCTCCATGCTGTTCCAGTGATATTGAGTGAGTTCTTACAAGATCTAATGGTTTTATAAGGGGTTTTTCCCCTTTGGCTCATCACTTCTCATTCCTAACATCATGTGAAGAAGGATGTGTTTGCTTCCTCTTCTGCCATGATTGTAAGTTTCCTGAGGCCTTCCAAGCCATGCTGAACTGAGAGTCAATTAAACTTTTCTCCTTTATAAATTGCCAAGTCTTGGGTATATCTTTATTGGTAGTGTGAGAACAGACTAACAGACTTATATATACATAGAATATGGATAATATCTGGAATATCTTGAAAAGTAACTGACAACAGTAGTTGCCCCAGAGAGGGAAGCTATGTGGGAAGAAAATTTAGTTTTTCTGTTTGTTCTTTATACCTTTTAGATTTTTCTACCATGTACATATATTACATTATTTTTAATAAGCAAATACTTTTTTAAAAAAACACAAAGTTTTTATAATAGCCATTCCGACTGGTGTTAGATGGTATCTAATTGTGGTTTTGATTTACATTTCTCTAATGATCAGTGATGTTGAGCTTTTTTTCATGTGATTGTTGGCTGCATGTATGTCTAATTTTGAGAAGCGTCTGTTCATGTCCTTTGCCCACTTTTTTATGGGGTTGTTTTTTTTTCTTGTAAATTTGTTTAACTTCCTTATAAATGTTGGATATTAGACCTTTGTTAGATGCATATTTTGAGAGAATTTTCTCTCATTCTGTAGATTGTCTGTTTGCTCAGTTGATAGTTTATTTTGTTGTGGAGAAGCCATAGAGGGGAACAACCACACTGGGGCCTAGTGGAAGGTGGAGCCGGGAAGGAGGGAGAGGATCAGGAAAAATAACTAATGGGCACTATGCTTAATACCTGGGTGATGAAATAATCTACCACAAACCGCCATGACACAAATTTACATAGATAACAAACCTGCACTTGTACTCCTGAACTTAAAATAAAAGTTAAAAGGAAAAAAAGAAAACACAAAGTTTAAAAATGGAAAGGTGAGCAAAGATATGCAAAGAGAAGTAGTCTCAGCAAGAAAAAAGTGATTACTTTTTGCCCATACAAATAAAAATACTATGTACCATGAAATTATAACCAGTTAATAGAAATATTAACATCAACATGTATGAAACTGAAAATGTTAAAAATGCATGGAGAAATGGGAAAAACTACCATTTAATATACATTTTGAAAGACATTTGGCTCAGAAGAGGAAGAATAAGTGGATTCATTTCAAATAATTCAACAAACATTTAATTTAGTATCTACCACCATAAGCCAGGAAATGTGCTAAAGACAGGGAGTACATAAATGATGAAGACTTTTCTCTCTCCTTCATTGTCCATGATATATTATTAGAGCCTTTAAAGAATATCCTTTAATCAGAACTGTCTTGAAATACAGTTTTTTACATTTAAGTCAATATGTTATATAAACAGTCTGAACAGATTCACATTAACCAAAGTGAATCAAAGCTATTGTTTTTCCTGTATATCAAACCTATTCTCTAACTAAAAGAAACTGACTTTATTTTATGAGTCTTGTCTTTAGAAATTTCAACTAGCTGTCTTCTTTGATACTCTATTCTTTCCCAGGTGTTCATGCTTTGATTTTCTGATGAATTGAAGCAGTGTGTGGAGAAGATTTTTTAAAAAGAGAGACATTAGAACAAAAGGTGCATAATTTTCAGAAGTATCTTTCTCCATGCTTAAATTCAGACTAGAATTGATATTTTCATTTGTTTAATAGGAAGCTAACCATTTCAGACTCCACATTTGCATTCACTAATAAAAGATAATCTTTTAGGTATATTACCTGTTACATGGATCTCCTCGCTGCTTCAAATAGCAAAGCAGTGTATTCACTTGCTTATCTGTCATATGTATTTCTACCCTAAATTGTTACTGATAATAAGCATTTCAGATGGCCCCAGCAAGATTGATAATGATCTTTTTCCTGATGGCTCCATTAGATCAGACTTCAGAAGCATTGTACTTTGCATGAGTCCTTGGAAGCTAAATATGAAAGTTGAATGTTTGGCAACACACCGACCTAGCTGATGAAATTGGATTGCTCTCTTCTAAATATTTACTTCAGCACTTTGAAATTAGTCTGTATTCATTCACAGAAGGTGCTGTGACCCACTCAGTGAGGAATCATAGCTAGTTACTTCTCCTATTAGCTTAGTTGGTACAATTCCTTGTTATTGTAATTCACAAGTTTTAAAACTTTTAGCTGGAAGATTTTCTTATAATTTTTTCTAAGAAAACTCTTGCAATTTAAGTAACCTTAAAAATAAAAATTATCTGGGCTTTCATCAATGCAATTCCTCAGTAAGAAAACATAATTGTGAGAAATGGTATCATGGAAAATGTAATAGTTGATTGTGAAAGCTTCAGTTTTGCTGCCATTTGTATTCATGATGCCTTTGAGTTAAAAACGTTAGTAATGGAATTGAGATGGGACATCTGTTAGAGTGAAACATTTGATTCATTAATCAATTGAAAATAAAAAAAAACATTTTGGAGCTTCTGGCTTACTTGTTTTTCCTTGTTTCTCAAGCCCTAGCAACAACATTTCATTTTCATGAAGGATATCAGCTATTCTGGGAAGAAGCTAGTTTGGTTTTCCAATAATGTGCTCCCAAGATTTATCTGTGACGATATACAAGTAGATAAGTTTAGATAAGGAAATTACAGAGGTTCTCAAACTTTTTTTTTTCTTTAACCTCTAAAGCCTAGAGTTCCCGAAGATTCAGTGTTGGTACCTCCGTATTTCTCTATCAACCTCTTCTCCTAGGTAGTCTCATCAGGACCTATGCTTCAGGTTTCATAAGTTCCATCCCTATGCTTACATTTTTCTTTATGCTTATATTTAATATCATCTTTGATGTGATAAAGATCTAATAGACATTTTAAGATTAATGTATACAAAACACAACTCTTAATTTTATTTTCCAAAACCAGCTTTTTCTGGTTTTGGCTCATCAAATGATATCCAGTTGCTTAGGCCAAAAACAGAAGAATCATCCCGGATTTCTCTTTCTGACTCACACTCACATCCAGTTCATTTGCAAATCCTGTTAGTCTATCCTCACCAACTCTGCTTTGCTGCTGTAACCTAAACCATATCGTTTCTTGCTCAGACTACTGCAGTAGTACTCAAACTGGTCCCTGTTCCCACTTTGCACCCTCTACAGTCTCTTCACACAACAGCTTGAGTAATATTTTAAAGACATAAATTAGGGTATATCAACCCCAGCTGCAAACTATCTACTAGCTTCCCCTCCCACTTAATCAAACTCCACAGCCTTACCATAGTTTGCCAGCCCCTGGCTACCTCTTTGGCTTCATCTTCCATCAATTTCCCCTTGCCCATGCACCTTCAATAACACTAGCTTTCTTACAACTGTTTCAAAGTTCTAAGTATGTTCCTGCCTACAGCTTTTGTAGTTGGCTATTCTTTGTGCCTGTAACACACTTTTCATGTGGCTTTCTCTCTTTATTAAGGGCTTTATTTTTCCTCATAGTATGTATCACAACCAAACATTGTATTATAAATATATGTATTTGTGTACACTAGAATATAAGCTCTAGGAGGGTAGAAAACTTTGTTTTGTTCACTGCTATGCCCCCAAGAACCTACAACTTAATCAAAGCAGCTCTCACACAGAGTAAGTACTCAATAAGTGTTGGATACATGAGAAAAATAGAGTTGTAATAGGAAAGAATTCTGTCATTCCAGAAGGCAGAGGTAGGGAGAGTAGGTGTTACTGGGCAGCAGACCTTGGCTTAGCGGACAGAAAAGCTTGAGAAAAAATGAACAGTACCTGACTCTAGAGGATGAGGCTTTGTAACGTAGTGAGTTCTCTGTTACCAGAAGGGTTCAAGCAGAGGTTGGAAAGGTCTTGTTCTACAGGGAAGCTCCATTTGGGTCATCTCTTAAGCCGTGTTCACCTATGTTGGAGAAGAAAAGGCAGAGAAAGAAAAGCTTGCATTGATTGATTGGATAATAGAGGCATGAGGTAATTTATTCACAGATATAATCATTTAAGGTCAATCTGCAAAATGTTCCCCAGAAAAAGATACCAGGTGGCTTCTCACTTCATCCACACTCAATTCCAGGACACCAGACAGGCTTGTTATTGTATCTATAAGGAGGCTTTCTGATTTACAGAGGGCAGCAGTCCCCTGATTCTCTTGCTGCACTCTGGCTACTTGCTGTCTCCTATCAGATGATGGATATAGTCCACTGGATGCAAATTTACTCTGTTCCTGCATTTCAGCCTTTAGATGAAAGAACTTCCCAGAACCACATTGCTCATCCATTCTAAATCATATTGAGGCAAGACTGACCTCTGCCTAGGTTTTTAAGCTGTAAAGGATTCACTGAAAGGTTATTATAGTATGATATATTATGTGGGATATTCAAGGAAAAGCTTCAAAATTTTTGAAAAAATTTATATATGCATACCTCAGAGATATTGCAGTCTCATTCTAGACCACTGCAATAAAGTGAATATCATAATAAAGCAAGTCACATAATTTATTTTTGTTCCCAGTACATGTAACAGTTATGTTTACACTATACTGTAGTCTATTGAGTATGCAACAGTATTACATCCAAAAAAACCTTAATTAAAAAATACTTTATAACTAAAAAATGCTAATGATCATCTGAACCTTCAGTGAGTCAATCATCTTTTTCTGGCAGAAGATATTGCCTCAGTGTTGATGGCTGCTGACTGATCAGGGTGGTGGCTGCTGACTGATCAGGGTGGTGGTTGCTGAAAGATGGGGTGGCTATGGTAAATTTTATTTTATTTTATTATTTTTATTTATTTATTTATTTTGAGACCGAGTTTCGCTCTTGTTGCCCGGGCTGGAGTGCAATGGCATGATCTTGGCTCACCGCAACCTCCGCCTCCTGGGTTCAAGCGATTCTCCTGCCTCAGCTTCCTGAGTAGCTGGGATTACAGGCATGTGCCAACATGCCCGGCTAACTGTTTTTGTTTGTTTGTTTGTTTGTTTGTTTTTGTTTTTGTTTTTTGTATTTTTAGTAAAGACGGAGTTTCTCCATGTTGGTCAGGCTGGTCTTGAACTCCTGGCCTTAGGTGATCTGCCCATCTGGGCCTCGCAAAGTGCTGGGATTACAGGCATGAGCCACCGCGCCCGGCCCGGCTGTGGCAAATTTTAAAACTAAGACACTGAAGTTTTCCACAGTAATTGACTCTTCCTTTCAGGAAAGATTTATTTGTAGCATGTGGTACCGTTTGGTAGCGTTTTACCCACATTAGAACTTCCTTCAAAATTGGAGTCAGTCCTCTCAAACCCTGCTAATGCTTCATCAACTAAATTTAGGCAATATTCTAAATCCTTTGTTTTCATTTCAACAATATTCACATCTTCACCAGAGGAGTAGGTTCCATCTCAAGAAACCACTTTCTTTGCTTTTTCCTGAGAAACAACTCTTCATTTGTTAGTTTTATTACGAGATTGCAGCAATTCAGTCATATCTTCAGGATCCATTTATAATTCTAGTTCTTTGGCTGTTTCCACTACATCTGCAGTTACTTCTCCACCAAAGTCTTGAATTCTTCAAAGTCATCTGTAAGAGTTGGAATCAACTTTTTTCAAACTCCTGTTTTTGTTGAGACTTTGACCGCCTCCCATGAATCATGAATCTTCCTAATGGCATCTGGAAGATTGTCAATTTACTTTACTCAGATGCATCAGAGGAATCACAATTTATGGCAGCTATAGCTTTCTGAAAGTATTTCTTAAATAATAAGACTTTTAAAAATTAAAATTACCCCTTGATCCATGGGCTGTAGAATGGATATCGTGTTAGTGGACATGAAAACATTAATGTTTTTGCACATCTGCATAAGAGCTCTTGGTGACTAGGTGCATCGACAATGAGCAACAATATTTTGAAAGAAATCTTTTTTTCTGACCAGTGCATCTCAAGAGTAGGCTTAAAATATTCAGTAAACCATGCTATAAACAGACGTGATATCATCCAGGCTTTGCAGTTTCATTTATAGAGTACAGGCAGAGTAGATTTAGCATAATTCTTAAGGGCTCCAGGATTTGGGGATTGGTAAATAAGCATTGGCTTCCACTTAAAGTCACCAGCTCCATAAACCCTTACCAGGAGAATCAGCGTGTTCTTTGAAGGCTTGGAGCTAGGCATTGACTTCTCCTCTCTAGCTACGAAAGTCCTAAATGTCATCTTCTTCCAATACAAGGCTGTTTTGTCTACATCGAAAATCTGTTGTTTAATATAGTTGCCTTCATCAATGATCTTAGGTAGATCTTCTGGATAACTTGCTGCAACTTCTCTACCTCAGCACCTCCTGCTTCACCTTGCACTTTCATGTTAAGGAGATGGCTTATTTCCCTAAACTTCACAAATTAACCTCTGCTAGCTTCAAACTTCTCTTCTGCAGTTTCCTCACCTCTTTCAGCCTTCACAAACTTGAAGAGATTTAGGGCCTTGCTCTGGGTTAGGCTTTAGCTTAAGAGACTGGTGTGGCTAGTTTGATATTTATCTCGACCACTAAAACTTTCTCCACATCAGTGATAAAGCTCTTTTGCTTTCAATGGAGTCACACTTTCAATTTCCTTCAAGAACTCTTCCTTTGTATTTACAACTTGGCTGTTTGGCATAGGAGGCCTAGCTTTCTACCTACCTCAGCTTTCAACATGCCTTCCTCACTAAGCATAATCATTTCTAGATTTTGATTTAAAGGATATGTGTGTGATTACTCCTTTCAATTGAACATTTGGAGGCCATTTAAGGGTTATTATTTAGCCTCGGGGTCTTGGGGAATAGGGTAAGCCCAAGAAGAGGGAGCGAGAACAGGTAAGGACATATTTTTGGTAGAGTAAGAACACACACATTTATCAGTTAAGTTCATCATCTTATATGGGCATATTCTGTGGCACCCCAAAACTATTGTGATAGTAACATCAATGACCACTGATCACATGTTACTATATCAGATATAATAATCATTAAAAATTTTGAAATACTATGAGAATTACCAAAAAAAATGTGACACACGACGTGAAGTGAACACACACTGTTGGAAAAATGGTGCCAATAGACATGCTTGATGCAGGGTTAGCACAAACTTTCAATTTGTAAAAAATGTGGTATCTGTGAAGTATACTAAAGAGAAGGGCAATAAAATGAGATAGGCCTGTACTATGTTTTTGAAAGAATATTTCACTGGAAAGAGGGAGCAGAGAAATCATACATATGAAGCACCTATTGTGTAACAAATGTTTAGATCGTTGCCATTCGTTAACTTTCAATGCTGTGTGAAGCCTTGTACATACATTCATACCTAGTTTACTGAATAAGCTGGACTTAGTAAGGTAAAAGCAGAAACCAACTTCATTGTTTTCTCTCTGCCTTCTCACAAACCCCTCTAGGAATTAATTCATCCCTCCTTTTGATACAATCTCAGGCAGATCATTTATTATAATAAAATCTACTCAAGTCTAATAGTCTCATAAGTTTAACACGGTCAAATGCAAAATAAAAACTATGAACCCTTATTTGACTTAAAATGTATCCTTTTCCCCAACCTTATCCTGCTTCAGGCCAAAAAATCTACAACAGAGAAGGGAATAAGATTTAATTCTTTTTTCAACCTATTTGCTTCCTATATTCATTTTTTTTTTTTTTTTTACCTTTCTGGAATAGAGGAGAGATGAGAGAGCAATCATGGGAAAAGTACTTAGTTTTATGGGTGGTATAATTGTAATTTAGTTTCAATACCCTTCTGGTGATAGATGTATAATCTGCAGGTCTTTATCCTTTCTGGGGCTTTTCTGGGTTCATCTGAGTTCCTCCTGCTGGCAAACTCAAGACTATGGTTTTCCGGATAGAACTGAGCTCTCCTCCTGCTGACAAAACTATGGTTTTCTGGATGGAAGCAAGGCTTCCTTTGGATGACCACATTTAACTATCTCTTGTCCCTGAGCTTCCACTGGTCCACCCCTCTATTGAGATTCAGGCAGTCATCTTGAATAGAGTCTCTTTAATGAGCACCCCTTGTCAGTTTCCCTCCTCTCAACTCATATCTAATTCATGGGAAACATACATTTTCCCTGTTGTTAGAAGAATTCCAGCTCCTCTCCAATGCAGCTCCCAATCTTCCTTCTGTTTTCAGGTAGAAGAACTCTAACCTTAGTCTATCACATATTTTTTCAGGAGGAGGCAACTATCTGGATTTATGATCCTCGCAATCTGGGAAACATATCATGAATTCTGAGTCAACCCATTGAACCCCTTTCTCTAAACTTGGGTTGAGGAGAATGCATCCCTCTCTCTTCCCCTTTAAGAGAGTACAGATAAAAATATTGTTAATTCAATGTTTTCCAAAGGAATTTTCTTTTTTTAGTTTCTTCAACTTCACCTTCCATAAAGGTATGTGTTGGAGGCCATGGAAGGGCATTGATCAGCTAAGACTGACAAAACAAGTTTGAGATCTTCTTTTCAACTTGTATATCATAGCTATTTATAGTTCTATGCTTTTGAATATGGGAAAATTGGGGGAGTTATTCAAAAACTCTAACCAATAGGAAGCATTATATTTAAGATGCCATTTTATGTTAATTTGTTCTTTCAAACAATCCTATGTGGATTGAGGATTTTCCTCAATTATCAGTAATGTAATAATAGTGTCTACCTGTAGGATTATTATGATTTTATTTGATAATTGAGGAAAATTGGTCCCAGAAAAGTTAAGTTACTAGAAGGTCATACAATTTATATTGGTGAGTGAAAAATACACCATCTCTGTCCTCAAAACACTCATTTATTTGGGGGAGACGGAAGGTAAATTAATATGTAAGGAAACAAATGTGTGAGAGAGACAAATAGATAAAGATACAGATATATAGATACAGATATATGTGTATGTATGTGTATATATATTACTTGTAAATTAGGAAATGCTGTAAGGATAAAAGCAGGGTATAATGATAACTGAAATGAACAGAGGTCAAGGAAGGCCTTTTCAGAAGGTGATCATTAAACTGAGTCATTATGTATAATATTTCCTTAAGTATGTTGTTTCCTTATGAAATATAGGAAGAGAACACTTCATGCAGAAATACCAACAGGCGCAAAAGCCCCAAAGTAGAAAAGAGCATGGTCAGAACAGAGCACAGGCCTAAACCTAGTGAAGTGTGAGAGAAGTTGCAAGAGGCATAGCTGGACAGATAAGTGGGCCAGAAGACAGGCGAGAGTCCTGGGACCTGCCACTTAGAGTTGTGTGGACTTTTATTATTATTATTGCTTCTCAAATATGCAATATGTATTTTTACTGTATTATTCATATCACTTGTTTCCCTTTCATCGGTAAAGCTCATCCACTCCAACTAATACTCTATGATTTATCTCTCTTGGAGGAGGAGTGCACTCCCTTCCTACCCATGTCCCATTTTAGCATATGACCTTAAATTTTCGCTCGCTTTTGAGATTTTTTTTTCTCATTTCTGCAAAGAGTGTGAATTTCATTAGGACAAGGAAATGTGGATGATGTGTCCTTTGCTTCTGTATGGTGAGCATTCAACTGGTAATTGAACATTGATCTTATTTACATTAAGATTTGGATAGAAGTAGGGTATTAATCTGAGTATAAAGAAGAGATTATACTATCTTTTTTATTGGTGGTCAGTGTTTTGAAGCATTTTCTTTTATTTCTGGCAGACTCCACAATTCCAATAGGAAAATAGTAACTGATTGAGCTTCTAGTTTTTAATCCTGAAAAGAAAATACTAATTTGAAAAGAAATATAGGTATAAATTGCTAATATACTGCAGTAATCCTGTGTAGAGTTAGAAAAGGTGCCATATCCTGACTTTTAGATTTACTTACTTTATAACAGTAATTGTTTAAAGTTGATTTGTTCATTCATTCATTTAATCATTTAGAGCTTATTATATAACAGATATTTTGTAAGAAGATAGAGCTATAAAGAAAATTTTTAAAAATTTTTCTGAAATTTTCTTCAAGAGGCTCACACCCTACTGGGAAAGTAGACATGTAAATAGTTAGATCATTTTGAGTACTAATCAAGAAGAGTGTCATAGAAGAGACATAAAAGAAGGAGAGGTTATTGCTACCTGGGAGAAAAGGAAGGTTGAACTGAGGCTTGAAAGATAGGTGGAGATTTTCCAGGGACAAGAAGTAGTTTGGAGAAGGGCACTCCAGCCAAAGGAATTTTCATGAAGCAAAGACCTTAATAGGCAGGAGGCCATGGTAAGGAGTAAGAATGGGCACATTTAAATTATATGGCTTCAAGAGAGAATTCATCTGTAATTGGTCTAATGATAAAACCCAGCAAACCTTTTTATCATGTGTGTTTGCATCTGTTGAGTTCTCTGAAGGTTGTGAAAAAATAAGCCTACCACTCACTCATGTTCAAAAAAAATTATTTCATGGTTCAAGGATCAGTGTTACAGAGTTTCACTTTGAGATGAATGTGATAGAGACTAGATTGAGTTTTGTTTTGTTGTTGTTTTCTTTCCTGTGATTAATCATGAGCAAGCCAAATAGTCAAAATTCATATTAATAACCTAGTTCTCATAACTTTGAGAGGATTATTAATTCATGAATATGAGATCACATGAAGGACAGATATTATCAATACACACAAATCATGACTCTATATTTGTTCGACTCTCTATGTCATGATCAGAGTTTTGTTTGACTCTGTACATTATTATCATAGTTAATATTTGAAATGAAGAGAGATTTTTTGTTGCTGTTATTGTAAAAGCATAGTTTTACAATGAGGTCTTCTATTTTGGTTTGCTCTCTCTAGAATACAGTGATAGGTGTTTTGTTTTTTTTTTTTTTAATCTGGACAAGTAAACAGAACTAATAAGAAAATACATTGGTTATACTTTTCCACTTGGGAATGAATTACAGAATCAGAATGTTGTCACTGGTAGATTATTGGCAGTCAATTGTCCTTCTGTACATTCTTATTTCTATTTTTAGAAACAAAATCAAATATACAAACATTTTATTGAAAAATGCTCTGGAATTTTAAATAGACCTACATTATTTTACAAATCTTTGTGTTATGGAAGGAATATCACTCTGAACTGCCATGAAGGAGTAAAATTTTAAACATCATTCTTGAGTCTACTAAGTGATATCCAACTTTTGCTGAATTAATATACAAAGTTAAATATTGGCCAACTGATAAAGATGAGGGTGAGAGTTAATAAGTGAATGGTAATATCAATCATTTATCCCAAAAGGTGTTTCTCCCGATGCATGTTCATTACTTACTTTTTGTAAGTAATATGTTTATAACACTTTCATGTTTAAAGTTGATTTATCCATTATTCATTTAATTGTCTAGAGCTTATTATATGGTAGCTATTTTGCAAGAAGAGCTATAAAGAATTTTTTTTTAAATTTGTCTCAAATTTTCTTCAAGAGGCTTCATGTTTTGATCATTGTATATTCATTATGAAAAAATATGATTGCTCTTACCTTTGTCTTCACTATCAATTAAGAAAAGAATGATGAGCACAAGTATGATACATGTCCTAAGTAAGCAGCATATATGCACAAATCAAACATGAGTTAGTAGTTGCCAAAACTTTACTGTAGGAGTGGAAACTCTGCTTTTATTTTTCTAATAAAATCTTAACCAAATCCTATGTCCATTTAAAGCAAAGTTACTTTAATTGAAGCAGAAGTGAGAGACCTGAAGCCCTACTTAGCTACAACCCTGTGCCCTTGGGGTCAATAGTTAATTTTGAGTAGTAGTTCTATCCCACCATCTCCAATACCTTTGTTACCCACAGTGGCCATCCCTGTAGCTGGGGAACCTCCTAGCACCCCAGTTTATTTTAGACCCACCCTAAAACCCATTGACACTTGATTTGAAGAGTAATATAAAAGAAGACCGAGGGCCTAAAAAATATAATAATAAGGAATATAATAGAAATAATAATTCTACAGATATAAAACGCTTTTTGAGCTTTTTCTTAATGCCAAAGTTGTACACAACTCTTTCATGCCCAATTTACAGATGGAAAAATTAAAAGATTTAACAATTTTCCCAAGTTCACAAATTTAAAAAATAGTGAATTTTGGGATTTGAACTTAAGCCTGTTAGAATCCAAAGCCTATGTTCCATTAGATGGATTATTTTTGGTTAAATTTCTTCCACATTAGCCCACTGGGAATATGGAGTGGGGAAGGTTAAGTGTGTTCATTTATTCATTGAGTCAATAAACAAACATTAATTTAGTTAGGCACTATATCTATAGATATATAACTATAAGTGTGGAACTGTAAAGGTGATTAAACAGAACATTATGTGTCTTTACAGTACTTATTTATAATTCTATCTTCTTTACCAATAAATTATAGACTTAAATATTTTGCTTATTTCTCTGATCCTCCATTCTCTGTAAAGGTTGGATAATAAACTATGCAAGTCCTGAAGTCTCTTTCAGCTCTATGATTTTACAAGTCTAATCGTTATAAGGCCACAGTATTGTATTATACTAACTACCTTTCCCCTAAAGGAGTCTAGTATGGTCCTAATTCCATGACTAGGGTGGTTTCTGCTAAACACACAGGTCTTTTCCAAACCAGGCACGACTCCTTTAAATGCACAGTATTTGTGTCACTTCAGTGGGAGGTAAAAGCCTTTACTCCCCGTTAGCTTTTTGTACTATATTATAAGCTGCAAGGTCAACCTCAGTAGAGTTCATTCCTTATGTCTTACAACTCTGCCTTGGTGCCTCTACTATTTTCCTCCCTCCGTCCTATAACTTCTCTTGCTAGGACTCTTCATGTCAGCATACCATCATACATCTATGCACCTCATCCCTCAAATCAGCCTACTCATTTCAATTTCTTCTGGAAATAATTTTTTTTAAGTTTCAGAAGTAGAAAAATAAACTAATTTTAACTACTTTGTTTTATTTTGTTTTCTTTCCTGTCTGATCCAACCCTCTCCTCTTCTCTTTTTTCTTGGAAACATGTTGTCAATATAAGAATGCTTACACAATTTGGCTTTGGTCCTTTCTTTCTTTGTCTGGATGCTGTTTGACTCATAAATGCTGGCAAAAGCAGGAGACAGAAGACAAAATATCTGTTCCACGTTATGGTATATGGTAAAAAATCAACTGCTTTGTAGCACCTTGAACAGAAAAGTCAGTTATAAATACTTTAATAAAATATGGTGTTTGTTATTTTTAGGTTTCAAGCCAGCAGAGTTGTAAACTGGCGTGTGACTGGAGAAAAAGGTTTCCATTCATGTTTCTAGAAGAATATTCACAATGAGATTTTAAAAGTTTTCAATTCAAATAAATCATGATACCATAATAAAACATTTATTAGTGAGTATTTCTATATATTCAAAGAACCATATTCAAGTATTCTTAATTTCCCATTGTATTATGAGGAGCTGATATGGTTTGGCTGTGTCCCCATCCAGATCTCATCTTGAATTCCCAAGTGTTGGGGGAGGGACCCAGTGGGAGGTAATTGAAACATGGGGGCAGGTCTTTCCTGTGCTGTTGTTGTGATAGTGAATAAATCTCAAGAGATCTAGTAGTTTTACAAGGGGGAGTTTCCCTGAACAAGTCTCTCTTTGACTGCTGCCATCCACATAAGATGTGACTTGCTCCTCCTTGCCTTCCACCATGATTGTGAGGCCTCCCCAGCCATGTAGCACTGAGTCCATTAAACCATTTTCCTGAATAAATTAAAAATAAATTGCAACCACCAACTGACCCATCAACCAACCTACAACTAAAAGGTCCTGTGAATGACAAACAGATACACTGAATAGTCTTTTTTTCTTTCAACAGAGAAAACTGGGTTTAACTTTATTTTTTATTGTCAACTGACAACTTATAATTGTATAAATTTATGGCATACAAAGTGATATTATAACTTATTAACACAATGTGGAACAATTAAGCTAGTTAATATATCTGTCACCTCAAATACTTAACATGCCTTGTGGTGAGAACATTTGAGATTTAGATTTTGAAATATACAATAGTCTATTATTAACTATATTCACCGGGTTTGGCAATAGAACCCAAAAAAAAAAAAAGAAAAAATATATTCCCCCTGTCTGAGATTTTGTACTCTTTAACCATCATCTCCTCATTCTCCTCACCTCCACCCTCTGTAACCACCATTCTACTCTCTGCTTTGATGAGTTCAGTTGTTTTCAATTCTACATATAAATGAGAATATAGAGTGTTTATATTTGCTGGACTTATTTTGCTTAACATAATGTTCTCCAATTCCATCTATGTTGTCATGAATGACACAATTTCTCCTTTTTAAAGGGTGAATCATATTCCATTATTTATATAAACCACATTTTCTTTATCAGTTTATCTCTTAATGGACACTTAGGTTGATTCTATAACTTGGCTATCATTGTTTCCGTGAACATGAGGTGGCTGATATCTCTTTGACTAACTTCAAAATATTTTGTGTAAACAAACAGAAGTGAGACTGCTGGATCATATGATAATTCTGTTTTTAGTTTTATTTATTTGCCTGTGATGCTGCTAGGCTGCAAGGCTGTATTTCTTCTGTTGACCCTCAATCTGCACTAAAGATGATAAGGACCTTTAGTTAGATGTGTGTTTCTGAGATTATTAACTATAGGTCAGAGAGTTTGATGCATTTTTTACCATATGAGAGAGTTAGGAATGCAGTGCTTTCTCGTGCCTTCAGATCCCTAGACTTCTCTTTGCAGGAAAGCATGTATTGTTGACCCTTAAACAATGTAGGGTTGGGGTTCAGATACCAGCACAATTGAAAATCCACATATCACTTTTGATTCCCCCAAAACTTAACTATGAACAGCCTACTAGTATTCATTGACAGGAAGCCTTGCCAGTAACATAGTCAATTAACACATATTTTGTATGTTATATGTATTATATACGATATTCTTATAATGAAGTAAGTGAGATAAAAGAAAATATTAAGAAAATCATAAAGAAGAGAAAATGTACTTGGTGTTCATTAAGCGGATTATTGTAAAGGTCTTCATCCTAATCATCTTCACATTGAGTAGGTAAGGAGAAGGATGAAGAGAAGGATTTGGTCTTGCTGTCTGAGATATTTTCTGGTAAATAATAAATAGAAGAGTATATCCCTATATTTTATGCATTTATGACATACCTAACTTTATATTAAGTGTTTGCAATATTTCTAGGCTATGCAGTTCATCTGTGGGGTTTTTCCAATTGTCACAAATCTCCAAAAAGTTTTCCAATATATTTATTGAGAAACCATCTGCATATAAATGGGCCTATACAATTTGAACCCATGTTATTGAATGGCCAACTGTACTATTATATAGAGTAGAAGTAGAAATAAAACTATTTACTTGGCTGTGAAGCCAAGTAAATCTAGGTTCAAATCCTGGCTTTTCTACTTGCTACTTTAGTGAACTCAGGTGATGTCTTTAAATATTATCAAGCTTTTATAAAATAGAGATAATAGAAACAACATTATCTATAGGTTTGTTATGAAGATTAATTAACCCAGTTATTGCTCAATGTTTGTCTTTATTGCTGTTATTACCAAATAGCATGACTTCGACTTTTGATTATGGTAGCTAGGAAATCATTACCAGTCAATATCATTTAGGAAAATGTTCAGGAATCAACTTATTGAATACTACATTTAAGAACTGTTTTTTGTTTGGTGATCTTTTATTTCAAAACAGTTTACTTAATTTTTGGCAGACTATTTATAATTTTAGTAGTGAAATAACTCATTGAATCTTCTAGTTTTTATCCCCACTCCCCAAAGACCATGGGTATCTTCAGGTTGGATTGATAGTATTTTTAAAAAGAGAAAAATAAAGATAAATCACCATTTTTTTTGTATCCTACTGCTTACATTTATTATCTGCTTTAATTCTCAAAACAACACAAGATTAAAAAGCTGCCTTTTCAAATAACAGCTCTTGCTACTACATCATTGTTTCCCCTCCTTGAATCCTGGATTATAACAGGAGAGATTTATTGCTCCTTGAGGAATTCCATTAACATTTTGGCTACCACCTTTGAAAACCTGCTTGTTTAATATACTTTAACCCCTAGATGTATTTTTTAAAAGCATGTTTTGCAGTCTACTTCCCACCACCCTACTCCCCCCAAAAAAAGTTTCTGATGTTTCTTCCTCCATTTTTCTACTTTTTCATTTTCCAAAATATTATCTCAAAAAGAACCGTTCTTTCAGTATTAAAAGATATGCTTTTGCTCAAAAGTCAGATAATGCAAAATGATTTCTGCCTCACTAACATTTCTTTGTTTTCTTTGGAGAAGAGAATGAAGAAGAGGTTTTTCCTCTCCTGCTAGCAGCTGAGTCCTTTTGTTTGGCTGGCCCAGTGAGGCTTTTGTTTCTATAGAAGAGAGCCCTGTTATTTCTCAAAAGCTTTTGTGTGCAACACTTCCTCCTGTGTTTCTGCTCACCCAGCACATTTTGCAGGAGTAAATGTCAAAAAGACTAAGTGTTGTTGAGCTTGGTTGTGTTTTATGATGTTGTTGTTCTCCCTACAAATCTTTTTATGAACAGAGACTGAATTCTGTTGCTGGATAGTGGATGTGTTGGCCATTCTGGTTTTGTTTGTTTGATTTTGGTGTTTTGGGGTCAGAGAAAAGGATGCCCCGAATGTTTTTAACAAGCTTTTCCTGTGAGTCCTGCTGTTTCTGACAAATTCCTGGAATCTGACAGAAGGGCATCTGTGGATATAATGGTGGTAACACTTGAAAGTATTTTTCATCTGTAATGGTGCCTGCATTGAAGGTTGCTTCTTTCCTGATGTGTTCAGTAAGAAGCGGTTGTTTTGTCCAGGTGGGGTGACTCACACCTGTAATCCCAGCACTTTGGGAAGCCGAGGCGGGCAGATCATCTGAGGTTGGGAGTTTAAGACCAGCCTGACCAACATGGAGAAACCCCGTCTCTACTAAAAATACAGAATTAGCCAGGTGTGGTGGCACATGCCTGTAGTCCCAGCTACCTGGGAGGCTGAGGCAGGAGAATCGCTTGAACCCGGTAGGCGGAGGTTGAGGTGAGCCAATTGCACTCCAGCCTGGGCAACAAGAGCGAAACTCCATCTCAAAAAAAAAAAAGAAGTAGTTGTTTTTCTCAATAACAATGAGAAAAAAGTGAAATAATATACTCAGGTTTAAAAAATTCGCTAATATGTAACTTATTTCCCCAGTTTGATGTTACCAGATATCATCCAATGTATCTAGACGGCAGTGATTTCTTTCTCTACCTGGAATTCCACCCACAGGTACTGTCATGGACTCATACTTCCTAAGCAGTTGCTGCTGACAAGCATATCAGAGAGGAGTATCCTATTATTAGCAGCTGCTTAAGGACCAGACTGGAAGAAGTTCTAAGACCTGTCAGCTCCTTCTCTTGAGAACTACTGCAGCAGCACAACCAGGGTCAGCTCTTTCGTCAAGAATAGGTTGAAACATGAACTTTTGGGGAGAAAGGGCTTATAACAGATTGTAAATCATTTTTTTTTTTCTTTCTCAGCTTGGTGAAGTTGAAATAGTACAGGTTTGGTTGTCAGATTAGGTTCAGTTGCTGGATATGATTCTTATTTGTACATGTCCATTAACATAGAAATTCTGAGTCTCAGTTACTTTTTCTGTAAGATGAGAATAACAGTAATACCAATGTTAAAGTGTGGCTTTCTGGTTTAAGTAATGTAATAGTATATAAAGGGGCTAGAAAATAGGTACTGGGCACCCAGTAGATATTCCACAAATGGCAGTTCTTATTATATGTGTTCTAGAGTTAAATACTCATCTCTATAGTCCCTCCTTCTGTTTCTGTAACTTTCTATACCCTTTCTATATTGTTTGCTGATTTGGGACATCAATCTGCCCAAGGCCTACTGATTTAGGAAGAAAGTGTGTGGGCCCAGCTCTCTTAGTGTTAGGGCCACTTAAAGTAGTATCCATAGTGAAAAAGTCACCCTCTAATTGCCCCAGTAATTGGCTCTAGCACTTTAAGGCTTTGAAAATTTTATAACCGAAAGAACTTCCCACACAATCTTTTAATGGCAATCGTTCTAATTTACGGGCTTTGTATGCCGTCCTGAGAGAGCTGAATGGAAGACATTATTGTGAAGGGGCTATGCAGATAGCAATACAAATGTCCTTGCCCACAAGGCATGAAAGACAAACACTGAAAATGAAAAAAGGAAAAATAACCAAGCAGTACACTTGCAGAAATAACTCTTATGACTTCAAAACATTAAAAATAAAACTGCTTTCCTGTGTGTCTGTCCTTGACAGTGATTTCATCTTTTTAGCTGCCTTTCAGCTTGTTTTATTTACAGCTGCGAAGGATACAAGCCACTGAATGAAGAGTACATTTTCTCTTTCTCACATTCAAATATTACATGTGTGTGTATAATATTAATTAAACATACAGTGGACTCATTTTTATTTATATACCTGTTTGTATGTATGTATGTAAGTATGTAGTGACAACATGAATGTATACTGCATGTATATGAATATATATACACACATATCATCTATATCTATATATATTTCGTAACATACACATATTCCTTTTCTGTTTCAGTGCAAGTCTTCCTCATGTATTTACTCAAAGGCATAAAGAATACCTAAATATTAACAACTTCAATATATACCTGGATTTATAACCTTGATGTACAAAATTCTCTGCCTTCTCAAATCCCCTTTTCCTTTAATATCCCAATTTAGAGTTCAAGCCCCCAGCTTGAAACCTCCAGTGCCTCCTCAGCATTTCTCACAGTTGTCTCCTGGCCACCTCTAGTCCTGAAGTTCCTTAGCCATCCCCCACAGGCAAGTTCTCCATGTGCTTTTCCCTGTAGTCCAGAATCTGCCATCTTCTTCCTCTGGCATGCCCTCTCTCTGTGTTAGTTTGCTACAGCTGCCATAACAAAGTACCACAAATTAAGTGGCTTAAACAACAAAGTTTGTGTCTCATACTTCTGGAGGGTACAAGTCTGAGATCGAGATATTAGCAAGGTTGTTTCCTTCTGAAGACTGTGAGAGAGAATCTGTTCCATGACTCTCTCCCAGCTTCCAGTAGTTTGCCGGAAATCTTTGGCATTCCGTGGCTTAGGGATGAATCACTCTTCTTTCTCCTTCGGTCTTCACGTGTCATTCTCCCTGTATGCATGTCTGTTTCTGTGTCCAAATTTTCCATTTATTAAAACAAACACAGTTTCATTGGATTAGGGACCACTCTAATAACTTCATCTTAACATAATCATCTTCAAACACCCTATTTCTAAATAAAGTCACAGATACTGGAGATTAGAACTTCACCATCTTTTGGGAGAACAAGATTAAACCCACAACACTCCCTCTCTCAAAAAATCCTCCTTACGTCTTTTCGCTATGTATCTACCAGGGAAACATTCAAAATTCATGATCTGTTATTTTGTAGAGAAATGTACCTTTCTTTGTTTCACCCTTCTAGTTCATTCTTGGGGCCTATTTTGACAGAATTAAAATTTTCAATATAAACTTGGACTTATAACCTTGAGGTCACAAAACTCTGCCTTCTAGAATCACCCTTTCCTTTAATATCCTGGTTAAGAGCTCAAACTCCTGGAAATACATAGAATTTTCTTTACTAAAAAACACAAATACATGCACACATAGAGAATACTGAACGGCATATTGTGTATGCATTTTTTTTACCATTTTGTTATTCAATAAAACACAGATACAGAAAAGCATACAAAATACATATTGTTTAATGTATTATTTTATATAATTATTATGAGACAAAAATCCTGTAACTACCACCTAGAACAAAAATAGAACTTTGCCAGCTACCAGAACACTTCTACATGCCTATTATAATCACAGTTCTTTCTCTCCTTCTGAAAGTAACCACTAATCTGACTTTAAAAGTAGTCCTTTATGTTCTTTTCATCTATTCCTTTATGTTTTAAGCTGGATGCTCTATTCCTATATGTTTTCCTGGATACACTATTTTAGTCTTGCCCATTTTTTTTTTAGCTTAATTTGTCTTTTCAGTCTTCTTTAATTTGTTGAATTCCACTCTATATTTTATTTACCTTATAGTTTATCTGCTGAAGAACTCAGGCCATTAGACCTATATAGTTTGCCAAATCTACTCATCTCTAATGTATACCCATAATATAGTTCAATATGTCTCTCTCTACTCTTTCAAAAAAGAAAAAAAAATGGCAGCTGGATCTAGAGGTATTATCAGACTCATGTGTGATCCCTTTGCTAGACTATAGGTGATGGCACGCCCTTTTATAATAAAGCAAGTAATATTATTTTCACCCTTTTTTACATTAGCAGCCATTAATGTTCAATTCTTAAGGTGATAATATTTCTATCAATTTTGTTTCTATTTATTATCTGGAATAATTTTGCAAAGAGCCATTTATCCTCATTTATTATAGTTGTAGAGCTTATATAAGAAAGGCATTGTAAGTGATTGATTCTTTTTTACTACTTACCCAGTTCTCAAGATAATGAGTTGTTTCCTTGTCATCTTGAAAGGTACAATTAGTTGTATTATTATGACTATTATTAAAAGTATTATTTTGAACTAATGAATTTAAACATAACTGAAATGAACAAAAAATGGATTAAGGAAAAGTGAACAGAGCTTCAGTGACCTGTACAGTAATACCTAGCAGTTTAATATATCTGTAACTGGATCCTCACTAGGAGAGGGAAGAGATAATGACCAGAAAAAAAGAAAAGAAAAAAAATTAGCTAAAATTTTCTCAAGTTTAATCAAAAACGTTAACATACAGATCCAAGAAGTTTCAAACAGGATAAATACAAACAAATAAAGCAAACTACTACCACAATGGATATAGAGACACTGCAGAAAACCAATGATAAAATAAAAGCAGTAAGAGAAAACAAATGCATTATAAAATAGAGAACCAGATAAGAATTATTCCTGACTTCTCATCAGAAACAACAGAGCCTAGAAGCCAATTGAATGGCATTTTTAAAGAGCTGAAAGATAATATGGAAAGTTAAAGTGCTTAGAACAGTGCCTGGCACATAGTAGGTACTAAATACTTTTTAAGTGTTGTAATTATTGTTATGAGCTTTATTTTCAATGTTCTTCTTTAAGACGATAGAGACCACTGAGTGAATATGGCATCCTTTTCTTAGTACTTAAAAGGACAATATAATGAGCTACTTTCTAAAAGAAAATGTAATTTTTGTGTGAAACACCAGGCCCCCAGGTGTCATGGTAGCTATTTCATTGATATTATTCCAAAAGAGCTAGCTAAATAAATGAAATTAAAATATCTGCATGAAATTTGTAGCTCTCTTTATTCAAGCACACATATATAAACTTCACTTTGATTAGATACATAATTTGTGAGATATTTTTCAAATATTTGATCTCAGAATAACAATTTAAAAATGGAAAAATAAATGCATTTTCATTTAAAAGCTTAATAAAGAATTCCTTTCCAATTGTGACTGATTTAATTTATATATAACATTGGTTTCAAAATCCTCTATGAGTACATTTTTATTCTTCTCTTTATTTGTTTATAATCATCTGTGAATTTGTAGGCAGAAGACTATACTTTATTATGTAATGCATTATTCAAATAGAGTAATATTTGAAAAGGCTATGCTTATTTACACAATTTTAAAAATACCCCTTTTTAAAATTCATTGGCTAGTTGTTCTCTTTGCTCTTCCCAGTTTGAAATAATAATTCTCTACAATGCTGAACTGACATACTTGTTTCCTCAAACTGCCATGCTATCTCTCTCCTTTTTTTTCCTTGAAGTCTTTGCATATGCTATGTTCTCTGTGTAGTACTCTCCCCAATACCACACTGGGTTGGCTCCTAATCTTCCTTCAGAATTCAACAGAAAAAGTTACTTCCATTGGGGAATACTCTCCTCTATGTTCTCAAAGTATGGTGTATTTATTCTCATCATTCTGTTTATTTAGGCAACATAGTATAATAATTAATACTGCAACCTTGACTCAGATTCTATGTAAATCTTGGTTGTACTAGATTCTTGCTGTATGACCTTGGGAATGTTTTACTTGATCTCTTGTCCTTTGTTTCCTCTTCAACAAAATAAGAATAATAATTGTACCTATCTTATAAGGTGATGTGGCAATCTAGAAAAGGTTAACAATGGAACAAAATAGAGAACCCAGAAATAAGACCATGCACCTACAACCATCTGATCATCAACAAACCTGACAAAAACAAGCAATGGGGAAATTATTTCTTATTTAATAAATGATGCTGGGAGAACTGGCTAGCCATAGGCAGAAAATTGAAACTGGACCCCTTCCTTATACCATATACAAAAATCAACTCAAGATGGATTCAGGACTTAAATGTAAAACCCAAAACTATAAAAGCCCTCAAAGACAACCTAGGCAATACCATTCAAGACATAGGCATGAGGAAACATTTTATGATGAAGACACCAAAAGTAATTGCAACAAATGCAAAAATTGACATATGGGATATAAGAAACTATCAACAGAGTAAACAGACAACCTACAGAATAGGAGAAAAATTTTACAATCTATCTATCTAACAAAGCTCTAATATCCAGTATCTGTAAGGAACTTAAACAAGTTTACACGAAAAAAATAACCACATTAAAAAGTGGACAAAGGACATGAGCAGACATTTCTCAAAGGAAGACAGAGGTGTGGCCAACAAACATGAAAAAAAAGCTCAACATCCCTGATCATTAGAGAAACGCAAATAAAAACCGCAAAGAGATACCATCTCACACCAGTCAGAATGGCTATTATTCAAAGGCAAAAAAACAACAGCTGCTGATGAGGCTGTGGAGAAAAAGGAATGCTTTTACACTGTTGGTGGGAGTGTAAATTAGTTCAACCATTGTGGAAGACAGTGTGAGGATTCCTCAAAGACCTAGGGCCAAAAGAATTCAACCTAGCAATCCCATTACTGAATATATACCCAAAGGAATATAAATCATTCTATTATAAAGATACATGCACATGTAAGTTCATTGTAGCACTATTCACAATAGCAAAGACATGGAATCAGCCTAAATACTGATCAGTGATAGACTAGATAAAGAAAATGTGGTACATATACACCATGGAATGCTATGCAGCCATAAAGAGGAACGAGGTCATGTCCTTTGCAGGGACATGGATGGAGCTAGAGGCCATTATTTTCAGCAAACTAACACAAGAACAGAAAACCAAATACCACCCGTTCCCACTTATAACTGGGAGCTGACTGATAAGAACACATGGACACATGGGGGGAAACAAGACACACTGGGGCCTGTTGGAGAGTGGGGAGTGGAAAAAGGGAGAGCATCAGGAAGAATAGCTAATAGATGCTGGGATTAATACCTGGGTGATGGGATGATCTGTACAGCAAACCACCATGGCACACCGTTACCTATGTAACAAACCTGCACATGCTGCACATGTACCCCTGAACTTAAAATAAAAGTTGGAAGTTTAAACAAAAAAATGTAAAAGGTTAATACACACAAGTCTTAGAAAAGTGCCTGGCAATGATAGTGCTAAGTCAGTGAGTGCTAATAGAGCTTTCATACGTAATCATCTTTCTACTTGGCACATGCTTCTTTATATTTAGTGATCAACTAATAATTATGATGTGAATGAATTAAGCCATAGTAGCCTCTGCTTATAAATTGTTTGTAAAATCAATCTAATTAATATTTATTGAGTACTGAGAATATGTTTTGACACTTATTTATTGAATAGGTGAATGATTAAATGTACAAAATCCAATAATGAATGCTATTCTACAAAAGTAAAGGTGAAAAAATCAATGTGAGGTGGTTTCTTTGGGAACAATTTTTTGGAAGAAATTAATGAGTATCTACACCAAATTACGTATGTATTCAAATGGGTAAACCGAGGAAGGGGACTTTCCAGAACAAGAAGTAACATTCTCGAGGGTGGAGATATGCTGTGTAGATGTTGGCCTTTTTTTTATCTCAAAACTAATTATACAGAAAAAAAAAAAAGTCTGTATCAGGATTAGGATGTAGGCAGGTGCACCTGTGCAAGAAACATCATTGATTTTATATTGGATTGTGAAAGAGAAAGTACATTGTAAAATCATGCCTTTCATAACAGCGGATTGGAATGCCCTCTTCCTGATTTATTAGCTGTGGGAACACAAACATGTTGTTGAACTTTTCTAAGACTCATTACATGTTAAGTTGTAGTAATAGTTGGCCCAAGGATTAAATAAAACTATGCAGGCAATTCTTTCAGACAATGTGCCTGGCACATGGTACGTAGTCAATAAGAACTCATTTGTGTAATAGGAACAAGACTAGTTGACCAGATTGGTCAGATACAGAGAAGATTCTTTAAACATTTTATTTTCATTTAAAACATTAATGTATATTAAATTGCCTATTTTTATTTAAAATGGTCGCCATGGGTCTCAACCATTTTTTGTGAAGAAAATTGACTGATAATAAAAGACATTGGGAAAGTAATATGAGTGTCCAAATACTTCTAGACTTTGTTTCTCCTCAACCTTTCATAATTATCTTGCCCACATTAATAGCATGTTTTAAACATTTGGTGTTTCACAAGCCTTTCCAAAACATTCACCTTACATTTTATAGAAACATTAAGATGAGTATTTTATCACTTCACAAAATATTTAATCAAATTACATAATTACAGCAACAGCAACAGCAGCTGACATAATTAACAAGTTAAAGGGAGATAAATGGGTTAGGTAAAAAACTCAGATGAATCTTGATAAATACACAACTCTACTAGGTATGTATACAATTCTATTTGGTAAGTGTACAACTCTACTTGTTTGCAGAGCATTGTGAAGATATACTCAAGAGCAGCTTTCTAGCCATGAGAAGTTAGCATCTCCAGGTCCAGTCAAGACAGTTATGAGTTTTGGTTAATTAAGGAAGTTTTTAACTGAAGTAGGGGAGCTTTTTTTTTTTTTTTTTTTTTTTTGAGACGCAGTCCCACTCTGTCACCCAGGTTGGAGCTCAGTGGTGCAAACTCAGCTCACTGCAACCTCTATCTCCCTGGTTCAAGGAATTCTCCTGCCTCAGCCTCCCAAGTAGCTGGAATTACAGGCGTGCACCACCATACCCAGCTGATTTTTGTATTTTTAGTAGAGATGGGGTTTCACCACATTGGCCAGGCTGATCTCGAACTTCTGACCTCATGATCCAACCACCTCGGCCTCCCAAAGTGCTGAGATTACAGGTGTGAGCCACCACGCCCAGCTGGAGACTTCTGTTATGTAATACTACTATTGCTGTAGGCTATTAAAGAGGTCAAATCAGTTCTATTAACTGAAATATCACTTCAATAACGTTCTGCAATCACTCTGATATCTATGTTCACATAGGAATTTAAACATATTTCATAAATATAGCACTTCTCACTGATGCTGCAGTTATTTATTTTTCCATTCTAGACCATGAGCTCCTCAATATTAGATACTTGTTCTCTTTGTGAAGCTTGTCCCTAGCCCATAGTAGGTACTAGGAGATGTGTAGTATGAAGTCTAGAAGCTTAGTGCCATGAGAAAAAGTAGAAGAAACTAGGTCTGCTTCACTTAGAGCAAAGAAGATAAGGTGGCTATAATAGCTGGCTTCAAAATCTCTGCTTTCCATGTAACTGAGCCAGGCTTTTAGCTCAGGTTCTGCAATTAAACAGCTTTGTAACTCTGAGAAATTACTTCATTTCTGGAGGTCTTAGTTTAATCCCTGAAAAATTAGAGAAGTAAGACAGATGATCTGGGGAATCCCTTCTAAAGGTAGTTGTTCTACCTATTTAAAGGGACATCATTTATAGGGACAGACAACCCAGCTTATTCTCTTTTCCTTTAAAAGACAGATCTGAGACCTGTTGATAGAAGTAATAACATCATAGCCAATTAATTAATATAGAGAAAAAAGAAATGTTAATGGTTCCACCTTGGTTACAGTGTATTTAAGTAAAGGCTAGATGACCATATGCATGGACCTGGAGCGGGTATTCGATTAGATTAACCCCGAGATCCCTTCCAATTATAAGATTCTTTGACTATTAAATCAAAGGGCCAAATGAAGCAAAAGTGCTCAACTTCCTTTTTATTTAACTTTTCTGACTGATCCTGCTTTCCTCCTGTTTATTCACATGTGCTACTCTACGGGGAGTAATCTTAAATGTACTTTTCTCCCCTTCAACCTAACCACAGACTCTGTTTTGAAACTCTGAATATTTTGACAGTAAAGCAGAAACAAGCCACAATCTCATAGTCTCCCTGGTAAACTGGAGAGAATCCCAACTGCATTTGCCAACTATATTCCAAAGATTTCAGTAGTAATGCCTACATGCAATATATAAATGCCACAAAATGCCACCATCGAATGACCCAACAGTGGTCAAGGTCAGTGGATGTTGGAAGTCTCACCAAGTTTTCCAAAGGCTATTAGAGTAAACAGGAAGTCAAGAGTAGCTTGACTCCCTGCTTCTGTCCTACTCTGTGCGTTTCTTGCCAAAAATCAGGATCTGTATTTCTTCTGTCTTACAAATAGTACACAATGATCTGGAGTACATAAGGACACTTGCAAAAGCCTGAGACCAGAGAAACAATAACTAAAATGTTTCATGACAGCTACTACTGTATTGTGGAAATTATTTATTCTTAGACATAGGTTGATAAACTTCAAAATATAGCATTAGCAGATTTTGTTAGTCTTGAAAAGCAAGCGAACTATCCATTTAAATGCTAGGAAATCTGTTTTGTTATTTTCTATATATGTAAGTCTCACAGAGAATATCCCATTTTGGATTTTAATCAGGGTAAAAAACAATCTTCATCTAGCAAACTATTGCTCCAAAATCCAATTGATTGAAGGATTTTATAAACAATACAATCCACATTATATTTTTATAGCTTTGAATTGAAACACATGTAATTTTTTAATTTTAAAAATTAAAAAATAAATGTGCTATGGACATGTATTTCTTTATTTGATGACCAGAAAACATTAGCACTAAAGGGTGGTAGTGTTTTTTAGTGCCAAGGTTTTAACTCTCTTGTACTCATAGAGCATAGCATGGTCCAAATGCTATATTTGGCCACATTCATTGTTTCATTTCTTAATGGGCAAAGCTGTCACTGAAGGACTAAGCTTTTTCCTTACCCTCAGAAATGTAGATCCAGATTATTTTTATTATTAGATGCAGAGCTTTGACTTAGCCCTAGAAAGTACCCTGAATTATAACTGACTTAAAGGAGTAAAAATGCCAACTGACAATAATGAGTCTTCTCACAATCTGTAACATTTAGAAGAGTAAAGCTGGTTTTTCTTGTTATTAATTAATTAATTAATTTATTTATTTATTTATTAGAGATGAGGCCTTACTCTGTCACCCAAGCTGGAATACAGTGGTACTGTCACAACTCACTGCAGCTTTTACCTCCCAGGCTCAAGTGATCCTCCAGCTTCAGCCTCCAGAGTAGCTGGAACCACAGGCACATGCCACCACACCTGGCTAGTTTTTGTATTTTTTTATAGAGACAGGGTATTGCTATTTTGCCCAGGCTGGTCTAAACTCTTGGGCTCAAGTAATCCTCCTACTTCAGCCTCCCAAAGTGCTAGGATTATGAGCATAAAATGCCATGCCCAGCCAAGCTGTCTTTATTTAATTGGCTTATTGTATCCTTTAAATACACATTTAAAGTAATATTACCAAAATCAACATTTTTAAGTTCACTCAACCTGTTTTATTTTTTATTTTTTATAGTGGCCAAAAAGATTTTTCATGCTTCTCAAAGTAAATAAAATAATTTTAAAAGCTTATAAGACAAGAGGAAGGAGAAAATTACATAGTTTGTGATTAGAACTAATTCGAAATACAGGAAAGTAATTGCTTAGAAATTAAAGATGATTTTTAATTTGGTCAAGTGCAAAGATTTGATAATGCAAGAGTTGTATACCCAGTTTACACATTAAAATTAATTGATCGACTCGAGACTTCAGCAGCCACTGTCTAGTGCAAAGACACAAGCACATAATTAATGATAATAATGCTCAAGTGTTTACATCATGTCAGTAGGTATTTTGATTGCTCTCATTTTGCTATTGGTATCAAATTTAAAACTAAACAATTCCTTTTAATAATTATGTTGTCATACTTCAGTTGGTACAATATTTGAGAAAGGAGCTAGGACTTTTCCTAGCATATCAACTTTTGGTTTTATTAAAATGCACACATCAGCCAGACTCAGTAGCTCATGCTTGTAATCCCATCACCTTGGGAGACGGAGGCAGGAGGATTACTTGAGCCCAAGAATTCAAGACCAGCCTAGGCAACATAGCAAGACCCTGTCATTACAAAAAATAAAACTAAATAAAAAAATTGGCTGGGGTAGTCGTATGCACCTGGAGTCCCACTGACTTGGGAGGCTGAGGCAGGAAGATTGCTTGAGCTCAGAAGTTCAAGGTTACAGGGAGCTATGATTGTGCCACTGCACTCCAGCAGTTAGATCCGGTCTCAAAAATAATAATAATAATAATAATAATACAATTAAAATGCATGGATCATTCATTTTATCATTCAAAATAAATGTCAGTGGTCATGATCATTTATGTCATTCTCAGAAATCTTTATATAGATCTAAAATTTAGCAACGTGTGTTACAGTTAAATATGAGTTCTAGCTGATGCCGGTGTGAGAAATATTAGTATTTTCATACTATTTAGATTTTTTCTTGAGATATATTTTAAATTCATTTTTATTGTTTCTGCTACTAAGATTAGTATGTATTTGTAGAATGCTTCAGAGTTTGTGATACCAGAACACAGTGCACAGACTGGGAGGCTGAATAGAACAATAAGCTTAGGAAGAAAGGCTTTGCTGCCAGACAGTCTTGGATTCGCGTCTTGGCCCACAGGTTGTTAAATCATTGACCTTAAGAAAACTACTTAACATCTTTAATCTTTATTTTCTTGTTTGTAAAATGTTATAATACCTGCCTCATTGGTTTTATTTTAATGAGATGAAATGAGATAAGGCATAGTGAATGAAATGTAATTTTCTTTGTACCTAGCATATAGTAAATAATAAAAACAATCATTATTGTCCCTCATTTAATATTGTTATCTCATTCAATATTATTTTCTCCAGAGAATAACCTTTAAAACTCCACACTGCACAGCATCAAACTAGACAGAAGTATTAACTTGGTCACCCACCCAAGGGCCCTTCCCTCCTTCACTTTAGCTGTTCTCTGCTCACCCTTGTAGGAATCAAATAAAAACTCACTTTTGATAAAAACAAATAGGCAGCTTAGCTTTTCCTTGCTAAATTCACCCTTCAAGTTATACAACCTCATTATTGAAGAATAGATCAGAAAAAAAATCATACCATATAAAGAATAGGAAGCATACAATATGCTCATTTTAGTATGTGAGCTTTAGAAGCTTGAGTTAGCATCTTTATGGATATATTTCTGCATTTTCACCTCTAGAATCATTTCCTATAGGTTTGGGGATAGGTTTTGTGCGATCGAAGGTGGTGTTTGTTTGTTTTGCATCTTGAATGCCAAAATATCATGGCAAATGTGAGAGGGATTTATATCTTAACATTTCGAAACTTCTAGGCATATTCCAACTTAAAATTCCTGAATCAGGACCAAAATGGTATACTATTAGTCCTATACATGAAGTAAAATATAAGAAACCATAGTTAAAAGCTAGAGGAATCAAAAATCTAAGATGCTGATACAAAAAGAAAACAGCAGCAATCTTGATTTGTTTATTCATCCTGTTAACAGATATTTATTGAAAGTCTAGTATTTTCTAGGTATGGAGCATCAAGAAGAGAGGTAGTTTGAGTAGTACATGCTTGATTCCCACTCTAGGTCAAAAAACAACAACAACAAAAAAAAAAAACAAGAAAAAATCTGTAGATAAAGACAGACACTAGATGTAACTGCACAAAGAAGAGAGTGATCCACCTAATGACAACTGGGTCATCCCAGGAACTCTTATTTGAATGGTCCCCTATTCCTCCTAGATCTATTAATATAGTACTCCTTGTTTTACCTCTACCCAAAGGATCAAATTTGTTTTAGATCTTGTTTTGCCTCTACCCAATGTGCAAATTTATTTTTGATATGTATGAATTCACCTGACTTCACTTGTCAGAGCTTTTTTTCTTCTTTTTCTTTTTACCCTTCTCTCTCTATTATCAAAATACCTGTTGTGGATATTTTTGTATGTCTGTCTCTCTAGTCTTCTCCAATATGCTTATTAAAAGCATTTGATGATCTTTTGGAAAGGGAGGAATGTTCTGGAACAGTTCTTAAACCAAATTTCCATCTGTCAACAGCTGTCTGAATAGAGATACATACCAAAATTACCAAAACTCCATCTCCAAAACATGTGAGCTAACTATATCAATCATTGAGATAACTTCATACATTCTGTTACATTTGGAATTGTGCTGCAAAAGCCAAACATTGCATATTAATTAAATTGTATTTATGTCCATATGAAACTGATAGAGACTCTTAAAGAATTCACAATTTAAGCATAAGGTAGAGTAACTGGAGGGAGTTCACTAAGAAGATGATACAAGAGTATAGGGTTTTATACCCAGATCTGTAATTTGTCTCATTTTATTTCATGGGATTAACCAATTATGAGGATAAATGAAAGTATTTTAAGAGAGTTTGAGAAATAAAATATAAGAGAATAGATGATGTGAGTGACCATGATATGACATAGTTTTGTGTGTCTAATAACTCATTTTATATTCTAGTATTTTGCTTTAGATATTAATAATACCTAAAATTTAAATAAATGTAAATGGTTTAAAGTGTATGATGTATTACATTACATTTGTCTCTCATTACAATCTTGAAAGAAAATGCAAAGGGAATAGATATCCTTTCAATACTGGAACTTATACTGTGTGGTTCCTTCTCATACATTATCATAATTAATTCTCACTGTGATATTATGAGGTAAGTATTAGCCTCCTTGATATCATTTTCCTGATAAAACTGATTCTCAGAGAAGCTAAACAACATATTACAAGGTCATACAGTTTTTAAATGGTAGAACCAGGGATTATACCAGTAATCTTTCTCCTATTCCACATGGTGCTTGTGTCATATATTATCTCTTTACGTATTAGAAAACAGATCCATTAAAAGTGACTTGTTCCAATAGTCCATTTATTATTTTAGCATGCAAAATATTATATCTTTTAAGCAGTCATTAAAGATGTTCAATTATGTAGCTGAATTTATTTGTGTAAATTAAACTAAGTTGGGCAAAAGTATAAGATTAAATAAAGACAAAAGGTACATGCTATAAGCCTTGTACAATTGGATATGCAAGATAGGATAGATTGTTCTAAAGATTAATGGATTTGATATAAAAGATATTTAGTTGCAATAAAATAGATTTTATGGCAAAGTAAAGATACCTTAACTCAACTGCTGTGTAATTGAAAATATTAACACTTGTCACATAATATAATGAGGGAGCATCTGTTACCCAGTGGTTTCAGACACCTTCTTTGGCATGTCTGAAACCATACAATAAATACTGGAAATATTGTTTAGTTACTTCATAAATCTGAACCATAATGAGTAAGCCCTCTGTTGTTTCATAGTGAGCAAGATGTCCTTGCAAAAAGAAATGCTTGTATAATTGTTTCAATTACATAACTTCCACTCTTTCCTAGGATGCAAGCTGAGTCCAGATTTTCCAATTATCTCTTTTACAAAGAGCCCTATAAGGGTGATCGAGTGAGGTAGTAAAGTTAGCTTCTACTAATAATGCCCACTTGACAGTTTTGGTGAATTAAAATGTTTATAAATTTTTAAATTTAAGGTTAGTCTTTTAGTTTCTTAGCAGATTGCAGACATCTTTTGTGTTATATTTTATTTTTCACAATTTGGTTTTGTGAAGAAGATATGACAAACAGTCAGTGTTGGGGGAACAAGGAAAAGCTCAAAGTAAATCATGAGCAGAGAGAAAATTGAGGGAAAAAGTCTCCTAGAGTGAGTTTTTAATGAGTGATTACTGAATATAGTAAAGAAAAAAGGCAAATTTGAGAAGGAATAAATGATGCTTTATTATAAAAAGAGAACATATTACCAATGACACAGAATATAATTTGCCATATCTTTATTGATACGTAATATTTTACATCTTTATGGGGTACGTGTGATATTTTGTTACATGCATAGAATATGTAATGATCAAAGCAGGGTATTTGAGGCATCCACCACTTTAAGTATTTATCGTAAATACTTAAGTATTAAATACTTAAGTATTTATTGTAAATACTTAAAGTGTTAAATACTTAAGTATTTATCGTAAATACTTAAATACTTATTCTGTGTGTTGGGAACAATTCAAGTCCTCTCTTCTAGCTACTTTGAAATGTACAATACATTGTTTTTAACTATAGCCACTCTACTCTGCTTTTGAACAATAGAACTTATACGTTTCATCTAAGTGTATTTGCACCCATTAACTTACCTCTCTTCTCCCCACCAACCTTTCCCAGCTTCTAGTATCTGCCAACTTTTTAGCTCCCACATGTAAGTGAAAACATGCAATAATTGTCATTCTTTACCTGCTTATTTCACTTTATATAATGACCACTAGCTCTATCGATGTTACTACAAATGACATTTTATTTTTTTCTACAGCCAAATAATATTCTGTTGTGTATAGATACCACATTCTCTTCATCCATTTATTCATTGATGGATACTTAGATTGATTTCATGTCTTTGCTATTGTGAATAGGGCTGCAATAAACATGTGAGTACCAGTATCTATTTGATATACTGATTTATGTTCCCTTGGATAGATACCCAGTAGTGAGATTGCTGGATTGTATAGTAGTTCTTTTTTAGTTTCTTGAGAAATCACCATACTATTGTCCATAGTGGCAAATGGCTGCACTATTTTACATTCTGACTAACAGTGTATGAGTTCCCTTTGTCTCCATGTCCTTGTCAGCGTCCGTTATTTTTTGTCTTTTTAATAATAGCCATTCTACCTGGGATAAGATGATATCTCATTGTGGTTTTTGATTTGCATTTCTCTAATGATTAATGATCTTGAGCATCTTTATTTGAATGTCATCTTTTGAGAAATGTCTATTAATGCCCTTTGCCCATTTTTAATGGGATTATTTTTGTTGTTGTTGAGTTGTTTGAGTTCTTTGTATGTTCTGGATATTAGTCGCTTGTCAGATTAATAGTTTGCAACCATTTTCTCCCATTCAATTTGTTGTTTCTTCCCTCTGTTAACTGTCTTTTCTGCTGTGCAGAAGTTTAATATAGTCCAATTTGTTTATTTTTGTTTTAGTTGTCCGTGGTTTTAAGGTCTTAGCCATAAAATCTTTGCCTAGATTAGTGTCATGAAGTGTTTTCCCTTTGTTTTCTTCTGTGAGTTTTATAATTTCAGGCCTTCCATTTAAGGCTTTAATCTGTCTTGAGTTGATTTTTGTATATGATCAGATAGGGGTCCAGTTTCATTCTTTTGCATGTGGATATCCAATATTCCTAGGATCACTTATTGAAAAGGATGTCCTTTCCCCAGTACATGTTCTTAGCAGCTTTGTCAAATGTCAGTTGGCTATAAACATGTGGATGTATTTCTGACTTCTCTATTCTGTTCCATTGGTCTAAGTGTCTATTTTTATACCAATACCATGCCTAGTAATATATTTCTAAGTCAGGTTGTATGATGCCTCCAGCTTTGTTTTTTGTTTGTTTGTTTTTGTGTTTTGTTTTGTTTTGTTGTTTTTGGTTTTGGGGTTTTTTGGTTGGGGGGATTTTTGTTCGTTTGTTTTTGCTCAGGATTGCTTCAGCTATTCTGGCTCTTTTTTTTTTTTGATTCTATATAAATTTTAGAATTCTTTTTCTCATTTCTGTAAAAAAAAATGACTCTGGTATTTTTATAGGGATTGCATTGAATCTGTAGATTGCTTTGGGAAGTTAGCTCATTTTAATTATGTTAATTCTTTCAACCCATGAGCATGAAATGTCTTTCCATTTATGTCCTCTTTAATTTCTTTCATCAGTGTTTTGTAGTTTTCCTTGTAGAGATCTTTCCCTTTCTTGGTTAAATCTGTTCCTAGGTATTTGGTTTCTGTAACCATTGTAAATGAAATTGCCTTCTGAATTTGTTTTTTGACTATTATTGTTGTACAGAAATGCTACTGATTTTTTATATTGATTTTGTATCCTCTAACTTTACTGAATTTATTAGATCTAAGAGTTTTTTGGTGTAGTATTTTGTGGGCATTCTTATCTTGTTCCAGTTATTAGAGAGAAACTTTCAACTTTTCTCCATTCAGTATGATGTTAGCTGTGTGTTAGTCATATATGGCCTTTATTATTTGGAAGTATATTTTTTCTCTGCCTAGCTTGTTGAACATTTTTATTATGAAGTGATGTTCAGTTTTTCAAATACTTATTCTGCATCTGATGAGATGATCATATGATTCTTGTGCTTCCTTCTGTTGATGTGATATATTATGTTTGTTGATTTGCATATGTAAAACCATTCTTGCATCCCTTGGTATAAATCCCATTTTGTAATGGTATATTATCTTTTTGATGTGCTGTTGAATTCAGTTTGCTAGTATTTTGTTGAGGATTTTTTGAAGATGTGTTCGTCAGGAATATTCATGTATAGTTTTCTTATTTTGTTGTGTCCTTAGGTTTTGGTATCAGGGAATACTGGTCATAGAGTGAGTTAGGGAGAATTTCTTTCTCTTCAATTTTTATGGAGTTGTTTGAGGAGGATTGGTTTTAGTTCTTTTTATGTGTGGTGGAATTCAGCAGTGAATCCATCTGATCCTGCACTTTATTTTACTGGGAGACTTTTTATTACTATTTCAGACTTCCTACTTAATATTGGTCTGTTCAGGTTTTCCGTATCTTCCTGACTAAACCTTGGAAGGTTGTATGTTTCCAGGAATTTATCCATTTCCTCTACTTTTTCCAGTTTTTTATCACATAGTTGTTCCTAATAGTCTCTGATAATCTTGTATTTCTGTGGAATTAATATGGTTAGGCTTTATGTCCCCACTCAAATCTCATATTTAATTATAATCCATATAATACCCATAATCCCCATCTGTCAAGGGAGAGACCAGGTGGAGGTAACTGAATCATGGGGGTGTTTTCCCCCATACTATTCTTGTGATAGTAAGTCCTCATGAGATCTGATGGTTTTATAAGAGGCTCTTCCCCTTCCCTTGGCACTGCTTCCTGCCACCTTGTGAAGAAGGTGTCTTTCTTCCAGTTCACCTTCTGCCATAATTGTAAGTTTGTTGAGGCCTCCCCAGCCATGCTGAATTGTGAGTCAATTAAACTTCTTTCCTTTATAAATCACTCAGTCCCAGACAGTTCTTTATAGCAGTATGAAAATGGACTAATACAGGAAAATGGTACCAGGAGTGGGGTGCTGCTATAAAGACACCCAAAAATGTAAAAGCAGCTTTCAAACTGAGTAACAGGCAGAGGTTGGAAAAGTTTTGAGGGCTCAGAAGAAGACAGGAAGATGTGAGAAAGTTTGGACCTTCCTAGGGACTTGGTGAATGGCTTTGACCAAAATGCTGATAGTGATATGGACAATGAAGTCCAAGCTTAGGTGGTCTCAGATGGAGATGAAGAACTTATTGGGAACTGGAATAAAGGTGACTCTTGCTATGCTTTAGCAAAGAGACTGGAGGCATTTTGCCCCTGCCCTAGAAATCTGTGGAAGTTTAAACTTAAGAGAGATGATTTAGGGTATCTGGTGAAAGAAATTTCTAAGCAGCAAAGTGTTCAAGTTGTGACCTGGGTGCTCTTAAAAGCATTGAGTTTTACGCATTCACAAAGAGATAGTTCAGAATTGGAACTTAAGTTTATAAGGGAAACAGAGCATAAAAGTTTGAAAACTTTGCAACCTGACAATGCAGTAGAAAAGATAAAACAATTTTCTGAAAAGAAATTCAAGCCAGCTGCAGAAATTTTCATAATGAACAAGGAACCAACGTTAATCACCAAGACAATGGGAAAAATGTCTCCAGGGCATGTTGGACATCTTCATGGCAACCCCTCCCATGACAGACCTGGAGGCCTAGGAGAAAAAAATGGTTTTTGTGGGCAAGGACGAGGGCCTTGCTGCTTTATGAAATCTCTGGACTTGGTGCCCTGCATTCCAGCCATGAGTAAAAGGGGCCAACGTAGAGCTCAGACCATTGCTTCAGAGTATGCAAGCCCCAAGCCTTGGCAGCTTACATGTGGTGTTGAGCCTGTGGGTACACAGATGTCAAGAACTGAAGTTTAGGAACCTCCACCTCGATTTCAGAGGATGTATGAAAATGCCTGGATGTCCAGGCAGAAGTTTGCTGTGGGAGAGGAGCCCTCATGGAGAACCTATGATAGGGCAATAGGGAAGGGAAATGTCGGGTGGGCACCCCCACACAGAGTCCCCACTGGGGTACTACCTAGTTGAGCTGTAAGAAGAGGGCCCCCATCCTCCAGACCCTAGGATGGTAGATCCCAGTCTTGGGAAGTTATCTATAGCAGTATGAAAACAGACTAATGCATGTATCAATGGTCGTGTCTCCTCTTTCTTTTCTGATTTTGTTTATTTAGGTGTTCTCTCTTCTTTGCTATTTTAGGTGGTAGTTTATCAATTTTCTCTTTCTGAAGAACCAATATGTCATTTTGTTGACCCTTATATTGTTCTTTAAACCTATTTTGTTTAGTTCTACTCTTATCTTTATTATTTCTCTATTTCGGTTAATTTGGGGATGGGTTTGTTCTTGCTTTTCTAATTGCTTGAGTTGCATTTTTAGATTGTTTATGATGTTTATTGCTATAAAATTCCCTCTTAGTACTGCTTTTGCTGTATCTTACAGATTTTGGTATGTTGTATTTTCATTTTCAATTGTTTTAAGAACTTTTTTGATTTTCATCTTAATTTCTATGTTGACCCAATGATTATTTAAGAACATGAACATGTTTAATTTCCATGTACTTGTATAGTTTCCAAAGTTGCTCTTGTTATTGATTTATAATTTTATTCCATGTGATCTGAGAATATACTCAATAAGATTTTGATTTTTTAAGTTGTTGAGACTTGTTTTGTGACCTGACATATCTACTATCCTGGATAATGTTTCATGCGCTGATAAGAACAATGTATTCTGCAGTCATGTGATAAAATGTTCTGCAAATGTATGTTAGGTCCATTTTATCTAAAGTCTACTTTAATGTTTCTTTGTTAATTTTCTGTGTAAATGATCTGTCTAATGCCGAGTGGGATATTGAAGTACCCCACTATTATTGTATTAGAATCTATCTTTCTCTTCAGAACTAGTAATATTTGTATTATGAATCTGGGTGATCCAGTGCTGGGTGCATGTATATTTAGCATTGTTACATTCTCTTGCTGCATTGATTCCCTATTATCATTATATAATTTTCTGATTTCTCTTTTTTACTGTTTTTTTTTTTTTACTTGAAGTCTGTTTTATCCAATATAAGGATCGCTACTCTTACTCACTTTTGGTTTCTGTTATTATGGAATATCTTTTTTCATCCCTTTATTTTGTGTCTTCATGTGTTTTTATAGGTAAAGTATGTTTCTTATAGGCAGCATATAGTTGGATCATGTTTTTGTAACCTTTCAGCCAGTCTATATCTTTTAAGTAAAGAATTTAATCTGTTTACATTCAAGGTTAATATTAATATATGAGGTTTTGTTCCTGTCATATTGTTAATTGTGTTTTGGTTGTTCTGTATGTTCTTTGTTCCTTTATTTTTCTTTTATTGTTTTCCATTTTGGTTTGGTAGCTTTCTGTCATGATGCTATTTGAGTTCTTTCTCTTTTTCCTTTGTATGTGTGCTTTACCAGTGAGTTTTATACATTTGTGTGTTTTCATAATGGCAGATGTGTCCTTTTCCTTCCAGGTTTAGGACTCCCTTGAGCATTTCTTATAGAGCTGGTCTAGTGGTGTTGAATTTCTTGTTTTTGCTTCTTTGTAAAAGACTTTATTTTTTCTTAATTTATTAAGGATAATTTTTCTGTACATAGTATCATTGGCTGGCAGTTTTTCTTTTGAAACTTTTAATATATCATTGCATTTCCTCCTGCCCGGTATGGTTTCTACTGAGAAACCAATTTTAGTCTAGTGGAGATTCCCTTGTAGGTGACTAGACACTTTTGATGCTTTTTGAATTCTTTGTCTTTGACTTTAGACAGTTTGACTGTAATGTGCCATGGAGAAGATATTTTGTGGATTGTATCTGTAAGGATATCTCAGAGCCTCCTGTATCTGGATGTCTAATTATCTTGCTAGACTTGGGAAGTTTTCATGCAATATTATGTTAAATAGTTTTTCTAACCCTTTCATCCTTTCTTCATCTTCTGAGACCCTGATTATTTGAATATTTGGTCCCTTTATGGTGTCCCATGTGTCATGAAGGCTTTGCTCATTCTCTTTTCTTCTTTTTTCTTTATTTGTCTGACTGGTTTATTTCAAAAGACCTTTCTTAAAGTTCGGAGATTCTTCTTCATCTAATCTAGTGTTGAAGCTTTCAAATGTATTTTCTGATATATTCAATGAATTTGTCAGTTTCAGAATTTCTGTTTGGTTCTTTTGTATGATATCTATCTCTTTGATAAATTTGTCATTCATATCCTGAATTGTTTTTCTGATTTCTTTGTATTGGTTTTCATAATTCTCTTCTATATCACTGAGATTCTTTAGAATTGATAATATGAATTCTTTTATTGATTTACTCATGTTTCTTTTTGCTTGGGATCTGTTACTAGAGAATTATTGTGTTTCTTTGACATTATCATATTGAGTTTTTTTTTTTAATGTTTCCAGTGTCACTACATTGATATCTGTGTGATCTGGTATAAGTCACTTCTTCTCATTTTTTTAATTTGCTTTTGTAGGGGATTACTTTTTTCCTGAAGATGTATCTATGGTGTTGGTTGTGTAGGGCACTTTGGCTTTGATTCTTGTTGTGTGCAATAATGTAGTCTTTGTATGATTTTTCTTTTGACTTTAAACAGCATTATTTGCATCTGTGATTTCCTTGGTGGTGTACAGTGCAGTTATAAGTGGAGGATACGATGAAGTTCTACTGGGGAGTGGGATGCCAAGCAGTCCAATCTTTGGGCCCCAGGGGTGGCAGCAGTGAGCTGAGCATGTCTGTTCTTGAGCCCCAGTATACTGTATGGTTACACTAATGTTAGGGGGTCTAGGTGGGCCAATTCTTGGGCCTCCAGTTGACTTATTCAGTGTCAGTAGTTGCAGCAGTGAGCCAGGCAGGTGGGCAGGTTATTAGGCCCCTGGGAACTTGGCATGGCATGGACAATGGCAGTGATAGTGGTAGGACAACCCTCTAGGTCCTGAGTGGTATACACTGGCATTGGCAGTGGCTGTGATGGGCTGGGCTAGCCAGTCTCCAGGCCCACAGGTGGTACATGCAGGTAGGTGCCAGCTGAGGAGTAAGTGGCTGGCTAGGTAGACCCAATCTCAAGCACATGGGAGGATTTTTTCACCTACCAATGGTGATAGACTGGGCTGGGCCCTGGCCCAGAGGGTGGAAGAAGGGACAAAGCCAGGCCAGGCAGGCTTGTCCTCAGGCTTCCTAATGGTGGATGCCAGCATCAGCTATGGTAGGCAGAGGTGTCATGATTCCCAGGCCACCAGCAGAATGCTCAGGTGTGACTGGTAGTAGCCACACTGCTGTCCTGCCACTGTGGAAGGTTGGACTGCTGGCAAGGCGGGAATGTTTACATCACTCATGCCTCATCCCTGGCAGCACTCATGCCTCAATTCTTGTTGTGATAGCCACTACCTTACTTATGCTTCAGTCCCCAATAGCTGTAGTTCATGCCTTGTTCAGGAACTACATGCCTGAGCCCTGGCTGAAGTAGCCCACACCTTCCTTATGGCTCAGACCCAGGGATTACAGTCCACAATTCTCTTGCACCTTAGCCCTGGCACTGCTGGGTTCCAGGGCAGTACACAGACTGTTGGGGGCAGGACTCTAAAACGGTGGCTTGCTGTAGCTGCTTAGGTGTCACAGAGTGTGTAAGACCCAGTGCAACCTCCCTTCTTGGAGCAGTGCCATCACAGAATTTCTGCATAGATCCTTATGTTAGTTTCAGGACCCACAAGAGTTGAGGGGTTCTCCCATGTCTAGGATTGCAGGAGTCCACAGTGGGAATGTGGACCACTAAAGATGTCTCATTTATACTTCTCCCATATTGAGGAGTCTCTCATCTCCCAGCTGATCCTGGTCAAGCAGGATGCCTTGCTTCCTTTTTCTTCTTTGCTTTAGGTATTTTGTGTCACTTTTCTGTTGAATTTATTACATTCCAGTATTTTCTCTTCAGGGAACTATACGAAGTGTGATTATCTACTCACTACTTTGGTTCTTTGGTGTGGAGGAGACAAGTACAAAACTCCTCTAGTCAGCCATCATTAGGCTGCTCCTGATTTGATGTATTTTTTATTTATTTTATAACAAAAATATTTTATATTGCTTTACAGCAAGCCAACAACAAACAAAATTGAAAAATTATAAACATGACACTTCTAAATTCTCAAATGGAATTCCAAGACCAGAGTGTGCTCCTCCTCCACTTTAATTGTATTCCTTTCTTTCTTTTTTTCTTTTTTTTGAGATGGGGTCTCACTCTGTCGCCCAGGCTGGAGTGCAGTGGTGGGATCTCAGCTCACTGAAACCTCCACCTCCCGGGTTCAAGTGATTCTTCATGCCTCAGCCTCCCGAGTAGCTGGGATTAGAGGTGCACACCACCATGCCCAGCTAATTTTTTTTGTATTTTTAGTAGAGATAGGGTTTCACCATGTTGGCCAGGCTGGTATCGAACTCCTGACCTCAAGTGATCCACCCGCCATGGCCTCCCAAAGCCTGAAATCTGACTTCTGGCAAGTACTTCAATATTCTCAGTATCTAAAATTGTCACCTCTTCTTTCCTGATAAACGATTTGGGTTTCCTGTTTGTATGAGGGACTATTTGGCACACCTTTTTTTTTTTTTTTTTTTTTTTTTTTTTTTTTTTTTTGAGATGGAGTCTTGCTCTGTCACCCAGGCTGGAGTGCAGTGGCACCATCTCGGCTCACTGCAATCTCCGCCTCCTGGGTTCAAGCAATTCTTATCCCTCAGACTCCTGAGTAGCTGGGACTACAGGCATGCACCACCATGCCCAGCTAAATTTTTTGTATTTTTAGTAGAGATGGGATTTCACCATGTTGGCCAGGCTGGTCTCCTGACCCCAAGTGATCTGCCTACCTCAGCCTCCCAAAATGCTGGGATTACAGGTGTGAGCCACTGCACCTGGTCTTATTTGGCATAGTCTTTACAGTTTTTATCAGGCCAAGTTAAAGGCTGACTACATTTTCTATCATAAAGAAAGAAGTAGAAATAAGGCATGAGGTGCTGTGCATTGTTGGACCTAGAATGATTTTCTTGACAGGTCTTTTTGTGAGGTTTGTAGAAAGAAAAATGTGTTAGGTGCTTAAAAGTGCCCATGATGGTCACTTGAAATGTGTAGTAATAGAATGCCTGAATTGAGCATAAAAGGTTTTTAAATGTATAGTCAGAAATAAGGCAGTAAGTCTGATAATAGTTTTTCACCCCTTTAAGTATTTTTATTTTTTATTTTTTTTTTTTTACTTTTAGTTTTTGTGAGTACATAGTAGTTATATATATTTACGGGGTACATGAGATATTTTGATACAGGCATGTCACGCGAAGTAAGCATATCATGGAGAGTGGGATATCCATCCTCTCAAGCATTTATCCATTGAGTTGCAAACAATCCAATTATACTCTTTTTGTTATTTTTAAATATTAAGTTATTATTGACTTTACTTGTCTTTTTGGACTATAGTAGGTCTTATTCATTCTTTCTATTTATTTGTACATATTAACCATCCCTACTTCCCCCACCAAGCTCCCTGCTACCCTTCTCAGCCTCTAGTAACCATCCTTTACTTTCTATTGTATGTCCATGAGTTCAATTGATTTGGTTTTTAGGTCCTACAACTAAGTGAGAACATGAGATGTTTGTCTTTCTGTCTCTTGCTTATTTCACTTAACATAATGATCTCCAGTTCCACCCATATTGTTGCAAATGACTAGATCTCATTCTTTTTGTGGCTGAATAGTTCTCCATTGTGTATGTGTACCATATTTTCTGTATCCATTCATCTGTTGATCGACACTTAGGTTGCTTCAAAATCTTAGCTATTGTAAATAGTGCTGCAATAAGCATGAGAGTGCAGATATCGCTTCAGTATACTGATTTGCTTTCTTTCGGTAGCCATAAGTAGGATCGCTGAATCATATAGTGGCTCAATTTTTAGTTTTCTGAGGAATGTCCAAACTGTTCTCCATAGTGGTTGTACTAATTTACATTCCACCAACAGTGTACAAGGGTTACCTTTTTCCCATATCCCAGCCAGTATTTGTCATTACCTTTCTTTTGGACATAGGCCATTTTAACTGGGGTGAGATGATATTTCATTGTAGCTTTGATATGCAGTTCTCTGATGATTAATGATGTTGAGCACCTTTCATATGTCTGTTTGCTGTCTGTCTGTCTTCCTTTAAGAAATGTCCATTCAGATATTTTGCCCATCTTTTTATCATATTATTGTTTTTTTTCTTAGAGTTGTTTGAGTTCCTTACATATTCTTGTTACTAATCACTTGTCAAATGGGTAGTTTACAAACATTTTCTCCCATTCTCTGGACTGTCTCTTCACTTTGTTGATTGTTTCCTTTACTATCAGAAGCCTTTTAACTTGTTGTGATCCCATTTGTCCATTAACTGCTTTGATTGTATTTGCCTGTGGGGTATTGTTCAAGAAATTTTTGCCCAAACCAATGTCATAGAAATCTTCCCCAATGTTTTCTTAGAGTAGTTTCATGGTTTCAGGTCTTAGATTTAAGTCTTTAATGCCTTTTGATTTGATTTTTGTATATGGCAATAGTTAGGGGTCTAGTTTCATTCTTCTGCCTATGGATATCCAGTTTCCCCAGCACCATTTATTGAAGAGACTGTCTTTTCACCAGTGTATGTTTTGGCACCTTTGTCAAAAATGAGTTGATTCTAGATGTATAGATTTGTTTCTGGGCTGTCTATTCTGTTACCTTTGTCTATGTGTCTGTTTTTATGCCAGTATCATACTGTTTTGGTTACTATAGCTCTGTAGCATAATTTGAAGTCAGGGAATGTGATTCTTCCAGTTTTGTTCTTTTTTTCTTAGGATAGCTTGATGTATTTTTTAAACAACAGCAAGTATTAACAAGGAAAATGGAGGGAGACCAAATCTGATCAAGTCATTTTCATGGTTAAAATTTTTCAAAGTCTCTCTCCTCATTGCCACTAATATAAGGTCTAAACTTTTTAACATGGCACTTCTGGAGCCTCATGAGCCTCTATTTCTACATGTGGACTTGCACTTGACTGTCATTATCTCCTGGAAGTTCAGAAGTTTTGCATGATACAACCTGCCTTTCTTCATTTTTTCCAATGTACTAACATATGCTGTTTATTTATAATTCTTTCCACATTGGTCTGTGAAATCCTTGACAATAGGAACTGCATTCTGTTCATATTTTTGTTTCCCAGTTCCAGTATTATGAGTTGAATTGCGTCCCTGAAAAAGATGTTGATGTCTTAACCCCCATTCCTATGTATATGACCTTATTTGGAACTAAGGTCTTTGCTAACGGTCAAGTTAAGATGAGGTCGTACTGGTAGACTCTATTCCAATATGGCAAGTGTCTTTACAAAAAAAAAAAAAAAATGGACACAGAAACAGACATGCACATAGGGAGAATTCATGTGAAGATGAAGACTGAGATCGGGATGATGCATCTATGAGATAAGGAGTGCCAAGTACTGCCAGCAAATCACCAGAATCCAGAAGAGGGGCATGGAATAGATTTACTCTTATAGCTTTCAGGAGGACTCAACCCTGCTAATGCCTTGATCTTGGTCTTCTAGCCTGCAGAACTTTGAGATAGTAAATTTCTGTTAGTTACGATGCTTACTTTTTAGTACTTTGTTATTGCAGCCCTAGGAAACTAAGATAGCCTGGAATTGAGTGTTGTTTTAATGAATGATGAAGTAGCTCACTGCATTATTTTACCCCGATCCCTTTCTTGCATGGTTTGTTAAAGTATGCTTATGGAAAAAAGATCCAGTGATTTTTATTTAGTTCAGTAATTCATTTTAAAAACTAGTTTTGAAGCTGGGTACAGTGGTGCTCACCTATAGTCCCAGCTACTTGGGAGGCTGAGGTTGGGGGAATCCCTTCACCTCAGAAGTTTAAGTCCAGCCTGGACAACATAGCATAGACCCCTGTCTTTTAAAATAAAAATAAAAAATTAGTTTTCAAGTATCTACTTTGTCCATAAAACCCCTGGGCATACAAAATAAAAGGGTTATTTTCCCCTCCACCTTCAAAGTGGTAACTATCCAACGTGGGGGAATGAGATATTCCTACAACATATTTGTGCATATCACAGCAGTTATTTATGGCAGCTACGTATTGTGATTAGTTGGTGTTCATTTCATACCAGCTGTTAAATGTTCTAAATATCAACCCTTCCTATAAATAACTATATTCTAATTCTATGTAGAAAATGATGTATCACTAAAAATGAGATAAAGACAGATAAACCGTTAGATGTGGTCAGTGGAGAGAGAGAGTACTTTTAAGTTAAAGGAGTGGCGACTAGGAGGAAGAACTTTTCAGAGGAGATGTTACTGAATACAGGCGTTTGTGAATGGAAATTTTTCAAGATCCACCGAGTTACCCTTCAGATATTTCAGCTTGCTTTCTCCAGCAACAACCCTGCCAGTGGGACATCCTCATCAAACTTCAACATGTGAGATGATTTTTACATCTTTTAAATAATCTATGTAACTTTTGTGGCTTTGTGTGCTGGAATCTGTATACTTCCAAGACAGTGTAGACAGTATTCAGAGGTCAGTGTTTAATGACCTTGGTTTGCATGGCAGCAAAAATTAACTTGGAAAAACTGCATAGACAGATGTGCTTGATAGCTAGAGGCAGTGCCTATAATTTGGTTATATTTTAATGATGGAAGCTTGGAGGATATTCCATTTCAAGTGTAATGAAGTAGTCCATAAACAAGTAGGACAGCATCTAATCACATTCTATCATACAGCCCCATAAGCAGTCAACTTGTGGTTTGACTATTTGATCTTTAAGGATGAAAACAATTTGGTCAATGATAGTTCTTTGAGTAAAGAAATGTAATTGTGTCTGTCATTGGTCATTTTTAATGTTCGTTTAGGGAAGAGACTGACATACTCTTCATTAATTCTTCACCAGCCAATATAGTAGTTGGCACATTAAAAATGCTCAACATATACTTTTTCCCCCTTGAGCTAAAGCAATCAACTAAAGCATACATATCTTTCTTAATGTAGGATGCTTGACATTTGAAAGTATACCTATGAGATGTGACCATTTGGTCTTTGAACAATTTAGTCATTAATTATTTCTGCAAATATTTATTGAACAATTACTATATGTCAGCACTGTGCTAACATAGTCTATTTTGTGCAACCCCTACTTTCTAGGATCATATAATTTTGTTAAAAAGGAAAGATTAGTGCACATAAGAGATTAATATGTAAGGCAATTCAATCTAACTGCCTATATTTTCCATGCTTATATCTAGACTTCTGAGAATTACTGGAGGAAAAAAACCTAGAACAGTGCTATTATTAATCTACAGTCTCCAAACCCTCACTAGACAATCAACACAGCTCTTTGCCATTTTATGCAATTCTCTAAGCAATTATATCTTCCATTTTCCCTAATAGCTATTCCAACACATCTGTGATTTCTTCATTCTCTGACCTCACTACTTCCCTCATTCTTGGTTGATGATCATCCTTTCTTGTTACCAGAGTAAATGGAAGATGAGAACTTCTTTAGTGTCCTGTTATTATCCTACAATCTTAGCATTCATCTCCACTGTCCTTTCCTCCTTTTCTAATTCAGTGGAGGGAGTGACCTCTTATCTTCATTTATTCACTTATTGGATACTTGGATATTTCTTGATATCCAAGTACCAAGGGCTGAATGTACATTAATGGTTCTACAGACATGGTTCTACAGTCATGGTTCTTTTCCTTGTGGAGACTGCACTCCGCCTAAAACTACTTATTACTTTCACCTAAACATTTCTGAGTTTCTCAACTAAGCCATGTTATCTCTCAATGCTGGGTCTTTGAGTATATATTTCCCTCTGCAGGGATGATGTCTCCCCACTCCCTTATTTTCTTGGTTCATTGTTATCTTCCAGGTCTCAGATTGCATATAATGACCTGAAGTTATCCTTCTCTGACACTACCCCCTCTAGCCCAAGGTAGGCCGCCCACCTATATGCTCCCATAGCCACTATTCCTCTCATAGCAGCACTTACCACACTGCATTTTCATGATTTTTATACTTGTCCTATTCTGTAGTAGAAAATAAGCTGCATGAGGACAAGAACACTAGATCTCTAATTTATTGATGTAACAACAATATTTAGGCTGCTACTTGACACATAAGTAGTCATCAGTAAGTGTTTAATGAGTTAAATAGAGGAAGAAAGGCTGGCACAGGTTAGTTCTACTGGAGTACAACTTAGAAATGCAAGAGTTTGTTCCACGCTTCTTCCCTAGCTTTTAGTGGTTGCTTACAATCTTTGATGTTCCTTGGCTTACAGATTTATCATTCTAATCGCTGTGTCACTTACCACATAAATTGCTCCCTGTGTATTTTTTATTTCTGTGTCCAAATTTCCTCTTCTTATAAGGGCACCAATCAATGGACCCTAATCCTACCCTGATCCAATATAACCTCATCTTCTTAAGTCACATCTGCAAAGAACTTCTTTCCAAATAAGGTTAATTACATTCACAGGTACCAGGAGTTAGAACTTCAGCACATCTTTCTGGGGGACATAGTTCAACCTATAACAGATGCCATGTGAGTAGATTGTGGTGTATGGGGCCAGATGGATGGGATTAAGGATGGTTTGTAATATAGAAATAGAGGTGGAACTACAGATCAGTGTCTAAAAACTTCAGTTATTATGGTAAGGAGGCTGTGGCAGGTTGAAGAGATCTTTTCAGGACAGGACAGAGGAATGGCCAAATCCATAAAAGAAGAAAAGCATTGAGGCTAAGGAACTGAATACTCTAGAGAGAGAGAGAGAAAAAAAGAAAAAAGAAAAAAGTAAAGCCCTAACGTGCAGGGGAAGATTTCATTTTACAAAAGAGAAATAATGTTTCTTCCTTTGAACAAAGGGAAAGCAGAAAGGATAGGTATAGAAATGTGAATTTTTCAGAATAAAATAGGTATTAAAGCAATGTGCTAAAGGTATGAGTGGGTATTACAAGATATGTAATAGAAGAAAAAGTTTTGGGCTGTGGCTATAGTAAGTTAATTGGGTGACCTGTGAGCAGTTCTTCAAGCAGGATTGAAGATGCTTTGTCAGTGCCTTAGAAATTTTAAGCAGAATCACTTCTTTCAACCTCAGATTTTGTCTTTGGAATCCAGAGAATATCCAAAGAGTAAGAAGATAATGCTTTGGCTTTTAATTAACCATATTGGCAGTCGCCAGTGTGATTAACTACTCTCTCAAATTAAAATAAAACATACTTTTTTTTGGTATTTGTTAAAGCAAAATTTTCTTTCTAAAAAGGAAGAGATGACAAGTAGTCTCTCATCAGTGTAGACCAGTTCCTACAGGGAAGGGTTTTTTTGTTGTTTTTTAGCTGAAACTTATGCACATTCATAAGTTAAGTTGCCTGTGAGGGTGGGTGTTTTCTCAGACAGGGCCAGCCAGGGTTCAAGATAGATTCTGTGTTTCCTTTAATAAAACCATGTAGACAGAATGTGCAGAAAACTACTAGTGCTTTCTGTAAAGCAGTAAACACCTTACCTAGCAGATCCTAAATAAACTCTGACAGGACCAGTATGCTTAATAATTTTGAATTGTTTAGAGATGGCCCAGAGCTCTCTCCTAAGAAAGTCACATGAAATAAAGTTGAACCAATTCACTGAATGATTATAAGACATCATGGGGCTTAGTTCTCTACACCCGCAAAGAATATTCGGGTACATTGTAATCATAACTTTTCAAAGCATTTGAGTATTTATTCTGAGCTTCAGCACAGTATCAATCTCTGCTGCCAAGCTTCTGCTTCAGGCCCCACCTCTCACTGACACCTCCTCCTCAGCGTAGGCGGGCAGCAAGGGAAAAGAGTGAACCACGATCCGTTCATGGTGTTCTCTTTTTACAGGATGGGAAAAAGATTTTGTGTGGAAAAACTTTCAGTTAAAGGCTTTAATCAGGTTCAGACTTCCCTGTGCTTATGCCTGCATTTCTTATGTTGACATGAGAAATCACTGCTTGGAGATATGCAAGAAAATTGGAAAGATGAACCCAGCTTTCTATAATTGATGTAATCCTGAAATTCTGTATGTGCGTCAAGTGATTGCCAAACAGGTCATTTTTAATTACTTGAGCAATTAGGTGCTTAAATTTGGCATGCCTTTTTCTTTTACTAGAGTACTGAAATATTCACTGATTTTACTTCCTTTTGTGAAATGATTACTTACATTTTTCTGTGTCAGCTTTGTTTATGACCCACATGCAGTAATGTTTAGTCTTATTCTTAATAGCCCAACATTCCACAGTAGGTGGTGTTATAATCAGCGTTTTGGGGTGAGAACTACCAACTCTGTTCACTGACTTTATTTTATAATGGACTAGTTTGTCATCATGTGATGGTCCAGAGCTATTTCTTTTTCATGGACACTTCTTTTCAAAATGGTAACCAATTTTCTTTAGTTGTTACAAAACTATCACTTCCCCGAAATCAGTATTTTGGCCATTTTAAGTGTTCCTTACACAAATCTTCATCCAATTTGAGTCAGGAACTCATTGTATTCATTTCAGTAGGGACTACCCTGTCTTACTGTATCATAAATACATGTTTTGATTGCCAGGCATTTTTGCTTCAATTTTTGGATCAGTAAAGTGGGACTTTATTAGCCCTGTGTGACATAACTCAGGACGGTTGACTCTTTAGTCATTTATCCAGCCTGGAATCTGAAGACATGTTGGTTTTAAATGTGCATTTTCTTTTATCAGTTCTAACTTCACCTATCAAGACCCAGTCCAAATGCTAAACTTCTGTTAATTATTCTCCTTCTCCTCTAAGAAGTAAGTCATGCTTCCCTCACATAATGCTGGTAGCAATATAGAACTCATCCAAACCAGACAGATTATGCCAAAGTGTTGGTGTCATGTTTTCCCAACAACCTGACAGTTTATTGAGAGCACTTTATTTATCAAGTATCTATTATTGCTAGATAATAGATATACTTACTCCTTTATTACAAAGAAATGGAAACTCAAATTTGCATAGTTATAAGACGAAAGAATCAGAAAGTGAAGCTGCCTCTGCTGTTGTCCCATTGCCTGCTCAGTGCTTACCATAAACCCTGTACAGGTTGAGGATGGAGAGCTCATCAAAGTTTACCTGAGGCAATGTGATGCCTTATACAGTTACTGACTGCAGCTACCATGGCTCACTGTTTCTGCCCCTTGCTCATTCAAAGCCACTAATTTCATCTTTAAGGGGGGACTTTCTCAGAGACATGGGACTTTCCTTGTCCTCTTATATTCATTTGTTCATTCATTCTTTCACTTAATACATATTTATGAGGCAAGTATGTAACTGGTTTTGTTCTACTTGCATAGTACAAAATAGACCAAAAAACCATTCATTACAGAGCTTATGTTTTCACCAAGGAGACAGAACATAAAAAACATATAAACAAAATATGTAGATGACTTATATAGTGTATTACAAGGTAATAAGTGCTAAGAGAAAATGAAAACTAGAGCAGGATAAGGAAAAAAATATATATAGTCAGGGGACAGCATTAAATAGGGAGCTTAGGTTCCAGCTCCTACAGAAATTGAGACTGGAACAAAGCCCTGAAAGAAGCATATTCCATGTAGCAGAACAGCTGTAGCAAAGACCCTAAATTGACAGTCTATGACTATGTCGGAGTACTCTAGAAATATCAAGGCTGTAAGAGTACAGCTAACAAGAGAAGTGAAGGACCTCTTCAAGAACTACAAACCATTGCTCAAGGAAATCAGAGATCACACAAACAAATGGAAAAACATTCCATGCTCATGGATAGGAAGAATCAGTATCATGAAAATGGCCATACTGCCCAAAGTAATTTATACATTCAATGCTATTCCCATCAAACTACCATTGACATTCTTCACAAAACTAGAAGAAGCTATTTTAAAATTCTTATGGAACCAAAAAAGAGCCTGCTAAGCAAAAAGAACAAAGCTGAAGGCATCCATAGCTAGCCACATGCAGAAAATTGAAGCTGGATCCCTTCCTTATACCTTGTACAAAAATTAACTCAAGATGAATTAAAGACAAGTATAAAAGCCAAAACTATAATAAACCTAGAAGAAAATCTAAGAAATACCATTCAGGACATAAGCACAGGCAAGAATTCTTAACGAAAATGCCAAAAGTAATTGCAACGAAAGCAAACATTGACAAACAGGATTTAATTAAACTAAAGAACTTCTGCACAGCAAAATAAACTATCATCAGAGTTCCAGACAACCTACAGAATGGGAGAAAAATTGTATAATCTATTCATCTGACAAAGGTCTGATGTCCAGAGTCTACAAGGAACTTAAACAAATTTACAAGAAAAAAACAAACAACCCCATTAAAAAGTGCACAAAGAACATAAACACACTTCTCAAAAGAAGACACCCATGCTGCCAACAAATGTATGAAAAAAGGCTCAACATCAGTAATCATTAGAGAAATGCAAATCTGCAAATCAAGACCAAAATGAGATATCACCTCACACCAGAGAGATGGCTATTATTAAAAAGTCAAAAAAGTCCTTGCCCATGCCTATGTCCTGAATGGTAATGCCTAGGTTTTCTTCTAGGGTTTTTATGGTTTTAGGTCTAACGTTTAAGTCTTTAATCCATCTTGAATTAATTTTTGTATAAGGTGTAAGGAAGGGATCCAGTTTCAGCTTTCTACATATGGCTAGCCAGTTTTCCCAGCACCATTTATTAAATTGGGAATCATTTCCCCATTGCTTGTTTTTCTCAGGTTTGTCAAAGATCAGATAGTTGTAGATATGCGGTATTATTTCTGAGGGCTCTGTTCTGTTCCATTGATCTATATCTCTGTTTTGGTACCAGTACCATGCTGTTTTGGTTACTGTAGCCTTGTAGTATAGCTTGAAGTCAGGTAGCAAGATGCCTCCAGCTTTGTTCTTTTGGCTTAGGATTGCCTTGGCGATGCGGGCTCTTTTTTGGTCCCACATGAACTTTAAAGTAGTTTTTTCCAATTCTGTGAAGAAAGTCATTGGTAGCTTGATGGGGATGGCATTGAATCTATAAATTACCTTGGGCGGTATGGCCATTTTCACAATATTGATTCTTCCTACCCATGAGCATGGAATGTTCTTCCATTTGTTTGTATCCTCTTTCATTTCATTGAGCAGTGGTTTGTAGTTCTCCTTGAAGAGGTCCTTCGTGTCCCTTGTAAGTTGCACTTCATGTCTAAAACACCAAAAACAATGGCAACAAAAGCCAAAATTGACAAATGGGATCAAATTAAACTAAAGAGCTTCTGCACAGCAAAAGAAACTACCATCAGAGTGAACAGGCAACCTACAAAATGGGAGAAAATTTTCGCAACCTACTTATCTGACAAAGGGCTAATATCCAGAATCTACAATGAACTCAAACAAATTTACAAGAAAAAGACAAACAACCCCATCAAAAAGTGGGCAAAGGACATGAACAGACACTTCTCAAAAGAAGACATTTATGCAGCCCAAAAACACATGAAAAAATGCTCACCATCACTGGCCATCAGAGAAATGCAAACAAAAACCACAATGAGATACCATCTCACACCAGTTAGAATGGCGATCATTAAAAAGTCAGGAAACAACAGGTGCTGGAGAGGATGTGGAGAAATAGGAACACTTTTACACTGTCGGTGGGAGTGTAAACTAGTTCAACCATTGTGGAAGTCAGTGTGGCGATTCCTCAGGGATCTAGAACTAGAAATACCATTTGACCCAGCCATCCCATTACTGGGTATATACCCAAAGGACTATAAATCTTGCTGCTATAAAGACACATGCACACGTATGTTTATTGTGGCACTATTCACAATAGCAAAGACTTGGAACCAACCCAAATGTCCAACAATGATAGACTGGATTAAGAAAATGTGGCACATATACACCATGGAATACTATGCAGCCATAAAAAATGATGAGTTCTTGTCCTTTGTAGGGACATGGATGAAATTGGAAATCATCACTCTCAGTAAACTATTGCAAGAACAAAAAACCAAATGCCGCATATTCTCACTCATAGGTGGGAATTGAACAATGAGAACACATGGACACAGGAAGGGGAACATCACACTCTGGGGACTGTTGTGGGGTGTGGGGAGGGGGGAGGGATAGCTTTAGGAGATATACCTAATGCTAAATGACGAGTTAATGGGTGCAGCACACCAACATGGCACATGTATACATATGTAACTAACCTGCACATTGTGCACATGTACCCTAAAACTTAAAGTATAATAATAATAAAATAAAATAAAAAAATCTATTGGTTTAAAAAAAAAGTCAAAAAAACAACAGACACTGGTGAGGTTGTGGAGAAAAAGGAATGCTTTTACACTGTTGATGGGAATATAAATTTGTTCAATCATTGTGGAAGAGAGTGTGGCAATTCCTCAAAGACCTAGAGGAAAAAAATTCAACCTAGCAATCCCATCACTGGGTATATATCCAAAGGAATATATATCATTCTATTATAAAGATAAATACACATGTATTTTCATTGCAACACTATTCCCAATAGCAAAGACATGGAATCAACCTAAATGCCAATCAATGATAGACTGGATGTAGAAAATGTGGTTCATATACACCATGGAATACTATGTAGCCATAAAAAGGAATGAGATCATGTCCTCTACAGGGACATGGATGGAGCTGGAAGCCATCATTCTCAGCAAAGTAACACAGGAACAGAAAACCAAACACCACATGTTGTCACTTGTAAGTGGGAGCTGAATGATGAGAACACATGGACACATGGAGGAAAACAACACACACTAGGGCTTGTCAAGGGGAGGGAAGCAGGGAAGAAGAGCATCAGGAAGAATAGCTAATGGATTCTGGGCTTAATATCACATTGATGGGTTGATCTTTGCAGCAAGCTACCAGGGCACACATTTACCAATGTGACAAACCTGGACATATTGCATATGTACCCCAGAACTTAAAAGTTAAAGGCAAAAAAATAAAAATAAAAAAAGAAACGTCAAGGATGCAAGTGTGTTTTGAGTGGAATGAAGGAGGGAAAAATTAGCTAATGAAGGGAAGACATGTGAGATTAATAACAGGGATGGGGGACAGGGGCATTAGTCATGGCATGCCTTAGCCAGTCTAGGTCTTATAAGGTAGAGAGCCTGCCCCTGCTTTAACAGAGTCTATGCAAGAAAAACCCAGGTAATTTGTGTTTGGTCTTATTGCTCAGTGGTCCTAGCCCACATTTGTCTTCATAGAATAGCTATCCAAAAATTGCTTGCATTATCTGGGTTTAGAACATTGCTTCAGACATGTTTCAACTACACTCACTCATATGAACTCACTTTTGGGTCATTATTATTACAGTGTTTCTGGTCAATGGATAAAAAATACAGTTAGATAAAAGAAATAGATCTTTCTAGTGTTCAGTAGTGCAATAGGGTGGCTATAGTTAATAATGTATTGTGTATTTCGAAATAACTAAGAGTAGAATTAAAATGTTCCTAACACTAAGAAATGATAAATGTTTAAGGTAATGGATATCCCAATTATCCTGATTTGATCATTACACATTGTATACTTGTATCAAATTATCATGTGCACCCTATTTACATTTATTATGTATCCATAACAACTAAAAATTAAAAATGGAAAAAAAATTCTTTACATTTACTTTGGCCGTGCTCGATAGCAGCAGGTAATACAACGCACAGTATGTACTCAGGAGATGCTTATTGAAAGAATGGATGTGTGAATGAATAAATGAATGAGGATAGATGCAATCTTATAGCACAGATAGATATTTCCACCTGTAAATAAACATAAATTCTCAATGTAGACATAAACTACAGATTTATTCATCATCTGAATTGAATATTTAGAATATGATTAAGTGTTAAATAAATTTTAATTGTTTTTAAACACATGCATGTTATGTCAAAGTAAAGGAAATTGGAAAAATTACTAGTTGTGTACATTCAGAAACATGCTCTGGCTCTGAGAGGAACATTTACTAAAAATACCTTGCTTCACCTTGAATAGAGTCACTAGTTAAAAAGAAGCACATAAACCCAATCTCAAGAAAAAATGTTACTCGATTTTTATCTATCTATCTATCTATCTATCTATCTATCTATCTATCTATCATCTATCTATCTACAGTATCCATAGTGCTTTCATTGTCTTTGTGCAGTCTTCAACTTCAAATGTCAACTACATACTTGCTCTGTTTGTTGAACTTACCCGTTTTTATGGTGGTAATTTATTTCTACAGCTCTTCTTGTAGCTAAGACCGTGGCATTTACTGCTGGCATAGTGGATGTAAATTGGAGTCTCTGAATTTGTTTTAGCCTTCTCTTTTCAGAGTTTGGAATAACCTCTGTACTTTTATAAATATGGTAGATTGACCTTAGCACGTGGCTAAGAAACTTTTGTAAATACATTTTTTAAAACTTCCCTATTTTCATGTATAATAAAGTAACAGTTTTGGGAAACATGAGCTGATATGTATTTTAAATTTTATAGGAAAAGCCAGTTTGGGGTATTTTACTCTTTGGTCATCATTTGCTTAATAAACAAATTGTAAATCTGAGGCAAACAAATATATTCATTGTTCCATGGGGTGGCAAAGCATCAGTAAAAATAATTACTCACATCACAAGGAAATTAGATAACACTTGCTTTAATTGCCCTATCAATTTAAATCAATTTTCCATTTATTTTTAACAACTATTATGGTTAATTTAACGATCATTGCATTTCAAATATAATTCCAGAGATGTTGCTTTATAATTTACTATGCCATCATTTTTCAATTAACTATTTATGCTATCTTAAGAGTGCATAACCTTACCCAATATTTATTCAATAAAAGTATAGTGAAGTAGAGTTAATATTTTTAAGTATTTTTTATTATTGTTGTATAAAATGCCAAATATTTTAATGATAGCTTTATTATTTTACTAGGTGTGTGGTTTTTCTAAAAAAGTCTTAAGCCAAGTAAGCTATAGAAATTATGTCTGTAGTCAAAAGGCCCTTGATTAATATCTGTCTTCTTGAGTAATTTGCATGTTAATTATCTTATGATTGTAAAATGCAATGAAAATGTATGCTGCAAGTATTGTACTGAATGAGCATTCAAACATATTCTGAAAGAGATTTTTAAAAATTCTTATACGTTTAAAGAGTCTATTAATTATTCCTTTAAAATGATCTCATAATAACTTTTTAAAATACATTCATGTGTCATTTAACAATGGGCATGCATTCTGAGAAATACATCATTAGACAATGTCATCATTGTTATGGGAACATAATAGAGCGTACTTAGCAAACTGAAATAGAATAGACTACTACAAGCCTAGGCTATGTAGTATAGCCTGTTGTTCCTTGGATACAAACCTGTATACCATGTTACTATACTGCGTACTGTAGGCAATTGCAAAACAACGATAACTATTTGTGTAACTTAACATATCTAAACATAGAAAAAGTACAGTAAAAAATAAAAGATAAACAACGGTACATCTGTACAGGGCATTTAGCATGAGTGGAACCTATAGGACTGAAAATTGCTCTGGGTAAATCAGTGAATGAGTAATGAGTAAATGTGAAGTCCTAGTACATTATTGTACACTACTGTAGACTTAAAGAACACTGTACACTTAGGCTAGATTAAGTTTATTTTTAAAAAGTTTCAATAATTAACCTTAGCTCACTGTAACTTTTTTACTTTATGAACTTTTTGACTCTTTTGTAATAACACTTAGCTTAAAACAAACATATTGTACAGCTATACAAAGTATTTTCTTTTTTCTATTCTTATTCTATAAGCTTTTCTTTTTTTTTTTTTTTTTTTACACGTTAAACTTTTTGTTAAAAATGAAGACACAAACACACACATTAGCCTAGGCCTACCCAGGGTCAGGATCATCAGTATCATTGTCTTCTACCTTCACATCTTGTCCAACTGGAAGATGTTCAGGAGCAATAACATGTAAAATGTTACAGCATGGATCTGTCATCTCCTGTAATAATAATGCCTTCTTGTAGGATACCTCCTGAAAGAGTTGCTTGAGGCTTTTCTACAATTAACATTTTTTTTAATAAGGAGAGGGGTACACTCAAATATAACAATAAAAAGCATAGTGTAGTAAATACATAAACCAGGAACATAGTTATTTATTATCATTATCAAGTATTATTTATTGTTTACAATTGTATATGCTATACTTTTATATATGTGACTAGAAATGCAGTAGGTTCATTTACACTGCATCACCACAAACACCTTAGTAATCATTATGCTATGATGTTACAATGACTATGATGTCACTTGGCAATAGCCATTTCTCAGCTCCATTATAATCTTTTGGGCCCATCATCGTATGTGTACTCTATCACTGATCAAAACATTGTTATGCAGTGCATGACTGTCCTCTATTCTTGTTATTGCTTCATAGTTTAATATAAGTTAAGATTGTATAAGCCATAGTACAGTGAAAATCATCTCTTAAAAGAGACAATCGCCATGTTTAAAATGATTTGATATTCTGCCATGTTATAAAAATAATATAGCCTAAGTATACATTTTAAAGTTTTTGGCAGGACGTGGTGGCTCATGCCTGTAATCCCAGCACTTTGGGAGGCCAAGTTAGGTGGATCACCTGAGGTCAGGAGTTCAAGACCAGCCTGGCCAACATTTTCAGTGTCTACTAAAAATTTAAAAAAGTAGTCAGACATGGTGGCGTGTGCCTGTTATCCCAGCTACTCAGGAGGCTGAGGCAGGAGAACCGCTTGAAGCCGGGAGGCAGAGGTTGCAGCGAGCTGAAATCATACCACTGCACTCCAGCCTGGGCGACAGAGCGAGACTATCTCAAAAATTAAATTAATTAATTAATTAATTAATTTTTTAACATTCTTTTTATTCTTTATTTTCCAATAGAATATTTTTAAGGAATATTTTTAATTTTTTAGACTGTATACTGGAATAATTCACTTTTTTGTGTGACTAGTCTCACAATTAGTTAATCAGTTAATAACAATAAATGCTAGGAAATATAAAATATGACAAGGTGGCAAGAGAACAAAACATGAAAGGCAAGCATCTAGCTTCTTTTCCTTATCTTCTCTCTGAAATTATTACATGTATATAAACAGTGTAACTTATTCATGGCTCTTGCCTCAGAATTTGTGCAATTTTTGAACAATTCTATTTCTCATCTTGAAATATCAAGAGTATCCAGGTCTCTGCCCAAGTGATTGGCAGTACTTCTGTTCTCTATGCTAGAGTAACAACAGCAATGAAAATGAGCCCATAGAGTCAACAATGAGCAGGACTATACTTGTCTTTTTCCTGGCTCACCTAGGATTCCTCCACACCCTTCACCTGATCCCTGCTCTGGCCAGTTACCCTTATAAACAGGATAGCTGAGGAACAGCAGTTAGGCATACAGTCTGGAAATAGAACAAAACTACTCACATGGGGTTGACTTCAAAATCTTTGCCTCATTTGCATTAACAATTCTTCAAATATTTAAATAACGAGATTGAAATACAGTTTTTAGTGTTATTTATTGCTGTTACAATAAGTTGAGGATTCATTTTTAAAAACTGTTAAAATGTGGCTAACTGCATTTTCTAAAAACAACTACAACAACAAAACAAGGCTTTCCATTTTCTGTTCCTTTCTTATAGGTTTAGGCTTCAGTATTGCAGGAGGTGTGGGGAACCAACACATTCCTGGAGACAACAGCATTTATGTAACTAAAATTATAGATGGAGGAGCTGCACAAAAAGATGGAAGGTTGCAAGTAGGAGATAGACTACTAATGGTGAGTGTGACTCCAGCAAAACTGTGTGTATATTTATAAAGCTCTTGTTTTCCAGTGTATGACTGTCTTTGTCAGTTCAGGCTGCCATCACAAAATACCACAGGGTGGGTGGCTTAAAATGGCAGAAATCTATTTTCTCACAATTCTGGAGACTACAAAGTCCAAGGTTCCAACCGATTAGGTTTCTGGTGAGGGCTCTCTTCCTGACTTGCAGGTGGCCACCTTCTCACTGTGTCCTCACATGGCCTTTCCTGGGTGTTTATGCAGAGAGAGATCTGTCTCTCTCTTTCTCTTCTTACAAAGCCACCTCTTACAAGGCCCAGTCCTATTGGATTACAGCACCATCTTTAACTCATTTAACCTTAATTATCTCCTATAGAGCCTATCCTCAAATACAGTCACAGGGAGGTTAGGGCTTCAACATATGATTTTGTGAGGGGTCCACAATTTAGAACTTGGACAAAAATTGAAAAGAAGAGACAGCAGATTTATGAGTAAGAGATTTCAAAAGTACATGTACAATGTATCTATTTTGTTGACATTTTCAAAACAAATCTAAATTTTCATTAATTTTCTTAGATACACATGGCATAGAGATTATCTGTTGTTCTTCCAACATAATGTGTCTCCTATTAGGGAGAGCAATTACTATTTATAGACTGCTGGAGAGGTGGGGTTTGCATAACAATAGAAACAACACCCTGGCTTACTGATAAGCGTATTTCCACAGTCCTTTGTGCAACCAGTATAGACACAGCTCCTGACTTCCAAGAATTTATAATCTGAGTTCTGCTACATGTGTAAATGGATCTCTTCCTTTCCTCCCCTTAGACAGGGTTATAGCTATTTCATTTGCCAGCTTCTCACATGCTTCAGTAGTCCTAGGCAGTGATTGACATTGACACACAGCCAGTCTTTCTGAACCATGGAGTTATATGATAACCTAAAGCAAAATTAAGGCGATTATAAGCAACAAAGCATTTGGGACTGTGTTAATAAAACTGCCTTATGTCCATTTACTGTTGTATGCCAAAATCTACAGGATAATAATCGAATATTGTAAATTAATAGTAGGTAGCTCTCAAGTAAGATTAGTGTATCTGTCTAGTCACATGTCTACCCTTGTAAAACAGGACTTCTAATCTGTCTGCAAGGAGCCATTATCTCCAACAATTTTGTGAGAAGTGTCTGGGGAGGATCAACCCCCAATCTCAACAGAAAATTAATTTTTATGACCTGTGCAAGTTTTGGAGGTTGAACCTCCAAATTTTATATTTATTTGCCTACTTCCCTCAGCTTTAGAGAGCTGTGTTTAATCGCAGTGGTCTAATTTCATAGTTGCCAATGACCTTTGTGTTCAGTAAGCTTTGTGTTAGATAAGATCTTTGTAATAATCTTGATAGCTAACATTGACCTGGCATTTACTAAGTTCCATGTTCTTTTATAAAGGGCTTTTTTGTAATGTAACATATTTCTAACAGCAGTACATTTTATATAAGCAAAAAAGAATTGAGATGTAGACAGGTTTTCTGACTTGCCCATAGTCATATGTTTAATAATGGACAAAACTGGGTTTCAAATTGAGGCAATCTGGCTAGCACCACTCATTACTACCAAGCTATACTGCCTCTTGTGCAACATGGTTTCATTAGTTTCCTTGAATTTGTCAGTCAGTTCTTTCCTTTCCTCCTTTATTCATTATTGTCATTCATTAATTACTTTTTTAATAAGTACATGCTGCCCACCTACTGTGTCTCAGGCAGTAGCTGCTATTCAGGAAGGAACTTTGTCTTGAGAAAACTGGATGGGCAAAAAATATACCATTAATGACTTCAGTCAAAGTTAAAGTTAACAGTTGTGGGCTGCTTTACCACCTGAAGCCACTACCACTTTCATTCTCAAGCAATTCTGAATTTTTGTTTGTTTGTTTGTTTGCTTGTTTGTTTTTGATGTAAAAGTTTGTTCTTATGATGTTGTTCTATCTTCTGGACAACAAAGGTTGTCATTAAGGTATAAGACCTGAACAACTTCTTTCTGGAATATAAACTTTATTGCTTGAAATGTTGTCTTGGGAATAGAATAAATTGTGATAACCATATTCTACATAGTGCTAAGTTGAAAAATGAAGACCGTTTCGTTCTCAAGTAATGACTGTCTTAGATAGTTACTGGTTTGACCTTTGACTCACGGTTCCATATGAGTTTGGTTGCAGGCAGCTCTTCTGGTATTTCTTCATCCACTGCTATTGTACCATCATGGTAAATGCTATGTGCTTATTTCTTGAAGTTTTGTTTAAATTTTTTGTTTTGTTTCCAAATTTAAAAAAAAAAAAAACTTGCTCCAAATAATTCTGTCAAAGGATTTTCCAGGCACTACACTATTTTTTATTACCATTTTGTTGATATTCATCGTAGATATAATGATCAGTCTAGTTAGGACAAAATAGAGATTGAATAAATTAACTTTTCCAAGTTTACAGAGTAAAAATGAGCAGATCTCTGCCTGGTTTTGTGAAAAAGCCTTAGCACTGGTAAATAGAATATTTCTATTCCTACACCATTCTTTCAGTATATCATCACTGAAAACAGAAAGATAGGCACACAGATTCTTCCCCGTAGTAACTCATAGTGCACTAGGTGAAAGAGATGAAGTATGTATTAAAAGTAGAATGTGATGGCATTTATTATTCAGATAATCCCAGGATTCTAGAAGAAAACAAAGAAGAGTGACAGTCGAGTTAGGGTGTGAACTTCCAGAGGAGCATTGCTTAAGCTGAACTTGAGAGCATTGTGCAAAAGCACAGTAGTCTGTTAAGAACTAGAAATAACCTAGCTTGTGCCACTTCGGGAGTATTAAGACATAAGCCTAGAAAGGCGGACAAAGGTTAGATCTTAGACTGTCTTGTATTTTTCTCATTCCTGTTGATTACCTACCTCAAAATTGAATATGTTTTTCCTCCTGCCTAAAACAAAACTACTTAAGGGCAAAAATTTAAATTCTTCCTTGGTGTATGTGCAAACAAGGTTGAATATATTCATGCCTACCTTATTTTGGACTAGGAATACAGTAGTGTACTTTCCGAAGGCTTGCCTGAATAGTATATAAGGTGGAGGCAACTGACTAGTTAGGTCAGTATTTTTTAGAAACTCTTAATAGCTCATACTCTTGATGCCAAAAGCAGCCCTGATTGTTAAAGCACACACCTGCACAAGAAGCAGTGATGGTTGCGTTTACATTTCTTGGGTGCACAAAAAAAATTCTCAAAAAGCAAGGACTTATGCTTTTTGCAAAGCCTTTGAGAAGTTACTGGATCATAGGAAGCTTATAACAAGAATGGAAGATTCTTAAATAACCCACTTTCTTTGGTATCCAGTAACAGTAGATGTTCAAAATATGTAGCTAATTAATACTAGCATTGTGAACGCTGCACAACCTTTTGGTTATTACTAAGCAAGTTACTACTAGCTTCTGAAAAGTAGCTTCATAATTAATGTTATTTATACACTGCCTTCCATGACTTTTACTTTGCCTTAAGCTAATCTCCAAAATCTGAAATGCTACTCCAATATCAGAAAAAAAGGGGGAGGTGGAAATATATTTCCTGTGATTTTAAGAGTACAGAGAATCATTCACATCTCTGGTTAGTTCATATATGTCTAGTGTGTAATAGAAGTCAAGATGAACTCTCAAAAAAAAATGATTTCGAAAATAGCTGTGACATAATCCTTAATTGTTTTGAGTTTTAAAGCATAGTTTTTTTTAAAGAAACTTCAACAGTAATAGGTCTCTCCTCTCTTATGTAAGGAAGACAGAATTAGTACTTCCAAGTTGAAACTGGAAATGAAAGAAAATGATTCATTTTATACTTTGCAAGCAAAATAACCCTGAAAAGGAGAATAAAGACAAAATCACTGAAGCCACCCTAAAAGACCAATTATCTTGCTTCAACCCAAAAATATTTATTAATGCTCTCCTTCTGTCATTCCTTTCTACCTCCTCTTCTCTTTACTACCCTACATTCATATTCTTTGTATCTTCCCCCTCTTCTACTCTCCTCCCACAAAGGAAGGACAAATGATTTAGATTCTATGATGTACCAGCTGTACCACACTCTGCATATTTTTCTCTAAATATGCTATTCTTTCTAAAGCAATTTGCACCACTTCCTTCTGACACTTCTTAGGAAAAATTCCACCATATATTATTCACTCAGAGTTCTGTAAGTAAACTGGTCTAAAATAAAACTCCATTAATTTCTTTAGGCTTTCATGGCTGAATACTCACAATTCAGGAAGTCTCCTAGCAACTGCCCTCTACTGAGAGCACAGTCATTTTTTAAAGAGTTAGTAATAACAATAACTCTTTTAGTTTCTCAAGTAAAATAGCTATAATGTTGGGCACCACCTGAATCATACCATCCATATTGGGTACTTTTTCTCCCTGAAATTCTTCTTATATCTCAGAATTTAACGTATGTATCTTAAAGGTCATCTTTTATCAACTCTTGCTTGGTGCATCAGAAAAGCAAGCATGTGAAGCAGTCTCTGACCTCTCATAGAACCTCCTTTAAGGATGGATAATACCTCCCGAAAACTATTTATTAGGTAATAAGTATCATTAAAATGTTTTCCTTAAAATTCTGTTAAAATATATTTTCCTGTAAATGTCCCCCTTTATTCATAGCTCTGTCACTTGAAAACAAAAAGGTGAAGACTAATTCCTCTTCCACATATGTTTGAAAGAGCTATGTCTTTCCACTTCTCCACTTCTCAGTTTTTTAGGATGTTTTAGACCTTTTCTCTCTCTTCCAGTAAATTTTATCACATATTCATTTATCTTCTGTAAATAGATTATACTTATTACAAAACTTCTTTATATTCCTTACAGTTTTATTTCCTACTTTAAAAATTCCATGTAATAGTATAGTATGTGACCTTTGTAAATATTCTACTTAAAGAAACAATTACTCTGTCTGTTACCTTTGCAATAAACCTCTTGGTATTTTAAATAAGATGACCATAATATCAGACCACTCTGATGTTTAATGGGTCACCCAAATACATGGTATATGTTCTTTTTAGCAAAATAATATTTTTAAAAATTTCCTTTGTCACTTAGAATTTATTGTTCACTAGAATTTTGTTTTGTTTTTTAAATGGTAAAGTGACAGTGACATTGGATTTTGTGGATTGTACCAGTGGTTTAGTGTTGTAGTCTCAGATGAAATAGATTCTCTTGGCCTTGAATTTCAGTGGTAGTCAGAGTTTAACAGCATAACAGATTTTTAAATTCTTTCATATATTTTCACATATTGGCTTTATTAAGCACTTCCAAGGTGATACATATAGCCCAATATATTAGAAAAGTGTTAACTTCTTCCCCTTTTTCTATATAAACCAGAAATGTTGAATCCAGGATAATTTGATTGTCTTCTCTGCAGGGACAGCATTAGTTATTAGTTGACAAAGCCCCTTGGCACATTGTAATTTAAGGTTTAAAATCTTAGCCTCTTCTTTCCATAACCCCTGCTCGACATTTGAAGAAAAAATTGTCAGTGAGAGAACTTTTATACCTTTTACAGAGAATTAGTTCTTGTGTTTTCTTTCCTTAAAGGGAAGTAGTAAGTGACAGGAAAAGTAACAGAGACATTGAAGTCGAGCGGAAAGACACTGGACTCAGATGAGAAAGCTGGATTTCAGTCACAGGCACCTAGCACTGATTCTACCTAATCTGTCTTGGGCAAGTCACATCCATCTTTGGTCTTCTATTTTGGCCTCTGTACCATAGTAGCATTATATTAGATTGGTATTTCCAAAAGTATGCTTTAAAATATTGTTCTCTTTTCTGTGTCACGTGAATAGACTCTGTGACCAAATACGTTTGCTAAATTCTGCAACTTGTATCCCAATTCTCTTGAAGATTCTCAATGAATTTTAGCATATTAAAAATTCTGTGAAGTCCTGCCATCAAGTAAGTGATTTGATTTTGATTAACAAATCTGTTTTATCATGGAGCCTTCTTCTTAGAGTAATACTTAACAAAACACCTAAAACTAGTGTTTAGTGGAATATACTCAGGATGTGCTATGTGTGAGCATATCTTATTTTTATTTGAAAATAAATATCCTAGAGTAAAGCCATGAAATACTTTAGGAAATGTGAGTAGAAACAATGCAAGTTTCTGAATGAGTATTAGTTGTGATGACTGAAATTGTTATTATTTTTGGTAAATCTACAAAATTGCCTGATTTCATCCAAGTATCAATAAGAAAATCAAATTGAAGACATTGCGAATATGTAGAAATTATCTGAATAATGAATGGGATGTTAAAGCATATTCATTGGTTATACCAACCTTAGATATCTTAGAATCAAGACCTGTAACTCTCTGAGCATGTCTCTTTCCTACCAACAACACATTGCTTTCATCTTGAAAAGATCTTTTGCCTACAACACCTCATTTATTCTTAACCCCCATCTTTGAGAGGTAGTTAGGACAGTCATTACTGTTATTCTTATTTTTCAGAAGGAAAGTTAGAACTCAGTTAGAACTTAGACAAAGGGATTTCCAATATTACATAACTAGTAAATTGTGAAATTGGATTCAGACATAGATTTTGATGTCCTGAAGTTAAATTCCTTTCACTGGTTTTGTCAACATCTCTGATTCTTGATTTTGGTTACACATTTGAATCTCAAGATAAGCTCTTGAACACTATGAATACCCAGTCCTCAGTCAACCCTGAATAATCAAATCTGGATTTCTGGGGTAGGGATCATGCTTCATTTTATTTTATTTTTTTAGGTTTTCCAAATGATTTTAATGTGCAGCCGGGTTAAGAACCACCATCCTACCTTGATCTAACCACATCCTAGCCCATTCTGCTGCTACCACTGCATCTCCTAAGGACAACTTTGGTGGTAGTGCTCATTCTATCAAGCCAGTAGAGTATAATTTAGCAATTACCTGCAATTGGCTAAAAAAAATTTAGAACAGTTCACTCTCAAAATTCTGTCCCCTGAGTTTAAAGTCACTTCTGAAACAACAGGATAAAACCTGGACAACTGTTTCTTGAACTCTCTTCTAATTTATCTCAAATGTAATAAGTTATAATACAATGTAATTGCTATGACATATTTTATTTAAGGGTTAGAACCTCCTATTGCACTCTTTTTTATTTTGCTTATACTCAGTGTAATAGCCCTCTTTATAGAATCTGCTCTGTAAGTATCATGTTGCTGTCATTTTAAAATTATCTTAATAGCACACTCCAAAGGTTGCCACTAATATATTTCTCTACTCTAAATTACATATATATTACTATGCTAATATATTGTTTACATTTTAAAACATATGAAAATGGAAATAGAAATATAAATATCCATGTGATTAATATTAATAGAAATGCAAATGTTTTTCTCTTGTACCCAGTGGATTGCCCTAGGGTTCATATCATACTGTCCATTTTGGTGACCTCTGCTAGAGAAGAAATTTGAGTAAATCAAAACAATCACTCTTGCTTGCTCTCTTTCTTTATATGGAGTAAAAGGTTAAGAAATGAATTAATGATTAATGAAGGAAGAATAGAATCACAATGATGGAGCTTTGACTGTGTACCTTATAAACTAATATGATCTGGTGCTAAGATTCTGTACCAGCTTTTCATCCTTATATCCTGTGCCTGGCACAGAGTGGGTATCCAATAAATGTGTATTGTTGCTTGAATGACCTTCATTCTTATTGCTTTACTCTCTGACTCAACACAAATGTAAAATAGAATGCAACACAAATGCTTCATTCTTTCTATAAAATAGGGAATTTTGATTGCTTTTCCTTTGGTGTTCTGCGATCATTTTTTTAAAACTTAGCTTAATACCTCAACACTTATTAAGTGCCAACTATTTATATTGCATCAGCTAGGGGAATAGAGATGAATATGATCTAATCAGTTGCCCTTGAGAAGATCATTCTTGGAGGTGGGAAGAGGCACTGTAGGAATAAGTGTTTCACAATATAGGGATTGATAATTTCTACATAAAGAGCCCTGAACAGCAGCAGGATCAACAAAGCATGATGTCTGATTATGGCTGTTTGATTTCTATTCGTATGCTACTTTATATCATACAGAGTCTTTTCAACTTCATGGTATTATTCTTTTCTCATAAACACAAATCTACAAATAAGTATAATTCCCATTTTACATGTAAGAAAATGAATTCTTAGTAAATATGTTAACTGACTTAAATTCGTGAAACTAGGAATTAAAACCAGATCTGATCTGATTCTATGTTCAAAATTATTCTCCCTGTATCAAGTTGCCTTCGTTTCTAGAAACAGCAAGGTTTAACATATGAATATTATTTCTAGTAAATTTAAGTCTATTCATTGGCCTTGAGAAATTAACTTTCTTTTTTCCCATTCCGATTTTCATTACTCATGAGATGCTGCTGTGTGTGTCTCATAATGACACCACTGTACTTAGCTTCTGTTCTTTCTTAAAGTTTTTGTTCTTGCTCATTTAGAGTTAATTTTGCTCTATGACATACATATTCATTTCTGAAAAGATGAAAAACAAGAAAATATTTATTATCCAAAGATAACCATTACTAACATGCCTTTTATTTATTAATAGTTATTATTTTGAATACATTTTATTATAATAGTTAATTTCAGAGTACTATGGAGATTTTAATCCTTGGTTTATGCATATTTATTTTCATAGCATTGGCATTACTACATTGGATTGGTCTGCTTTTTAATTTATCTTACAACCTAATGATCAGCCACTTTGTTTCCTGTTTAAAAGTTAACTTTAGAGTTTTCTTACCAATGATTCTAGAGTTCCACATTTCCTTGTACTATGCCTTAGGTAACCTTAATGTCTGTAATCACCTCCCAGTTCATCCCACCATACTGATATTCCTGCAAGAACATGGAAAGGTCAGTATCTTGCCATCTCTATATTGCTCATTCCTCTTTATTATATTCTCATGCCCCCACACCTCCCACCTTTGTATTATTACATTTATGTTTGCTTACACACATTTGAATTCCCACAAAACTTGCCATGTCTCCTTGCAAGTCTCCTGGCACCTCTTTCTTCAGCTGGTTTGCCTTCCTTTGTCTGCATCATGTTCAAATTCAGTGCTCCCTCTTCTGTTTGAGAGAATGAGTCATCTCACCTCCAGCCTCTCTTTCTTGGCCTCAGTCCTCTTTCCTATTAGCAAACACACAGCCAGGCTGCACATATGTCCCCGTCTGTGTGGTGCACCCCACAGAGAGCACTTCAATCAAATTCACATGATTTTTTTCCTTGAAACCAGGCCAGTTGCTCAGTGTTCACCATTATAGGCAGATATTTGATGCAAATGAGAAAAAAAAGAATAAAAAAGACAATGACAAACAATGACAAGAGCAACTAGCCAATCAGTGTAATGTCCCTTCTCATTGCATACAATCAGCTCCAGCTGTAGGCCCTTTATCTTGAGAGTTCATAGGATAATGCACACACATAATTAACCCAAACAAACTCACTTTTGTGGAAAACATTTTGAAGACTTCAGCACAAAAGAGCACTTTTTGGTCCAAATCCGGTACTATTCTGAATTTTTAAAAAGACCACACAGAAGCTTCATCAGCAGCACCCTAATTAAACTCATCAGTTCACAGATGTTTATAAGAAAATGATCAGCGAAAATTTTCACCAAGAAATCCTGCTTACAGATGATGACAATAGTATTAGTGATAAGAGCTAACATTAAGAACTGTATTGTGCCTGTCACTTTATATAGGCCAACACATTTTAATCAATAGCCTTTTGAAGCAGTAACTGCTATCATTCCTGTTTTGCAGATGTCAAAACTAAAGCTTACAAGGTTAAACAAGTCTCCCCAAATCACACAGCTAGGAAGCACCAGGGTCTAAGCTTCAGTATGCGTGACTCAAAAGCATGTGCTTTTAATCACTACATTCTGTTGCCAGTATCATAATACCACCTGTTCTGTGACTGAAATCTAAGTAAATTTTTCAATATTTCAGTCACCAAATAGAAACTGAGTGAACTACCACTATTTTAAACCACTATTATTATTCTCCCCAGTATCCTCTTTCCCCATTTCTCACCACTACCTTTCCCTCAACTTCTGCTTTATGGTCTAAAAATTTTCCTCGTGGTCTGAAGACTCTGTTAGCAAAGTCACTCTATGAAAATGTTGTTGAAGGTAATATTTTCTGGATCATTTCACTGCCCACCTTAAAAATGGCAAAAGGTGCAATTTAATAAGCACTGACCACATTTCTCTTTCACTGATAATCTAATGAGCTGTGTAGTTTCCATACTCTGAGGAGAGAGACAATGAGCCCTTGTCAGAAACAGAGCTTTGCTGTCACTTATAATCTAATCCAGTTAGTTTCTAGCCTTTGGTTTTTATTTTTAATTATTATTGACTTCTCATTCCCCCTGTGTTATGCCACCAGATACTGTTTCTCTTCTGTTCTCTCAGTATAGATGTTTTTGTGGGCCATAGTCACAGTATTAAAAGCTGCCTTAGGCAATCTTTTTTTTTTTTAGAGGAAACACCCACTTTCATATACATTTTAAACCATAGAACATCACATGTAAATATTCATTATCGGCCAGGTGTGGTGGCTCACGCCTGTAATCCCAGCACTTTGAGAGGCTGAGGTGGGTGAATCACCTGAGGTCAGGAGTTTGAGACCAGCCTGGCCAACATGGTGAAACCCTGTGTCTGCTAAAAATACAAAATTAGCTGGCAGTGGTGGCATATGCCTGTAATCCCAGCTACTCGGGAGGCTGAGGCAGGAGAATTGCTTGAACCCGGGAGGCAGAGGTTGCAGTGAGCCAAGATCACGCCATGGCACTCCAGCCTGGGCAACAAGAGCAAAACTCCATCTCAAAAAAATAAAAAGAATAAAAAATAAATCATTATCTAAGCACAAGTGGTAATGGCCCTAAAATAAATGATTAATCAAATGTATAAGAAGGTTTTGAAGAGACAGTGAGATCAGTGAGATATGTTAAGCTGCTTTCCATTTTACTTATTTATTTTTTGACTGGTCAGTGTATTAGGATGATGCAGTATACTATTACCACTGGATTAAGCAGGAAATATAATGATTCCTCAAGCTTTTATAATACTTTGGAATTTATTCTACTTTTATATGTAAACTCGGAAAGAAACCCTGTTCTCCTAAAGGGAGAAAGAACAGGTGATATGAGCCCTAGCTTTTAATGAATCAACATACAAATATAATCTCATTTTCATCTCGTAAGGAGGCTTGTGATCCAATTGATGGCTTTGACAATTGGAGGCAGTGTGACCTCTTTGTTGCAAGTTAATCTCTTTAAAAAACAGTTTTTCTCATCTGTAAAATTTGCCTGATTAATAGTATCTACTTCCTGGAGCTCTTCTCATGATAAGTTATATGATTCATGTCAAAATATGTGACATAGGACTCCTAAAATATATGGCATGCAAGTATTAAATAAATGTTAGTTATTATTATTATCGTGTTATTTCTGTATTATTAAGGGCTGCCATTATCAACTATGTTCTCCATACCTGAAGTTCCTCTACATTCTCCCTCTCTGCATGAGTCTATTCTTCTATCCATTCATTCCACAAACAATTGTGTATTATTAATGTGGGTTTCATGAAAGCAAGGACCTTGTCTATCTGGAAGAAGTAGTATAGCTGAGTGGTTAACAGCATGGTTTCTGGAGCCAAACTGTCTAGCTTTGAATTCTGCCTCTGACACTTACCAGATCAATGACTTGGGGCAAGTTTCTTAACCTCTTGGAGACACACTTTTCTCATCTGTAAAATAAGGTAATTATAATAGCTACCTCATAAGTTATCGTGAAAGTTTGATTGTGTTAATATATGTAAAATACTTTAAAATAGTGCCTGGCATGTAATATGGGCTATATGTGTTTACTATGATTATTGATTATCATTTTTATTATTTATCATATCTCTAATATCTGGCCCAGAGTCTGACACATAACAGGTATGCAGTAAACATTTGATCAGTGAATAAACAAATGCCAGACACTGAAATGAAAAAAGATTTAAGGGAACATGTCTTATCTAGAAGAGAAATGTGAGAGGTGCTAGAGAAGCTTACGGCTTAATGGAGAACTCACAGCCAGCATTCAAACACATCAGTCAGGTTCAATTCTCTCCAGTTCCACAGTCCCTAACCTGGGCTACATCACCAAGGATTAACTAGCACATGGAACTTACATAGCAACATGGAGCAAAATAATAAAGATTACGAATAGTAGTGCTGCAAAGTATGGTATAGCTGAAGTGCTAATTAGATAGTATAGATAATGTGTACTATAGGAATTCAGTCCAATGCTTTTGGGACATTTATTTTAATTTTACATTATACCAGTGGAAAGTAATTAAACAATTATGTCATTAAAGAAATAGTAGCCAAATAAATTCAAACATATATGGTCAACTAAGTTTTGACAAAGAAAATAAGAGAACATGATGAAGAAAGGCTAGTCTTTTCAATGAATGATACTGGGAAAATGGAATCTCCACATGCAAAAGAATGAAATTGGACTCTAATGCCATATGCAAAAATCAGCTCAATTTGGCTAAAAGACCTAAACGTAAAACCTAAAACCATAAAATTTCTAGAAAAGAACATAGGGGAAAAGCTTCCTTGACCTTGTCATTGACAATGTTGTTTTGGATATCACGTTAAAAGCTCAGGCTACAAAAGGAAAAATAAATAGGACTACATTAAATTCAAAATCTTCTGCAAAGCAAAGGAAACAATCAACAAAATGAAACAAATTGGGAAAAAATTGCAAACCATATATCTGATGATAGGTTAATAACCAAAATTTATAAAGAACTGATACAACTCAAGAGTAGAAAAACATTAACAGGATTTTAAAAATGCACAGAGGACATGAATAAATATTTCTCCAAAGAAGATGCAAAAATGTCCAACAGGTATGCAAAAAGGTGCTTAATATCACTAATCATCAAGGAAATGGAAATCTAAACTGCCATGAGATATCACTTCACAACTGTTAGGATGGCTATTATCAAAAAGATGAGAATAACAAATGTCAGTGAGGATGTGGAGAAAAGGGAGCACTTGTACACTATTGATTGGGATGCAGACTGGTGTAGCCATTATGGAAAACAGTATGCAGGCTCCTAAATAAATTAAAAATAGATTTACCATGTTACCCAGCAATCTCTGGTCTTGTTATATACCCAGAGAAGATGAAATCACCACCTTGTAAAGATATCTGCACTCCCATGTTCAATGCAGCATTATTTACAATAGCCAAGATATGGCAACGACCTTCATGCCTGTCAGTGGATAAAAGGATAAAGAAAATGTGGTATATATGCACAATGAAATATTCAGCCTTAAAAAATGGGAGATCCTGCCATTTACCACAACATGGGTAGACTTGGAGGGCATTATGCTAAATGAAGTAAGCCAGAACAGAAGGAACAATATTGCATGATCTCACTTATATGTGGAATCTTAAAAAATAAAAGTCAAATATACAGAGATAGAGGATAAAACAGTGGTTACAGGGGGAGGTGGAAAATGGGGAGATACAGATGAAAGGATAAAAAGTAGCAGATATGTAGGATGAACAAGTCTAGAGGTCTAATGTGTAACATAAAGACTATAGTTAATAAAATTGTATTATATTAGGAATTTTGCGAAATAAGTAGATTTTAGCTGCTCTTGTCACAAAAAATTATAACTATGATGATGGATATGTTAATTTACTTCACTATAGTGACCACTTTATTATCTATATGTGTGATATAACATCATGCTGTGAACCTGAAATATACACAACAAAATTTATTTTTTTATATAGTAGCCAGATACGGATAACCTAGGTATTTGAAATACTTCCTGAATTAACGTTTATTCTAATTTCCTCAAAGTTTAAGTCTTTTTAGAGAGATTATCTTAAAATCATTTCAGAGAAGTGGTGCAGAGACCCACTGTAATGCCACTGCCATGAAGTCAGTGTATCATTTGTATCACAGGCTTTTCCATGCAATAAAGAAAGAGGCATTTCTGTTAACACAATGACAATAGGGTACCCTTGAACTTGCTCACCTGAAAAGACGTGTTCTGAATAGACTCATATTAAATGACATTTTGATGAGAACCATTTTAAAGTGAAAAAATCAAGGTTTGGCGAAGCTATAAGGAAATGAGGGCTCTCATATAATGCTGGTATGAGAGTAAACCGGTTCATCTTTCCAGAGGGAAACAGGCATTTTCACACTAGGTATCAAAAGCCCTGATAATGTTCATATAGTTTGGTCCAGCAGTTTCACTTGTATGGGTAAATGTGTATCAAAGAAATATTATCAGAGTTGTGCACAAATATAGAAAAAGGATTAGTGCAACATTATTTATAGTTTTAAAAAATTAGAAGCAAACTAAACATGCGCTAGTAAGAAACTGGTTAGATCATTATACTGTAGTCATGCAACATAATGCTCTGCAGAAAACAAAAGTCATCTTGTTAAACTACATTGCTGCTACAAACAACTAGTCACTCTAGGTTTAAAAAGCAGGTTCCAAAACAATGTGTATAATAAAGTCAAAATTGTTTAAGGCAATATATCTAAGTAGGGAGATGATGAATGATTTTTATTTTCTTCTTTTTTAAGTTTTCTTCCACTAATATGTGTTACTTTTCTATCATAGAAACTATAGCATAACAAAAAAGGCATTTGACTCCTTATTTTCCTTCCCACAAATACTATTCTGAATTCCATTACTGTATATCACTTCCTCATTTAAAAAAAGGCAGAAGCAACCTTATTTTATAGAATCATTGATTGTACTTATCTGCTTTGACTAATGCATTTAATTCATCTGTTATGTCAAGGATACTGGACAGTAATTATCACAATTTATAATTCCAGGTATCTTCTTGCCTGAATATTTTTCTTCTGCTCCATAGATTTAACTCTAATATTGATCTTTTTCACCCTTTCAGGTAAACAACTACAGTTTAGAAGAAGTAACACACGAAGAGGCAGTAGCAATATTAAAGAACACATCAGAGGTAGTTTATTTAAAAGTTGGCAAACCCACTACCATTTATATGACTGATCCTTATGGTCCACCTGATATTACTCACTGTAAGTACCATTGTCATCTTCAAATAGCATGCCAGACTTGCAGAACTGGAATTCTATAAAACTGTTGACAAAGTGTTCTACTTGTACCTTCCCTCTTGGTTAACTTCTGGAAATACTTCAGAGGGAGTATCCTAAACTCCACTCCTATGTTGCCTTGCAGGCCCTTACCTCCTGTTTGAAGATGAGATCTCCTAATGAGTTGGCATGCCCACCATTATGGAAAGGCTTAATGTTGAGGACAGTGTGATTAAAGTAGTGTATGGGCAATACATTTTGAAAGGCTATTTCTCAAGCTCCTAAAGCATGATCACTCTCATGCCATCATATTATTTCTTCCAACTTCAGATCTCTGTAGTAGTAGATTAGAAAAGAGACTGGCAAATAGACCAGAGGTAGCTCTATGATTCTTCCTGAAAAAGGGGATCTTGCAATTGAATGGCGAAATTATGATCCTCAATCACCATCACATAGCTTTTACTTTACTTGAATTTGTTATATTGGCAAGTAAGCTGGAGAAAATTATCAGTCACTATGGCAATAGAGGTGAGCTGGAAGTGGGACTTCTGCAGCAACAACTAACAACTAATGAGACTATGCTGGGGTCCTCAAATTTCCACTGTTGCATAAGCCTCATATGTTCTCCTCTTCTTAATAGGTCAACACGAATCTTAACTAAGTTTCTGTCTTTGAAGACTAGATTTAGAAGCAATTTACTTTGTTATGTAAATGTAAGGGATAGTTGTGTCAACAGTAGTAAGCTTGCTCATTCTGAAATGTTGAGAGTCCATTTGTGAGACTGGAAACTTGGAACGTCTTCAGAACTGGCCATTAATTAGTACTATGGTCTCAAGCAAATTGTTCAAGTTCTCTCAGACTTACATGTTTCTCTTGAGAGAAATGTGTTGAACAATTTTATTTCCTGCCCATTGCATTAGCTATTGCTTTTCTTAATGATGATTCTGAAACAACTTACCTCCAAAATATGTATGTTTTCAAGCTGGCAGTAAATTGAGATCAGACTTACCTTAGAATATGAAAGAGTTTTAACTTTCAGAGTTTTTCAAACTGGAAGAATGTAGCAAAATCAGCCCTGATAGTCTGTGAGCCACTTCATGCAGGGCATATAAGGTCAATGTCAAAGACAGAAAAGGGAGAAAACGACTCTAATAAACCTAACAAATAAGTATTGAGTAATTTCAGTATGTACAAGGCACATTGTAAGGTAATATGTGGGATGCAGAGGAGATAGAATCATGGCCTTCAAAGAGCTTTGTTGGGAGGAAGGCTAACTCAGATATATAAATAAAAGCAATATTTGGCAGAATAAGAGGTATGCATATGCCATGGGAGAGGTGAATATAAATGTTATTTGGGAACTCAAAGAAAAGAGATACATCATCTGTCTTTGGAACATCAGAAAAATATGCATAGGATGGCATTTCAGTTGCATCTTCAGAATGAGATTTCAACATCTGAGATGGGTTAGGTAGGAGAGGCAAATTCTAGGTAGATGGTACAGTGGAACAAAGGTACAGATGTCAGGAAGCACAGCCTATGTTTGCGGATGATAGGATATGTGTTGGGGGGTATTAAAATTGATTGATCTTGCAAGAATGGCAAAGAGGAGAGTTTATACTATATTAAATACATAACAACAATGGAGAACATTTAAGTAAGAGAATAGTGTGGTCAAGCTGAATTTCAGGAGGTTTTACCTCATCTCAACATATAAAATGGATTTGAGGAGAGAGAAAGGAGCAAGAGACCCAGTTAGGAGGTGTTTTTAGTCACCTAAAAGGGAGATACATTAGGAAGGAGGAATGAAAAAGAAAGGCCAGAGTTCTTGGCCTTTGTGGGATGGGAATAGAGTATATTTTGGGAGAAAGTCTCACAGGAGAACCTGATCCTTAGGAGGCTTTTACTCTCAGTAATTGGATATTAATTATGTGAAAACAATGTGAGCTCTGAAATTAGAAAGCTAACATTTTATTTCAATAGAAAATTAATCATTGTTCTGAAAATATGTGTGCTGGATCTCTTCTCCAGTTCTTCTCTTCACCAAATTAGACTAACTGGCATTACAGACTTAACTATTATTAAGTCTTTCCTATCCTAAAGGTCACCATGTGCTTGTATATATTAAATGCAAATAAGCTGCAACTCCCCCCTCTGGGAGGACAAGAAAAACCTTGGCATGCAGCAAAGCCTTTCTGTTTTTAATACATTTTTCTGAAGTATAGCATGACACATTGAATCACCCACATAACAGGTTTCTTTTCTCTTTTTCCCCCACCTCTTAGCTTATTCTCCACCAATGGAAAACCATCTACTCTCTGGCAACAATGGCACTTTAGAATATAAAACCTCCCTGCCACCCATCTCTCCAGGAAGGTACTCACCAATTCCAAAGCACATGCTTGTTGACGACGACTACACCAGGTCAGATATGCCTGTTAGTTAATTGGATTTGCTCTTATTACCAGAAAGAAATCACATTTGCCTAACATGTCAGGTGTTGTTTTGGATGCTAACTAAAGCTTCTGGGTCCCATTCAACCTTATTGTAGTTTTGCCTCAGGTGCATTGCAACTGTGTCATTGTCCTCTGATAGGCAGCAAAATCACAAAATATTTGTGAATAAATAGTAAGATACACTTATACATCACTTTGCCATTTATTAAGACTTTCTATATCTGATCACATTTAAGCTTTACAGCCATAGTGTAAGGTAAGTATTAATACTTGAGAAGAGAAGATAGTGCTGAGATTCAAAAGGAAGGAAGTAGCATGCCAATATTATATATTTGGTTAGTGGAATTCAATGGGTAAATGAATAATAAAGAAATGTAAATGTAAAAACTTTTTGTCTTTAACTGGTCATTACATTTGGCAAAGGAATACAAAGAAGATCAAGGAACAAAAATTTCCCCCAAACTCCCTCCAGAGTGACCTGTCCCAGGGTACCCAAGGTGACGACCTGGCATAAACCTTTCATACCTTCTCCATGTTCTTACAAACATATACAAATGTATTTTCAGATATACGTGGGGCCTGACATTATTTTTACAAAATGAGTTTATGTTTTACACATTGTTCCACAATTTTTCTCCATGAACAATACTTTTATCAAAAATGAGATTACATGTATACATATGTGTGCTTAATTTCGATATGTGTTTGTGTGTAAAGAATGATAGATGGGTTGTTTTGGTTTTATACCCTGCCTGTCTAACTGAAGTCATTTGTCAGCCTTTCAAAAAGTAGAGACTTTCTGCCGGAGAGGAAAGCTTTCCTCACTGGTATATGTGGATGCTTTGATCTTTCTGTTCTTTGGTGTATCTTTTTAAATGATTAAGCATTTTCCATTTATTTTGCAATATCAGGTTTGCTGAAGTAGCTCTTTATATCTTTAGCCAAGGAATGGAATGTTTAGACGCTGAAAATGTGCATCCATGTAAATCAAATACAAGCTTCTTCCTATGCTGAAATGTCTGATCTCTATGCTCTTAATTAAAATGAGGGCTGCGGCAAAGATAATCCTCACGGCTCTCTAAGGAATTCTGTAAATACAGGCACCTTTATCCACCAGAGTGATGATCTCTTTGCTCTCATCCTATTACTAATATTTGATATGATTTTAATTTAGAAATGTCACTTTATGTTACTAGGCCCCATAGCGAATTAACATTTATTCAAGCCCCTTCATAATCCAGACCCTCTGCTAGCTGTTTTTATACACTATCCATTTAATCCTCCGAAAAACACACAGAAAAAGGCTTTCATCTCCATTTTAGAGATGTAGACATTGAAGTTCAAAGAGGTTATGGAACTTGCTTATGGTCACATAGCTTTTATTAATAAGTAGAAAAACTGAGTGCCTTAACAGCTTTAAAATCCTAGCTAAGAGAAAACGTTTTAATTTTCTAATATTAAAAATGAAAACCAAGTCATATAAAACTATGTTCATCATAGAAATATGTGGCTAGAAAGGGACCTCAGAGTTTTGATGAGCTCTAAAAACAACTAGACCATAGTTGAAACCTACCTCTACCACTGACTGTGTGACCCTGGGCAAGTCATTTAACCTCTGCAAGCTTCAGTTTTCTCACCTGTACAAGGGAATAGAAAGTGAGTCTATCTCAATAGGTTGTTGTGATGATTAAGTGAGCTAATGAATGCAAAGAACTTAGAAAGGTGCCTGGCACATTATAAGTACTCAACGAATGTTATCTATTTACAGTAACTATACTTACTGTAATCTTAATCCACTTCAGATGTCACATGAAATATTTTTACGGTACACGTGAGATATGCCTCAATATCTTAGATCCTGCCCCTGCCTCCTTTCCTGTTCCCCTAGAGGACAGTCTCACTAGTATTTCCCTACAAAATCAGAATGGTTGGTGCCTGGCAAACTGTTAAAGTAAATTATGTTAGTTCACACACATAAACATACACATACACACCCCTCCACCACTCTCTTACCATTGTTGGTGTTCTCTCATAGGTGCTTCACACTGTAGGCGTTACCATGGGTCTCAGAGGTATTTGCTCAGAGGCAGATTCACTTTCTCATTCATAAATATTAATTGAATACTTCCTATAAGACACCTGGTGCTGCACTAGAGATGCACAAATGAATAAGAAATAGCATCTAAGAACTATTCAATTGAGGCAAAAAAAAAAAATGTGTAAATCAATGGATTCCCCAATGCCTGTTCCCTAATTTATGCAGAACCCCCTCCATGAAGTTTTCCACAAAGCCTAATTTATTAATTTTTTTCAAAATCTTGAGATTATATATTTTGTAATCAAAATGCCCTTTCTTTTGTAAAAGAATTTGGCAATTATTTATTATGTTTTTACTTAGAAGAGAAAAATTGGCAACTTTTTGTTAGTCTTCATTTTTTAAATGTTAACTATCTGTAAAATTCAAAAGTCTGAGAATTACTAACAGAAGCAAGCAAGCAAAAGTAGGGTCAGTTCTCTAAAGTGCCCTTATGTAGCACTAGCAGAGTTCCCTAACACCACAAGAGACACTTAGGAAATACTGCTAAATGAGTATGAGTATTACATGAATGCCATAGGAATAACCTATGGCATCAAAGAAAGTTTTAAAGAGGATATGACTCTAATTAGTACTTGAAAACTGTGTAGGCATTGGTCAGAGAGTCAAGAGATGAGGAAGGGCATTTGTGGTAGTGGGATAGATTGTGCAGACTCACAGAAGAATGTGAAATAGAATAAAATGAAAGCAAGAATTAGAACTTGAAATATAAGACTCACAAAGGAAAATGGTACCTACCTTTGGATCATCTTTATATTCCTGTTCCTTCTCTCCTATGCACCCTAGCTGTAAGATTAACAATACATAGAGTAATAAAAACAAAAGGATCATTACTATTCACCGTTAACAATAAGTGCTGTAATATATATTATTGCTCCTATATTATTTATATGATATTCTTATTCTTGATTTTTACAGATTAAAAAATTCTCAGAGAGGTTAAGTAATTGCCTCATAGCATACAGCAATCAAATAGAATCAAAATTTGAATTCAGGTCTGTCTGTTTTCAAAGGCCCCATCCCTGCATCCCTGGTTGGTAGTGCTCGTCCTACCACTTACTACCTAGATAACTCTGAACAAGTCAGTTCATCTCTGTGAGTCTTGATTTTCTCATCCGTAGATTCGCTATAAAGGATCTTCTAATTTCTTCATGGAATTGTGAAGTTTTAATATGTTAACATGCACGAATGTTGTCATTTTTAGAAGGCTCTGTAAATTATTATTCTAAGTTCATTTAGGTGCTTATGTTTGAGACCTACTTTGTATTTTCCTAAAATAGTAAATCAAGAAAATAAATCTCTAATAACGGAACTTGGGCCAGTAGGGAAACATGTCTGTGAAATGGGAACTTTCCCATAACCTATAAAATCACATCAAATTGGAAAACTTTTGTTCCATGTATTCATATCTTAATCTATTGTAATAAATGTTTCTCTACTTTCCTGATTTATAGTCACGTTTGTTATGGATGTACGGTAAGAATTTTAAAGCAATTTTGATTCAAATAATTCTACAATAACCTAGGTAGATTTTTTAATCTATTTCTATTAAAGAAATGTACACCTGCATAAACTGGGAAGTTTTATTTTTCCATGAATTTAGAAGAAAAGTCACAAATAAAAAAAGTTTTGGATACAATCTCTTAGTAGCATGCTCACTGAGTCCCTATAAATCGGCATTCATTGTGATGTAGATATCTGATTTTCAATTTTTGGAAAATAAAGCTATTACAACAATACTGAGATTGTTTTTGTCTCAGGCATTATAGACTGTCAGAATAGAAAGGGCCATAAGTAAATATAGAGTCTAATCTCTCTTTCTGGTTGGGCCAGAGACACAGGGCCCAGAGTGATTTGTTGGCTTTCCCTGGTCCAGTATTTGTAAGTAGTATAATCAGATTTAGAGCCCATGTATATGTGCACTATTTTTTTGGCTGGAGTAAGAAAGTAGCAATTATGAAAAACTATCTTCAATCAAGGATTACCTGGTAACAGTGTCTATTTTGTATGTTACCGGTAACTATGAGTTCTATCTTTACTGGGCCAAGTTTTCCCTAGTTACTCAGAAGAGAGGCAAACCACACATCATCACTATCTGGCTGAAAATACTTAGGATATGCAAACAGTACTAAAATGAAACAAAAAAATTGGTAATGCAAAGTAAAACTACTCTTTCAAGATGTAGGGACCTAATTTCCCAAGTTATGAATGTGATAAATAGCATTATGAAACCCAGGGACCTAAATTATAACTGTAAAAGATATATTTCTCAGTGTTAGAAACCAAGTTTACCTAGCTGTGAATTTAGTGTGTCTTTCTGGCTGCCTCTACTTATTGGTCCCTCACATCATTTAGTTCATTAAAAAGCATCATATAAAAAAAGCCTCAATAAAGATTTCTTGTCCACAGACACTTTACAAGAACTGCCCCAAACTGTAACTCTAATATTCACCAGTTTGACTCTGTCACTTACTGAACAGACATAATCTCATCAGTCTGGAGTCCACATCTACTCTATTGTCTCCGAATTATAGAACACTAGCTTACTAGCCATGTCATCTAATATATATTCAAGTTGCCTTTTCTCCTTCGTTCAGTTATTTGCTCATTCAGTGAATATTCAGCTTCTACCCATGTCAAGCATAGTTATTAGCAACATAGTCACAATGGTGAACAAACTGGTCAAGGTGCTTGCCCTCATGGAATTTACATTTTAGTATATTGAATAAGAGATGTATAAATAAATGCATTAAGTTCAGTTAGTGCTAAGTGCTACAAAGGAAGTAAAATAGGATAATGTGATGAGCAGTGATTGGGGAAGAGAACAATATGAAGTAGGATAACCAGGCAGTGCCTCTCTCAGGAGATAGCATATGGACTGAGACCTGAATAAAAAGTAGAAAGTGGTGATGATTAAAGATCAGAGAAATAGCATTCCAAGAAGAGGGAATAGCAAAGCCAAAGTCATTGAGGCAGGAATAAGTTTACTGTGTTCCTGCAACATAAAGTCCAGTTTGGCCAGAAAGAGATGAGATAATGGGAGCAGGCAGAAAATTAGGTTAGATAAGGAAGCAGGAAGCAGAAGTAGGACTTCACAGGTAATGAGAAAGTGTAGGTCTAATTTTAAGTTCATTGAGAATTCATTGAAGAGTACTAATCAGGAAAACTGATCTGATTTATGTTTTTAAAAAAAAAAAAAAAAAGTTCTGGCTGCTGTGTGGAGTAGAGAGACCACTGGAAAAAAAGAGGGAAAAGATTATGACACCTGGGACTGAAGTGAGGGTAGCAATGGAAGAGAAGAGGAATAGAGAAATCCGAGCTATATCTCAGAGCAAGGTTTAATAGCCCATGTTCCACGTGAAGAGCAGACCTGGCTTAGTCAGACTGTTTTGACTACTGACCATTTTTATAGTTTTTATTACCTATGGAGTAGTCTTTCAGGAACAGCATAAGTATTTGCCACTGTTATTTGTTTCTTTTTGTTCTGTTTTTCTTATCTCTTATTGTTTAACTTTGTGGATTAGAACTGGTTAGAAGCCAGCCCACTGTTTGTCAAATGTTTCTACTCACATGCCCTTAACTTAGAAAATAAACTTGTTCTCCTCAGGCTCTGAGGTAGAACATGAAGATTTCTGCCCAAGCATAAAAACACATAAAATCTTGTATATTTTATCACAAAAGCTTGCAGAATATTGTTTGCTTTAAAGTAAAAATATTCTTATTACAAACTACGTTATTTTTCTTCCGAGTCTTAAAATGAAGTCGACACACCAGAAAGGTTTTCTGAAGATATTAGTAATCCCTGGCAAATACCACAAACCCCAAGGTACACTTAAGTACCCAAGTTTGAGAAACACTGAGCTAAGTTACACAAACTTGCCAATTATTAATTGTGTTTTATATAAACTGTCCCTTAATAATGGCTCAAGGTTTATGGTACCCATTAGGAACAAGCTCTCGAAGGATCAGACAACACCTCATCAGAGTACAGTACAAGCATGTTCTAGCCTCTCTTCTTTTTAGTTTACATTTAATGACTTAAAACCATTCTGAGTGAACTAGAAGTTTCTTCTTATACAGGAAAGAAATCTTTTCTTATATGCTTTTGATGCAGGATTTCTCTTGGCCCCTTCACTGGACTCGCGGTAGGGGCACCCTGTCTACTTGGCCCACCGTGCTCAACCCCTTGTGGGAGGGGGCATGTGAGTGAGTGAGTGTGGGATCCAGCTGGTTGCTTCAGGCACTGGCACAGGAGCAAGCTCCGTGTGGGGCCCATGGCCAGACAAGGCATGTCTCCTGGAGGGGAGCGTGGTGGCATCCAGGTGAGGGTGCCCATAATCCCATAGCCCCAGAGAGGGTGTCACAGTACTCTTTTAGTTCTGCCATTTGTAGACAGCAGTATGTTAGCAGCTCAGTTGGCCCCTTGCCTCATGGTGTGGGGCGGCTGCCCTCCTCTGGTGGTGGCAAGGTCTGGTGTGACAGCCTTTCTGAGTACCTGCACTCAGTGGTCCCAAGCTCTCGTCCAGCATCCATGAAGAATGAGGTCACACAGATGATTAAATGATAGTGAAGGCGGATAATTTGACTGAGCGATGAAAACGTCTCTCAGCAGGGAGGGGAGCTAGAGAGGGGACAGGAAGAACAGGTCTTCTTCCCTGAAGTCAGGCTGTAGTCAGGGTTCGCTGGAGGAATAGAAATAATAGGATGGATGCATAAGAGGAGATGGATGTATAAGGGGAGTTTATTAAGGAGGACTGACTCACATGATCACAAGGTGAGGTCCCACAATAGGCCATCTGCAAGCTGAGAGGCAAGGAAGCCAGTCCAAGTCCCAAAATCTCAAAAGTAGGGAAGCCAGCAGTGCAGCCTTCAGTCTGTGGTCAAAGGTCCAAGAGTCCCAAAGCTGAAGAACTTGGAGTCTATTGTTTGAGGGCAGAAAGCACCCAGCACAGGAGAAAGATGTAGGCTGGAAGACTAAGCCAGTCTAGTCTTTCCATGTTCCTCTGCCTGCTTTTATCCTAGCTGCACTGGCAGCTGATTAGATGGTGTCCACTCCAATTGAGGGAGGGTCTGCATCTCCCAGTTCACTAATTATTGACTGAGCCTGGAGTCTTTATATACATAGGATGAGGGCAGGACAGGCCATAGGTAGTTTTGGAAAAGGCAACATTTGATTGGTAAAAAGGCATTATCCAGAAAGAACCAATCAGGGGAGAGTGGGTGAACAGGAGTAGAAGTTATCACTTTGGGCCATGGGTTTCAGGCTGTTATTTTTGCTTGAAGGTGGGGTTTCACTGGTTACCCACCCCTATCTGCCTAGGCGTTTGGCTGCCTCCTGTCACTGTCACTTTTAGTCAAGTATGGTGGAAAACAGCTAGAGTACCCTAAGCAGGCAACTGACCCGGCTTTAGAATTACAGTAGAATAACAGAGTGATTAGGTGTGTGGGTCCTGGAGCTACCCTGCTTAGGTTTGAATCACACCATTTCCTAGCTGTGTGACCTTGAATCAGTTATGTAACTCCCCTTTGCCTCTGTGTTGCCGTTTATAAAAGGGGCAAAATAATACTTTCTACATCATAGGTTTGTTGTGACAATAAACTGAGTTAGTACATGTAACGTGCTTGGCAAAAATAAGTACCTGATAATTGTTAGCTGTTATTAATACTATTGAAAAAACAAGGATTTTAAGATGAACCGTGATACAAATAAAACCACTTTTTGGCAAATATCCTCAAATTATTTATGGAACTGTAGCCAACAATATTACGCAGCTGCTCAAACATGTTGTAATCTACGTATATGGATTTTTCAACTTATTTATCTTGTAGAACACATTAGAATATTTTATTACAGAGAGTCATATAGTCTGACTGCTTTATTGAGAATCTTAATTTTTATGACTACAATGAATATCTAATACCAGCTGCAATGAAAATCTAATACAGAAATCAGTGGAAGCAAATATGGTATAAACTAGTCTATCAGTTTTCCCTCTGGCTAAAATATGATTTTTTGATGGAAAATTTGTTGATTTTGCCCTTTTAAAAAATTCATAGTGACTCTCAATAGCTAACTCTAGGTAGCTTTTCCCTTAAAAAGTTCTGCAAAACATGACATCAGACTCCTTACAGACTTTACAAAGTTCATTATAAAACTTAACCAAATTAAAGGTTCATGAACAAATGTCTCTGAGATTTTGTTTTGCTCTGTGTTGCATTTCTGATTTCTCCAACATAGAGACTGGTACTATAATGTATGTTTTGAAGCAAAGTGTAGAAATGAAAGGGGGGAGTGAGACAAAACTAGTGAGACAGATAGATCATTATGTGGAAGCCTCAAGGAGAGTTTTCTCTTTATTAATGTAAATAAACAATAAAGAGAAAACTGACCACACAAAACTTTAAACCACATAGGTTTACTTATATAAACCATGAAGAATCATTCATAGAACTATCCTACTAGAAGTAGGAAGCAGAGAGAGTGGGTATGCTAATGGCGAATCTAACAAATCTTAATTCAAGGGGAACATCCAAATATATATTAGAAAACACGTTAAGCTGCTGTTTGCTTTCAAGGAAATAAATATTAGCAAAAATGCAACACTAATGAGAAATTTAAAACCGGCTCCTATAGATATTTATCATTTCCTATGTGCTCATGAGTTAGCCAGACATAAACACACAACACTATGCTCTATAATTTTATGGAAATGGTAATTGCATATACATAGCTATTGTTGCTATACATGTAAAATTTGAATAGTAATTTAATCAATGTTGCATTACATTTTTAATGGAGTAAGTTCATCCTTGCTTTCATTCTTTAGTTCATTGATGCAAAAAAGGATTGATGATAGGCAATGGAGAATTTTGGAGGGACCGCTGTAGAAGCCAACCATCAGTTGGTCCCTATCCTCTTACAAGTTAACCACTATCATGAACACAATGTGAAGCTTATTTCTGGCCATAATCTGTATGACACTGAAAGAGGATTTATACTGTGACTCAAGAAAATAGACATGGTCTGTTCTTCTAGGAGTTTATTTTCATGTTCATACATCCATAAGGTGATAATATAGGACAAGAAGATATCTGATTCCTAATTGCCCACAGATGTATACTTTAGCAATTGTCCATGACACTTTGCAATCCCTGGGTGATTTCCTGCCATCTCATATATCAGTGGTCCCTAACCTTTTTGGCACCAGGGACCACTTTCATGGAAGATAATTTTTCCATGGACAGGTGGCAGGGGCAGGATGGGTTTCCAGACGAAACTGTTTCATGGTTCCACCTCAGATCATCAGTCATTCAATTCTCATAAAGAGCATGCGACCTAGATCCTTCGCATGTGCAGTTCACAGTAGGGTTCGCTCCTTTGAGAATCTAATGCCAGGGGCTGATCTGACAGGAAGGGAAGCTCAGGCAGTAAAGCTCACTGCTCACCTCCTGCTGTGTGGCCAGTTCCTAACAGGCCATAGACCTGACCAGTTGAGGACTCCTGTCCTATATCATTAGCTGCTGTGGGTGAGTTTACTATATTAATATTAGTAATTACCTGAACAAAATATAGGAAAATTGTGAGATACAATCATTGCATTCCAAAGACATTCTTACGACACTATCAATTTATAAATTTCATAAGTTTTGGGTTATGTCGTTCATTTTTTACTTCTAGGTAATTGTATTAATATAGATAATGGGGCAAACTATAACTGTGTAAAAACACATCTTGAAAATACTGCTTTATATATGTCTCCAGATATTTTTTCCATCTTTATATCCATTTGCTTTTTATTACCTACTGATCTACCTTATAGCCCTCCTTAATTTTTTTCTTTCAATGTTTTATTTTTGTCTAATTTCATTTTCTCTGATTATAAAAGTAATATATATTTGTAGAAAAACTGTAAAATAAAAATATAAAGAAAAACTACTAAAATTACTGTTTTTCCTACCACAGAGAGATAATTACTTGAAATATTTTCCTTTGAGTTTTTTCCATGTCTGTATGTTTATTCATGTAATTTGGACCATACTATGTGCAATGAGAGAGTTTTTGCTTTTATTTTTTGCTTTAGCATTATATCTTGAGAATTTTCTAATGTTCTTAGTCTTCAAAAACATGTTTAGTAGCTGTATAATAGCCTATCGTATAACTGAACCATAATTTACATAAGTACTTTCCTATTAATAGACATTTATTTTTAGGATTTTCTTATTGTGCTTATACAATCTTTCTGCCTTCATCTCTTGATTATATATGTATTTAATATAAATGCCAAATTTCCACTGCCTAATCAGCATCTCACTTGGTTGTCTTATAAACATTGCATATTTAATATGTCCAAACACAAACTCTTGCTTTTTATTCCCAGTCTGTCCTTCCATAGTCTTACTCTCTTTTTTTTGAGGCAGGGTCTCACTCTTTCCCCCATGGTGGAGTTCAGTGGCTCGATCTCAGTTCACTACAGCCTCAGCCTCCTGGGGCTCAAGCAATTCTTCCACCTCAGCCTTCCAAGTAGTTGGGATAGCAGGCATATGCCACCACGCTGGGCTAATTTTTGCATTTTTTGTAGAGACAGGGTTTCACCATGTTGGGCAGGCTAGTCTCGAACTCCCAAGCTCAAGTGATCCCCCTGCCCTTAGCCTCCCAAAGTGCTGGGATTACAGGTGTGAGCTACCACACCCAGCTTGTCTTCCTCTTCTTAATAAATGACGGTTCTATGGGAGCTGTTGCTCAGGTCACAAACCTTGGGGTTTGCCTTCTCTTTTTTTCCGCCTTTCATATTCTATATGCAGTCCATCAACAAATTCTGTGGGTTTTACCTTCAAAATACATCCACAATGTGCCACATTCCACTACCAGCACACTAGTCAATTCATATCATCTATCATTTAATTATTGCAATAGCTCCCTAAACAGCTTCCATTTTTGCCTTTGTTACTCATGCTGCACCATACATTACTCTTTTAAATTCAGATCACGTCATCTGGAGTGAAATCTAAAGCCCTTATTTATGAGACTCTTTATGATTTGACTCCAGCTGGCTGCTCTGACCTCATCCCCCACCACTCCCTTCACTGATACTCAGACTTCCTTGTTACTTGATCACAGTAGGCATACTTTGCTTCAGGAAGTTTGTGCTTGCCCCTCCTTCTGCCTTGAATGTTTTTCCCTTCCACATCCACATGTCCACATGGTTTGCTTTTCTTTCTTCACCTCTCTGGTCAAAAGCCATTTTATCAGAGAGGCCATCTCAGACCTCAGATAAATATGAGCCATCCACGATCACCCTTTCGTCCTGTGTTCCCTTTTATTTTTCTCTCTAGTGCTTATTCCTGCTTGACATCATTTTTATTTGAGTATTTGTTTGTTGTCTGTCATCCTGTACTGGGCTATAAGCTTTATGGCTCAGGGACTTATCTGTTTTGTATATTGATTAGTCCCAGCACAAGTAAGAGTGCCTGGAACATATATAATACTCAGTAAACATTTGTGTACTGAATATAATATAATTAATGAACATTTACAGAACTCTTGATATTGCTATCAGATTGATTTGAATTTTTTTGGTCTCAGTTTACATTCCCATCAGCTGTATATGGAAATGCTTGTTTTAATACTGTATCTAATTTAAATGCTTATGTCTCTTAATTTATCTTTAATTCCCATGTTTTCTCTTTCTCCTTTTCCTCTACATTTCTTTTCATTTATTTTGTTAATCTCTCGTTTCATTTATTCAATCTTTCACTTTCCATACTTTGATTTATTCAACAAATATTTGCCAGTGTGTAATATCTTCAAAAAGACAGCAAAGTGGAAGTGTGGAGGGGGGGGCAGGCAAATAAACCCAAAAATATAATAGAGGTGATACATGCTGTGTTGGAGAGCAGTACTGAAAGCTATGTGGAGCTCAGAAAAGGCATCTAATCCAGACTGATGAGTCAGGAACAGCTTCTTCCAGGGGGTGACTGAGATTGGAAAAGAACAATAGGAATTAGCCACTAGTATCTAAGACTTCCTTGTGACAGCTTCAGTAGGGTCCAGGGTATAATGGGAGACAATATTGTAAAAGTTACATGCAAGGATACTTAAGCAGGAGTTCTATTCATTCTGTGGCCCAAGCCATTTGCTTATTTTTGTTTGTTTGTTTGTTTTTTGAGACAGGGTTTCACTCTTCTTGCCCAGGCTGGAGTGCAATGGCACGATCTCAGCTCACTGAAACCTCGTCTCTCGCATTCAAGCTATTCTACTGCCTCAGCCTCCCAAGTAGCTAGGATTACAGGCATGCACCACCATGCCCAGCTAATCTTGTATTTTTAGTAGAGGCAGGGTTTCACCATTTTGGTCAGGCTGGTCTCGAACTCCTGACCTGAAGTGATCCACCCACCTCAGCCTCCCAAAGTCCTGGGATTACAGGCGTGAGCCACTGCACCTGGCCATTTGCTTGTATTTTTTACAAACAATATTCAGGGCCAGAACATCCTCAGTTATAAGCAGATATTAATTAAATACTTCTTAGAATTCATAAGAATTGTGGTAATAGTGATAACTGATATTTGTGTAATACCTTTCAGTTTACAAAGTGCTTTGATATACATTGGTTAATTTGCATAGTAATTCCAGGAGGCAGCTATAATTACCCCCTTTTACACGTGAGGTAACTGATGTTGACTAACCCAAGGCTGACTCAGCTGGTAAGTGATGGAAGCTACAAGCGATAAAACATTATATAAAATGTACAGTCCATATAGAAAATAAGAGGTAAATAGATTAGGCTTAACATCTGGGAACTAGTCTCCAAATTATAACTTATAAAACTTATGGTGATTAATCCCAGTTGTTTTTAAAGGTCCATTATTGAAGGCCCTACCCATAATCTTGTGTAATTCAATTTTTTTCAACTCTAGTATTTCTAAGATATTTATTTTTTTAGAGGCAGGAAGGTAAGTGGAAGGAAGTAGCATGACTTTTGGAACTGGATAAGTCTAGGCACATGTCAAGGGGGAAACACGAAGATATTAGTCAAAAGATACAAAGTTTCAGTTATGCAGGATGAGTAAATGCTACAAATCTAATATACAGCATGGTGACTATAGTTAATAATACTACATTGTATCCTAGAAATTTGCTAAAGATTAATTAAAGGCTCTGCCATTAAATAGTTCTATGACCTTGCACTATTTATCCCTTGGTTTCTTTACCTGTAATTAAGAGATAATAACTTAGTTGGCAGGGTAGTGTTGAAAAATAGAGATACCATGTGGAAATCAAATAACTGGCATTTAACGTATGTTAAATTGCTTCCTCCTTCCCCATCCTCATAGGAGCAACAATTCTTATTTTTTATTGTTGATAATCTAAAAAGACATTAATCCAAGAAAATGGGGGTAAGGAAGGGAAAAGATCATTAGAGTTAAAACCTATTTGTGTAGTTATCACATACAACATGGTATTGAATCTTAAAGAGCTATGGGAAAGGAACACCATTTATTGAGATCTGCTTGGTGCTGGATACCTTTCAAATATTATCACATTTAGTCTACAATCTCAGTTAGTTTACTTGGTTTCTACAGTGCTTTTAAACCCATTAGAGAAAAAGAATGTTTCATACTCTCTTGTAAATTATTTCTAATCAACACTGGAGACCATAGGGACAACAATATTAGAAAAAATGTAAAAATTCATTTTGAATTAATGTTAATAATTACTGTCATTTATTGAATTTCTACCATATATATGCCAGTCTATGCTAAGTATTTTCCATAAAATATCTCAATTAATTTTTGAGATTGGTGTTATTATTTTCACTTTATGCATGAGTAAGCAGAAGCAAGAAAGATTAGTGAAAAGATAAGTATTTGTCTAGCATAACAATGTGTTAGACACTCTAAGTATATAAACCCATTAACCTTCCCATCACTCCATGAGGTAAATCCTATTTTTATTCCCACTTTACAGATGAAATCTAGGCACAGAGCAGTTAAGTCCTTGCCTGCATAGCTAGTAATGAGCAAAGCTGGTGTCTAAACATAGGCAGTTGGGCTCCAAAATCCATATCTTTATGCTATTAACATGCAGTTGGTATATAACAAGGTCAAGAATCAGACCAACTCAAGTATGGCTTTTTTTTTTTTTTCCAGTACTACATAGGTAGCATTATTAACTTTAAGATTTCTAGAATTTTCTCTCTGTTTCAAGCTAGTCTTGGTTTTTCTTTTACTTAGAAAGGTAGAACTAAAGTTTTATGTGGTTGCCTCCTCCCAGAAACACAACCTGTTCCAGAAAGCAATCAACTTCCATGGAGTGCTGGGTGGGGAGTCAGTCCTTAATGCCTGTCATTCTGGCCATTACATAGACCCCATGTGGCTGCCTTAATAAGCATTTGCTGAAAGAACTTAGCTGTGGTTGTGAGGGTGTCTCACTGCATGTAAACATTTAAATATCCACCCCCATCCTAGGTTTTCTTTAAAAAAATTGGATTGACCTTGAAGTAGAACAATGTGAGTCCTTTCTCATGTATACTCCTTCCTAATGGGAATGTTATCAACTGATCCATTGGAGCCTGAGATTTTATTTTTTGTTTTGCTTTAATCTTTTTCTAAAGTCTCATTTTCCACCTTGAGATAAGAGATGAAGGCAAAACGAAATAGCTGAAATAAATGTGATAGTCAAATATTTCAAAGCCAATTTTGTGAAGCCTTGCTCTGAATTTATAATAGTACTAGTAAACTGTCACAGCTATCTAGTACTGCACAGATACTTTCCTGTTTCTCATTTTAATTCCTATGACTTTATACAAAATGGACGGAGAGATGCCATTATATCTGTTGTACAGATTTGGAACCTGAGATGATAGATTCCATGATTTCGCCTTTGACAATTAGAAAGTAAGTGACAAACTCAGAAGCCAGAAGCCAGAAGGAGGATAACATCTTGGTTAAGAGAACAGATGTTAGACTCAAAAGAGTCTGGGCTCACCATTTACTAGCTATTTGACTTTGGATGAGTTATGTAACTTCTTTGTGCCTCAGTTTCCCCATCCATGCCTATGCCACGGGTTATTATCAGGATTAAATAAATTAATCCATGTAAAACACTTCAAACAGAGCCTGGCACAAAATGAGCTACATTCAGGGTGGCCATTATTATTATTAATGTTGACTTTTAGTCCAGGAAACCATAGTCATTATAGGACTGGCTTCCGCTGTGATGATAGTTGAGCTAGCTGGGAGTGGTAGAGTGAGGTTAAGAAGTGAATGCGGGGGAAACACTCTTACAGCTAGCCTAATAAAACATACATTTACACTACACTTGTACCTGTATTAAGAATAGATTTTGTGACTTTATATTGATTCAGTGATGTTTTCTCTATATTTCAATGCCTTTTAAAAACATATACTGATGTTAATTAAGAAGAATCTGTCAAAAACCAGGCCTAATTGTAAAAGTCATGCAAAAAGAAAAGTCTATGTTAAAGAAACTGATTATTCATTTAAAAACTTAAAAAAAAAATCTAGAATGTTGAGTAATCACAAATATTTGCATTCCCCAAATATTCAGATTTCCCATTCAGGTATCATAAACTTTAAAAAGTAAATGCAGTGGTTATTTTTGTAGACCATCATTATATGAGCACAGAAATTAAATATATGCATAGCAACATCTATCATGACGCTTTCCAGTTCCTAGGAGTGGCATTAATTCCATGGCTTCACTGCATAATATTAGTTTCGATCATATACTGTCGAAGTTTCATACAGAGTATACATCTAAATCCATATAATATTGAGAGTAGCTCTAATAAGGTTATACCGAATTTAAATTTGTGAGAACTAAGGGAAACTATGTTGGAGTTGCAACTGAGTGTGGCACTCACAGTGAGAATGTGGTCTGCCTGACTAAAGCAAGGTAGGGCTATCCCCAGAACCATTGTTTTCTGCAGCTTAGAGAGAAATATTTGTTTAAATTCTGCTAACAAAAATTTTTTAAAAATTATGTGTATGTGCACGTGTGTGTATTCGCCAGTGAAATAATGAAAGTCACAATTTTTTGTCTTCCCTTGAAAAAAGAACTTAATATTTACACTCTACAAATATTAACATTTATCCATGGAATATAATTAAGTCATAATAAGTTAGCACAATAATTTGTATTCTATAGTACCGAAAGAGTTAATGTCATTCAAAAATGTGACTATTTCCGACCTTTTTCAAAAAGAGCGGGTCTAATTGTAGTTCTCAACTCTGATAGCCCATTAGTCACCTGTGAAATCTCTTTAGAAAACAGAGTCCTTAGCCCCATGCCAGATCTACCAAATCTGGATGTCCAGGGTGGAAGTGGGACATAAGTGTCAAAAACAGAACTAAAATATCCACAGGTGATTCTGATGCACAGGTAGATTTGGGAATCACTGTCTTAAATTCATTGTGTCTTTGACCTCAGAAAATCATATTACCAGAAGTTGGCTGGGTGTGGTGGCTCAAGCCTGTAATCCCAGCATTTTGGGAGTCCAAGGCGGGTAGATTACCTGAGGTCAGGAGTTCGACGAGCCTGGCCAACATGGTGAAGCCACATCTCTCCTAAAAATACGGAAATTAGTCAGCAGTGTTGGTGGGCACTTGTAATCCCAGCCACTCCGGCGGCTGAGGCAGGAGAATTGCTAGAACCTGGGAGTCAGAGGTTGCGGTGAGCCTTGATTGTGCCATTGCACTCCAGCCTGGGAGACAGACTGAGACTCTGTCAAAAAAAAAAAAAAAAGAGAGAGAGAGAAAGAGAAAGAGAAAAGGAAGGAAGGAAAGGAAGGAAGGAAGGAAGGACGGAAGGAAGGAAGGAAAGAAGGAAAGAGAAGGAAAATCATGTTACCAGAAGTAACAGCAAAATGCAAAAAGTAAAAGCACATTAGAAAACACACACACACACACACACACACACACACACACACACAGAGGCATTTCTCTCATAGGATAAATTTTCATTAAAATAGCGGACGACCCTAAACCACTGAGACTACTAGTGATAATGTGCAAAGAAAATCATTGCTCCTGAGCAAGAGTTACCAAACACAGAATTTGTACAACAGTATTTAGATTTTATAACTAAAGGCATCAGCTATTTAAAAACACCTGTAGCGGATATGCACTTCACTCTATAAATGCATTTTGACAGAGCATTATTTTATTTTCTTTAAATCCAAATATATAATAATAGGCTCTATCTTGCCTGCCTTTTCTCTCAGAGCTCACCCTGAGCATCAACAGTTTAGGAGCTCAGATTTTTGAGGAACGAAAACCTGGAAGAGAGAAGTCTTTGGGAAAATTCTGCTTTTCTTCTGTATTACAGATCTCTACTGAGGCAAGGGAATATAAAGGTCTGGTTATCTGCTTCACACTTGGGAAGAAAAAACAGGAAGCTCAAAACTCACATTAATATTTCAGTTATCCTACTCCCTCCCACTTATTTTTGTATTTATTTATTTTTGAGACAGTCTCCCTCTGTTGCCCAGACTGTAGCGCAATGATGAAGTCTTGGGTCACTACAATCTCTGCCTCCCGAGTTCAAGCGATTCTGAAGCCTCAGCCTCCTGAGTGGCTGGGATTATAGGCGTGCGCCACCATGTGCCACCATTATGCAAAAGCTATATGTAATATCCACCGTGAAAGTTTGTTGTTGTACAGATTAAAGGTGATGGTATTTGTGACCATATAGTGACTGAGAAATTTGGGGACCCTCCATTCTTGTAATAATCTAGAATTCAACCATTTCCCTCCTCTACTTCACCATCTAAAAAACCCAATTCCAGATTTTAGGCAAATCACATAGATTTTATAGAATATTTCTTAAGGAGACAAAAGGGAAGATAATGGGGTGACTTTGCTCCAAATTCTATATTCTGTATACCACCCTGCTGCACGGAGTTATTCTGGGCTGACCTCAAGATTCTGTGGAGCCCGTTGGCTCTTTGATATTTTGACCATTACTTTTCACTGTGCCTGGCTTTTATTACAACTCTAGCAGTTTTGTTGCCTGGTGTCTATCTAAGCTGTGATTGGAATGTATTGTCCTAAAACTTCTCTCATCTGTTGAATCTATTCCGGATTGGTTAGATATAATAGACAGAAGGTTTGGCTCTATTGCTAGTCTTTCTAAAAAATCTCTTCCATCTAGTTCTGTTATTCCCTGTGTCCTCATTCCAGTAGTTCACTTAACAGCACCTCTGACTTCCATCGGCTATACTGGGCCAGTCAGGATCGGTAATAAAGCACAGTTTTCTCTAGATCCTCACAATAGGCAATTAATGCTGTCTTTCTTGGGCTTCATGACTAGTCATCTGTCCCTCAGTTTAATTTGTGATCTTACTCAACCTGCATGAAAGACTTTGGCCAACAGTGTACAAGAAAACAGCTCTTATTTATTTATTTACTTACTTTTCAAAAGGTTTTGGCGGAACAGGCAGTGTTTGATTATATAAATACATTCTTTAGTGGTGATTTCTGAGACTTTAAAAGAGCATAAACGGGAAAGCCATATGTATGGTTGCCTTAAGAATGTGTTTTGTCAGTGAGGGAAGAGTGTCTATTTCCCTCCCATAATGCTTAGTCATTTTTAGCTTTATTTTGTCAAATACATACACGCATCTCCAAGACGAAGTAATGGTTGAGGGAAGAATTTATGTCAAGAGCAGATTTTTATCTTCCATATCACATAGGTTAGTATCTGGTATATAAATATAGTTGTTTCCTGAGTATGTACCATATGGCAGGTGATTTGTGAAGGCTTTGCGTATATTATCTCATTTAATCCTGTAGCAGTCCTATAAGGTAGATCTTAAAAGGCCATTTCCAGATAAGGCAGCCAAGATTCAGGCAATAGAGATACTTCCCTGTAGTCACACAGATAGGTGGAAGAACAGTATTTGAACCCAGATCTTCTAGCCCAAAAGCTTGCGCTCTTTCCACCATGTTCATAGCCTCCCAATGTGTTTTCTAAGGGCAGTAAATATGTTGAGTGAATAGATGCACCAGTAAAAAAGACTATACTTGCTGTAAATTTGCTTTAATTTTGTGTCATCTTTTCTATAAAATGGCTGTAGCTAGCACATAATTTCCCCGAAGTAGACTAAACTTTAAGTAGAATCTTGTTAGTAACAGAATATATTTGCATAACTGAAGACATTTGAGATTGACAAATTTAAATAGCAAATATGGTGATACCAGTTAAGCCATCTTGTTAGTCATAACCAGTTATTTATAATGAACTTTCACTATTCTCATAATGCCATGTTAGTTAGTACCTAGGCACTACATAGAAATAAAAGTTGCTCATTAATAAGGAAACAGTACTAATTTGAAAAAATACATATTTTCTGTTTCTGGGTTAAGAATGTGTGGATCTTTGGGGCTGAATTGAAAAGTACCCAATACATATCCCTAACAGTCCTCCCCTGGAGTTACAAGAAAAAATAGTTTTTTCCTCCAGCTTTATTGAGGTATAATTGACAAATTTTTATATATTTAAGGGGTACAACTTGATGTTTTCTTGTGTATACATTGTGTATTAGTCCATTTTCATGCTGCTGGTAAAGACATACCTAAGACTGGGCAATCTACAAAAGAAAGAGGTTTAATGGACTTACAGTTCCACGTGGCTGAGGAAGCCTCACAATCATGGCAGAAGGCAAGGATGGCAGCAGGCAAAGAGAGAGAACTTGTGCAGGGAAACTCCCCCTTATAAAACTTTCAGATCTCATGAGACTTATTCACCATCATGAGAACAGCATAGGAAAGACCTGCCCCCATGATTCAGTTACCTCCCACAGGGTCCCTCCCACAACACATGGGAATTCAAGATGAGATTTTGTTGGGGACACAGCCAAACCATATCACATTGTGAAATGATTACCACTACCAAGCTAATTAACATATTCATTACCTCACATAGTTACCTTTTTTGTGTGTGTGGTGATAACATTCAAGATCTATCCCCTTATGGGGTACAAAAAATATTTTTAAAAAATTAATTTAAAATACAAAAAAAAATTTAAGGAAATCAAAAGTACCCATAATCCCGCCATTCAGAGAAAGCACTATTAACATGTTGGTAACTTTTCCATATTAACCTACAGATGTACAGATATGCCTCTTACAAAATTGGCATCAAACTATATATACAGATTTATAACTATTGCTCAGTTTATGTCATTAATAATTCTTAATGTCATTTAGAAAACATGAAATAGTGGGAGCAAATAAAAATTTTATGTAGACATATCATTCATAAATGATATTGAACAAATTCCCTGGCGTATGCTTCTAGACTCTTTTTAATCTCATTCTCTACTAAGTAAAATTGGGATCGTACTTAATATTTTTTATTATTCACAAAAACTGAATCAAACTGTATATATATTATTTTAACTCGATTTTTTCACTTAATAATATGGTGTGTCTATCTTTATATGTCATCAAATTTACTTACATAGGAAAGTTTTTAATGCCTACATTAAAACTGTATTCAATGCTAATGAATTTTTTTCACTTAATAATATCTTGTGGCTGTCTTTTTATGTCATCAAATTTACTTACACAGGAATGTTTTTAATGCCTACGTTAAAACTATATTCAGCACTAATGAACATAAATATTTTTTCCAGTGGTTTGCTTCTACAAATGCTGTGACAATGACAATTCTGTGAACACCTATTGTACTCAGTTTTGTAGAACAGATTTCTGGAAGTAACATTTCTGAACTGTAGGTTCAGCAGTTTATACTACCAACACCAGTGTGTGGAGAGTGTTTTTGCAGCCATTAAAGAAAAGGTAGCCGGTGCCATGTGTACTGACACAGAAAAACGTCTAATATCCAATGTGAAATTTAAAAATAAAAGCAGTGGCATAATATGTATAATATGAGCAACTTTTATTTTAAAATTATCTATCTGCATGCTTATGTATAGATTTGAGTATAGATGTGTATATGGGGATAGATATAAATAGAGACATCTTAATGAGCACTGAAAATACAAAATTAAGCACATATGCTGATTTAAAAGCATGTAGCAGACCGGGTGTGGTGGCTTACACCTGTCATCCCATCACTTGGGGAGGCTGAGGCCGGCGGATCACCTGAGGTCAAGAGTTCAAAACAAGACTGGCCAACATGACTAAACTGTCTCTACTAAAAATACAAAAATTAGCCAGTCATGAGGGCACGCACCTGTAATCTCAGCTTCTTGAGAGGCTGAGATGGGAGAATGGCTTGAACCCAGGAGGCAGAGGTTGCAGTGAGTTGAGATTGCAACCCTGCACTCCAGCCAGCCTGGGTGACAGAGCAAGATTCTGTCTCAAAAAAAAAAATTAATTAAATAAATAAATTTTAAAAACAAATAAAAGAACATAGCAAACTAAAGGGAGAGTCAGAGTAAACAAGTAAATTTTATTACAGAGTAAATGTATATGCTGGAAGGCAGGTTACTAGCAATGCATGGGAACTTGCAAGGTGATGGGGCTGGCAGATTGCCAAATAAGGATGCCCAGTTAAATTTGAACTTAAATAATAATCAACAATGAATAAGTTTCAGTATAAATGTGCCTCATGTAATAGTCACGTATTTATACTAAAAAATTATTTGTTATGTTTCCAAAATAGAAATGTAACTGGGGCATCCTATATTTTTATTAGCTAAATCTTGTAACCCTAGACATGGCCAGAAACATGGTTTTGTCCTCATAAGAGGGAATCGTCTCTCATGAATGAATTCACATCCACAGACATGACAAGAGAGATGTATAAACCGGATGGCCTACAGCCAGATTTCCTATTTAAATATCTATAGTAGTCAAAACATTTACTGATTGTCTTCTAGGCACTGTGCTATTCATGCATCATTTCGTCTAATACTCGTAAGGCCCTAAGACCCAAGCACTATTCCTGGGTTAGGGGAGGAAACTGAGGCATAGAGGTAAACAACCTGCCCAAGATCACATGTCTTAAAGGAATAGGGCCGGACTTGAATCTAGATAGTGAGAATCACAGTTTGTTTCCTCTGTCCTATTCTCTATTGCCTTTAAAATAGGAGGTATAATTGCTAATATGACCAAGAAATATAATCAGATCACTGAGGGCAAGTATATACTACAGAAAGTGTTTAAAACAATGACAACAGAACACTTAGTGGTTTGAACCCAGACAATCTGGGTTCAAAGCCAAGCGCTACCACTCACAAGTCAGGTATGTGAGGAGGGGCAGGTTAATGCCAACCTTTGCAGATAATAGTATTGCATATGTCTTAGGTTTCATGGGAGGATTAATAACATCGGGTATATAAAGCATATGTAGCACAGGGCCAGCTTCATAGTAAGTTCTCAAGATATATGTGAGTTGTTATTATTATTTAAAATACATCAAAGTACAAAACCAAGTGGCAATCATGAAGAAATACTGTATGGGAGTTAAGAAGAGAGAAAAATCTACAATCAGGTGTACTCAACAGACTTTATGGAGAAAGTAGGAGTTAGACCCTGATAGAAACCAGGGACTTTCTAATGTTTAGGGGTGGAAGGAAGGACCAATATATGTAAAGGTGCTTCTTAGCAAAAAGCCTTCTCTAAAGAGAGCAAGGCAGTGCTACAACAATCTCTTGTTCTTATGCATGTCTTATCCTTCCCTCATGGCCACCAAACAATCTTCATAACCTGTTTACAGTAACAGGCACAGAAGACTAAATGGAAACAGCTGCATGAAACAGAGGGAAATGTACCTCTTCCAAGGAATGTGAAAGAAATCCATTTAAGTGATTCGATTAAAGCCACCTTATCCTTCCTGTTCACAAGTAGAGAATTATATCTGAACATTATTTTGCCATCTAGGAAGCTGCTGTTATATTCAGTCTTAGCATCTATTCAGTTAAAGGTATAAGAGTGTTCCCCCCTGTAGAGTTTGTCTTAGTAATGTAAAATTGGCCTACAGAAGTATATAGATGAATAAACATTTTGAATTCTACTTTAGAAAATGTGATTTTGCTAAATATATTCAGAAATTCTTGTGGGGGGTGTGAATTTTAAAACCCAAAGCTTTATCAGATTTGGCAACTTTAGGTGTTACTAATGTCAATCATCCTCGAGCCTCCGAGGAAAGAAAAGAATTATTTTAGAGGTAGAGTATTTATTCTGTAATATTATATTTTTGACACCATGATAAAAAGAAAGAAATTGTAGGTGATATTAAGCTTCAGACCTTCTCTTTGGGGGCCTTTGTAATGTTCCTCACACTTTCCTTTCTCTTTTGTTATTTCCAAGTTTTTCTCAAAAAGGAATGGCCTTGCTTTTTTTCTCTACACTGTGGTTTCATAGTACTGGCTAAGAATATGAAGATGTGGGGAGTATACTCAACAGAACAAACCTGAAAATACCAGTGGGATACCCAGCTTAAACAATTGTGCCCTGCCCACCGGTCTGCTGAAAAAGCAAACCAAACTCATAAGGACCAGGTCACTCATCTGCTAGCGAGAGCTGAATAGACAGGGAGTGTACTTGGCCCAAAGGATGCCAATCCAGAGGCTAACAAGTAACCAATAAGGTGGTTTACTCAAAAAGGTGTACTAAGTCCAACAAATACTCAGTTAGGAATGTTTAATTGAAAAGCAGTTCAACCGAGGCAATGATCAGTGAAAGGGGAAGCTAGTGATTTATGATGTAAAGGAGGCCCGATGATCCATTGTGAGTCTAATGCCAGCTGATGTCATTACAGAACAGAAACTGAGGGCAAGAAGAAGCTATCAGGTAGAAAGTATCTCAATTATAAATTAGAGGTCAAAGTGGTGATTTGAGACAGAAGGAACAAGTAGCACAAAAGAAACAGCGTTATCTTGAAGGGAAAGCTGTAGAGATCCAGCTCCTTAGATCTCACTCTTCCGTATTTATCACACAGCTTTTTCTGGGTTTCTATGCACATGTGTCCTGTTACCTAAAGTAGATTAAATAAGTCTCTGTTCCTGCAATCAGATTTCCTTACAAACAAAATGTTTGTTCAACAAACAAAGGGACCATTTTTTAAATTGTTTTACTATATACCTGCCACAAAGTAGGTTTTTGGTAAATATTTGTGGAATGAATGAATGAATGAATGTACAAATGAATAGCCAAAATGATTGTACTCATTTAATTCCAACTAGTAGGAAGAACACTGTCTTCCATAACTTCTTATCAACTATGGATTTTAAAATTGTACTCAAGACCTGCCTAACTTTTCAATTATCTACTCAAACCATTAACAAACTCCCTAAATGGAACATGTTTGCAGATTCCTCTTTAAATCTGCACGTGCTGTTACCACTTTCTAGAAAGCCCTCTTTCACCCCTTTCACTCTCTTTCTCCCTTTTCACCCTCTTTCACCCTTTCACCCTCTTTCAAACCTGCACTAGAATTGCTACTCTCAGCAGTGTTTACTTTCACATATTCTTAGCTCAGTCTCTCTCTGAAATGGTAAGAGAATTAGGTGCTTTCACTTCCTGCTGTCCCCACAGCCCCATATACAATTTTGTATTTAACTTTATTCAACATTATAAAATAAAGCATTTTCCTGTCTCATTAAAATGTTTTATGAATATTAACTTTAATGGTTAAACAATAAACCGTCATGTGAATGTGTCTTATATTCCATACCCTTCTTTTGCTGGACATTTTGATTGTTTTGTTTTATTCTGTTTTGCTGTTATAACAAATCACAATGACTTTCCTTCTATAGAAACTTTTGTACATATTTTTTATTTTTCTTCTTCAGATAGCACACTAGAGTAGAATTGCTGAACCAAAAGACAGGATTACTTCTAAAACTCCTGAAATATATTGCCAAATTGCTTTCTTGAAATGTTTTAAGGAGGTTTTACACTCCATAGCACCAGCAATATAGTGTCTGTTTCAACATACCACAACTAAATTGTGATTTGTCAATTTCAAGATCCTTTTTTTAAAAATAGGTAAAAGGGATGTATCATTTAATTTGTGTTATTTTTATTCCTAGTGAGGTTATTTATATGTGTGTGTGTATTTGTCATTTGTATTTTCTCTTGTGATTGGATACTAATTGTCTTTGTTTTTTACTAAAATGTTATTGCATTTCTTATTGAGTTGTAGGAGCATCTTTAAAATATTGATAAATATATTTGAGCAAATGTTTTCCCCAGCTTATTGCTTGTTTATGAGTTCTTGCTTCAGTGGTTTCAATTTTTTTTTTTTTTTTTTTTTTTGAGATGGAGTCTCACTCTTTCGCCCAGGCTGGAGTGCGGTGGCACAATCTCGGCTCACTGCAAACTCCGCCTTCCAGGTTCAGGCCATTCTCCTGCCTCAGCCTCCCCGAGTAGCTGGGACTACAGGCACCCGCCACCAAGCCCGGCTAATTTTTTATATTTTTAGTAGAGACTGGGTTTCACCGTGGTAGCCAGGATGGTCTCGATCTCCTGACCTCGTGATCCGCCCACCTCGGCCTCCCAAAGTGCTGGGATTACAGGCATGAGCCACCGCGCCCGGCTGGTTTCAAATTTTTATGTAGTCAAATCTCTCATCTTTTATGTGATTCCTCCTATTTATTTCATGCTTAATTTTTTTTCCATCACGATTCTTAGTAACTACTAACCTGACATTTTGTAGATCTATATTTATCCTATGAGTTCAATTAAAAATTTTTTAAAAATCAATACAAAGCCTTTAAAAGCAGGTTTACAAAAGTGTAAGAGTTTAAACACTAGTATAGGACATATTGAACCTTCCTCAAATAATTCAAATCCATGTCTCAACGGCCTTGATCTGGCCATAATATTGACCCTGTGACTCTTAGACTATATTTGTTTAAACATCTTTCAGAAAGCCACAAAAATTCTACTATAGCTGGACACCCTCACCCAATACCAAAAACAGAGATCCCTCTCCCTTTTGTTACAATCACCATTGTCAAGGTCATTAATATTCAACTTCTTATTCCAATGAAACACTCCATAACCCATTTACAACCCACTGCCGTGAGAGAGCCTAATTTTGTTGAAACCCAAACACTTTTTAAGGAAATAAAGCATCTTAATATTCAAAACAACTTTAAATGATGCAGCTCTTACTCTGCCCTTTGTCTCCTCAATCTTCCAATAAACTCCTCAATAAACACAGTAAAATATAACTGAGAGTGATGTTTACATAGAAAAAATAGTGAACCAATCCTAATTTCTACTTTTAAATAGTAAGTATTTGCAGACTGTGGTATCTAAACTATTATTAATAACAAATTACTTATGACCCAACAATCTGATGTGATACCACAGCTGTGAACCATACGGGAAAGCAAACCATTATAAAGATCCAGGTACAAATCGGGCGTTAGAGTTGGGGCTGCTATATTGTTAGAGGCAGTGAAAATAATTGAGAAGTACAGAGAAAGTGGTCATCAACCTCCAGGGCTATTAAAGAGGATCAATTACCTTTTAAATATACAGAGCAAAAGTGAGTCTTTAGAAGGCACCTGTGCAGTACCTTTTGCGAGACTAAAAGCCATCGATTGTTACTTCCTTGGTTCAACCCTCTTGTAGAGAATTCACATTACATGAAAGTGCTATCGTGTGAACTGACTGATTCTAAGTGAGTGGGTGAAGAATATTATTTGTAGGAATTCTCACAAAGGGGACCAACATTTTCTGAGGTTATGCATCCTTGTGAGCTCGAGTGTCTAAGAGTGATAATCAAGATAATAATAATGGCTCCTTTTTGGTGAGCTCTGAGTAAGTGCCACGGACTGAACTAAGTGCTTTATGCACATTGTTCCTATTTCTCACAATCATCTTTAGGCTGATATTACTATTCCCACTTTCCAGATGAGGATGTTAAGAAATAGCATAAGGTCATACAAGGTAGAATTTGAAAGAGCCAGATCTAAACCTAGTTTGGTTTGCTTGTACTTAACATGGTGCTCATAATAATTTAGGTCTGTGCATAATTTTGCAATTTATAATTTTTCTGGTAAACAGAAAAATCTTTTTAAATATTATTTTAGGTCTATAAATGAGAAAGCTAAGATTTGTAAGAGTTAAGTAAGCGTGGCGCAAATAGGCATCTACTCCAACTGCCCCCGTGGAAATTCTTGAGTGCCCAATTCAGTGGTGCTTGGAATTAGGGGAGCGAATAGGTTCTTACAAATCACCTAGATCAATCCCTCCCCTAGATGTCTCTATATCATACTTTAAGGCCTGTATAACACCTTAATCAAGTGACTAATACCTTTCTGCTTAAAGTTCAGTATAAGAGAAGTCAGCCTCTTTCTTAACCATTTTTATAATGTCATTTCACATGTTGAGCCACATAGTTCACAGCCTGATACTAATTCTCTTTTATCCCCTAATTACTTTTAGGGCTTCCCAAAATCCCACCCTTAAGAGCTATTAGCCCAGGACTGGAATTCAATCCTCTTATACTTTTCCAAATCCTTGGCCCAATAAACAGTGTATTATTTGTAAAGAGGAGCATGAGGCACCCTTTTAAAGTTACAATCCTTTTTCCTCAAATGATATCTGGCAATATATTAGATACTTAGGCATCTGAGCCCTTGACGTCCCAGCTGCTATAATTAATGCAGTTTGGTTCTATATTCTGCAAATACAGGGCATGCGGTTGGATGCCCCCTCCTATTATGGCAACCCAAGAAAACCATAGCAGGATAACCTTTGGAGAATCTGAAAGTTCTGCAGATTTAGCCATATCAGTCTATATGATGAAGAAATTTATGCTCAAAATCATATACATATATGACCCAAATCCATCTTTTTGTAATTTTAGATGTCCCCTTTTAGTTCTGGCTCGGGAAAAGAGAATAAAAGGTACTGATCACTTTTCATTTCACAGTTCCTTTCATTTTCTATGACAGTACTTCAGTAATACATTCTTGCATTGAGGAAAGTAATGGGGAAACAAAGACACATGAGATTTGGTCCTGATCCTCCAGGGTCTAATATTCTAGAGAAGGAGAGAGCATTGTGAATTAATAAAGACAGTGCAATGAGGTGAGGTCCCTGCCTGAGACAGCCTGAAGGCTTTGAGAGCTCTTTGGTAGGGAGTTAGAAAACTCAATAAAGTGTAAGTCACTCTCATTGTTATCTCTGAGAGAAGAGAGTCATATTCCTTTGACCTTGTAGGTTCAGGTGCTACACAGATGAAGACTATTTACAATCACAGTCATTATTATCACTGTCTTAAACATTATCTCTGATACAGGGCAGGGACTATAGTGAGGTGAGTGAGGTACTCATGTTGGGTGCAAAATTTAAGGGGACACCGAGAAACAGCAATTAAGACAAAAATACTTTAATGAAATATTTTAGAAAATAAAATTAATGCAAAAGAATTTATAATGAACAAAATATCAAACTTTTAAAGATAGAGTCAGTCTGGTATTAGTCTCAGGTACTATGTAATTACATAGAGGCCCAAGGTTTTGTCTGTTGGCTTTGGGAGGCATAGTCTAGTTGAGGTGATATGAAAGAGATGTGAAAATAAACAAGGTGCCTGTTTTATTTTCACTGTAGTGATTGCAAACATGAGATCAGATCTAACTTCCAATAAGGGAACAGGGTGGGAGATGGGTAGCTGATTGACAACTAATGTCATATGGGAATCATCAAAGAAATTCAATAGCATGAGCTCTCATAACCCTGCTGTAAGAATGAACCCAGACAGTTATTCTAGACTCAAGGAACCTCTAGACATTTTAGCAACAAAATTTGATAGAGCTTCACTCTGGTGCTCTATAATTAGTGGACACAGCTACAGCTACCTTCTCCATGTTTGCATCTTTTCCTTTTTCTGTTAACTGAAAATTTTTTCTCCTTTATTCACATTATTCACCTTCCATAGGAGAATCCAAATGGCCTAGGCCTTTTTTTTCTCTCTTTCTTTTTTTTGAGCCCCACCATACAGATCATGGTTGCAAGGTGAGGGGCCCAATCCTAATCCAATGGTCTAAACTGCTTTGTTTAGGGAGGAAACTGAATTTGATAGTGCAAGTGGTCCAAATGGGAAGGAGCAGTTATAGGCAAAGTAGTTTTCCTAAGAATAAGGTATAGATGAAGCACCTCCCTCCAACATACACCAGTATTGTGGATTAGCAATTAAAAATGACAAGGAAATAGAACAAATAGCAAGTGCTAATGGAGTTCAGAGAAAAGAGAGATCACCAAGGGCCAGGGTGTGCTAATTATATGCTATAAGAACCTGCAATTATAAACCCATAGATGTGCAAATAAATGCTGATGGCTCAGCAGATGAGCTACAACGTCATTATCTATGGCTCTTTATAAATGGACAGCAAGAGAAATGATTTGTTTATAAATTCACTTAGAGATTGTACCAATATCTTCAAATACTTTTCCCTCCCTCTGTGGGCATCCACAGATAGGCCTCTTGGGTTGGATTTTCATATTCACTACCTTCTGACCTAGGCCATTCTGGCAGTTTATAATAGGATAAGCAGGCCCTTTCAATTATGACTGGCTGATTCACGCTGCCAAAAGTCATTTCCCCTTGGCACTTCCTTACCAACTAAATGGGAAGTGATAGTGGCATCTGTTCTGCCACCCAGATTTCAGTGATGGTTTATAAAACGGCATTTCTTGTTTGTCTGATGGGCAGAGGTCACACAGAATATAACTGCAGGGAAAGACTAAGAATGCTGGCTCCCAGTATTAGGCCTTCTGGAACTCAGGGCCGAGAAGTCTGTGAGGAGCCCACTGTGCCCATTGGAGCGACTCTCACAGGAACTATGGGCAGGCATTTCAGTGGCTAAACTCAAACGCACAAGAAACCTATCCCTTTGAGGGCAGATGAACCATGCGCACATGCTATAATTAAGTACTTAAAGCCACTCAGTTCATGATAACATTGGGATTCTGGTTCTTCTGGTATAACCTGTGAGAATTTATAATGGCCTGAAAAATTTAGAGTAGCTTATGGCTCCCTTGAAAGAACCAGAAGGTTTTTTAAAATTTCCCTCTGCAAAGAATGGCTAAAAAAAAAAAAAATTATCTATTCATTCAAACATTTACCAAATACCTACTATGTGCCATTTCTGTGTTCAGACTGTAGCCTATGTTGTACTTTCTGTATACTGTACTGTGCTCTAGTACATAATATACATACTATATGATAGAATATATGACAGAATCCTAGCGCTGTAATAAAACCATTAGATATGCCGGGCGCGGTGGCTCACGCCTGTAATCCCAGCACTTTGGGAGGCAGAGGCAGGCAGATCATGAGGTCAGGAGATCAAGACCATCCTTGCTAATGCAGTGAAACCCCATCTCTACTAAAAATACAAAAAATTAGCCGGGCGTGGTGGCAGGCGCCTGTAGTCCCAGCTTCTCGGGAGGCTGGGGCAGGAGAATGGCGTGAACCCAGGAGGCGGAGTTTGCAGTGAGCCGAGATTGCGCCACTGCACTCCAGCCTGGGTGACAGAGTGAGATTACGTCTAAAAAAAAAAAAAAAATCTTCAAATGTGAACCCCATTTTTATGCCACTTGAAAGGGGATTTTTACTGATATTTTTAATGTTGTTGTTTGATTGCAAGAGAACCTTGTCAGTATTGCAAGAAGGCTTTGTCAAATTTGTCAAGTGGTTTGTTATGTTTTGGTATACTTTCATCTACTCATCTTCTGAGATATTAAGTGCTCTCACAATCAACAAAAGAAACTGGATGTGATATCTCTATTCTTTAGCCAGTGAATGTACAAAATAACAAGTAAATAAATAGGTAAGAAATAGAAGGTGAAACAAAGGTAAAATGAACCTGCGATATCAGTAACTGTTTCTCTGTGTTGATAAGACTTTGAACGGTGAAGAATTAAGCTTAGCAAATATCAGTCCACTATGAAACCATCCTGAAGGTGACTGAAAGCAAAGAAATAAGAGCCTTCTTCTAAAATCCGAGGTATTAAAGCCTGCTCCAAACACCAAATCTATTAAATATGTGAATCAAACGATAATATTATATTCACAAAATGGTTCCCAAAAGATTCAAATAAAAGTTTCAAGAGTTCAACCCTGGACAAAATACAGGATCTCATTTTCATTGGCTTGAATTTATTGTAATTTTCAGAAAGTAAAATATTTTCAAAGAGAAACTGAATAAAGAATTCAGTTAAATACAATATAACCAGGAATTTTTAAAAGATCTCCATTAGCCAGCTTTGATTGTGAAAATGTGACTCAGAATATGGTGCTACTGAGGTAAAAGGACTAGGAGAAAATTGGAAACATCATTTTCTTAGTCTGTAGAGTCAACATCAGACTGAGAAAATTGGATCAGCCCTCCCAGGCAGAAACAACAATGTTACCGAAATGACATTATCATGAGAATGTTTTATGATCTAAAAGAAGTCATTGAATCCTTTCTTCTAAGGTTCTGTGCTGGCAGTTTAGATCAGCTACCATTTTGTGTATAATAATATTTTCAAATTAAGATGCAGAAATTTCTCCAAGTGGTCATAGGACCAAATTATATGGAAAGAAAATAACATTCTTTACATTTCCTATGTATACAGAAGATATTAGATGGACTCCAAACATAATTAAATATATTAGCATTTGTAGTAGGCCCTATTTATACTATTTCTTTGTATTAGATGTGCAGTCTTAAATTTTGTAGGAGTATATCTGTTAATATTAGGTCCTATTTATATAAGAAAAAAATGATCCTAGCTTGAACAACACAGTTTATCTTTATCCACATAGAAGGAATTCAAAGGTAGCTAGTCCAGAGTTGGTATAGTGCCACTCCATATTATCAGTGACACAGGTTCTATCTTTATATTCCACTATGTGTATTTTTTGGCTTTATCCTCAAGTTTGCTTCATGGTCTAAGATGACCAGTGAAGCTCCACCCATCATGTCTGTGTTCCAGGTAAGTAAACGGAGGAAATGGGAGAGAACAAAATTTCAAGAATTCTGGCTAAACGAGCTTCCTTATAAGCAGCTATTCTAGTTCACAAAATACTTCAGAGCACTCACATCACATTGGACTGAACATTTTCATGGGGCCACTTTTACCCACAGAAGAGTCTGAGGAATAAAGTCTTTATTATAAGAAAAGTTACAAGTGGAAAATTGGGTTTCTTTTAGTAACAAATCAAGATAAAATGGCATTGTTTTTACTTTTGCACATGCTGAGATGCTACTGGTTGCACAGGTGTTCCTTGTATGTACTAACCATGCATATCTTTCTCTTCCTCTTGTATCACCAGGCCTCCGGAACCTGTTTACAGCACTGTGAACAAACTATGTGATAAGCCTGCTTCTCCCAGGCACTATTCCCCTGTTGAGTGTGACAAAAGCTTCCTCCTCTCAGCTCCCTATTCCCACTACCACCTAGGCCTGCTACCTGACTCTGAGATGACCAGGTACTGCATGCGCTTCCTCACTTCATCTTCTCGAACTGCATGTGCTTCCACAAGGATAAATGGGTAGAATCCGCCTCTGCTCACTTCTCTTGCACTAAACATCTTCCCCAAAGTGGAGAGATGTTCTGCTGTTCCCTTGGTGCAATGGGAGAAATTAAGAACATTGCCTTTTTGTTTTGTTTTATTCCCTGGAGTGATCACAGAGCACTTAGACATTGATCACATGATGCTCCACATGTTCCTGGTTCCTATACATTTTAATAAGGCATTCATTATATTTTTCCAGAAGAATTAATTTTGGAACTTAACACCATTTCACTCATACAGAAGGATGAAAGAGAACATTTGTTGAATATTTTTAAATAATATTTAATAAGTGCTTACTATGCTCCAGGCATAACATGGCCTAAGAAATATGCACTATTATCATTTAATATTTTAACTAAAATATTAGATTAATATCACCATTTAACTGAGTCTTTAAGGTATTAAGCAACTTGTCCAAAACTACAGGATTAGTTGGTTCCATCTCACCACACGGAACGTAAAATTAATGTTTATATTATGTTACCATCCTATGTATGTACATATATATATATTCTCTTATTTAACTGCTCCCAGCCTATTTTAAGAAATAGAAGTTCAGAGTGGTTAAAGGTATTGCCCTCAGTATGATCTTGCCAATAAATGTAGAGTCCAAATTTGACCTTAGAATGTTTTGAGAATGTTTTGAGTCTTTCAACAACTTTGTAAAGAAATTATTCTAAGTCTGAAAGTTGGACACAATTCTGTGTTAGTATTCCAAAGCCTATATATGATAAATAACAAAAAAGACCTCCTCTTTTCATAGTAGCCTGAGTTGGAGAGAGAGGAAAGCAAGAAAAATAGAATTCAGCGTTCCACAAGGTAGTTCCAATTCAGTCTAAACAGAGATCCCAATTGTAATGTTCCTACACAGAATGGGGTGTCTATATAGTTATTTTTTCAGACAGGAATATCTTCATAATATTGTTAGAGCTGAAAAAATACAGACTTTAGAACGATTCAGAGTGAAGATGGATATATCAAGAGGGTCTGCTAAGAATATCATCTTTATTTTTTGATACTTTGAAAGAATAAGTTTGGAAGTCAATTACTGTTCTCTCTAGGAGAGTTAAATAACAAATTTTAAATTACATCTAACATTTCCAGAAATAAATGAGAAAACACATTTTTGACTATGTAAATCAGCTAGGGCATTTTTTTATTAATTTGCAATAATTAAAGTCTAACTAATATTTCAGAATACTTTATAAATATTCATTAAGTCCACCTATATTTTTAACAAATCATTAAAACTATTTGTTGATACAGTGAACTATGCCATTTTAAAGCTGAAAGGTCAAAGTCACCATAGCCGTAAGGAAGTGAGAAGAGCCACATACCTGTAATGACTTGCTAGTAATTATGTACCTATAGTCAGCTACATAAGGGTAGCTAACATTTATTGAGCTCTTCTGTGCCAGGCATTTTGTTAAATACTTCTTATGAATTATTTCTCTTAATCCTCACAATAATTTTTTGAGGTAGATGTTATTATTATCTTTGTTTTACAAATGAGAAAATCGAGACTTGATAAGTTGCCTGACTTGCCCAAGATCATCCATTAGTAAGTGACAGCTGGGATTCAAACCCAGATGATGACTGACCTGGCAGACCATTAGCCATTTTTGCTCACTGGAAAAAAATTTCCCCCCATTTCTCTTTTTCTATCCTTTCCCTATCTTTATCCCGACTTCTCATATTCCTTCCCTTCTTCTGGCTCTGTGTCAGTAAATATTTTTTTTCTTTTTATCCTGTGTTCCTTTTTTATGAATGTAAAAGTTACATTGGTTTCCTTCCATTCCAATGGGGATTTTGAAGCATCCTTCCTGAAAAATTCACGAAGAAGTAGCTGATAACAGTTCACCTCTATGTGCACCTGCCAGATATGATTCTTTTCAGCTTGCTTTCTGTCATCTGTATCATGAATACCATAGTTATTTATTTTTCAAATAAAAACATTATAGTACAATGTTGAATTTTTTTTTCAAATTACACACCCTAATTCTGATATGCACCAGGCCCCAACCCCCATCCACCATTCCCCTTTTTGGGTATTCTATTTTCAATTTATTCTAATTTGGTCCCCTTCTTTCTCCTTCTTTTTTTCTTTTTCCATTATCTTATTCTTTATCTTATCTTTGTAGAAAAACAGTCATAGACACACAAAAACACACAGACAGCTATTTTAGTGGCCTTGTCACTACCAGTGCATTGACACCAAAAATCTTAATTTCACCCCACTTTGCTCCTCCTCCATACTTCCTCAACTTAGTAAATGGCACACACATCTACCGCATTGTTCAAGCCAAAAACTTGAGAGTCATCCTTACTATGTTTTCCCTCATATCTGCCATTCAATTCATCTTCAAGTCCTGTTGATTCTACCTCCAAAATATCTCAGATTTATTCACTTTTCTTTACTTCTATTTCCACCACTTTAATCCAAGCCCCCATCATCTCCCACCTATAATAGCTTCTTAATTGGTCTCACCATTTCCACTGTTGACCTCCAGGCTTATTCTCAGTGCAACCAAAGTGATCTGTAAAAAATACAGATCAGATCTCCTTTTGCATTAGGATGCAATGCGAAGTCATTAACATAGCATCCAGGCTCTGCATGACCTAGCCACTGCCTGCCTCTTGGATACCTCATTTCACTCTTCCCTTTGCTGACCACATATTCATGTTGGCCTTCTTTTTATTCACAAAATGCACTAAATCTCTTCTAGTCTCAAGTGTTTCACATATGCTTTTCCCTGGAATTGGAAAGCTCTTTTTACACTTTGCCTGATTAATTTCTGGTCATCTTAGATCCAAGCTTAAATTGCACGTCTTCAGAGAAGCTCTCTAAAACAGAAAATCAGGCCCCCATTATATATTTTCTTTCTATTTTTCATAAGACTCAAGCAATTTATAATTGTACATTTATTTATGTGATTTTCATGACTGTATCACCTGCTACACTGTAAGCGCAATGAGTGGAATTGTGTATTTTTGGGCACTGCTATATTCCTAACAGTTAGTACAGTATCTGGCTAGCAGGAGCTCAGGATTATTGGATGAATACATAAACATGGAAATAAAATCTGCAAACAAGCAAACTGTTACCTGTTTGAAAACAAGTCGTAAGCTCAAGCTGCGCTTTACCTAGTTCTTAGTAGGTATATAAAACTACTCCATGAATGAATGAATCCATGCATAGAAACAAATAATAACTAGAACTTACTTTATGTCGTACTTTCACCATAAACTATGTCTATGGTGATTGTCTACATTATAAATCCATTAGGCACCTGTCAGTTCTTCGTGAGGACTCAGTAATTCATTTCAGATATTATTTATTTTTCCAATGGGAAATACCTCTCCAAGCCACTGTATCTTGAAATGCAGCCAATAATTCAGGGGCAAAGTAAAATATTCTGGTTCCATTTTTGACACCATCACCTGTGTGCTGTTCTCTGTGTTCTTGAATAACATATAGACCCTCGGAAGTAGATGAGAACTTAGAATTAGATAGAAAAACCCTTATCCAACTCTAGTAATGTTGTGGAACCCAATCTACTATCTTCACAGTCTACGTCTTATTACACCTCATGGTTAAATATAAATATTCTAGAATCTTTTGCCCTAAAAAAGATATTATAAAAATATATCTATTAATTTATTTAGCTAAGCCTTATCAAGGATCATCCACAAAGTGCAAGATGCTACTATAATGGGACAACTTTTTACAAAGGTGCAAGGTGAAAAAGCCAAAAATGTTGAAGAAATGCCTGATTTTTAGGATGCAGTAGATAATGATGTATATTTTGTTCAGAGCTTTTGAAAAATTCCTGAAGTCTATTCCAGAAACTTGCCCATATTGATATAGCAGTTATGGCTTCAGATTAGAATATGCACTAGCTCTGGAAAAGTTAGCATGTGAAACCATCCTTACATTTACATCAGTTTAATTCCTAATCCACATTTAGAAGAATAAAGGTTAGTCAGCAAAAGCAACCTGAGTCAGTCTTCTGTATTTTCTGAGCTTCAGTGGGAATACCCAAGTTCTCAGCTCTTTGAATTAATAGCAAACATTCAGGGATGAATTAATTGTACACACAATTTACTTCTGTAAGACCGTTTAAAAGAAAACAGAGAAGTTGTTAGTTTTTCTTAGGAAAGCACTTTAAATTACTTGGCACAGTGCCTATGGCTGCAGATTATGTTTGGAGGAATTGACTTCTTAATGCTTGCAGAAGCAAGAAATGTGCAGAGCCTGAAATCAAACTAAAATTTGAAAAACAAATAGGATTTCTATGGGACTCCTGCTTATCTAGTACATCTCTTTTTCTTTGAAAAAAGGTAATTTTGATGTTTTAATTGGTTTTTCTACTTTGGGAGAGTAAGTTTTTCAGCTTTTGATATTTCTAGGGCAAGGAGAATAGTATTCTTGGCTGTTTTATCAATATTTATGGCATACATTTATTTGTCCTTTTACATAAAAGGTCCTAATTATTGTTATTTTGCAGTTGATAACAGAGGCTGAGATAAACCAGATGAAGGCTAATTAAAATATATTGGCAGGTTTTGGATGGGAAATGAACTGTGAAGCACTATATCGTCATAAAACATCTTCACTCACTGAAGGATATATATATTCATGGGACTTCAACTAGTTACCAGGCATCATCCTTAATGTTAGGGATTCAAAGGTGAAAAAAACATGGTCTCTCCCCTTAAATATCTCACAGACATATAAATGAAGAATTACTTACCATGTGATATATATCTGCTAAAAGGCCTCAGTTTCTCAAATGTACCTAATCTCTAGGTAGCTGTTAAAATAACAAATTTAAAGAAATTAAACTTAACAGAGTTTATTTGAGCAAAGAACAATTCATGAATCAGGCAGCACTCAGAACCAGAAGAGGTTTAGAGAGCTCCACTGAGCAGTTTGAGAAGCAACCTTTTATAGCCTGTACACAGAAGCAAAGCAGAGAAATCACCTGATGGGCTACAGCTAGGCATCTGCTTTATTTGGGCACGGTGTGATGAGTTGGCTGCCTGCAATTGACTGAAACCCAGCTGCTTGTGAGTATCTGAAACGCTACTCTGTGTAACACTTCTAAGTTAGGTTTCAGATTGTTATGTGGGAACTCAGAGTATGGAGACAGCGTTAACCTAAGGGCCTCCTGCTTATTTAATTTAGCATAACTACAATCAGATTATTACAAGCGGTAGTGTTGGAAGCAAATATGACCTCAGACTGTTCCTTCTGCAGAGGCATTAACATACACAAAGAAATGGCCCCGTCCACACCTAGCCATCAATTTCTAATCATGTATAAGAAGCATTATCTATGAAAAATGCACACTCATCTTCTCATAGGTCTAACTTCTAACTGTTCTCTGCTGGGCTCAGAGAATCCACATTTATAATTTACCACCTTTGTAGAAATCATAACGTTGGCAGCCTCAAGCCATTCTTAGTTTTGGGATGCAGAGCAAGATCTTTATTTTATAAGACCTCAATCATATGCCAGAGTTATGGTAAGCCCCTGAATAGTACCTCAGGCTGAGGTGAGAATGAATTTTAATTTGTATTAAAGAACTGTTATAAAAGACTGTTTCCGTTCATAGCTTAATAGCGAGTCCAGTGAATTGTGAAGGGAGATGAATGGTAGGGTTGGCAGTATGGGGGAAGGGCTGTGCAAGCCTGCCTGTATTTTTATAGAGATCTAAGTATTTTACAACATGCCATTTTGTTTTCATTAAGGCTTCAAAATTTACTTCTCAGAGAAGAGAAAGTAAACCTTCCATTTTAACCCTTTAATTCAGTTCTGTAGACTATCAGCCCATATGAAGTTATAGGATCCCTTAAATGAGTTTTTAAAGTCAGCAGGTATATGTGTTCCAAATTGAATACTAAAACTTATCTTTGGCAAGCTTTCTTTCCTTGCAGAGTGGCAGAAAATTTACTGGGCCTTTAATGTTTTAACTGTTTCAAAGTCTGTAAATACAAAATCAAATACAAATTCCAAAACTAATCTCTAATAGAAGTGCATGTAAGTCTCTAAAGGTAAACATAGGAGGAATTACCTAACTCTGCCCTTGTTTTTCTGGGCATTTTCATGAAGACACTGAGCTTATCAGTAGGATTAGGGAAGAGATGTGTTCCAAGTAAAAGAAATAGGAATAAGTTAAGCATCGTGTTATATAAAGGCACACAATGCCTTCTGGGACTACCAGACTACCTGTGTGGCTGAGGGCTATTGGGTGGGTGATAAGGTTGGAGAAAAAGGCAGCTGTGTATCATAGAAGATCTTACTTACCAAGCTGAGGATTTTGTACTTTATCCTATAGGCAGTGGGGAGCTGTTGAAGAGTTTTAAAGCTGAGCAAAGACACAAGCTGCTTTGCATTTTTAAAAAGATCACTCTGCCACCTGTGTGGGAAAAGTTTGAATGCAGGGAAACTAGTTAGTATTATATTATAGAGCAGGGTTGAAATAATGAAGAACTGAACTGAGACTATCGAGATAGGGAGGTACAAATGGATTCAGAACTATTTATTAAATAAAACAGGTGGTACTTGGTGACTGACTCAGGGGAAGAATTTTCTGGCTTGGGATATTTACTGGAGGGTGATTCTTTGCCCCTGTTGGACAGAATGAGCACTCTTGTCCACAATAAGTACACTTAAACATAAAACTCTTTAGAAAACAATGGGAGGGAAGGGAGACAAAATATATCGGGTCCCTTGTTTGAGGTAGTGGCAAGGTGAAGTCACAGAGGAGCTAAGGATTGTGCCCGAACTGTCTAGGTCTGAAGCCTCCCATTTGGCCATACTAATCATGTGCATTTTAGCTAAACATGTTACCACCCTCAGAGCCTCAATTCCCTCATTAGAAAGTGAGAAGAATAATTGTATCTGTGCTGTTCCCCTCATAGGATTGCTGTGATGATCAAGGGAAATTGAGCAAATGAATTTTCATCCAGGCACTAGCCACATTAGTCATTATTAATTGTTCCCATATGTGTATTCTATTTTAAAGCCTTGAACTCATGTATATTGATTTTTGTTGCTATCACAAATCAGGTAGAAAATGTTTATCAGTTCAGGCAAATCCCCTGAGGTCATAAGAAAGCTGTTTGGGCTGAGACCTTCTATCATTCTTAGCAGCCATCCTTCTTGTCATCATAATCAATGTCACATATTTTTCCTTTTATTATTACGTTTATAGGCTCCCTGTAAATGGCAGCATGTGTCTAATCCCATATGTGATTTTATACTTATATGAGATACTTTTCTATCTACTCATAGTGGTATTTCTGTCTTACATGTTTCTTCTCAGGAGTGTGGACAAAATAATAGCCGCTTTATGGTACACAGATCAGTAGCCAGGCACTTTACATAGGTAGTTTATTGTTTCTAATAATCTCATTAATTTTGCAAAGTGTGTGTTTTGATCTAGCAATTGGAGGAATCTGGGCTGTACCCAAGGCATTCTCACATCCAAGCTCATCTTCTCACAGAGCCTTAATCACGTTCACTCTGTACACTGTAGCTTCTCACTCTGTTCCCCACTTCCCACATCCACTCTGCCACGAATCTGTAGATTCTGAAAGGAAATTTGAGCCTTGTTCACACGATTCAATCTGGGAAACAGCACCATTAGAAAAAGAAAGAAGATGCTTACAAATCAGTGACCTTCTTATGCCCTTAAAAGGCTGATATAATCTTAAAGAATTCTTTATTTCACTTTTAATTAAAACCAAGAGACTGAGCCCTCTGAGAATGACTCACAAGGCATAGCCCCTTTCTAAGTTTATGTAGTAGCTTATTTTTCAAACGCTGTCACTCCCTTTTTGAAGTAGGTGATCACTAAACCCAATATGAATTAAGGAAAATAAGGAGAGATTAATTGACTCCCAGAGTGACAGAGGCCACTCTTGCTACATTTGGTTTTATAGCCTATTTCCTCTGCAATGCAATCTGTGAAAGGGTTTACATGGAAAGAAATACCCCTTGATTTTATATTAATGCATTGTCTCAATAGATAATTTCTTAAATTTACAGCATTCATTGTTGTCCCTCACTATTTTTTGATACTAGCGGGAAGATATTCTTTCATTAAGAATTCAATAATTGTTTTAAAAGCACAGTTAACATTTTGTAATGTAAAGGACAACAGAAAACAAGGAACTCACCCTGTTTTAAAAGCTCTTATTTACTCTGCACAACAACCCAGGCAGGTAGAGTCAGGAGGCTTCATGAGGGTCAAATACCTTGAGATAACAGAGTTGGGAAGTGAAACCAGATTGGTTTTACTCCAGAATTCCTATTCTGTGACGTTCAAATAACTCCGTGATAAAGCAATCTAAATTTAATTGATTAGCTTTTTAAAAAAAAGTTAAAAGTGAGATAATATCTCTATCTGAGATGATGTGAATATTTTCTGTTAGTTTTAGTATGTCTGTTTGTGTTTTGGGAGCAATCTTTGTATTTACTTTAGTAACCATCAAATTATTGGGTAGCAATAAGAAAACAGAGAATAAGCACAGCTTCAAAAGCATTCCTTTGTGAAGGAAACTACCTATGAGAAAATTCTATGCAAAAATCACCATGGCAACAAATTGTAGGACTCAGAATCAAGATAGTAACGTTAAACCATAACACCCATTGCGTAGATATTAATTAAAACCACTGATGTGTATTGGGTGCCCTTAGGTGCTATGCGCTATTCCAGAAGTTTTATATGTACCAACTCATTTTAACCTTATAATGACTTATGCGGTAGCTATGATCATCCCAATTTTATGGAAATATTACGGTACATGGTTTGAGAAACAAATGGAAACAATGAGATGAGATAGTTGCAAATGAGGTCATCAGAAATTACACTTAGAATATTAATTTTATTTGAGCAGAAGTTTTGTTTTATTTATCATTTTATTCCCTGTGCCAAAAATCGTACCTGGCATATAGTACTAATAGTAACAATGACAATACAGATGATGATGATGGCAACTATGAGGATAATGATTACAACAATCACTGTTTATCATCTTGTTACCTACCCAGCAGAACTTTATACAAATTAACTCATTAATCTCCACAGCAACCCAGGGAGGTATGTGTTATTATTATCCCATTTTGCAGGTGATGAAACAGTTAGCTAACCTTTCTAAGGTAGAATTTGAACCTAACTAGGCTGGTACTAGAGTCTGTGTTTTTAAATGTGCTTAATAAATATTGACTGAATATTATAGTAGTAATTCTTCAAGTATTGAATTCTGCTTCAGAGAAAAGTACACCCCATTAAACAATAGTCACATCTTTTTAGTAGATAGGTGATATATCAACAGATGACTGATTGATATATGAAGATAGATAGATAGACAGACAATGAATATATGGTTAGGAAACTAGACTCTAGAACACAAAATATTAGAGTTTGAATTTTGCCTCCACAACTTTCTAGCTTTGTAAACTTGAGCAAGGGACTTTTCTAAAAGGTAGCAATTATTGTAGTATCAATCTCATGGGGTACCTATAAGGATTTCAAGAGGTTTTATATAAAGTGCTGAGAGCAATACCTGATAAATATGAAGTGCTCCATAAATTTTAGCTATCATTATATTTGTATATGTGAGATGATGTATTGTGACCCCCCCAATAGATACCTCAGGCTGAGGTGAGAATGATTTTTTTTCAAAAGACTGTTATAAAAGACTGTTTCCATTCATAACTTAATAGTGAGTCCAGTGAATTGTGAAGGGAGATGAATGGTAGGGTTGGCAGTATGGGGGAAGGGCTGTGCAAGCCTGCCTGTATTTATATAGAGATCTAAATATTTTAGAATGTAGAATTTTATTTTAATTAAAAGATTAAAATCTGCCTCTCAGAGAAGAGAAAATAAACCTTCCCTATCAACCCTTTAATTTGGTTCTGTAGACCTTCAGCTCATATGAGGTTTAAAGGATCTCTTGAAGAGGGCTTTTAAAGTCAGTAGGTGTGTGTGTTCCAAATTGAATACTAAAACTTAAGATCACTCTATGCCAGAGGAAATGAATACCTTAGAGGGTAAAGAGGAATTTTATGGCTTGCTTTTAAAAGGAGAGGGTACACTGGGCCACTACTAAGCGGCCAAAGCCTTTGTCCAAATTTTACGAAGGCTCCCCTTCTTCTGGCACGCACTGTGTCAGGGTCTGTGGCATGGTGAACAGCATTCAGACTAGATTTCAGCCCTAACTCATCCCCGTGACCAAGTGTTCTTTGAGCAACCTGCCTAACATAATAAATTGACCCAAATGAAGATGGATATCAGGATATGAATAAGAATTTCATTTCTCTGTGTTATTTAGATCTCCTTCAAATTCATCTAATTCATGCTCTGTTTTCTTTCCTATGCCTCCGGCATAATTGTAAAGATATTATTCCATCAGCCTTATGGGAAAAAAATAACTAGATGCTAACATAGGTTCAGAGATGGTTGGGTACAAAGATTGGACTAAACAGTTTAGTCCAACCTCTATATTTTCCAGATGAGGAAACTGTCACTCAGACCCCAAACAGGCATTAAATTCATATTATAAGGTTAGCACTTCTGAGGATATGCAATCCAGATGTGGCTGACCCCTGTTCTCAGAAGATTTAGGGACCACTGGACCTAGAGAGTTTCTTTTGTGGATATAGTCAACAGCCACCTGTAATGTAAAAAAGGAGAAATAAGAAAATAAAAGGTCTAGAAATTTATTATGGATAGAATATTTCAAATATGTATGAATTTTAATCAGCTTCTGCCTTATTTATTTTGGATCCAGCCTGATTTTTTTCCATAGCTATATATAGATTTGTATTTATTGAATGCTGGGTATTCAGAGACTCTGCATGGGAAACCTGAAGGTCAGATAGTAGCCCCGTTTTCCTTTCTATCTGACCAGTTACTTGGTAAGTTCTTACTATTCTCACCATCAGTGAAATAGTACAGGGCCTATGGTACCTGTAGACCCTAAGCTACACTGGACATGAGGAAAGCAGCTGTGAAATATAAAACAGAGCCTCTACCAGATTTCTACCATTATAATTGCTGGAGTTCTGTGGTTATTCTTTCCCTCCTTATAGGGCCTGTTGGTGAATCACAAGATGTCCTAGGCAACCATTTCCACACTTTCACAATACAACACTTTCCTTATTGTTTTCCCATAGAAATCTCCTCACTTACAAGAACTTCCTTACTCTTCTCACCTTTGTCACTGTCCCAATTGCTTTGAGTGATGTTATGTTGGATATGCATCTCCTTTCCCACTCTTGTCCACACTGGAGCTCCATGTTGACGCTAGACTTCTAAGAACTGGGCAGTGTCTGGCAGAGGCAAGATGAGAAGCCTTCAATTTATTTTACAAAGACTTTTTTTTTTTGACCAAGATTTTTCCACCTTGGGCTGTGACTTCACAGAGGGGAGTCTCATGTTACAGCACTGAGATCCCCACTCTGCCCTTTGACAGGCGCCGTGTGGGACCCATGGTCAGCTGAGGCCTCTTTCCTCAGGCAGGGACTTTACTTCACTTTCTATCTTCCACAGCAGCTCTGTTCCTGTGCTGGCCAGGTTCCCTGCCCTGATTTTCATACTGGAGCCTTTTCCTCTGGGATTCTTGTGACTCATAAAGTCAGCCTCTAATTCAGGCACTTTTCCCAGCAGAGAAACAAAAAAGACAAACATGGACGTTTCTGTTGTTGTTAAGTAGCATTAACATTCAGGTTCAGGAGCAACAAACCTTTTCTTAGAAGACGATATACCTTTTAAAACCCTGAAGTTAAAGAATTACCACAGGAAGAATGGGGATGGCAACTGTAGGAAATCAGGATAGGTGTGAGTGAATGCCTTGGCCACTGAGGCCTCAGGCAGCTACTGGTATCCAATAGGTCGAGAGCACCTATGAACCTCCGATCAAAGACCTTCTGCTGTAAATCATAGCTCCACAATGCTAGTTGTCTCTCCTGAGTTCTCACCTATACGTATACTGTTGGTTTCTTCTTTCCATTCTCTGTAAAAGGCCCCCTAATGTATCTCATGTTCTTGCTTTAGCCCACAGTGAGACCTCTTTCATGGAATGCCATGGAGCCCTCTCTCTTTCCCTAGGTCAACAAGTAGAAATTCACATGTGTTCAAGATCCAAGCTCTTTGTAATGGGACATCTGCCTTCTCACATTATTACTGTTTTCAGACCCTACCTTTCTGCTTGGTAGGTTCAAAATCAGCTACTAAGGGGACTTGCAAACAATCCTTCATTCTTCTTCATGCACTTTCATCCCATAATGCCTAAGGGAATAATGAACTTCAAGAACAGCCAGAATCGAATTGTAGATTTTCCTCTAGTAATAACTGTGTAACTCTAGTAATAACTATGAAAACAGAATATATTTCTGTCATCTGTTTAAAGGTAGGAACCATGCTGTATGTTATCATGTGACACATGAGCACGTAGTAGACATTCATTGGAATGACAAGTGGTGGGTATTTACCTACGACTGTGATTTATAGTCTTATAGCTCAAAGGAAGAGTTCACATTTAATGGAAGCTCTTCTTCAGGCTCAAGGATATGTGCGGAAGAACTGGCAGACAGAGGGAAGTCCTTCCAGCAGGGTCAGATTTCATCCTTGTTCTCTTGGGGGATGGTGATGCACATAGTTTCCCCTGGGATTTTTTGATTTCAGAGTTAGGACACAGAAACTGATTTTCATCAACCCATCTATTATGTACTATAACAGTGTCTGCTTTTTGTTAAAGTCTTTTTCATCTATACTAAACATGTGTCAATATCAGATGCTCTGGAGAAGTTTCACCATATGTGGATGCCTCTAACATAGGTTAGGTCATTGTAATGAGCATGACTAGACTTTGAAAAGTAGAATCAAGGTACATAGCAAGCAAAATTCTCAGCCACTCTGATTGACTCTGTAAAAGGTAATAAAACAAAAACTATTCAGCAAACTTAGAAGATTGAAAAGAAACAAATTAAGACCTGCAAAAGGACTTTATTTTCAACACCAGTAACTCTGAAAGTTTGTTTAGCATGCTAAGCAAATGTCAGTGGTTGGCAAGGTGAGGGTAATTGTCATTGCCTTTCTCTGAAGTTCCTTCTACCAATGATAAGTAAAAAGAAATGGAAAGAAAAACACATTGCAAATAAGCCTAAAGCTAATAGTGCATCCTCAGGACCCTTAGTATTATTAAATCATATAATGCTTGACCTGAATCAGAAAACTTTCCACCCAAACACTTAAAAAATTGAGAAAATAACTCCAGCAAAATCAAGAGACTCACCCAAGATCACACAGTCACACCAGTAGTCTGTGACGGATATAGCAGTTGGGTCAGAGACTTCAGGTGGTAGTGCTTTTTCTCATTCACCAGCCTGTAATTTCAGCTAAACACAATCTACCATAATGTTTCATGTTAAGAAACATGGCCTATCATAGAGCAAGACCGGAAGGAAGGAAATAAAACTTACCTCAGGTTAACAGTGTTTACCTCAGGGAAGTATGATTGGGATGGGGAAAGAAATTATCCTTCACTTTATACAATTTTAAATTGTTTTGTCTGTAAGCATGTTTAAGTTTTGTTATTAAAAACTAAATTTAGGCTGGGTGCAGTGGCTCAGGCCTGTAATACCAGCACTTTGGGAGGCCGAGGTGGACAGATCACTTGAGGCCAGGAGTCTGAGACCAGCCTGGCCAACATGGTGAAACCCCATCTCTACTAAAAATACAAAAATTAGCCAGGCATACTGTCATGATCCTGGAATCCCAGCTACTCAAGAGGTTGAGACAGGAGAGTCACTTGAACCTGAGAGGCAGAGGCTGCAGTGAGCCAAGATCACACCACAGCACTCCAGCCTGGGCAACAGAGCAAGACTTTTGTCTCAAAAAACAAAAAACAAAAAAAAAACCCTAAATTTAAAAATCTCCCATTAGGCTCAGAATTTCAGTCATAAGTATGCACCCAAGAGAAATGAAAACATACATCCTTACAAAGCTTGTATACAAATGTTCATAGCAGCATTGTTCATAATATAGCCAAAATATGGAAACAACCCAAATGCCCATCAGCTGATGAATGGATAAATAGTATGTGGTATGTCTTTATAATTCAATGGAATATTATTTAACCAGAAAAAAGAATGAAGTACTGATACGTGTTACGCATGGGTAAACCATGAAAAGATTATGCCAAGTAAAAGAAGACAATCGCAAAGAGCCACACCTTGCATGATTCCATTTCTGTGAAATGTCAACAATAGGCAAATAAATCTGTAGAGTCATAAAATAGATTAGTGATTTCCTGGGGCTAGAGGGAGAGGCTATGGGAATTAGGAGATGCTGATCATGGGTATGGGATTTCTTTGGGAGATTATGAAAATGTTTTAAAAGTTGACCATCATGATGGTTGCACAATTCTGTAAATATACTAAAAGCCACTGAACAATGCACTTTAAATAAGTGATTTTACTGTAGGTAAATTATATCTCAATAAAGCTTACTTAAAATTCTTACTTAAAAGTTAAATAATTTATATAGCCACAGTGACATTAATACTATGTCCTTATAATGTCAAATATTCAGATAAAAATAATAAAAAATAATTTTAAAAAGTTTTAATTTGTCTATGAAAGGTTATTCAAATAAATTATTCAGAAGAAGGTTTTCAGATTTTTACATTTTTAACATGGCTATAGTTCTCATTTACTAACTACTTTTTGTTTGGTGTTTTGCAAAAATAATCACTAATCCTAATAATAAATCTATACAGTAGGTATTTTTATTTCTATTTCACTGATAAAGATGATAGCTACCAGAGCTGAGATTTCAACCTAGTTTTGTTTGCTTTTGCTACACTACAATCATCATTCCATTACATAAAACTAATCCTTAATACTCTCCTTCCCAGCCAGAAGAGTTGTCTACACTATCTCTTCTTTCTTATAACCCATTTACTCCTCAGAGAACTGGAGCTTAAGTTCTGCCCCCAGCCCTCCACTGAATTCATTTGCACTAAGGTTGCCAAGATTCTTTGTTTCTAAATCCAGTGGAAACTTTTCAGTCCCTATCTAATCTTATTTTCCTGTACACTTGCCTCTGTTGCCTGCTCCTTCCTAAAACTTTTTTTAAACTTCCAGAATCCTGTTTCCAGGCTCACTGTTGTGCTTGCATCTCAGACTTTTTCTTCTCTGTCTCATTAGGCATCTCCTTTTCTCCTCATCCTTTATGTGTCTGTTTCACCCAGTGATTCCTTCCTTCTCTTCCTACTCTGCACACCCACCTGAGTGGAACACATCCACACCCACAGATCTGATTTTAAACTATGTGCCTATGTCTCTCGTCTCTATATCTACAATTAGATCTTGGCTCCAGACATACATACCTACCGGATATCGATCCTCAAATGCTCTGAAGCACATCAAAAAGTATGTTCATTACACTTACCATTCAGATTGTTGTCTCCTGTTAAATCCACTGTCTAATGACCATCAACAGTGTGGGGTAGCATTTAAGGGCATGTGCTTGAGTTCGGATCCTGGCTCTACTCACTAGCCGTGTAGCCTCTTTATGCCTTAGTTTCCTTATCCATAAAATGAGAATTTTTTAAAAAGTATCCATCTCATAGGATAATAATGAGGGTTAATGAGTTTATACATGAAAAGCATTTGGCCCATGGTAAGCTAAGTACTTCTGTGGAAAAGAGATCAGAGATCAAGTTAAGGCAAATCAGTAGGAGGAATCTAGAAAAACATCTTGGTGTTATAACTTGATCTCTGTGTCTTGGTCCATTTGCGTTGCTATAAAGGAACACCTGTAGCTGGATAATTTATAAGAAAAGAGGTTTATTTGGCTTTCAGTCCTGCAGGCTGTATGAGAATCATGATGTCAGCATCTGCTTCTAGCAGAGGGGAGCCAGGATCACATGGTGAGAGGAAGAGAGCAAGAGAGAAGGGAGATGCCAGATTGTTTTTTACAGCCAGATCTTGCAGGAACTAACAGTGAAAACTCACTCAGTCTCCCAAAAATGACCCCAAGCCATCATGAGAGATCTGCCCCCACAACCAAAACACCTCTCCCAGGCCCCACCTCCAACACTGGGGATGAAATTTCAACATGAGTCTCAGAAAGGACAAATATCCAAACTATATCACCAAGCATCATATCCATATATCTTTAATATCTCTTGAATGATTTTTCTGCAGTCTTTCCATATTATCTCCAGTCTACATCCAACTAGAATCACTGCTCATCTGAAGTATTTACCCACTGGTTTTCACCACAGTCTGTCTATATGCACCTGCAATTCATTATCCACACTGTAGCCCATGTGGAGCATTCTGCATTGCAAATCTGGTTGTCATTGACCTGATTAATCTTCCAATCTCCACATCACCTGTCCTTCAGTCATATCAGTTCTTTCAGTTCACAGAAAAAACAAAAGTCTCCCTTTCTTTGAGGTCCTTGCTTATGCTTCCATTTTGAAACTCCTCCTCCCTCTCTTAATGGGCACATGTACCATTCACCTGGCCACCTCATTACCAGCTCCCACAAACAGGTCTGTTCACATGAGTAACTGTTAATAAGCCCAAGAAATGTGTTTTTGGTGGTGCCACCAGAAACCCCTCCCTGAAGTTCTCAGCATGGGTGAGGGGACCTCCTCCATCCTTCCAAAGTTATAGAAATTAGCCTACATTATTATTATTATTAATTACTTGATTTCCATGTTTGCCTTATCAACTAGACTGTGAGCTTCTTGAGTTCAAGGACTCTGTTTTAATTATTTCCTCTATCCCTAGTGCCAGCAATGTGCCTGGAAAGTATTGAGTTGTTGGTTTTTTAAGCAATAAAAAAAATATATTTAAATCATTATTCATTTATTTACTCCCATAAGAGCCCTGTATTTGGTGATCCTGTGAAATGCTCTGTGCCATCAACTGAGAATACAAAGATAAATTAGACTTAGCTCTTTCCTGAAGAGACTCCCAATCTAACAGAGACCATAGCAGACAGGAAAACAATTAGCATTCCATACAAAGCTGCTATAATCGAGGGCATATTCTGACAGGGTATCAAGAATGGAATATGTTAATTTATTAACATGATTAAAATGAGAGAGAAGTTAAGGGATGTTTACACACACACAAACACACAGATTGACACTGAGAAGTCTGTGGGATATTAACTAATGGGGTCAGGTGACTGCATTCAATTTGAATTAAAATAGAGATAGAAACCTTTCTTGGACATAATTATAGCCCTCACTGCCTTATTCTTCCCACTATTTAAATTGGCTCCTTAAGCTCTTCCCCAACCTTTGACAAAGCCGCGGGCATACTATAAAATATTCTATCTGTGTAATTCCAGCACTCATGGATGTTCTCTCAGTGTTTTCCCAAATTCGAGTCCATAGAGTTGAGCTGATTCATGGCCAAATTTCTGCTGGCCTGGGGCAAAAAGAAAGAAAAGAAGAACTTTGCAATGTACACATACAAATATCAGTATCGGGTTGCCCATTGTCCTTCCTTGGGAGGAATCCTTCCTGAGATTGGAATCTCCCTTTAATTTTGGTGTTAAAAATATTTTATTTTATGAAATTATGGTGATGATAGATAGTAGATATTATGTTAACGCGCTTCATTTAAAAAACTAAAACGTGGATTTGTCTTCAGGATTTTTCATTAAAATCGTTCCTGCCACTGTGTGTTCTTGATGCAGTCCCCCAGTCACCCTCTTGAAATCAGCTAGCACTCTTTTCACGGTGCCATTTTTTGTACACTCATGCACAACATTTGGTAGACACTGTGTTTGAACATCTGATTAGTTTTGGCTGTGGACACTATTTTCAAAAGCCCTTGGATCTAGGTTTTGCAGCCTGTAGTCCAGACACATTGGGGACCCAAACAAGACATCTTAAAGATAACAACCCAGTCATAAGTTGGATGATTACTATATATACAAGTCGTCATCAATAATGTTACTTTTTGGTTTTTGTGATGTCCCTGACATCACATATGTCTCCATTTGACATATGTCTCCATTTGACAAAAATTTTATATAATTTTGATGACATTTTTATTTTTTTCTTTGTTTTCTTTTTTTCTATATAGCTGCATTATATGACAGCCCTTGTATGCTGATAGCCCCTCAGCAAGTGAGAGTATATAAGTGCAAAATATGATTGCCATTTTTGCTCTTGTGTTTTATTTGTTGCTGTTTCAATAATTCTTTTTTTTCCATTGCTCTAAACTGCTTATATTATAACCTTTGGGGTAGGAATTAACAAGTTATCTGTACAGCTTTCAAAACACCAAAATAAGGAAACACATTTTGTAATTGCACTGTCAAAAAAAAGAAAACAAAAAAAAACCTTTTGCTTTTCTTTTAGTAACAGGCATAAAGAATGTCATTTTATTTCCTAAGGTTTTTTTCCTCTAAATTAATCCCTCACTATTTTCGCTGATTCATTATACAACGCTAGCCTTATTAGAGAACACTTTTTGTAGCTCTGATCCTGCTAAATAGAAAAATAAAGTGATTTAATAACTCCATATTATTAAATGTTATGAGGCTAACATTGAAATGGAGTTGAGAATTACAGAGGCAACAGAAGCTAGCAGTAACACATGAGATGGACAATTTTGCTGTAAAACCAGCATTCTTAAATGTCAGTCATTAACACTGTGTATACAGAGGAGCTGATCTGAACTGCAAAGGAAAAATCCCACACATTAAAAAATAATGAAAGAAAAAAAAACCTTAGTTCATAGAAACACTCAATCTAAGACAAGTTACATGAGGAGTAGAAAATTATAAGTTTAGCCTGTTAGTTTTGCTAATATGAAACTGTACCCTGAAGGAAAAAATAACTACGGTAAAAGCAATATAGAATGATAATTATATTTTGTTATACCCAAACCTACACCTTTGCCTTAGATTGTCATTATTTGACTTCTCAATTCAGGCAGTTCTGTCTATTGTCAGCTTCATTCCCCTGTTCCTTCCTCTCTCTGCCTCTGCCCTTGCTATTCCTCTACACTGAGCTACTTTCCCATCTTTCTTTGGTTTTCATAACTGTATCAGTATAAGAAAATCTAGCTCAAGTATTTATTATTTACATCACTTTTTTTCTTGAGCACTTCTACCTTTGTGAGTGCCTATCTTCTTTGGAGTCATATCATGTTTTGCCTACTTTAGGCCAAACTATTATTGCTCAATTAAAGATTACTTTGTGTAATCGGCAAATCATTCATTTCTGTGGTCTTGTCTCATTAACTATATTAATGTAAACCTCTTGAATATAGAGGCCCTTGATATCAATTTGTTGGTATCCCCATAAAAGTAGAATAGTGCCATACACATAGTGGGTTCTCAAATGTTCAGTGTGTCATCTTTAATAATCATCACGACAATGATAGCTGTCGGGGCATGAAGAGCAACTGAAATGTCTTCTCAAAGTACCTGTATGAAAACCACATTTTTCTCTAAGTTAAAATAGCTGTACTTTTTCCTTGAATAATCTTTTAAGTTTTTAAAGTATTAATAATTGTACATATTCTTGGAGTGCAGTGATGTTTCGATACATGTAATGTGTGGTGATCAGGTTAGCATATCCATCATCTCAAACATTTATAATATCTTTGTGTTGGGAACATTTAATATTTTCCTTCTAGCTATTTGAAACTATGTATTATTGTTAAATGCAGTCATTCTACCATGCTACAGGACATTAAATTGAAATAACAAAGAAAACAAGTTCTCCACGGTGCTTCCAGGACCGTTCATTTGATGTTCATGTTTCACAGGACCTTGACTTCTTTAGTAGAAGAAAAGTTAAACTTTAATGAAAACACTGACTGACCATTAATCGAATATTTTCTTAGTTCCAAAAGTTGTCAGCTTTGAGGTCATTTTATGTCAATTTGATGACTCTAAAACTCTTCTCCCTTAAAACCACACTTCTTGTGTCACAGCATAGTGTATCCACACTTTTGCAATGCACATTAACTTCTCAAATACTCTATTACAGAGCTCAGCAGCTGCAGTTCTCCTACAGGTTTGACACCTTTTCAGTCCAACTTTTCAATGTAGTCTACACTCCACTTCACTTGGTTGATTTACTCTGCTGGGTTTATTACTGAACTGTTCATTTAATTTAATGACTAACAAAAGACTCAGATAAAATTCTCCATCCTGTTTTTAGAGCCTAGCATAATTAGACACATCTCCCACATCTTCAGATAGCAAATTTAATTAGAATCTCCAGTGGATCACTTTCTAGGGCAGGAACAGGACATGGAGACATTGAGGCTGCTTCCCTGGAGTAGAGGAAGAGTCTTCCCAAGCTTTCTTTGTATTGACCTGTATCAAATGTCTCAGAGGAAGATTGGAACAGAAGATAAGCCTGTGATATATTCAAACCCTTGAGCAATACTGTCTCCAGGGATCAAAGTCCTTTTCCCTCAACCAGTAATCATTTGATGAAGCATAACAATTAATGACCCTTGGGTCCAGCATAAGTCTCTCTTTTTTCAGATATTTAATTTCTCCCCATTTCGTTTCATCATAAATTTAAAATTTGAAATGGACATCAGTAATTTTGAAAAGTTAAACATTTATTTATTTTATAACAATCCGTAGTTTCTCTGCCTTCTTACTTTTTACTGCCACATTATATGACCTTACGGCTTTTCCCAAACTTACTCTGCTTTCTTGCTATTCACCAGAGTGGATGTAAGTGAGGTCTTTGACAGTGGCTTCCATTGTCAGTTGCAGTGCTACCAGTCTAGCATGGAATGATACTCAGTTTACTGCCACGAATTATTATACTCATTTCTCTGATTAATTACTATTTGCAAAAACCTTGCAGCTGGATGGAATCAAAGAGCGTTAGCACTGAAAGGAGTCTCAGACATTATTTGTTTCAGTGCTCAGTGTATAATGTACAGATGGGAAAACAGTCCCACAAAAGGGAAAATGGCCTGCCCAAGGTTGTGTAGCAACTTAGTAATAAATGCCCTACTAGAACAAGGGTCTTACTGCTTTCACGCCAATTGTCATTCCAGCACCTAAACTGAAATCTCTTGAATAGCATATGGCATAAAACCTTGTATTTCCTTTCATTCCTTCAAGATGATACTCAGTGAGGCAAGGATGCAGAGTCTGCAGAGGCTAAAAAGCTGCATATGAGGGTGGTCATGATAGCTCATGCCTGTGATCCCACACTCTGGGAGGCTGAGACAGGAAAATTGCTTGAGCTAGGAGTTCAAGAATAGCCTGGGCACATAGCAAGACCTCATCTCTATGAAAAAATGTTTTAAATAGGCAGGCATGCTGGCACAGGCCTATAGTCCTAGCTACTGGGGAGGCCAAGGTGGGAGAATCACTTGAGCCTAGGAGTTCGAGGTTACAGTGAGCTGTGATTGCACCACTCTGCTACAACCTCGGTGACAGTAAGACCCTGTCCCTTAAAAAAAAAAATGCTGCATATTGAGTCCCTTCCTTTGGCCAGTGGCCTACTCTAACAGTCATGTGCAATAATCTTTAATTCAACAAATACTTACTAAGCAAATAGTGTTTACTCTGCTAGGAATGGCTCAGTTAGACAATTGTGGGAAGATAAAAAAGGACACTATATTTGATCTCTAGGACAAATGCTAATCGTGGGTGTGAGGCAGATGAAAAATATGCTCTGTTTTTGTAGGTGTGTATGTGTATGTACATGCGTGCATATGCTCGTGTGTGTGCATGCATATATGCTCATGTGCGTATGGAGAGAGAGAGAGAAAAAAAGACAGTCATAATCAATACAGGGTGCTTCAGGAGGTGCTGAGAAGAGAAAGATCTCAAGTGTTCAGAGGAAGGTTAACATAGTGGGAAGACAAAGGTTGGTATCCGAGGCTGAAAAAAAAAAGAAGGTGAAATAACTTGAATAAAGGAATAGAGATGAGAAGGCATCTATGAACTCATTCACTTATTCATACATGTAGTGACCATTCATTAAAAGCTTATTCTTTGCCAGATGGCAATAAGTATACGGATACTTAGATGAAAAAAATGTTTTCTGATCTCAGGGGATACATACTCTAGACCAAACTTCTAACACTTTACTGTGCATAAGAAGCAACATTTCCAATGAGCTCTCAGGAGATGCCAATGTTGCAGGTACTTGAATTGCACTTTAGAAACCAATAAACTTGCTTATAAAATGATGATTATAATATAACATGACAGTTGCCATAATGGAGGCAAGCTACTTGGGAAGCTGAGGAGGGATGGTCAGTTGAACTTAGGCAAGGGTGCCTTGGGAACGGAGAGTGGAGGTGCTGGTGGCAGTTGTCTAGATGAGCTTGAAGGTGTGTGCAAAGCAGCAGCAGACAAGGCCAAAACCATAAACTAGAACTGTATATAAAATGGAGGGCCTTAAATTCCAGGGCAGGAAGGAACTCAGGCTTGCTTATAAACTTCTTGCCACATTTCCTGAGTGTGATTTTTCTTCCTTTACCAGTAGTGTCAGAAAGAATTAATAATTATAATATTAATAATAATAACTGACCATTATTGAGCATGTTGATGGGCCAGCACTGGGATAAACCTGTTACATACATGAGCTCATTTGATCTCACAAGCATCCTATCAAGTAAGTCATTATCCTTCCCATCCTATTATGCTGTTATTGTCCTCTTTTTCAGAATTAAAAAGCAAAAATAGTGAAGCTTAGAGAGGGTATCTGGATATTTGAAAATAACTCTCGTTCACTCCAGGGATGCTATCATCCTAATTTACTCAGTGTGAACCAAAGGAAGGTCACATGATCTTGTATTCTCAATTCTATTCTCTATTATTTTTGTATTTTCTATATACTTCTGCTATCATACTAAATAGTAATTTGTTTACCTGCCCATATTCCTCACTGTGCTGTTTTATTCCTATTTTATTCCCCAATGTTTGGGATATAGTAAGTGTTTGGTGATTAACTATATTCTAATTCTTCTGCAATGTGATCCTTCTAGTTTCTTTCATGCCTTCTTTCTCAAGATGTTTCTCCCACATTAAATGTTCTCTCATTTCTTCTTTCTCAAGCTGTTTCTCCCATATTAAGTGTTCACTGTTTAAAACAGTCTTCACATTGACAACTTCAGTGCGAGATCTTCAAATGCCATCTCCTACATGGATCTTTTTCTGATTCTTCCTCTGCAGACCTTGGAAGAAACTGGCTCTTCCTTCTTAGCAATTTCATAGTATTTTTCTGGTACCTCTGTTATAGTACTTTTATCTTATATTAGGTATATACGGTAATTTCTGTGCTTATTTTATGTTACCGATAAACTTGAAAGTCCCTTGCAGAAGGAGTAAGCCCTGATAATGTGGTTATTAAGTGGTTAACTTTCGGAGCCATACTGACAGGGGATATTTTTAGGCTTTTTTTGTTAGGTTGGTTGGTTTTTGTTTTCTTCGTTGGTTTCCAGTACCTTTGCTCATTGACCCAATTACCTTGGTGAAGTTTCTTAACCTCGATGAGATTCATGTGTAAAGTGGGGAAATAATGTTTACCTCGAAGGTTATCTGGAGAATTAAGTGGCACATATAAAGTGCTTTGCATTGCCTACACAGTAAGCACTTGATACATGGATGATATTGTTGGTATCCTTTGTGTTCTACCCACATCACACTACTCTCTCCAAAAGTAGATGCTAATAATATTTTGGAATAGATGGATGAATGAATGAGTGATCAACTTTCTTATGAGGCTTACCTCCTCTACCATATTGTAAATAGTCCTATTATACTTCCGTGCTCCCCTATCTCCCGAACTATGTATGTATGTCTTTATTAATTATTGAAATCTTGGCCAGGTGTGGTGGCTGGTGCTGGTAATCCCAGCACTTTGGGAGGCCGAGGTGTGTGTGTGTGTGTGTGTGTGTGTGTGTGTGTGTGTGTGTGTGTGTGTGTGTGTGTGTGTGAGAGAGAGAGAGAGAGAGAGAGAGACATCTACTATAGCAATCTTCCAGTTAGCAAGCTGGAAACTGGAATTTACTCCTAACAAAACAGAACTATTCACAAAACTATTTATAACTTTTATTTTGTGAGCTTTTATAGTGCAAAACTATATATGTATATATATATATATATATATATAGAGAGAGAGAGAGAGAGAGAGAGAGAGACAGACAGACAGACATCTGATATAGCAATCTTCCAATTAGCAAGCTGGAAACTTGAATTTACTTCTAACAAAACACAGCTATTCACAAAACTATTTCCAACTTTTATTTTGTGAGCTTTTATAGTGCAAAACAATATAATTTTACTAAAATTGCTTCTTTAAAGGGGAAATTTGCATATTAAAATTTATTTGGCCCACCCTATCACACAGCTGCATAACAGTATGTTGATAATGTACAAATGGCTTACGTCAAAGGTGAATTAGACCATTAAGATGTAAAAAGCAACAACCCATCAAAAGATGATAATGAAAGTTCATTGGGGCATTTAGGGAATTTAGTGAGTAGAAGTGCTTAACAATAAATTAGGCAAAATGTTTCAACTTAGTTGATTCTCAATAAGTGGTCCATAAAACATATATGTAAGCAAGAATGACCATGTTAAACATGTCTGCTTATTCACTACACTTCTTATCATCTGTTTTGCTAAAAGCTTTGGAGAACAAAGTAGACCTCATCCCTTTGCTGTGGGTCTCTGTAAGATGGAAGACATACCATATATAAGCCATCACAGGATTCCTCAGTTAGTCATACAATTAACATAAATTGTGATAAGTGCTGCAAAGGAAAAGACCAGAGTTCCTTGAGGAAATAAGACTAGAGGGAAGGTCAAAGGAAGGTTTTTGTAAGGAAGTTCCATTTAATGGAGCCCCAGAGGATGGGTAAGAATCAGATCAAAAGTGAGAGAAACTGCTTAACAGTTGGACTAATATGTATCATGACCCTTATTTCTTCCAAACCACTGAGCCCCTGCCTCAGTTTCCTCACCTACTAAGTGGTGATATCAATCACATCTACCCAATAGGATCAATGTGAGGATTATATGACATGTAATATGCTTAGTACAATGTTTGCCACTCATTAAATATTAGCCATTATTATTGTTGTTTTAGGGTATTATTATTATTACTAGCAATTTTATCCTAAATGCATGGGATGATACTGAAAGTAGATTAAGCTGGTTTAAGCAAGGGAATGAATGTCAAGAACAATGAAGGACCTCAGATTTTTTACTTCATTTTCAGTCTAATAAGTAAGCCTCCTACACTGTACTGGATACGGACAGAAGATTCTTCACTCCTGAATCAGAGACTTTATTACTTATAATAATAGCTGTAGCCAGAATAAAAGCATTTTCAGCAGTTCCCTGAGCTCCAGTTCCCACAGTGCAACACAAAGAAGGCCAGGTGATGCCTGCACATGCAAGTGGTTGTGTTATAGGAAAAGAACCCCAAGTGTAGGGAACTTGAATCTTTTATTAGGAACAGTAATCCTGCCTGGTCTTTACTATGGAGAAATGCATTATTGTTATTATGATGGATGGTTAAAAAAAAAAAGTAAACAAAAGAACTAGTTCCAGAGATACTGTGTCTATCTTTCAAGGCTGTATACTATACAAATATCTTTGAAAACATAGCCCAGAACAAAGACAGTCAGTGCTTCTGCTAGCAACATGTGCAGAAATGCAAGAGGCTCATAAATGTCTCCCAAGAATTATATAATCAGATCTGATGTTTTATAAGATCATTATTTAAGCTGTTAAATTTATAAGTATTTGTAAAATTTTACATCTTTTACTTCATTCTTTTACATCATAAACTTTTTTTTTCAAATTGTCACATTGTGCTTATAACACTAATTTTTATAATTATACAGCACAGTGGTCCTCAATTTGTCCATGATTTTGCATATCAATCATGGTCTAAAAATATTAAATGGAAAATTTCAGAAATAAACAATTTATATGTTTTAAATTATGTGCCATTTTGTGAAGCATGATAAAATCTCTCACTATCCTGCCCAGGACCCGAATAATCCCTTAGTCCAGGTATCCATGCTGTATACACTACCCACCCTTTAGTCACATAGGAGCCATCTCAGTGACCAGATCAACTGTTGCAGTATTGCAGTGCTTGTGATCAAATAACCCTTATTTTACTTAATAATGCCCCCAAAGCACAAGAGTAGTGATGTGGGCATATTGTAATCATTGTTATATTTTATTATTAGTTATTGTTGTTAATATCTTACTGTGTCTAATTTATAAATCAAGTTTTATCATAGATATGTATGCATAGGAAAAAACACAGTATTTGTAGGGTCCATTACCACCTGCAGTTTCAGGCATCCAATCTTGGCACATTTCCACTGAAGATAAGAAGGGACTACTGCATATCAATAATATAATCCACAATAATTTATGTAGCTATTCTTGAATGACAGGAGGTTTAGTTTGCTTCTAATTTCTGGAAATCACCAATGAACACTTATTTTAAGATGTGAATTGGTTGAAAATATAAAGCAACTACACTCATTGTGGAAATAACAGTACAAATGGCCTAGGAAGAATTGCTTGATGCTGCCAATTTGCCTAAGCCCCCAGTTTCCAATAAGGGATGGTGTTAATAAAGGAATATTTTTAGCCTGATTGCAAAGGTTTACAATAAATTTCAATAAAGTGCTCAGGATAAACATACAACAATTCTACTTCTACCAGAAACATTTTCTGAGACTGAGAATCAATTAATACTATTTATAAAACCATAAGAACTTCATTCTATGAAATTCTACCCAGAGAGAAGGTCAGGAGTAACAGAATACTCTATCAGATGAAGCTCTGTACATATCTACCTTCAAATATTCTTGATATAAAATGGGTCTGATAGGTTTTTTCCTACTTATTTCAAAAATTAATTTTTAGATTAGTACTCATATTTGTTACCTAGTAGAGAGTAATCTTTATATGTCTAATTATTAGGGAGTTTACTATATAGCATTAGTTAGAATACTAGATCATCAAATTTAAAGCTCATATTTACTGCTAAGGAAACTCATTGAAAAGATAAATGAATTGTCCATATTTATAAAATTAAATCAATACCTGTTATTGAGCATCTTCTGTATTAAAGAGGCTGTGGTTGCCCGATAACACATTTCTCATCCAGAAATACCTACCCATAAAATTGGGTAAAATGGAGATATGATTTGTTGTATGGACGGTGCTATGATCATAGAACAATGGCAATGGAAAAAAATAAATGTGTGTGAATTATCCTGACTGAGAACGTAAGAAAAATCTCAAGGAAGCTGAGCATTTGAGTCACCACATCTCAGGAACATAACAACTCATCTTGCCCACTATCCATTTAGAGGTTTAAGACTCTTCAGCATCATTTCCAGTTCCCCATACCCTGCTTTTTTATCCTCAGGGGCAGGAAACTGAATCTCTTCATATTGTCCAATCTGCCTTCCTATATTCCTGGGGATTAGGAAGGGTTCCCTTGGGATGCATTTCTGTCTTCCTAATACCTATTAGTTTTAGTGCTACCTTCTGGGACCACACAGTGGAAGTCCACTGCCCATTTCAGATGAGGAGGTTGCACATGTTTACAATTTGCTTAGAGCTTTCCCTTTTCTAGATTAAACATTTCCAGTGCCTTCTGTTGCTTTTCATTTGGCATGATTTAAAATCACTTATCATTCTGATCTTCAGATTGAAGAGTAATTGTTTCTGAATCCAAAATAGTACCCCTTGTGCAGGCTGATTGGTGAGTAAGAGTGTAAATATTCCCTCCCTTGTTCTTGATGCTACTTTTGTTAATGTAGCAGTTTTTATATCCATATAACAATCTTGATTCATTCAATCTTGATTCAAATGAACCCTCTAAACTTTTATTTTCCAATGAAGGCTAGTAATCTGTGGTGGGTACTACAGAATCAAGTACAGCAAGAAATAGGAGATAGGGGAGGGATATTCCAGAACAAGGGGAGCCATATATAAATGCCTAGTGGCATGAAAGAACATGAGATGTTTGAGAAAGGCTGAGTAGCCCAGAGTGAATACATTATAGAATATGCAGAGGGACATAAGGCTAAATGGTGGATCATGAAAGGCTTTCGAATTACATTTGTGAATTAGTGTTTAGCACGATTACTTTGATAAAATTTTAAAGGATGAATTCAAGAAAAAAAAATACCTTGAATAGTGGAAAAGTAGTTAATAATGGTGAAAGTAATAATAGTAATAATATTTAGTGATTAATTGAGTACCTACTATATCTTCCATAATATATACTACATACATTGTGTTTGATGTCACACAAAAAAAAATCATGAAGACTTATTTTTCTCATGTTGTGGATGAGGAAATTAAGGCTTAGTTAAGTGGACTTACCAAGGTAACCAAGCTATTCAGTGGTGGATCCTGGATCAAATCCAGGTCTTCTGACTTTGTCTTTGCTACACTATGACAACAGCAGATGGAAACTGTATTAGTACCGTCAGATGGAAACTGTATTAGTCATTTTCACACTGGTGAAAAAGAGACATACCCAAGACTGGGCAATTTACAAAAGAAATAGGTTTATTGGACTTACAGTTCCACATGGCTGGGAAAACCTCACAATCATGGCAGAAGGTGAAAGGCACATCTTACATAGTGCCAGACAAGAGAAGAGAGAGCTTGTACAAGGAAACTTAGTTTTTAAAACCATCGGATCTCGTGAGACTTCTCCACTATCACAAGAACAGCACAGGAAAGACCCACCCCCATGATTCAATTCTCTTCCACTGGGACCCTCCCACAACATGTGGGAATTCTGGGAGATACAAAATGAGATTTGTCTGGGGACACGGAGTCAAACCATATCATTCTGCCCCTACCCCCTCCCAAATCTCATGTCTTCACATCTCAAAACCAATCATGCCTTCCCAACAACCCCCAAATTCTTAACTCATTTCAGTATTAACTCAAAAGTCCACAGTCTAAAGTCTCATCTAAGACAAGGCAAGTCCCTTCCGCCTATGAGCCTGTAAAATCAAAAGCAAGTTAATTACTTCATAGATACAATGGGGCTACAGGCATTGGGTAAATACAGCCATTCCAAATGAGAGACATTGGCCAAAACAAAGGGGCTATAGGCTCTATGCAAGTCTGAAATCCAGTGAGGCAGTCAAATTGTAGAGCTCCAAAATGATCTCCTTTGACTCCATGTCTCACATCCAGGTCATGCTGATGCAAGAGGTGGGTTCCTATGGTCTTGAGAAGCTCTGGCCCTATAGCTTTGCAGGGTACAGCCTCCTTCCCAGCTGTCTTCATGGGCTGGCTTGAGTGTCTGCCATTTTTCCAGGCACACAGTGCAAGCTGTCAGTGGATCTACCATTCTGGGGTCTAGAGGACAGTGGTTCTCTTCCTGCAGCTCCACTAGGTAGTGCCCCAAGGTGGGAGCTCCTACCCCACACTTCCCTTCCACACTACCCTAACAGAGGTTCTCCATGAGGCCCCCACCTCTACAGCAAACTTCTGCCTGGGCATCCAGGTATTTCCATATATCCTCTGAAATCTAGGTGGAGGTTCCAAATCCTCAATTCTTGACCTCTGTGCACTCACAGGCTCAGTACAACATGGAAGCTGCCAAGGCTTGGGGCTTGCACCCTCAGAAGCCACAGCCCAAGCTCTATGTTGGCCTCTTTTAGCCATGGCTAGAGTGGCTGGGACACAAGGCACCAAGTCCCTAGGCTGCATACACCAGAGGTACCCTGGGACCAGCCCACAAAACCACTTTTTTCTCTTTGGCCTCTGGCTCTGTGATGGGAGGGGCTGCCATCAAGACCTCTGACATGCCCTAGAGACATTTCCCCCATTTTCTTAGGGATTAACATTCAGCTCCTCATTACTTATGCACATTTCTGCAGCTGGCTTGAATTTCTTCTGAGAAAATGGGATTTTATTTTCTATCCCATTATCAGCTGCAAATTTTCCAAACTTTTATGCTCTGCTTCCCTTATAAAACTGAGTATCTTTAACAGCACCCAAGTCACCTGTTGAATGCTTTGCTGCTTAGAAATTTCCTCTGCCAGATACCCTAAATCATCTCTCTCAAGTTCAAAGTTCCACAAATCTCTTGGGCAGGGGGAAAATGCTTCCTGTTTCTTTGCTAAAACATACCAAGAGTCACCTTTGCTCCATTTCCCAACAAGTTTCTCATTTCCATCTGAGACCACCTCAGCCTGGACTTTCTTGTCCATATCACTATCAGCATTTTTGTCAAAGCCATTCAACCAGTCTCTAGGGAGTTCCAAACTTTCCCACATTTCCCTATCTTCTTCTGAGCCCTCCGAACTGTTCCAGCCTCTGCCTATTACCAAGTTCCAAAGTTGCTTCCACATTTTTGGGTATCTTTTCAGCAATGCACTCTAATCTTACCAATTTGCTGTATTAGTTCATTTTCATGCTGCTGATAAAGACATACAAGAGACTAAGAAATCTACAAAAGAAAGAGGCTTATTGGACTTACATTTCCACGTGGCTGGAGACCTCACAATCATGGCAGAAGGTGAAAGGCACGTCTCACATGGCAGCAGACAAGAGAAGAGAGAGCTTGTGCAGGGAAACTCCCATTTTTGATACCATCAGATCTCATGAGACTTATTCACTGTCATGAGAAAGGCATGGGAAAGACCTGCCCCCATGATTCATTTATCTCCCACCAGGTCCCTCCCACAACATATGGGAATTATGGGAGCCACAAGGTGAGAATTGGGTGGGGACACAGAGCTAATCCATATCAGAGACCAATGTGAAAATGTTCTAAAAGTAGAACCAACATCACTTCACACCTCCAGAAATGCAGGAGAGGGATAAATCCTACATGACTGAGCTTTTTGGCCTGTGAGATCAAGAAGACAGGATGGTGTTTGGAGACAGAGATCCAAGTGCAGTACTGAAAAGTCTCTTTTCAAGAAGTGAGACTGGTGACTCTACCTAAGACTACAAAGTTTCGGAGAAAAATCTCAGGAATTAATGGATATGCCCTTGATAGGCTAATTTCCCCAGAACAGATTTAGCAACAAGAGTAAGTCATGTATTCAAAGATGATTACCTTTGACATTTATTTATCCAAAGATTTAACTTGAAAATATCCTCATTCACTGTATGCAAAAAGTACTCCACAGACAGTATAAATTCAGCCATCTGACACCTGGTAATGGGAGCTGTGCTGTTTAATCCTCACCTATCAGAACAGAAATAATCTCTCATATATTTATGATACTTGGTAGGGTTGTTAAAATAAAATGTGGACAATATTATCCATATTATGCTATAGTCATATTTTTTCTGAATTATACAGGGATATGAAAATAAGTAGATAAGTGCAGTTTGATGAAATAGTAAAATTAATAGGACCTTGTTATTAGTCTATAAATATTTGAAAGATGTTAACATCTGAGAAAGACAAGATTTATTTAGCTAAAATAGAAGAGGATACCTTGTGTTACAACTATGTAGGAGTAATTGGAGAAGGATAGAGGTAGTTGGAGCAATTGTATCAGATAAATGTTAAGTTGATTATTGGAAAAAATACTCTTGCCAATGAGATTTATTTTTTAAATAATATCTCATAGAAAGTAATAATAGAAAAATGAAAAAAGAATAAAAAACAGTCCTTTAATGTATTTGATCAATACTAGCATAGACTAATGAAAGTATTTAAAAGAAAAAGTCTCCATTATCAATAGCCTTATTAGTAAATGAAGAAAATGTCGTTATGACTTTTCTATCTTCTGAGTCTATACAAAAACAAATTTATAATTTACAATTTTAGACACAAAGTATTAACTAAAGCTCCCTAGCATGAGAAAATCAGTCATTATAGTTTTCTTGAGGTAATGGAAACTTATATTTACCTGAATGTAATAAAGTCATTTTTATATTTACATATCCAATATATAGGTATACACATACATATGTGTGCATTTAGATGTATCTCTGCAAATGTTTATAAATATATATTTATGTTTAGTTTATAATTTATGATTCAAAAATTCTCACATTTACACATAGATCTCTATTATTTATTATAGTTCCTAAAGGATACTTTTATCTGCAAATTTTGAGGGCAGTCAGTCAATTCCCCAAAGTTCCCAAGGCCCTTTGTATAGGCAACATTTACAGTAGGTAAAAGCACAGCCTTTGGACTTTAACAGACTAAGGGGCAATCCTATCTCTTACTAGTTTTTGTGACTAGAGGAGACAAAGTATTTTACCTTTCCAAGCCTCAGTTTCTTCATCGCAAAATGGGGATGATACAACCATCAGGAGGATTAAATAAGATAATGTGTATAAAGCAATTAACAAAACACATTCAACATAGTAATTTCTAAATAAGTAGTATGTATTCTCATTATTATTTTAGTTTTCATTTCTATCAGTTCCCACCATGACAAGGCAAGCTGAATGAGGACAGGGTTTGTTTGTTTGTCTTGTTTTTCATTTTATTCACTCCTTTATCTTTGGGTCCTAGAGAGTACTTGTACATAGAACATTCAGTAAATATTTGTGGAATAAATCAATGGGTGATTGATTTAATGAATAATTCAGCCTCCACTTTATCAAGCTGCCCTGTATAGTAACAAATAGTATTTTAGTATTCAAGTAAATTTTAGAGGGTTATTTAGAGAGCAGAGATTCAAAGAAATTTATGTTTCAAGTAATTTAACATTTAAAATATCAGAGTTTTTATAGAATACACAATTTGGGTCCTGGTAGTTTTCTTTCAGTATCAGTTTAGGTTCAAATTAGTGGTTAAAGGCATTGGAAAACAAAGTATCCCCTTAAGGGTAGTTTGTGTTCTTCCCTTTGAATCAATGCTTTTCTGTTTTGTTTGTTTCCTCATTGCTTCTTTCTTAATATTTTTATGCCACAAAGATTCAAATCCAAGAGTTGTAATTCAGCTATGGCCCAAATAGGAGTAACTAACCAAAGCCAATTAACAGTAAAATCACATCCACACTGTTGGATGTATCCACCACATTGAACTTAGCTCTGCTGGCTAGCAGTGGCTCTCTGCTTCTCTGGTTTCAAAGCTGGAGAGGAAAGCGTGACTAAACATGAATGTTATTATCAGTATTATTGAATAATTCATGTTATTGAATAACATGAGTGTTATTATCAGGTGACCAGCATCTATTAAAAGTGATGCTTTCTGCTAGTATGGAATCAGATGAAAACTTTTATAAACAACCTAGAAATTTAGAGCTTAAAAAATACAACACTGCTTAATGACACATGATTTTTAAAAAATCTTGTACTGTAGTTTCAAGCTTTATATTTTGCCCTAGACTGATTTATTATACATAATTTCACATCATATATTTACATACAATAAACTTCACCCATTTCTAGTGTATAATTCAATAATGCTTAGTAACTTTACCCAGTGTTACATCCATCACCATAAATCAGTGATAAACCACTTTCATGCCCCCAGTAAATCCCTCATGCCCACTTACAATTAATCTCCTTTCCCACCCCAGCCCCAGACAACCACTAAACTATTTTCTCTATAAAATTGCATTTTCTTGATTAACCTCTGTATTTTTAATATTCATTAATTAATAAAAAACTCAGTCGTAAGAGAATGTAGTCAGACTTGTGCCTGTTTACGGGGTCAAGCTATTTTCTTCCTTTTGTTTTGTTTCACAAAAGAAAATATGGCTGGTCCATCTTTCACAAAATTAACTTAAATATGACATTTGACTGTAATAACAGTGAGCATCTTTATGTGGGCAGATTAAGATTCTGTAATTTCATGCTCAGCTGCGTTGATGGCTTTCAGCCTTGTTTAAGCAGACCAGCTACGGACAGCAGTAAACCCTATAATGTCCTGCCATGGCTAATTGCTTAAATCGTCTACCTCTGTAACTTTTATGGCTGCTATTTCAACTAGATACCTTCAATAAGATATAAGTTTATTGGAGCAGAGCAGAATCTATTTATTGTCGTTTTCATATTTTATTCCAAAATTAAGTTTCACCACTGTATTCTCAAGTGGCAGTAAATGGATTCTTCCATTATTTATATTGTCCTTTTTAGTGAATTTGTGGTATAATAGAGGGTATATATTAATTTCCCCCACCCCTTGTCAAGTGTACTGTATACATAAGAGAGTCCCTGGTATATTCATTTGACTTCATTAAATGCAAGTACAAATGGTTCGTCTTGATAAAAGTGAGTATTTTTGCTTGGGAACTCAATGGAAATGATATAACTAGCATTACAGTGTTCAGTTCAATAGATGGGAACTGTGCTAGACATGGGGTTGGGGGTACAATGGTTAATGTGTTATGGTTGCAGCCTTCAGGGAGTTCACAGCCTAGCTGGGGAAAAAGACATTTTTAAAATAGTGCTTTACTGCTATGTGGGAAATGCCTTGATGAGGACATGCCTGGGTGCTGTGGAAACAAAGCTGAGAGCTTGCAAATTCTTTTCCTGAATCTGAGTGTGCATGAGATAAGTCCTGAAGAATGAATAGCAGCAGGCTGGGTAAAGAACAATAGCAGGGACTGTGGCTCTTGAAATCATCTTAGTGCTTCCTTTGGAGTTTTGCCTAGTTGTCAAGTATCATGTTTAAAGGGCCCTGTGTGAAGAAAATGGCTGAGGTTTTCCCAAAATAAAAGATGTTTGGAAATGGCTGTAGTTATGAAGTTTCGCTCACCTAATGAATGTTTCCACTACTGTGTTAAAAAAGACAGTAGTGGCTGGACGCGGTGGCTCACGCCTGTAATCCCAGCACTTTGGAAAGCCGAGGCGGGCGGATCACCTGAGGTCAGGAGTTCAAGACCAGCCTGACCAACGTGGAGAAACCCACTCTCTACTAAAAATACAAAAATTAGCCAGACGTGGTGGGACATGCCTGTAATCCCAGCTACTCGGGAGGCTGAGGCAGGAGAATCACTTGAACCCTGGAGGCGGAGGTTGCGGTGAGCTGAGATCTTGCCATTGCACTCCAGCCTGGCAACCTGGGCAACAAGAGCAGAACTCCATCTCCAAAAAAAAAAAAAAAAAAAAAAGACAGTAGTTCTTAGTAATATGATGTTTCCTGATACACATGTATGTGCATTATTTATAACTTGTCTTATTCCTAAAATGATCCTATTAAAGTATTTAGAAACTTCAAGGCCCAGAAGAAAATTTTTAAAAATGCAAATCAATTTCATATTGTTTTTCATGGCTGAGTGATAATCCATTGTGTCATTTGCAACAACATGGATGGAACTGTAGGTAATTATTTAAATAAAATAAGCCAGGCACAGAAAGGCAAGTATTGTATGTTTTCACTCATAAGTGGGAGCTAAAACGGTGGATCTCATGAAGGCAGAGAGTAGAATGTAGTTATCAGAGGCTGGGAAGAGAAGGGGCTGGGGAAAATAAGTTTTTTAAAGGTAAAAAAAGTATAGTTAGATGGAAGAAACAAGTTCTGTATTCCATAGTACAGTAAGGAAATTATAGCTACCAATAATTTGTTGTACATTTAAAAATAGGTAGAAGAGAAGATTTGTCATGTTCTCGACACAAAGAAAATATAAATGGTTGAGGCGATAGATATCCCAGTTACCCTGATGTGATTATTGCACATTGTATATAGGTGTTAAAATAGCACCTGTACCCAAAAATATGTACAACCATTATGTATCAATTTTAACTTTATTTAATTCAGAGGGAAAACTTTCTCAAAATTTTAGGGCAAACAAAATCTTTAAAAAATTTTTGTTTCCTTTTTTGTTTCCTTGGGGCTCTGTAAACTTCTAGGCTAGGGTGAAATCTCCTCTGTTCTAATAGTGTTCAGTCTATTTTTGCTTCTCTTTCTTTTCTTCTTTCTTCCTTTTTGTTTTTGGTTAATTGATCACTATCACTTACTTATGTATCTCTCTATATAAACTGTAAGATTCTTAGTAACAGGAACTGGGCTTGCTTCCTATTTGTAACTCTTATACTACCTAGCACAGTGCTGAATTTCAGTAGATACAGAAATGTCCTATAACAGAATGTGGGTGGTTACAAGAAGGCAACAAGGAGAATAATTTAGCAAATATGAGGTAGACGACTGAGTAAAGTGAATTCTGGAATACATTGGTTGTTTCCTGGCACATATGTGGTGCTCAGTAAACATTGGCTAAATAAGGATGAATGAGGATATGCCTTGATAAAGTTTGGAGGTGGGAGAAAGGATTTGGAGCAATTACAAACCAATGGTATATTTAGTATAAAATGTGACATGAAGTTGAGTAACATAATAATTTCCAGCAGGGTGTTTGACTGGATGCTTCCTGTTAAATGAAGTCAACACATTTTCCTCAGGTATTTCAAAGAACCAAGGCAGTGGGGAAGTGGAGTCTAAGAAAGCATTACTTCTGCAAGGTACACAGCATGCAGTAGTAATATGAAAACAATGATTTTTGACTGGAATCATGGCATTAAAGAATTCTCAGTAAGTTTACCTGATTCCAACTCATGGAAGCAATACTCTCAATTGGAAAATAAGTCAACAAATACAAAATTGAACCAATAAACAGATAATTTCCGTGAGTAATCAGTGATATGGAGAAATGTAGGAGGCTATATAATACCTGGGATGGGAATGGAACACCTTTAGCTAGAAGACCAGGGAAGGCATCTCAGGGATCTGAATGAAAAGGAGGTGTCCAGGAGAAAACCTGGGGTAAAGCAATCAATGAATGCAGATGCCCTTAGAGAGAACTAGCGAAAATATCTGAGAGGCAGGAAGAAGGCCAGCATGGCTAGGTTAGGGAGTGATAGACAGAGTGGGGAGCAATGAGCAACAAAAGACAGACAGTGGCCACAGGATTTGATATCCCTCAAAGGGACTGTGTATTTTATTCTAACTGCAATGGAAAAGTCTTTGAGAGGTTTTCTGTGAGTTGGGCAACTTATGACCTGATGTTATGCTTGAAAACAATCTTGGTCAGTGAGAAGTAACTGCAGGACAGGAGAAAAATCAGTTGGGACGCTGTTTTAACAGTCTACTAAGAGAGCGTATTGTTTCCATTAAGGTGGTAGCACTGAAGAGGTAGGGTGTATTTCTGTGGTAGAAGTAAAACAACTTGTTAATGGATTGGGTATGGAGTATGATGGAAAATAAATCATTGAAAATGCCTAGATTTTTCAACTGAACTCAGTGAGCGGTACCTCTATTTACAGAAAGGAAGATTGTAGGCCAAACTGACATGGGAGGGAATGAACTGGAATGACCAAATAAATGTCCTTTCTCGCAAGTTAGATTATATATGCTTGAAGATCATGGTCTTTATTTTAGGCTTTATTTTTTCCTTTGTCATACCAGGCATAATTCCTTGCATATACCAGGTGGTAACAAATGGGTATTGGCCAGTTAGGTGATTGGGAAGCCGAGATATGGAGAATGGATGTCTGAATCTTCTATTAACTTAACAAACTATGATAAAACTTTTGGCCTCTAGAGGTGAGTTTTTTTTTTTTAATTCTTTGCAAATCTTAAGACATGTGAAGGGTAAGAAAACTATCATAGATTTAAAAATTGTTACCTTTATGCCCTTTCAAATCCTCTCACTTGCATCCTCACAAAGTTGTAACTTGCATACAATATAGTTGCTAATAAGTAGTCATTTTTCATTAATGGGAAATTCATTAAAAGCTTCATTTGGAAGATTTTCATTGAGATCCAAAGACAAAACATTTTAGTGTTTAGATACTTTCCTTATATTGATATTTTACATTTAATATTTGCCTTATATTGGTAATCTAATGGCTATGAATACTAAATATTATCAAGCTGTTTACAGCCACAAATGTTTGCAAAAATTGCTTTGTGTCAGAAAATTAATCCCAGAGGAAAGCGCTAACTTATTTAAATGGAAGGAGTTTGTTCCCAGTGACTAGTTTCACTTTACTGGATCAAATTTAAAATCTTAGAAAGCATTGCATTTATCATGTTGGGCTCTTAATTTCCAACTTACTTTTTCTTCTTTTCAATACTAGAGCTCTGGTAATAAGTAGAAGATTAGGTGAACAAATGACTACTTGGAACATATTCAACCGAAAAGAATACCAGAGAAAGAGGCGATTCTTACCTTTGGAGTATAAATAGTAGGGCAGAGGGAACTGAACAATTGGCCTTTTATTCTGTTACCTATTGGTACAATGAGGGTGATAACTCTACAGTGACCACTGTAAGGAATTACTCTGCCATGACCATTGTAAGGAAGATTCAGATTGCAGATGTCAAGTGAAACATCTCCTCTTTCATTATACAGCTGGGGCTTTTCCATGAGGCTAATACAAACAGACTAACAGATCCCATGAAGTCAAACATCCTACATTTATTTGGATGTCTGCATGAAAAATCAATAAGGAAAGTAGATTGTAGAATTAGAACCCAGCAAAATAATAGGAGGTGTTCTGCATTTCTTAGCCTTGGAACCCACACTCGGTTGCCATGGGAAATGTGGCATTCCCCTGTCAGGGTAAAGGGTTCTATTTGCTCTACAGAATGGCTCTGTAAGGACTGGTCCCTGAAAATGCTAGAACAGAAAGGCTTGGAATTCATGCCAGTCTTCTTCAGAACTGCTTTCTCTCCACATATCCTTGACTGTCTCTAACCCTTTTCCAGCTGTTTTATAAACCTGAGGATCATGAAAGGCTTATTCTAAACTACAAAAGTGGCTATGTTTTAATTTTGCTTAAAAGCGCTCATGACCTCTTCTTTGCCTACAGAATATATTCCAAACTCCAAAGAGCAGTACTCCCTGTTTCATGTTTAGGGCTTTAAGGTCTTTAGCAACTGTTGACTAAAGTCTTCCCACTAAAACTATCTCCTTGCTCCCGTTTTTGGCTGACATGCCTTCTTATTCTCTTCTTTACCCTCATGCATCCTCTCAATTCTCTCCTTCTTAGTCTTTTTTTCTGTGTTACCTTCTGCTACTCATCCTATAATGTTTCCTATCACTAAGTCTTCATTTCAGTTTTCACTTCTTTCCATCACAACCTTTCTAGGAATATCCATGGCTTCATATGAACCTATACAATATTGACTCCAAAATGTACCTTTTTAGACCATTACTGACTTCTGAGATTAAACTGTAATATCTATTTAATGAGATATCTCTACCTTGATGGCATGCATATTCCCTCAAACTAATCAGATACAATATTGGAATAATTGTATTTCCCTCAAATCTATTATTATTCTTATATTCCTTTCTCAGTATAAAGCACCACTGCTGACCAGTCACCCCAGCTAGAAGCATGGAAGTTGTCCTGGATTCCTCACTCACACACCACATGCAATTGCCATATCCTGCAGATTCCATTCTTAGCTCTAGCCGTATTTTCCTTCCTTCGACCCATTGGTTATTTCAGGTTCAGGTCAGCATTTAGAGACACCTATACCCACGTCACTCTGCCTTCCTGGGAAGTAATTTCAATTTACTATTTTCCATGCTTCATACTTTGCAACTTTTTTTACATACACTGCTTTATTTTCCCCATCAGAGCAAACTGTGAAAAGGTACTATTATTTACATTATATGATGACAGGACTACAGATGAAAATGTTCAGTTTTGAGATTGTCAAGAACCTCATTAAGAAAGGTGAGAAATTCTTAACCCAAGTCCATTGGTTCCCAAGCCCATGCTCCTTCCCCATCACAGTGGTGTCTCCCATCTACACTCAATAAAGTAGGAGAGGACAGTAACAACTGAAAAGGAATGGAAGGAAAAATCAAAACAAGGAAAATGAAGTGACTTATCTAGGGCCACTGAGTTCATTATGAGCATGGGGGAAAGACCACATTTCTGACATCCAGATCTCTGCCCTTTTTTCCAAAAAAAAAACTCTACCTTTTCAATGTTGTCGAAGAATAAAAATCAGAGTGTGTTATTCTGAAAAATTTCTTTCCTATGTGAAATGAAAAGATATCCAGGGCAATTTGAATTAGATGCCTAAAATCCTAGCTGGCATACGAAAATCTTCCCATTTCTAATTTTCCAATTGGTGCTTTTTGTAGTACCTCTCTATTTTTATATAAAATTTCTTTTTTTATTATTATTATTGTACTTTAAGTTTTAGGGTACATGTGCACAATGTGCAGGTTAGTTACATATGTATACATGTGCCATGCTGGTATGCTGCACACATTAACTCGTCAGTTAGCATTAGGTATATCTCCGAAAGCTATCCCTCCCCCCTCCCCCCACCCCACAACAGTCCCCAGAGTGTGATGTTCCCCTTCCTGTGTCCATGTGTTCTCATTGTTCAATTCCCATCTATGAGTGAGAATATGCGGTATTTGGTTTTTTGTTCTTGCGATAGTTTACTGAGAATGATGATTTCCAATTTCATCCATGTCCCTACAAAGGACATGAACTCACTGTTTTTTTATGGCTGCATAGTATTCCATGGTGTATATGTGCCACATTTTCTTAATCCAGTCTATCATTGTTGGACATTTGGGTTGGTTCCAAGTCTTTGCTATTGTGAATAGTGCCGAAATAAACATACATGTGCATGTGTCTTTATAGCAGCATGATTTATAGTCCTTTGGGTATATACCCAGTAATGGGATGGCTGGGTCAAATGGCATGCTTCTAGTTCTAGATCCCTGAGGAATCACCACACTGACTTCCACAATGGTTGAACTAGTTTACAGTCCCACCAACAGTGTAAAAGTGTTCCTATTTCTCCACATCCTCTCCAGCACCTGTTGTTTCCTGACTTTTTGATGATTGGCATTCTAACTGGTGTGAGATGGTATCTCATTGTGGTTTTGATTTGCATTTCTCTGATGGCCAGTGATGGTGAGCATTTTTTCATGTGTTTTTTGGCTGCATAAATGTCTTCTTTTGAGAAGTGTCTGTTCATGTCCTTCACCCACTTTTTGATGGGATTGTTTGTTTTTTTCTTGTAAATTTGTTTGAGTTCATTGTAGATTCTGGATATTAGCCCTTTGTCAGATGAGTAGGTTGCGAAAATTTTCTCCCATTTTGTAGGTTTCCTGTTCACTCTGATGGTAGTTTCTTTTGCTGTGCAGAAGCTCTTTAGTTTAATTAGATCCCATTTGTCAATTTTGGCTGTTGTTGCCATTGCTTTTGGTGTTTTAGACATGAAGTCCTTGCCCATGCCTATGTCCTGAATGGTAATGCCTAGGTTTTCTTCTAGGGTTTTTATGGTTTTAGGTCTAACATTTAAGTCTTTAATCCATCTTGAATTAACTTTTGTGTAAGGTGTAAGGAAGAGATCCAGTTTCAGCTTTCTACATATGGCTAGCCAGTTTTCCCAGCACCATGTATTAAATACGGAATCCTTTCCCCATTGCTTGTTTTTCTCAGGTTTGTCAAAGATCAGATAGTTGTAGATATGCGGCTTTATTTCTGAGGGCTCTGTTCTGTTCCATTGATCTATATCTCTGTTTTGGTACCAGTACCATGCTGTTTTGGTTACTGTAGCCTTGTAGTATACTACAAGTTTGAAGTCAGGTAACGTGATGCCTCCAGCTTTGTTCTTTTGGCTTAGGATTGACTTGGTGATGAGGGCTCTTTTTTGGTTCCATATGAACTTTAAAGTAGTTTTTCCAATTCTGTGAAGAAAGTCATTGGTAGCTTGATGGGGATGGCATTGAATCTATAAATTACCTTGGGCAGTATGGCAATTTTCACAATATTGATTCTTCCTACCCATGAGCATGGAATGTTCTTCCATTTGTTTGTATCCTCTTTTATTTCATTGAGCAGTGGTTTGTAGTTCTCCTTGAAGAGGTCCTTCACATCCCTTGTAAGTGGGATTCCTAGGTATTTTATTCTCTTTGAAGCAATTGTGAATGGGAGTTCACTCATGATTTGGCTCTCTGTTTGTCTGTTATTTGTGTATAAGAATGCTTGTGATTTTTGTACATTGATAATGTATCCTGAGACTTTGCTGAAGTTGCTTATCAGCTTAAGGAGATTTTGGGCTGAGACGATGGGGTTTTCTAGATATACAATCATGTCGTCTGCAAACAGGGACAATTTGACTTCCTCTTTTCCTAATTGAATACCCTTTATTTCCTTCTCCTGCCTAATTGCCCTGGCCAGAACTTCCAACACTGTGTTGAACAGGAGTGGTGAGAGAGGGCATCCCTGTCTTGTGCCAGTTTTCAAAGGGAATGCTTCCAGTTTTTGCCCATTCAGTATGATATTGGCTGTGGGTTTGTCATAGATAGCTCTTATTATTTTGAGATACGTCCTATCAATACCTAATTTATTGAGAGTTTTTAGCATGAAGCGTTGTTGAATTTTGTCAAAGGCCTTTTCTGCATCTATTGAGATAATCCTGTGGTTTTTGTCTTTGGTTCCGTTTATATGCTGGATTACATTTATTGATTTGCGTATATTGAACCAGCCTTGCATCCCAGGGATGAAGCCCACTTGATCATGGTGGATAAGCTTTTTGATGTGCTGCTGGATTCGGTTTGCCAGTATTTTATTGAGGATTTTTGCATCAATGTTCATCAAGGATATTGGTCTAAAATTCTCTTTTTTGTTTGTGTCTCTGCCTGGCTTTGGTATCAGGATGATGCTGGCCTCATAAAATGAGTTAGGGAGGATTCCCTCTTTTTCTATTGATTGGAATAGTTTCACAAGGAATGGTACGAGTTCCTCCTTATACCTCTGGTAGAATTCGGCTGTGAATCCGTCTGGTCCTGGACTCTTTTTGGTTGGTAAGCTATTGATTATTGCCACAATTTCAGAGCCTGTTATTGGTCTATTCAGAGATTCAACTTCTTCCTGGTTTAGTCTTGGGAGGGTGTATGTGTCGAGGAATTTATCCATTTCTTCTAGATTTTCTAGTTTATTTGCGTAGAGGTGTTTGTAGTATTCTCTGATGGTAGTTTGTATTTCTGTGAGATCGGTGGTGATATCCCCTTTATCATTTTTTATTGCGTCTGTTTGATTCTTCTCTCTTTTCTTCTTTATTAGTCTTGCTAGTGGTCTATCAATTTTGTTGATCCTTTCAAAAAACCAACTCCTGGATTCATTAATTTTTTGAAGGGTTTTTTGTGTCTCTATTTCCTTCAGTTCTGCTCTGATCTTAGTTATTTCTCGCCTTATGCTAGCTTTCAAATGTGTTTGCTCTTGCTTTTCTAGTTCTTTTAATTGTGATGTTAGGGTGTCAATTTTGGATCTTTCCTGCTTTCTCTTGTGGGCATTTAGTGCTATAAATTTCCCTCTACACACTGCTTTGAATGTGTCCCAGAGATTCTGGTATGTTGTGTCTTTGTTGTCGTTGGTTTCAAAGAACATCTTTATTTCTGCCTTCATTTCGTTATGTACCCAGTAGTCATTCAGGAGCAGGTTGTTCAGTTTCCATGTAGTTGAGTGGTTTTGAGTGAGTTTCTTAATCCTGAGTTTTAGTTTGATTGCGCTGTGGTCTGAGAGACAGTTTGTTATAATTTCTGATCTTTTACATTTGCTGAGGAGAGCTTTATTTCCAAGTATGTGGTCAATTTTGGAATAGGTGTGGTGTGGTGCTGAAAAAAATGTATATTCTGTTGATTTGGGGTGGAGAGTTCTGTAGATGTCTATTAGGTCTGCTTGGTGCAGAGCTGAGTTCAATTCCTGGGTATCCTTTTTAACTTTCTGTCTCATTCATCTGTCTATTGTTGACAGTGGGGTGTTAAAGTCTCCCATTATTATTGTGTGGGAGTCTAAGTCTTTTTGTAGGTCACTCAGGACTTGCTTTATGAATCTGGGTGCTCATGTATTGGGTGCATGTACATTTTGGATAGTTAGTTCTTCTTGTTGAATTGATCCCTTTACCATTATGTAATGGCCTTCTTTGTCTCTTTTGATCTTTGTTGGTTTAAAGTCTGTTTTATCAGAGACTAGGATTGCAACCCCTGCCTTTTTTGTTTCCCATTTGCTTGGTAGATCTTCCTCCATCCTTTTATTTTGAGCCTATATGTGTCTCTGCACATGAGATGGGTTTCCTGAATACAGCACACTGATGGGTCTTGACTCTTTATCCAATTTGCCAGTCTGTGTCTTTTAATTGGAGCATTTAGTCCACTTACAGTTAAGGTTAATATTGTTATGTGTGAATTTGATCCTGTCATTATGATGTTAGCTGGTTATTTTGGTCGTTAGTTGATGCAGTTTCTTCCTAGCCTCGATGATCTTTACAATTTGGCATGATTTTTCAGTGGCTGGTAGCAGTTGTTCCTTTCCATGTTTAGTGCTTCCTTCAGGAGCTCTTTTAGGGCAGGCCTGGTGGTGACAAAATATCTCAGCATTTGCTTGTCTGTAAAGTATTTTATTTCTCCTTCACTTATGAAGCTTAGTTTGGCTGGATATGAAATTCTGGGTTGAAAATTCTTTTCTTTAAGAAAGTTGAATATTGGCCCCCACTCTATTCTGGCTTGTAGAGTTTCTGCCAAGAGATCCGCTGTTAGTCTGATGGGCTTCCCTTTGTGGGTAACCCGACCTTTCTCTCTGGCTGCCCTTAACATTTTTTCCTTCATTTCAACTTTGGTGAATCTGACAATTATGTGTCTTGGAGTTGCTCTTCTCAAGGAGTATCTTTGTGGCGTTCTCTGTATTTCCTGAATCTGAATGTTGGCCTGCCTTGCTAGATTGGGGAAGTTCTCCTGGATAATATCCTGTAGAGTGTTTTCCAGCTTGATTCCATTCTCCTCGTCACTTTCAGGTACACCAATCAGATGTAGATTTGGTCTTTTCACATAGTCCCATATTTCTTGGAGGCTTTGTTCGTTTCTTTTTATTCTTTTTTTCTCTAAACTTCCTTTGTCACTTCATTTCATTCATTTCATCTTCCATCACTGATACCCTTTCTTCCAGTTGATCACATTGGCTCCTGAGGTTTCTGCATTCTTCACGTAGTTCTCGAGCCTTGGCTTTCAGCTCCATCAGCTCCTTTAAGCACTTCTCTGTATTGGTTATTCTAGTTATACATTCGTCTAAATTTTTTTCAAAGTTTTTACCTTCTTTGTCTTTGGTTTGAATTTCCTCCTGTAGCTTGGAGTAGTTTGATGCTCTGAAGCCTTCTTCTCTCAACTTGTCAAAGTCATTCTCTGTCCAGCTTTGTTCCGTTGCTGGTGAGAAACTGCGTTCCTTTGGAGGAGGAGAGGCGCTCTGCTTTTTAGAGTTTCCAGTTTTTCTGTTCTGTTTTTTCCCCATCTTTGTGGTTTTATCTACTTTTGGTCTTTGATGATGGTGTTGTACAGATGGGTTTTTGGTGTGGATATCCTTTCTGTTTGTTAGTTTTCCTTCTAACAGACAGGACCCTCAGCTGCAGGTCTGTTGGAGTTTGCTAGAGGTCCACTCCAGACCCTGTTTGCCTGGGTACCAGCAGCGGTGGCTGCAGAACAGTGGATTTTTGTGAACCGCGAATGCTGATGTCTGATCGTTCCTCTGGAAGTTTTGTCTCAGAGGAGTATCTGGCTGTGTGAGGTGTCAGTCTGCCCCTACTGGGGGGTGCCTTCCAGTTAGGCTGCTTGGTAGTCAGGGGTCAGGGACCCACTTGAGGAGGCAGTCTGCCCGTCCTCAGATCTCCAGCTGCATCCTGGGAGAACCACTGCTCTCTTCAAAGCTGTCCGACAGGGACATTTAAGTCTGCAAAGGTTACTGCTGTCTTTTTGTTTGTCTGTGCCCTGCCCCCAGAGGTGGATCCTACAGAGGCAAGCAGGCCTCCTTGAGCTGTGGTGGGCTCTACCCAGTTCCAGTTTCCCAGCTGCTTTGTTTACCTAAGCAAGCCTGGGCAATGGCGGGCGCCCCTCCCCCTAGCCTCGCTGCCGCCTTACAGTTTAATCTCAGACTGCTGTGCTAGCAATCAGTGAGACTCTGTGGGCGTAGGACCCTCCGAGCCAGATGCGGGATATAATCTCCTGGTGCGCCGTTTTTTAAGCCCGTCGGAAAAGCGCAGTATTAGGGTGGGAGTGACCCGATTTTCCAGGTGCCATCTGTCACCCCTTTCTTTGACTAGGAAAGGAAACTCCCTGACCCCTTGTGCTTCCCAAGTGAGGCAATGCCTCGCCCTGCTTCGGCTCGCGCATGGTGCCCTGCACCCACTGTCCTGTACCCACTGTCTGGCACTCCCTAGTGAGATGAACCCGGTACTTCAGTTGGAAATGCAGAAATCACCCGTCTTCTGCGTCACTCACGCTGGGAGCTGTAGACCGGAGCTGTTCCTATTCGGCCATCTTGGCTCCACCAGCTCTATAAAATTTCTAACTAAAATTTGCTTTCCTTTTTGAAGTAGCTACATTTATGGAACTATCTAATACCTGATTTAAGCTATAATAAATTCAGTTTTTCATTTTCTTTGTGAAGAATGGTCTGTGGGGAAAGGGTTTTTTTTTTTTTGTATACATGTTCATACATTACTAAGTGCCTTATTGCTTTCTGAGATGCAGCTTTTATACTACAAAAGCCTAGAAGAATGATGTATAGCTAGCCACCCAAAACAAAATGAGTAAAGGCAGGAATATGCCCGCTGTGTTAAAACACTATATTTTGCTCCTGGTGTTTCAGGCTTTGAGGCCAGTCATAATCCATTTGAGTCAGTCCACTGGGCAAAATGCTGAGATTTCTCATTATTGCTTTAAAGCAAAGAGTTTTTCATGGAGATTAGTTCAGCATTTGAAGTGTACTCTCAGAGTCTCTCAGCTACCTAACAGTGATGAGTGGGATTTTTAGATTTTTCACTTAGTTCACTTTTAATTCTTACCTAAATTTAAAGAAATCCAGCATGGAAAGTATGGATGATGGATTAAGGTATAATTTATATAAGAAAAATGAAATAGAACTTCAGAAAAAAAATGGGTCCCAGGTTTCTGGCCTTACAAGTCAATTCGGTATGCCAAATATTTTAAAGCAATTAAAGAACAATTTAGACATTGGAAATAACACCATCAAAACTGTGGCCAGACGTTGAAAATTCCAGAAAAAATCTTGACCCTCACATATAAAAAAAAGATGAAGGAACACGATATGTTAACTGTTCTCAAATTAAAAGTGTGGATGACTTATAGAAATGCAAAGTGTAAGATTGTACTAATGATAATTTGTTTAAAGTTAAAATTGTGGGCAATTAAGAAATCAAGCATGCTGGGACAAACATGCTTGATTGGCCAGTGTTTGGGCTGCCATGTTCGTCATTTAACTGTTGTCACAGAGAAGAATATGGGTCGCAGTGGCACAGGATGGAGAAAACCAAGGGCTGAGAATTGCATCTGTCTTCGATCTCACCTTAACCACATTCTGGCTGTGCAACTTAACCTAATTCTCCTTTATAAGAAGACTCCAAATTCTCCCATGCTATTCTTTAAAGATAAGGAAAGAACTAATACCTGGTTGATAATCCTATTAGACATTCATATAAGAGAACTTTTCCTACCCTGCACATCCAGAACCAGTTATTGACTTGTTAGTCTAAAGTTTGGATTTAAACATTTCATTTATTTAAAAAACTGCCTGCATGTCTTAATTACTTCACTTTAAGTTTTAAAAATATGATTGTATAGTGGCATAATAAAATGAGTGTTTTATTGGTATTTAAAAGAAAAAAATGGTATTTCTCCCAATAAAGCATATCCAATTTATTTTTTGAGTCACCACGTCATTGCTGACTGTTGAGTGAAGCCATTTAATATAAAGTAAAAGCACATTTTGAGTATCTTTGGCTATGGAATGAAAAATTGGGGGCTCTAAATTTGATTTAATGTTTTTCTTCATACTTATATCCATCTGTTTGTCCCAACATGCTTGATTTCTTAATTGTCCACAATTTTAACTTTAAGCAAATTATCATTAGTACAATCTTACACTTTGCATTTCTATAAGTCATCCACACTTTTAATTTGAGAACAGTTAACATATTGTGTTCCTTCATCTTTTTTTTATATGTGAGGGTCAAGATTTTTTCTGGAATTTTCAACGTCTGGCCACAGTTTTGATGGTGTTATTTCCAATGTCTAAATTGTTCTTTAATTGCTTTAAAATATTTGGCATACCAAATTGACTTGTAAGGCCAGAAACCTGGGACCCATTTTTTTTCTGAAGTTCTATTTCATTTTTCTTACGTAAATTATAACTTAATCCATCATCCATACTTTCCATGCTGGATTTCTTTAAATGTAGGTAAGAATTAAAAGTGAACTAAGTGAAAAATTCTTTATTTTATAATATTTTTTGATCTTATCTCTCTCAGACCTAATTTGACAGCAATATTTTTAACTATTAATACATACTTTTTTTTAGATTTTCAAGATCAGAAAACTTACTCTTGATAGAGACAAGGCTTTTTTGTACACATTTCATTTTTGCAACATTTAATTATGTAATTATAAAAACAAATGCAATAAGAATAAACAGATTTAAGAATAATTACAATTGATTCTTTGTTAGTATGCAAATCACCTGAAAGGAATGGAAATTTATGGGACATAAACATTCTGCTTGCTGTGGACATTGGTCTGCCTGTCACTGACAGAGTGGAGAAGATTGGTTAGTCTATTAAAAGGATGCTGCTTAAGAGAGCTCAACAGCGCAACTTGTGGACTAACTATTACACTGGAGGGAGATCTGTGATGATTTGCCACAATGCACAGTCCTTATGCCTTATTATAATCAATGACTTAAATAAAAATGTAAAATTTGATGATATAAAGCTAGATGAAATAGTGAAATTCTATAATGGCCAACACATCTTAAATGCTCAATAAATACTTATTGAATTAAATTGATAACTGAATGTTAGCTTAACAAACTTAAAATCTAGATCAAAATCGGTACCATTAAATTTAACATGTGGTAACTATATTGGGTCCCAAAATCCAATGTGTAAGTACATGATAGATTTGATTTTTAATCATTTGAGGTCACAAATATATAAGAGGTTCAGTGGACTCTAAGCTTAGCAATAAAATTCAGCAAATTGTAAAAGTCCATGTTATCTTGGGCTGCTATGACAGGAGTATGGGATCCAAATGGAGAAAAGTCAGCATCTCATGGCACTCTTCCCTGATCTGAACACATCTGGAACTATGAGTTCATTTCTACATTCTGCAGTTTAAATATTAGATTGGTGCAAAAGTAATCACGGTTTTTATCATTTTTTTTAAAAAAATGGAAAAAACCACTATTACTTTTGCACCAACTTAATAGATATCAGAAGAAAAATGTAAGCACATACAAGCAAAGATAACTAAGAACCTTGAAACTATCTCATAAAGAAAGAATCAAAAGTGTTATGAATGTTTATTTGTAAGGGTTGAAGATGCAAGGAATATCTCAGTCATCCAGTGGCTACTGTGGACAGATGGGTATCACGCCAAGAGAAGGAAGAACTTTTTAATAATTATAGATGTCCACTATAGATCATATTTCCCACATGTGTAACAGGTTCATCAAGCTAATCTTGTACAAAATCAAATTCAATTATATTTTTCTATCCACACTTGCACTTTCCTTTACACACATGCACTTCTGTTAATAGAGCCGTGGTCCTTTCAGTCAATGGTGGAATTCTCCATTCATTCTTCCTCACCTCCCCCAATCCTAACACCAGAGTCTGTCTATTTTTGAAGGCTTGCTTAAAAGTCACAGAAGAGAGCACAACTCTTCCTATACCCTGGGAAAAACAGGGCCCTTTATATGTAGGATAATTTCACTTTCAGGAGGAGAAATGCCTACCCAGCCAGATCACTGGAATCAAAGTGTCTTCTCCTTAGCTCCTTCTTATTAATTCCTGAATATTCTACCTCTAAATGTATTAAATACATTCTCTTTTCTTAATTTTTACTGCATTATTCAAGTTTAGGCATTTATTAATATTCTTCACCCTGATGGTTTACTATTAGTCTCCCTGACTATAGATTTCCTCCACTTCCTTTCATTATTCAGAATAGTTTCAGGTTTACTTTTCTGAATCACTGTTATCTCCATCTTGACCCCTTTATTCCCCCCACTTAATAACCTTGGAGAGCCCACCATTGCCAACAGGTGTAAGACCAGACCTTGGCAGGGTATTCATTGTCCCTCATTGCCCATCCACAGTCAGCTTCCTGACCTTACCCCTGGCCACTCTGCTCTGGCCAAGCCAAGACACTCAAGTTTCCAGAGCACACCACATATTTTTGACCCTTCATGATCTTGGTCATGCTCTTCATGAGTCTCAAAATGTCTTGTTTTCCTTCACCATCCTTTAAAATACTTATATATTCTTCCAAACATAGCTTAGGTAGTTTGCCAATTAAATATGCCTGGGGATTTATTGAAAAATGCTATCCATGTTATTTGGACATGGGCCAAATGATTTATTTGCTTTCATCATTCTCTTTATTACCAGATATTTATTGAGTACTACAATATTGAGGAATGAAAGAGTCATCCCAAGCACCTAACACAATCCCTGGTGTATAATAAGTGCCCAATTAACATTTATTGGGTATAACTACAACATATAAGTAATTGTACAAGACACTTCATGTTAAGTGTCAATGAAACAACTGGAGGACTATCCAGTTTCATGTGGGAAGGTGATGACGTTTTAATTATGTTAAATTTGAGGTACTGATTGGATATCCAAGACATACTCTTCTTTTTAAGAATAGTGACAATTTAATGCATGCGCTATATTAAGAGAGAAGGAAAGTAGACAGAAAAAGAGAAGAAAGAAATATTAAGGTAGATTAAATAAATGATGGATACAAATATGCAAGAGAGAGATGAAGAGTTAAATATGACAAGGATAAATGCAAGTTCATTAGAAGTGGAAAAATAGGCAATATTGAATATCCATAAGAAGATATGTTAATGATGAATGTGACTTTACAAGTCACATTAAGTAACTTTATTGTTATCAGTTAATTAATAAAGTACACAAAAAACTTTTTGTGCTGTCCATTAGAATAACATAGTTTTAATATTACAACATATTGGAAAAACCACTTATCCTGCCTCTCATTGCCTCAGAGAAGGAGAAAATTTAAAAGCCATTTGTTACCACCAGCTAGGACCTTTGTGTTCCATGTGTAATAGAACAATTTCAATTCAGATGCTCAAAAATTTCTTAATTAAGCACAGCAATGGGAATACATCTTTCAGCACCATTCAAATTTCATTTTTTAGGCAACAGTTTGGAGTCTTTTACTTGGAAAAAATCAGAGAGTTCTTGGAAAGGAAACTCTATTGTGCACTTCCTCAATTTTATTTAATGACAGCATCATTTGGACAGGCAATAGGGCTTATACCTCTCTTTGAATCTTAAAAAGGCTTAGTAATATTTATCTCCACAGTTGCCCAATTTAGTACCTCAGCCAAGCTACCTAACTAGGGAATTGGTGCCACAGGTTTTCTACCAGGCGACAGGGGACTTCTTCTCCAGCATCCATGTTGTAGCATGATGCTGAGCCTCCCTCATGCTCATTCTACCCACCCACTATTCATTGTCACTTAAATCTTCATGAATGTTCATGACTTACTAATGAGGTGGTGTGGGTGGGACAGAGAAGTTCCTTTATTAAGTGATCTTCATAAAAATCATCTTCAAAAGTCACTGACGTGGAAGTTGAGCATATGTGGTAAAAATAATGGGTGGTATTTATACCAAAGAAAAAAAGAATTTGTCAGTGTTACTCAGTGGGAGTTCAGTATTTTCTAACAATGTGTTTCAGGTGCTCTATATAGACCAGTCACAGAGCTTTGATTTCAACTTTTTATAAAACAATATGGTTTGTCTCAGAGGAGCAAGCACTTTTTTCCCTTGAAAATGGGGATGAAACCTAGTTCTTGATGCTATTGCAGAATTTAAAAGCAAGAAGTCATGGGGGCCTTACAGATAGATGGAATTCAATCCATGGTATTCATCATTCAAAAAGACATTGATGAAGGGTCTTTTGTGTGCCAACCCTGAGCTGCGAATGTATAGATGAAGAAACCCAATACTTTGCTCTGAAAGCACACATGACTTTGTAGGAGAAATGGGCATGTGAATAAATCTTAGTGATTCATAGCCCTGGGTGCTATTATGGATATGTAGGAAAATGAGATGGCAGAACAGAGCAGCATGTTTTAGCTGTGATTTCCTCCCTTGGTTCTTTCTACAACAGTTCTCAGAATTCCATCTGACTGGCCTCTCTTCCTGAGGAGGTGAAAGAGACAGGAAAAGGTTACCTGTAATTTCTTAGCGATGGTAACTCTACACCACATTGTTTATGTAGCCAATAATGTGGAAACGATAGAACCTACTTGGTCCGAAGGGAAAAATGTTTGGTGTTCTTTAAAATACCAGTTGTAGTCACCATCAGGTAGCTCCAAACATCCACTACAAGCATCCCTCCTGCAAGTATAGCTTGGACATTACTATTATATTTGGGAATAACAAAAATTCATTTGTGTCCACAGGTCTTGACTCTATTTATCTTAGTTCACTGTATTTGTCTTAGAAGAGAGTGAAAGGATAATTACATTTTGGAAAAGGCTCTGTTTGTTCCAAATCTACATGCTAGGAGAAACTGGCTAACCTTGCATGTGTAATATAAAAGGAGTCAAATTCTCTGTGCACCTCAGGGTACCATTTGCATTTACTTTGTCGCTAAAACTTTAAAGAGGATATTATTGGAATAGAGTAGAATAACAAAATAATTAGTTATAAGGTAATGATAAGTGAAGTGAGATTACTGAATTTTTTTTGTTTTAATTTTGGGCTGAGCTAATGATGAGAAAGCTATCAGAAATTACAGTTACTTATTAATCTTGGTTAGTGACCATAATTGAGCTGCCTAAGAACTGTTGGTACTTTCTAGATCAGTGGAAAATAAATGGTAAAGGAAAGGATTAGACATTTTGCACAAAAGATATACAATTAGCCAATAAGTATACGGAAAAAAATGGTCATTCTCACTAATAAACAAAGAAATGCTCATTACAAATCTGATGCATCATTCTTCATCTATTAAATTGTTAGGGTGTTTTAAAAGTTATAATGTCAGTGCTTTTAAGACTGTGGGGAAACTAGTACAGATACACATTTTTAGAGGCAATAAAATGATACAAAGCTTTTGAAAAGTAATTAATAACATAAATCAAGAAACTAATAAGCATTTCCATTTTGGGAAACGCATCTGAAGAAAATTGTAAAATAAGAAAAAAGTAATTGATATCAACATGTTCATTGCAGCACTGTTTATAATATTAAAGCCGTAAACATCACCCAAATATCCAACTATCAACGGTGGTTAATTAATTATATCTTCATAGGAAGTAACGTTATGTAACTCCAAAATAATAATTATAGAGACCATATTAGAAATGCTTAAATGTTAGGAAAAGCAGAGGATATGAAGTTACATATGTTTCTGTATATATATACAACTATGTGAAATACATATGGACACGTAGAGAGTCAGTAAGATAGAATGGAAAGTACACCCACTTGGTGATAAGGTAGGCTTTAGTTTGGACTCTGGCTCCACATTTGCAAGCTGTTGATTTCTGAAAATCATTTTAAATTCTATATGTTTTGTTTTCTTGTGTATGGGAATACTTATATCTACCTTAGAGGACTCCTATAAGAACTACATTAGATAACTCGGTAAAATGTGAAAGAAGGTAATAGGAGTATAGGTGAATATTTTTAATTTCTCATTTTTATTTCCAGTAATTTTGTAATATTTTTTAATAGAAAATGTTTTATTTTATATGCTTGTAAATTTATGATATTTTTGTAATAGAAAATATATTTTAATTTGATATTTATCACTAAAGTTATACACAGAAATATACACCTTGTGGCACTGACTGTATGACTAACTGAAGTGGTCTAAATACAGTAATTATTCTTATTTGGTACTAAACATCTCAAAGTACACGCTCTGCTAAATCATAATGGTTTATTTATTTAACAAATGCTTATATAGCTTTACCATGTGAGAGCCATTGTTCTAAATACTGTATTCATTTAATTCTTATAATAACCCTGTGAGGAAAGTCCTGTTACTATCCCAGTCTTATAAGATGAGAAGCTGACATACAGAGCGATTTAAGTAATATATACAAGGTTACATTGGTATATGTGGTTGAGCCAGGCAGTCTGGCTACATAGTCCAAGTCCTGAATACTACGATGCTTTTCAACTAGTCAATTGAAAACATGATCAATGAATATCTTGGCACTGTGAGGGATACCAGGAAACACAGTCTTTAACTTGAAGAGGCACAGTCTTTAACTTGAATATGATTCTGTAGGTTTCAGCTATGGTCTCAAAATTCTGTACCCTCAACCTTAGACAAATATTATCTACGTGTCACAGGAAAACACCTCTTCCCACCTGTGGTGACCAAGGTTCTGAATGAAAGACTCTGCAGCCTGTAGTTTGATTCTCTGTGGCAATGTCAGCATTTGCCATGTTTGTGCTGAGAAATCCTAGACTCAGGTTTCTTTTATACATATATGTATATATACACTTGTTCATATATTATGTGTATATGTAAATAGTGTTTCAACCAAAATATTTAACTAATACTATAAACTAAAATTACACATTCAGTAAAGTTGGCTGTTGAATTATTATTATTGTGCCTATCTCAGATGAAAGATTCTCTTGCCATCTCTTTCTAAAGAATATTCTAAGATTCCAAGATGAATTCTTAAAAATGTGAAAAATTGTTGTAAGAATTTAAAATGACTCTAGAATCAAACAGTCTCAATGCCATTTCAGGCACAGGAAGTTACCATGTGACTCTGAGCAACTTTCTAATCCTCTCTGTATCTCAATTTCTTCATCTGTTGAATGGGACATACCTCATACATTTATGAGAAATAAGAGACATAAAAATTTAAAAACACTTAGAAAAGTGTTTCAGATCTCAATAAATGTTAGATATTATCATTTTATTTATATTACTTATCTACAAAATCAGTCTTTTCTTGTTACAGGTAATCAAAATCTAGAACTACATTAAATTTGAAGATTGATATGCAGCTGGAAGTCTCATTTTTCAAGTTTTGTGTTCATCAAATAGCTCAATTATTATTAACTAATTTTACAATAAGTGTTGCAAATTTGAACTAATAAATACATCTATACTAACTAAATATAATTTACCTGATTTACAGATTAGGTTCTGTGTAAAATTTTGTTAGAAAAAATTATTCTGCAGCTTAAAAAATACATTGCATCATAAAGAAATGTATGTTTTTATGCTCTGTGTTATCTCATTCCAAGGGCAAAAAATTACCTTTTCCAAATATGTTTGTTCATTTTAATGTTCACCTATCGTTAAAAGCTTACTTTTGAATAATACATATTAAAATCAAATTATAAAAAAATTAACTCTTATCTGGTAGAGTACTATATTTTGGTGGAGGGTTCTACCTATCACCAAATATTTAATCTCTACTGTATTTCTTTCAAGACTGGTTATTGACAATAGGACCGATTAAAATGTTCAAAAACATTTTAAATAAATGATCTGTGTTTCTTGGAGGGTTAGCATTAGGAGATATATCTAATGTTAAATGACGAGTTAATGGGTGCAGCACACCAACATGGCACATGTATACATATGTAACTAACCTGCACGTTGTGCACATGTACCCTAAAACTTAAAGTATAATAAAAAAATAAAAAAATAAAAAATAAATAAATGATGTGTGTTTCTTCTGTCTTTTCTTGCAGTCATTCCCAACATAGCACCGCAACTCGTCAGCCTTCAATGACTCTCCAACGGGCCGTCTCCCTGGAAGGGTAAGATAATAATACAGAACCTCTTAAACTGTGCAGCCTTGGAATATGAAGTCTTCCTTTCTCTCCCTGTCTCTGTCTCTCTTTCTCCTTCCCTCCCTCCCTCCCTTCCTTCTTTCCTTCCTTCCTCCCTTCCTTCCTTCTCCCCTTCCTTCCTTCTTTCCTTCCTTCCTTCCCTTCTTTCTTTGTCTTTCTTTCTTTCTTTTTTTCTGTCTTTCTTTCTCTTTCTTTTGTCCTTTTTTCTCTCTTTCTCTTTCTATCTTTCTTTCTTTCCTTCCCTACCTCCCCACTCTTCTTTCTCTGTCTCTCTCACACGCACACACTCTCTCTCTTTTTTTCTTTCAATCAGCAAATATCTAGGAAACTCACCTTATGTGCCAAGCACTGTGCTAGGTACTAGATTTAATAAGTCAAACAAGATTTCTTCTTGCCCTCCAGAGGGCTTCATTGTCTAGTACAAATGATAGAAATACAAACACACACTTGTGATACAGTGTAAGCATTACACTCTATAGGAGATATGCATAAGGGATTAATGGAGAATCCAGGAGGGATACCTAACTGTAAATGGTCATCCAAAGGGTACTAGGGAGCAGGTCATGTTGGTTCCTGAAAAGATGTAACTCTTGAGCTGAGGACTGAAGCATACATGGATATTTGCCCAACAGCACAAGTTCATAAATATTCCTCCAAGGGAAGAAAAAAAACTAACATTTACTGAGTGCTTATTGGTGCCAGGCTCTATCTATTTATCTACCAATCACCTGTTGTATTAGTCCATTTTCACGATGCTGATAAAGACATACCTGAGCCTGAGCAATTAACAAAAGAAAGAGGTTTAGTGGAGTTGCATTTCCATGTAGCTAGGGAGGCCTCACAATCATGGCAGATGGCAAAAGGCACTTCTTACATGGCAGCAAGAAAGAGAATGAGAGCCAAGGTTTTATAAGGTTTCCCCTTATAAAACCATCAGATCTCATGAGACTTATTCACTGTCATGAAAACAGTATGGGAGAAGCTGCCCCATGATTCAGTTATCTCCCACCAGGTCCCTCCCACAACACGTGGGAATTGTAGGAGTACAGTTTAAGATGAGATTTGGGTGGGGACACACAGCCAAACCACATCACCTGTCTTACCTGATTTTATTTCTAAAGTAGTCCTACAAGATAGGTATTTTTTTTTCTGAACACTGATTCTCAGAGAGTTTAAGTAATTTTCCCAAGTGTACTTGTATAGAAAGTAGCATAGCTTGGACTTGAAATCAAGCTTGACTCCACTGTGTGGCTCTGTCCTCTATAATGTGGTACGAAAAGACTTTATTGAGGTGGAGAGCACTGGTTGTACAATTCATAAACCACATTCAGGCTAAGTTAGACATCGTGCAGAATTTCCTAAGTGTGAAAAAAATAATGAAGAACTAGAATGACTCTAACCTTAAAAATCTTTAAATAGAATCAATAACCTGCTGTTTGGGATGGTACTAGAGGTCCATGTGCATACTATGTAGCTGAGGTGTTGTTTGCAGTAGAGGTAAGGGTGTGGGGACTAATTTTACCACTGTCTCTACCTCACTTTATTATTCCTTTTGAAGACCTCTCTTGGCAGGGCTCAGGGTGGCTATCATTTCACATTTTGGCCATCAGCACAAAGTAGACTTCCTTCAACTATGATGAATAATGGCATTTCCTTCTAAGGCTATCTCCAAACTTTTGTTTTCTTTCTTTTTATTAGCAAAAGCTTATTAGCAATTTGCCCTAAGAATATTTTTCAATTTCCACTGTTTTCCACTTGAGTTAGAGGAACTCTGTAGTTGACATAATCACCATTTCTTCTTCTCTGATGAGGCCAAAAATGTAAAGGTGTTACCCTAACTTCAAAACACCAGAGTGACTCCTTTTACAAAAAAATAGCAAACTGTATAAACTTCATAGTGATCTATTGTCCCAACTAGCATAAAGCAATTTGCCTTATATCTAGTGAATAACACAATATATTCTATTCCCTATAAGAATGGAAGAAAACTTACTCTAGAGTCAAAGAATTTGGTTTGAGTCCTGGCCTCTACCATTTGTTGTTGATCAGCGACCTTCACCTCTCTAAGCATGGGTTTCCTCAACAGCTAAAAGGGAAAATAGTATACAACTCGCCAATTTGTTTGAGATGGAGTCTCGCTCTGTCACCCAGATTGAAGTGAAGTGGCGTGATCTCGGCTCACTGCAACCTCCACCTTCTGGGTTCAGGCGATTCTCCGGCCTCAGCCTCCCGAATAGCTGGGACTACAGACACACACCACCACGCCAGCTACTTTTTGTATTTTTAGTAGAGACGGGGTTTCACCATATTTGCCAGGCTGGTCTCAAACGCCTGACCTTGTGATCTGCCCGCCCCAGCCTCCCAAAGTGCTGGGATTACAGGTGTGAGCCACTATGCCCAGCCCAAACTCACCAATTTTTAAAAATAAAAGTATCAGGTACATATTGGACCGTCAATAAGTACTAGTTAAATATACACTTAGTCTAAGTGTTCTGAAAAAAAACAAAATTTATTTTTATAGGCTAGATTAGTTTGAAGACTTATTTTGAACACTTGCTTTTAAATATGTTTATATGTATTTGTTTATGTAAAACACTTCTGGATATAAAATGAAATATTTCAGGTAGAAATAACTTAGCATTACTGAAATATTTAGAAGGCGAAGTCTCAGTAATCCTCTACAAAGTCCAGAACACAAAAATTTGTGCTATACATGCCCAGCTGGTTGTCAGATGAAGAGATAACGTGCACATAGTGGGAAAGTTATTTTTCATCTTACATAGGCCAATGGGTCTTTAACAGGTTTCCCATTAAAGTGTTATACTGCTCAGTGTAGGCAATCAACTGAAATTGCAAATCCCATTATTTGAAAACTCTCCTTCCTAATGCTTTTGTGAAAAGCAACTACATAGGATATTTTTTAAATGAATGTAGTTTAAAAGGCCATATGTTTATATAATTTTCACCCAAGTTGCTATTTACTTGACATAAAATAAGTGGAGATATTTCAGATTTCCAGTTAATTTGATCCATTGAGACAACAAAACTATCTAATTGAGTCCTCTACCATAGAGTCACTGCTGTTTTTAAATTGATATCTGAATCATCTATAATTATGCCAGACAAAATGAGGAAGAATAATATCCCTATTAGCAGAATAAGTTCTGGTTTCAGTTTCAAGTTGACAGACACAGCCCACACCCTAATCTCCTCTTTCTCCTGAGACCCTATTAAAAGGAAGCTAATGGGATAATAATATTTGTTTAAAAGGACAGTCTCCTAGTGATCAAGGAAATAGAAGGGGGCATCAAAGGCCAAATGGTTTCATTATATTTCTTTGCAACAGAAAGCTGATTGAAGGGTATTGATCGGTGAAAAACAAAGTAATCTCAGCCTTTGATCACCTATGGAAACAGGGTTGTACAACTCCAGGGGGTACCTTTTACATTGCATTCTATTAGAATGACATTTCCTCGGATTATGTCTCCCGAGTTGCCACCCACAAGAAGCCCTACCACAGTGCAGTAGCACTATGTGAAGGGGCCTACAGCTCAGCAAAGAGCAGATCTGCCTAGCCAAACCCGGAAAACTCAGAGACGTTAGGGTAGTGACAACAGATGGGATTGAAAGCAGAGTCTGAGAATAGGAATGAAGAGTCCCCCAATTAGCATGCACACCGCTGAATACCAAAAAAAAGAAGCTTCTTCTCAGAAAAAATTGAATCACTCTTCTGTAGCACCTAGATGAGCTAGTTTGAGAGTTGGCCCCCACAGCTGAGCCCTTCACAGTGTGCTAGTTTGGGGCACAGTTTCATGTTTTCTGGCTTAACCTCAAACCTTTCCGTTAAAAAGCCTAATCAACCTAAGTGCCTATCAACGAATGACTGGATGAATAAAATGTGGTATATATACACAATGGAATACTATTCAGCCATAAAAAGAATGAAATCATGTCATTTTCAGCAACATGTGTGGAACTGGAGGCCATTATCTTAAGTGAAACAATCAGAAACAGAAAGACGAATGCCACATATTCTCACTTATAAATGGGAGCTAAATAATATATACACATGGACATTGGAGACTCAATAGAGTGAAATACTTCGAGGAGGTTGGACAGTGCGAAATTACTTGGTGGGTAAAATGTACATTATTCTGTTGATGGATACACTAAAAGCACAGGCTTCACCACTGTGGAATATGGCCATGTGACAAAATTGCACTTGTACCTCTTAAATGTATACAAATTTTTTAAAAGCTGAAATGGTTAAAAGCATTTGCCTCTGGAAAGGAAGGGAGGATTCTCAGGGGAGGTGGCACAAATTGAATTTTAAGGGATGTGTCTGCAGCAAGGCAGAGGTTAAAAAAATAGAAAATAAAATCACGTGCAAAAACCTAGAAGCATTTTGTTAACACTGCTAAGAGTAAGAAGTATCTTCAGCTACTCAGAAAGCTTTCTTTCATCTAGGAGAAGGCACTTTATGTTACCTTACAAGGTCATTTAGTGACACACTTAATGGCAGAATTTTCTAGTACAAATTCTAGTAGCATTTTCACATTGGTAAAACAGCTGCCCTGAAAGGGGTTGGCCAGCCTTTACAAGTAGCACTTAAAAGGAAACTAAATGACCACCTTCAGGGAAATTCTTCAAGGAATCCTTTATGGAATAAATAGTTTGTCTAACTAACCCCACCAAAAATGTCTCCCAAATCCAGAAGTATATGAGTATCAAAAAGAAAAACAAAAAGTAGTTTTACTTATAAACAGATCTAAGGGAACCCATCCTTTCAAGTTAACTGGTTTGTGATGATACTGCTATTGTACTTTCTCACCAGGGCAGGCCTAACTCCATAGGGACAGCCATGTACCACTGTTTGGCACAAAAGACACCCTTCCCATACTTTAAGGCCACCTAGGCTCATGAAACCATGGCTCCATTGGGGCTGGGGAGACTCTGGTGTTCTGAGCCTGAGCTCAGGTATCCTTTCCAAGGAACATCTGGAAACAAGACCTCTAATGGAATTATTCTCTCTCTTGTTCTCTCCTTTACTCCTTTTGCCTGGGTGGGAAAAGCTTTTTTTTTAAAGCTAATGTGCTTCAGATTTCCCAGGATGATGCTGACCTAAAAGACTCGTCTTTTTTTCCTCTAAGTACTCAGATGTTTGGTTCCAAAATATATGATCATGGCAGAATGTGATCCGAAAATCACCAGGTCATCTTTGAATCAGTACATAGAACCCAGATCTAACATTTCTTACTGTGTGATTTTGGCAAGATGTCTGTTATCTCATATACGAAGTGATCAGGTTGAGTTAAATAAACAAGGTATTAGATGCCTTCCAAATCTAACATTTTGGAGACAAAATTTTGGCTTATGGACTTCTAGGAATATTCCTAGTTATGGAGCGTAAACTTTTAAGGGACCGTTGGACTTTAGGTAGCTGGCCCTTTGGGCTAGTTGGCTTGAGTCATCTCTATCCACACATTCAGAGATCCATCTGTACCTCAGGATTTGTAATCAGTGTGAATGCTCAACTTCCTTCAGCACACCCTGACCTTCAAAAGTAGTGCTAAGTAGTGTTGGGGACAGGGAGGAGTTGACATGCTGATAAATATACTGAATTATGGAAGTGCTCTTTGAAACTTGGAAGAGATTTTTTTTTTAAGCTGTTAGTTGCTAGGGTCGCTGGTCGAAAATCTGAGCCTTTGCTTATCACAGATATTTAAGTGACTCTATCAAAACAGAGAAGCAAGTTGGGTAAAGGGCAAAGGATTTTTGTCTATTTTTAGAATGTATTAAAATAATATTCATTTTATTTTATGTGTATGTTTATATGTGTATTTATGTATATGTATATATACACACACATATGTATATATGTATTTATATGTATGTGTCATTCTCTTTATTTTGCTTTCCTGTCAGCTGAAGAGTTTATTTATAAAGAATATGGGAAAAGTAAGGAGATGAGCACCCATTTGATTTTTAGAAATGATCGGAAGAAATCAAACTGCTCCCCCCAAAAAGATTTATGTTTGTGACTTATAGTCCAATAAAGACAGACCTGTCTCCTGAATAAGAAAGTTCTGGGTAAGAAAGCTTTGGTTGAGAGTCCCAACCTTATTAATGCTGCCAGGTCACCTGCTAAAAACATCTTAACTGTTTGGAAGGACTCAAAAAGTTTGCAGGCCTTCCTTCCATCCCTGGGTGGGGGAGATAGATCTTCAGAGTTTAAAAACGAGGGGATTCATTAGGAATCTGTCAGAGCAGCAAATTCCTCTGACCATCGCTGTCCCCCCAGTTCAGCATCACGTGCTTCCTTTTCATTTTTCCTTGTGTCCCTGGAATTTCCACCTCTCCTCCTACTTGAGCTGTCAGCTCCTTTTCCTTAGCCTCATTTCAAAGGGTGAACAGATTTTTTTTTCCATTTCCTTACTCCGTAAGACATCCTTTTCTAGGCCTTATAATCTTTTTCCTTACATGTGTAGCGCTTAAAATATAAAAGGTGTCATCACAGCAATCTTTAAGGAGTCTCCCAAATTTATCAGTGTTGAAAAAATGCTGAGACTATGGAGAGCTAGGAAATATTTAAGGGCTATGAAGACATGGGTTCTAATTCTCTCACAGGGACTGGATTTCTGTTGCCATCTGCTTTTCAAATAACAACTGTGTAAAAATAAATAAATACATAAACAAACCATTGATTCTTGTTTAGAACAGACAGAAGTTTCCAAACGTGGAATTTCAAGGACTAACAAAATAGCAAAAATATTTTGCAAGATGACATAGAAAATCTAGATTTTCTAGGTAAATACTTGTATAGACGTTATCCACTATCATCATTATTGTTCCATAAAAGAAAGCCTTCCTTAAAATGAAGAAAAATAAACATAAATCGAAGAATACAGAGTACTGTATCATTAAAGCAGGTATTGAAAACACACAGACTCTAAAGTTCAAAAAGAATATTTTTTCTATATTTAAGGGCTAAAAATATAACATTAAATATTGTATATTTTAATTTAATAGTAACTGATATGTGTTGTAAGTGTTTTATGTGGCTCTCATTTTGCTCTAATAACAATTTAGGTACCTTTAACCCACTTTATGGATTAAGACACTAAAGCTTGGAGAAGTTAAGTAGCAGAACTGAGATTTGAGCCCACATTTTTAAGTCACTACCCTTTCCTACCTCCCCAAACTTGTATGTGTTTTGTTATTATGAGTTGGCCAACCTGGAGGCCTGAGTAAGACATTAAAATACAAAGTAGAGCTCAATATGATTTCTGAGGTTTTGGAGTTTTTTGTTAACTAGAATCATTGTCAAAAATCTACTTTCAAATAAAAATGTTATTAAATGGGGAACAAACTTGTATAATGATTCCACTCACCTTGAAATGTACCGAATTAGAAAAAATGGAGGAATAATATCTCCAAACTGTAGGCTTCTGGTTTGCCCAGCAGGACTAGGAAGAAGCCGGGAAGTCACAGGTCAGGAGTCTCGTTATGAGAATTATTGAGCTGCCCTGTTTAGTGGACTCACATACTGCGGGCTGCTCAATGCCAGTAGTATTGACCTTGTAGGGCTGCCACAGAATCCACTGGGCAATTGAAGTTAGAGATGTTTATTTTTTAAATACTCCCTATTTTCTGGACATAGTTGAGTTTCAGCATGATTACTTATCATACCGTGTATATCTTCCTTGAAAACCTTTTAAAGTTTTAATAAATGGGTTTAAAAATGGTCTCAATGTAATTGTGAATAAACTTTCTCCTCGTTGTTATATAATTAAATATATCCAAAACAGCGTGCTGCAGAATATCCAACTAGAAAATTGCCCCTCTTAATCAGTACTCACAGTTATTAATGCTAATAATAATATGCTCACCCATGACATTGACTGAGATGTCACTAAAGAGCTAGTTAATATGCTGAATTAACCAACGAGGAGCAAAAAAGCACCCAGTCATAAGTCTGTTATGAAAATGAAAACCAGAACCATTATTCCATGACAAGATTTAGTTGCTTAAACTATCAAAAAGATTTTATCTGTCCCAAACTTTCTAACTGTAGCCCCAGCACCAACCTCTTCTTGACATTTGCACCATTACCTCTCTTTGAATACTGTCCTTTTTTAACTTGATTCTGTTTATGATGATGCCAACCAATAAATTCAATTAGGAATATAATGATGAGCAAAGCAGACATTGACTCTGTCCTCAGTCTGGGGGAGAAAATGAGACATTAATTGAATAATCACACAAATAAATATAAATCTGTTACTGTGTCAAGCTCTGTGAAAAAAAAAGGGGGGACTGTGATGCTCTGAGTACCTATAATAGGGCATCTGACTTTGTCGGGGTGGTCAGGGAGGTCATGGAAGGCTCTTATCTGAATGACCAATAGACCTTGACTAGGCAAAGAAAAGGTCATTATCAATGGCTGCACAATGATTACAAATCTGTCTGAGTGTATGACTGAGCAGAGCACAGATGAGAACAACATGAACTCAGTAGTGCTTTCCATTTAGAAATTTATAATAAGGAGGCTGACTCATGGTTGACTCACTGTCTCCTCCTAAGAGGCTGCCTGATGGGGTCTTCCACTTGCTTATCAGAGCTCTGTGGTCTTGACATAGACATGATTTTCTAAATCCCATGGCTGACCAGTTCTGCTGTTCCTTCGGTTTTATGTTTATGTGTTTGTTTGCCTATTTATCTACCTGTGTGCCAGAATTATGAGATCGTTCATTGCCACTGCTGCATCTTTCCTTCTCCTCTACCGGTTCCTCCCTTGGCCCCTTTTATTTTCTGTATTTTCTCCCTTTCCCCTCCCTTCTCTACAGAAACTTTCTCCTCCTCCTTTCTCTTAGTCTTAATTTGCCATTCATTTTCTTTTTTTTCTCTTTTATTCTTGTCTTTTTTTTTTCGCTGTTCACCATGAAGATACCAGGCTTATGTTTGCATAGTGCAATATAATTTACAAAGGCATCTCAGGGACATTATTCCATTTGATCCTAATAGCAGCTTTGTAAGGTGGTTGGGTAAGAGTCATTTATCCTGTCTACAGATATGACAGAGGACCAGTGACTTCCCCAAGGTCATGTGTCTGGGAAGGGAAGGATTCTTGACTGCAACCTAGATGGCTGTCTCCTGCACTACTAGACCATCCTGCCTTAACAGAAATGTCACATACATTCCAATCACGTCTTTTAGTCTGACTGACAAAAGTCCTTTTCCGTCTTGTCTTTATCTTTCATGAAAATAAGTCTAGACAAAAGTCGTGGTCAGAGGGGTTTTCTGGTGGCTCATCCATCACATGAGTAGAAACAGCCTTAGTCTTATCTGATGAATATTTGCGGGACAATAAATTTGACCTTGGATTGAACTGCTTATAAATAATGATTTTCATTCTGTTGGTACCTTGCCTGGCTGTGACCTGGAAGGTGGCATGGCTAACAAGAACCAAAAACAAAGAGGATTGCCTCAGGTATCATTTGTCAGCCTTCATTATATTACTCATCTTGAGACATCTATCTTTATATATCCAAATGAAATCTGGTTTTTTTTTCTGCATATATTTCAATCCCTCAGAGACTCTTAAATTCCATCAGGATTTCTGTTTACTTCCTTCTTCTGACCAATTATAAGAGAGTTTAAAGAAAGAGCACGTCTGTATCCTATGCCACAGACCAGATGCCCCTTTATTGCCAGGGAAACAGCCAGCGATGTTTATCCTTTATTTAATCTCTCTGCTGACTTTCAGTGCTGGTAAATGTTTATTCCACCGAAGTATGCTTTTAAGATGTCAGTCAGCAACCTTTATTGACCAATGGATCACATTTGGTAAAGGCTCCTGCTTATTACATAGAGAATTAGACTGCTCAAAGAGGATTTTGCAGGGGACAAGCACCATTTATTCATTCAGTCATTGATTTGATTGATTAACTTCTTATGCATTTGTTCAACTAAGCATTTACTGAATGTCTAGTATGTGCCAAGCACTCTGGTGAGATATTTGAGAAAATCAAGAAGAAAAAGGCCCAAGCCTTGCCCCTGAAGAACTCAGACTAATAGGGTGACAGAATGTTGAAAATTATAGTAATTCAGTGTGATTATATCTTTGTAATTACAGAACAAAAGAACAAGCAGCTGATTTGAGGGAAGCTACTAGCACTGTTCGGGTGGAATTTCAGTAATTTTTATCAGGTGATTACCAAACCTGAAGGGTAAATGAACACCCTCTTTAAACTAAAGAAGTTGCATGCTTACATGGGCTGATATCAAGAGTTGGGAATTTTTTTCTCCTAAGCACAGGTCTGTAAGAGCTACATGGAAGTATAGAACAGAGCCATGTTCTTCACAGCCTATTCAGTTTTGCAAAGGAGAATTCTCCTGTGGTCAAGCATTAATTATGAACATTGATGGGAAATTGCATTTCAATATCAATGTTGCCTGATAATAAAATGTGTGAGCATCCCTTCTCTTACAGTGCTTTCACTGCATCCCTGAAGTCCTTGCTTGTCCTCAAGTCTCTCTCCTTGGTATAGCAGCCTGGTATAATTTAAAGAAGATGGCCTTTTGGCATATCTGTAACTTCATTTAAATTCTGGCTCCGCAATTACTAGTCTTATCACCTTGAGCTGTTACTAAACCTTTCTGAGTCTCTGTTTCTTTAATCTAAAAGTGGAGATTAATATCTGCTACATAGGATTTTTTTGACAGTTTATTTTTTTAAGTCTATAAATGGCCTACCATACTACTTAACAAACAGTAGATACAAGTAGGGATTTGTTCCCTCTCTGATCTCTCTTCCTATATCCCATCTGCCCTTTTTCTTTCTCATGTGCTAGAACCCATTTCTTCCTCCTCCACGCCAGGACTCAATTGACAAAGTCTCCATTCATTGTCCATTTAACAAAACATTTCCTGTGCACCTCTCACACACCCTGAGGAGATACAATCAGTAATGTGGAAGACAGAACACAGCACATGGTAAAGAAACAGATAGTGGAGTGAGTAAGCCTCATTTAGAAAGAGACATCAAGAGTTCAAACGTTTTCTACACCCCCCAAAACTGATTTCTTCAGAGCAGAGTTTCAGGAATAGTAGTAGATGTAAAAAGAATATTTAGGGGTAGAATGTCACCACACCTTACCTCCTTATTTACACACAAAAGAGTAAGTCTAGAGCCCATGCACATTATGTGCTAGCTCAAATATGTGAACACACATAGGTTCCTTCCAGATATCTGGGGTCTCCACTGATCTCTGTTTCATTCAAAATATTTATTGGACACTGTTACATACACAATGCCAGTATCTCTTCTTGATTGCCTATATAACAGATCATATCTCTGCCACACAATTTAATGCCTGTAGTTTTCTCCTTTTTCCATGTTGAAAAGTTTCTCTCGACTGAGTGCAAAAGTCCTTCAGGGTAGCTGCTAGGTCCTACCCTATCATGTAATTACTGGGCAGTCTCCCAAGCACAGACCATATTCAACAAGTGATGGCTTGTTAAAGTTCCTGCTTCTACTATGACCTAAGGAATAAGGGGAATTATATTCCCTAAGTGACCAATTTTCTCCACTTCTAGCCAATTTCTTCACTAAGGGAGATAAGCCAACTAGTCATCACTTTCTCTCTCTCTGTAGTTGTACAGAGTTTTAAAGTTTGTAGACAGTAATATTATGAATGCTGCTGCCACCACTCTTTTTTTTTGGAGTGGGGGAGTATCTATCACCTCAAACATTTATCCTTTATTTATGTTACAAACAATCCAATTATGCACTTTAATTATTTTTAAGTGTACATTAAAATATTGTTTACCATAATCAACCTGTTCTGCCATCAAATACTAGATTTTATTCATTCTTTATAAATTTATAAATATATTTTTGTACCCATTAACCATCTCAATATTTCCCCCACCACTGCCCTTCACAGCCTCTGGTAACCATCATTCTATTATATCCATAAGTTCAGTTGTTTTACTATTTTTAGCTCCCACAAATAAGTGGGAACATCCAAAGTTTGTCTTTCTGTGCCTGTCTTATTTCACTTAACATAATGACCTCCAGTTCCATTCGTGTTGTTGCCAATGACAGGATCTCATTCTTTTTTATGGCTGGATAGTAGTGCATTGTGTATTTGTACCACATTTTCTTTATCCATTCTCGTTTGTTGGTAGACACTTACATTTCTTCCAAATCTTGGCTATTGCGAATAGTGCTGCAATCACCATGGGAGCACAGATATCTTTGATATACTGATTTCCTTTCTTTTGGATATATACCTAGTAGTGGGATTGCTGAATCATGTAGTAGTTCCATTTTTAGTTTTTAAAAATGTTTTCAATTTTTAATTTCTGTGGGAACAAAATAAGTGTATATATTTATGGGGTACATGAGATGTTTTGATACAAGGATGCAATGTGAAATAAGCACATGATGGATAACGGGGTGTCTGTCCCCTCAAGCATTTATCCTTTGAGTTACAAACAATGCAATTATACTCTTTGAGTTATTTTAAAATGTACAATTATTATTGACTTTACTCACCCTGTTGTGCTATGAAACAGTAGGTCCTATTCATTCTTTCTATTTATTTTAGTACCCATTAACCATCCCACCTTCCCCCCACCTACCTCCCACCACTACCTTTCCAGCCTCGGGTAACTATCCTTCTACTCTCAATCTCCATGAGTTCAATTGTTTCGAATTTTAGATTCCACGAATAAGTGAGAAAATATGACGTTTATCTTTCTGTGCCTGGCTTATTTCACTTAATATAATGATCTCCAGTTTTATCCATGTTGTTGAAAATGACTGGATTCTCATTCTTTTTGTGGCTCCATTGTGTATACATACCACATTTTCTTTATCATTCATCTGTTGATGAACACTGAGGTTGCTTCCAAATCTTGGCTATTATAAACAGTGGTGCAACAAACATAGCAGTGCAGATATCTCTTTGATATGCTGATTTCTTTTCTTTTGGGTATATACCTAGCAGTGGGAGTGCTGGATCATATGATAGCTCAATTTTTAGTTTTTTGAGGAACATCCAAACTGTTCTCCATAGTGATTGTACTAATTTACATTCCCACCAACAATGTAAAAGGATTCCCTTTTCTCTATATCCTCACCAGTATTTGAAACTGCCTGTCATTTGGATATAGCCATTTTGACTGGGGTGAAATGATATCTCATTGTAGTTTTGATTTGCACTTCTCTGATGCTCAGTGATGTTAAGCACCTTTTCATATACCTGATACCGATTTCATTGTTAATTCATGGCATATATTAGTGAATTTTTATTAGTCCATTTTCACACTGCTGATAAAGACATACCTGAGACTGGGCAGAAAAAGAGGTTTAACGGGTGGGAAGGCCTCACAATCATGGTGGAAGGCAAGGAGTAGCAAGTCACATCTTACATGGATGGCACCAGGCAAAGAGAGAGCTTGTGCAGGGAAACTCTAGTTTTTAAAACCATCAGATCTCATGAGACTTATTCACTATCACAATAACAGCACAGGAAAGACCCACCCACATGATTCAATTATCTCCCACAGGGTCCCTCCCAGAATGTGTGGGAATTCAAGATGAGATTTAGGTGGGGACACAGTGAAGCCATATTATTCCACGCCTGGCCCCTTCCAAATGTCATGTCCTAACATTTCAAAATCAATCATGCCTCCCAACAGTCCCCCAAAGTCTTAACTCATTTCAGCATTAACTCAAAAGTCCAAAGTCCCAAGTCTCATCTGAGATAAGGCAAGTTGCTTCCATCTATAAGCCTGTAAAATCAAAAGCACTTTAGTTACTTCCTAGATACAGTGGGGGTACTGGCTTTGGGTAAATACAGCCATTCTCAATGGGAGAAATTGGCCAAAACAAAGGGGCTACAGGCCTCATGCAAGTCTAAAATCCAGCGTGGCAGTCAAATCTTAAAGCTCCAAAATGGGCTCCTTTGACTCCATGTCTCATATCCAGGTCATGCTGATGTAAGAGGTGGGTTCCCATGGTCTTGGGCAGCTCCACTCCTGTGGCTTTGCAGGGTACAGCCTCCCTCCCAGCTGCTTTCATGGGCTGGTATTGAGTGTCTGCGGTTTCTTCAGGCGCATAATGCAAACTGTCAGTGGATCTATCATTCTGGGGTCTGGAGGATAGCAATCTCTTCTCACAGCTCCACTAGGTGGTGCCCCAGTATGGACTCTGTATGGGGGCTTCAACCCCACATTTCCCTTCTACACTGCCCTAGCAGAGGTTTTCCGTGAGGACTGTACCCCTGCAGCAAACTTCTCCTGGGCTTCCAGGCATTTCCATACATCTTCTAAAATCTATGCAGAGGTTCCCAAACCTCAATTCTTGACTTCTGTGCCATCACAGGCTCAACACCACATGGAAGCTGCCAAGACTTGAGGCTTACACCATCTGAAGCTGTGGCCCAAGCTCTACCTTGGCCCCTTTTAGTCATGGTTGGAGTGGCTGGGATGCAGGGCAAGAAGTCCCTAGACTGCACACGGAAGAGGGACCCTGGGCCTGGCCGACAAAACCATTTTTTCCCCCTAAACCTCCAGTGCTGTGAAGGGAGGGGCTGCCATAAAGATCTAGGTCTCTGAGATGCCCTGGAGACATTTTCCACATTTTCTAGGTGACTAACATTCAGCTCCTCATTACTTATGCAAATTTCTGCAGCTGGCTTAAATTTCTCCTCAGAAAATGAGATTTTCTTTTCTATCCCATTGTCAAACTGCAAATTTTCCAAACTTTTATGCTCTGCCTTTTAAAACTGAATGCCTTTAACAGCACCCAAGTCACCTCTTGAATGCTTTGCTGCTTAGAAATTTCTTCTGCCAGATACCCTAAATCATCTCTCTCAAGTACAAAGTTTCACAAATCTCTAGGGCAGGGGCAAAATGCCTCCAGTCTCTTTGCTAAAACATAACAAGGAGTTACCTTTGCTCCAGTTCCCAACAAGTTCCCCGTTTCCATCTGAGACCACCTCAGCCTGGATTTCATTGTCCATATCATTATCAGCATTTTGGTCAAAACCATTCAACAAGTCTCTAGGGAGTCCCAAACTTTCCCACATTTTCCTGTCTTCTTCTGAGCCCTCCAAACTGGTCCAGCCTCTACTTGTTACCCAGTTCCAAAGTCACTTCCACATTTTCGGGTATCTTTTCAGCAGTGTCCCACTCCCCAAACCAATTTACTGTATTAGTTCATTTTCATGCAGCTTATAAAGACATACCCAAGACTGGGAAGAAAAAGAGTTTTAATGGATTTACAGTTCCACATAGCTAGTGAGGCCTCACAATCATGGCAGAAGGCAAGGAGGAGCAAGTCACATCTTAGATGAATTGCAGCAGGCAAAGAGACAGCCTGTGCAGGGAAATTCCCATTTTGATGAGATTTGAGTGGGGACACGGCCAAACCATATCAGAGTTGAAATCATTACAAAGTTATAGGAGTGCTAGATCATCATTTTTATGCATTTGTGTTTGTGTATTCCAATATGTCAATGCTAGCAAATAATTTGGGCTTACAAAAAAACTATAAGCCACATCAGTACCTGTCACCCTTGACATCTAAGAGAACCATGGCTATCAAAGATCAAGCCTTGTGTTTGAGAGTGCATGGGGTTTTTGCAGAAGAAAATATCATTATCATTACCTGGCCTTGTGTGTCAGTAAAACACACATCACTATGGAGAGCTGCTTTATAATAATGTCCTTCTTTCAATTTACTCAAGGGCCATAGCCATTGTGGGGCAAAAAAGGATATTATAATGTCCACCTCCTTGTGAGAAAATGATCTAAGGGTAAGAGACAGGCAGAAGATTTTCCAAGGCCACAACAAATTCAAGACCAGAAGTCAGGCCTCCTAATTTTCTGACCAGGAGCTCCATTTTATCTGGAGGATAATGAGAGTGAACTAGAGTCTTCATTCCTCTGATTTTTTCTTTTTCAATTCCTCATGCCTTTTGACTTATTTTGCCAGAAGAAGGGATCATTATGGGGAAACTGGAATGATTTCAGTGGAGAAATAATGGGAAGAGGTATGAAATGCAAGAAAGCACCTTTTGCAGTGTGGTTTTGACCCCCTGACATACCCAAGAAGCCATTTTTCTTGTCTGACAGCAAGAATTCCTTCCATGTAATTTTCAGCAGCAAGCAGGGCTTGGGAAGAGTCCTGAGTTGGCCTTACATAGATCAGAACTCGTACTCAGCAAAACAGACACGTTGCATATTTGGGGTGCCCCAGCTTCATTGTGCTAGATCGAATGTCTTCATCTCTTAACCACCCTCCTTTGTTTTTGGTCCCCAGTGCTGCAATCTTCCTTTTATCAAAATCAGTTCTTAGGATCAACTTGTTCGCACTGAGATTTAGATGTCTTTTAGGTTTTCATTCCATAATGATTCATTGATCATATTCTTTGTGCCTACTATTTTACCAGGTATTTAGGACATAGGAGCAAAGAGAACTTGTATTCATTAACCACTTTTTAATAGATTTTATTTTTCAGAGCAGCTGTAGGTTCATAGTAAAAAAAAAAAAAAGAGCAGAAAATGTAGAAAATTCTCATGTGTGTCCTGCCCCAACACATGCATAGCCTCACCTGTTATTAACATCCTCCACCAGAGAAGTACATTTGTTAGAATTGATTATGCTACATTGATACATCATTATCATCCAGGGTCCATAGCTTACATTAGCGTTCACTTTTAGTGTTGCACATTCTAAGGGTTTGGACAATCGTATAATGACATGTATCTGGAATTATGGTGTCATACAAAATAGTTTCCCTGCCCTAAAAATTATCTGAACTTGGAGATTCTGATGATTATGTGTCTTGGGGATGATCTTCTTGTTAAGTATCTTACCAGGGTTCTCAGAGATGACACAAACAAATGAAAAAACATTCCATGTTCATGGATAGGAAGAATCAATATCATTAAAACAGCAATACTTCCCAACACAATTTATAGATTCAGTGCTATTCCTGTTAAACTACCATGAGATTCTTCACAGAACTAGAAAAAAACTATTTTAAAATCATATGGAACCAAAAAGGATCCTTAATAACCAAAACAATCATAAGCAAAAGGAACAAAGCTGGAGACATCACACTAGCTGACTTCAAACTATATTACAGGGCTACATGAACCAAAACTGCATGGCACAAAAACAGACACATAGACCAATGGAACAGAATAGAGAACCCAGAAATAAGACCACAGATCTGCAACTATATGATTTTGACAAACCTGACAAAAATAAGCAATGGGGAAAAGATTCCCTATTCCATAAATGGTGCTGGGAGAACTGGCTAGCCATATACAGAAGATTAAAACTGTACTCCTTTCTTATACCAGATACAAAAATAAATCAAGATGGATTAAACACTTAAATGTAAAACCCAAAACTATAAAATCCCTGGAAGACAACCTAGGCAATACCATTCAGAATATAGGCACAGGCAAAGATTTCATGATGAAGGTGCCAAAAGCAATTACACCAAAGCAAAAACTGGCAAATGATATTTAATTAAACTAAAGAGCTTCTGTACAGCAAAAGAAACTATCAACAGAGTAAACTGACCACCTACAGAATTGGAGAAAATATTTCCAAATTACGCATCTGAGAAAGGTCAAATATCCTTTAAGAAACTTAAAGGAATGTACAGAAAAAGACAAACAACCCCATTAAAAAGTGGGCAAAGGACATGAAAAGTTTACAGAAGATGACATAGATGTGGCCAGCTATCATATGAAAATAAAGGTCAACATCACTGATCATTAGAGAAATGCAAATCAAAAAACCACAATGAGATACCATCTCATGCCAGTCAGAATGGCTATTATCAAAAAGTCAAAAAACAACAGATGTTGGCAAGGTTGTGGAGAAAAAGGACTGCTTTTACACTGTTGGTGGAAGTGAAAATTAGTCCAACCATTGTGGAAAGCAGTGTGGCAATTCCTCAGAGACCTAGAGTCAGAAATACCATTTGACCCAGCAATCCCATTACTGGGTATATAACCAAGGAATATAAATTGTTCTATTATAAAGAAAATTCAAGCATATGTTCATTGCAGCACTATTCACAATAGCAAAGACATGGAATCAACCTAAATGCCCATCAATGATAGACTGGATAAAGAAAATGTGGTACATACACACCATGAATTATATGCAGACATAAAAAAAAGGAGATTATGTCCTTTGCAAGAATATGGATGGAGCTGGAAGTCATTATCCTTAGCAAAATAATGCAAGAACAGAAAACCAAATACCACATGTTCTCATTATAAGTGGAAGCTAAATTATGAGAACACATAAACACATAGTGGGGAACAACACACACTGGGGCCTGACAGAGGGTGGAGGGTGGGAGGAGGGAGAGGATCAGGAAAAATAACTAATAGATACTAGGCTTAACACCTGGGCAATGACATAACCTGTACAACAAACCTTCAAGTACAACAAACAAGTTTACCTATGTAGCAAACCTGCATATGTATCCCTGAAAATTTTTTTTTTTTGAGACAGAGTCTCTGTCACCCAGGTGGAGTGTAGTGGCACGGTCTTGGCTCACTGCAACCTCCACCTCCCAGGTTCAAGCGATTCTCCTGCCTCAGCCTCCTGATGTATCCCTGAACTTAAAAGTTTTTTAAAAATTGTATCTTCTTTTACCAATTCATCCCTTCCTCCCCCTATACCCCATCAACTACTGATTTTATTAGTGTCTCCATAGTTTTACTTTTTCCAGAGTATCAGATAGTTGGAATAATACAGTATGTAGCCTTTTCAGATTGGCTTCTTTTGCTTATATGCATTTAAGTTTCCTCCATGTACTTCTGTGGCTCGGTAGTTCATTTCTTTTTGGTGATGAATAATGTTCCATTTTCTAGATGTACCACAGTGTATTTATCCATTCACCTACTGAAGGACATCTTGATTGCTTCCAACTTTTGGCAATTATTAATAAAGCTGCTAGAACTATTCACATGCAGGTGCAGGTTTTTTTGTGGACATGTGTTTTCAGCTTCTTTGGAGAAATACCAAGGAGCACAATTGCTGGATCATATAGTAAGAGTATGTTTAGTTTTGTAAGAAACCACCAAACTATCTTCCAAAGTGACTATACCATTTGCATTCCCACCAGCAATGAATAAGTGCAGGTACACATCCTTGCCAGCATTTGTTTTTGTCAGTATTCTGGATTTCGACCATTTCAATGGGCGTGTAGTGGTATCTCATTATTGTTATAATTTGCATTTCTCTGATGATATATGATGTGAGGCGTCTTTTCATGTGCTTATTTGTCATCTGTTTATCTTCTTTGATGAGGTGTCTGAGGTTCTGTGGCCCATTTTTAGTTGAGTTGTTTGTCAGTTTTAGATTTTGTTTGTTTGTTGAGTTTTAGGAGTTCTTTGTATATTTTTAATAATAGTTCTTTATCTGACATGTCTTTTGTAATCATTTTCTCTCAGTATTTAGCTTGTCATTTCATTCTCTTGACGTTGTCTTTCACAGAGCAGACTGTTTTTATTTTAATAAAATAAAAACTGTCCATATGTTTACATATGTTAAAAACATATGTTCTATTTTAATAAAATAAAAAAGTCCAGCTTATCAGTTCTTTCTTTCATGAATCATGCCTTTGGTGTTGTATCCAAACAGTCATCTCAAAACCCAAGGTCATCTAGATTTTCTCCTACAGTATCTCCAAGGAGTTTATAGTTTTGTGTTTTGCATTTTGGTTTGTGATGAATTTTGAGTTTATTTTTGTTCAGGGTATAATGTCTGTGTCTACCTATTTTTTTCTGTTTTGCATGTGGATGTCCAGTTGTTCTAGCACCATGTTTGTCTCCTCTTTCACCAATACCATACTGTCTTGATTACTATAGCTTTATAGAAAATTTTGAAGCTAGGTAGTGTTATCCTCCAAATTTGTTTTTTCTTTCAATATTTGCTTGCTATTTGGGGTCTTTTGCCTCTCCATATAAAGTTCACAAAATAACTTGCTAGGATTTTGATTGGGATTGCACTAAATCTACAAATTAAGTTGGAAAGAACTAACATGTTGACAATATTGAGTATTTCTAGGTCTCCATTTACATGGACTATCTCTCCATTTATTTAGTTCTTTGATTTCTTGCATCAGAGTTTTGTAGTTTTTTTCATATAGGTCTTGTACATATTTTGTTAGCTTTATAACTAAGTATGTCATTTTCAGGGGTGCTAATATAAATGGCATTATATTTGTAATTTCAGTTTTCGCTTTTTCATCATTAGCATATAGGAAATTAATTGGCTTTTTTGTACTAATCCTTTATTCTACAACCTTGCTCTAATTGCTTATTAGTTCCAGGAGATTTTGGCAGTTATCTTGGATTTTATACAAAGAGTATTATGTTATCTGTGAACAAAGACAGTTTTATTTCTTCCTTCCTAATATGTATGCTTTTAATTTCCTTTTCTTGTCTGATTGTATTAACTAGAACTTGCAGTATGATGACGAAAGGCGGTGGTGAAAGGGAACATTCTTGCCTTGTTTCTGATCTTAGTGGGAAAGCTTCAAGTTTTTTTTACCATTAGGCATGATATTAGCTGTAGGGATTTTGTAGATATTATTTAATAAGTTGAGGAGTTCCCCTATTCCTAGTTTACTGAAAGTTTTCATTTTCAATGGGTGTTATTAGGTACTTTTTAGATATCAGACACTAACTCACAAAGTAAATAAAATACTCAAGAATCTCAGAGTCAAGTGAGAAAAGCAAGTATGCAAATAAATTTTTATTGTACAAGATTATAACTTTAGTGTTCTGGCTTATAATTTCTAGTTTACTCTTCTAATAAGCCTCTATGTTGTGAACTTCTTGGGAGCAGAAACCATCTGCTTTATGGTAATAATCCTAGCCACAGTGGAGCCCTCCAGGAGTATAGTAGACCCTCAACAGATACTTGTTAAATGGATAAAAAGATAGAGTGTGATAATTAGGATAATCACAATATGAATTTGGTGCAATAGAATCCTAGAGGAACTAGTGTTAGGGAGAGCTGAGGAGACCAAATGTTGTTCAACTATTCATGAGGAATGAGGGAAAGTTTCCTAGGTATATAAAAGAGAGGAAGCCAACTGCTGGCAGAAAGGACTATACATGGAAAGACCAAGGTGAGGGAAAGAGTCCACTTAAAGAAAAGCTAGGAATTCGGAGAAAATCAAGGGGATTTTATGTGATTGGAATTTAGAGTATTTTTGAGGGTTTGTCAGAAGATGAGGCTACACATATTTGTTTAGAGGAAAAATTTTGATGATTCTTCTAAAAATCACTTCCCATTCTTATCAGTGTCCAAAGTTGGCTTTCAGATTTTGCTGTGACTAAAGGAAATAGTTAATGAATAACTTTAAGAATGCCATGTTCAAGAAGAGTTTGGCTAACCTCTGCTCTAAGGGCAGGAGTCTGGGTAGAAAGGGAAAGTAGGTCAGTAAGATCAATGAAATTTCTCAATTGAGAAAGCAAGGATGGGAAGCAATGCTCTTCCTCTTTTTTCCTGATAAAGAAAAGAAGGAATTAGAAAACTCATCAGGGCTGAACTAATTGTTATGTAAAGCCTCCCCTAGAATTAGCAAAAAAACAGAACTTGTAGCTGGTAAAACATTTATACAGGACATTTATACAGGACAACACCTGTGATACCCCCAGAGAAGAGAACAGTTGAATGTTTCTTTTAAAGGAAAGAATTTTTAGAGTTCAACTACAGCTAAAGGTTAGTAAGATGTTTGTATTTCCTTACATATTATCTTTGAAAATGAATTTCAGTAATAGTAATTAATGATGCATTCATGGTAGTCCTTTGTCTTTTTTTTCCACAGTAATTCTTACATACATATCTTAACTACATGAAAACTTCTGAAATTCTATTAATGAGGTTTATGGAAAGCTTTGCCATTTGAATATAAGGCTTTCTGCCCAGGCACCTGGTAACAGCTCCCAAAACTGCACTGGTATGATTATACTTTTATTTCAAATCCATTTTCTGAAGTGACAGGTCATAGGGATTGAGTCAGCCTCAGTGACTCCTTTTGCCCCTCTAGGCAGGTGATGTTCATGTCAGTTTGTGCATTGGCTCACGTAGCCCCTACCAGAACGTATTAGCTTCCTAGGTCTCAGATAACAAGCTACTCAAACTGAGTGTTTAAAACAACAGAAATGTATTGTCTCTCAGTTCTGGAGGCTAGAGTCCAAAATCAAAGTGTTAGCAGGCCCTGGTCCCTCTGAAACCTGTAGGGGACTCTCCTTGCCTCTTCCTAGCTTCTGGAGTTTTACCAGCAACCTCGAGTGTTCCTTGGTTTGCAGCTGCACCACTCCAACACTGGCCTCCATCTTCTTATGGCATTCTCCTGGTGTATCTCTGTCTTCACATGGCTGTCTTTTTTTTTTTTTTTTTTAAGAGACGGAGTCTCGCTCTGTCACCCAGGCTGGAGTTCAGTGGCACGATCTTGGCTGACTGCAATCTCCGCCTCCTGGGTTCAAGCAATTCTCTGCCTCAGCCTCCTGAGTAGCTGGGATTACAGGTGCCCGCCACCATGCCCGGCTAATTTTTGTTTTTTTAGCAGAGATAGGGTTTTACCAATTTGGCCAGGCTGGTCTTGAACTCCCGACCTCGTGATCCACCCACCTTGACCTCCCAAAGTGCTGGGATTACAGGCAAGAGCCACCACGCCCCGCCTTTTTTTTTTTTGAGACCGAGTTTCACTCTTATTGCTCAGGCTGGAGTGCAATGGCTCCATCTCCGCTCACTGCAACCTCTGCCTCCCGAGTTCAAGCAATTCTCCTGCCTCAGCCTCCCGAGTAGCTGGGATTACAGGTGCCTGCCACCACACCCAGCTAATTTTTTTGTATTTTTAGTAGAGAAGAGGTTTCACCATGTTGGCCAAGCTAGTCTCGAACTCCCGACCTCAGGTGATTCACCTGCCTTGGACTCCCAAAGTGCTGGGATTATAGGCATGAGCCACCCCGCCCAGCCCTGGCTGTCTCCTTATAAGGAGACCCGTCAGATTGGATAAGGGACTCATTCTACTCCACTGTGACCTCTTCTTAACATCTAACATCTGCCACAATCCTTTCCTAACATGTCACATTCTGGGGTATTGGGACAGTTAGGACTTCAAAAATTCTTTTTTTTTTTTTTTGAGACGGAGTCTCACTCTGTCACCCAGGCTGGAGTACAGTGCCGCGGTCTCAGCTCACTGCAAGCTCCACCTCCCAGGTTCACACCATTCTCCTGCCTCAGCCTCCCAAGTAGCTGGGACTACAGGCGCCCGCCACCACGCCAGGCTAATTTTTTGTATTTTTCAGTAGAGACGGGGTTTCACCGTGTTAGCCAGGATGATCTCGATCTCCTGACCTCGTGATCTGCCCGCCTCGGCCTCCCAAAGTAGTGGGATTACAGGTGTGAGCCACCGCGCCCGGCCTCAAAATTTCTTTAGGGTTGGAGACACAAAATTCAACACATAATGCAGAGTGTAAACTTTTCAGGGACAGAGAGCTCTTGTATAGCTTTGTATGTGCAAGGCTCAGCCAGGGTCGAGCCCAGTAGCTGCTGGCCAAACCTTGGTTAAATGAATGAAGAAAGTATATGCAAATATTCTGCTCTGTTCTTCTGAGTATTAAGAATTGAATCTCTGTTTGCCCTGTCTAAGAACCTCTTCCTGATCTGGCCTCTGCCTTCATGTCTCCACCACACCCCTGCTAGAATGGTACATTGTAGTCCAGTGAAAATATTTGCTTTCCTTCAAACACCACATATTCCCTGACTTCCTTAATTTATGCTTTTCCTTATTCATTAATTATTATCCCACTCCCCATCTCTCTATATCAAATCAGTGCTCTCCTATCTATTAGAAAACTTACCCCGGGCTGCCGCGGTGGCTCATGACTGTAATCCCAGCACTTTGGGAGGCAGAGAGGGGTGGATCACAAGGTCAAGAAATCAAGACCATCCTGGCTAACACGGTGAAACCCCATCTCTACTAAAAATACAAAAAATTAGCCGGGAGTGGTGGCACATGCCTGTAATCCCAGCTACTTGGGAGGCTGAGGCAGGAGAATCTCTTGAACCCGGGAAGCGGAGGTTGCAGTGAGCCGGGATCACGCCACTGCACTCCAGCCTGGGAGACAGAGTGAGACTCCGTCTCAAGTAAAAAAACACACACACACACACACACACACACACACACACACACTTACCCCAAATGTTACGGATGAATGAATGTTATTATAATTAGTTATTTTTACTTACCTCCCTGTCCCCCTAGGATGAGAGCCCATTAAGTCAGGACCTAAATTGTATTTATAGTTATATTTCCAGCGCCAAGCACAGCACCAGAAGTGTATTTACCTTGAAACCCTAGGCCCTTCAATTACATGGACCTCTTCAAGCTCTTGTACCTTGTTTGCTAGACATTTTGCTGGGTACTGGAGACACGAAGGCCGGGGGAAAGGGAGTTCATTTACAGTAAGCACATTTTAGATGTCAGGCACTAGCATTCTGGGTAAATAAGAAATTCGCGTTATAAATGTAATATTTTATGCTTTTTTTTTAAAAAAAAAAAAAAAAGGAGCTCCAGATTGTAAAACTTCCAGACCACATAAAACCTGCATCTGCCCTTGCAAAGCACATGCTATGCTGAGAGAAGTAATTCACAAAGCAAATAATTCTGGCCATGTTTTCCTGTGTAATTAAAGTGTGATCTCCTTCAGCAAACCTTCCATAGACCCCCATCTAGAAATTATTTCTTTCTATCCCAGGCCCTCATAACAATTTTTATGTATCTCTTTTATTATTCTACATTTCGTTTCAAATATCTATGTCTCTATATTTATGTCTTATTTCTTCCTCTAGATTAGAAATTCTATGAGGACCAAGTCGGTCATAATAATCTTCATCTATAACACAATACTTGACAAATGTTTATGCTCGATAAACATTTGAATGGCTATTAAGAGCTTGCAATTTTTTATTTGTTTATTATTTATTAATTTATTATATATATTATTTATTTATATTTATTTATCTCCCTTATTTATTAATATGGTCCAGGAATTTGCATTTATTATCCCATTTAATCCTCACAAAAACCACAATGTAAGTACTACCATTATACCCATTTTGGGATATAAAAACTGAGGTTCAACAAGATGAAGTAAATTGACCAAAGTCTTGTAGCTAATAAATGGCAAATCTCAGTTTTAAACTTAGATGTGTGTCTGAAACCAAAGCTGGGTAATTAACTACTGCAGAGGAATAAGTCATTCTTCAAAAAATTGAATAGATATATTTTTTGTGCATAAAGAATTCCCAGTTGGTAGAGGACAGATACGTATATCTGTATCTATTTTTAAGTGATAGTGCTATAATGCCCCCAAATAAAATGCTCTGGGAACACTGCCCAGGAGATGGCTAAATGTGCCTGTGGAATTGTTGAAGGATAAACTGGTTCATCTGGAGATGGGCATTCCAAACAGAGGAAGAACACACAAATGGCACAGGAGAGTCTGACCATGAGGGCCACACAGGAATTTATGCATAATTGATAGGTATAGTGCCAGAAGGAATGTATTGGAAGTTGAGATTGAAGAAGTCCATGGAGCCCAAATTAATAGTTACTTCATATTGTTAGGAGAATCCTAGTTAGGGATCCCTGGCAGAGATGTCATGGGCCTGAACTAAGGCAACAATACTAAGATGACGTGAGAGGCATTTCTGAATTAAAGATGACTGCATTTGTTGGATGATTGGAAGTACTAGATGAGCAGTAGAGAAGAAAATGCAGAAGTTTCTGATTTGAAAATTGGGCAGACACAATTAACCCAGATAAGGAACAAAAGGGAGAAAAAAAATTCTGGGAGAAAATAATGATTTCATTCTGGAGCAACTGAATAGAAATTTGGAGTAGAGAAGACTGATCTGAGCTAGAGATATGAATTAGTGGATTATCAATATAGCAAAGGATAAGACCACCTATTTATTAATTTATTCAAAAAATATCTGTACCAGGCACTAATCTGTACCTAATCTGTACCAGGCACTAGACTAGATGCTAGAGGCCCAAGGGGGTTGTAGTTCTCATAGAGATTGCATTCTAGTGAGAGATGGGCAACAAGCAAACAAACAAACACAATTAATTTACTGTAAGATAAGTGTCCTTACAAGATGCCGTGATTAAAAAAAAAAAAAAAAAAGGTGTGGGGGACTAGTTTAGATGGAGTGGTCACAGAGCACAATTTAAACTGAGACCTAGAGAGACAAAGGACCCCTCCAAGAAAGAGCTAGAGGAAAGGAAAAAGAGGAGAATTAAGTTTCTCCATCACACCAACCACACTTCAAGTGCTTACTAACACATATGACTGGTAGCTACGATATTGGGCAAACAGATACATAGAACATTTCCCAAAATTTCAATTACGGAAATACAGAGAGGAACGTTTATAATGTCAAAAGCTGAAGAGAGGCCAAGTTGGAGAGGACCTAACAATAGAGCCATTTCTGTTCTCTCCACTTTCTTGAAGGTGAGTACTAAATATTTATTAAATCATCAAGTGGAATTGTGGTTTTAGAAATGGGAACGCCCCACTTCTGATTTTCATTAAGCAAGCATGTGAAATGCTAGAACTGGAAGGGATCGTGGCGATTCTGGTTTGCCTTTTTCACCCCTCCCCTAGTTATACAATATGGAAACTTGTTCAGAGGCTGTTTTCAAGGACACTCAGGCATTAATATTGGAGTCAGGACTAGAAAACAGGCCTCAGCCTAAAGTTTTTTCTACAATAATATGGATATATCCAAATCAGAGTTAAGATAAAACATGAAATACTTGAACCCAATTATTTCACTTTAATTCAAGCCATTTTCCCCATATCACACTAATTGTAGAGGGTTTGAACATTTGATAATTAATTGGAGTTTCATAATACCATAATGCTTCAACTCGAAAGACATTTTAAAAAATCTTTCATAAAGTGTACTTTGCCTTCAAGAAGAATATGCAGAGTTTTTTTCTCTAATCCTATTTTTGAATATTAGTTTTGCTAATGCCCCAGCTTCATAATAGTTTCAGACATTATTTCACCAGTCATGAGAGCTTGAGAACAAATGACACAACTATGAAAAATAACTCTGTACAATAGATATTTACTTTTTTACTTTTATTTAGTTTAACAAGATTGCTAAAATTATTCCTGTTATAATTATCAAAAAACATTCCTTTTATAATTAACTTATCTTTAAAACTTCAAAATGCAACAGGGAGCAAAAGCAAATTGTTGTTATTATGGATAGTATATATAACTTAAAAAATAAGTTGGCAACCAAAACATTATGAAATAAAAGAAAAAGAGGGGTAATCCTTTTTTTTTTTTTTTTTTTGGCTTGGGAGATAATGATTAGAAGGTATGGTTATGAAAAGTGAGAACGTATGTGGAGCAACATAAAATTGGTTCTTTGTTTATTTTCTTGAGAAATTTAGACAAAAACAAATTGAGGTGGAACTTGGTTATTAGATTATCATGTTTGATATGTGGATAAGAAAGTACTCCAAATATTTTTAAATCAAACTAATTGATCTATAGTTGATTTATGTTGCGAGAAGAAAATTTTTTAATTTGTCTGATTGATTCCATTTACCAAGGTTGTTATATGTAGTCTCAGATGTGTGCCTAATTCTAAGATTTACTCCAGAGAAGAGAAGGAAAAGAGTTTTACAAAGAACTCAGACAGATCTTAGCAGTTAAATCCAAGACCTTATGTTACAGCCTCAATCAAAGCCCCTCACTTTGCAGCAGAAGTGTCTTTAGAGACCTTTAGAATTATTAATTAACCTCATTGCAGGCAAACTTGGGGGGCTGTAGAAACAGAACAATGTAACATAAACACTTAAGGCTTACAAATAGAAGTTATTGCATTCACAAAGTCTCCCCTGAGTACACAAACATTCAATGTCTTCACATTATCCAAGTATAAAGTGTGAATTCCTTAGGTTGGCATCCATGTTCCTTCCCAGTCTGCCTCAGTCTTCTAGTTTTCCTTGAAGCCAATCCTGCACATTATTCAAACTGGGATACTCACTATTCTCCAAATACATCTTGCATATCTCCGCTCTGGCCCTAGGCTCATGCCATGTACGGAAATACCCTCTACTTTCCTTTCCACTTTCCTAATTTCTACCCATCTGTCAAGATCTAGTTCAGATTGTACATTCTATATGACTTAATATTTGTTCTTTAACACAGAGATCTTTCATCCACAATACTCATTTGGTACTTAACATATGTGGCTTTGCAATGTTGATTTATTACTTTATGTGTGACTATTTGCCTTTCAAAGGTCATAACTTTCTAGAGGGAAAGGAAATGAGTTAGCATTTACCAAGCACTTGCTGTGTGATTCTAGTATTTTTATGTTATTTCAATTCATCTTCACAATGCCAGAAAATAGATATTACTGTTCACAATTTATAGCCAAAAAAGCAAGACCTCAAGAAACTACACCAAGGTTACTCAAGTATTTATTGGTAGGATTATGATTCAAGCCTAGATCTATGTAGCTCCAATGCCCATACTCTTTCCCAATATCACAGTATCCCATACCATCCCCCTCTAGTAGGGTTGTTTTATCCCACACAGTACCAACCACAGTATGTTTAGTATAAACTCTGTATCAGTGTGGTTATTATTTTGCTGAAGTCAGCCTGCTCTATATTGTATATTTAATGCATAGATCCCCCCTTATGATGACAGATTTCTTTCTATTATTTTAATAACATGTCCTCAAATAGCAGTTCAACAAAACCCTCTATCTTTGTGTATCTGTATGATGCCCAATAATCTGTTTGACTGATTATTTGGCTAACTGACCAAATTAACTATTTAAATATGAGGCACACATTATACTGCATCCTTCTGAGGAGCTAGCTCATTTAGATATAAGAAGGTTGTAATCAACCAGCAGCTTTGAAGCCTTCTGTTGTTGTCTTCCATGTGACCACCTTTGGTATGCCCCTCTCTTCACAAGTTTCCTAATACATGTCTTCTCATTCTACTAAAAAGATCTTTTTGATCTCCTACAAGTATCTCCTCTTTTTAATAACATTGTTCACGTGAACGTAGTTGCATTTAATAGAGAAATGAAGGAAAAAGGATTCAGGAAGACTAGCTGTAGACTTCCCATATGACTTCCACGGGTAATAGACCCTTTTTGGGTTGTCGTTATACTAGATCTGGGCCTTCCATCTACAGTCTCTGGAACTCAGTTTTTGTCAGTGTATCCAGGAGTAATCAAGCTTATATGCTGTAATACCATGTTTTTAATATATGATGCAAAATGTAACTACTCAAGATACCAGAATGTGCTATAACTAGCACATTGCTCTCAATAGGAAAAACACTAGGATAAATTATATTTTTAATGAGCTGGAGGCTTGGTGAGCCTGGACTCTGAGAGGGAAATTAGCCACCCAAGTGACCCTAATGACTACTGTCATTGAGCTAGGATGGCCAGATGAGCCCATCTCATACGTTACCCCTACCACCAGGACAGCACATTTATGTTAGCCACCTGCAGCTGGAGCTGGAGATCACCTCGACCTCACAGCTCTGGAGATCTATTGCGAAGATCTTTCTTCTACGACTCAGGTGGACTCTCCCTCCTTTATTCTCCCAATTTATTCAGTTTTATCAATTCTGTTTGCAAGTGTAACTTATTTGACATTCAAACATGCCTTGATTAGTTCCCCAGGCCCTTTTTTTTTTTTTTTTTTTTTTTGATACAGACTCTCACTCTGTTGCCTAAGCTAAAGTGCAGTGATGCGATCTTGGCTTACTGCAACTTCCGCCTCCCAGGTTCAAGCAATTCTCGTGCCTCAGCCACCCAAGTAGCTGGGATTACAGACATGCACCACCATGCCCAGCTAATTTTTTTTTTTTTTTCAATAGAGATGGAGTTTCACCATGTTAGCCAGGCTGGTCTGGAACTTCTGGCCTCTAGTGATCCACCCGCCTCGGCCTCCCAAAGTACTGAGATTACTACAGGCGTGAGCCACCGCGCCTGGCCCCCAGGCCCTTTTTTTTACCCTATGAGCCAAAATCAGGATAGATATGTATCCTGGATATTGTTGAAGTGCTAATATTTTTGTACTTTATCCTTTTGTTTGGGGTGTAGCCTCACAGGGTCCTAATTTTGCTCAGGTGTCTCTGATCTAATCCCACCACTGGGCTCACACAGTCCTATTCATGCAGCCATCAAATCTAGACACTAACACACTAGCTCATCACTCTTCAGTCTGCTGCTATTCTCAGTACTTGCTTTCTTCTGAGTTTGCATTTCTGCTTCATTTTCATCCTCTGAAGATTTCTCTTACTTGCAAGCTTAGCCAAGCATTTAAAAGTATTTTATAACTATTTTATTCAGAATTTTTAGCTGCTTTGTAATGAAAGGGGTTTTCAGAATATCTAATATGCCAAATTACTGGAAATAGCATCTCAATATTTAATTTTCTTTAAAACTTCTCAGTTTTCTAGATGCCTTTAGTTCATTGTCTTATCGGAATTTCAACACTTCCCCATGAGACAAACATTATTCCCTCCATTACCCAAGCAAGGAACCCGACCTGTAGAGGACAATCCTGGCTTCCCACATATCCCAAGAGAGCCAGAACTAGAACTCAGTATCATTTTTCCCAACCACTCACTTTTTTTTCCGTTCATGAAACAATATTTTTGTTTGTATGTCTCTTATATGCTCAGCCTGTACCCGCTTCCAAAATTACACAAAACAAGGACCTAAAAGTCCTTTATCTTTGTCTTTCAGGACCATACAGATTGACAGCATAGATGGATGGGTAAATAAATTTATTTCAGAACAGTAAAGGCAGTGATAGTGGTGTGATCAATGAAAGGACAATGTGGTTTCAAAAAAGTCAGTTCTTCTGGAGGTGAGGGTAGAGGGGACAGCAGAGAGGAGATTGTACCTGGCCTCAGTCTTAAAGGCCAAGTAGGACCTCGTTAGATAGATGAGAATAGCAGGAAAAGGCAGGCATCCTTCTAGCCAAAGCAAACAGCAAACAGCCTGGGCAAAGACAAGGAGGAACAACCTGGGATGAGAAGCTGTGGTTGGCAACTTTGTAAGGCTGAAATATGAAATACAAAGGGGCACAATGAAGTTAAGTGGTGGAGAGGTAGGTGAGGTCAAATAATAGGAAGCTTTGAATGCCTATGTAGAAGTTTAGACCTTATCCTAAAAGGTACACAGATCCTTAGAAGGCTTTTGAGCAAGAGAGAAACATGGTAAGATATGTTCTTTAGAAAGATCAATGAAAACATATTTATATCTTAATTCCCACTACCCAATACAGCCTCTCACCATGGAGGTTGTAGGATTTGACTGGAGTAACTTCCCAAGCCCCCAGACGCTCAGAGTTCAAGGAATAGCCCACGAATGGCCATGAGAAAGACTTCAGTGTAAGTAGTAATTTTCCTTCTTTTTTTTTTTTTTTTTGGAGACAGAGTCTTGCTCTGTCGCCCAGGCTGGAGTGCAGTGGCGTGATCTCAGCTCACTGCAAGCTCTGCCTCCCAGGTTCACGCCATTCTCCTGCCTCAGCCTCCCGAGTACCTGGGGCTACAGGCACCCGCCACCATGCCCGGCTAATTTTTTGTATTTTTAGTAGAGACGGGTTTTCACCGTGGTCTCGATATCCTGACCTCGTGATCCACCCGCCTCGGCCTCCCAAAGTGCTGGGACTACAAGCATGAGCCACCGTGCCCGGCCTTTTTTTTTTTTTTTTTTTTTTTGAGACAGGTTCAAGCGATTCTCCTGCCTCAGCCTCCTGAGCAGCTGGGACTACAGGTGCACGCTACCACACCCAGCTAATTTTTGTATTTTTAGTAGAGATGGGGTTTCACCATGTTGGCCAGAATGGTCTCAATCTCTTGACCTCATGATCCGCCCGCCTTGGCCTCCCAGAGTGCTGGGATTACAGGCGTGAGCCACCAAGCCTGGCGGTAATTTTCCTTTTTGAGTCATGAACACTCTTAAACCATCTGCCGTAAAGAGAGAAAGCCTACAGCACCTCCTTTCTCCTCAAAACATCCTGACTAGTTTAGAGGATCCTCTGAGACTCCAGCTGAGTAAGATTATGCTGCTGATGATCTGTCACAGCTTGCAGCAGGTCAGGCTGGCATTTCTCCATTCGCTCAGCATCCAAAGGTTTTATAATTTTAAAGACTTTTTACATAATATTAAGAGAAAAATAAAAACTGCATAAATGAATATAGCACATTTCATCTAAGTGATGATGGTAAAAGAATAATACCTTTTAAGAAGAAGGCTGGCCGCTCCTTACTCTTGGCTACTTTAGCTTATTGCTCACAAGTTTCTGTCATAGCACTTGTCCACTTCCTAGGCTTCTATAAGCGTTTGTTTACATGTGGCTCCTCCTACCCCAGGCTCTTTAATCTTTGTATTCACAGTGCCTAACACAACATAGGTACTCCATAGATGCTTGTCTATTGGAAGTTGGATGGATGGGTAAGATACATATTTTTAAGTAGCTATCTAACTTTGTTTTTAAAACTGCTGATATTGTGAGTGACCAAATTATGTCTTCTATACATTCCATACTTAAAACATAATATGAAATTAGCTGACAGTGAGCACCTCTTATGTACCAGGTATTGGAGACAAAAAGCAAATGCCAACGTATGTCGTTTTGTATGGGTCTCTGCCCTGAAGTTGCTCACTCTAGCTAGAAAGGGAGTCAAATAAACCAATCCAGTGGAATAAGCATTATGATAGATACATGAAAAGATTGCTAGGTGAAGCACCCAACCCAGCCTAGAGTAGAGAGACTAAGGAGAGTATCAGGGAAAATTTCTAGAAGATTACAATCCCTGAGCTAATTTCAGAATGAGAAATGAGAGATAGAATTTTGTTCCACTGTCAATGTATAATGATGTATAATAATGATTAGTAACAGAGCCTTCAGCAATATGAATTCTGGATGATGAATAAAATAGGAAATCAGAGTCCCCAAATCATTCTAGTATAAAAAGTATTTGAGTTATTTATAAATTGTGTTTATTTATTCAATCATCAGATGTTGACTGAACACTGTTCTATGAGTATTAGGTATACCTAGAAAGTAAACCATGATACCTCACCTCCAGGATATTATGATCTCACTGGGGGCCACAATGCCCTCACACACAAAACAGTTCTTAGAAATGTGGGCTATTATATTAATCAGACCCAGAGTCATTAGCCTCAGCAGTATGCATGCAAAAGCAGCTAGGCTCAAAATGTTTGAGAATGGTTTATCATGAAGATCATGGGTCTTGAGCAGCTGTAATATAAAAGGAAAAAAAAGACAAACGGGAAACAGTAAGATAAAAGGGTATTACAGAATGGGAGAAACTGAAAAGTGAAGAAAAGGATGGGCTAAATGTGGAATATTAAATGACCATCAGTCAAGTACCATTCTGAGCACCATGGAAGCGAAAAACATGAAGCAGATGTCAAATGCACCATCAAACTTCTAACAAGGCAGAGTCTCACACTGGCAGTTCATAGCTGGATGCATAACAGACATCTTTAGTTTGACCTGCACCATGCTTTTACCTTTTTTAACCATTGTCATATTTGAATTCTGGGAAATTTATATAAATATCTAGATTCTTGGCTTATCTTTAAAAATTAGAGAATCTGTCAAGATTGCTTGACATTCCTGCTTGGAGCGATTGTCCAGAGTTGAGCAGCAGCAGCCCCCTTTTAGATGAAATGTGTCTTCCAGTTTGCTATATTTCCTTCTCATCCTGCTTTGCCCATTTGTGTTTTGTGATCTATATCTCTGGAATTTAGATTTTGACATACCTGGTTAAAATCTAGGAAGAGGGAAAGACATTCGTGTAATTAATTATAATATGAAATGGAGACCTTAATCACTGTGGGAGTTTATCCATTCATTTAATACCTATTTCCTGAGTTTCTGCTACCTGCCAGGCATCTTACTATTACTGGGGAAATGCTGGTGCCTGGGTTCTAGGAGTTCACATTTTCTTGAGAAGAAGGTATGAGCAATTATGACACACTGTAAAACATGCTGCAATAGATGCATGTGTGGAAGACACAGTGTGGACCCAAGGAACAAGTTATCATATGTACCTGGGGATTCAGAGAAGTGATGGTTGAACTGAGTTTTAAGGTGGCCTGAGCCAAAACGTAGAGGTATGAAGCAACATGTCAAACTCAGGGAAGCACAGGGACTTTGATGTGGCTGGAACATAGGGTGCCTGGAGACGTTTAAGCAGGGTAGTAAGGTGATCTGATTTGTATTTTAGGGAGGAGAATGTATTTGGAAGATTGAAACTAGGATCAAGGAGACTTCAAGTTGGGAGTTTATCCTAAAAGTCAAAACCTGAATTAGAGGGGATGAAGGGGTTGGAGTAGATACCATGACATTCAGAGAGAGAAGAGTGCAAGGCAGCATGGAATGCGGTATTGAACCATGTGGTTCAAATGATAAGAGCTAAGGGCAGTTAAAGTGAATCTTTGAGTGTCAATGGTTTTGGAAACTATATTCTGTAATATATCGTAATCCCTTTTTTAAATTAAGAATCCTCCTCTGGCTTATATATACTTCAATGTATACTACTATACTTTAAATATACTTGAATTTTAGCTTAGTTTTTAAAAATTTTCATTGTTTAAGTTCCCTCTCCATCAAATGGATGAAACACTTAACTTACAGCAAAGAGACTAGCTCTGATGCTTCTGGCTATGTGAATGTAGACAAGCCGATTTACCTAAGCATCGGTAAAATAGGACTTGTAATACTTTAAAGGGCTTTGATCCTCTAACAGGAAAATATATGTGAAATGCTTTAAAATCTACAGATTGCTGTAATAGGTTATTAGGATAAGAAATTTAAATTAGAAAAAATAAATCATTTGAAGTGTGCTTAGGACATTTTATTTGCATTCCATTTTACAAATTTATTTTTTGTCATTTATCTTCACTATTAAAGTAAGTATCATAATTAACTATAATATAAAATTCTGTTTTTAAAAAAGGCATTTAAATCTTCTGAGTTTCAAAAATTCCAAATAATATATTTTAAAAGATTTGTTTTGATAGTTTGAAATCAATGGGGTCCAGGTAAAATAAATAAAATCTACTGTCATGCAAACATTATATGTTTTCTGTTTTTAAAGACAGGAAGCAGTATGTCAAAGTGCAAAGGTCACTAACAAAATGCCCCCAGATGGGTAACATAAATGGGTAATGGGCAATGATGTTTCATAATGACCTTTGAAAGCTGTATTCTTCCTGCATAAAGTCACATTGCATATTAAACATGTAAGAATAATCTTTACTTCCATAGGAATCTTACTCTCTCCCATTTTTATTAAAATATGATTCCCTCCATAAAGCTTTCATTTTCCCATTTTTGATAGGAGTATGAGTACAAGAAATACTTTCCTCTTAATTTTATAAGAAGTGCAAATGTGGTACAATGACAGCTTTTTTTTTTTTGTCTGGGAACAGGAGAAAGAGGTCAGGACTATGGCAAACTAGAGCATGAATGACCCTTCTAAAGAAGCCCATTCTCTAAACCAAGTGTTGCCTCACAGCAAAACTGGGAGCTAGTGTTGATGGAATGCCAGACTTTTTTCATGTGAAGCCACAAATCCATATTTCATGCAAATTTTCCTAATTTTAAACTTGGGCAGCTAATTCAAACATTTGTAAATATTATGAGTCAAATTCAGCCTTTGACTTGCTGGTTTGCAATCTCTGGTATATACCGTATTCTAGACTTTTGGATTGTGAGACAGAAAATCTATGTCCTTAATCCTGCCTTTGCTGCTTACTAAACTCAGTTAAAAGCTTAGACAAGTAGTCTCATTTCACTAATCTAAACATTTGCCCTAATGATTTCTTCATCAGGTTATTTATTTTACTCATAATTTCATTATAAACATTTTTCAAACATAAGGAAAAGTTTAAAAATGTTACAATGAACATCCGTGTACTTGTCACCTAGATTCCACTATTAACATTTTCCTATACTTTCTCTATCACATACCTACCCATCTATCCAATCATCAATCTATTTTGCTTTCTGTTCCTGTTTTAAAGTAGTTGCAAAATCAGTATACCTTTCATTTTTTTGAGGAATAAATCAAATGATTCATATAAAGCATCAAGCACAATATCTAGCACAGGGACAAATGTCAGAGTCCTAATCACTCTCTTCCCTCCATCTATATGTACTATATAGAGCTTCAGTGTTGTTGGACCCACTAAGAATGTCTATACGTGTGTTTATTCTGGGGAAAGGGGGAGATTTCGACAATAACCTTTTCATGAAAATTCTGTTGGCCTCTACGTTTAAAATGTATCCCCATTTCTCTCTAATCCACCCTCTTATTTAAAAAGCAAAACAAAACAAATAACCTTGAGTAGAAAAACACAAATGTAGGAAGACTTTAGAGTTGGAAAGGAGGCAACAAACTGGCTAGGAAAGGAAGGATACTGTAGTGAGTTCCCAGGACTTTTTCTTTCTTTTCTTTTTTTTTTTTTTTTTTTTTTTTGCTTGCTATGTATTTGGACAGAGCACTGGAGAACCTGCAGCCTGGAACCGCCAATAAGTACAGACAAAAACAGCCCCAAGTAAAACCTGCTCCCTTTAGATAAATGACTGGGAAAAACAGGTAGACTAATAGAACCGGAAAACTTTTGATAATACTGACCTACTCTAGCCAAACACCAAAGAAAAAACTGTCCCCTCAACCCTGCAGTGTCAGTAGTGCTATGCCGAGAGCTAGGTTTCTGGCTCTACCAGCGGCAGCCAGGAGAGGCAACTCTAAGATGGCCTTACACTTCTTCCACTAGGCTGTTGTTGGTAGACAGAACAAGAACTGAATTTCCATCCCCACCTGGCAGCAAATAGGCAGAACAAGGGGGTACGAGGTGATGCTAGTCGATACTCCACTTTCTAGTGGGGAGCTGAACTCGTACCCTTACCCAGCAGCAACAGGCTGAAATGAGGTGGCGTTAGTTGGCATTCCATTCCCCTACTCCTAATATTGATGGGAACCAGCAAGAAGCTTAACTTCCACCCCTGCACAGTGGCAATGAAGTAGGAGAAAGAGGAAATCAGTACTAGTTGGAAAACCACTCTGCCTGCCAGGATAGTATCAGCAGGGCCCTGTGAGGAGCTGAACTCCTACCCCCATGCAAAGGTAAGGAGAATAAGGTGGTTCAAGGCAGTGCTAGTCAGCACCCCATCTTCTCTCCCCGATTGGTGTTAGTGGATCCAAGCGCGGAGCTGAACTTCTACTCCCACCTAGTGGCAATGAGGTAGAATGAGGTGAATGCTCTGTGTCTCCCTCCCTGCTGTTCTGTGATCAAGGGGGAGCTGAACTGCCATGCCCACCCAGCTGCAAGAGGACTCTATTTTACATCAAAGGAATCATTTACAAATGTAAGTCAGGTCAATTCATTTCCTCACAGGCTCCCCATTTCTATCAGAGTAAAAGTCAAAGCTTTTAAAATGATCTACAAGGCCCTGCAGGATTAATGCACCGTTGTCTCTCTGATAGTGGTAGGCAGAGTTCTAAGAGGGACCCATGATATCTACCTCCTGGTGTTACTCCCACAGTTAAGTTCTTACATAAGAAAAGGGATTTTGCAAGTAATTAAGGTTACTAATCAGTTAAGATAGGAAAATTATCTGGGTGGGCCTGGCCTAATCACATAAACCCCTAAGAAGCAAAGAGTTATTCAGCTAGTTGGAGAAGAGGAAGTCAGAGCTTCCAAATGTGAAGAGGATTCAATGTGCCATTAGTTGCTTGAAGATAGAGAGAGCCATGGGGTGAGGAATGTGGATGGCCTATAGGAGCTGAGAGAGGCCCCAGTTGATGGCCAGCAAGGAAATGGGTACCTTATTCCTTATGATGGTTAATTTCATGTATCAGCTTGACTGAGTCATTGAGTGTCCAGCTATTTGGTTAAACATTTTCCTCAGTATGTCTGTGAGGGTGTTTCTGGATGAGATGAACATGCAAATCAATAGGCTGGGTAAAGCAGATTGTTTTCCCCAAGGGGTGTGATCCTCATCTAATCCACTGAAGGCCTGAATAGAATAAAAAAGCATTGAGAGGGTGAATTTGCTGCTTCTTCCTGACTGTCTTCAAGCTGGGACATCAGCAGTCTTCATCTGCCTTCAGGCTTAGCCTCAGCCTACAACTATTTAATATATATCACTGGCTCTCCTCGGTCTCCAATTTGCCAGCCACAAATCCTGGGCCTTATCAGCCTCCACAACTACATAAGCCAATTCCTTATGATGTATGTGTATATACTATAGGGGTGTGTGTGTATGTGTATATACCATAGGGGTGTGTGTGTGTGCAATCTCATGTTGGCTTTCTCTGAAGAACCCTGACTAATACAATCCTACAACCACAAGAAACTGAATTCTGCCAGGAACCTAAATACATTTGGAAGCAGATTTTTCCACAGAAATTTGCAATAAAGCTGAGCCTGGCTGACACCTTGACTTCAGCATAGGTAGGCAACACAGTCAAGTCCACCCAGACTCCTGACCTACAGAACTGAAAGAGAATAATGGCTGTGGTTTTAACCTGCTAGATTTGTGGTAACTTGTTATTCAGCAATAGAAAACTAAAACAGTGACTTCATTGTTTACCATTCTCCTTTCCTCATTCACTCAGTTCAGCCACAGTGGCCTCCTAGTTCTTCTTTGACAACACCAGGCACCCTTCCATATTAGGATCTCTGTTTGGCTGTTCCTTTCCTCTGGCCAGAATGTTCTTCCTTTTTATAGCGACATGACTAGTTTCCTCACCTCTTCAATTTTTTCTAAAATGTCACCTTCTCAATCCATCCTACCCAGGCCCTCCTCACCACAACCTATCCCTCCTACACTGCTCTGCCTTTTTTTCTCTCCAAAATACTTTTTGCCTTCTAACGTGCTATATAATGAACTTATTTATTGCATCTATTGTTTATTAGTGGTCTACCTTCATTAGATTGTAAGCCCACAAGGACAGGGATATTTGTTTTGTTTGCAAACATTCTGAGCACCTGAAACACCTTCCTGGCACAGTAGGTGTTTACAAAGTATTTGTAGAATGAAATGAGTTAACTCTATGTCACTTTACCTCTGACTTAATGCATTGTTACATAATTTATTACTTACAGTTCAAGTTGTGAGGTGCACTTTACACCTTTCCTCATAATAAGGCATATATACATAATGCATCATTTTATGCATGGAAATGTGATAGCAAGTAACAAATTCTTTGTGTAGCCATTAGTATAAAATACATGGGATGGCTCTTTCTCATTCTTACATCATTAAGAGCTGGAAAATAGAAGATGAACTGAGATGTTTGGGAGAGGAGGGTGGGTGATGCAAATGACAACTTGGTCAAACCTAAGGCTTGCAAAAACACTTTTTAAAACTACTGATACAGAAAATTGAACTAAATGCATTTTAAGACTTTTTACATTCTATAATTCCATATTATTCTGAGCTGTACACAAACTCAGTGAACTATTGGCTCAAGATTTGATCTCTGACCTTTTTATTGATGATCCTCAAATATGTATTTATAGTCCTCTCTGAAGGCCCATATTCCTATTCTTTGTCTCCAGCTGCTTCAGAACATCTCCACCTGGATATCTCACTATTTCCTGGAACTGAGTGTGTCAAAATCATACTCATTCTCATGACCCTGGATTCCACTCATCTCTCCTTTTGCTAGTTACTTAGATGCTCTCTCTCCTCTTTTTCCAATGTCTGAGTCATCTCTGGACCTACTGCTTCTCCCTTCAAATTTCCTCTCTCATGTTGCCCTTTTTAAAATTCTCACTGCTGTCACCCTTCTTCAGGCTGTGACTTCCTCACAGCTGGATTCCTAGACAACATCCTAAATGGTTTTCCCACCTCCGATCATATCTGTGCTTTCCTCTCCGTCAGCCCTCCATAGGACCATCTGTTAATTTTCCTAAAATGAATTTAAGTATTCTTAATGTCTCAGAATCTTCTAATGAGCCCCATGGCCTACACAGTAAATTTTAATTAACAGTCAAGCAAACAACAAACCCACAACCTGGCTTGTAAGATCTTTCATGATCTGGGCATTCAACCTTAGTCTCTTCTTCCCAAAAATCCCTCCCTGCTTTTGTGTGCATCCGTCATACTGAGTACTACTGTGGTGCTTGATACAAAAAGAGATGTTTTAAACAAAAGAAAAGTAGAAGTAAAGGTAGTTTAAGAAATTTTTTTAGAATGAAGGAATGATTTTTTGCATGGTATTTTGGTAGTTGTTGCAGTGGGGAACTCAAACATCTGTCCTGATATTAGCCTCTTTCTTGATGTGCAAATGTTATCTTAGTTTGAGAAACAATTTTACAAGTAGTGAGTTGCTGATATCATATATCCCATTGAAAGTAAAAGCAACGTAAATCTTAAATGGATCACCCTCTGAGCTGTGTTCTCTATTTCTTTCTGCAGAGAGCCTCGCAAGGTAGTCCTGCACAAAGGCTCCACTGGCCTGGGCTTCAACATTGTCGGTGGGGAAGATGGAGAAGGTATTTTTGTGTCCTTCATTCTGGCTGGTGGACCAGCAGACCTAAGTGGGGAGCTCCAGAGAGGAGACCAGATCCTATCGGTGAGTATGTTTCTTTAATCTTTATTCCCTCCATATCTGACGCCATCAATGAAAAAGTCATAACTTTCAATTATGATACCAAAAGCACCTTAATTACAAAGGAAAGTGGATGAGAGCATCACGACTTCTGGTGCATGTCACAATTTTGTTTGTTTTTGTTTTTGTTTCCTTTGAGACAGAATCTCGCTCTGTCTGTTGCCCAGGCTGGAGTGCAGTGGCAGGATCTCAGCTCACTGCAACCTCTGCCTCCCGGGTTGAGGTGATTCTCCTGCCTCAGCCTCCTGAGTAGCTGAGATTATAGCTGCCCACCGCCACATCCGACTAATTTTTGTATTTTAAGTAAAGACAGGGTTTCGCCATGTTGTCCAGACTGGTCTCAAACTCCTGACCTCAGGTGATCCACCCGCCTCAGCCTCCCAAAGTGCTGGGATTACAGGCATGAGCCATCAAGCATGGTCTACATGTCACAGTTTAAATGGTGTTCAGGTCCTTGATGCTTGTGGCACTTACTTCCCTCAAATAAAGGCGAAGGTGCTAATGTTTTCTTCTAGATGTTCTGAGACACATTTGCATCCAACAGAACGTTGAGAAGCATGCCTTTTTAAAAATGATATATTACTTATTTTATTTAAAAAAACAGACTTTTCTCCCAAACTCATAACCATACTCTAAACACTGTACCTTTATAATGTGTATAGTTTGGTGCAAATGTAAAAACAAAAAAATGCATAAGATAATGCTATATAGAGTTTGCTGATGGTACTAAGTTGTAGCAGTGGCACCATTCAACTAAATTCAAGAATTATCAGCAACAATGTATTAAGCACCTTTTTTTTTACCTTTTTAATAATTTCAACTTTTATTTTAGATTTGGCGGTACACACGATGTTTCTTATATGGGTATATCACGTGATGCTGAGGTTGAGCATACAATTGATCCCATTACCCAGATAGTGAGAGTAGTACCCAGTAGTTTTTCAATCATTTCCCTTTTCCTTCCCTCCCCACTCTAGGAGTCCCCAGTGCCTATTGTTGCTATTTTTATGTCCATGAGTATCCAGTATTTCGCTCCCACTTATAAGTAAGAACATGTGGTATTTGGCTTTCTGTTCCTGTGTTAATTTGCTTAGGATAATAGCCTCCAGTGGCATCTGCATTGGTGCAAAGGGCATTATTTTGTAAGTAATTTTCAAGGGTACTTTACTGAGATGAGATTGACGTAGAAAAAGTTGTACATACTTATGACGAATTTGGAGATATGTATGCACACATGAAACCATCACCACAATCTATGCCATAACACAACCATCACTCCAAAAGTTTTCTCCTGTTCTCTTCTTTTTTTATTATTATTTTCCTTTTGTTATAAGAACAATTAACATAAGATCTACCATCTTAGCAAATGTTTAAGCAAGCAGTATTGGTGACTATAGGCACACATTGTTCAATGGACCTCTGACTTATCTTGCATAACTATTATTTATTCTTCTCACAATCACTCTGAAAGGTACTGCCTCATGTTCAAATGAAGATAAACTTCCAGCTTGTCAAAGTTTACCTAACTATAGAGAGTCAGAGCTGGGATTTAAGTATTCCATTTTAATGCCCATTACACCTACCATATCCCTTCCCTCCCTCTTTTCATTCTTCCATCTCATTGCCACTTTCCCCCTTCCTTCTAATTTCCCTTTCCTCTTCCTTTCTTTTCCTGTTTCCTTTAACTTATTCAAATATTTATTGGCTGTCTCCTTCTACTATGTCAAGCTTCCTCCTTAGTATGATAGGGTAAATCCATTGTGAGTGTTCCTGCCTATATTTTAATTTTACTAATCATGAAAATAATAACGGAGGGTTACATAAGGAGCCAGTACTTATGGCTGATATTATGGTTCATAGTTCATAACTAAACAAAGCACTTAGTTTGTGGTTTTCATTGTGCATTTAGAAAAATTTGTTTTCATTTTATGGCTGTGATTTATAAATAGAATCTTATAATTTACCTTATATTTGTTAGCCACCATTCCAACCCTTCAAAAAATGGGAAAATCTCTCTCTCTTTCTCTCTCTCTCTCTCTCTCTCTGACATACACACACACACACACACAGTTTACCTGAATAACATCATACAGTCAGTTGACTTTAGTAAGGTGTCCGGAAATTTGCATGAATAGCCTTGTCGTATGTGTCACTGTGGTCCTCTCACATATGAAGGCCTCTGCCTACTCATCAGGTGCAGTTCTCTGGAAGGATGTTGAGTATGGGAGATACAGCGTATAGTCCCACACCAGGACCTTGTTCTGCCATCCAAGAGCTGAGCATCATTCCTTAAACTACTTCCCTTACCTACTTCTTCAATACTTTCATGATATGTAAGATATAACTGGCAGCTATCAAACCTTATTGTGCATATACGTTTACATGTCTGTCTTTCTGTACTAGGTGGTACGGTCTCTGAAAGCAAATTCTCTATCTTATATGATTTTATATCCTCAATATTTAGCACAATGCCTGGCACATAGCAGTCTCCCAAAAAAGAAGTGTTTATCGAATGAAAAAGTGTTGAATAAATATGGTGGTACATTAAGAAGTCACTATAGCCTGAAGATTGATTCTAAAATTCTACCTAAAGCATACTAACGTATCTTCATCATCCTGGCTTACATTCTGTATACTTGCGGACCACTTTGTCATTTCATTACAATCAGCATTCATATCGTCATTAAATGTTCCCAGACACAAAGCACTGTCACATGCATTAATTCTAGAGATTCTCTAAGGCATTCTAAGTGGCAGGATAGGTTATTATTATTACTCCCATTTTCCAGATCAGAAGAAAAGAGATTTGGAGAGGCTAAATGATCTGTCTATGTCTCCACAGCTACTGACTATAAAGCTGAACTCAAGTCAGTGTTCTTTCTCCTCTCAGCACACTTTCTTTTCAAAATATTGTCAACAGTCTCTATGGCACATCTTCTTGGTGCACACCGCACTGTGTGCACATCACATTCGGGAACACATAAAGCAATAAAGAACTAATACTTACATGGTACTTTTGAGTCAGTCACTATCATAAATAATTTAGTCTTCCAACAACACTATGCCTTGTTATGTTCATATTAAGGATAAAGAAATTGAGCTACAGAGATGGCATTAGACTCTCTAACTCTGTTTAAATAAAAAATCCACCAAGCCATAGGCTTTATTTATTTTAACCTCCATACATGTGAGAGGAAAAAGGTGATCTAGTGATACTCTATGGCTTGACAAAGAAAACTCGCAAGTATTTCTGCTTCAAAAATAGATTTATCCATTTAAATATTATTACCAGGACCACACAGTAAATAAGGCAACCAATCAGAATTATAGTCGTCTTAGATATTATAATTCACAGAATATAACAACAATCTTTGAAGTTCACACAGCATATCCGTTTTTATGTATAACATTTGCAAATACAGATGATGAGGAAAATATTATCTGCTTTTTTCAGTTGAGAAAGAAGAGGGAACATTTTTCCTTAGTATATCAAAATGTATTTCACCTGTAGCTAGCTAGAAAATGGCTAGCTTCTGGAAACCATCATTCTCAGCAAACTATCGCAAGGACAGAAAACGAAACACCGCATGTTCTCACTCATAGGTGGGAATTGAACAATGAGAACACTTGGACACAGGATGGCGAACATCACACACCGGGGCCTGTCGTATGGTGGGGCAAGTGGGGAGGGATAGCATTAGGGGATATACCTAATGTAAATGACGAGTTAAAGGGTGCAGCACACCAACATGGCACATGTGTACATATGTAACAAACCTGCATGTTGTGCACATGTACCCTAGAACTTAAAGTATAATAATAAAAATAAATAAATAAATAAATAAGAAAATGGCTAGCTTCAAGGTTCACTATTGGAATTTAATTGCTTAACATTGAGAGAAAAGAACAGTCTTGAGAAGCTCAAACATTACAATGTGGAAAGCAAAATGGCACAGAAGAATTACTAATAATGGAATATGGAAGATAAAATATTTTCATCTATAACTTGCACTGGACATACAGGGGCAAGCAACCTTCCTGGAAAATGCAAAGCAAAAACTCTAAATAACAATCAAGAGCTAGCTGGGCACAGTGGCTCATGCCTATAATCCCAGCACTTTGGGAGGCTGAGGCGGGCAGATCACCTGAGGTCAGGAGTTTGAGACCAGCCAGGCCAACATGGTGAAACCCTGTCTTTACTAAAAATACAAAAATTAGCCAGGCATCGTGGTGTGCACCTGTAGTCCCAGCTACTTGGGAGGCTGAGTCAGGAGAATCGGTTGAACCCAGGAGGCAGAGGCTGCAGTGAGCCAAGATCACACCACTGCACCCCAGCCTGGGCAACAGAGTGAGACTCTGTCAAAAAAAAAAAAAAAAAAAGCTAAATAAAATTCAATACATATTAATAGGTCATGTAAGATTAATTTGCAAATAAGTCATGTTAACAATAATGTAGTAGTTTCAGAGAAAGGAAGTAGAATCCCCAGGGAAGGGATCTGGAGGATATGTCTTTGGTCTCAATTGTTCTTCATAGGTAAGAGACTTGCATAATAGACAATAACCTTTCTAATGAGGGGCAGAATGTCCATTCCTACTCTCACACACAGACTATAGAATATTCCTAGGTAATTTAGTTATTAATGGCTTACTATGTGCCAGGTATTGTATATGTATGTATATGTATATAAACACATATACATACACATATATATATATACACACACACTGAAGAAAGAGAAGAGACAGTAACACTTAAAATACAGCATGTCATAGTATACATATTCAATAAGTGTTGCTATTACTATCAACTCTGCTTTAAGACTGTATCTGTTGTTTTTTAAAAAGGTTCAGATACCCATGTATAAGGAGGGCCTCTTTTGGATAGTTTGGGCTGTTCCTTCTTTGGGACAGGGATTGGACTAGATTGGCATTTCCCAAAGTGTGTTTCGTAGAACACTGAAACAGCAGGATTGTAATAGGTTGCTACTGTAATAGGTTCATTTGTACAGGCTTCTTCAATGAAGAACTTCTAAAAAACATGTTTACCTGTGTCCATTGGAAATCTCCTAGAGCAGATGAAGTCTATGGCTTTCAAAAACATTTTGACCACCAAACCCTTACATAAGGAGTAACTTACAGGACACCAGTAGTGGGAAATGCTCGAGTAGATTTGTTATTATTATTTGTGACGGAGTCTGGCTGTGTTGCACAGGCTGGAGCACAGTGGCGTGATCTCGGCTCACTGCAACCTCTGCCTTCTGGGTTCAAGTGATTCTCCTGCTTCAGCCTCCCAAGTAGCTGAGATTACTGGTGCCTGCCACTCTGCCCAGCTAATTTTTATAATCCCCATAATTGACTGATTCCTACATTCTTGCCTATACAGAAAAGGGAAGTAACGTTTTACTATGTTTTAAGGTTATGGGTGCCATCTAGTGTTCATGCATTGTCAAAACACATTACTTAGCAACCTGAAGATGGAGGGTCCTGAAGCTCCATTATAGGGATTTTTTTCCAGGCCTACCCCTTATCCCCACCAGAATTCCAAAATTAAATATTTAAGATGCTCAAAGACAAAGAAATTGTCACCTTGGGCTACATCCTATACATGTATTATAAGTGATCTTTTCTAGTTTCTCTTTTATGTATTCTATTTCTCAGGGATTTGTTGCAGAACGGAATTCAGTAATTGAACCATATTCTTGATGTATTCATGGAGGAGAATTTAGGGCATTCAGCATGCAGTCACATTAACTAGTGCAGTCGCCTCCTCAGGCATTCTTTCTGCAGAAGGAAAGCTAGAAATGCTTCTCTTATTATTTGTTTCAGTGATTTGTTAGGAAAAAATGTGAAACAGAGCACAGAGAAGCAATACCCCTAGAAAGAGATTATTTCCTGTCTCTCCAAGCAATTTTAGTTTATTCATTCCTCAGGCATCCAAAAATGATCACCCCAGCTGACTTGCTAACTCCAAAGCTCATTCTTGATATGGACTTTAAGTATTTAACAAAGTGTGTTTCAAGATACGTGATTGGGAATATGTATTGCCAGAAGTGAAATGCTGCAGCTGTCGAAGTGAAGGTATAATAGGTAACTGGATTTCCAAATTAGAATTTAAATTGCATTGTTGATTTAAAAAGAGTAAAAATGAGTCACAGCTGACATGGGTATTTCAAAAATTTTCAGGTTATCTTCATGTTTAGAAACGTGCAGAGGGGAAGGACTTGATTTGCCAGGACTCTATTTTCAAGTTAATTAAACAGAATATGAGCACTATACAGACTATTCTCCATCTTGGGGTACTGATAAGGTCACCTTATATTGTTACCTCAAATAACATTTCTAAATCTCTGCTGGTGTTGTTGCTTCCACCTCTCCACTGCCATCCCCAGTAAAGATGTCCAAAATTATTTCTTCGATTTCCTGAAGTGGTCCTCATATGAGCCGCCAGACCTCATCCCTTCCAGTCACCATGCCATACCTGCCGTGCCGTTCCTCTCTGGCTCTGGTTCCCGGTCCCATGAAGGAACCTTGCTTTCCTAGTTTTCAGTACTGATGTTCTCTGCCTAAGAAACTCTCTCTCCCTCTGTGTGTTCCTGAAACAAGCACGCTCTGAAATACTAAAGAGGATCTGGGGCCTATGCAGTGTTAGGGACAAGTCTCATCTCCACATCTCAGTGCTATTATTTCACCTTGTCCCCAAAAGTGAAACAGCTTAAATCAGAAATCTTATGAAACCTTTCACCTAAGCCACACCTTCAGCTTCTCTTCTCTCATCTTCAAAACTTGGAGTCACCCAAACTCCAGCAAAACCACTACTCTCCCTTCAGGAAAAAGTATCAGTAAGGTTTCAGAAATTTCAAGGTACTGTATCAGCCAGGACATACTCTTAAACTTTGAAGTGAAATCCAACTAAGTGGAGTTGATGCTGTTTTTGAGGAGGTAAAAGCTTATTGCCTTAAATCTGACCAGTTAAATTTAGAGTTCTGGTCCAGAAACCATGTGGAAGTTGCCTCTCCAAACCAGCATGCTTGTTCCAGGCATTTGCTCTCTCTCTCTAACCCACTGCATCTAGACACATTGACTCTTCAGTCATTTCTGGCTTTTGCCTCTCTTAATTGTAGAGCCCATTTAGACTTCTCCCTACCTTACTGGATCTTTCTTCCTGCACAGCTCAGAACTCACTGCTCACCTGATCACAAGACCACCTCAAATGAAAACAGATATGGCTTGTGAAGAGGCTCCAGGGGAGTCACTCTTGCTCAGCCTTGGCTTCAGAGCCCCACTAGCCAGGCTGTACCTCCTGGCCCAGCCACCAGAGTGTGGGTATTCAGCAGGGCCTGACTATGGGCAGAGTTCTTTATTCCTGATGATTGCCTAGTGCATATAAACATCACCCATCACATACAGACTTCCAGCCTTTGGAAAGAGGAAACTGTACAAAAAGCCTATCTAATCATATCCTTTTCCTGCTCTCTTTAAAGCCTTTCAATGGTGTCCTGCTGTTCTTAAAGCCTAAAATTGTTAACACAGCCCACAGAATTTTGCAGAGTCTGGCCCCTGCCTGCCTGGACAGCCTGCCCCATCCACAATACTTCCCCTACTCTCACTGATGCTTCAGCCACTCTGGATTTTTCTTTACCTATGGTCAGGGATGCTATTCAAAATTTTCACACCTTGGCATAACCCTGGCACCCATCCACACAATGAATGGCCGTAGTGCCACAGATGCCAGACAGCAGGGCAGTGGGGACTTCTAGGGAGCCAGAGTTGTGGGTCACTCAGGAGGGCTCAGGACAGCAGTTATTTACTAACAAACCACACACAAGTGTGTTTCACTGTTGTACAAAAAGGAAGAGCCATATCACTGAGTGGGGACGGAGCAGCAGCCCTGTCCCCTCTGTGCTGAGCTCCCTCCTACCTCCATCTTGTTCACTGAATTTCCTCGAAAAGGAACTTGGAGTAGACAAGGAAAAACCCTCCATTATCTAAAAGGGACCAGAGAACTCATGAATTGCCCCAAGCGTCACTTAAACAGCATCCCCATTGTCTGACATAGAATCCGGCTGTATAATATATGTTAAAGAAAAGCAGTAATTAGGCCGGGCACAGTGGCTCACACCTGTAATCTCAGCACTCTGGGAGGCTGAGTTGGGCAGTTCACCTGAGGTGGGGAGTTTGAGATCAGCCTGACCAACATGGAGAAACCCCATCTCTACTAAAAATACAAAATTAGCCGGACGTGGTGGTGCATGCCTATAATCCCAGCTACTCAGGATGCTGAGGCAGGAGAATCGCTTGAACCTGGGAGGCGGAGGTTGCGGTGAGCCAAGATCATGCCATTGCATTCCAGCCTGGGCAACAAGAGTGAAATTCCATCTCAAAAAAAAAAAAAAAAAAAAAAAAAAATATATATATATATATATATGTGTGTGTGTGTGTGTGTGTATATATATATGTGTATATATATGTCTATATATATGTGTATATATATGTGTGTATATATATGTGTATATATAAAAAACAAAAACAACAACAACAAAAAGAAAAACAATAAAATCTGTGGGCACTCAGCAAACTGTGTAGGGAAACAAAATTAACATTGCTCCTTTCCAGTTATATTCCTTAAGTCTTGCTTATTCAATGTGTCATAAACATACTATATGTCACAACTTAGCAAGGTGCAGTGAAAATAGTACATTGGGAACCATGTACTTAACATCAGACTTGTAACACCTGACTCACAATATCACTACTCAAAGGATTTAACTGTAAGCAGCTTTCAAAAGTCTGAAACTTAACTCAGTGCACCAGTAAAACACCAGCTTTTCTCGCAGTGGTACTTCCAAAACTGTGTATAATAGCGGATGTGTGAAATGCTT